>NC_000021.9:15465808-16715808 GCF_000001405.40 Homo sapiens
ATTTTAAAAGTAAATATGAAGCAAAATGCACGAGACACTTTGTAAAGTTTAGGTCCATGATTTGAGAACACTCAAATAGCATAGACATGCTGGTGAGAACTTCAGTGATAGATACTACTGTTCACTGTACAGTACATCTCAGATGGTCTCTGAATTGCAGGGAAGAAGTGGTTGCTGGGAAGCTTAGTGTCTTCATCCATTTTGTGTTGCTATAACAGAGTACCTGAGTCTGGATAATTTATAACGAAAACAGGTTTAGTTAGTTCACAGTTTTGCAGGCTGAGAAGTTCAAAAGCATGGCCCTGGCTTCTAGTGAGGGTTTTGGTGCTAAATCATAACATGGTGTAGGTCAAAGTGGAAGCAAACACGTGCAAAGAAGGAAAACCCAAGGGACATCTTTGCTTTTTCAGCAACCCACTCTCACAGGAACTAATTCATTCCCACAGGAACTAATCCAGTCTGGCCAAAGCAAGAACTCATTCACTAACGTGAGAACAGCACCAAACCATTCATGAGAAATTTGCCCCCGTGACCAAAACACCACCCATAAGGTTTCACCTCCCAACACTGCCACATTAGGGATGAAATTTCAACATGAGTTTTGGCGAAGACAAACTCAAACAACAGCAAAAAGTCCTGTTGTAGATCTACCTATTTTGTCTTTCTTTATTTCAAATTGAAAGCTATATAATTATATTTATATATATTTTAAAATATTATTTTAAATAATAATAAAAATAAAATATATTTTAAAATATTAGTTTTAAAATAGTAATTTGATGTTACTCCAATATAACGCCAGAATTTTCCAAATAAAGCAATGGGTTACCTTTGTAACATTTTTGAACTGCATTTTTTTTGTTTAAAATAATTGTTTCTACTATGTTTCAATCCATGCGAATACATATCTTTTATTTAACACTTATAGGACATTTTGTTTAATTTAGTCATTTTATCTTTCATTGATGATGAACTTACATGAAACCTGTGTAGTATTGGCCAAACTTTATTTTTAGGTGATATCAGGTTATAGCACTTTTTCTTTACCAAGAATGGAGGAAAATAAGTAGTACCTGTTTTTCAGAGGAAAGATAAATGTATGCAAAATATCAGTGTCATGGATGCAAGATCTCTGTTTATTAGCTATCAGGTAACTTAAGAGGTTAGAGACTGAAGAGAAAGCCATCCTCTACATATGGCTTTGGGAATTTGGCAAGAGGTGAAAGGAACATTATAAGATTAAGGCCTGCAGAGTAACTTAACATGCCTTATGATATGTAGAAGAAAATGCAGAAAGATAGGAACATGTGAGTGATGTAGTCCAGGATTTACCACAAGAAGCAGGAATCAACTGCTCACATGTATGTCTCTTTAATTGCCAGATATCTTAGTGTCTAATAGCAATTACATCCCAAAAGAACTACAATGACATTTATTGGGTAACCACTATGCCAGGCCAGATATTTTTGCATATGTTACCTCATTTAAGCCTCACAAATCCTCAGGTATCACTATCCTTTTGTTCAGATACTGGAACTGGAGATCAGAGCATTTAAGGGATTTCTGTACAGTCTGAAAAGTAAGGATCAGAGGTCAAATTCTAATCCAGGACAAACCGTTAACTATGCCTTCTTTGACTTTAAGATAAGAGAATAACTCAGAATTTTATACATTTAATAGGCAGAAAAACTCTAAATTCTCCAATTCTATACAGGTATTTCCTAAAAAGCAGCATAATCATTGTCATCATGGGGAAGAAATGTAGATCAATCATCTCAATGCACTTGGCTTAGTGCTAGCAGTAGCTTTAAAGGAATTAATAGATAAATTCCCTTGACTACGATTTTAGAATCATTAAAAAAGCATTGAGAAAAGTTATTTTCTAGGTAACTTTCCCCATGATTTTGAAACTTAACCTTTATTGGAACCTTCCAAATCTTTCTGTTCAAATCCTTATGATTTAGATTATGAACTTAAGTTGGAAATAACTTTTCCTTATAAAATCATAATGGTTCTATCTATCTATACACACATACGTATTTGACCTCAATTTAATTGTCTTTGAATGAGATTCTGCATTCATGTTAAGATATTTCATTTATTTAAACTAGATTATTCCATTACCAAACATGCCTTCTGTTTAAACTGTTTGAATCACAGCCAAGTAAGAAGCAAATCCTATTCAACTGAACTGAGCCTCTCTGGCCAGCCTTGTGAGTAAGGAGAAAAGAAGTAAAAGAGGGAGGAGAAGAGTTTGATTATGGTGATTTGGTACCTGGAAAAGATGGGGTAAAATCATCAGGTTTTGTAAATAAAAATACAGAACACTTGAATACATTTGAACTTCAGATAAAACAAGGCACAGTTTTTTGTACAAGGATGTCTCAAATACTGCATGAGACATACTTATATTTTAAAATCACCCATTGTTTATTTAAATTCATATTTAACTGGGTGTCCTATATTTTATCTGGTAACCCTAGATGAAGGATCACACAGGACAAATATAACTAGCATTGGGTTCCAATTGCCACATGTCTTTTATGCACAGATTGGCAGGCTTCTCCTGGGGGAAAGTAGAGGCTTAAAATTGAGGCTGCTTTTGCTCACTGCTTAATAGTGACAAGCTATTGATAGCCAGGCATTGCCAAATTCTCATTAGTTTCTAAAAGTCAGGAACTACATTTAGAAAAAAGCGGCTCGCTTATGGAGAGGTCATCTCTCCAGTAACCTCAAGTACCAGGAACACAGCTGAAACCCAGGAAGCAAGGGAAAAAAAGGCCTCTGAGGATTCAAAATAGAAACCATGTGCTAAAGCTCATGCTCTTTTCTCTGAGAAGAGGCCCTCAGACTTGCACTCAGTGTAATTTGCTCTTCTTTCAGACACCATCCAAACAAGTTTGGTTGTCTGATTTCCCACCCAACAGAGATAGAAAGCAGGAAATTGCAAAGTGGGCAGGATGGCTATGTAGACTAGGGGTCAGCCTTGTGGCAGACGATCTGGTAAAAACACATGCACACATATACACACACAAACACACACATGCACTCCACTATATGCAGCAATTCCCATAAAAATTTGGAAGAAATGTACCAAAATGGAATTTGTGGTTATTTTTTAGTAATGAGCTTACAAGTGGTCTTATTTTCTTCTTACACTTTTTAAATATTAGCTAAACTTTTTACATGCATGTTTATGATCAGAAGAGGCAACACAGATATTTTCAATTAAAGAAAATTTAAAAATTATTTCTTGATTCTCTCAGGAGAGCTCTGTTCACACCTCTATTAGAAGCATTTCCCAAATGGTAATTATATGCCAGACATTTATTTGTCTTTGTCCTCTGCTGACTTGTAAACTTTTTGAGAGCAGAGTTAGTACCTTTGTAGCATTGTAGCCTTAGTTATCAGCATAATCTCTAGCACACCAATGCCCAATAAATATTTGTTGAGTATGGAATGAAAGTCAAAATGCATGGTGTTTCTATGGGCATCTAGACATGGAATTCTCCACACCTCTGTCTCCCAGGAGCAGTGCGCCACTGTGGTCTGCTTTGCCCTTTGACTAGGATAAAAGTCTACTCTAAGTCCACAATACAAATTAGAATTAAGATTGCATTCTCTGTTTTTAAAAGCACAGAGGAATATGATTTATTCTGGCAAAGTGTCTTTTGAAATGGTTAGCATCTTTTAAAGTTTTGGCTTAAAGGAATGAGTATAAGAAATTTTGAGAATTCTCTTACTTTTAGTCATTTATTTGAAAATCTGGCTGTATCTGTTAATTGAGGATCATGGGCTAAAGATATGGGACACGGCTCTCAGAGTTGCACTACAGAGGTAAAATGCAATCTGTAAAATATTGGCTGTAGAATAAGACCATGTACAAGTTCTAGAGGAAGAAATGAGAGACCCCTATATGTATTACTTTATATGGCATCTTTATAAAGCTTTAAGGCATGTGCATCTTTGCAAATAAATAAAAATGTGAAAAACACCAAAGCTCTACTTTCCTTGTAACCAATTTCCTTAAAGACCCCCCCTTCTCAGTGCTACATAGAAGGATTGAATATGGTCTTAAGTTCTACTCTTTTTCAACACAAACGAAGATTAAACCAATTCATTCAGAAGAAAGAGAAATGACTGGATTCCATTTACAAGTAGAAAAGGAGTAGAATTTTAGGTCAGGTGCAGTGGCTCATGCCTGTAATCCCAGCACTTTAAGAGGCCGAGGCAGGTGGATCGCGAGGTCAGGAGTTCGAGACCAGCCTGGCCAATATGGTGAAACCCCATCTCTACTAAAAATATAAAACTTAGCTGGGCGTGGTGGTGTGCACCTGTAATCCCAGCTACTCGGGAGGCTGAGGCAGGAGAATTGCTTGAACCCAGGAGGCAGAGGTTGCAATGAGCTGAGATCATGCCACTGCACTTTAGCCTGAGCAATAGAGCAAGACTCTGTAAAAAAGTAAATAAATAAAAAATAAAAAACATAAAAAAAATAAAAAAAACTATGACTATTTAATCAGAAAGAAATATATGAGTTGCTGAACAGTGGATATCATGGCAGAGATACGTGACAATACTGAATAGGATGATTCACCATCTGTTATTTATGTTTTATAAATGATTTCAAAGCACATTTTAGTAACTTGGACGGGATTCTCAAAGCGGGAAAACAGTGTTGCCTTTGCCCACAAATGCACCAGGGCCTGCCAGCAGAGCCCCTTAACCCTAAAAAGCAGCTACTCAAAATTAAAATGCACATGAGGACATTTTTCACTACAATCAACCTGGGTATCAGTATCGACGAACAGGGCTAAGCATTGGTAACTTAATGCAGAGATAAATTTGTACTTTACCCATTGAATTTGGTTCCTTTTCCACATCTGTAAAAAGTTAAATAGAATGGTAAAGTTACCTGATTTGTCTTTCATCTCGTTATTTCTCTACTCCTTGAAGGTAATGCCGAGGAAACACACACACACACACACACACACACACACACACACACAGAGAGAGAGAGAGAGAGAGAAAAAAAAGTAAGTCCAAAGCAGGCAGCAGGAAAAAGACAGAAAAAGTGACAAATAAATGATTAATCCCTGGAAAATTTAAATTTAATAGTGAATACGGACAACTTTCAACTTATAAAAGAAAAACATCCCTTGGGCATCAAGCCTAAGATACTCAACTGTAAGAGGCGGTAAGTCTGTAAGCCTAATAAATAACTTTAGGAAAAGTTTTAAAACTTTGTTTTGATTTTTTAAATATCTAGACCAATGTGTTTTTAAAAACTAGAAATAATGGAATAAATTCCTAATATTTGAAAGAAGATGTCAAGAAAGATAGCGAAGCCTTCCTAAATCACAAGCCTCTATGTCACTCCTTAGACATAATCATCTTTTTGTATCCCACATGAAAATCTTCAGCTATGAAGTGACTATACGGTGCTGTTCCTGCCCAAGTCACCACTAAACTGAGAAGGCTGATATGCCACTGGTCAGGAGACAGTTAATGATGTTACACAGGAAACATGGCACCCAAGTTTCTAACCAACAGTGAATCTGCTTGTTAATTACATTCTGAGCAGGGAGTGACTTTTGCTACCAAAGGGGATTTAAAGAACCCTTTCCACACTACTCCAGAGATGTGAATGCTGAGCCTACAGCCATGCAATGAAGTATATGTAGCAATGAGTATCACACAGCCTCACACAGTACTCTAAGAAATGGTTAAGAAAAACAAATCCTCCATAAAAATCAAGTAAAACTATAAATAATTAAAAACTGCCTTTGGAATAAATGCATATGAATACTAAGTCTAATTAGCAATAAGGTCTTTAAACACACACACACACACACACACACACACACACACACACATTCCAAGGCAGACTTTGTAAGGCAAAGAATAATTTTAAAAAATGCTGTTGCTGTTCCCTACAAAAATGCTGATTAAAGATTGCTACCCGCTTCTTACCCCAGAGAAAGTGGAAAGTCAAACCCTGATGCCCATATTTGCCTGTATCATGTCCAAGAAATTATGGTAAATTGTGAATCAGTCACTACTAACAAATCCATTTGTCCTCTTCATAAAGACTGGAGCTGAAGAATCTGCTGTCAGGATTCGATGGACAGATATCTAGAACAACAGACCCAGTGAATATTTGCTGAATGAATGAACCTTGGATTTGGAAAGCCTTCTATACCAGATTCATGTTTCTGATGTTCTGAATGGAGAAAAACAAGTAAAGAGTTATCCTCAAAGTTTTCTCTCGTGATAGGGCTTATTTCTCTTTAGGTGTGCTACATACTATACTATGTTCTTCACATTCAAGATGAAACGGGATAAACGTCCTAACAAACTTTACCTCTCTGGACTTGACCTTTTAGATATATTTTGGTTCTGGTCTTGGCTTTTGGGTAAGTAGCTATACAGAGTTCATCCCTCACAGCCAGTTCAAGCTGGCTGAACATTATGTCCAGTAGAGGGTTCCCTGGGAGACTGATTTGGCTTAGAACCTTTTGACCCATTCTGTTGGCAAACTTAAAGGTTCACACAGGTCCGTCCTGATCCTTTCAACTATTTCAAACCTCCTATGCCCTTGAAGTGTTCTCTCACTTTTTTTTTCTTTTTTTTCCCTGAGTTCTTTTGAGCAGGGATAATTAGCAGGCGTATTAGTTTCCAAGGGCTGTCATAACGAATTACAAACTGGTGGCTCAAGATTACAGAAAATCATTCTTTTATAGTTGTGGAGGCGAGAGTCTGAAATCAGGGTGTCAACAGGACCATGCACTTTTCAAAGACTCTGGGGGAGAATCCTTCCTTGTCTATTTCAGATTCTTGGCTTGTAGTTACATAACTCCAATTTCTGCCTCTGTCTTTGTATGATCTCTCCCCTGTGTTTTCTCCCTTTCTATGTATCAGGACATTTTTCATTGAATTTAGGGCCAATTAGGATAATTCCAGATGATCTCATCTTGAGATCCTTGACTTAATTATCTCTGCAAAGATCCCTTTTCCAAATAAGGTCACATTCCCAGGTACCAGGTGGACATACCTTATGTGGAAACCACCATTCCATTCACTACAGTGAGTGATTCATCTTTAGATTTGAAGAGGTAAATAATTTGTGGTATTACATTTGGTGCTCTAAACATTTATTTTAAATATTCTGCATACCTTAACTTTGTGTCTATTTATTTTAAGTTATTGCTTTAACTTATTATTATTGTCTTCATTGGTAGTTCTTCTAGACCAAAGTTTTTCAGTCACAGCATGACTGACATTTGGGGCTTGATAATTCTTTCTTGTGGGAGGATTTGCTGCTCATTGTATTGTGTTTCACAGCATCCCTCGCCTCTACTCTCTAGGTGCCAGTAGCATTCCACCAGTTGTGTCAATAAAACATGCCTCTAGAAATTCCCAAATGTCCCTGGATCAGGAAATTGTTCTTGGTTGGAAACCACTGGTCCACTTCAAACATTTCTAGATAAGACTATTAGAAATTACACTGAAACACTAAAATTCATCTAAATCATAACTTTGATTTCTTTGGCTAAAACTTGTGCACTGAAAATATTATAAAAATGTTTTATTTTATTTTGGTTCAGAATAATGAGTTAATGGAACATTTTCCCAGGGTATACATAATTTTCAATGGCCCAGTCTCTACTCACGTAGCAAGTGATATGAAGGACCAGGCTTAGTGCATGCTCTCCCATTTACTTATCTGCTATTCAAAAACGGGCAGAAATCTGCTCCTTTCGACCAGAAAGGCAAACTGAATTCCTTCATAACAGGGTTTGACAGAGAAATATATGTGATATCCATTAATGAAGTAAAATTGCAGAAAAACCACTTCTTTATACAAAGAGAAAAAATATCAACCATTCACCTTTATTGCCATTAGGATCAACATGGAACACTCAAACAATGGTTCTGTTATTAATTCAGAAACATCCAACCCACTTATGAGTTAAAGCAAGATATTAGGCACAGATCTATGAGCTATTAATATTGTCTGTTTTAATAAAACATATCAGAGCTTACACTAACAAAAGTTGTTGCTTCAAGGTTGTAGACACCTTAGTAAGCTAGACAATTTAGTAAACTCCAAAACTGTCATTGCCCCATTCTCCAACCATTTTAAATGTTGTAGACCTGAAATAAAGGCCATCCTGAGTCTCAACAAGAACTCATTTTTGTTTAGAATTACATCTAATTTTGGTTAACTGGATTTTTATCTACAAAACTTGTTTCCAACATTCAAATCCACATTTAAAAGTTTAATATGGCCGGGCACAGTGGCTCAAGCCTGTAATCCCAACACTTTGGGAGGCTGAAGTGGGTGGATCACTTGAGGTCAGGAGTTCAAGACCAGCCTAGCCAACAAGGTGAAACCCTCTCTCTATTAAAAATACAAAAATTAGCTGGGCGTGGTGGTGAGCACCTGTAATCCCAGCTACTTGGGAGGCTGAGGCATGAGAATTGCTTGAACCCAGGCGGCAGAGGTTGCAGTGAGTGGAGATCATGCCACTGAACTCTAGCCTGGGCAACAGAGTGAGATTCCATTTCAAAAATAAATAAATTAATTTAAAAAATAAGATGATAATAAAATAAAATAAAAGTTTAATGTTACTACCAACAGAAATATTTTTAAGATTCCCAGTTTTCCAAGACAATTTAAAAAGACAAAGCAAAAATATTTTGAGTAATGATAGCTTCTTTGACATAAATATAAGGTCTCCCAAGGTAACCGCTCTGAGAAGGACAATAAGCATTTGGATTTATAAATGTTGCTACTTTTAAGAAAATAAATTGCATTATTTTACAGATCCAATCTATAGATAACCCATTAGCTAAACATTCTTTGAAAACAGAAATCAGATTTTTTTCCAGTTATAGCTAACAATACTAATTTCAAATAACAATTATAATAATTTATTATGAGAGAAGATCTTTTTGAGCTATTAATTAACTGAATTGAGAGGTAGCATAGCATACTGAATAAAACCATGGGCTTAGTAGCTCAACTGCTAGGATGCAATTGTGACTCTGTCAGTTATCAACTGTGTGACCTTGGTTTTCTACTCTGTAAAATTGGTCTAATAATAGTAACAACCTCATTAAGTTGCTGTAAAGATTACAAGTTAATGCACATAAAGCATGAAGAGTAGAGTCTAGTATGTAGTAGATGTTCAATAAATGATTATTTCTGTGATTGTTTCACTTTTCTCATGTCTCTTTTTATTTGATTTGATCCAATTCCCTAAAGACTTCACGTTAAGAAATAAAACATTTGACTCCAAAGACTTTTGGCAAGCTGCACTTTTCAGTCTCCTAGTTTGTCTTTATGGCCTTTGGGGTCCATATCTTTCTGCTGCATTTTACAAGTTCTGTTTCAATCATATTTACTTCCATTATATATTAAGTCATATTGAGACTACATAATAATACATGACAATAGATAAAAATTTGGTTAGCCCAGAGTAAAGAATTTAAAGTTATCATTGGACAGATAATAGAAAGAGGAGGAGGATTATTTTGTGTGACATAAATCAAGCATGGTGAAAAACAACGTAATGCTCCCTCATAGAAGCAGGTTTTCACTAAGGGGCTGATGATATTCAAATTGCATAAAATGAATACTTTCCCTGGGATAGTCTTGACCACACAGTATTTATTTTTTTAATTCACAATATTTTTTGAATCAATTTTTAAGTTGGTGCTTAAGTGATTAATTTCTTAATCATGACATACTTATCTACTCCAATGTAGGAAAAATCTTTTTATCTCTCAATACTCATAAATAATAGATGAAATGTAATTGAACTATTATAAATATTATTGATGACAGAAGGAAACAAACTTCTGAGTTCAGCTCTTCCTAACCCAAGAGAGATTGAGCAAAAATACGTATATTATGTGGGAAATTACAATTCAAGTATTAGAACTCCTTTGTTTAGTTAGTTATTTGCCTCAGGCAGGTGATAATTTTCAAACCTAGAAACAATTTATTTTAAATATTCAAAAATTAATATAGAAAATAAGGCTACCAAACTTTTCCAAACACATTTACAAAGAATTCTTGAGGAGGAAAAACAAACTTGAATGATCTGCTTCCTCATTACCATAAAAAGTTGTTTTGTGATGAACCCCCTTGATTCTAAGGACAACAATCCATGACAATTATTATCACAGACAAAATTTCCAGAATATAAGAAATTCTTCCTGTTTCCTTAAGTGGTTTTAAAAAGATTCATCATGATCAAATATAATTTTAGTAAACTCTTCATTTCAGAATAACATAAGATGTCCCAGTGAGAGAATACGCTGAAATCCTTTAATCATACTTTTTTGCAAAAGAGCATTTACAAAGCATCTTTAAGTCACCCTGAATTGGCATAACGTATTGAAGATTTGGGGCATGTGGCTGGATGTTACCTTAACATGGTGACAAAGATACAGGAAGATAGAGAAGAAAGAAAATGGAGAATGGAAAAATTCCACCACTTGTACATAAAAAGCATGAGGTTACATATGTTGTCTCTCTGCGTGGTTCTTCTTTCCAAGGCTCTGGGAAGGGAAAGGGGTAAAATGATCTTCAATTCTTTCTCAGGCCTGTACTGTACCACTGCCTTTCAATATTCTCCCATTTGGCTGAGTTTGTCGAATTTAAAACATGATGCAGTGTTTACTTTATACACATTAAAAGGGAGTTATGTTTAAAACATATAAACTAAAATATCTGGACTATCTGTAACTGAATAATAAAAGAAGACACAAAACCAAATATGAAAAAATTAACAAAGAACTTGAATAAACAACTCACCAAGGAAGAAATCCAAGAGGTAAGTAAGCACATGAAAAGATACTCAATACCACGAGTCATTAGGGGAATCCCAATTAAAATCAAAGTAAGATATTACCACACTTATACTAGAGAGTGGATAAAACTTTAAAAGCTGAAAATACAAAGTACTGGTAAAGGTGTGGAACATCTAGAACTCATACATTTTTCTAGTAGTAATGCAAATGTTACCATCACTTTGAAACATAATTTTGAAAAATAAGTATACACTTACCATATGATCAATCAATAGCTCATCTAAGTATTTACCCAAGAGTAATGAAAACCCATGTCCTCACAAAAACCTCTATGTGAATGTTCACAGCATTTTTACTCATAATTGCCTCAAACTGAAAACAATACAAATGTTCATCATTAGTGATGGAGTGAATGGATAAACAAATTGTGATAATTCCATAAAACAAAGTGCTACTCAAAAGCAAAACTAGATGAACAATTGATGCAACAACATGGATGAATCTCAAAAACATCATGCTAACTGAAGAAAGCCAGACACAAAAGCTTATATGCCATGTGATTCCAGTTACATGATTATCTGAGAAAAGCAAATTTAAAGGGACATAGATCCAAGACGTGATTGTCAGGGAGTTGGGGATGGGGGAAGAGGCTGTGTTACAAAGAAGGATAGAGGACATTTTTGGAGCGATGAAAATATTCTATGTATATCTTGATGATAGTAGTAGTTATACAAATATCTACATTCATCAAGATTTATAAAGCTACATGTTTAAAAAATGGTGAATTTTACTGTATGTGGATTATACCTCAATAAAATTGACTAAAAAATCAATGCAATATATTTAAGATCACCCTGACACATGGGATAGTTCACTCCAAACCTAAACTCATTGACACAGAACCAAGCCATGACCAGATAACAGATGTAGGTTATCATCATTTATTCTGGCTTCCCATAAAGTCCTTAGTGTAACCATCTAAAACCTGGTAGTGCTATTGCCCTTGATTTAAAAAATTGACAATTTCCCTAAGGTCACTGCATTAATCAGGGTAGACCAGGTATACTATAGTAGTGTATTAGTTCATTTTCATGCTACTGTTAAGGACATACCTGAAACTGCGTAGTTTATAAAGGAAAGGTTTAATTGACTCACAGTTCTGCAGGGCTGGGGAGGCCTCAGGAAACTTACAGTCACGGCAGAAGGGGAAGCAAACACGTCCTTCTTCACAAGGCAGCAGGAGAGAGAAGAATGAGAGGTTAGGGAAGGGGGAAACCCCTTATAAAACCATCAGATCTTGTGAGAACTCACTCACTATCATGAGAACAGCATGGGAAAAACCACCCTCATGATTCAATGATCTCAACCTGGTCCTACCCTTGACACATGGGAGAATTACTATAATTCAAGGTGAGATTTGGGTGGGGACACGAAGCCAAACTATATCAAGTAGCAAACCCCAAACCTCAGTGGTTTAACATAGTCCATATTTATTTCTTGCTTATGTAAATTCTGCTGTGAGTTTCTGGTGACTCTTCAGGGTATCTGTTGTCCATGCATTCACTCAGTGGTCCCAGATGAGCTAGTTTCCACCATGCTATAGCTGTGTCAACTGTAGCATGCACTTTCTCAGTCAATGCAGCAGGAAAAGAGAATGCTCACAGTAGCATTCTCACAGTAGTGAAAGTGACAACACAACACATATCATTGCTTCTCACAAAATTTTACCAGGAACAGGTTGCTTAGTCCAGCTTAATTTAAAAGTCAGAAAAGTATAATTTCCCCTTTGTGCCAGGGAGATGAGGATAACCAGCTTGGGATAAGCACCAGAAGTTACTAACACAGTTCTTTTTATTTTATTTCACAATATACTTTTTGCTGTTTCTTATCAAATAAGTATTCATGCACACTTATTATTCTGGGCCATGAAGTAGCAATGTATTACTAGGCAGAAGCAGTATGGTACCATGTTCTTGTTGGGAATATCATCATTTAACCCTCAACATTGTTGCAGTGGGGTAAATTAAGCTGCCAAGGGCTTAATGTTTTTCTCCTAGGATTTCCTGTTGAGTTTTGGTATCTAGAGACTGATGGGGATTAGCTTTGCATGCTCCCGCTTAGTCTTCTTGCATGTGGGAATTTGGGAGCAATTAATGTCATCTCTGATGACAGAGGAAATTAACTCTGTGTGTTAGCTATGTTGATAGAACATACTCAAAGGTTCAGATGGCAGTCTGAACTTCTGAACTTTTGGGAGCTAAATACACACTTAATTCTTTAGAGATCCCTGAAGACACAAATTAAAGAGGGTGAATTAAAAGAAAAAAGTGTTTCCAGTTTTTATAGGAGGAGCTTTGAAGTCACCATGGAATGAGTCTGAGAATCTCTACAGTATCTGTATACTGTAGGAAGAGGAGTTAAAGTCAGATCATTGGTGAAGTGGAAGGTTCTCACGTGAGAGGCAGGTACTGAGATGGCGGAAAGAGCAAAGCTGCTGGAAATTGGGGCAGTGGATCAATAGTGGGGGATGGATGTGGGACAAGCAGACGTGATCTCAATCATGAAATGTGATTTTGGAGCATGATAGTTTTACGGGTCCTTAAATCTGTCCCAATTTATCCTTTTCTCATGGAAATAACGAGCGCACTATTTGTCTTTTGAATCCATTATACAGAGTGAGTGCAACATTTCAGGTCAAAAGAAGATCTGTTCCCATAGACTGAACTACCATGTTCTTTTTCCTAATGATAATTCTAGTGAAAATAAAACAACAGCAAAATGTGTGTGTATTAATGAATGTGTGTGATCTGAGCACATACAACACAAGTACAACTAGATATAAAATAGGTAAGCAGACAAAACCTTCAGTGAGGGTTTCCATTATGATGCAACATAGGAAGTAGCTATAGTGTAATCTGTAGAAGCAACAAAATGTAGCATTTATTTCATCCCTTCTATGCTGCATGCCAATGGCAGACAATGTTAAAGGAGCACAGCTCTCTGTTCTATGAAGCCCAGGCCAGGCCTCAGCATCCTTGTCAACCCAGCACTGGAAGTAGCCACTATATAAACAAATAAACAATCAAATTTTGCACTCGATTTGAGAGCTACTTTCTATCAAACACCAGCAAAAGATTTCTGAATTTTGAATGGTGGTGAAAACTCTCCAGAGATTTTTTCCTTTTCACTAAAAGCCTGGTGAGATTATGCGTTTCCTTTTTGCTTTCTTTTCTTACTCTCCTCTGTCTTTTCTTGAAAAAAAAAATGTACTAAGCACTAACCACAAGAACCTGCATGTGTCAGGTGCTGGAGATAAAATTGTGAACAAGGCACAGTGGGAAAATTCTAAGTAATGTCCAGCACTCATAACCAGTCACTTCTGGAAAGATTTTCTTCACTTTGCTGAAAGCTATATGAATCCAGTTTCATCCTACCATGTGGCAATTTCTACCCTTCTCTACCCCCACCACCCCAGTTTAAACTATATCATCTATTGCCTGGACTGCTGTAGGAGCCACCTTGGTAAATCTCTACATTCACTCGGATCCTATCCAATCCATCTTCTGCACAGGAGTCAGAGCAATTACATACAGGGTCTTGTGATTCTCGTGCTTAAAACGCTCCACTGGATTTCCCCGGCTCTTTAGATGGAAGCCAACACTCCTAACACGGCGGCCAAGGCCCTGTGTAATTTGTTCCATACCTGTTTATTCAGCTTCATCTACCACCCCTCTCTTCTTCACTGTCTGTTATCCAACCACAATGTTTTTCCATTTCTCAAACTTACCCTTTCTGCCTTGCAGCTTTGTAGCCTGCAATACTATTTTCCCACTTTGCCTTCTAGTTAACTCTGTCATCTTTTAAGTTTCAGTTCAGAATTCACTTCACCTACTGCACACCCAGCTACTTTTGTATTAATTTCATGGTATCATGTACCTCTCCTTCTTTCATCACATTTAATGATAATTCATGTTGTCTGTTTGATTATTTGATTAACCTCTGCCTGCCTCATTAGCCTATTAGCTCAATGATGACATAATGATTGCAAGGAAAATGTCTGCTGTGCTCTTAAGTGTGTTTGAGCGTGTGTGCACGCACGTCTAGCACATAGTAGATGCTCAACAAATACTAGTGGCATGGAGGCAGGAGGAAACAACTCACTGGTTGCATGAATGAACAAATAAAGATAGGAGTGTTCCTGTCCCCAGACCTTACAATCTAATGGGAAACAGATAATAAATAGACAATTTGAAGACAGTTTGATGAGTTCTGTGAGAAGACAAGTATAGTGTGCTACATGCAAACATAAGAGGGATACTGAATTCCAATTTGAAGGGGCTACTATAGTAGAGATGAAGAGGAATTATATAATCAAGAGTTACAATAGACATATTTACAGAAATGGAGCAGTTTCACATATCCAGCCCTTGCGGGGCTATGTATAGTAGTAAATAAGAACAGAAATACAAGCTGTGGAAATTCTGCTGCAAAGGCTGTATTTTAAAGTCTGAACTCTAAATGGTTGCAAACAGAGAGAGACTGAGAATTCTTCCAATTAGCACATCTGTCTTGACTCAGGAAGTGACTACACTGAGGCAGATCCACATAAAAACAGAGAACACAGAGGGAAGTCAACCTATGATTAAAAAAAAAAATTCAAATAATGACACAGTAAGAGGATCAGGGTCAAAACTGAAGATACTTTCCCCCTAAGCTGTGCATAGCTAGAAAAGATTAGTAGGGGCTGGGGGCAGTGGCTCACACCTGTAATCTCAGCACTTTGGGAGGCCGAGGTGGGCAGATCCCAAGGTCAAGATATCGAGACCATCCTGGCCAACGTGGTGAAACCCTGTCTCTACTAAAAATACAAAAATTAGCTAGGCGTGGTGGCAGGTGCCTGTAGTCCCAGCTATTCTGGAGGCCGAGGCAGCAGAATCGCTTGAAACCAGGTGGTGGAGGTTGCAGTGAGCCAAGATCGTGCCACTGCACTCCAGCCAGGCAACAGAGTGAGACTCCGTCTCAAAACAAAAAAAGAATGTAGAAAAGATTAGTAGGGGACCCAGGGATCTCATTTTAGTTAAAGCTGAGCACGGTTTCTGGGCATTTCATACATGTATGCATAGATATGCTTTATATGCATAATTGAATAAATTAAATATAGTTTATTGTAAATTACAGATGGGTCATTCTGAAGTAATCTTCTTTATTGCCGTTGCGAAGTCTCAATTAAAAAAAAATTAGTTACTGTTAAACATATATTTGGACACAAACAAATCCAAACAGCACATGCAGTTGAACTCCTGGATAGCCAAGCCAAGCAGCTCACGTTAGAGGACTGTGCTTGAAGAAGATCTGTTCCTGATGGTGAGCGGACCACATGTCATTCACAAGTACGTATACCCTTCAAATAGCTTTGCTATAGATTTGCCATGTAGCTTTCAAGGCCAGAGAAAGGGGGTCCCCTGAGGGTCTTTCTTTTTTTTTTTTTTTTAATAATGGAGCCCATGAACACTAGTGCAGAATGTAAATGTGAAGTCACAGAACCCATTTTTCCTAACTGTGATCACCCAGATTTTGCTGTAGGGTAGCAAATGACTGCAGATTCCAGGGGGAGAAGCCAAACAGCTCTCACTACCCTGAAAAAATGGAAGTCAGAAAAAGCATTCAACAATGTCACCCTGCTGCAAGCATGTTAGGAGCTGTCCCCAGAGACCTCATCTTCCTCTTCATCCTCAGCAAAGAAAATTAAATGTCACTAGTGAGCACAGAACCTCCCTCATTTCACCATTATCTTCTCTTTTCTAAAGATGCTTTATGTCCTTTCTGAAAGTACTAAAGAAATCCTTAATGATATCTAGAAATAATGTTTCTTTCTTGCACCCAGAATTTTCCTGCTCTTTGGAAAGTAACACTTCACTCTTTTTTTTTTTCTGAATTATTATTTACAGGGCAAGTTGACATTTTAGGACACAAATCAGATTATCAAGTTTAGTCTTGGTGAAATCACCTTATTATTTGTAAGAAATACCTGTCTTCAGTTAAAGCATGGGTAATCATTAATGATAAATATAATGTTATTTAATATGTGGTATGTAATTGGAGAGTGCCATAGGTGAGTGCAGACAGAAATAAACTAGTTTTCAAACTAACTGGCTCTACTCCATCTAGCTATGTGTCCCTAAATAAAGCACTTAACTGCTCTGTGCCACAAGAGTTTGCCACAAAACACAAAACTAGTAGAATCCTAAAGATCTCAAAAAGCCTGTATGTTTAAAAGAATGTCACTGTAACTTTGGGAAACTTTAAGGCACTGAACATGTTCGATATCATCAGAAGCTAGAAAAAATGATTAGGATTTTTCCTTTAAACTTTATACATTTGTGTTTTGTCTTGGTTTTGAGTATTTAGTGTTTTTTTCATTTTTAAATGAGCTTTGTAGTTAGTGCATTGGCCCTCAGGAACGATAATTTATTGTTTTTGTTTTATTTTAGGTTAAAGTAAAATTATGAGACTTCATATATTTCTGAGTGACTTAAGACTGTTCACTGGGAAACCACAGCTTGTGCACGATAGCACTGTGCTTGTATCAAGTGACCTCAGAGCTTTCCTGCATAGAATCCTTCCCCAATGCTCTTAATTTTCTGCGCTTGCAGGCAGGCCTTAGGCATCTTTCTGACCATCCTCGCGTATCCCAGAGTGGGCCTCGGTCTTTGCAGAGGTGTACCACCGCCCTCTGCTGGACAGATTGCAGCAAGTAGCCTCAGAGTCCCTTCTCAAGTGTGGGTTTCCTGCCCCGCCTCTCCTACACCATCAGACCTGAGTGGACATGTACAGTCTTCACAAAGGGTTAGGTGAAATTGATAATTTTAGAGGTTTGGGTATTTTACTAAAGATGCTTTGAGTAACATGATAAACAAGCATCTGACTTTTTAACTTGGGATTTTCAATGATACTCATTACAAACTGACTAGCATTCACATTTTGGAACACTCATTCCTTTTGACTGATTCAGCACACTTCGCCAGGTATTCTCCAATCAGAGAACTATTTTTATCTCACATGAATTAGAAGAGATGGTTCCTAACAGATAAAGATGATATTCCAATGAGATAAACCTTCTCCTTCTGAGTTAATTAGACATTGACTGGTAGGCTGTATTCTCAATCATTTTGCCATCAAATATTTTTTGAAAACCTACTACACACCCAGAAATCTTTTAAGTGTCAGGGATATAGCAAGAAATACAATACTTTAAAAAGATATATGCCAGTCACCTTGTATCTATTTCTGACCTGCTGAAATATAAGTTCTAATGGGAATACAACTAGAGTGACCAACCGTCTTGGTTTTCTCAGGATTCACAGGCTTCCTAGGATGCGATATTTTCAGTGCCAAAACAAGTACCAGGAAAATTGAAGGAGTTGGTTATGGTAAATACATCTCTACCATAAAAGATTGTAAACTACACTAGCATTTATTGAAAAATAGCCTTTCAATAGTGTTAGGTTCATCCTTAATACTATTCCTCTGAATAGTTTCTTCTCATTAAAAATGTGTTGCAATTTATAAATTACATAAAAATTAGTCTATTGAATTGTTGTTTGCAGAGCATTTTCTTATATACAAAAGAGCTGAGCAAACCTAAAATCATAAATTCAAATTTGCTCTGTGAAAGCCAAGCAAAGTAAATACCGGAAAAGCCAACCTCAATCTTGTAAGATGCAGAAAGAGCTTAGATTACCTATGCAGAGACACTTTAGAACAAAAGGGGAAATTAAAACCAGGAAAAGGTATTTATTAATGAAATCCCTGAGAAAGACAAACTATCAATCAGGTGATAACAAACGATAAAAGCTTAAAACTGGAAGATCCTAAAATTCACCCATTTTCTATCCAAACAAAACATTTTCTCCAGGATTTTGATGTTATTTATTAAAGCTTGAATACATCTTCTGACATATTATTCCAAAAAAAATTAGTCTTTATTTCTCACCAATAATTGTTTCCCATATTTTATTTAAATATGATCCTCTTAATTTTCTTAATTTTGCTTTAGATAATTTTTTAAAAAATATATAACTTCATATATCCATGTGTCGTTAGAACTAAAACTAAAATTCAATATTATTTTCTGCTTGACATCTGCTAAGAATG
This sequence comes from Homo sapiens, assembly GCF_000001405.40. Classification (NCBI taxonomy): domain Eukaryota; kingdom Metazoa; phylum Chordata; class Mammalia; order Primates; family Hominidae; genus Homo; species Homo sapiens. The sequence goes on from NC_000021.9 coordinate 15,484,787, forward strand.
GAGGGTCTCAAATGGTCTAACTGCAAGTTCCCCTCCTCACTTTGCTTGTGAGAATAAAGCTCCCTAACTGAATAACTCTCCTTAGTGAGGTGACCAGGCACAATTTCTGCCTATTACTGGGGAGTAGGTTTCAGTTCCCAGCTAGCCTATGGATTTATTCAAACAAGCCAATCACGTCGTCTTGTGGGAACCAGGACATCATGCCCTCTTGATACTACAAAGCCTGCTCCCACAGCCCCTGGTTGTTCACTCTGTTCCTGGTGATATACTCCCTGGCATGCAGTGTCCTCCTCTCCTGGGCTGTGAGTATATGTGACTAATAAATTGCTGTCTATCCCATCTGTCCAGCACCAGGTATTGTGTATATGGCCATCACCTTAGCCCTAGCGTGGAAATCCCTTCCTCACTAATGGGGTAAAGAGGAGTCCATTAAAACAACCCATACCTATGATATCTTATACAATGCTACACAATTCTCCTCAGTCTTCTATTTTCCAGTGGTTTCCACTCTTATCCTGCAAAATCACTGCTGAGGTGAAGCTAGAAAATCATTGAAGTATAACAAGACATTGAAATAGGCATACTTTTTGATTGAGTGCAAATGAGGCTCTTATAATCACTGTTGAGAGATGAGTAAACTCAAAGCTTTTAAGAAGCTAGTTGCTTCATAAGAACTATAAGTGACGATTGGGGGGACTAGTATTCAGAAATTTTTGTAGACAAAGAAAAGTTGAAGGAAAAATATGCATTTGTTTAGCAAAGATTCTATTTTTTAAAAATCCAGTTCTAAATTTTATATGCTAAATGAGAAGCTGCTGTGTATGTTCACAAATCTACAGATAATTTCCTTCTCTGTTTTTATAAATGGTTTAATTCTTCTTTCAAACCTAAACTTATATGCCAGAAGTTGTAAGAACAACAAAAAAAAGCGACCATCCGAGTTTTAATACCTTACTTTGCTCCTACTCCCTGTGAAATAAAGAAATTGATAAGCAATGGACTGGTTACAGGTGGACATTAAGAATTATTCATAGAAAGTTAGCAGTGGAAAGGACATGAGGAACTCCCCAGCCCAACCATCCAGCTCTCACTGAATTAATGGATGTGAAAATGAGGTTCAGTAAATTGTCTGTGTGTCAGATGTCAGTGTCAGGCTCTCTAATTCTCAGCCCATTTCTTTTTCAGCACCCTTTGCCCCTCCCCCCACTTAAAATTAATTGAAAATTGACTAAAGAGCTTGGCCAGGTTCCTAATGTGGTAGCTTAGCATATTCACTGAATTGCAATGTAATGCATTAAGAAAGTCGTTCCTTTCTTACCCTGGTTCAGACACATTTCTCTGAGAATCTGAAGGACCAATACAAGATATGCCAATTAGAGAGTTCAGAATTTATGACGTCCATGGATTAACTAATCAATAATGCTACTTGGTATATTTCAAATTTAACAGAATTTGAAATGGCCTATGGTTACATATCAAGGAGGCATAATTATACAACATATCAAACATCTGTAGGATCAGCCCAGACTAGAACTTACCTATGCATATTTCCTGCATGCATGTGACAGTGTACACTACAAAGAATAAAGTCACCCAGTGGAAGCAAGAAGTACAAATCCAAACTGAACTGAAAATAGAGCTCTAGGAAGCCTCAGAAGCAAGAAGCTATTGCACAAGATGGATCCTTGGTTGAGAAGGGGATTCTTTGCAAGGTTAGACTAGATGAGACCAACCAGCTCAAATAAGTTGAATTAAAGGATAGACCAAATAGCTAGGAGAACTTACACACACATGCACACACACACATGCACACATGCATGCGTGCACACACACAGGCACACGTGCATGCATGCACACACACGCACACACATGCACACACCCATGTGCACACACACACGCACACATACACAAGTACACACACGCATGTGCGCACGCACACACATTCTTTTTTAGAAATTACGCAACTCAGAAATGCATCTCTAAATTATAGGGAGAAGAGAGGAAAAAAATACAGGTTTTGTGTATCCTGGCATCTCCAGAAAATATTGAAAAATGAAGACAGAAGTTCAGTTATTTTTTATCATATAGATGTTTTCCTTTTTCGAATTCCACATTAGGTTATGAAATTCTACTCTTCGGGATTAGAAGAGTAGAATCATATAGATGTTTTCCCTTTTTGAATTCCACATTAGGTTATGAAATTCTACTCTTTGGGAAAATTGCAAAATAAAATGAGAGTAATTTCATGGACCTTCAACCGTGATGAAATTCTTACCTTGAAAAGCTAAGAACAGTAAAGTAAATGATTGAGCAGGTAGGGCCTCCACAAGTGGAAGACTTTCCCAGCCAAATATCAGCAACAGCCAAAAAGACTAGGCCATTTCCAAAAAACTAACTCAACAATTAATAGTGATTTATTACTCAGGAACCTGACATTAATTAAAGCAAATTTAGCAGTATCCTTATCACTTGAAGTTGATGTTATTGCAGTTGGCTGGAAAGAGAGTACAAATTACTTCGGCAAGGCTGCCAGTCACTCACATCCTCCTAAAATGCCTTTCTACCCCAGCGGAAAGCTTTCTGGAACTCTCGAACCCCTAAATTAAATTATGTTGGAGGGACCCTAGCCTGAATGTTCTCTTAATCTTGGCCATCTGCACTTACTCAAATGTATGACTTTGCTCTTTTAACAACTCCAAAGAAAATGTATGATTAAAAGAAAAAGACAAATGGCCAGAAAAAAGATTTGAAGGTAAAAATTTACTTGGATTGTATAGTTTGATTTGCAAGAATACCAGACTTGGTTTAATAATTACTGGATAGTAATTATAGACACAAATATGTAATAGGTAATATTTAATTAATGTGTTGTAAGATGATAATCTGATAAATTCACTGAGTTCATTTCATTTGCTTTTGTGACAAACATAAATCCTAATTCACAACTCTGGGATACTTAAATAGTCCAAAATGCAAAACTAACAAGAACGAGACAATATTAAGTTCCTTTATATACATTTTCTAATTACCACAAATATTGACCTCTGACTTCAGCCTATATTCAAAATGAGACGCCAACATCTTAAAAGCTTAATATGTCTATCAGATGTCACAATTATACTTTAAATATTTTGGTGCTAAATATTTAAATATTTGGTTTTCTAATTATTCTTTAAATCATTGGTGCAAAATAGAAAACAGAGTACTCAATTTCAACATATCTTTTTTCCCCCAAATTATCTGAATTAATCATTTGGATAATATCAGATCCAATTGATAGTCTCATTAGATGGCATCACTGAAGAAGTGACTCTGTCGCAGCTAGGAAGACCCCATTGCCAATCACCTTGCAAGTAGCAGTCACTGTAATTCCATACGGTTCCTGAGACAGTGTGAATGAAAATGAACATGCATTGCGCTTCTTCTATTTTGTCCTCCCAGGGATTAATATATTTTACTGGTTCTTACAATATCCTTATAAGTTAGGTACTACTCTTTTCCCAAAGCTTACAAATAATTCAATGAAGGCATAAAAAGCTTAAATAACCTATAAACAATCATACTACTCCAAAGGAATGAAGCTGAGATTTAAGCCTAGATATATTATCTATTGCTGCATAACAGATTCTTCCAAAACTTAGTGGCTTAACACAATAGCATTTACTATTTCACAATTCCTTGTAGCTTCTCTGGGTCCTCTGGCTCTGAGTTGCTTACTAGGAGAAAATCACAGACACCCCAGTGCTCTATTGAGAGTGGATCCGCTTCCAAGCCCATATAGTTGTTGGCAGGATTCTGTTCCTCGCTGGCTATTGGAGTGAAGGCCTCAATTCCTTGCAGGCTGTTGCCTGGAGGCTGCCCTTGTGCGCTCTCCATGGGGTGGCTCAGAACATGGCAGCTGGCTTCCAGAATGAGCCAACAAGACAGCCCCAGAATGTGAGCAAAATAGAAGTCACTGACTTTTACAACCTCATCTTGAAGTGGCATCGCTTAGAAGCAAGTTATTAACTCCAACTCACACTCAGTGGGAAGAAATCAAACAAAGATGTGAATATCAGGAAACAGAGCTCATTGGAAGCCATCTTAGGAACTACCACACCAAGAATGTTTTTTTGTTTTTTAAAAATTAAAAAAAAATTAACTAAAGCCTTATGATGACATCACTTACAAGTCTGTGCTGATGGTATATCTCTACATTCTAATGAGTTTGTAAAACCCTCATTACTAATCATGTATATATGGCATTTCTACAATTTTATTTGTTTTTTAACAACTACGTAAGCATAAGCCTGAATTACAACATAGTGTAATAGTAAACAATTCAAAAGTGAATTCTAACTTGCTACTACTTCTTGTCATTTTGACCTTTAAAAGCATCAGATCTTGTAGATTATCTATAAAATGTAAAAAGTGTTAAATATTTTTTGATATTATATATAAACTATGTAAAAAACAACAATTTAGATGCAAGAAATTTTTGTGAAATTGACATAGAACATACCAAATAAAATAAAAAAATAAAATAAAATAAAATAAAATGGGCATGGCAATCAAATCTTCACCCTCTGCATTTAGATGGACTGGTAAACACAAATTCAAATACAGTTGAGTCTTACTCTACTTTATAAGATAGTGAAGGAATTTCACTATCATATTAAAGTATATTCATATAACCAGTTATATAAATCTAAATAGAAAACCAATCTTCTCTAGTTATGAGATGGCAATCAGCAGGTTTGTGAAAAGTTGGACCTAACTAATCCAGGTTAGCCTCAATTCCAATTATGCCTTTAGAAGAGGAAATTGTGATAATATTTGCTGGACCTGAATTACTATCAAAATTCAAAAAGTATGATCACATTCATTTAACGACCAGCCAATTTTATTTAAATCAGGACTGTTCAACAAGAATATTCTATCAGCCATTAATGATCTGAATTCTGGTTTATCAGATTAATTGAAATATAGCACCTGCTTTTAAACAGTTATCAGGCATTTGTCTTTTGTAATAAGTAAAGCAGTGGCTTACTATTATTCATTAGTCGGTTTTTTTGTTTGTTTGTTTGTTTTGAGATCTGCTATCAAGTTTGCACTCTCTCCCTTATAAGTTCAAGCTGAAAAGTTCTGTAGTCCCCATGACCATCCTCACTTCTGATACCAACTGCAAATTCAGGAAACTCCAAGATTATGCATGTACTTGCTAGTTTGATAGAGGTATTCACAGAAACTCAGAAAAGTCATTATATTCACTTATATTCACAGTTGTACGTTATGACAGCAAAAGAATACAGATTAAAATTAATAGAAGGAAGAGTCACATAAGGCAGATCTGGGAGACAACAAAACATGCAACTTGTAGTTGTCCTCGCCCAGTGAAGTGGTGCAGACTGTGCCTATTTCTCCCAGAAAGGATGAGTGACAGTACACATGGAGTCTCACCAACTAGAGATGCTCACCTAAGTTTTAGTGTCCTGAGTTTTATGGGGGATTGGTCACATTGACATGACTTACCACACGGCTGATCATAGTCTCCAGTCCCTCCAGAGGTCAAAACGATAACATGTTGCCCAAGAATAAATAACATGTTGTTCCATTGTTAGCACAGACAATCTGGTGTGGCCCAAGGCCTCCCGGAAAACAAAGAAACTCATATAGGGCAAGGACATTCCAAGGTCTTAGAGATTTACCTCCCAGGAGCCCAGGGAAAAGGCCAAATCTTTCTTTGGACAAAATTAATTCTTTACTGCACACCAGCGAAGATCATTTTTGTTCCAAGGATGTGTCTTTTTGGACACATCAAATATTCTATCAGTGTTCTCAGGCACTACCTTTGTTCTTGTTGGCATCTGTGTAAGAGAATCCAGGGCCTGAACCATTGTCCACTCAAACAGACCATACACACCTGGTCCAGTTTTGTGCATGCCTCCCTTTTCCACAGTGTGCCACTTGCTATAGTTCTGAACAAAAACTCCCTTGCCCTTCGGAGCTTTATTTATTTTTAATTTGCTCTGTCATTGCATTGCATGCAATAGAAGCTTCCTGGTGGAAGCTCAATGTTCTGCTCAGTCCCAGACACGTTTTCAGCCACTGTATCATTGCCTTAGGTTGTGGTTTCCCCAAAGCAGCACCGGAGGTAAGGGCTTGTGTGCAGGAGTTCACTTGGGAGGTGGCTCTAGGAAATAGAAGCGAGTTTCCAGGAAGTGTGGGATGAATACGGGGATGGGGTGGGGGGCGGGGAGGAATCCAATATGAATATATAATCTCATATTGAGTATAAAAATCCAATATGAGTATGTTTTCCAGACTGCTGCTAAGGAGAATGGTGAATTATTCTACTGCGACCTTTTGAGGGTCCACACAATGCCTCCCAAAACTATCTACCAGAGGGTGGATAGGAAGCATTGATCCATGGCTTATATTCCCCATTGGTCAAACATTGTTCTGCTGAAGCTCACTCTGGCCACAGTCTTTGGCATCAAAAGAGAACTAGGGCAGAAGTCAAAGACATGGCTGTCAGAAAACTGGAGAGTGCACTGGAACTGTCTACTCCAGGTGTGGCTGGAGCCAGAGAAGTGACCTCAGCCATGTCTGCTGCAACTATATTACCTATGCCAGTTGTTTACAAACGCAGAAGAATATCAGAATCATCTGGAGAACTATTAAAGAACACAGATGCCCTGAATTGTAGAAGAGGGATAGGATATGGGCCTTTGTATTCTTACCAAGCTCCCTGGGTGATTCTGATACTTATACTAGTGTTTGAGTACCACTAATTGATACTCCATGCAGACCCTAGAAGGACAAGGCAGGCTCAACAGGAAGTAATTTGACATGAATTTTGTTGCTGTTAACCTGAACTCATGGTAGGTCTAGAGTGGGATACAGGCTGCCCCATGCCAATTCTGCCATGGACTTTACCATCCCCAGTTGTGTTGGTTCGGTCCACGTAATTGTTGTTGCTGCCTGCTCAGCTAGCACCTTGACACCCTACCTTGCTCTTGCCAACTCACTCCCTCAAAGAAAAGGAAAAGAACACTTAATCTGTTAAAGATATTTAATGAACACCTGCTATAAACTAGCCAATTTGATACACGTTTTACAAACATGATTTCATTTGATGCTCACGACAAATCTGTGAAGTAGGCAGTGTTATTCAGATTTTTCAGATGAGAGATCTGAATCTCAGAGAGACCTGAAGCCCTGTATCTCTTGCGGCCTGGATTAGAAAACAGATGTTTTGGCCTACATAACTGCAAAGTCTTCTCCATTCTTGTCTTTAGAGACAAGGTGTAACCACCACCTGCATTAGCTTTACCAGAGCATTTCTCTGTTCTCCTAAACTTTGAAAAGGCAGATACCTACCTAGCGAACATCTTATTTTGTAGCTGTCAAACCAGTCTCCAAGTATTAAAACAGTATCTGATCACACTTTGGCTGAATAGGTTTATTTAATGGGAAATTTAATGGGAAAGGCATTTATTGAGCACTTACTAGATGCCAAGCCCAGTGTTAAGTGCTTTGTATACAACATCTCTTTCCTTTACTGTTCATAGAAACAGGGCATCATCAGCTTCTTCTTGACCTCACAGAAGAATATATTTATCTGCCTGTAACAAATATGCAGTCAGGTGTGGTGGTTCATGCCTGTATTCAGGCCCATTATCCCAACAATTTGGGAGGCTAAGGCAGGAGGATCACTTGAGGCCAGGGGTTCCAGCCCAGCTTGGGCAACATAGTGAGACTCCACCTCCTCCCTAAATAAATAAATAAAAAATTAGCTGGGTGTGGTGGTGTATGCTTCTAGTTCTAGCTACTTGGGAGGCTGAGGCAGGAGGATCACTCAAGCCCAGAAGGTCAAAGCCACAGTGAGCCATGATCATGCCAGTGCACTTCAACCCGGGCAACACAGAGAGACCCTGTCTCTAAAAAATAAAAATGAAAAATGAAAAAAAAAAAACTTAGCAGCTTGGTTACTCAGAAAATAGATCCTCACAGATCATGAAGGTGATAAGATGCGGCAAATTTTATTCAGATATCTTGCTGGTTTTATTAGATCTGCTTAAATATTTTTGGAGCCTGGAATAAGACAGCGGTTATTTTTGAAGTTTGAAAATTATGACTGAACTTCACTTGTTTATTATTCATAGATTTTTGAGAGAATTTTTAATTATAAGTATAAATGTGTTTTAAAATGTTAAGAAGGATTTCAAATATATCTAAATGTTTAATGGCAGTTTAGCCCCTATCTTCTAATGTTTATTTTCATTCCATATATTCTATCAATAATTGATTCTTTCTCATTTTCCATTAGCTTTTATTAGCAAAGAGCAACCTTATAAGCACAATATAGCACATCTACATTTAGTGCTTCTTGTCCCCAAAATGGCAATTCCATTCGCCTCAGCACTCATATGTCCATACTAAGTTGCTAATCTTTTTCAAAGCTGCTCCAGACAGCTTCAAGGCAAATATACTTAGTGTATTACTTTGTATTCTTTGAACAGACAGCAACATAGTTTTTGACAGCTTATTTTCAACAGATAAGCATGAAGACATTGTAAAACAGTCTAAAGGCATTTAGACTGGTGTTAATGATTTGTTTTGATTCTTTATTGTCTACAGTGTCTGATGTTTCTGCACCAGCTTCTGCTGCTAAAGATAAGATGACATTTGATAGTTCGGTTCATCCTATGAAAAGTTTAATTTAATTACAAAAGGGTCTGATTTGCTAGATTAAAAGGTCAAGTATTATAAAATTCATTTTTGGTGCAGAGATTTGAGAAAGCTGCACAGTGCAAAGTTCAAACAGTCAGAGAAGAGTAAGACACTTTAGAAAATGAGGAAAAATTAAAACTATTGGCTAATTTCATTGGAGAAGGAGAGACTAGAGACACATTCTTGTATATACAGCAGTTGAACATACCACTTAAAATAATTTGTTGTCAGTATTTTTTTTTTTAGCCTTTTGAAAGTTTTGCATCAGGGTGATTTGCCAAAAAAGGGGTGGGGGCAAAATTTAGGGAACTACGCTAAAATTGTCTTTGTTTGAAAATAGCACGAGACTCTACAGAAGTATTAAGATAAGAATGCTCCTAGACAGCACAGGCAAGGACTTCACCGCCTCTTCCCCTGCTCACCATTTTACCTCAACCACACAAGCTCTGCTGACTTTTATTGGGGATTAAATGTCTCCAGACTTAAAAAAGAAAAAAAAATGCAATGAAATCCAGATAGCTGTGCTTGCTCTCAGCCCACTGAAGATGAGAGACAATATAAGCGAACGTTTTAGGGCGACTTCATTTAAGAACATGAAGTGCCTGAGTAATAAGACGGACTGTGCCCATGGTACCAGGGTCAACTTGACCAGCTGACTAAAACAGCCTGCAACAGCTAAGTGACTACCTTAAGCCAAAGAATAAAGCTTTACAGAGGTACAGCTGGTTAGAAGTGAGTGTTAATAACTGAGTGCATAAAAGAGAGAGGGAAACAGCACAAGTGAGGGAAGCTGATGGACTCACAATTTGACTTCATCCCATAGATCAAACGTTGATCAAACGATAAAAGTGGATCAAAAATGACTCAACGATTCCTGGCTAGAGCTGATGAAAAAGGGGCTGCTTCATTGGACAATATGGCATGAGGAATGTGAGGAGCAGCTGGTATTTCAGTTCCATTAAAAACCCCTCCAGCTTACCGTGGGTATTCAACTTGTGCCGGCGTCGATACTTCCACAGGGGAGTTTTCTCCAGGTGGTGCGACAGCACAGGCAGGTTGCGCCGGTGGAACTTGATATTCCCTCACTCATGCCACCCCTACTTTTAAAAGAATCTAATTACAAAATGACTGGAGGAAGGGAATGTGTAAATGTCATATACCCGGACCTTCCGTAATACCAATGCCTTGTGAAATCCAAACTGAAAAAGTCGTACAAATGGATTTGGACAGAAATGCTGTTGCATGGATTGAAAACAGGCTCAAAGACTGTAAACAAGGATAATGACAAATGCCAGTGCAATCAAGGGCCAGTGGATGAGTTTTCCACCAGAAGACAGTGTCCAGAGATGCCCCATGAGTCAGGATTCGAGTTCATTTTTGGTCACTAGGTGTATTACCTACAAAGGAGTGAAGAGTATATGGACAAAATCACAGCCGACTCTCAGTGTGAAGGAGGGTAAAATTAATAAAAGGAAAATTACATTGAGTCAAAAGAATGCTAGAAATATAGAAGTGGAAAATCGCCTAAATAGTTACTGATATGAAAATAACTTGAGAGAGATTCTTCCCAAATTTCAAAGATTTGGAACACACCTGTAGATCAATGTAAACAATCCAGTTTGCCTGCCATTTTATCATCTTTCAAGTTTTTGATTTATGCTCCAATATTTATTTGAACAAAATAATGATATAACTTATGGCAGTGAATATTCTTAAATTTGAAAATCTCTATAAAAATGATATTTATTCATCCCCAACCCTCCCACTTTTGGGACCCAGATTTTTGGATGCAGGTTAATTTGCATGCTGATTTGCCAGCTGAAAATCTCAAAGAGAAAAACTTGGAAGCACTTGTAGTCAGTCAACTAAAGTAAAATGTAAGCAGAAAAGCTATAATGAAAATACAATTCATAATATTTGCACATGGAACTTATAATGACTGGTTAACTTTTAATGTGAAGAATAAAAATTTCCTGTCATGATGAAATGAATCAATTAATTACTTATTAATTGTACTTCTATTATGTGGTGAGCACTTTACTAAAAAGTCGTTTTTTTGTTGTTTTTTTTTTTTTGAGAAAGGGGTTGTACCAAAGTAAAATTAGAAAAATAAAAACAAGGAAAGCACATTTCTTTGTCTCAATAAATCATGCTCACAAGTAGATTCTTAGAATTTCAGAGCTAAAAAGGACCTAAAGCTTCATTGATTCTGACCTTTTTTATTTTGGATGAGAACTGGACTCCACAGGGAAGTGAGGATCCCTGGCTCGCGATGATGTGGCCTGCCAGAGTCCTTATGGGAATGTCTCTCTAGATGCCTCCTCATAGCTGTGTATCCATGAGACTCAGTGGAACTTTCACTTCCCATTGGCTTCCATCGGGCCTGTGATCCCACTTCACCTCTGTCCTTCCAGTCATGCTGGGCCTAGCCCAACAGAGCCACAGACTACTTTGCCCAGGCATTTATTCTGGAAGCCTGACCAAGCCTGCTGACTGGGCTGGGCTGTAGACTGTAGCGTTCATCAGTGATTTTCTTTGGCCAGAGTGAGCACCACTCTAAGCAGAGTCTTTCAGAACTTTGGAGCCACTTAATCCTACAGAACTTTTCATTCCTGCCATCATTGGCCTCCACCCAAAATGCACACTGCCATCGTCATCTGGTCTCTTACATCCTCATCCTCATGCTACTCAGTTTCCTCTCCTATGACTCATCCTTCCATTCCTACTCAATTTCCCGGCCAACCTCCTGGCTTTTGCTCTCATTGTTCCATCTGCCTGCCCTGACTACATGCTCCACCTGGTGAAAACCCACTGTCCTTTCAAGACTCATCACAATCACCTCTGCAAAGAAGAACCATCACCTGCCTCCCCCTAGCTGCAGCACCTCATAGAACTGACAATCCCCTCTATTTTTGCATTCCATATAGGGTGTAAAAATGGAGACGATTGCCAATTTGTGAGAGGTAGCAGCTATGATATAAATGGTTAAAGAATTTCTTTGCATGTCTGCTGCCACTAGAATCAAATCCCTCTAAGGGCCTAGATAGTTCTGTAACCACAGCTGTATCCTCAGTGCCTAGAACAGTATCTTCCAGCACACAGTATGTTCTTACTAAATGTTTCTTAATGAGATAAGCATCTCTATTGGACCATTAGCTCCTTGGAGGCAAGAATAATGTCTTCTTTCCCCATTACCCCATAGCTCCGGGCACAGAGTTGGTTATCATATATGGCTGGATAATTACATTAAATTCTTTCCATAGCGACTCTCTGGAAACCTTATTTCCCTGTAAATAAATTCCTCTGTTCATTCAAGCACTTCACCCAGCTCTCCCTCTATATAGTCACCTCTTTAACGTGATTCCTCCTTAAGAGATGAGACTTCCTATTTTGTCCTCATCAAACAAGGTTGCTCATTCTCACAACTCCTTTTATCTGCAACCTAAGGTCAGCCTATTAGTACTTCTAGATCCCCATTTCAGCTCAATTTCTTTCCTTCATAGACAAGATTATGGAAAGAGCAGTCTACATTCCAGTCCTTATCAGCCATCAGCTTTCAGTCCCTATTTCTATTGAAATAACTCTTAATAGGGTCAAATGTAATGGACTATTCTTGGAAATATTTCTGGCTACTTCCAGGCTCAGTTCACGTGTTTCTCAACTTCTCTGTAATATTAGGCATTGCTGCACGAAGTATCTTCCTCTTCCACTTCCTTACTTTCTTCCCACTTCTCTGTTCTAATTTTTTCAGACTTTTGGAAGTGCCTTGCCTTCTATTTTATTCTTTACCTGGCATTCTGTCCTGACACCTCTAAACCTTATTCTCTGGTTCAACTAACACCTTTACAATGATGAACATTAAGTTCATTCCTCTTCTAAGGTCTAGTTTTATTTATCCCTCTGTCTCTGGAAAGCTCCACTTGGATAATCTAAAACACTTCAAAATCAGTTTTTATAAGGTAGGATGCATTATGTATTTCCCCTAACTCTTCTCTTCCTGTAGTAGTGTCTTACTTAATCAGTAGTACCCCCAATTATCCTCTTTTCTGAGCCACAAACCTGGCAGATATTTCTAGACAACCTTCATTTTTTTCCTCTATATCCAATTTCTGCCATTCCACATCTAAGGCCCAATGTCTGCCATTCTGCTTCCAATATTACTTTCACATCCATGCCTTCTTCTTCATCCTTATGACTACTACGTGAAAATTGGCTCTAATCACCTTTTTCCTGTTTAACAAAGATAAAAATGACTTCTGCATGAGTATTTGTTATGTGTCCTTCTCCCCTTTGCAGGATTCACTTAAGAACCATCTGCTGTGCCCATAGTGATAATGGTTTAAAAGAATTGAAAATCAGAAATAACTAGAAATAGGGCCAAGAAAGAGAAAAAAGGTAGTGGGGAGAAGGAACACATCCAGGAAACAAGGAGATGAGTTTTTTAAAAAAAGTTTACACCTGAACTGAGGGTGGAAAAAAGTTTTCAGTGTAGTGCTAGGGTTTGATAGAAATAGAAAGGTGAGTGAAGAACGATGATCTAATACTATTCCTGAAATTCTAATAAAGGCTTATGTTGCATTTAAACATTTTCAGGGGCAAAAGTTGTGTTTATTTGATGATGGCATCACAAAGAGACCGGTCCACATGAAGACCAAGGTTTACACGATCCACAGTTGAATATTGCAGTAGCCTTCTCTCTAATGTCCTCGATACTCCCTTCAAACTTCCACTTGGATATCAGAGTGACATTTTAAAGATGCAGACCTGATCATGACAATGCCTTGTTTAAAATTTTAAGCAATTTATCCAAACTGTTACAAAAAGTTCAAGCTCCTGATTTAGGTATAATTGCTGTTTATAATATGACTCTTGCCCAAACATGTCACCAAATCTTCAGACACTCCCCAGAACTAAAACCATTCTGAATAGTTAGCAGTCAGTCCTCTGAAGACACACCACTTTACATATGATTTTTTCCTCTATTTTAAATATTCTCCTTTCCTTCTTCACATCAACCAATTTCTATTTGTATTCAAATCCCATACAAATGACTACTCTTAGAAGCCCAATGCACTGTCCATTCCACAAATGACTACTCTTAAAAAGCCTTCTTTGACACCTGAGTCTGAGTCAGATACAAATGACTACTCTTAAAAATCCTTCTTTGACACCTGAGTCTGAGTCAGATGATTAGCCCCATTCTCACAGTAAACAGGTCCCATAAACTTCATGACCCTCCTTTCCTTCCTCCTCCTTGAGACAGCCAACTTTACCAGTTTAATTTTTGCCTGTAATAATTTTTTTCAGAGTATTTATAAACACTGTGTGCAATGTGTACATTTTACAAAACTGGATGACATATATTATAAAGCTGATCAGCAAGAATATAGATAGGACAGTAGCCTGAATTCTTTCAAACGAAAAGATGAATAAAGACCTGCCATAACAAATAGTAAGAATATACTACCTCTTAAGGTGAACTGAGTGTTAGAGGCATATGAAGTTTTATACAGTCAAGTAGGTTTATGTAGACTCCATGAATGACAAAGGGAATTAGAGATGCTCTGAAGACAGTATTTAAAAATCAGTGAATAAGGATGAAGTCTTCAGCAAAGGGGTCAGAAAAGCCACATACATACTTGGTAAAAGAAGACTCAGCTTCCTATCTCAAAACAAAAATATAATAAATCTCATATGGATTAAATGCTAGAATGTAAATATAAAACCATAAAAGTACTTGAATAAAATATAGAAAATTATTTTTATATTTGCATAAAGAAACCCCTTCTTAGTGCAACTTGAAGATCAAATGCCTTAAAGAAGAAGACTAGTTTGAGTAGCTAAAAAAAAGTACAATTTTATGCTTTAAAACTATATTTTTTCATGATAGTTGTTTCCTTTAAATGTTATAAAACATGACTTTTCTGCTTTGTCTCTGACCACGTCTTCACAAAAATGACAGAAGAGCTATTGCTTCAGTCACTTAGAAGAAATATTTATAGATGATCAATATTGGCCTCTGAATGTAAACTGCAATATCTACCTGACTAACCAAAGAAATTGATATCTACCTTGTTTATGGAATTTTTCTATCCTGGAAATTCTGTGATTCCTGGCACATATTGTTCTATTGTTTTATCACACTCTTCATGTTTATCAGGTTTTTTCATATTTGTGTATCCATGGATATACAAATCAATGATTTTCTTTCTTCCTATGAAATACAGCTGTGGAATTTAAGAATTTAGCAGCCGTAATTTTCTATTCACCTTCTCTCCTTAAGACTAAGTAATTATAGTTCCTACTATTTTTTGCAGATGACTCTTTAAATATTTCAAAATGCTGTCTAAATTCTTTATCAGTCACTGTCTCTCATTTGATTAGGGAGCAGAAGATAAAGGGTAGCCTGAGACGGAAATCTAAGAATCAGAAGTTGGAAACTGTTACCCATGTTTAAGGCTTGACAATCAAGACCAAGAGGCAGAACTGGGGCATGCAGCAGCTGAGGACAAAGTAGTTCCCAGAGCTGTAGAATGCATTGAGGCCAAATCAGTGGACACGTGCAACCAGCCACAATCTAAAGTGAGAAGATCGATAGAGGAGAGAGGTAAGGCAAGGTCATGATGGAAAACTTAAACACTTCTGTTAAAAGTAAGCATCTCAAGGGAGACTCGTGTGCTTCAGGCGCTTAGTGAGAGGACTTGGAAGAAAATTGAGGGATTATAGGAAGCCATGAGTGTGGCCAGCCTGAGAGACTCATGTGAGCCAGTAGTTAATTCTATCTTTTCCTAATCAATTCCAGCTATCTCTCCAGACTCAGAAACTCAGAAATGTCTCCAAGTTCTCCTTCCCTCTTAAATGAAAGAAGTGAACATGGAGATTAACTTCTGTGTGATGAAACATAAGGAACTGCACCAATGTTTTATTTTTCTAGGACAGGAGTCAGCAATTTTTTTTCTGTAATGGGCCAGATAGTACATATTTTTGTTTTGTAGGCCATCCAATCTCTGCACAGCTATTCAACTCTGTTTTTGTAGCACAAAGGCAGCCACAGACAACACATAAAAGAAAGGACACAGATGTGTTCCAATAAAACTTTATTTACAAAAAAAAGTAATGAATTGACTAACTCCTGTTCTAGAATTTGGTTGTATTAGATGTGGTTACTTACAATTGTTAGATCTCAAGCTAGGTTGGGGAAATATTTTTATTTAGATACATAAATCTTCATTATAACAATATTTTAGAAAGGAATTGAGCTATGATGTTTTAATCATGTTTTAGCTAATATTAAGTGCAAAGGAATTTGATTTTGATTTTCATAATTTACTTTCTCATTTAAAATCAGAGACCTAATATGTCTTTCCACTTCCAATCTGTGATTTGATATTAATGCTAATATGAACAGCAACAGGAAGAGTGAGTTGGAAAGCATTTTTTTCCTTTGAGACAAAGATGAGTGAAATATATACTCTTTAAAGTGATGTTGGAAAGTGCCTTTTGCTGGTTCTCTATTTCATCTTGCACTGTGGCCAAAATAAGCAGCACTGACTCTTTTCTTTCTTTTCATGGTTTACTGTAAGAAATCCCTCTCTAATTCCATCACCCAGCTCAGGATGCTTAGTAAACCTGTAGAGACATACTGTCCATGAAGGAGTTCAAGAGGCCAAGTGATCAATTATTTGCCAAAGGAGCAGAATTTTGCTTACTTGCCTGTAGTTTTTTAAAGAAAACAAGAAAAATTAGCAAGGAAAGAACAGTGAAGAAATTGAAGAGGTCTCTGAGTGTATCAAGCATCTACAAAACAATTTAATTTTGTCAATCAAGATGTTGCAAATGGCGATGAATAAATCATGTCCCTATTTGTTAATATGCTGCATCAGGTTATTTTGAGAGAAAACAAGGGTTCTGCTACCAGAATGTTTTCCATTACTATAACTTTTTCAGCATTTCTACTTACTTATCATTAATACTTTGTTACTTCTTTTCACATTTTGAGAGCTAAAAGGGCACATCCATTCAAGTCAGTTCACAGTTCAGTTCAATGAATATTTATTGAGTACCTACTATGTGCCTGGCAATGGTCTAGGTGATTGAGATACAACAGTAAACAAAACAAAGATTCCTTTTATCATGGCACTTATCGTCTTGTGGAAGGAGACAGTTAATAAGCCATAAATGCAATAAATAATAAGCATATTATTTAATATGTTAGAAGTTAATAAATACTGGTGAATTCTGAAGGCTGGAGCAGGGGATGAGGAGTTACTATATTTGGTAGGGGTCAAGGTAAATCCCTGTAAATAGAAATTGTAAATAAAGGCTAGAAAGAGGAGTAATAAGTTAGCCAAGAACATACTTGGGGAAACAAGATTCCAGGAGTGGAAATATCTAGAGCAAGTGCCCAAAAGTGACCGTGTCCTTGGAAAGTGGGAGACTAGCAATGAGCACAGCCTGGCTGTAATGAAGTGAGCCCTTGTGGTGTAGGTAAGGAGTTCATGGAGTATAGGATTACAAAATTGGGGCTAGAAGACACTTTGAGGCCCTCTAATGTCTTTTATTCTCAGTGCAATGAGAAGCTGTAGCAGAGTTTTGAACAGAAGAGAAACATAACCTGACCTTTGTTTTAACAGCATCATTCTGGCTTCTATGTTGAGAACAGACTGAAGGAAAGTGTCTTAGTTCATTTGGTGCTGCTATAATAAAATACCTGAGACTGGGTAACTTATGAAGAACAGAAATTTACTTCTTTCAGTTCTGGAGGCTGGTAAGTCCAAAATCAAGACAGGTTTGTTTCTCTGCTGAGGGCTGCATTCTCCAGAGGGGAGAAATGTTGTGTCTTCACATGGCAGAAGATGGAAGGGAGAGAACCCACTCTCAAAGCTTTTTAAAAGGACCCTAATTCATTCATGAGAGAGGAGCCCTTATGATCTAATCACTCTCAGAAGCACAACCTTCTAATACCAGCACCTTGTTGACTGGGTTTTAAGATGAATTTTTGAGGGAACATCATATTAAGGTCATAACAAAAAGTAAGAGCAGAAGGAAGAAGAACAATACAGAAGCTATTGGTATAATTCTGTTAACTGGTGGTGGATTTTCTGGGTGATGAGAAATCATCAGATTCTGAACAGGAACCAAAGGATCACTCCGTTGCTGATTGAAGCGTTTGAAGACCTAGCCAACGATTGGAATTGTCATTTTAAACTTCATGACTTACTCAAGCACACCTATAGATCATAAATATATACTATTCTTCTTTCTAATATTTCTAAAGATTTAGAGGCAGACTGGAAAAAAGTATATTCTAATTGACATTGAGAAGAGAAAAAAGACAGGGGTTGTTAAGAACATTGAAAAGATGTTAGACAAGACTAGAAAAATGTGTTGATCAAGTCAGGCTGAATACACGTGATCCACACATCAAAGCTAGACTATGGGAATAGGATGAGACTAGGGACAAGCTAGGAGCACAGAAACTATAGTAAAGAGAATTCTAGTATGTAGCCTTACCTAAAAATGTATAAAAATTACATATAAAATATTACTATTAAAAGGTCATTATATTTCATACTTTTGGGAATGTATTAGCTATCCAGCAGTGTCTAACATATTACCCCCAAAACTCACCAGCTTTAAAAAAGAAACACTTATAATTGCATAGCTTCTGTGAACTAGAAATCTAGACACAGCTTAGCTGGATACCCCTGGGTTGATGTCTCTCAAAAGGTTTCAGTAAAGATGTCTGCCTGGGGTATAAGCTTCTCAAATCGGGGAGGATCCACTTCCAAGCTCACTTGTGTCACTTTGGCAGCCCTCAAATGCTCAAGGTTATCTCCAGATTTTACTGCCATGTTATGTGGTTCCTCCATAGGGCTATTCACAACTTGATAGCTTGTTTTTCCTAAGAAAGAGAAGACAGAGAGAAGGAAAAAGAGAAAGACAGAGAGAGACAAAGACAGGAAAAAAGGCATCCAAGATGGAAGACACAATCTTCTTGTATCTTAATGAGGGAAGTGACATATCATCATTTCTGATATATTCTATTCATTAGAAGCCCCATAATCAAGAGAAGGAAGGGGATTGATTATAGAAGGACATGAATCCTAGAAGGTTATCACTGGGGCCATCTTTGAGATTCCCTGCCACGGTACACTCAATAGCACAAGAATTAAGATAAGGGGCCCCTAAACAGTAGCTACATGAGACTTATGAAACTCTCAGATAATTGGTGTTCTCTGACAACTAAATGAACTTAAAATTTTTACTCTACCTGTATTGTTGGCTAATCAATACCTAGTAATTGTTCTTGGTGCACACATTCATTCATTCTGAAGTTTGATTACAATAAATTCCATATTTTCTAGAAAACAAAAAATCGAGGTAACTATGACTATACCACAGGGAAGATTTTACACTATGCACCCCAAATAACATTCCACATTTATTTTCTAAATATCCTAATGGAATATATTATGATGTTTTGCATCATTTATAATGATATATTGTTTTAGTTTTTAAAGAAAATTATAAATCAATTAAAAGAGGAGTAGAAAATTTAGTAAGAAGAAAGCAAATTTTTTCTCCAAAAGATTTTATGGTTTTTTTCTGATAGAGTGGAGACAAGGGAATGTTTAATCCATTGCTCAAGATCTACATGCAATTCTTTAATATCTACAAATTTGCTTGATATCTACCTGAAATGTTGGTCTTGAATAGAAATACACAGCTACAACCATTTTGGAAATACTTTTTTTCACCTTTTAAAAAATTTTAATTGTGTTAACACATATATTATGTAAAAGTCACCATTTTTAACCATTTGTTAGTGTACAGTTCAGTCGTGTTAAGTACATTCACATCGTTGTGCAACCAATCACCAGAACTTGTTTCACTCACAAAACTGAAACTCTACATCCATTAAACAACTCCCCATTCCTCACTCCTCCCAGCCCCTGGCCACCACCATTCTACTTTCTGTCTCTATAAATTTGAGTACTCTGAGTAACTCATGTAAGTGGAATCACACAGTATTTGTCTTTTTGTGACTGGCATATTTTACTTAGCATAATATCCTCAAAGTTCATCCATGTTGTAGCACACGTCGGAGCTGAATACTATCCCATTGTACCACACTTTGTTTTTTTATTGATACATCAACAGAAACTTGGTTCTTTCTACCTTTTGGTTCTTGTGAATAATGCCACTATGAACATGGATGTACAAATACTTGTACAAGTTCCTGCTTTCACTTCCTTTGGGTATATATCCCAAAGTGGAATTTCTGGATTATATCATAGTTTTATTTTATTTTATTTTTTGAGATGGAGTCTTGCTCTGTCACCCAAGCTAGACTGCAGTGGCATGATCACTGCAACCTCTGTCTCCCAGGTTCAAGCTATTCTCCTGTCTTAGCCTCCCGAGTAGCCAGGACTACAGGTGCCCACCACCATGCCTGGCTAACTTCTATTTTTAGTAGAGATGGAGTTTCACCATGTTGGCTGGGCTGGCCTTGAACTCCTGGACCTCAAGTGATCCACCCACCTTGGCATCCCAAAGTGCTGGGATTAAAGGCGTGAGCCACCCTGCCCGGCCTATAGTTCTATTTTCAATTTTTTGAACAACCACCATGCTCTTTTCCATAGTAGCTGCACCATTTTACATTTCCACCAACAGTGTGTAAGTGTTCCAATTTCTCCACATCCTCACCAATACTTGTTATTTTTTTTAAAGTAGCCATCCTGATGGGTATGAGGTGTTATGTCACCACAGTTTTGTTTGCCTTTGTCTAATGACATTGAACATATTTTCATATGCTTTTTAGCCATTTGTATATCTTCTTCGAAATAATAGCTATTCAAGTCCTTTGCCCATTTGTTTTTCATGTTGCTACTGTCTTTATTTTTATTTTTTATCTTTATAGATTTAGGGGTGATGTGGTTTGGCTCTGTGTCCCCACCCAAATCTCATGTTGAATTGTAATCCTCAGTGTTGGAGGAGGGACTTGGTGGGAGGCGATTGGATCTTGAGGGTGGATTTTCCCCTTGCTGTACTTGTGATAGTGAGTGAGTTCTCATAAGATCCGGTCGCTTGAAAATGTGTAGCACTTCTCCCTTTGCTCTCTCTCTTTCCATTCTCTAGTCCTATAGAATGTGCAGGTTTCCCCTTCACTTTCTTCCATAATTGTAAGTCTCCTGAGGCCTCCCCAGCCATGCTTCCTGTACAGCCCCAAGAACCATGAGCCAATTAAACTTCTTTTTTTTTTAATATAACTTACCCAATCTCAGGTAGTTCTTTATAGCAATGTGAAAATGAACTAAAACAAGGGGGTACAAGTGCAGCTTTGTTACATGGATATTTTGCATAATGGCAAAGTCTGCTTTGCCCACTTTTAAATTCGGTTATTTGTTTTTTGTTGTTGCTGTTGTTGTTTAACTGCAGGAGTTCTTCATATGATCTGGATATTAACCCCTTATCAGGTATATAATTTGCAAATACTTTCTCTGATTCCATAGGCTGCATTTTCACTGTGTTGATTATGACCTTTGAAGCACAGTTTTTAATTTTGATGTTTCAGAAATACTTTTATTAGTTCTATCAATTGCAAAGCAAGAGGTTGTTCTATCTACAACTTAGAACTTAGCAGTGTTGTGGGTGGATAAGTTTGAGTCTAAATTAGAATTTAGAAATCCCTTTGCACATGTTGATGACTCAGGTGACAGGATCCTGACAAGTTAGTTTACCTAAGGAATTTTGATTTGCTTTAGCATGTATGTGGTATCATAAATGATGGTTGAGGAAGGAAGGATTTGGGAAGCAACTATGAGAAGGCTAGTAGATTCATGTGAGTCACGTAGCACTTTGAGAGGAGTGGGTTAAATCATGCAACACCTGTGATTCCTTCTCACTTGTCACTTGGTACAACATATTTGCCTGGTATATATTTATTAAATAAATTTTGTTTAGTCTTTTCATTTTATTTTTTCTCAACTAGATGTATCTGCTTTGCATTTGACTGAGTATAGGCTTCGAGTGAGCAGGGAGCATGCCTAGGTAATAATCCCAGGCAGCCCAGTGAAAACTCAGGTATTGTCAATAATAGTAGAAATGAAATTTTGAAGAACTGTGGACTTGTACACTGTGAAATGACCCCTTGGGGAAGCATGTAGACAGGACATATGGGACCAAACCCGATGAAAAAGACATGCCCAAATGCAGAGAAGTATTTGGTACAGGGATTTTGCCTTTTTGTCCTGATCCTGTTACAACCTGAGACCCTAAAGAGGTACATCTCCTAACTATTCCAACTCTAACTTGCTAAGTTTCTGACCTTGGCTTATACTTCTAGTTTTGATCTCTTTAGTTTCTTGCCTCTATTAGCTTGATTCTGCCTCCATCATCCTTTTCTTTTCCTCCCGCATTCATGAATTGGATAACTGTTAGAACTTACTATGTGCCAAGACCATTACAGTCAAAACAAACAAACAATTCTTGCTCTAATGGAGCTGACAAGCTAATGGGTGATAAAAAGGCAAAAGTAGAAAAGTATAATAGAAAGTGACAAGTATTACGTAAATGAAATATTAATTGCTGTGGAAGCACAAAGGAGGATCCCCAAAACAGTGTTATAGCATCGAGAAAGTCTTCCCAGAGGAAATTATGTCTAAGTGAGACTTGGATGGTATATATAATTTAGCCAGGGAAAGCATCTAGTGTAGTGTGTGTGTGCACGTGTGTGTAAAATTCAAAACAAAAGGAAAAGGCTATACAAAGGCCTGAGGACAGAGGAAGATGGGGTAATAGAAATGAGATGAGATATTTGAAAACCTAAGTGAAGCGCAGTGTGTTTGAAACATTAAAAGGTAAAAAGAAGAATAGCAAGGAGCACTAAGAAGATGAAAGGACCACGAGAGGCCTGCTAAAGAATTTGGACTTTACCCTCAGTGTAATGAAGAGTGATTGAACACTTTTAAGCATATCAGCAACACAGACATAACACTAGTGTTTTAGAAAAGTCACGATCTGCAATGTAAAGAATAAGTTGAAGAGAGAACAGGCACTGTCGTTTGAACGTTTGTCCCTCCAAAATCCATGTGTTGGAAACCTAATCCTCAATGCAACAGTGTTGGGAGGTGAGGCCTAATGGGAGATGTTTAGGTCATGAGGGATCCACCATCATGAATGGACTAATGCCATTGTTGTGAGAGTGGTTATCACAGAGTGTGTTCCTGGTAAACAGGATGAATTTGTCCCAATTTGTCTCTTGCTCTTTCCCACCCTCCCTTGCTCTCTCCCACCCTCCCTTGCTCTCTCCCACCCTCCCTTGCTCTCTCCCACCCTCCCTTGCTCTCATGTGTGCTGTCTTGCCATGTGATGCCTTCCACCATCTTATGATGCAGCAAGAAGGTTCTCACCAGATGTGGCCCCTGGATCTTGGACTTTCCAGCCTCCAGAACTGTGAGTCAAATAAGCTTCTAGCTTTTGTAAGTTACTCTGTCTGTAGTAGTCTGTTGTAGCAGCAAGAAGCCGACTAAGACACCTAGATAGAGAAAGAAAGGCCCCTTATGAAGCTGTTGAAAATAACGTGATGGACTGAATTAGGTGAGTAACAGAGGGAAAAAAGAAAAGGGTGATGGATGAGTCCATATCTAGGAATCTTAACACAGAAGAAAGGGAGCAGTCAAGACTGATACTTAGAGTTCCAGTTTTTGCCAGTGGGCAAGAGGTGAAATGGAGCAGGTTAATAAAAAAGAGGATCTCAGTTATGTGACTGTTGACTTTGATGAATCTATTGAACATGCAAGAGACATCTTGTGGGAAGAGGGATTTCCAGTTCTAACATTTAGAGGAGATGACAAATTGGGGGAGTCTTCACCAGATAGATAGAGGATTTTTGAAACCACAACAGGAATGGAGGGAGACAATTCTTAGAAATTATGCAAATTGAAATGAGACTATTTAAGATAGAACCCTGGGAAATACGAAAATTTCAGGATTCTACAAAGGAATCTTTGATTTCAATGCAATTAGATGGGATGGAGAGAGAGTGTGGCATTAGGGAACAAAAAGGGTACTCAACAATGGAAAGAGGAGCAGGGAGATCAAAAAGGAAATGCTTCACTGACTTAGCAGCAAGACAATCGTTGATGCCTTTGGCAAGATCAGTTTCTATGGGTGTTGAGAGCAAAAGCCAAATTGAAAGGGGTTGAAGAGTGAGTAGAACTGAGAACTAGAGACAGTGAGTACAGACAAGTCTTTCTAAAGGTTTAGTTGTGAAGGAGTGGTCAGAAAGTAGAGAAGCTGGCAGAAGGTGTGAAGCTGGGGAACGTGTTATTATAATGTGAGAAGATTGAGTATGTTTATGGGCTGACGAAAAGGAGAAGATGGAAAATAAAGTGTGGAGACAAAGGAAAGGGTCTCCTGGGAAAGCAGGAGATGTCAATGTGAGTACAGATGCAAGGTTTAACCTTCAGCCAGGGAAATAATTTCTCTTTTCTGGGGCTTCTGTTTGTGGATTCAGTGGCAGGAAGTTGGAGTTCTATTTTCTCTCTGAACAAACAGGCAAGTGTATCAGGCAATAGTGATGAAAACAGTAAAGATTTGAAAAGAGAAAGCTGAATAAGGAAATATGAAAATTGTTAAGGCCAGAAATTAATAGTGTTATCAATGTGTACAGTTGTGTAAACCTCTTCACTAACAGAAACTAAGTTAGACACACAGAAACAGGGTACTTGGATGGAGGATTTGCTAGGAGGATGGATAAAACAGAAATGGAGCTAGGTTATTTAAAAGTTGCCAAAAGAATGATTGAAGTGAGGGTCCATGATATCAAAGCAAGACAAGAAAGAAAAAGACAAGATGGAACTAATAGAGGGATCACAGGATGCCAGCCCCACGGAGTCAAGGAGAGGAATGGCAAGAATAACTGGAAGAGAGGGCTCGCAGAGAACTGTGGTCAGAGCTGGGCATTCAGAGTTAATGTTTCAGAGGTGGGACAGTTTCAAATGATGACAACATCTGGGTGTGCTCATAGTATTGGGTTACTAAAGACAGCAACGTTGCTGGAAATGAAGTATTCAAGCAAGAGAGTGGCTAAAGGAGTAGGACGTGAAGTTAAGAGTATTAAAAAATGAGTTAGACTCTAACTTATTGAAGTTGTGAGAGTGAGTGGCCGGATCAGTAGGTGACAGTAAAAATGAAGGCTAGAGAATAGTATAACCTGATGAAATAATCTCAAATTAGTGGGGATTTTTACATAATGCTAATGCAATAACACCGTGAAAGCAGCCTTGGGGATAAAAGTGGATGGCTGACATATTGGACATGTGGAAAAAACTAATTCCTACATGCAAAATTATGTTCTTATGGAAGAGTCTGGTTCCTGTCACATCAAGAAGAGGGTCAATAAAGTGTCAAGGGTGAAAAAAGGGATTTTTTTGTATGCTTTCAAATGGGGATTTGAGGCAGTGTATAGGTGGTCAGGGGGAAAATCAGCCAAAAATAAGAAGAGGGGAAATGTGACTAGAAGGAGAATGATAGCAATATGTTATATAGTTTCAAATAGCTAGAATAAAGACACTGAGTATTCCCAATGTAAAGAAATAATAAATGTTTAAGATGATGAATATGCTAATTACACTGATAACTATACATTATATGTATTGAAATATCACTATGTACTCCATAAATAAGTACAATTATTGTATGTCAATTATAAAAAAATTAAATTAAATTAAATTATAAAGCTAACAAGGGTGGCAGGTAATATGCAAAGTTTTCAAAAAACATATTCTAGCAGTTCCTGGTGGTCTGCTGCCCAGTCTCTGGAGACTGAATGTAGCTCAGGCAGAGGACGTGGGCCTTGGCAGTTGATCCGTAGATACTGAAGTTGTCTCATGTTTGCTGATAACCAGTGTCCATTCCCACACCTCCATCTTACGACTGTAAGCTATTGAAATGTTCCTTCAGCTCACATAATCCTGTGTCCAACTTCAATTTGACAAAATGATCTTGGTCCACAATTATTTGCAGTTTTATTTGTTTCTCTTAACATGATCCCTCTAATGACTTAGTGTGCAGAAATTTTTCCTGGCATAGTCAGTCGATATTTGTCAATGACCTAATTTATAACCTAGTAGTTTACTAAGAGTAGTACAGACAGACTCTGTTCTTCTACTACTATCTCCATCCACAATCACCTGTAAATGTTTATTGATACAAAAGTAAAATGTTCCTTACAGGCATGGTTTCAATTCTAAATTTCATAAGACTGAATTTTTAAAAATCCTTCCAAAATATATAAAGGCATTCCAGATTTAAGGTATGTTTACTTTGTAAAATAGCAGAGAAAACATAAAGAAATGGAAGTTTATAATATGCAAAGTTGTAGATATTTAGAAGTATTCAAAAGAAGGTCTTTGGCAAGATATTTTTGATATTTCTAATCAAAAGATAGGTAAGTGCTAATCCAGTACTTATGCAAGAGAAAATTCCCTGAAAAAAATGGAAAAAGACATTCATAAAATGTCTCAACTTTTTATGATTAAGTTCAATAGACAAAAACTTTGCCAAATTACTGTGAAAATTTCTAAATGTTTATTCTCATTTCTATACTTACCTTATTGCGATCCAGTATCAGTTCAGAAGCAGGTATCAGGCTATGAATCACATTTTGAGTAGCACTGGCTTAGCGGTCTTCATCCAGTGTATTTCTAGAGGTTCACTACTAATTCCTATGGAGACCTTTGTTTTCCAGAACAAAAATTAAATCAAGATGCAGATGAAAGTCAATACCTCCCTCTTAAAAATAGAAATCTTCTTTGTATTCATCATGCCTTAATATTGTATTCTCTTCTTACACCAAATAGTTTCTCTGGGTGCCTGGGAGAAGAAAGCATGAGTAAGAACAGAATGAAAAAGGAGACCTAGGAGATATGCTGTATTGTTGATTTATGGTCATATGTAACATTTATATGCCATTTTTCATCTGTTTCTTCTAAACGAGCTCAGCTCTTACTAATGATCAGTGTCCTGATAGTCAAGGTGTTGGCAAAGTTTCCTTAGGAGCAGGACTATTGTTTTTTCTCCTATATCAAATGACAGACCATTGATTCTCTAAGGAATGTCAAAAAACTATTACAGATTTTAAGACTAAACCGATAGTGTGAATAATAAATTTAAGATTATTTTAGTGACTCATTCCAAAATTTGAGGTAATCTGCTTTTCTTCTGACAATAAAAAGAGGGTAAATCGGCTTAATACTATGGGTCAGGGTGGAGGCCCAGCATGGCCCTGTGATATTCTAACCCTTGTGGGTGTGAGTTCTCATTGAGTACGCTGTCCTTGCCTTCCATTCCTTGCTATTGCAGTGTCATGCAGCTTACTTGCTCTCTGCCCTGTGCCACAGGCCTTCTCTCACTCGGTAGCTGACCCTTCATGTGTTTAGCTCCAATGGTTTGGAATCCTTGCTTTCTTTTCTCACCCTCTGAATCACTTATTATCTTCCTAATTAAAGCACCTCTTCATTAGCATATGATGAAATGCATGGAGTAGTGTGGGGCACCTTGTTTTAAAAGGCCTACTAATGACACATAAGCAAGATTCTCCCTCCCAGTACCAATGTCTCGGCCCCTGTGACTCATGATCTAGCTGTCTAGTCCTCTCTATCTCTATTTCTATTTTATTTATTTCTTAGAATCCATAGCTTTTTCCATATTTACCATCACCTTGAACTAGGAAAATGAAGTATGGAAAATAATTAAACCATTAAAATGTTAATATTTTTCTATACTAGCTTTCCTGCAGCTGGAATATAATGAGCTAATGAAGCCAAAATTTTTTTCAATTTTATTTTTTAATCCTATGCTATATAGTTTGAAATAGCAAAGAGCAAAATCAAGGTTGTAAAAAGATGTACAATGGGTGATTGAGAAGATACTCTAATGGAAATATGGGTTATAGTTAATGCTGTGTTTGTTCATTTTTAAAATATCATTTAGCACTTACTATGTTCTAAATCTTTGGGATACAACAGTGAATGAAACAGATAAACATATTCTAGAGAATTAATGCAGAGAGTATTGTTAAATAATTCAGAATAACATTTAAATTATGTTTAATAACATAATTTCAGACCCAACATATAAAAACAAACTGATTTTGTAAAATAACATTAAACATTATTTGGGTACTCAATAAATTGGAGTGCATCTGCTTGAAATATAAGAGACTTATGACATCCTGGAGAATGTTAGCTAGCTTCCTATTGGGGGAAAAGTATAATTTGATATAGTGTTCTTAATATTTTTAGGAATTCATATTCTCTTTAATTCTGTCAACGTGCTTCTAAGTACTGAAAATCATATTAGGAAAAAGCTGGCATTCAAACATGCCATAATCATTATTTTTAGTCTAAATTTTTCTGTATTTGAAGGACTTACTCCTTGAGCAAGTGCTTACTAAGGAATCCTTTTTATAAAGTAAAATACAACCACATATTAAGACACAGTTGTTCTAATCATGCATGTGGCTATTTTATTATGGCTGTTATATAAACACTACACCATATTTCGCCAACAGAAATGCAAAAACATTATGAAAGTGTTACTTCTGATCAGATATGTATCTGAAGCCGTTGAGTTTTTATATCAGGGATTGTATTATTCTGGCCACCTGGGGAAATAAGCAGCCAGGAAAATCTGGCTTGGACTGGGACAAGACTAATGCACTAATACTTATTTATGAAAGCATCATATATTCTGCTCTTCCGTGAATTATTGCAGTAAGAGTTTCACTGCAGTGTACATAAGGTGAAAATAAAAGCTGGAATGCTTCACTATGTGAATGTGCCACAACCTACCACTGAAGAAAGGTTAAGGATTTTTCTTTGATTTTTTAAAAAACTAAAACAAATTTATTTAGAGTCTCAATTATTGCTCAGTTAGGATAGAGACCTTTCAGCAGGGTAATATGTTGTTGCATGAGCAGATTTTTTTAACAGTAAAAAAGAGTATTCACTGAGGTTTTATGAAGATTAATCGATACTCTGGATAGATATTAGATTAACAGTCTTCAGATCCATTAGAAAAAGATGGGCTCAGATAGTTTAATTTAATATTTTTCATTTTCCAAAGATTATTCATGTGAATATCCTTGATGAGTTCATTGTTGTCTTCAAGAAAAAGCCCGCGCTTCCTTTTAGAGCTATATAATCAAATGACCCATCAAATTAATTAATAGAATTTTAATCTAGTGCAGCTAGCATGCTAATTAACTTGTCAAGTATGTACACAAAGTCTCCATGAAAGTTATTTTTGAAAGTCTTTGCAAGTGTGTTATGTGTGATTGCAAGTGCATGCAGTACCTTTGAAGCAATACACAAGAACCTTGGAAGGAACAATAGCTGGTTCCACTGAAGGAGGAGAACTGGGCAGCTGAGAAGCAAGGGAAAAGGAAGACAGACATTTTAAATTATGTGTCTTTTGTATTTTGAGTTCTGTTCCATTAGCATATATTACTATTTTTAAAATTGTTTTAATTAAATATTTGCCCAAGATGCAACAAAAGAAAGAGAAAGGTAAGAGAGGGACAAGAAAAGGGTAAAAAAGGGGATGTGAGAGGGGAGGAAGAGAGAAGCAGGGAACGCTTAACATGCTGTTGTAACCCACTATTACAAAAATACCCTAATCTGAGATCCTCTTTCCTTCCTACTCTTCTCCCCATGAAAGTTCCACTCAAACTAATCTGAATCTAGTTCAAGTCCTCATCATCTCTCGCCTGGTTGACTGCCACAGACTTCTGTCTTCCCTGACTCTGATGTTATCTGAACCATCTGCAGAATAAAGATCTCTGCCTGCCCCGCCTCCATCATTCTCATTTCCTCCTACCTTACGCTTGAAACTCTAGCAACACTCAACTGCTTGTTTCTTTTTCAGCAGTGCATGTATTTCCTGTTCTTCATGCTATTGCTCCTGTGGTTATCACCACTTCAAACATGCTATGGCCTTCCTTTGCATTTATGACATTGTATTGTAATTATCTGTTTGTGTGAATATTTTCCTCCCTGGACTGCAATGGACTTTATTTACATTAGCAGGATCAGGGTCCACTCTTCTGTCAACACGTAAGGCTGCTCAACACGTATTGATCAACACTGGGAAAGACAGCGTCCTCCACCTAACTCTCTGAGATCTTATGAAAGGCATTTTAGCTGCTATTTCCCTATTTCATAAATGTAAACAGCACAATATACCAAAATAATTCATCTCTTGTGAGATTATCCACTAGTTAATGTTTCCATTCTATCTAGAACCCAAATGTGCTAGTATCCATATCATCACCGTTGACTTCCTCACATTTTTATTATGGAATTTGTCCAACCTACTCAAAAGTAGAGACAATAAGTAATGAGCCCCATGTGCCAATATCTTGACAGTTTCATTTCATGTATTCCCCAAACACCGATGTTTAAAGCAAGTCTCAATCACTGGAACGTTTTACCTGTAAACACTTAATTATACTTCTCTATCACAATAAGGATTTTTTAAACATAATGACCGTGACAGTGATTGATAGTCTATCTATGACATTATAATCTGTTTTAACATTTTAAATAATTATATTAGGAAGTCTAAATTCCAAAATCATTTTCAATCTGTTTAAATAATTGGGGCATCACTATACTTTTTGGACGTTTCTCTTCAGTAACTGGAAAGGGTTCGGCAAAGATTAACAATCTGCATTTTTGCAGATGGACAAGTACTGTGTGTTCAGGTCAGGCCTGAAGAGTATTAAAAGAACTCTGAGGAGGATGTTTCAAATATCCTGGCTATGCCACTCAAACTAATGCTATTAATCGGCTCCTACCTCTCCCTCAACTCTCATAGACACTAAATTCCTATCTATAACTTTTCAGCAAATATTATTCTCTTTACTTGAGTTATCAAAGATAGCCCCAGAGCAATGAAACTATTCAGTTCCAAAACCATCACATTTACTACGATTGTCACAACAATAATCCTTTCCTAAACGTATACATTGTTTTAAATGTCTCAGGACACTCAGAGTCAATGTTAGTTTAATTTAGTTACTTTAAAAAACGAAAGTTGAAGTCAATAAATCTCACCATGGGCAACCTGTTTCCTAGCTTGGGCTGCAGACACAACAATTTATCTCTTGGAGTTACCCGTAACTCTCTGGAGCTATATTTGTGACTGTCCTAGGAATATTAGCTAAAGCCCAACAAAGAGGTGAAAGTTCTGTTGCAGTCAAAGTGATACTTGTCCTTACAGAGAGTTAAAATAATATATCATAATAATAGAAATATAAAAAATATAGTAGGCATGTATATTTATATATGTGAAAGACTGAATACATATGAGTAGAAAATTAATGCCAATAATACTCAATGTACATTACTCCTCCTATCATAACAATATGTATAACTGCCTAATAAATACTTCATATGACATAAAAAAAGAAAAAGAAAATTAATGCCAATAATCCAACTAAATCCATCAATCATTGAAAAAATTGTACATTTTTCTATTGTTTCAAATCTGCTGATTTTTCTGGTTATGTATGTACTCTTTAGAGAATGTTAAAAAAATGTGTTAATGCTGACAATTAACTTTTAGGAAAAATAAAACCAGAAACAAAAAATCCTGTTGTAATATCCTAGTAACGCCTAAAGAAAATATCAACAATTACTTTGTTTTGCTTTGTTTTGTTTTATTTTTCTTTTAAGCTGAATAAACCATACGAGCCTATTGCTTGGTTTGTCACCAGTAGATGCTGATCATATTACATAGTTTGGCAATGGTTTTTAATACAGATACAAACATACATATAATTTGGCATGAGTAAAGGAGAAGCAGTAATTACATAATTTAAACTGCTTACACTTAAGTAAGTATAGATGAAACATTAATGAACCATGCCATGGAAATACTTTTGACTGCTTAAACATTATTTTCAAATTTGCTTTTGAAAAACTAACTTTGAAATATTTAATCTGCTGAGAGCTAAGCCATCAGTTTTTGTGAGTTTATATACAATAGGAAGGACAAAGTATGACAGAATGATCTCCAGGTTAAGGGAAATCTTACATAATTTTTACTACTACTGATGCTAAGCTTTCTCTTTGGGTAGTTTCCCAATGGCATTTTAATTTACTTTATTTGACTTCACAATGCTTAGGAGTTGGGCAAAGTCCATTATTACCCATTATTCTCTGAAGTTCAGAAAAATTGCAAAATGCATAACTTCTGGTATGCTGGAAATTTATACACCTTCATCAAGGTGTTGGTTACATTAGTGTAAACTACGTAAATTTCCATCAAGCTATACAATTACAATTAATGTAAGCTATACTTTAATAAAAATATTAAAAAGAAATACACTCAGTGACAAACTGAGTAAACTAGAGAGGCTTTCATATACTGTGTAACAATATTTAAATCCTATTAAGGAGATAGCCTCTAGAAGCTTCTTCCTGAAATAATATGACTATTTAGTTAGACAGAAAAACAAATGAACTTCCACTAAAGTGGTAGGAAATTTTACTGACCGCACCTTGCTAAACAAAATGCAAGATAATTTTCTTTTCTAGTAGTCAATGTCCACAGCCCTCATAGAATAAGATAATGCAAAAGATGATTTTATTGACTATTCACTGCAATACCTAATTACATAAGTAGCTGCTCATTTAGAAAAATAATCCAACTAGTCATTCCCTTTTTTTCTGTGGGATTCGGCTGTTCTAATTCTTGGCCCAATGGACCAAGAAGGTGGTCATGAATCAACAAATTATTTTGCCTGCTTAAATTGCATGAATTTACAAATTGGTTATTCAGAATTAATGTGAAAAAATTTGGAGAGTGTGTTGGGTCAGTGTATAATGAGACATCTGTAGCTTTATGGTAGTGGGGGCAGAGTGGAGTGGGCTGATGGGCCTTTCTGTAGCCTTATGAGGCAGAAGTTACAGAGCATTCAAATACTTTCTCTAGTGAAAATGTATGGTGCCCAAGTTTAATATGTCCTACTGCTCTATTTTGGTAAACACTGCAT
Source organism: Homo sapiens (assembly GCF_000001405.40). NCBI lineage: Eukaryota > Metazoa > Chordata > Mammalia > Primates > Hominidae > Homo > Homo sapiens. The sequence continues at coordinate 15,517,569 of NC_000021.9, forward strand.
GAGTCACTAAACCATAGAGAAAGATTTCAGAGAGGTTACATGGGTAGTGGCTATAGCTGACATAGGTTATCATGTCAAAGGATATTTCAGCCACAGCTAACATATAGAAGAGTCACACAAAAACATGCCTCTATAAATGAATATTTGCAGATCTGGTAGGGCTTGGGCACTGGAACTAACATATTCTAAACTGGGATAGCAATACTCTAACAGTAAGATGAAAAAAGTACAAACCTTTATCAAATTGTGTATCTTTTTGTATAGCTTCACTTAAAGAATATTAGTTATATACTCAGGATGTTCCAAGAGAATGAATTGAGAAGGAGCTATCTTGGAAATTTAAGAATAACGTTAATCCAAGTGACTTCTAGACCTATAAATAGTAAAAAATGCATCTCAACATAATATGCATCTGGAATTACCTATTGACTCTTCATTGATATTTCTGTGGGGTGGGGGGAGGGGGGAGGGATAGCATTAGGAGATATACCTAATGTAAACGACGAGTTAATGGGTGCAGCACACCAACATGGCACTTGTATACATATGTAACAAACCTGCACGTTGTGCACATGTACCCTAGAACTTAAAGTATAATAAAATATATATATATATATATATATATATATATAAAGAAACTTGGTTCCTCAGGCAGCAGAGATCAATGGAGACTTTCAGCACGGAAGTGGCCTATCAGGTCTGTCTTTTCAGAAGAACACTGTAATAGAACAGTGCACGCTGCTCACTTCCTTCATTGTAAACCCAAACCATGGTTCTTTAAGTTCAAGTGCAATAACTTTGGAATAACAAGGTATCAGTCATCTCAATTACCACCCATAGTACTATAAATGAGTGCCATCTTTCTGAAAAGCAGTTTGGTGCCTTAGATGTCTTCAAATATGCATGCCCTATTGTCCTGGAAATTCCACTTCTAGGACTCTATCCTGAGGAAATTATGAAAAAGGTACCAAATATTTACGTACAAGACAGCTCATTTTTAGCATTGTTCGTAAGAGTGAAAAGTTGAAAACCCAAAATATTCAATAAAAAGTAACTGGTTAAGTAAATTAAAAAAAAAAGAAATTTCTCATAAGCTGAATTATAGTGTCGAGAGTTACTAGGCTTCCTGATTTTTCTTATTAATAATTCTGGATATGAACAAACGAGGATAGAATAAAATTATGATCCTTTTGTAGTTTACACATACTGTCAGTTTAATGTATGTTGGAAATAAATTAGACTTACCTTTAGCACTTTTGCTTCTTGGAACAAGAAGAATAAATTAAAGATATTTTTTATTAGTCACTCCTTTATAGAACTGATGAGATATTAGAATACATAGGCATTGTTTTGTGCTAGAGAGAGGAATCAGGGCAGGATGACAGTCACTTACAGAGCTACAAGCCATTGCTGTATTACAGTGTGTTAGTCTGTTCTCATGTTGCTAATTAAGACATACTCAAGGCTGGATAATTTACAAAGGAAAGAGGTTTAATTGACTCACAGTTCAGGATGGCTGGAGAGGCCTCAGGAAACTTACAATCATGGCAGAAGGGGGAGCAAACATGTACTTATTCACATGGCAGCAGGAAGGAGAAGTGCCAAGCAAAAGAGGAAAAAGTCCCTTATAAAACCTATGAAACCATCAGCTCTCCTGGGAACTTACTGCCACAAGAACAGCAGCTTGGGGTAACTTCAACCATGATTCAATTACCTTTCACTGGGTCCTTCCCACAACACATTGGGTATTATGGAAACTACAATTCGAGGTGAGATTTGGGTGGGGACAAAGCCAAACCATATCATACAGTCACCTGAATACCTTGTTTTAAAGTAGTTGGTTAATGTTCTAGGCCACTGTGGCATCTAACTTACTGTGTGTGTGTGTGTGTGTGTGTGTGTGTGTGTGTGTGTGTGTGTGTGTTGTGTACATTTGTGTGTACTCTCTAGTTTTGTCTCTTGATCCCATCAAATAATCTCTCTTGAGTCCTACTGAATTTTTGTTGAAATATCTATACATTTCAAGGATTTTTCAACTATAAGCAGATTATATGGCAACTCTGAGGAGAATTAAATATGGGTTATACGCAGTGTTGGCATCTGAATTAATTCTCTTGAGCATTTATTTTTCATATAATATTGTGATAATAGCTTCTTAGTTTTTTTATTTCACATATGCTTATGTAAAGTTTAACAAGAATAGACAACAGTTGCTAACTTAGAACATCAGGTTATTAAAAACTGTAGTGTACAGTTTGAAATATTATTTTTCTTCAAGGCAGAAAAAGCTTTCTGGCGTAAACTCAAAAGCTGCATTTCCTTGCTTTTTGCCTTAAAGTAAAACTGACAGCTGGAGTTCAAGACCAGCCTAACCAAATGGTGAAATCCCATCCCTACTAAAAAATACAAAAATTAGCCGAGTACAGTGGCAGGTGCCTGTAATCCCAGTTACTCGGGAGGCTGAGGCAGGAGAATCGCTTGAATCTGGGAGGCGGAGGTTGCAGTGGGCCAAGATCCTGCCATTGCACTCCAGCATGGGTGACAGAGTAAGACTCTGTCTCAAAAAAAAAAAAAAAGAACAGACAGCCATGACTGAAGGAAATAATTATGGGAAAAGATGTAGAGGAAAATAAACCAAGAGAGAAGAGACATGTAATAACTATGAATTACCACTTTATATGGTCAGCATTTTTATTTGTGGATATAGTCTGACTATGTATTTTCTGTACATAAATAAGTACGGTCATAGTACATGCAAAATATTTATAAATTACTTGTCAGGTGCAAGTACTTATTTATATTTGATGTTTATTGCTCCTATCACCACACAATCGAGGCACTTTAAGGATATTAAAAACACAAGTTAGGTCTCACCGTATGTATAATAAATTTCACTTCATCAAAATAATCCTATGTCTGAAATATAGTTTTGATAGATTGAGTTTCTTTTCTAAGTAATGAATAAAGGTGGCCAGTAAAATATTGTTTACAAGCTTCCATGTTAAGATGGTGGGTCCAAAAATTTAATTTCTCTCCCATAAAATTTCACAAAACGAGCAAAAAAGAACAACAATGACAGCAATAAAACCCAATGAGAAAATGTTCAACAGCAACCACCAAACCAGAACAAGAGAATAACATACTGTAATTTAATAAGCCAGTCCAAAGAAAGCAACAAATGTTTCCAGAAGAAAAGGAAGAAGCTCCCAACCATGCCCTCATCCTGGAAAAGAGCCAGTCAATCCTCCCTAATGCCATATAAATGTTGGCATCTTTTTATTTTGATTGAACACGAGTGGAAAGTGCTCCAGGGGCGAAGTGGGTGAAGTTAGGGGAAATAAATTACAAGACATCTCTGATAGAAATAAAGCCCCCAGGGTTACCCAGAGAAAGAATCCTTCCCCAGAGTATCTGCCACTAGGTGGAGTGAACCCTGGAATAGGGCAGAGGAGACAGAAGAGCTCAGAGTTCTAATAAAGATTTCATGCCACTTCCTCTCAGCTCTCCTGTGTGCATGACTTCCTCCCCACCTCCAAAGTGGCTGAAATTTCCTCAAGCTACAGAAAATTGTCTACAGCATAAAACATTCAGCTTTTAGACTCTAGTTTGGAGGTGCAAAAGATGGGTTTCAGAAAATGCAAGAAAGCATCACCACACTGTCACAGGATCTTTGGGGTGTCACATTTCCAGCCAGTAAACTCTGTGGCCAGGGGCACCTTTGCCTGAGTTTTGCTCAGGCCCACTGGGCTCCTTCCACCCACTTGGCCTGGCAGGCTGCGCTTGGATCATGCTACCAACCTGGATCCTCCACCTGCCAAGTGTGAGCCAGGCATGGAGTGGTGAGGGGTGTGTGAGAGAGTGTGGGGTCTGGCCACTGTGCATAGCCAGATATTCTGGCTATGGTAGGGCAGGCAGCTCCAGGTACTGGCACGAGTGCCTGCTCACTGCAAGGCTATGGCTGGACCAGGTGTACTGCAAATAGCTGCCACAGCTGACACCAGGAAACACAGTGGTGCCTGGAAGCTTGGAGACACCAGGAACTACAGAGCCCCAAAGAAGGTGTCACTGCCCTGGCTCGGGGAGCTTCTAGGCCTGGGCTCCCCTAGGGGCCACAGCTCTTCTCTCCTTCTTGTCACCTGCAATATGGCGAGTGAGGTGCATGTTTCAGCACTGCCTGTGTTACAGCTCTTTCAGCCCCACCATTTGGCAGGTCTTGACTTGTTGTCCCGCATCCAGGAAAAATGAGGTATGTGGACAAGTGAGCAAGGCAGAGAGGTGCTTTATTGAGCAACAGAACAGTTCAGAGGAGACCTGTAGTTGGTAGCTTCTCTCCTCAGGCAGGTCGTCTGATGAATCTGCAGCTCTCAGCAGAGAGGAGACCCTGGAGTGGGTACCTCCTCTACGCAGGCAGGTCATCCTGTCTTCTGCTGAGCTCTCAGTAGAGAGGAGACCCACAGTGGGTAGCTTCTCTCCAGAAGCAGGTTTGTCCTGTCATCTTCCTGAGTCTGGCCGAGTCCAGGATTTGTATGGGCTTCAGAGGACAGGAAGTGCATGCTGATTGGCCCATGGGTGATTATGGGCAGGCCCTGAAAAAGCGCCATTAGTTTTCATTCTGGTCCATGGAACTGACATCCTGACCCGCAGGCTTCTTGGGTCATCCCTGGCCTGAAGCTAGTGTTTCACTGGGGACCTGCCCCTTTGCAGCCAGGAGCCTGTCTGCCTCCTGCTGCCATTAACCTGCCATCCACAGAGCCCATGGCGCCCAGGCTGCTTGTGCTGAGGGGCACCTGCAGGCCTGTGCCAAGCCGCCCTTATCCCCACCTCGACCTCCCTTCCATGCTTGTCAGTGCCCAAAGTCCAGAGGGGGCTGAAGGGGCAGGGGGCTGGCATGTCAGTGCCACTGTGAATCCCTGCAGTATAGCCATTTAAATATTGAGGGCACATTCTAGATGAGTCCTCATGTGGCAGAAGTGGCAAACAAACCCCCTTGGGCCTCTTTTTTTAAGGGACATCATCTCATTTATGAGGGCTCTGAATTCATGATATGATTGCTTCCCAGAGGCCCAATATCTGAATATCATCATATTGGGGGTTAGGATTTCAATATATAAATTTGTAGATATTCAGACCATAATAGACCTTCCAACCTGCATAGCTATAGCTTAATTAATGTTCACAGTCATCAAAAAAATAAGACTACAGACACAACCACAGTCTTATAAGAAGGCTTGCGGAAAACTTTAATTTCCTATCTCCCATCAGCTTTATGAATAACTGAATCATTGAAAAATAAAAACCGAAAATCTTATTTATTATATATTTTATTGAAAACTGGTTAGCAACAGATAAATTACAATAGAGCCTGGATATAAAAATGAGAGAAGAATGCAGACTTACAAGCTTATAGAGAAAGTCAAAAAGGAGCAAGTTTTTGAAATCAGATTTTATGATACGGAAAAAAAATTTCCTTTTTTTGCCAACAGGATTATTTCGAATAATAAATCTGCCAGTGCCAATCAGAAACACCATTTCCACAATATTTGCATGCCCCTAGTTGCCTATTTTATACATATCGACTCCTTGAGCTAGGGGTATTCGTGTCTCTAAAAGGAAAACGAGTGTATTGTATAGGTTAATATGTTTTCTGTTTATGGGCACAATTCATTCTCAACTTCTGTAATGTCTCAGGAATAATTCATAATATTGAACAGCTGGTGACAAGTAACATACAAAAATTATATCCTACAATTTCCGTATGTTCTGAACACGGTCTTATCAATAGCTGATAGAACATTTAGTAGCTAGTCAGCTACGGGACTTTCCAACCTAGAAGGCCTCCTCCTCCCTACCATTCAGTATTGTATATCTCAGGGCCTTTTAATCATTTCCCTGCATCTTGGTACCTGAAGGACACAGCAAACATATATTCACTGAAAATCTGAAATGACTTGAACTTGATGGTGATCTAGAGTTTTCTTCTATCTTCCTACTGATACAGGAGTGCTGGGAAGGGAGGAGTGTGGTCTCTTTAAATGATACAGAATGAGGAAGGGAAGTGCTGGGTAGAGGAAGGCATGGTCCCTAGCTAGGGCTTTACCCCCACGGACCTAGGTGAGAACAGGCACTCCTGACTTCACGCCCAAATGTTGCATTTCCCAAGACCACCCTGGCTCACCACCTCCCCATCCAAGGTCTATAAAAGCCCAAGATCCTAGCAAGGCAGAGACAGAAGCGTCTGGACATTGAGAGGACACATCAGTGGAAGAACACACAAGCGGCTGGTTGTGGAGAGCATACTGGTGGAAGAGCAGCAGAGAGCTACCTGCACTCAATAAAACTTTGCACTCATTCTCCAAGACCATGTGTGATTGATTCTTCTGGTACACCAAGGCAAGAACCTGGAGATACAGAAAGTCTTCTATCCTTGCAACAAAGTCCAACTGAGCTGGTTAACACAAGCTGCCTAGAGAGGGCAAACTAACAGAGCACCCTGTAACACACGCCCACTGGCACTTCAGGAGCTGTAAACATTCACCCCTAGACACTGCCGTGGGGTTGGAGCCCCACAACCTGCCCATCTGTATGCTCCCCTAGAAGTTTGAGCAGTGGGGCACTGAAGAAGCAAGCTACACCCCCACCACACACCCTGCAAGGGGGACAAGGGAACCTTTCCCATTTCACTACCTACTAAACTCATTAAGAACTCAACAAAATGGCCATTATGTCATTGTTATAAGTCTGGTCAAACTCTTTTTATTCTCTAGTTGGGCAGCAAGATTTTACTCTACAATCCACTGCAGCTTCCCATTGATGAATTTTGTTCTTTGAACTGGAGAAACTGTAAGCACAGGAGTACCTGTTGTTTTCAATTTCTACCTTGCATAAACATTTGAAGAAGTTTGACTAAAGATAATAATGTTACACTTTTTTTGGCTTTACAAATTAGAATTAAACAATGATGTCTTTACTTGATTAAATCTTAAAGCCAATTAATGGCAAACAGTTACTGTGAAATTAGTCAGATTCTATAATTTGAAAGAAACTTGCAATGTGATCACACAATTTAATATTTATGAATAATTTTCTCATGACTAAAGAGATACCTGTTAATGGGCTTCTAAAAATGAGATTCAGTAATTATCACTTAAATAGCTCATTGTCTGTTTCAGAATTTTACCAGTCAAGCTTTTTTTCATTTCTAATGCAGAATTAGAGGAGGGTGGAGAGAAACCGTAGTCACTATTCTTTCCATTATAGTTGTCCACTATCTTATGTCAGTTTCCCAAAGGTATGGTGGAGTAATCATGGAGGTCACCTTTGCTTCTGGAAAAAAAAAAGCTTCATTTAAATTACCTTAGCTAGTACCAATTTTTTTTTCAATTCTATTTTAGTCCTTTCCCCCCCTGCTGCCACCTCATTGTTTTACAAGTAATGATAAATGTGATAATGAGTAATGACATCTATTCATGGAAAATGTGAAAAGTCTGAAGTTACAGTATTTTTCATTAGGAAAATGTGTCTCTAGCAGAGTTAGGCACCTTGACTTAATCAGCCTAGCTCCAACTCTGTAAAAGAAATGAATTTTCCTTAAATTTCAGAGTCCCCTTCTTCCTCCTCCTCCCCATTTTCACTCCTAATAGCTATATAAGCTTGTTCATGGTAGTTTAAGTGTAAAGAAATGTTTCAACTCTTATTTGTATCCATTAAAATGCAAATGATGTAGGGTTTTCTGATTGTTTAATCCCTGGGAGTTTTTGGATATGAAACATTGAGTACATGTTTTCAAAGTGAATTCTTAGTATCCTTCATCTGCTCCCTTCCAATATGCAGAATACAATGAATGATTAGTGTTAAACCAGGAAAGCAAGATGTATGTAGAGATTAAAAATGACCTTGCTTTCTTGATCTCCATTTGGGACTAGCCATATGGTGCAGAGAGGCTATCTTAAAAACGTGAGGTCACCCATGTTATTTCTATAGCTCTTCCATATCAGGATTTCAAACAATTTATCTCTAAATTGTCATTGATAGTATGTTATTTGACCTCCAACTAAAATAATACTACCTATGTAATTAATGTAAGAAAAATGATCCACCATAAAAATCTGTCAGTTTTATATAAATACAGCCTTTTGTCAGAGGGTTACTTGAGAAAAAAATGGAGAGTTGTTAAACATTTGAATACCACGCATTGATGCTTACAAATATAACATATCTATATAGTAACAATATCATACCAAACATATATGCAAATTTGTAATATGAATATTACTAGTTAAACATTTGAATACCAAGCATTTATGCTTACAAATATATCTATATAGTAACAATATAATACCAACAATATAGGCAAATTTGTAATATGAACATTACCAAGATAAAGTTTAAATGCAACAAAAAAGAATGAAATTAATTTTGTTATAGTAGAGAGGTAGGTAAGAATTTTTTAAAAAAAGAAATAAACATATGTACATTATATACATATATGTACACACACATAGTTTTCTTGGCTTCTGAACTTTCACTGAGTAATATCAACTGCCTTTTTTAAGGTAACATCATAATCCAAATATCTCTTTCTGCAAATTCAAGGCAAAGCAATATGATACCCATCTTCATTATCTTTCCTTTCTCCTTTCTCATCACCAAGGCTACAGTGTGTTATCCAGATTTGTCCTTTCTTGGCTCATTTCAAGCTTCATCAAACGTTACCTATTTTGTGTATCATGTCCTCAAGTCACCAGTCAATATAATATCTACCTCCTACTTTAATATGTATGTGGATACATATATTACTCCATGTAACATCTGGGGAAAAGAGGTTTAAAACCACAACTCTTACCATGACAATTCACTGTCATGGTAAGAATGCCAGGCAGGCTAGTGTATAAGGTACTAATAACTAGTACCTTTCTGAGCCCTTGTCTTACTTCTCAAATTAACCAACGTAATGAGCTTTCTACTCTTCCAAAAAGTAAGATCTACTTTGAAGTGTGGATATTCAAGAACCATGTTCCCAACCAACATCCAAAGCCAAAGCAATAAGCATGTTGTCAATTTCGACTCTTTCTGTGAAGACTCTATCAAACATAGATTCTTGGATCTACCAAAATATATCTCCTTTTCCGTGATCTTGTTTTCACTTTAACTGCTCGCTGCAAAAAAAAGAAAAAAAAAATCTTAGCTACATTACTTTTAACCATAATAGTTGCTTTCTGATCCTTACAAATAATATTTGGGTATAAACACCATCAACAAACTTCTCTTTTCCAGTTTCTGGCCCAGGATACAGAAAGCCTTTATCATTTCAGGCTCTTGCAAGCATTTTGCAATCACTTTATGTCCCAGGCAATAAATATTAATTCCAGTAAGTGTTTACTTAAATAAGTTTGTGGCCACTTGCAGAACCCATTATGTAACACTCCCTACAACTCTCTGCCTGCCAAAATATCACACTTTGAACAAGGCTTTTGGTTCAATCAGTGTATCAGCCCAATACATCGCTGCTTCTAGCCTCAACATCCTTCCCTTCTTTCCAGAGGAAGAAGGTGGTAAAGTCGTTTCCTTCCATTGCTGTGAATCAAAAGACATTTGACCATTTGACAAGGGCAACAGAATGCTGCCTGCCTGCTGTCTATCCAAAAACAAGGAGGAATTTTGCAGGAGTGTTGCAAAATAAAATTCTTCATTCAGAAAGATTTTTATTCAGATAAAAAAATTGGTTAACGAATGCAGCTTTAATTGCTTCTAGAGTTTGAAAGGGATTGTTTTTATAATATGCTATTACTTTCACCCAATTCATATTATAAACCATTCCAAGGCTTTAAACAAAAACTAAAGGGAACATATCTGTAAAAGTAACAACTAGCCTTGAATATAAACTTGGAATTAAATAAAATTATGTTATATGCTACAAATTAATCAAAAATTAAATATTTATATCATCATTATTTAACTTATTCACTTCTTGATTAATTCATCAATTCACATGTTTTAGAACCACAATTTATGCTTATGTCACTTCATTATAAAAAGAAGGCTACATAGAACAAATAATTAGAAAAAGTTTCTATTCTTCATACACATACAAGAGCTTGCATGATACACTGAATACTCTAGATAAAGTTATGCCTTTCCCATTAATAGATGTAAAGATGCAGGGATGAAGAGGAAACTGAAAGTTCCTAAAAATTAGTCCTTATATCTCATATGCCTGGAAATGTAACCCAACATTCTATCAAAAGAGATTTGTAGTGGATTCATATTAGAGAGAGACACTGAAAGCCAAGCACTTAAAACAAATTTAATTTGCCAAAATTTCAAAGTGGAAAAATTTCAGAAGCCTTCTGACACTTACCAGTGCCATAGGAATTATGCATTTACTGGCATCATGCATTTGTAGTCTGAAGAAATACAGTAATACTACATGGATTTCTGATATATTAAAATGTCTTCTTTCCTAGGGTGCTAAGGCAAGTGCACTCTATGTTGGTTGCCTGAGCTCGTAGCCTTATCACTCTTAAGTTTGTGTTTAGTAAGTATATTATTTTGAACTAGAAGTGAGGTTGGTTTTGTAGTTGTTAACGATTTGCTTTCTTGTGTACATTTGATCTCTCTAAAAAAGATACAAGTGTACTGAGGACTGGGATGGTATCTTTCATATCTTTTGCACAATCCAATTGCATTAGAACCATACAGTGCTCCCGGTGCCAGCATCACAGCTACTCATCAGGACTGAATTAGGAATCCAACCCATTAACTGGCTCGGTGACCCTGGACAATTCATTTTACCTTTTGAGACTCCTGGTGCTTCCCATATAAAATGAGGTGACTACATTCTTTCTAAGATACTTTCCAGTTATAAAACTCTATGATGCTTAATTAAGGAAGCAAGTAAAGGAAGGAAGTTATATGAATGTGTGGGGAACCGTGATACCCAAATTCACAGCATAGACTGCCAAAATCCTTGGCAAAACTATTGATGTGCTGGAAAACCAGAGGGGAGCATTATGAAAAAGCAGGCAGAGACCAGAGAGAAATCTGCTCCTTAGAGCTAGAGCAACGTGGATCCAAATTTGTGAGCTACATGCTTTTCTTTTTTTCTTTAACTGAATTTTCCAATTATGTGCAACCTGGGTGGTAAAAAGCCTGAAGTGTCCAAGTTTAAAGACAAACCTGACAGAACAGCTGAAAATTAGGAAAATTCATAGAAACATGAAAACAACAGAGAGAATGATCCTAATCATTGCCTAGTTCCTCATCTCTGCCCAAATTTAACAAGCATGGAGGAAATCAACAGGGGGAGAAGCTTTAAAAGCAACAGTAGGAAGACATTAGAATGGGCTGGAATGATAAACAGCTGTCTACCATGGGAAATGAGTAGCGGGCAAAGTTTCTAGATTGATTCTAGGCAACGTAACGCAATCATAGAACTAAAATCCAATCTTCTGAACAATATGATGACTCTAGAGTTGCTACAGTGTGTTACCTATAATATCCAGATTTTAATCCAAAATTAGACTATGTACAAAAGAAAGAAAAAAATCAGGAAAGTATGAATCTATCCTCAGGGTAATAAAAACTATTCTGTTGTGAGTTTTCTAAGATTTACCTGAAATAATTCATCTTCAACTCTAAGTAATTGGGATACATGTCAGATACATATTATAATGTCTAGAACAACTTCCTTAAAAAATGCAAAGAGGCTGGGCATGGTGACTTATGCCTGTAATCCCAGCACTTTGGGAGGCCAAGGCAGGCAGATCACTTGAGGCTAAGAGTTCGAGACCAGCCTGGCCAACATGGGAAAACCCCATCTCTACTAAAAATACAAAAAAAGTAGCCAGTAGAAGTGGCTCAGGCCTATAATCCAAGCTGCTCGGGATACTGAGGCAAGAGAAACACTTGAGCCTGGGAGGTAGAGGTTGCAGTGAGCCAAGATTATGCCACTGAGCTCCAGTCTGGGTGACAGAGCAAGACTCTGTTTGAAAAATAAATAAATAAATAAAACAAAACAAAGCTATATTGAGGAGGGCTAAGAGAGAAATTAAAGTGGAATATTAAAATTGCTTAATTAACATAAAAACAGAAAAAGAAGAAAACAAAAGTAAACTAATAAAAAAGTGAATAAGACAAATAAACGAACCAAAATAAAACAAATGTTGAATAGCAGACCTGAATAGAATGCTATCTTTAATTATATTAAATATAAATGTACTAAACATGCCAATCAGAAGACAGAAATCATTAGTCTGGGTTTTTAAGAAGGCAGGACAAACTATATGTTGCATATAAGATACATTTTAAGTAAAAAATACAAAAGTATGTGCTCAAATCTTTGACCCCGACATGGTTTGGCTCTGTGTCCCACCCAAATCTCATCTTGAATTGTAATCCCCATGTGTCAAAGGTGAGATGTGTAATCTCCACGTGTGGAGGGAGGGAGGTGACTGGATAATGGGGGAAGTTTCCCCCATGCTGTTCTTGTGATAGTGAGTGAGTTATCCTGAGATCTGATGGTTTTATAAGTGTTTGACAGTTCCTCCTTCACACACTCTTCTCCCTCCTGCCAACTTGTGAGGAAGGTGTCTGTTTCTCCTTCCACCATGATTGTAAGTTTCCTGAGGCCTCACCAGTCATGTAGAACTGTGAGTCAATTAAAATTCTTTCATTTGTTTATAAATTAGCCAGTCTCGTGTACTATCTTTATAGCAGTATGAGAATGAACTAATACAACCTCCTATTTTATAATACAACCTCCTATTTTATAATGTTATTTGTCTTCTTATTGAGTTGTACGAAGTCTTTACGTATTCTAGATATAAATACTTTATCAGATATATATTTTCCAATTGCTTTTTATATCTCTATTTTTCCTCATAGTATCTTTTGAAAAGCAAAAGGTTTAATTTTGTTAGAATCCATTTTATCAATTTTTGCTTTTATAGTTTGAGCACATACCTCAGTAAAGATACACTAGTGCCAGTAAACAAAGCATCAGGGAAATACAAATTAAAACTACTGTTAGTTACTAGTATATATCTACTTGAATGACTAAAATTAACAAGTCTGACAATACTAAGTGTTGGAGAGGATTTGAAGCAACTCTAGCACTCATATATTGCTGGTGAAAATGTAAAATTTCATAGTCACTTTGGAAAGCAGTTTAATTCTTTATAATAAAGCTAGTTGAAAACCTACTGTATGATATGGTCTGGCTCTGTGTCCCCACCAAATCTCATCTCTAATTGTAATCCCTACATGTTGAGAGAGGAACCTAGTGGGAGGAGACTGGATTATGGGGGCAGTTTCCCCATGCTGTCCTCATGATAGTGGGGGTGTTCTCACGAGATCTTGTTGTTTGACAAGTGTCTGGCAGTTTCCCCTGGATGCTCTCTGTCTTTTGCTGCCATATAAAATGTGTCTTGCGTCCCCCTTTGCCTTTCACCTGATTCTAGATTTCCTGAGACTTCCCCAGTCATGCAGAACTGATAGTCAATTAAACCTTTTTTCTTCATAAATTACAGTCCCATATAGTATCTTTATAGCAGTGTGAAAACAGACTAATACACCATATAATAGCATTTCTACTACTAGAAATTGAGCCTCTCTAAAAAACCCACTGATTTCCACACAAACACTAGCAAACAAATATTTGCAGCAAACTGTATTCATAATAGCCTAATGTACAAATAATCCAAATATCCATTAACTGGTGAATAAGTTTTAAAATTGTGGTATGTAGAAAGAAATAATATTTAGCAATTTAACAGATGAATCTCAAAAATACTGTGCTAAGTGAAAAAAGTCAGCCCTTAAAGGCTATATACTCTATAGTTCCATTTATGTGGAATTATGGAGAGGACAAAGTATAATAACATAAAGCATCTCAGTGATTATGAGGGGTAGGGTGGGTTAGGGAATTGACTTCAATGGGGCATTAAGAGAATTTTGTCGGGAAGATTGAAATGTTCTATATCATAATTGTTGCAGTAATTGCACTACTCTATATATTTTTCAAAACTCAAAGTGCATACTTCAAACTTATGAATTTTGTTGTAGGTAAACAACACCTCAATGTAAAAAAAATGTTAATGTTTAAATAGATGAGCTTGATGAGTGAAGAAGAAATAGAAAATCTGAATAGAGCTTCAATCATGCAGTTTGATTTCATAGTTAAAGTTGCATTCCTTCAACAACACTGAGAAAGAAATTCTAAAACTTACAAATGGAAACAGAATCCAGACAGCTTTACAAGGGAGTTCATATGATTTTACAGTGAGGTTAGCAAAGGAAAAAGATGCATCAAAGTCTAGAAAGTCGAGGCAAAATCTCTCTTCCAGGTAGGTCTTAGAATAGATTGCATAGAACACATTCCTTGTTCTAGCAACAAAATGCTGCAATATATGTGCTGGGATTTTGCCCAGGATAGCCCACTTGAGATTTAGAGTTCAAGGTTTTTACTGGGGGACAGGTCACATCAGAACTTTCTCCCGGTGTAGCCAGGAATGATTATCAAAGTTCTAGACTCCTAGGAGGAAAGCAGGTATTTACCATCAATCACACTGTTTGCACAGTATAGGCAAGGAGGACTCAGTGCCTGAGGCATACAAGACAGCCGGATTCTTTAGTAACAAAAGGAAAATTCCAAAGTCAAGTTTTCAGACACCAGCCAAGGATTAGCAAGCCCTTCGAAGAGGAACATCAGACCTGCTACAAGACTCTTTCCTATACCATAGGGGAGGCACTTCCTTTCCTTAGCTGCAGTTCAATCTAGCTGGATTTTTTTCCCCCAAAATGTGTAGAAATGGCCTAACTAAATCCTCCTCAAAGAAACTGATCACCAGCCAACCAGCTTCATCTACTGAAATGTCAGTTTCACCTCCACAAGTTTCTTCAACAAAGCTTTTGAATTTTAGTGATTCTAACTTCTTCTCTTTGTTCACTAAGGCTAGGAGTGGTCACTGCTGCCTGCGATTGCTATTTCCACAACTTAATGGTTTTTTATATTTTTTTCCTCTTCTGAGTTACATTAACAACCACTTACTTTTAAAATATTTGTATGGAATCACGTGTGTTAAAGTAATTTCTGTGGTTGTTCTGGATGCTGACTAATAAAAGAGCAGAGGCATCTTCCTTTGGCAAAAGTTACTAACAAATAAGAACTAGTAACATATGTTCATTCATTATTCTCTGTTTTGGGTACTATATTTGTGGTATGAGGCAACTGTGACAGTGGCAGCAAATTTGCTTATATGACCTATGATGACACCTGAGGTAGGTGACTGTGAAATGAAATTTCAGCATCACCCCTTATCCCCAAAATGCTCTCCTCCAGCTCTTCCAATGACCTTTCAAGTGCCTGTTATATTCTTCCCTCCTTGTAACATCTAGAGTGATTTTTGTTTCCTGAACTGAATTCTAATAGATATATAGGCGATTTATCAAAAGAGTGCAGTAAACAACATACTCAGTAGTGAAATTTTAAAATTATTCCCCATAAAATCAGGTGTGAGATAAGTATGCTCCTTCTCACCATTTCTATACAACATTGCATTGGAAGCAATAGAGCTGAAGAAGTAAGTGGAAAATGGTAGGGAAGAAAACAAAATTGTCATTATTTGCAATTGATAAGATAATCTACATAAAACCCCCAAACATAGCTTTATGGAAAATTAGTATGTATCACAGACATAAATACATTCGATGCTGCACTGTGTCTACTTTTGTAAGACAGGAAGAATATATCTGAAATGTTTAGTAACCTTTTTTCAAAAGCAGATGAAATTACATCCAAAATCATCAATAACTGAAGAAGTCTAATAGGGCTTACTTCTAGAGGATTCCAGGTGAATGGATACAACCTTGAGCTAATTGCACAAAAGAAATTGTGTCTATAAGCAGGTCAATTAGCTTGTTTCACTAGAACACAGTTAAAAAGGTAGTTCTCCAATCACTTTGATTTTCAGAAGAGCTATGAGCTTGATTCTTAATGATTATTTAACATAGTTGAGCTTTAATGGTTAACTTGAAATTTTAAAACCATAAAACTTTATAGAAAATGAATATCAAAAGTAAAGAAGCTGTTAAGACCACAGTCACTGTACATAGGAATTTTATCTCACTGCTGTAAATCGTGAAATCCTGCCCTCAACCATAGTGTACGAACATGGCCATTTCAAAGATGCACCTCTGTGACATTTCCCTGGATTTCTCCACGTAGGAATTTCAGCGGTTATTCTCTGCAGGTAATTGCAGCTTCCAGAATAACCCCAGGTCACTGAAACACCTTGGCTCTACAAACAACCCATTATTAGGCAGATTACATCAAGAAAATCCATCCTGCTACTGCTGTGGAGATGTGAATTTATGACATTGAAGAAAAAAAACATGCAAAGAGGTTTCTGGAGTCTCTCTGTGGTGAAGGCAATGCTCTATGGACACATTTTATTCAATCACACTTAATGAATGAGCCTCACTCCTTGGTTTTCTTCATCCTCTCTGTCTCGTAGAATCCTTCTAGGGAGATATATATATATATATATATAGTAGCTGTGAATTAACATTTGTTCTCTAAAAACACAAAACTTGGTTTCTACTATCATACACTTAATACAAAACTCCCACAGTTCGTCTACGACCATTGTCTCCATCAGGGTCAGGTGAGAGGATGGAAAACATACGAGATTTTGAACAGGGAGAATGTAATGTAAATAATTGTCAACCAGGTATGAAGTTGTGAACTAGGAACTGAAAAGATAAAAAGAGGACGCTAATGTATCATGGAGGCAGCAAATGTAGGAAGCAGATACCATCCTTATGGTTAAAAAAACTAAGGGACATGATTGGATTTATTAAAATTTAGAAACTTAGAGGAGGGGTCTTGCATAACTGAAACTCAGGGCTTTGAGGAGGGCTACTGGTTCAGTTGCTCAACAGATTCTGGTGTCTTTGAGCTTGGAAGAGCGGTCCCAAGGGGCTGAGACCCAGACTGTAGAAAACAGGATACTGTTAGCAGATGCTGGTGATTGTTAACTGTGACACAGTGAAGCTTGTTTCACAAGTGTTTAAAAAACTGTTAACTGAATTCAGCTACTGCATACAGAATTACTACTCCTGCCTGGGTGAAGAAGCGCTGCCAAAATGATGCTTACAGGAACTGCAAACGGACAGGAAGTCAACAAGGAGTAAATAAGAAAGACCAGGTTCCTTCTTTCTCCTCCAGTCCTAGTCTCCGTCTTGTGCCCCCTTTTGGCAGAGCATAACAGGAAATCAGGGGGCAAAGCAGAAATAAGGTTTGCAGAGTTCCAGCTTCAGGATCATGAAGCAATTATAGAAATGTGGTTTGAGCTGAGAGACAATAGCTGAGTAAGTGGCACAACCATACACCGAAAAGTCTTCTGAAATAACTGAAAATTGATTCATGATTAATTACACTACGGTATAGCTAAACTGCTTATGTAGTTTTGTAACTTACTAAGAAGTTGTATAATTCAGCATAGTCTCATAGTTTTAACAAAGAGAAAGAGATAAGCATTCAGTTTCCACTCCCTGTTCATTATGGAATACAAGGAGATACACTGTGCATCTGAATGTCCACTTTGATTCCTGTGTGAGAAATATCGAACCAGCTTGTGGCTTCCAAGAATAAAATTAGTAAAATAAATGGACAAACATGTAAAAGACACAAAATTAAAGCATTCTTATCCTCCAAATCAGACCAAATAAACCTTATCTCAAATGATATTTCTAAACAGTATACCCACTTCTAATCCCCCTCTACCTCCTGACACATACTTAATAACAACTAGAATTTCTAACTTCCACATACACCAAAAAAAATTTATTACCATAATTTATAATAATAAATAATTAAGAACATCTACCTATTGACTTTCTTATCGTGTGTTCACCACTTTAAAAAATGAATCAACTTTCAATTATCTATTTCTTTTTGCTACATGATAAGTGACTAGAATGTAATCAGTTTTTTAATTTTTATTTTAGGCTCAGGGGTACATGTGTGCAGGTTTGTTATATAGTTAAACGCATGTCACAGAGATTTGTTGTACAGATTATTTCATCACCCAGGTACTATGCCTAGTATCCAATAGTTATTTTTTCTGATCTTGTCCCTCCTTTCACCCTCCCTGCTCAGTTAAGCCCCAGTATCTGTTGTTTTTCTCTTCACCAAAAGGTTTTTAAAACCTGGTTTTGGCCAGCGTGTAAAATCATGTGCTACCACATCTTGTTGAAAATTTAATTCACATTTCCATGCAGGACAGAAGTTTGGTTTTATGCACCATTTATGCTCTAAAATATGCTCTATCCTTCCTATAGAAAATGCATTCCTAGAAATTATCTCTAGGGAGATAGTTACATCCATATAAAATAGATTTAGCTGGAGATTATTTTATCAGGTTTTTTAAAATAAAGCAGATGAACATAAACCTAAAAGTTTTGCATAGAATCCTGGTTAAATAAATTACACAAGTAATGAAACACTATGCAGTCAGTAAACATGACTGGTTAGACATACCTTTTATTAACATAGAGCAAGCTATAAAACATTCATTCATTCAAAAAATATATACTGAGTATCTGCATTGGCCAATGTACCAAAGAGTGACAGAAGAAAAAAAAGTCCCTATTGATGTAAAACTTCACATATGTTCATATGAACACACACACATACACACACACACAGATGTCTGGTGGGACCTTCTCAAAAATATTGAGTCATTCGCTAAAAAATAAAGTGGTTTTCTCCCAGTGGGGGACTATAGCTGATTTTTACTTCAGTCTTTTATGTCATGTATTCGCATGAATTTATTTTACAAAAATAATATAGCCACTTAAAAAAATCCTATACCTATTCAAAATCGAAGGCAAAGACTATTACTACCACTAAACCTTACCAGGGTTACTGGCTGAATGTGATTTCCTTTCTCTCAGAATTGCTTTATCATTTGGTGAGTATCATTTTGGGGAATTCAGAATACATTGGATTCTGAATTATAATTAGTTTTGAATTTGTCTTTCCTTGAGGATAGTGACACTGTCTTGTGTAACTTTTTGTCACCTATAACATGTAAAGTAGAGCTTAGATGCTTTCGGTGTGTGCTCAATAAATAATGTGTTATATTTCTAATTTCACTCACCATCAAATTGTACTGGGCATTAGTCAGGGTAACTGCTTTGCCCATAGAGTTTATAGGTTATCATGTGCTACTTATAGCCCATGTTGAAGAGCAGCCTTAAAGAGCTATGTTTTGTAATATGTAACCCCAATCTCCAGACACAGCTGATTGTATTGAGGGTGAATACTTGACTCAAAGGCAGCCAATCCAAAACCTGGCCAGAGCATGACCTGGAATGCAAATGTGATCATAGGCTACTCATAAGAGAAAAAAAATCAAACTGGCTAATAAACCTGTAAAGCCTTTTCTGCTTTATTAACAGTGAAAATGCAAGCTAAAAAAGAGACAGACATGATTTTATTCCCATTGGATTGTTGAAAATTAGGAGTGACAAGTCTCATATTATTGAAAATAAGAAGGGTGATAATATCTCATATTGAAAAGAATGAAGGGAAATGGTCACCTCCACGCCCCATGGGTGGGAATACAAAAATTATTAAGGCAATTTGACAGCATCTACCAGCATTTACATTATGCTCATCACCTTTTAACCCAGTTAGTCTACTCCAGGAAGACAACTTGCAAAAATAGCCACAGGTGCACAAAGATGAGGCAAGGATTTTCATTGTAATATTCAAAAGAGATACATTTCCATCATTAGGGTGAAGTAGGCTATGTTATTTTCATTCATTAGAAGAAAGGCAGAGATTCAATAGAAATAAAATCAAACCCAACATCCTTACTTTGAACCGCAGTCCTATATAATTTGGTCCCTGCATTTCTGAACTCATCTCTTCTCTCCTTCCCCACCACTCACCTGCTTCAGAACTCACTGGCATTTGCACTTGCTCATTCCTCTGCTCGTTTCATATCTCCAGCCATTCTCAGGGCTGATTCCTTCTCTCCAGCATCTCTGGTTAAATGTTACCCCCAGGGAGAAATTTCCTCATCAACCTGGCCTCAAACCTCTCTATATTTTCTCTCTTCTTATTTTCTTTGTCTAATTTACCTTCTCTTGACATTATATTAAATATTAAGCCACATTTTTTATTGTCCATATCTTTCACTAGAATCAAAACTTTTATGGGCAAGCAATTTATCTATTATTTATCACTAAATCCCCAATGCCTAGAGTGATGTCTTGTAAAGAATAAATGTATGTTTGATAAATTCATTTATTCTACAAAAGTATATGATAGAACTGTGTATTTTAACATAGAAAAATATCTAAGATCTATTGGTGTTGCCAAAAAAGACACAAATGATATGTTCACTTTTATGTTAAGAATACGTGAGTATTTATATATAGGGGTGTGTATGTGTTTAACACATACATGCATGTAATTATCTAGATAGAGAACTAAAATTATATATATCAAGTTGTAATCTCTGCCAAGGATAGTGTCTATGGGAAGTAAGAAAATGAAACTTTGACATTGTACTCTACATATTTCTGTATCCATTTAATGTTTTTACAAGAATAGATTTATATACTTCTCATGAAAGGAAAACAAAGAAAGAAAAGTAACTACTAATAATGACAAATGACATTTAAAGCTCTTGTAATAGGCAATACTTTGAGCATTACAGATGTATTAACTCATTTAATCATCACAACAGCCCTAGAGGATATATTATTATTATTAATGTTAATATTACTATTTCAATTAGAGAAGAAGCTAAAGCATAGAAGAGCTAAGTAGCTTACTCAACATTGCACAGTGTCCAGGTAGCAAAACCAAAGAAGGAAATAAAGGAGGAAAGAATGAAAAGGAGGTAGGAAAGGATGAAGGAAAGAAGAAAGGATTCATTAATCAGTTAATTTATCAGACTGAATATGGCAAATGAAAAGTGGTTAAAGTTGTGAATGCCTACTATGCAAAATTGCAGGTTATTTGAAAGAGAATGAAATGTAAGGAAGATTTTCAGCTCCTGTCCTGGGGTGCACAGCTCTTCCAGAATTCCCAAGATTCCTTGACCAGATGGTTCAGTTTTTCTTGATTCCCACACACGTGTCCTGAGAGAAACCCTGCGGCGCACAATGACTTGAGTGAGGCTCTCTTCTTTGCCTCAATACCTTAAAGTAGAATGGATGTTTTTGACCTGCAGAAATAATGCCATGTGTTAGAAAAGGTTACTTATTTCCCAAGTCTGTTAAAGAGGAGAAATTATCAAAGGAAACTTAATATTGGTCAGCAAAACAGGGACAGTTTCGAAATTTTCAAGAGATCATCAAAACAATCTGTGTGCGTGTGTGCACATGTGTGTGTTTAACTATGCACTGATGCTTTTTTTGCCTTTCTTTCTTTTGTAAGCTTACCTGATTGGTCATTCGCTTTTTAAAATCCTGCAGTCAAGTATAACCGAATTGGGTGAATATAAGGGCGCAAAGAAACAAGAACAATGCAGGAGAAGACATGAGAACAGATGTGCCTCATGTTAAATTAAAACGCTCCTTTCTTCTGAACTTTCTTACTAAAATTCTGCAATTTGTGTAAGACGGATTCCATTTAGCACTGCTTTTCATTTTCCTTAGAGCTTCTCCATGTGATGAAAGAGAGATTGTGGGTGAACATCTGAGATAAGCATGGCATTAGGTCTCCTTCTATCTCTTTATTTATTAAAAGAATGGATCATTTATTTCTTTAAGACTAATATAGGTTTGTATCTGTAATTCATTTATCAACTTTAACATTTCATTTGAGATCTAACAGAGATGGATCATTGTGTCATCATAATCTTTTAATTAGAAATACTATGTTAAGTGTGCCCTTAAATGAACCCTAAAAATCTTCCTGCACTCCAACCACGGGTGTTACATTACAAAGCACGCTAGTTTACTGACCATTTCAAGATTGCCTTGTGGTTTTTATGCTTCAGAACATGAGGTTTATTGGTAGTGACACAGGATGAAATCCAAGCATATATGATTACAAATGTCCACATGGCAAAGCTTGGCTTTCAAAATTCAAATTGTCTACAAAGTAGAAACTGCTATTTTTAAAAAGCCAAAGAAAAAGTAAAAAAATAAAGTATCATATCTCATTTATAGATCTTGTTCCTTCCTCTGAAAGATACTGAAAGCTTAGGTAGCAGAGTTGTTTTAAAGTATATTCTCTTTTACAGTTAGGCAAAGATATGATTTAAGAGAATGCTCATCACTATAGCCATGCCTTTTATGCTGTGAGCTATTGAAATGTGAATACACCACTAATTCTTTGCAACTACCAGACTGTAAACCAAACATGCCACTTTAGTAAATGACCCTTATTCTTCATTTCTGTTCCTTACTAAAGAGTACTAGCTATTTGTGGAAACCGCAAGAAAACACAGAAAGTTTGGAGAAAAATGTTTAATCTGTCGTTCCCCTAAGGCAATTTGCATCCTTTGAAGCTCTCTCTGTGTAATGAAACAAACAACTAGTAGGAAGGTGAAAATTTTACTCAAACAGTTTTTGAGAGTTTACATTTTTGTTTTTTTTCATGGAATGCTAAGTAATTGATGTTATTTTTCCTCACTGAATTCTCCAGTTGTTTTAATGATAGGTAATTAGAAAGAAGAATTCACTAAGAAATAAAATGGTTTCATGAAGTGATGAATTGTAAAGATAATTTCTCTTGAGATAAATTTAGCAGTGACACTAAGAAATTAATTCAGCCCAATCATAATAATAACAACTCCCATTTACTGAATATTTACTATGTACTGGCCACTCATCTGGCCCACTCAGAGCTGAGTGGCTTCAGCAATAAGCAAGTCATTGCTGTTTGCCAAGATCACTTTCAGGAGAGTGGGGATAGAAGCCAGGTTTCAATGGATTAAGAAGGAATGGGAAAGGAGAAAGTAGAAATAGCTATCATGGACACAAAATTACCCATGAAGGGAAAAAAAAGAAATTCAGCAGAAGCTGGTGGGAAATATGGAATTTAATAAGAAAGGGTTTATTTATTTATTTTTTTTTTTTTTTTTTTTTTATTTTTTTTAAAGATAGGAGAGAACTGAGCACATACAAATGAAAGCTGGGATAGCACTTTGAAGGTACAGAAAGGAAATAAGATAATCTACTGAGCAAGGCAACTAAGGGATTAGGAAGAGTAGGAGGGTTTCAGGAAATGACATCCCCTCTGTGCTGTAGATTTCACTGAACCCTACTGGACATATTTATCCTTGGGGATCTTATAAGCACCTCAACTCATCAGTTCCATCTCCATGCCCAAACCCTCTGCCTTTGCTTTCTTTCTTGAAAAATTGCACCATTATCCACCTACATTCCTAAACCAAAAATCTAGGCCTGATGCTGGATCATCCCTTCTCTTTATCCTTGCATCTTATTACCAACTTATGTTCATTTTATCTTTTAAAAATAAGTATTTTAATAACAGATGCTGGGGCTGTGGAGAAATAGGAATGCTTTTACATTGTTG
This sequence comes from Homo sapiens, assembly GCF_000001405.40. Lineage (NCBI taxonomy): Eukaryota > Metazoa > Chordata > Mammalia > Primates > Hominidae > Homo > Homo sapiens. The sequence continues at coordinate 15,541,132 of NC_000021.9, forward strand.
GTGGGAGTGTAAATTAGTTCAACCATTGTGGGAGACAGTGTGGCAATTCCTCAAGGATCTAGAACTAGAAATACCATTTGACCCAGCAATCCCATTACTGGGTATATAACCAAGGAAATAGAAATCATTTTATTATAAACATACATGCACACGTATGTTCATTGCAGCACTAGTCTTAATAGCAAAGACATGGAATCAACCCACATGCCCATCAATGATAGACTGAATAAAGAAAATATGGTACATATACACCATGGAATACTATGCAGCCATGAAAAGAAATGAGATCATGTTTTTTGCAGGGACATGGATGGAGCTGGAAGCCATTATCCTCACCAACTAACACAGGAACGGAAAACCAAACACCACATGTTCTCACTTATAAGTGGGAACTGAACAATGACAACATATAAACACAGGGAGAGAACAATATACACTAGGGCCTGTCAGGGGTCAAGGGGAGGGAGAGCATTAGGATAAATAGCTAATGCATGAGAGGCTTAATACTAGGTGATGGGTTCATAGGTGCTGCAAACCACCATGACACATGTTTACCTATGTAACAAACCTGCACGTCCCACACATGTATCCTAGAACTTAAAATTAAATTAAATTTTAAAAAGTATATATTTTACTTCTTCTGAAGATTTTTTCCTGTATATCCAATGTTTAAATATTCAAGTCCAGGTTAGATGCCCTGTAATATCCATTGGAATCTCATCAGAAAAATAAAACTACTCTAGTTATTCCAGCCTAAGGGATTTAATACAAGGAAATAACTGTACAGAGGAAGAAACAATTGAGAAGTTGAGGCAACTGAGGGAATAACAGAAGAGAGCAAACTACCACCTCTAGAGTTTCAGGAACCAGTAGAAGCATCATTACTAGAAACAGTGGTGTACTGGTTCATGTTTAACATCCAGCTCTCTAGGGATAAACAAAACTTTACTGCCAATTTCTGTGGTGTTAATATCATACCATGGCTGATTTCAAGATACCAACATTTCACTAAACGCAGAGCTGGGAAGAGATGCAGAGATTCAGCTCTTATGAGCTCACACACCAGAAACCAGAAGCTGAGCCTGTCAAGCAGAATTTGGAGCCATGCAAAAGAGGCCGCTGTTTCCAAAATGCTACCTGAATAGAGCAAGAGGACAAGTACATTGGCTTCTACAATCCTCCCACCTTTCATTCTCCTTTTGAGTCCTTTCTTCCGTCAAACTCAGCCAAAATCTTGCCAAGCCTGGGAAATGTAGCCTGAAAGTTTATGTCTCCTGAGATACAGAGCAGAGCTGGAGTAGGGCAAGGAATGGATTCAAGAACCAACGGCTAAAAGACTGACACCCACACCTCAGAGCTCTTGGAGAACTTCTACCTCTGTTATAACTGATCTATATGCTTTGTGAAGGCAGGGACCACTGCCTAGCCCAGAGTCTAACATTCATTAAGCATCAGTAAATATTTTACAGAATAAATGAATGATTTATTAGCAAATATAATGTCAGCATTTAATAATCAGAAAATCAGTGCTTCTTTGTGTATATATGACTTCCTATGAAATTGCCACATTTCTTGGTATAGTGCAGCTATAACTTGTCAAAATAGCATACAAAAATATTATGCTGTTTGACCTTTTCTAATAATTCTCATTTGTGCCTTATTCCTTTCATCCCATCCCATGCAGTTTGTTGGAAAACTGAAAGCTTTTGTTTGATCTGATGGCTCTTGTAATTTAAACATTTCCAAATTATTTACAAATTGACGTTTTAGGAATTATCACTAAACCAGTATATTCTACAAGTTTCTCTCTCCATCTGGGATGTCCATCCATTGCCTCTCCATCTGGCAACTCCAAAGCCCTTAGTTAGAATTTTCATCTCTATTGCTAGTACCTGCCGATGGGCAGACTGTTTCAATTTCCACCAGTCCTATGTCTGGTCTGACTTCTATTTCTAGCTATAGTCAACAGAGTCAAATGTGTTCCATTTGAAGGACCACATTTGTAGTAGAATTTTCCCGTGGATCTAATCCCAAAGGGGCCTTTGATTCATGTGCCTACCTTTGTTCAAATATATATTTAGATTGATTTATAAATCTTGCCAAATATAAGCAAAATTGGAAATTTGTTAAAGTGGTATGGATAGATTAATCACTAGTATATTATTGCAATAAAAAGAGTCCAGCCTGACCTGAACTCAGCTTTGATTTGTATGGAGGCGACAGTGTGTTTTAAAGGAGGAATTAAGAAATAGGGAGGTGGAAAGGCAGAGCAAGATAACGAATAGAAGCCTCCCCCAATTGTTCTTCCCATAAGAACACCAAATGTGACAACACTCTACACACGGAAAAAGCACCTACATAAGAACCAACAATCAGGAGAGAGATCACAGTACCTAGTTTTAACTTCATATTGCCGAAAGAGGCACTGAAGAAGGTGGAAAAGACAGTCTTGAATGGCTGAACCACCTCTCTCCCATCCCCCAGCAATGGCCGCGTGGTGTGGAGAGAGAATCTGTGCACTTATGGGAGGGAAAGCACAGTGATTGTGCAACTTTGCATTGAAACTCAGTGCTGCCAACACCCGGCAGAATTCAGGGGATGCCCACAAAGGGAGTCTTTAGACCAGCTCTATCCAGAGAAGAATTGTCCATTTCAGCAGTCGCAGCTTGAGTTTCAGCAAGCCTCATCACCATGGGCTAAGGGGCTCTGGGGTTCTAAATTAACTTTTTTTTTTTTTGAGATGGAGTTTTTTGCTCTTATTGCCCAGCCTGGAGTGCAATATTGTGATCTTGGCTCACTGCAACCTCCACCTCCCGGGTTCAAGAGATTCTCCCGCCTCAGCCTCCCAAGTAGCTGGGATTACAGGCACCGACTACCACGGCCAGCTAATTTTTTATGTTTTTAGTAGAGACAGGGTTTCACCATGTTGTTCAGGCTGGTTTCGAACTCCTGACCTCAGGTGATCCACCCACCTCAGTCTCTCAAAGTGCTGGGATTACAGGTGTGAGCCACCGCACACAGCCCTAAATTAACTCTAAATCCTGTCTAGGTCACAAGGACTGCAACTTCTAGGCAGGTCCTACTGCTGTGCTGGCCTAAGAGCCAGTGGACTTGGAGGGGCACATGACCAGTCAGGGTGGCAAAGGCAGTACTCGCATCACCCCTCCCCCAACCTCAGGCAGCACAGTTTGCAGCTCCAAAAGAGACCCCTTTCTTTCACTTGAGGAGAAGAGAGAGAAGAGTAATGAGGACTTTGTCTTGCAGCTTGTATTCCAGCTCATCCACTTTAGTATAAGGCATCAGGCAGAGTCCTGAGTCTCCTGTTCCAGGCCCTAGCTCCTGGATGGCATTTCCAGACATACCTTGGGCCAGAAGGGAATCTACTGCCTTGCAGGGAAGGACCCACTCCTGGTAGAATTCATTACCTGATCACTAAAGAGCCCTTGGGCTCTGAATAATCAGCAGCAGTAACCAGATAGTACATACCATAGGCCTTGAGGGTGAGGCTCCTCTGCTTGTGGAAAGGGGAGAAAAGAGCGGGAAGAACTGCATCTCATGGTTTGAGTGCCAGCGCAGCCGCAATATAAAAGAGCACCAGGTAGATTTCTAAGGCTTCCAACTCCAGGCCCTGGCTCCCAAACAGCATCTCTGGACCTGCCTGGGGCCCAGAGTAACTAACTGCTCTGAAGAGAAGGACACAAAACTGGCTGGCTTTGCCACCTGCTGATTGTAGGACCCTAGGGCCTTGAGCGAACATAGGTGGTACAGGCAGTGGTTAGAGCAGGCCTCAGGCAAGACCCAGTGCTGTGCTGGCTTCAGCACAATCCCAGTGGTGCTGAAAAAAGGAGAGAACAGCCAAACAAATAAAATAAGAGGTGAAAAAGGAGACATTATAACTGATAAAACAGAAATCCAAAAGAACATAAGAGCCCACTATGAGCAACTGAGCAACTATATGCCAATAAATGGGAAAATCTAGAAGAAATGGACAAATTCCCAGACACATATAACCTACCAAGACTGAACCAAGAAGACATAAAAATCCTGAAGAGACCAACAACAAATAATAGGATCAAAGCCATAATAAAAGTCTCCCAACAAAGAAAAGCCTGGGGTCCAAAGGCTTCACGGCAAAATTTTACCAAACATTTAAAGAATAACTAATACCAATCCTACTCAAACTATTGTTAAAAAAAAAATAGAGGTGAAGGAAATCATCCAAACTCATTGTCTGTTGCCAGTATTACCCTGATACCAAAACCAGACAAAGACACATCAAAAAAGAAAACTATAGGCTGATATTTCTGATGAACATTGATGCAAAAATCTTCAACAAAATACTAGCAAACAAAATGCAACAAAACATTAGAAAGATCATTCATCATGACTAACTGGAATTTATCCCTGAGATGCAAGGATGGTTCAACATATACAAATCAATCAATGAGATACATCAAACTAATAGAATGAAGGACAAAAACCATGAGATCATTTAAATTGATGCTGAAAAAGCATTTGATAAAATTCAACATCTATTTCTGATAAAAACTCTCAAAAAACTTGGTATAGAATGAACTTACCTCAACATAATAAAAGTTATAAATGACAGACCCACAGTTAATATCATGCTAAATTAGGAAAAACTGAAAGCTTTTCCTCTAAGATATGAAACACAACAAGAATGCCCACTTCCACCACTATTATTCAGCATAGTACTGAAATCTCTAGCTAGAGCAATCAGACTAGAGAAAGAAATAAAGGTCATCTAAATAGGAAAGAAAAAAGTCCAATTATCCTTGTTCATTGATGATATGATCTTATATTTGGAAAAACCTAAAGACCCCACAAAAAAACTATTTGAATTGAAAAACAAATTCAGCAAAGTTGCAGGATACAAAATCAAAATATGAAAATCAGCAGTATTTCTATATGCCAACAGTGAACAATCTGAAAAAGAAATAAAGAAAGTAATCCCATTTACAATAGCTGCAAATGAAATTAAATGCCTAGGAATTAACTTAACCAAAGAAGTGGAAGGGCTCTACGATAAAAACTATAAAACACTGGTGAACAAAATTAAAGATGACACAGAAAAAATGGAAAGATATTTCACGTTCATCAATTGGAAGAATCAATATTTAAAATGTCCATGCTACCCAAAGCAATCTGCAGATTCAATGGAATCTCTATCAAAATACCAATAACATTCTTCACATAAATATAAAAAAAATCCTAAAATTTATATGGAACCACAAAAGACCCAGAATAGCCAAAGCTATCCTGAGCAAAAAGAACAAAACTGGAGGAATCATATTACCTGATTTCAACTCATACTGCAGAGCTATGGTAATCAAAACGAGATGCTACTGGCATAAAAACAGACGCATAGACCAATGGAACAGAATAGAGAACCCAGAAACAAATTCATACATCTACAATGACATCATTTTTGACAAAGGTGCTGAAAACATACACTGGGGAAAGGACGGTCTCTTTAATAAATTGTTCTTGGAAAACTGGATATCCATATGCAGAAGAATGAAACTAGATGCTTCTTTCCATATACAAAATTCAAATTAAAATGGATTAAAGACTTAAATCTAAGGCATAAAACTATGAAAGTACCACAAGAAAATCTCCAGGACATTGGTTTGGGCAATTATTTTTGAGTAAAACTCCACAAGCACAGGCAACCAAAGCAAAAATGGACAAATATGATTACATCAAGTTAAAAAGCTTATGCACGGCAAAGAACACAATCAACGAAGTGAAAAGACAACCTACAGAATGAGAGAAAATATTTGCAAACTACCCATCTGACAAAGGATTAATAACTCAACTCTATAAGAAAAGAAATCTAATAATCCATTTAAAAATAGGCAAAATATCTGAATAGATATTTTTCAAAAGAAGACATACAAATGGCAAACAGGCATATTAAAAGCTGCTTATCATCATTGATCATCAGAGAAATGCAAATCAAAATTACAATGAGATATCATTGCACTCCAGGTAAAATGGCTTATCTCCAAAAGACAGGCGGTAACAAACACTGGCGAGGATGTAGAGAAAAGGGAACCCTTGTACATGTTGGTGAGAATGTAAATTAGTACAACCACTATGGAGAACAGTATGAAGCTTCCACAAAATCTAAAAATAGAGCTTTTATACAACCCAGCAATCCCACTACTAGGTATATACCCAAAATAAAGAAAATCAGTATATTACAGAGATATTTGCACTCCCATATTTATTGCAGCACTATTCACAATAGCCAACATTTGGAGGCATCCTAAATGTCCATCAACAGATCAATGGATAAAGAAAATATGGTGCATATACACAATGGGTTATTATTCTGCCATAAAAAGGAGATCCTGTCATTCACGACAACATAGAACTGGAGGTCATTACGTTAAGTGAAATAAGCCACAGAAAGACAAACTTCCCATGTTTTCCCTTATTTGTGGTAGCTAAAATTAAAACAGTTGAATTCATGGAGAGTAGTTCTACTACTCCACCAAAAGTCAGATTGACCTTTCCAAAAAACAGTTCTGATCATATCCACCACCTTTTCTATACATCCTTTCATGAAGTCAAAATGCTCTTAGAATAAGAACTAATTCACTCAATATTTATTTAGCATAATCTCTGATGCAAATCTCTTCTCCAGTGATTACTTTGTAAGGCCCTCATTGTAAACACATGTTCAAAAAAATTCAAGAAAACATCAAATAAAAATAAAAGTTAAATGACAAAAACTGGATAAATGTATTTTCAAATTATATCATAAATAAAGTGTTAGTACCTCTTATGTAGAAGACCTTCTGGAAAACAAGAAGAGAAAGGCTAATAGCCCTATAGAAAAATGGACAAAAGATACGAGGAAAGAACCCACAAATAAACACAACAATATGCTCAATCTCTAATATAATAAAAGAATGCAATTAAAAGTACACTGATGAGATTGGCAGAAATCCAAAAGTTTGACAACCTACTCTATCAAGGTGACTACAGGGAAATAGGCTCTCTTAGACTTTATTGGTAAGAAGAATCTAAAATGATATAATCTTTATCATGAGGAATTGAGTTATAACTAGCAGAATTATATATGTATTTATTTTTCAATCTCCCCTCTATAATAACCTTGTCTAGGAATGTCTTTCAAAGATAACACTGGGGAAACGGTATATGGGGTGAAGGGTTCATGAGGGTCGCTTTTACTCCTCTCTATACTTTTGTGCTTATTTATAAATACCTACAATGAAAGGTTTTAAAAATTAATCTTTGCTGGTGTTTTCTCTTGACCTTGGTATCCTATCACCTTAGCCTGGGTTTCCCAAAAAGTGAAGGCTAAGAGAAAAGCTGCCGCCTGACTGGACTATTCAGTAGTGTGATGGAGGGAGGGTGGTAAACAGGAAATAAGAGAGGGTCTTCACAAAGATGCATTGTTGAGTTGGCCACCACGTGAGGCTGCTCATATGGAAGGGCTTTCGGAGAAGTGTGATGAAATGAACCTCGGCAACAGACACTCTCAGCCTCAGAGAGACCCCAGGGCAGGGAGTAAGTGGCACATCTGGTATACCCAAGTCCTTGTCCTGCTAGGGTACCCATGGGATGAGAAGTCAAGCCTATGCAGAGTTAGCTTTCATATCTGTGGCTACACAAAGAGGGGAGGCAGGGAGAATTTGATATGTGGCAAGAGAGCTGTATGCTGCCCCCAAAAAGGGATTACTAACACTTGCATATAAGTTGTAGAACTTGCCTTTAATTTGATACAATAAAATGAATCATCGGATTAATTTTGGGAATGTTGATATTAAACAGCCAAACTCCTAATAGGTAATTTTATGATTGATGTCTTTACCAAGATATACAGCTTCCTCAGGAGAGAATAGTACATATTAAAACTAGAAAATTATACTATAGATGTTAAGAGTTCAAATAATATATGCCAATCTATAAGAAAGCCAGTCGTAAATAGTTTTCACTGATGCATGCCAGAATATTTAAATATTTAGCATATTTAATACATTAAATGTGGTAATGAAGTGGGACAACCATCTTAAATCTATATACACACACATATGACATAAGGTATTGTAAAATAGTATAGTATAATCTATATATGTACATAAATATTGATTTTGAAAAGTTGATAATACAAAGAGAAGAGAAGTAAGCTGGCATCACATGTGCTCTGTAAGCAGTTACTGAGGCAATGATACAACAGCCAAGGGCTCATTTTGAAGTGCTGATTATTTCCTTGTGCCAGACAGAAGTGACAATCAAAGTGATTTACTCTGAGAACTTTGCATTACTGTGAAATCATTTATGCACTGTAAATGATTTGAATACCCATGAAGTCCGTAGGTCCCCAAATCATGTTCTTTTGCATTTCCCTGCCTTTCTTCCACCAAAGACAGATATCATGTGAAGTAATGTATCTGAAATTCATAAGCAGACAAAATTTCTACTGACTTCAATCATATGGGCCAATGAAAAGGTTATCATCTTCCCAAATGGTCTCCCAACCTATATTAGTTTCCTATTGCTACCGTAAAAAATAATCACAAATAGCCACAAATTATGGGAAATTATCATAGCCACCTTGGTGGTTTAAAACAACAGAAGTTTATGTACTCACAGTTCTAGAAGCCAGAAGTCCAAAATCAAAGCGACAGTGACTGTGCTTCCTCCTGAGGCTCTTGGAGAGAATCCATCCCTTGCCTCTTCTGGCTTCTGGCAGCTGCTAGCATTCCTTGCATTCCTTGACTTGCCAGCGCTATCATTCCTATCTCTGCCTCTATCTTCACACTTCCTTCACTATGTGTATAGCAGATCTCCCTCCACCTCTTAGATCTTCCTATGAGGACATTCAAGATGACATTTAGGGCCCACCCAGCTAATCCAGGTATACCTTCTCATCTCAAGATCCTTAATCACATCTGTAAAGACCCTTTTTCCAAGTAAGGTAACATTTACAATATTTGCATGTTCTAGACATTAGGACCTGATATCTTTGGGGCCACAATGTAGCTTACCTCACCAACCATGAGTTATTCTATTGAGATATTGTCTGTCATGCTTATTGCCACTGTAAAATAACAATTAAAAAAAAGTCTGCACCCCCCTCCCTATTCACATACTCATCCTAAGATTAGCGATAATTTTGTTTCCAAGACAGAAGACAGTACACTTTTTCTGAAAAGGGCCAGATAATAAATGTTTAAGAACTTGTCAACCATATGATCTCTGTCATAACTGTTCCAATAGTTTCTTATATGTGCTGTAACAAATTGACACAAATTTTGTGGCTCAAAACAACACAAAGTTATTACCTTCCAGTTCTGTAGGTTAGAATTGCAACAGTGTTCTCCCTGAGTTGAAATCAAGATGATAGCAAGACTATGTTTCTCCTGGAGGCTTGAGGAGAACGTATGTTTCCTTGAATTCACCAGCTTCACATGTCCTGGTTCATGGTCCTCTACCTCCATCTCCAAAGCCAGCAACAAGTCCAGTGCTTCTGAGATGACATCGCTCCAACTTTTTTCTCTGCCTCCCTCTTCCACTTTTAAGAACTCTTATGATTACATTGAGCCCACCCAAATAATTCAGGATAATCTCCTTTTAAATCAATTGATTGGCAATCTTAATTGATCTGCAATCTTAATTCCCCTTTTTTATATCATATAACATTCACAAGTTCTGGGAATCAGGATGTAACATCTTTGAGAAACCATTATTCTACCTACCACAAGGAACATGCAAAACCTATATTTTACTCCCAACCAGAACTTAGAAGGTGGCAGAACCTCTGATGAGAGACAAATGTAGAGACCCAAAGAGGCTAAAATGTAAACACCCTGACCTTGAAAGCAGCTACAAATTTTTTTTTCTTCAACTTTTTTTTTAAGTAAATTTCAGGGTACATGTGCAAGATGTTCAGGTTTATTACATAGGTAAACATGTGCAAATTTCTTGTATCAAAGAGGACCATATGACAAGGCATCTCTGGAACCCAACCAGAACAGTTTTGCAGTTGTCAACCAAGCCACCCAGAAACAAAAGGAACAAGAAAGCAATGTTGACCATCTTGAACTAAGAACCAGGGACCTCCCCTGTTCGCACAGAATAATGTGAATTAAACTGACTGATTCACAGTAAGTTAATATGGAATAAAGTTTCACCTACCTTCTTACATGAAGGTAAGAAATGAGTTCAAGTAATGACTGATATTGGATGTCCTGCCGGTCAGATAATTGGGAACTCAGACACAGAGTACATTTGGTTTAGAAAAATAGAATATGGCATTCTTATTATTGCCAGCATAACACAGAACATACTGATATCGACTACATATCTTCAAAATATATAATACGTTTTATTCTTTTCCTTCTCTGACTTCCTAATATTGCAACCTTCCTGCTCAAAAGCCTTAAATAGTTCAGCAATTCTGAGCCTGGTATTAAAGATCCCTCCCCCTACTCCTACACTAAGATCTGATTCAATTTTACCTTTGGTAGTTTATTATTAAATATTAACTTTTACATATTATGATTTCCAGCTGAATTATATTTTGTGTTCCCTGTTATTAAATATTTTTATAATGTTTTCCTGCTTTGAAAGTCTTTTTTCACCCCATCTTTATACCTCTAAATTCTACCTATATTCAAGGTCTTTTGCAAATCCTATTTTTTTCATAAATTCTTCCCTGATCTTTCCAACTGAATTATTGGGGAACCCCCACTCTATTTACATAGATCTTTTATTGCTATAGTCTTCTCACAGTTTATCAGTCAGGTGCAGTCAGAAAAAAACAGAAACCACACTAGGGACTCCAACAAGGAGGATTTAATATAGGGGCTGGTTATACAGATGTTTGAGGGATGAAAGAGCAACAGAAAACACTAAAGGTTAGCATGAAATAACAAGCAGCTATTTCTCATACAGCTGGAAGAATAAAAAAAGAAGAGGTTAGACTATTAAAGCTTAGGATCTCACAAAAGAGGACTTACATAACTGTGACTTGGATTTTTTTTTTTTTCAAAAAACAGGGTCTTGCTCTGTCACCCAGGGTGGGTGGCATTGGCATGAACATAGTTCATTGCAGCCTTGAAATCCTGGGCTCAAAAGACCCTCCTGTCTCAGCCTCCTGAGTAGCTAGGACTACAGGCAGGCATCAGCACACCTGGCTAATTATTATTATCATTATTTTATTTTGTAGACAGTGTCTCACTATATTGTCAGGTTGATCTCCAACTCCCAGCCTCATGCTATCTTCCTGCTTCTGCCTCACTGGGATTTCAGGCATAAGCCAACACAACTGGCAGGACTCAAACTTCTAAAGAGTAGGCAATGCTTGACGGTGGTTAGTTCTTATGAAGGAGAGCAACAAACTGGTTTGGGAATTTGAAGGCAGTTGGACATTGAAACCAACTGGCACTCTTAAGATAACTGTTTCTGCAGGGATGAAATGTTATTGCTGGAGAAAGCTGTCACCATGCAGGTGAGAGCAAGAATAACAAACAGGAAACAGGAGGTCCTTCCTCCTTTCTTCCTGTGTTCCAGTCACTCTAGTGTTTCTTGGTAGAACCCAACAGGAGGCCAGCTGGCAAATAAATCAGGGAAATGTTTGCTGTGTCTTTAGCCACAGAATGGTAAGGCATTCTGGAAGACAAGTGAGGAAAGTTTTCTGAGGTGGCAATTCCTTCTGTAGCTTTAAATTTTTATCATATAGAAGTCAAAGGCCAGGTGCGGTGGCTCACGCCTGTAATCCCAGCACTTTGGGAGGCCAAGGCGAGCAGATCACTTGAGGTCTGGAGTTCAAGACCAGCCTGGCCTATATGGTGAAACCCCTTCTCTACTAAAAATACAAAAATTAGCCAATGTGGTGGTGGGCATCTGTAATCCCAGCTACCACTGAAGGCCACTAGAGTCATCCAAAGCATGTTGGTGCAACAGGATCCATATTTGCCAGAGGGATCTCTCTCAAGACCTTGGCAAGGCCAGACTCCACAGTGGGAGATTCCCCTCCACAGACACTGAAATGTCTTTGAAAATTGCAACAGTTCATTTTCTCTCTTGCTCGATGATTTCTTGTGTCATTCCAACTTTATAGCTTATGCAATTTACTTTTTTCTCTCTCTCTTTTCAAAGAAGAGAGATCCCTCTAGTGGTTTGAGTGAGTCTCTGTTTTTCAGTAACCAGAGAGAACATGGAGAGAGAGCTCTTTTAATTTCCAAAGAGCTATGAGAGTTGATGAGCTGGGAGGAGAAAGAGATGAGCTGCAATAATAGGAGACACAAAGAAGCATGACTTGATGACGCTCATACAGTACCTTTCTTTGCTGTGCTGGCAGCAATCAAGGAATTTTATGAACCTTTAGAGACTTGTAAGATCCTTGCTACTGGTTTATCAGGATCTTTCTGATTATCATTTATGATTTATTCCCATTTTCTCATTCCTGTTATTTCAGTTCATTTTTCCGCTATCTGCATTGCTTTTGGAGGACGCAAATTCCCCTCACATAATTGCCAAGTCCATGTACAGTTTCCATGCATGATTCTATATGGAAGTAGTTGATGAAAAAGAGTTGGTTAGCATGCTAATCAGTGTATTAGAAGGAAAGACTCAAGAAAATCCATTTGCATTTCTGGTTTTGTGAATTTTACTTCATTACAATGAGAGAGGAGGGTGACGGGATGGGCCACTTTCTCTCTCTTCAATTCTAATGAAGCAGCTGGAAAGATTTAAAAAATCATTCTGCATAGTCAAAGTCAATTAAAAGAAGAACACTAGCAACCTGCAATTATTTATATTTTTTTAAAAAGATGCTTGATATTTAATTGGCTAAATAAAGTCTGCCTATATATCAGTAACATTTTAACTAAGAATCCCACTGCAGACATTTAGCCAAAGTAGCTAACATGTTTGATATTCCAGCTTTGAAGGGTTGGTTGGTTAAGCCTAAGGATATACTTTCTGTCCCCTCCAACAATGACCAAGTGGAAGATCTTAAGAATGGGTCTAGTTTCTTCCTGGTTTAGTCTTGGGAGGGTGTATGTGTCAAGGAACAGGCTCTGAAATTGTGGCAATAATCAATAGCTTACCAACCAAAAAGAGTCCAGGACCAGATGGATTCACAGCCGAATTCTACCAGAGGTACAAGGAGGAACTGGTACCATTCCTTCTGAAACTATTCCAATCAATAGAAAAAGAGGGAATCCTCCCTAACTCATTTTATGAGGCCAGCATCATCCTGATACCAAAGCCGGGCAGAGACACAACCAAAAAAGAGAATTTTAGACCAATATCCTTGATGAACATTGATGCAAAAATCCTCAATAAAATACTGGCAAACCGAATCCAGCAGCATATCAAAAAGCTTATCCACCATGATCAAGTGGGCTTCATCCCTGGGATGCAAGGCTGGTTCAATATACGCAAATCAATAAATGTAATCCAGCATATAAACAGAACCAAAGACAAAAACCACATGATTATCTCAATAGATGCAGAAAAGGCCTTTGACAAAATTCAACAACCCTTCATGCTAAAAGCTCTCAATAAATTAGGTATTGATGGGATGCATCTCAAAATAATAAGAGCTATGTATGACAAACCCACAGCCAATATCATACTGAATGGGCAAAAACTGGAAGCATTCCCTTTGAAAACTGGCACAAGACAGGGATGCCCTCTCTCATCACTCCTATTCAACATAGTGTTGGAAGTTCTGGCCAGGGCAATTAGGCAGGAGAAGGAAATAAACGGTATTCAATTAGGAAAAGAGGAAGTCAAATTGTCCCTGTTTACAGATGACATGATTGTATATCTAGAAAACCCCATTGTCTCAGCCCAAAATCTCCTTAAGCTGATAAGCAACTTCAGCAAAGTCTCAGGATACAAAATCAATGTACAAAAATCACAAGCATTCTTATACACCAATAACAGACAAACAGAGAGCCAAATCATGAGTGAACTCCCATTCACAATTGCTTCAAAGCGAATAAAATACCTAGGAATCCAACTTACAAGGGATGTGAAGGACCTCTTCAAGGAGAACTACAAACCACTGCTCAATGAAATAAAAGAGGATACAAACAAATGGAAGAACATTCCATGCTCATGGGTAGGAAGAATCAATATCATGAAAATGGCCATACTGCCCAAGGTAATTTATAGATTCAATGCCATCCCCATCAAGCTACCAATGACTTTCTTCACAGAATTGGAAAAAACTACTTTCAAGTTCATATGGAACCAAAAAAGAGCCCGCATCGTGAAGTCAATCCTAAGCCAAAAGAACAAAGCTGAAGGCATCACGCTACCTGACTTCAAACTATACTACAAGGCTACAGTAACCAAAACAGCATGGTACTGGTACCAAAACAAAGATATAGATGAATGGAACAGAACAGAGCCCTCAGAAATAACGCCGCATATCTACAACTATCTGATCTTTGACAAACCTGAGAAAAACAAGCAATGGGGAAAGGATTCCCTATTTAATAAATGGTGCTGGGAAAACTGGCTAGCCATATGTAGAAAGCTGAAACTGGATCCCTTCCTTACACCTTATACAAAAATTAATTCAAGATGGATTAAAGACTTAAACGTTAGACCTAAAACCATAAAAACCCTAGAAGAAAACCTAGGCAATACCATTCAGGACATAGGCATGGGCAAGGACTTCATGTCTAAAACACCAAAAGCAATGGCAACAAAAGCCAAAATTGACAAATGGGATCTAATTAAACTAAAGAGCTTCTGCACAGCAAAAGAAACTACCATCAGAGTGAACAGGCAACCTACACAATGGGAGAAAATTTTCGCAACCTACTCATCTGACAAAGAGCTAATATCCAGAATCTACAATGAACTCCAACAAATTTACAAGAAAAAAACAAACAACCCCATCAAAAAGTGGGCAAAGGACATGAACAGACACTTCTCAAAAGAAGACATTTATGCAGCCAAAAAACACATGAAAAAATGCTCACCATCACTGGCCATCAGAGAAATGCAAATCAAAACCACAATCAGATACCATCTCACACCAGTTAAAACAGCAATCATTAAAAAGTCAGGAAACAACAGGTGCTGGAGAGGATGTGGAGAAATTGGAACACTTTTACACTGTTGGTGGGACTGTAAACTAGTTCAACCATTGTGGAAGTCAGTGTGGCGAGTCCTCAGGGATCTAGAACTAGAAATACCATTTGACCCAGCCATCCCATTACTGGGTATATACCCAAAGGATTATAAATCATGCTGCTATAAAGACACGTGCACACATATGTTTACTGCGGCACTATTCACAATAGCAAAGACTTGGAACCAACCCAAATGTCCTACAATGATAGACTGGATTAAGAAAATGTGGCACATACACACCATGGAATACTACGCAGCCATAAAAAATGATGAGTTCATGTCCTTTGTAGAGACATGGGTGAAACTGGAAATCATCATTCTCAGTAAAATATCACAAGAACAAAAAACCAAACACCGCATATTCTCACTCATAGGTGGGAACTGAACAATGAGAACACACGGACGCAGGAAGGGGAACATCACACTCTGGGGTCTGTTGTGGGGTGGGGGGAAGGAGGAGGGATAGCTTTAGGAGATATACCTAATGCTAAATGACGAGTTAATGGGTGCAGCACACCAGCCTGTCACATGTATACATATGTAACTAACCTGCGCATTGTGCACATGTACCCTAAAACTTAAAGTATAATAATAATAACATAAATTTTTTTAAAAAAATGGGTCTAGTTTCTTAAGCAACCCTGGAAAATAGAAAAGAAAAATCTCCCATATTCAGGGTGCTTTTGTATAACAGCTGAGCTGGTTCAAGTGTCCCAGAGAGAATGGGACTGAACACTGTTCATGCTCATTATCGTTTATCTAAAAACTAAAGTTATTGGTTACAGAGCGTTGTTTAGATACTATGGCAATAAATCATTTTTGTGAGCTGCTGTGATGAAACATATATTGTCCTTCAATATAAGCAATCAACAGCAACGGTGTTTCTTGTTCTACTTCAAACTGTTGGTCCCTGGAAAATCTACAGAACAAAATCTCTTAATGTCACAGTATATTATGTGTTTCAGAAACTCTACATGAAATCATTCATGTACATTCATTCTACGTGAATTCTACATTCATTCTACATGAATGAATAAAATGGCAATCAGTAAATGGAAGAGATAAATAGACAATGAAGAAACAAAATTGGCTAATTCACAAGCCAGGTAATCTCTGAGGAATACCAGAGTATGCCACCCTAAAATATGCCTCTTTGGATTATGGATTATTTTGAGCTAAAAGCCATTAAAAACCAGCAGCAGGAAAAGCTCTAAAAATAAAGCACAGATTTTCCTTTTACTGGGGAAGTCTCCATTTATAGAGGTGTCTCCCTCATACCAGGAAGAGGAGGACTCTTAACAACTCTTAACTCTTATCAATGGAGAAAGCACCAATTTAAATCTGCAAACAAATCTTAATAAACAACCCTTGTTTGCCATTCTTTTCTCTTGTCACCTTCCCATAACTTGCCTCCTTCCACCCACAACATGAAACCCTTTTTCTTTAGTCTAAGATGGTATATAATCCTAAATTCTAACCACCCCCGTAGGTCACTCATCTCTGGGTACTCGCGTGTGTAAGCACAACACATGTGTTAATGATATAGGAGTTAAAAAGAAATTATTTAGGCAGATAGTGAGGCTAAGGAAGGTTTTCCTTTTAATAAAAAGCAGCCCCCAAATCATTTTCTTTTCTAACAAAGAGCAGCCTGTAAAATCAAGCTGCAGACATACATATGCAAGCTGGAAGCTTGCATGGGTGAATGTTAGCAGTTGTGTCAGTAGGAAAAGGCTACCTATGACTAGGCATAATCAAAATGGCGGCTCCATCTTCCCTTCACTTTGCCAGCCACATGTACAGTAAGAAGCAGACAAGATGACGCTGGCCAAGTGGAAAGTCCATTTGCATAATAAGATTAGGGTGGTGCAACCAGCCTTCCCTGGCCCCACCCCTCGCTATGTAAACGTCACACCTGGTAGAACCAATCTGTGGCCCTATGTAAATCAGACACTGCCTCCTCATGCCTGCCTATAAAATCTGCTGTGATCTGCTGCAGGCTGGCTTTTCCCTTTCAGACACCTCACTTCAGATAGCTGCTGTCCTCTCTTCTTTCTTCTGCCTATTAAACTTTTTGCTCCTTAACCCACCCACATGTGTCCATGTTCTTAATCTTCTTAGTGCAAAATGATGAACCCCGGGTATTTACCCCAGACAAGGATGCCACTTCACTAATAAACTATTGTTTGTTTTTCTCTTGTTAATCTGTTTTTGGACAGTCTAATTTATAGAGCCCCAGCTGAAGAATCTAAGATGGATAGAGAAAACGATTTTTTCCTCACCTACATCTGTAATTATATTAGTTTGAGGGTAAATATGAAGCAATAATGATCACTACTTGGTAATCTCCTTTACCAATCCTCTGTAATTTGGTAAATTATAAAGCAAAGTTATAGCCAATTCTCATGATTCAGGCTTCTTTTTATAGCATTATGTCTAATATATCTGATTCATGTCTATTGTTTTAGTAATAACATGCCAACCTCATGGAAACCAAAAAGTATCTCAGACAGCTCTCAATCAATTTAGAAAGCTTATTTTGCCAAGGTTAAGGATGCACGCCTGAAAGGCAGGTCTGTGCCTTTCTCCAAAGATGGTTTTGAGGGCTTCAATGTTTAAAGGTGAAAGAGTGGGTATTTGGGAAAGAGAAAGAAATTTTCAAAAGGTGTGGGTAGACAAATGGTTGCATTCTTTTGAATCTTTGATCAGCCTTTCACTGAATACACAATTTACATGTCGGTGGTGTGGAGGAATAGACACTTATGCTGTCATCTGGCTCACTGAATCAGCATTTTTACATCAGAGGAAACAATCAGATATGTGTTTGTCTCAAGTGATCAGAGGGATGACTTAGAGTTCTGTCCTTTGTCCTGCACCTGTAAAGATAAGCTGTCTATTTCACTGTCAGAGTAAAATTCAACAGAACTGTCATAGGGTGAAGATCTTGAAGTCCACAAGGAATTTCCTAGTGGGCAAATTGTGAGGGAGGTATATACTTTGTATTTTTGTAGCTATCTTATTTAGGAATAAAATGGGAGGTAGGTTTGCCTGATGTGATTCCCAGCTTGACTTTTCTGTTTGGCTTAGTGATTTGGGGGTCCCGTATTTTCCTTTCACACTCACAGTAAAATTTTAATACCCTCAAAATCTGCAGGACAAAACTCACACATAAAGCTCCTTGAGAAGTTACTAGAGGTTAAATGGGTCCGAAGGGCTCTTTCCATTCTAGGAGAAGGATCATGATACTATGATAAGGTCACTAATATCAGCATCATTTATTTATTTAACAAATAATATTGAGTACCTGTGGTGGATTTATATCATGTCAACTTAGCTAAGGTGTAACCACAGTTTTCAGACTTCCCTTCACTGCATAATTCCAAGTTAGTATGGGCCACAAATGACATTTGCAAAAACTGAGAAGTAGAAGTGAAACAGCAGCCTTAAAAAATAAAACTAATAGTTGGAAGATTTGCTCAGGTCCACTAGGCACCACTGCAACTCATGTACGTTGCGCCCATCTGCTGGCTTGCCTTGAAGATGTAGGAGCCAAAGGGAAATGACCTATTTGCACTTTGAAGTTTCACTGAAAATCAACTGACAAAGGCAAAACAATAGCAGAGAAGGCTTGCACAATTTTATTTTAACATGCATAGCACAGGTGATTCTCAGGAGAATGATTACCCAATAACCCAATGAGGTACAGAAGCTTATATCCTTTTTCACAGGGGAGAGGGGAGAATGGGGAATGTGGACAATGCTTCTCAGAGACAGCAAATGATTCTTAAGGAGAAGAAATGGACAGAAATTAACTTGTAAATGATTGTCTTTGGAATTCGAATGAGCCAGAAAAGCAGGCATTCTCTTGTGAAAAATCCATTCTAGTTGCATTCCTCAGTCTTCTTTTCTGAAAGAGACAGGGGGACTTCAGGGAGAGGAAGAAGGCAATCTTGTTCATTTTGGAAATAAGATTTCATGGTGAAATAAGAAAATCCCAGAAAATCCCAGAGAATCCCTTCTTGTGCTTGGGCACGAAGCGGGGTTGGGGGAAGAAGACAATATTAGAGGGACCTGGATTCTGAGGCAGCTTCTAAGGCCTCTCAGCATGTCAAAGTGCCAATCTTTGCAGTTTTATTTTCCAAGCCCCAATAATAGCATAGGGCAGATCCCACTCCTAGTTTTTCTGCTCCTATCGGACACCCCGTCAACTCTCTGACAAGCTTCTTCAACTCCCTGTTCAGGTGAATATTTAGTTCCATGACAAAGGGCTCAAACTTTGATTGAAGGTCACCCCTTCAGCATTGAAACTGGAGGTTTGGAAAGACTGACAGAGTTCTAACTCATCCATTGGAGTTCCAGCTCATTCTCGTGGGTTCCAATTTCTCCTTGCTCTTCACCACTTTGCCTTTGTCTTTTCTTCACAGGTGGCTGCCTTCCTGATTCAGACTTCAGAATCAGGCACAAAGACAATAGACTCTGTTAGACCATTTAAGCAACTTCCAAAATTACATAAGGCCAGTTGGAATTTTTTCTTATAAAAGGCAAACCAAAACCAAAACCACATTTTTCTCTCTACTCTCACTCTTAACACAGAATGCCTCTGTGACCAAACGCGTGGGTTTTTTTTCCCCTCAACACATCAAGCAATTCTTTAGCAGACACCAGTTGGGTGTCCTATAACTCAAATCAATTCTGACACTGTGTGATCCCACAGGTTAAGAGTCAGATCCCACAGGTTAAGAGCTCAATCCCACAAAACTGCCGCCCTACCTTAAGATGCCAATTGCAAGGCCCAGGTTGTGACCTGTAATCCTGATCAATGGCTATAGCAACTGGGATTCCCACAGTCTGCCTCCTTGTGTTCCATAATTTGCTAAGACAGCTCACAGAACTGAGTGAAAGACTTTACTTACATTTACTGGTTTGTTTTAAAGGATATACAGGATATGGATGAACAGCTAGATTTAAGAGATGGCTACAAGTCTGGGGTAGGGGATGTCACAGTTTTCATCTTTCTCTCGGTTTGCCACCCTCTCAGCACCTCCACATGTTCAATAACCAGGAAGCTCATTAAATCTCGTCGTTCAAGAGTTTTTATAGGCTATAATCTCCAGCACCTTCCATCAGGTCAATGGGTGGGGTTGAAAGTTCCAACCCTTTAATTCTTTAATCCCTTGGTCTTTCTGATAACTGGCAGCATCTTGAGGCTATCCAGGGGCTCTATCCTAAATTGAGATATTAGGATAAATACAGGTGTGATCAAAGGGGGTCCATGAATAACAAAAGACACTCTAATTACCCAGGAAATTCCAATGGTTTTAGGAACTAGGTGACAGTAACTGGGTACACAGATCAAATGTATTTCATTCTTAAGGGCTCTGTTTTGTCATACTGAACCTTGACTCATACAATGCCCACCATGTACCTAGCACTGATCGTATGGATATAAAATAAAAATTAATTTTATATTCTGATCATACAGATATAAAAATTAAGCCAATCTAGTGAAGAAGTCTGTGTTAGTTTGTTAGGGCTGCCATAATAAAATATCACAAACTGGGTGGCTTAAACAACAGAAATTTATTTTCTCACTGCTCTGGAGGCTGGAAGTCCAAGCTCGCGGTATCAACATGTTTAGCTTCTCCTGAGGCCTCTTTCCTTGGCTTGCAGATGCTTGTATTCTTTCCGCGCCCTCACACAGCCTTTTCTCTGTGTGCGTTCCTGGTGTCTTTTCCTCTTTTTATAAGGACACTAGTCCTATTGCATTAGGGACTCACGTTTTCTACAGCAGATACACGTGTCGGCAATAACTTAAGCATATGCTGAGAATGACCCTGTAGTCTAAGAAGAATGTGTGTTCAGAGTTCTGAAACCCTGGCCTTTCCCTTAGAACACAGGCTGTCCAGCGGATTGAGGCCCTTTGTTTTGGGTTAAATAGTGATTGCTAGATGGATGGTACTGTGTGAAAATACTGTATGAACTGCATGCTTTTTACAAATGGTAGCACTTCTCCTGTTCAGCTCGCTGCCACTGGACTGTCCCTGAAAGCAAGTTCCCCCAAAGAACCCTGTGTCTTATTCCTTGTCTCCAGGTCTCTTCTTCAGCCTCTCAGACACAGTGCCATCCCTATTGGAGTAAATAGGGGTTCAGGATGACACCTTTATGACCTCGTTTAATCTTTATTACCTCTTTAAGGAACCTATTTCCAATATAGTCACATCTGAGGGTTAGGGCTTCAACATATGAGTTTGAGCCGGACACAATTCTTTCCATGACAAAGGCAAGTAAATAGGAAAGTATAATTGCACCTGAAATATGCTAGATGCAATTATAAAATGTCATGGAAATCCATACAAAAGAAATATAACACAGTTCTGGAAATGTAAATTCAGAGATAGAGTGATTATATAATGTATTATTCAAATAGGGACACTTGTAAGAGTGAAAAGGTGTATTAAAAAGAATTTAAAGGCACTAATTATTTTTAAGCAGGCATAATCTAGAACTTTCCCAGGAAAAGTAGGAGACATATGCACCCTATTCAAAGAAGACCTAATGGAAGAAATACCATCTAAACTGAGACCTAAAGGAGGAAGGGAAGTTGAGACAAAGGTGAGAAAGAAGGGAGTGTACTCCAGGTGAGCAGGCAGAAAGAACATAGTCAGCAGAAAACAATAAGCTGGAGAAACAGTGTGCCATGTTTGGAAAACTGCAAGAGATTTCACATGGCTGAAATTATGGGGGCAGAAGGTGTCAGGCAAGAAGCAAGGCTAAGCAAGATTTAGAGGATAACAGAATTCCTTAAAGAGTTTGGACTTGGTCTGTAGCAGGTGTGGGCCATTAGAGTTTCAGTCATGGAAGCAGCATTGTTTAATTCACATTTTTTAAAGATCTCTCAGATTCGATCAAGACAGCAGACTCCGTCAATTCCTGACTCTTACCAAATACCTCTTTTCCCCCAGGGACAAAGAGCATCATCCAAAAGGCCAAATAAATAACAGCCATGGGAAACAATAAGGAATTCAGAAATGGAAGATTTGCATAAAAACAGAAATTAAACAGTATCAGATAGACAAAGAAGCCACAGGCCAGTGTATGAACAAGAGAGAAAAAGAGGTAAGAGAGAACCTTTTACCTCTTTTCATAAGGGTGTCCCAACCTTATGTGGAAGAGATACAGGACAAACATCAGTGCAGAACACTGAGGAACTCTATTTAGAGCAGCTGAGCAGGTCGGCCTCTACTCCTAATCTCCTCACTCCCAGATCTGAGGGGACTAAAGAGTCAGCTTCCAAGGGCTCTCGTTAAAGATGGGCAATTTGAGTGTCAATAATGATAACTACAATAGATTGAAGTGCATCACATAAGCTTCCGTCTATAATGATACTTTGATAACACAAATTAGCTGCCACCAAAGGATACCAATAAATTGTTTTAAAACTGTTAAATAAAGGGAAAGATTCAAGCATTTATCTTGCTTTTTCTATATGAACTGTACCAAAGGGTAAACAATACTAGATGGGATGTTTCTCTTTATAGAAATACTTCAGCTAATAAATGAGGAAGGAATAATTTAATTAGTACATAACCATTTTACAACTATAAATGAGGTAACGGAGTAGGTATTGATAAGCAATAGCTGCTAAAACCATGAAAGTAAACCCAATGGACATTATGTGCCTCTGAATAGGAGAACATAATATTACCTACGAATTAATTTTGCTAAAAGAAAAAGTTAAACCTGAATCTAATTAAACATCTAATCAAACCTTCAGACCAATTACTAATGTGCAGGAAATTTAGAATGATAGAGGTTACAGTCAGAAAATCAACAAGACAAATGACCTATTTTTCTTAACAAACAAATTACAAAAATAAAAAAGAAATGGAGAAAGACTACAGATTAGAAGAGTAATCAGAGACATGCCTATCAATCACAATGTGTGGACCTTATTTATACCTTGATTTAAAAAAATCAACTGTACACCAAAATTGCGATATTTATGTCACAGTTGCACACCTAGATACTGACTCAATATATGATGACTGAATAGTTTGAGTTTGGAATAAATGAGGAGACGAGGCAGTTGCATACATAAATCCAAAGCTCTTGACAGACATCTGAACTGGGGAAACATATGTAGAAGTCGGAATCAACTATGAATTCTTGCTGAACACACATGAGCTGATGAGCTACAAAGCTGTGTTTGAAGCTGGGGTTATCAACTTCTGCACTACTGAGGTTTGGGGCCAGCCAATTCTGCGTTGTGTATTATAAAATGTTTAGGTATATCCATAGCCTCCACCCAACTAGATGCCAGTAGCATTCCCACACGCAGTAGTCACAACCAAAAATGTCTACAGATATTACCCAATGTCCCCTGGGGGATAGTGGGGGCAAAAGTGACCCCAGTTAAGAACCAGTGGTATGGAGTAAAAAGAGAAGAGGGCAGAGAATGAAGCCTCAAGGAGTCATACAACTCCATCATTCACTTACAATTCCATGACTAACTGTGACCATCTTTCCAGACCCCAGTATTCTTATCTACAAAATGGACATGATATAATCTAATTCACGAAATAGGTGTGGCAATTATTTAATATTGAAAACACTTCTTAAAGTGAGAGCATATTCAAAGTGCCTGCCTTTGTAAGTGTCCATTACTGTGGGCCTCTTATCTCTTCCCTTCTCCCTTAAAGCTGTTAGTCCAGTTTAGCTCCACGAAACTCCAGAACAACATTTATCCTCTTATCAGTCTCTTAGGAAACCTGGATCTTTGACTTTGTAGCTACAATGCGGAAGCAATCCTGATTCTGTGAAGCTGCTTAAGGATTGCCAAGTTTCACCCACTTCCTAACCCTCCACAGGAAGGTACTTTGCATAAGTAAACTAGCAAGCAATCTCAAAAGTAAAGACAAGATGTTGTTCTTCCTGGAATTCAGTATCAGAGCCCACTCTTACACCTTCCCGAGAGCTTTCTCAATATGATTAAGAAACACGTCCTCACTGGAACTCCTTGGATGAAAAAGTAGACAAAAATGTATATTCTCAGTGAATTGAAAAGATTTTGCCAGGAGAAAGTTACCCTGCTGTAAAAGAGGTTCCCTTTCTTACTTAGGTTTTGAGAAAGGGGCCTGAAGTTTGTGCTTTACCTCTGTTTACCCAACATGATTTCCTTTCAGCAGTTATAACTCCCTTATTAAGAGCTTTACTGAGATATAATTCTTACACAATACAATTCAATCATTTAAAGTGTGCAATGCAAGGATTCATGGTATATTCACAATTGTGTACACCGTTACTGTAGCTAATTTTAGAATATTTTCATCACCGTAAAAGAAAACCTGTTTAGCCATCATTTTCCTACCTCTTTATCCCCCAATCCAAAGTAACCACAGATCCACTTTCTGTGCCTATAGATTTGCCTATTCTGGATATTTCTTATAAATGGAATCATAATATGTGGTCTTTTGTGTCTGACTTCTTTCACTTATGAAAATATGAAAAGCATAAAGTCTTCAAGGCTCTTCTTTGTTGTAGTATGTAACCGAATTTCATTCCCTTCTATGGTCAAATAATATTCCATTATATGGATATATCACATTTTGTTTATCTTCAGCCAACAACTAGTAAGAAAATGAGGATCTCAGTCATACAAGTTCAAGAAAATGAATTCTGCCAATAACCTAAGAGAGCCGGGAAACAGATTTCCCTAGCTGAGCCTCCAGATGAAAATGCAGCCAGCGGACACCTTGATTGCATCCATGAGACACTGAGCAGAGAACCCAACTAAAGCATGCCAGATTTCTGATAATAAATTAATATTATTGCAAGCCACTATATTAGTGGTTATTTTCTATCCAGCAAAGAAAACTAATACAACTAATACAGTGGCAAATGTCATTGTGTGTGTGTGTGTGTGTGTGTGTGTGTGTGTGTGTGTGCATGTGTGCATGCGTAGCTTTGTGTGCATGCATAATTTGTGCACTAAGAGAATTTAGTGGCTTTGAAGCACGGGCAGGACCTAACACATATTCTTGCTGTTGTTCTATATGCCTTTTGTATACCTATCATTGACTTATGTTTTATATCTAAATAGCTCTTTTACTACACATCTTTCATACACATCTTCTATAATTAAATAAATTGTTAAGATTCTCATCTTGATGATAATGCAGTAACCTGCACAAGAGATTTGCTTGTTGATTTGTTTTGTCCTGAGAGGTAGAGTTCTAAACCCTTAAACCTTGCAAATGCTTTTCTGTTTTGAGTCCCAAATTGCACTTTTAAACAGAATGAGAGGTAGAAGAAATCAGAGATTAGATACAAAGAGACTTAAAGTTCCTAGGGGAGTGGTAAACCTAAAAGAAAACCTGCAGTTTGTCTGTGTAACCCACAGACTATTTAAATGTGGGTGTTATTGTTTAGTTAGCACAGTATTATGTAAGGGCCTAAAACAATTTTATTCTGGTGATTTCAGAGTACAGTGTGGTATATATCTGTGTCATCAGATTGCAGTCAGAATAAAATACAATGCAAGATAAACTCCAATCATTTTTTTCATTGTGGTGTTAGCCCCAAAGCTCCCCCATTTTACCCAAAGACAAATGGACAACAAATGGTGTTCTGTTATTGGTACAGAACTCAAACTGAATGGGATTTATCAGGATTTTGTGTCTAATCTCTCTTCTTAAGGGCTCTGGCTGTTAGCTTTGACGAAGAGAATGGAAACCAGATGTTTAGATACCAGAGGCAGAGTTCCTAGGTTAAAAACAAAGTTTAAAAATGCCTTTTATTTTTATGTATTTTCATATGTCATTCTAAGTATGAACATTTCTCACTGATATTAGTGGATTTGAATTATGGATTAAATAGCCAACCACTCCCCAAATAAAACCAAACTGTGTTAACTACATCTTTAGCAATAAGTATATCTGTCCTTGTTATTACAGAAAATAAAGCCAGTACTGAAATTTCTAAATAATACTAATAAAAAACATATTCAAGAAGTAGAACACTTTTATTTAAAAATTCCAGTAAAATGCATTCCCTCCTTGCATGGAATTTTTCTGCTCATGAAAACACTTTCAAAGCCTCCAGCTGTTCCTGATTATTTTCCCCCATCAGCTCCACACTATCATCTTAAAAAGGCACAATAGGACTTTCCCAAATAATCACAATGCATGATGAAACTACTTCTACAGATCTAAGAACTCCAGCAAAGAATTTGTAGGGGATTACTATCTCATTTTCCAAAAGTGTCTTATTCAGATGTAGCTACAACCACCCTACAGTTAGAGCAATAATTTTTTTCTTGTCACACTTCAGGGGGTCTCCAGTTATGTTAACAACTGTCATGAAACTCTAAAAGAAAAAAAAAATTAATGTATACTTGCTCTCATAAACAAAAGACTAAAATGTATTCTATTATCCTTAGGAGTAGAAAGGAGAAAGAGTTCCTGAAATCAAAAATTGAATAATAAGATCATAATTGCAAAGAGTTGGCCAGTCTAGATTAGGGAAGTGACTCAATGTTCTACTTCATTTTCTGCTGCTATAACAGAATACCACAGATTGGGTAATTTACAAAGAACTAAAGTTTATTTGGCTTATGGTTCTGGAGGCTAGGAAGTCCAAGAGCATGGCACTAGAATCTGGTGAGGGACATCCCATGGCAGAAGGCATCACATAGAGTGTGAATCTGCAAGACAGAGACAAACAGAGCAAAATGGATTCTATTATCAGGAGCTCACTCCCGAGGCAACAACATTAATCTATTCATGACGGCAGAGTACTCACTGACCTAATCACCTCTTAAAGACCCCACCTCTTAATACTGTTACGATGACAGTTAACTTTTTTACACATGAACTTCTTGGGGACACATTTACATCATAGCACTCTCAAACCTAGCTGATCATAAAAATTGCTTGGAAACAGGTTTAAAACTCATATTTTAAGGACCCTTAACATGCCTTCTAAATTGGAACTCTTGAGAGTCACCATTCATAAAGCAGTTTCCACGTATTTCAGATGCAGCTCATCTGTCACCAGAGTTTGGAAACCACAAAATTGAGGGGTGTTTAAATATTCCCAATGGTTTGTTAAAGTGTTAATTATCATGTAATACCTGATAATAATCTACTCAAACATTTAAAACACAGACTTTGGTCTGAATACTTGCATATAACTTCTGACTCCCCAAAATCCCCAATGGAATGACCAAAGGAATTCAAAAATTGTGGGAAAATTGTATCAGCTCTGAAAATCATAGAAGGAGACCAAACTATTATGAAAAAGTAAAGCAATTCCTGCAGAATATATTGTAAGCAAGAAAATTGAGAGAACTGCTGACCAAGTCACAATTCCCACACTGACTCCAAGTTGATAGCAGCAGGGCATTAGGACAAAGTAGGAGGTACTGGAGGGAAGTTACAAATCTGGAGCTGACAAGGATGGGATTACTCTGCATAATTTTTCCCCAGTTTACTATTGAATCATACAGCAAGCCAAGTAGAATAGGGGCAATGCTACAACTAGTCTCAAAAGAGAAAGGCTGTGACAGTCAGAGAACAGGCACATTATTCCAGCAATAAAAGTGAATTTAATCTCTTTGGCTTAAGAATAAGACTTCTTGATGTTGCTGTCCACACCCCCACCCAGCCTTAATTTATATCCTATTCTTCAGAGGTCATCACCTTATAATTTTTCAATGTAAAACTACAATAGCGTTAACTCTTCCTTCCTTTTCCTTTTTAATTTCCTTCATTTTTTTTCTTCCTTCCTTCCTTTTTTACTTTCTTTCTTCCCCTGTTTTTTTATTCCTTCTCTTCCCTCCTCTTTATTCCTGCTTTATTTTTTATTTTGTCCCAAACTGTATCTGTTTAAAAGAAGTCACATAAATCTCCAAATATGGACAAACCTAGAATGTCCTCCAACATTCTATTTACCTAGTCACTCCTTCATTCCCTATCCCATCCATGTGTTATTTGCAAGAAGCAAAGAGAAAATTCTAAAGAGAGTCAATAGTTAGAAGGCAGTCAATCTGAGAAGGCAGACAAAATATTTCCTAAGAATGGTTTTATTAATAAAAGCTAGGAAAAACTATAGAAAATATCCAATGTGTACTTTCAAGAAGATTCAAGAGAACATTTTGTGTATGAAGTAAAAGCAAGAAGTCATTAAAAAGGTAGGACCTGAGAGCAGAAAAAGTTGCTTTGAGATGAAAAATATGACCATGAAATTTCTAATGTAATGGAATTTGTGAATACAAGAGGAGATTCTGTAGAATTGGAATCAATGGATTAGAAAAATAAGCTAAATAACTTCTTCCAGAACTTCTAAAAATGTAAAAACAATGCTGCCAAAGAAGTAAAAATTTAGAGGAAATATCCAGGAGATCTAAAATAAGTTTTATAAGAAGTCTAGAAGGACACAGGAACAGAAAACCGAATACCACATGCTTTCATGTGTAAGTGGAAGCTGACTGAGGGGAACACATGGGCACATGAGAGGGAACAACACACACTGGGTACCTATTGGGGGTGTGGGGCAGAGAGCATCAGGAAGAATAGCTAATGGATGCTGGGCTTAATTTCTAGGTGATGGGATGATCTGTGCAGTAAACCACCATGGCACACATTTACCTATGTAACAAACCTGCACATCCTGCACATGTACCCCTGGACTTAAAATAAAAGTTGAAAAAGATAGATGTCTAGAAAGAAAGAACTTGGCAGATAGAGCAGCAAAAATTAAAAAAAAAAAAAAAAAGGAAGAAGCAATAGAAAACTTAGCAGAGCTGAAGAAAGTCATTTGACTAGAAGTGTAGAGGACATGTTTAATGTCAGGTAAAATTAATTAAAGCAGAGTTAAGCCTGATATATTTTGATGAAATATTTCATTTCAGCACTAAAAACAGAACCCTACAAGCATCAACACAGGGGTGCCAGCAGGGAAGGGCGAGGACAAGTGACTTACAAAAGAAATCCTCAAATTGGCACCAAGTTTTTCACAATACTAAATGCCAAAGGATCATGGAGAGTTGCCTTCAGAGTCTAAGAAAATCAATTTAAGAACCAGGAATTCCATACCTAATTGAGCTGACATATATACAAAAGACAAGAAAAGACACACGCCCGTAATCCCAGCACTTTGGGAGGCCGAGGCGGGCGGATCATCTAAGGTCGGGAGTTCGAGACCAGCCTGACCAACATGGTGAAACCCCATCTCTACTAAAAATACAAAAATTAGCTGGGCGTGGTGGCACAAGCCTGTAATCCCAGCTACTCTGGAGGCTGAGGCAGGAGAATCGCTAGAACCCGGGAGGCAGAGGTTGCGGTGAGCCGAGATCGTGCCATTGCACTCCAGCCTGGGCAACAAGAGTGAGACTCCATCTCAAAAAAAAAAAAAAAAAAGAAAAGAAAAGAAAAGAAAGACAAAACATAATCACTATGTTCCCTTCCAAAACATTACAAAAAGAAGGGAACAGCTGAAAGAGACAAAGGCAGTAACGAAAATCTAAGAAGGGGGAAGACAGTAGTATAATAACACGTAGTGTTTACCCAGTGGTTACTATGGGCAAAGCACTGTTCCAAATACTTCAGTAACCCACTCAAACCTCACAATAACCCTATGAAATAGACTCTGTTGCTATACCCAGTGCAGAGGACAATACAGTTTTAGAGAAATCAAGGAACTTGTTCACAGTTATAGGGCTAGCAAAATGGTGCAGCCAGGAGTTAAGTCCAGAGAGTCTGAGCACCACATCTGAGTGCTTAACCACTAGGCTACGCAGCTCCTCGAAAGGAAAATGAAAGGAGAGCAAAAATAGAAAACGTAAAGGAGGAAGCTCCAAAATAATTATTAAAAATGAATCAATAACAAAAGTATTGAAATACATACCTCTTATGAAAACAAATGACTCTCCAAGCCTTAAAAAAGAAGAAAATCCTGCCTTTTGCAACAACCTGGATGAGCCTGGAGGACATTACGCTAAGTGAAATAAGCCAGGCACAGAAAGACAAATATTGCATGATCTCACACATGTGGAGTCCAAAAAAGTCAAACCTAGAGAAACAGAGAGTGGAAGGGTAGTTACCAGGACCTGGGAGATGGGGAGAAAGGAAAGATGTTTGTTAAAGGGTATAATTTTTCAATTATAACATTAATAACTTTTGAAAATCTAATGTAGATTATGGTGACTATGGTTCATAATAATGTATTATTAGCTTGAAATTTGCCAAGAGAGTAGATTTTAAGTGTTCCCACCCCCAAGAAAGGTAACTATGTGAGCTGATATGTTAATTAACTTAATTTTGAGAATCATTTCACAATGTATATGTATATCAAATCATCACATTATACACTTTAAGTATATGCAATTTTTATTTGTAAATCGTACCTCAATAAAGCTGGAAAAAATTCTTAAAAAAAAAGAAATATATGACTCTTCGGAAGTGTAAAGAACTTAAATCACAGAAAGGTTAGAAATAAAGAGACGAGTAAATATACGCCAGGGAAATGCAAATTTAAAAATACATGTGTCAATCTCAGAAAAGGTAAAATTCAAATTAAACATAAACAGGACAGAGAGAACTATTTTCTGTTCATAAAAAGGAAAATCCAGAATGAATTTGTAAAAGATAAAAACTTTGTATGTGCTATGTACCATGGCACTTCAAAAAAACAGCAAAATCCAATGAAACAATAAAAATTACATTGTAGTCGTGGCAAAAAGCATTTAATGTTTTCTCAGTCTTTGGCTAATCAAGACAAAAGTTCAGTATATAAAATAATTGACTATTACAAATCGTCCCTTGGTATCCAAATGGGATGAGTTTCAGGACCATCTGGGATACTAAAATTCATGCATGCTCAAGTTCCTTATATAAAATGGTGCAGTATTTGTATGTAACCTACGCATATCCTCCCACATTCTTTAAATCATCTCTATATTACTTACAATACCTAATACAATGTAAATGCTATGTAAATTGTTATTATGCTATATTTTCTTATGAATTATTTTTTATTTTTTTTTAATTTTCATCTGAAGTTGATTGACTCCAAGGCTGCAAAATCCATGAATACAGAGGTCTAATTGTATATTTAGTATGTTAATTTTATGGATATGAAAGTAATAATATAACAATATAGAGATACATGTAAAAGAGGGTCGTGATTAAGGACATTGGCTGCAGAGCTGTATAACCTGAATTTCAAACTTATTTCCCCCACTTAACTAGCTCAGTCCTTAGACAATACACTTACCATCTTGCTACCTCAGTTTCCTTCTATCCTCCCTTATAAAATGGATGGTATCATTGTTATGATAATTAAAGTCTATACATATAGTACAAAAATTAGTGTCCAGCCCATAATAAATAATTACTATGAGCTGCTATAATAACTAATGATGTATATATATATATATATATATATATATATGGAATTTTGAGTTTTACGAATAGAGAATATTCTTTCTTTCCAAATATTTTAGGGATATTTTACAAAAAACAGTAATATAATATGCCACAGGAAAGCACAATAAATTATTTAATGTGGAAATTACATGGACCACATATCTAAGTATACTAAAACTCTAATAATAATAGTAAACAAAAAATCATCCTACAAAGAAATTTTAAAACACCCTCCTAAGAAATTTTTGGGTAACAAAAGAAATCAAAACTGTACTTTAACTTATCCAGATAATTCTAGATTGTATTCTAGATTCTAGAATATAACCAATTAAGTGTCTATATATCAAACCTAGGTGATTATAGTAATACAATAAAAGTTTTACCATACAACAATGGAGATGTCATCTTTGTAACTTTAGAACAAGAATTTTTAAACAAGAAATAAGACACACCTCTTCAAAGAAAAAAGTGATGCACTGGACAATGTTTAAATTATAAAACTATGTTAATCAAGGACACCATTGAGAGAGTGAAAAAACAGCTACCATAGAAGAAGATACTCATAATGTACATGTGTAACGAAGACTTCAGATCCAGAAAAAAGAACACTTAAAAATCAGTAGGAGAAAACAAAAGAAAAATAGACAAGAAACTTGAACAGTTACTTCACAAAAGAAGTATCTAAATGGCCAATAAACTATGAAAAAATACTAACTTTTCATGTCATCAGAAAAATGCAAATTAAAACCACAGTGTGAGACCATTGCCCACCCACCAGAACGGCTAAAATTTAAAAGAACAATCAATACTAAATTTTGTCAAGGATATGGAGTAACCAAGTATCCCATACATTGTTAGTAGAAATGAAATTAGTACAACCAACTTGGAAAACTGTTCAGAGTATCTATTAATGTTGAAAATACATATTCCAAGTATATCCCCACCAAGACATGCATCCATATGTTCACCAAAAGACGTCTACTAGAAAGTTCATAGCAGCAATATTTATAATACTCTGTAGTTAGAAATGACCCATCAACAGTAGAATGGATGAACAAATGGTGATGTATTCACAGAATAAAATAATATATAGCTATAAGAATGAATACATTATAATTATACATAACAATATGGCGGAAGCTCACAAATAATATTGAGCCAAAGAAGCCAGATGCAAAGACTACAAACTATGATTTCATTTATACAAAGAGCAAAGGAGGCAGAATTAATCTATGCTATTAAAAGTTAAGGTATTAGTTACCTTTGGGAGGATTGTGACTAGAAAGAAGGGCTCTGGGAAGCCAGTATATTCTATTTCTTGATCTAGGTACAGATTACACAGGTTTATTCAGTTGGTGATGTTTGTATGAGTGTGTTCAGTTTGTAAAAATTCATTGAGCTTTTTGACTATGGTGTACACACTTTTCTCTTTTTATATTAACTATCTTTCAATAAAATGTTTTAAAAATTTATGGGAACAGATTTAAAAGTATACTAACAGGAAAATACAGAGCACTTTGTGCTTAACAAAAGAATATCACTCAAGAAGGTATAAAAAGTAATACAAAATGAACTAAGTTTCTAAATGTAGAAGCAGGAAAGGGAAATTAATAGAGCTTAAGAACCACATTTAAATTAATGATAAAATATTAAAATGCAAAACTGATAAATAAATCCAAGCACCAGCTCTTTGAAAAGACCATAGGCAAACCTCAGGAAATGTAAAATGAAAAAAAAAATAAAAAGAGGTAAAACCTAAGTTTGAAAAATGATGAAGGGGATGGGATATTATCATAGATCAGAAATTCTCAACTTTAGCAACACTGACATTTGGGGCCAGATAATTCTTTGTTATAAGGGGCTAGCCTGTGCATTGTAACAGTAGCCCTGGCTTCTACCAACTAGATGGCAGTAGCACATTCCCACTTCCATCTGCAAAATCTGAAAATATCTCCATACATTAACAAATGTCAGGAAAGGCAAAATCACCTCCAGCTGAGAAGTAGTGCAATGGTAAAGGAAGTAAAACCCTATACTATTAACTTTTTACATCTGAATAAAAAAGCAATGTTTGAGGAAATATACATTATAAAAAATGGTGGAAATGTGGTAGAGAAGCTCAATAAAACAGTAATCAAAAAATTAAAATTTGTATTAAAGATTCATTACCCAAAAAAGGCAAATTCTGAATTTTCTATGTTGTTACGTTGATTTGTGTGTATATTCATGCCCTGGTGCCACACCCATTTAATCATTGTGGCAGAGAATACCCTTCAGACTTCTAAGGACTAGATCATTCATCTCCTACTTAGAATGTTATTGAGAGAAGTTATACAATAGAAATATAAATGAATACCCCATATAAGTAATAGAAATTGAAGAAATTTGATTTAATAATAGATAAATAATTATAATGATATATTAATTGTAATGATAAGATTTTATAAAAGTTGATGTATCAAAAATATTATTCCAATGTACATTCAATACAAAAGTATAATATTTGAATTCTTTTTTCATACTAAGTATTTGAAATTTGGTATGTATGATATACTTACAGAACATCTCCATTCAGACTAGCTATATTCCAGTGCTCAGTAGCTATCTGTGTATTGGACAGCACATTTACAGAGTATAGTTAAAGATGGAAATTTCCTGGATTCATTTTTCTCATTTCCTGAAGACAGTAGAAACGTGATCTTTAAAAAGAATAAAAAAAACAAAGACAATTGGCACTTCAGAACTTAGAAACAAAATCTTCAAACAAAATGTTAGCAAAACAATTATCATTACCTTAAAATGATAATATGTCATTCATGATCAAGTATGGTTACTCTAAGAATGCAAGGTGCAATTTATATTGGACCTATTAATATTATTTATCCTCTACTATATAAGAGAGAAAATCATATGAGCAGTTTAATGCCAGAAATGTATTCAGTTAATTAAATTTCATTTATATTCCTGATTTTATCTTTTTTTTTTTTTTTTTTCTGAGACAGAGTCTTGCTTTGTCACCCAGGCTGGAGTCCAGTGGTGTGATCTCAGCTCGCAACACCCTCCACTTCCTGGGTTCAAGTGATTCTCATGCCTCAGCCTCCCGAGTAACTAGGACTACAGGTGCATGCCACCATACCTGGCTAATCTTTATATTTTTAGTAGAGATCATGTAGGCCAGGCTGGTCTCCAACTCGTGACCTCAAGTGATCCACCCGACTTAGCCTCCCAAAGTGAGATTACAGGTGTGAGCCACCGTGCCAGGTCATCCCCCCATGCCCTGCTTCTTATATGTTGTACACCATATATTAGAATTCAAAAGCTGATATCAAAGGTAAAAGTAAAATGTCTTATTTTTAATAAAACTGAGAATGATCTAAGAATAAGAATACCCTAATTCTTAAAGATTCACTACTTAAAAGTCAGCTCTCTCCAAATTAATTTATAAATATTTTATAAGTCCGATTAGTGTCAAAATTATTAAAAATATTACCTGTAAGAAATAAATTATAAAATGGCCAACAGATTTTTGGAAAAAAGGTGTGCTTTGACTTACTAGATATTAAAATAAATAAGAAAAAAGTAATTAAAATAGAGAAGAACAAGTGTAGGAAGTATAGGCAGTTCAATCATGCAATGTAAGGTCCAGAAAGAACTCAGATATTTATAGAAATGTAATATACAGAAATAGTTACTTTTCAATTCCAGTAAAGATAGATTCTTCAATACATGTTCAAGAGTTTAGCTACAGTGAATGCTTATTGGAGTACTATTCATTGGTGAAAAATAGGAATCAACTAAAATGTTTGTGACGGTTAATACTGAGTGTCAACTTGATTGGACTGAAGGATGCAAAACATTGATACTGAGTGTGTCTGTAAGGGTGTTGCCAAAGGAGATTAACATTTGAGTCAGTGGGCTGGGAAAGGCAGATCCACCCTTAATCTGGGTGGGAACCATCTAATCAGCTGCAAGCACAGCCATAATATAAAGCAGGCAGAAAACCATGAAAAGGTTAGACTGGCCTAACCTCCCAGCCTACATCTTTCTCCCGTGCTGGATATTTCCTGCCCTCAAACATCAGCCTCCAAGTTCTTCAGCTTTGGGACTCTGACTGGCTCTTCTTGCTCCCTAACTTGTAGACGGCCTATTGTGGGACCTTGTGATTGTGTGAGTTAATACTCCTTAATAAACTCCTTTTTGTATATATATCCTATTAGTTCTGTTCCTCTAGAGAACCCTAACTAATACAGATTTTGGAACCAGGAGTGGTTCTAGAGGAACAGAATATTAAGGATGGAGTTCTTTCATTGGTTTTGGGGTTTCTGGAATTGTCTGCTTAATATGATTAGAGCCTAAAATGCTAAAGTCTCTGCTTCCAATAGTATGGAGAAAACTGATAGTTCTTGGCATGAACTGTTTAGAGAGTTATGCAAGATAAATGCATTTGACACTCCTGATTCACCGCTCATGAGATGCAAGTTTAGTGACTCTATACATAATACCTTTGACCATATGTAGAGAACCAAAGAACATAATGAAGTTGGTTGGTTGCTCCTAAGTTCACTGGACAAAGTGATGAGAGAAAATGATGAACTCAAGGATTCTAACTCCAGGCTACAGAAGCAGATACTTAGCTTCAAATCTACTAAGATTGCCCTGAGTGAGAAAGAGCTGTAGAGAAAGAGCTGAAATTGTGGAAAAACAGACACAAACTCTTATCATGCGAGGGGCTGGCATGCAATGAAAGATGCATGCACAGCCTCACCAGGTGTCTACTGTTAAAGTGAGGGCATTGACTGGAAAAGAATGGGACCTTGCAACTTGAAATGGGGATGTATGGGAGGACCCTGATGAAGCTGGGGACACTGAGTTTGTAAACTCTGATGAAACTTTTTTACCAGAAGGAATAGCTTCCCCATCCCCAGTAGTGGCAACATCCCCTCTCTAACCCATGCTGCCATCAGCCTTTCCACCTGTGTCTGAGGGGATAAAGCTTGTACTGTCTGAGGCAACAGTGGTGGACCGCTTGAGCCAGTTGCCAGGCAGGATAATGTTGATTCTCCTCTGGAACCACCCCCAAAACCCCTGTTTGCTTCTAGAACTATAACTAGACTAAAGTCTGGGCAGGCCCTTAGAGGTGAGGTTCAGAGTGTGACCCATGAGGAGGTGTGGGACACTTGAAAAGAACTGCTTGAGTTTTCCAATGTACACAAGCAGAAATCTGGAGAACAGGCATGAGAATGGATATTAAAGTTGTAGAATAATGGTGGAAGGAACACAGAGTTGGATCAGGCTAAATTTATTGATTTGGGCCCACTAGGTAGGGATTCTGCATTTAATGTTGAAGCTCAGGGAGTTGAAAAAGATTCTAATAATTTATTTGCTTGGTTAGCCGAAATACGGATTCCAAGATGGCTCACTCTGAGTGAGCTGGAATTGCCTCATCTGCCTTGGTTTAATGTAGACGAAGGGATCCAAAGGCTTAGGGAGATTGGGATGGTGGAGTAGATAAGTCACTTTAGATCCACTCATCCCAGCTGGTAGGGTACAGAAGATATACCCTTGACCAACGCTTTGGGAAACAAATTTGTGAGGGAAGCACCTGCCTCTTAGAAGAGCCCTGTAATTGCTCTTCTCTGTATGTCAGATCTAAAAGTGGAAACCACAGTCATTCAACTTCAATATTTAAATACAATGGGTATAATTGGATCCCGAGCTGCTAAGGGCCAAGTGGCAGCACTCAAACAACAAAGGCAAGGTGGGCTACTGTAATGGGTGGCAGAGGCAAGGCAGCAATCAGAATAGTCTGACTTGTGTAGACCTCTGGCATTGGTTAATTAATCAAGGTGTTCCTAGAAGTGAAATCGATGGGAAGCCTACTGTATTCCTACTTAATTTATATAAGCAGAAAACTTCTAGATCAAATGGACAAAGACTAATGTGAATTATAAAACCAGAAAATCATGGCCCCTCAATCAATTTCCACACTTGAGCCAATTTACAGACCCAGAAACCCTTGAATGAAGAGGAAGCCAGGTCTCCTTGAGGAAGGACCCCACTACACTACTGACAATTTATGCTGTTAATCTTTCTCCCATTCTTCCCCAAAGGGTCCTCTAGTCTTTTACCACTGGGGAAAGGGAAATGATCAGACATTCTGAGGACTGCTGGGCACTGGCTCTGAGGGGATGTTGATTTCAGGGGACTGAAAAGGTCATTGTGGTCCTCCAGTTAAAGTAGTGGCTTATGGAGGTCAGGTAATTAATGGGGTTTTAGCTCAGGTCTGATTTACACTGGGTCCCCGGACTCATCCTGTGGTCATTTCCCCAGTGCCAGAATGCAGAATTGGCATAGACACACTTAGCAGCTGCCAAAACCCCCACATTGGCTCCCTGACTGGTAAGATGAGGGGTATTAAGTGGGAAAGGCCAAATGGAAGCCATTAGAGCTCCCTCAACCTAGAAAAATGGTAAATCAAAAACGATATCACATCCCTGGAGGGACTGCAGAGATTAGTGGCACCATCAAGAAGTTGAAAAATGCAGGGGTGGTGATTCCCACTACATCCCCACTCAACTCTCCCATTTGGCCTGTGCAGAAGACAGATGGATCTTGGAGAATGACCATGGATTATCATAAGCTTAACCAAGTGGTGACTCCAATTGCAGTTGCTGTACCATATGTGGTTGCATTGCTTGAGCAAATTAACACATTTTCTTGTACCTGGTATGCAGCCATCGACTTGGCAAATACCTTTTTCTCCTTTTCTGTTCATAAGGCCCAAAGAAGTAATTTGCCTTCAGCAGGCAAGGCCAGCAATATACCTTTACTGTCCACCCTTAGTGGTATATCAACTCTCTGGCTTTGTGTCATTACCTGATTTGGAGAGATTTTGATCACTTTTTGCTTCTACAAGATATCACACTGGTCCATTACATTGATGACATTATGCTGATTGGATCCATTGAGCAAAAGGTAGCAAACACACTGGACTTACTGGCAAGACATTTGTGTGCCAGAAAATGGGAAATAAATCTGACTAAAATTTAGGGACCCTCCACCTCAGTAAAATTTCTAGGTGTCCAGTGGTGTGGGGTCTGTTGAGATATTCTTTCTAAGGTGAAGGATAAGTTGCTGCATTTGGCCCCTCCTACAACCAAGAAAAAGACACAATGCCTAGGGGCTTATTTGGATTTTGGAGGCAACACATTCCTCATTTGGGTGTGTTACTCCAGCCCATTTATAGAGTGACCCCAAAGCTGCCAGTTTGGAGTGGGGTCCAGAACAGGAGAAGGCTCTGCAACAGATCCAGGCTGCTGTGGAAGCTCTCTGCTACTTGGGCCATATGACCCAGCAGATCCAATGGTGCTGAGGTGTCAGTGACTGATAGGGATGCAGTTTGTAGCCTTTGGCAGGCCCCCATAGGTGAATCACAGAAGAGGCCCTGCCGTCTTCTGCAGATAACTACTCTCCTTTTGAGAGACAGCTCTTGGCCTGTTACTGGGCTTCGGTGGAAACTGAACATTTGACTATGGGTTATCAAGTCACCATACAACTTGAACTGCCTATCATGAACTGGGTGCTTTCTGACCCATCTAGCCATAAACTGGGTCATGCAAAGCAGCATTCCATCATCAAATGGAAGTGGTATATACGTGATCGGGCTCGAGCAGGTCCTGAAGGCACAGGTAAGTTACATGAGGAAGTGGCTCAAATGCCCATGGTCTCCACTCCTGCCACCCTGCCTTCTCTCTCCCAGCCTGCACTGATGGCCTCATAGAGAGTTCCCTATGATCAGCTAACAGAGGGAGAGAAGATTAGGACCTGGTTCACAGATGATTCTGCATGATATGCAGGCACCACACAAAAGTGGACAGCTGCAGCACAACAGCCCCTTTCTAGGACATCCCTGCAGGACAGCGGTGAAGGAGTCTTCCCAGTGAGCAGAACCTCAAGCAGTGTACCTGGTTGTGCAGGTTGCATAGAAAGAGAAAGGGCCAGATATGCGGTTATATACTGATTCATAGGCTGTAGCCAGTGGTTTGGCTGGTCAGGGACTTGGAAGAAGCATGATTGGAAAATTGGTGACAAAGAAATTTGGGGAAGAGATATGTGGATGGACCTCTCTGAGTGGTCATAACTGAAGATATTTCTATTCCATGTGAGTGCTCACCAACGGGTGACCTTGGGGAAGAGATATGTGGATGGACCTCTCTGAGTGGTCATAACTGTGAAGATATTTGTGTTCCATGTGAGTGCTCACCAACGGGTGACCTTAGCAGAGGAAGAGTTTAATAATCAAGTGGATAGAATGACCAGTTCTGTGGACACCATTCAGCCTCTTTCCCCAGCCACCTCTGTCATAGCCCAGTGGTCCCATGAACAAAGTGGCCATGGTGGCAGGGATGGAGTTTACATATGGGCTCAGCAACATGGACTTCCACTCACCAAGGCTAACCTGGCTATGGCAACTGCTGAGTGCCCAGTTTTCCAAAAGCAGAGACCAGCACTGAGCCCTCAATATGGCATCATTTCTCAGGGTGATCAGCCAGCTACTTGGTGGCAGGTTGATTATATTGGACCTCTTCCATCATGGAAAAGGAAGAGGTTTGTCCTCACTAGAATAGACACTTACTGGGTTTGCCTATTCTGCAACCAGTGCTTCTGCGAAGACTACCATCTGTGGGCTCACGGAATGCCTTATCCACCATCATGATATTCCACACAGCATTGCCTCTGACCAAGGCACTCACTTTACGGCTAAAGCAGTGTGGCAGTGGGCTCATGCTCATGGAATTCACTAGCCTTACCATGTTCCCCATCATCCTGAAGAGGCTGGATTGATGAACGGGAGAATGGCTTTTAGAAGTCACAAGTACAACACCAACTAAGTGACAATACTTTGCATGCCTGGGCAAAGTTCTCCAGAAGGTCGTGTGTGCTCTGCATCAGCATCCAATATATGGCACTGTTTGTCCCATAGCCAGGATTCACAGGTCCAGGAATCAAGGGGTGGAAGTGGAAGTGGCACCACTCACCATCACCCCAAGTGATCCACTAGCAAGATTTTTGCTTCCCGTTCCCACAATATTACATTCTGCCGGCCTAGAGGTCTTAGTTCCAGAAGGAGGAACACTGCCACTGGGAGACACAACAACAATTCCATTTAACTGGAAGCTAAGATTGCCACCTGGACACTTTAGGCTCCTCCTACCTTTAAATCAACAGGCTAAGAAGGGTGTTACGGTGTTTGCTGGGGTGATTGAGGCTATTAAGATGAAATAAGTCTACTACTCCACAACAGAGTTAAGGAAGAGCATGCATGGAATACAGGAGATCCATTAGGATGTCTCTTAGTATTACTATGCCGTGTGATTAAAGTCAATGGAAAACTGCAACAGCCCAATCCAGGCAGGACTACCAATGGCCCATCAGGAATGAAGGATTGGGTCACTCCACCAGGAAAAAAAACTACGACCTGCTGAGGTGCTTGCTGATGGGAATACAGAATGTGTGGTAGAAGAGGGTAATAATTAATACCAATTATGATCACGTGGTCAGTTACAGAAAGGAGGACTGTAATTGTCATGAGTATATCCACCTTCTTTTGTTAAAAACATGTTTGTGCATGGATACACTTGTACTAAGAAAATATCTTCATTTTATTTCCTTTTTCCTTTATCCTGTGACATAAGATTTATTGACTTCATATCAGCATTTAAGTATTGTTGACTTTATGTAATAGCATTTGCGTCGAGGATTGGTGCATTTGCGTCGAGGATTGGTGCATTTTCGGTTGTATGAAAGATAGTTGTATCCTGTTAGGTGTAATTATAACTTTATTACTGTCTTTATTTGAAGATTATGTATGATCTCAGGAGATGTGTATGGGTTCAAGTTGAAAAGGGAGTAGACTAGTGATGGTTAATACTGAGTGTCAACTTGATTGGATTGAAGGATGCAAAGTATTGATCTTGGATGTATCTGCTAGGTGTTGTCAAAGGAGATTAACATTTGAGTCAGTGGACTGGGAAAGGCAGACTCACCCTTTATCTGGGTGGGCACCACCTAATCAGCTGCCAGAGCAGCCAGAATATAAAGCAGGCAGAAAAAACAGAAAAGGCTAGACTGGCTTAGCCTCCCAGCCTACATCTTTCTCCTGTGCTGGATGCTTCCTGCCCTCAAACATCAGACTCCAAGTTCTTCAGCTCTGGACTGGCTTCATTGCTCCTCACCTTGCAGACAGCCTATTGTGAGGCCTTATTATTGTGTGAGTTAACACTCCTTAATAAGCTCATATATATATATAATATATACTAATAAGAGATATATATAAATCCTATTAGTTATGTCCCTCTAGAGAACTCTAATACAATGCTCAAGCAATGAAATTTGTATATAAATTATGATATATTTTTATAATGCAATATTATCCACCCATTTAAAATTATGTTGTGGAAGAGTAATCTATATAAAGAGGTTTATTACACAGCATTAATTGACAATGAAACAGTTTACCAAGTACTAAGTAATGTGAAGTTCAATTTTTGTGTTCTCTTTGGTGTTCACACCAAAAGGATCTCTTTGTAGTCCTCTTAATAACTTTTTGCTGCATTATCAAATCCCTAAGATACAAAAAAACAAATTCTTGAGTTTTACCTAACCTAAACTAGGTTTAACCTTAATTATTTTTAACCAAATTTCAGTCAAATTTTGATGTTTTTGTTTCCCTATCTCTTCTTTCCCTTCTTCTATTTTGTACCCTTGTTCTCTTTCAGCAAGGTTTTTTTTTTAACCTTTTTTTTTTGTTTTTTTTTTTCCATTTCCATTGATCGAATTGGGAGCAATTATGAAAAGCATTTTAGAAGTTATTGCTTATTAAAAGAAATTACTACTACATCACCTTGCTTCCACCTCCATCTTTATCAGTGCAGATACCAAGAGCCTGAATACTTCTTTGACTTGCCCCTCTGCCTCAAAAGCCATGTCCAAACCTGATGTCATAATTCTGAAATGTGTTCAGAACCCACTGCTCTTCTTTAATACTGCTGTAACTGTGTGTTGTGAGCAGCGAAAGATGAGACGTAACCAAGTCTGTGCATGTTTGTATCTTTCCACAAGGTCAGATTTTCCTTGGTGTTATTTCAATTGCAAAAGTCACGGCTACATGGAGTTCCCAAGGAAGCAATTCTCCTTAGCACTACCTGTTCACTCAGTAGTTAGCGCCATGGGCACACGGGCTCAAGCCACAAGTCAGTCAATATTGCAAATCACACATTGTAGTATAATTAATATATAAATGTTATAGATTAAATATTCCATATCAGACAAACAATTAACATCAAGACGAAAAGGATTAGGAAAATGGGGTCAAATGAACCAGTGCAAGGAGAGTGACATGGACAAGGAGAGTGTCCTGGCCTGATCCTGATGGATGTCAATGACTTCCACTGAAGAGTCTTTTATTTGGGCAGAGCCTTCAGCCTCAGATGCCAGGTGCTAATCACAAGTGACAGCATAACCGTGTCTATCAAGATGGCCGTCTTGAGCTGGTGAAGTCTTGCTATTCTTATGGCCCCGGAGTCTTCTGGTGAGGACTGAATTGATAGTAAAGAGTGTGCCTGGTTATGTCCTTATCTGATTGATTGCTGTCTCTATTGATTAGGCGAACATCTGATCGCTGTTGGTATGATGCCTGTTGGTATGATGCATTCTGAAACATAAGATGAGTCTTTTTCTAAGATGGAGTTACAGATGTCAAGGGTGCTCTATAAACAGCACCATTCAGTCCTTCAACACTTTTCACAGGTATATCTATAACCTACCAATAGACCTTATTGCTAACAATCTCCTCCCCTGTCCAATCCATACCTCAGCCTGAAAGTTCTTTCTAGAATACTGATTAATCATGCCATTTGTCTGCTTTTTGGAGAAAGTTAGAACTTCTGAGAATGGATTTCAAAGCTTTTGAGCCCAACCTGATTTTCCAATCTCACCTCAGTTTATCACTCCCTGCCTACCATACCAAACTCCGCCCATCTCAGAAAGTATAGGAACTTTTGAAGAAGTGTTTCTGATGGAATAGTCTAAACAGTATGCACATTTTGCCAGGCCGTGTGTGTGGTACCACTGTAAATTTTATAATGACACTAGATTTTCCAACCATTTGTTTTTCATCCAAGTATTTCTGATCGTTTTAGTAATAGCAAATTTTTTCACAGTAATTTGTTTTATAAGCATCAGGTAGGATCAGATCTCCCTCATGCAAACACATTATCATCTCTTTAACTTGTGCGGCCCTCACTCCATCCTCCACCCTTTTTCCTTTCAGGAGAAACTTACTTTGTGGTTTCACTCTTATTTTATTTGTTTAAAATGTCCCATCCTGTTAAGCAAAGGATTATTTCTCCAAATGACCTGTATCTTTTCATATTTTTCTCTTTTTTTTGCTCATGATGTTATCTCTACTTGAAAATTCCTTGATATTTGTCTTCAGTGAGCTAAATCCTACAGACATTCAATGCTTACCCCAGACATTACTCCCTCTTCAAAGGTTTCCCTCTTGATATTCCTAACACATCACCTCACATGTGAGTAGAAAGTTGAATTTATTAGGTTGGTGCCAACGTTTGCACCAACCTAATACTTAATCTCCTCATTACTACCACTAACAGAGTCTCAAA
This sequence comes from Homo sapiens, assembly GCF_000001405.40. Taxonomy (NCBI): domain Eukaryota; kingdom Metazoa; phylum Chordata; class Mammalia; order Primates; family Hominidae; genus Homo; species Homo sapiens. The sequence goes on from NC_000021.9 coordinate 15,585,395, forward strand.
AAAGGAAGACATACCTATAACAAAAGTCTAGAAGCAAAAGTTTTGGAGTTAAATGACCTGCTTTTGCCTGGGCACAGTGGCTCACACCTGTAATCCCAGCACTTTGGGAGGCTGAGGCGGGCAGATCATGAGGTCAGGAGATTGAGACCATCCTGGCTAACATAGTGAAACCCCATCTCTTCTAAAAATACAAAAAATTAGCCGGGCATGGTGGCAGGCGCCTGTAGTCCCAGCTACTCGGGAGGCTGAGGCAGGAGAATGGCATGTACCCTGGAGGCAGAGCTTGCAGTGAGCCGAGATCGTGCCACTGCACTCCAGCCTGGGCAACACAGCAAGACTCCGTCTCAAAAAAAAAAAAAAAAAAAAAAAAAAAAGATCTGCTTTTGTTCCCAGTTTACAAATCACTCAAATTTCAATCTACTCTCTTTCTCTTTTGTATTCCCATTGCTCTTTGTAAATACTCTCTTGAAACATTTAACACACTCCTTTTCTCTCACCATACATAAAATCAGGTGGTATGTGTTAATTCATTTCTGACTTTTTCAGGCCTTAATAATCATTAAAAACAATTAAAGAAGATAAGAAGGAAGGAAGGAATGAAGGAAAGAAGGAAGGAAGGAAGGAACGAAGGAAATCATTCTATTCAGATTTCTAATAGCCTGTCTATCTAAACTTGGAGTTGAGGTAATGTATGATCCAAGAGGAAAAAGAAGCAACACGGATAGCTTAAGCGAAAATTAAATTCCTGTAAAGGGTGAAAGTTTACACTTTCTTTTTAGGTGGAAGCTTGATTAGACCACTAGAAAAAAAAAAGAGTTAAATTACTTCTTTCTCTTCCAATAGTCTTGTTTATTACATTGCAGCAAACGTTTGTATATGGAATTGCTTTTTAAAAGCAGGAAATCTGCTTCTCTGTGAACACTGGTTTGTAGCTCCTTTTTCATTTTCTTGACTAACAACTCAGTTCTATAAATTGTTTCAGTAGTTCAATAAACAAGTGCTAAATTGTGAGCTCCCTAAGGATAATGACTGTGTCTTATTCAGTAATGTTTACCAGGAGCCTCACTAATACCAGGAAGGCAAGTTTGCCTACATTTACTCGAGAATATATTGTTGTTAATTCTCTAAAGACCAGTGGAGTACATGTTCTCTCAATGTCTATCCACATGGCAAAACTGTGTGAAGAATAACAACCAGACAGACCTCAAATTTGCTCATTTGATGATTTATCTTGTTTGATGAAAGGCACGATAGCCTAAGAAAACTCTCTTTTCTCAGATACTATTTGCCTCAGATCAATAGTATGCAGAAAATACCATCACAGGACAAAAGAAAATTGTCTTGACTGCAACTAGAGCACAAAGGGGAAAAAGATGTAACAATCTAAATTTCAAGAAAGAAGTCTCAGTTAAAAGCATTGCTCTCAGAAGTCTTTTCTGGTGCCTCTGCAGATGATCCTATTAGATGCTAGCAATTGCTAAGATTGAAATACTCCAAGGTGAGAGAGAATGCTTCGGAAACACAGACTAGATGGCCTATGATTCGTTAACTTTATTAAACAGCACTGTATTTCCTGAACAAACAAAAGAGTACACTGGTATGTTCCTGAACTTTTAAAGTTTTGCATTTGATGGAGTTCAGGACACACTAACCCAGGATGTGGCATCTTGACATTTGAGAAAATAGTAGAAACATGAAGGTCACTCTCACCTTCCCCTTGCCCCTTCTCCTCTGAAGCAGGCCATAAAATGTAGAAATAATTCTCTGACCTTCTCTCCTGTAGCAGAGAATAAAATCAGCTGACTTTCCCGTGAAGCAGATCATAAAATCCTGTTTCCTGAGGTGCCCTCCTTGTACCTGGAGGGAAAGAATGTTCTTATCTCTGAAGTCAGAGGGACACAGAGAAGAATCTGAGCAAACAGGCCTTGCTAAGATGGGGTTTGTTACCATTAGATCATACCTTGTTAGTCCAATTACACTTCTGCACAACTCTCCACTCTTCCTCCTACCTAAGCATAAAAATATACGAGTTTCCCTGTTTCTTGGGGTCTTCATTTCTTATTTTACTTTGTTTGTTTCTTTCTTTTTTTTTTTTTCTTTTTTCAAGTAGGAGTCTTGCTCTGTCACCCAGGCTGGAGTGCAATGACACGATCTCAGCTCACTGCAAGCTCCGCCTCCTGGGTTCAAGAGATTCACCTGTCTCAACCTCCTGAGCAGCTAGGATTACAGGCATGCACCACCACTCCCAGCTAATTTTTGTATTTTTATTAGAGACAGGGTTTCACCATGTTGGCCAAGATGGTCTCGAACTTCTGACCTCAAGTGATCAACCTGCCTCTGCCTCCCAAAGTGCTGGGATTACAGACGTGAGCCACTGTATCCGGTGGGTCTTCATTTCTGAAGGCTCCCATGTCAGGCAAAACTTATATTAAATAGATTTGTTTTTCTCTTGTTAATCTATCTTTTGTTACAGGTGCCTTAGCTGGGAACATTGAAACAGGTAAGGAAAAGATTAACACTTTTTCTCCTTTGCACATTTAACTTAATTAGAGTACACCAGACTCCAAGTCTCTCTTACTTCTTGCTTTCTTACCCCATGCCTAGCTTTAATTCAAATTTGGTTTAAATGGTTAATTGCCTTAGAAGCCTGGTAAAGTAGTTTTTATGTTAACTAAACATCAAATGTGAGTAAATCACTCTGCTAGATGCTTTACATAGTCTACCCAATTTTCCCTTAAACAACTTCCCAAGGCTTATGTTTTTTTTCCTATTTATTCTTAGGAAAACTAAGAGTCAAGTGATCAAGTAACCATCAAGGAAACATTCATAATCTTTCCATTGGACCAGGTCTATCTCCATGTTTATTCAACACACAGTGGCGTCAAATGGTATCCTCTTTATAAAACTTGCTCAAATTAGGGATTCTTCCCCCTCCTTCCCCATCTCCACCTGGAACTCCAAGGTATGAGAGCAATCTGGCTCATCCCTTCAATCTCCCAGGTGAACCAGCATCCAAAGAATTCCTAGCAAGAACAACTTGGCATAGTGAAAAACAACGTGCCAGTTGAGGAATTAGATGTTCTGGGCTCCATTCACCTGACCAGCTGTGTTACCTCTGCCTGATGATTTAACTGCTCTTAGCCTTATGTTCCTTATCTTTCACTGAGGTTAACCATCTAGTTACATAGAATATTTTAGTTTGAGTTATAATGGAATCTCTAAGAGAATAGGTATATGTTGTAAGTATTCTTTAAATTAACATTTAATCCATAAACTGCAAATTAGGGACATTGCCCACACTTTTTAATTTTATTTTATTTTATTATTTTTGAGATAGGGTCTCACACTGTCACTCAGGCTGAGTTGCCATGACACAATCATGGCTCACTGCCGCTGTGACCTCCTGGGCTCAAGCAATCCTCTCACTTCTCAGCCTCCTCAATAGCTGGGGCTATGGGTGCCTGCCACCATGCCTGGCTGATTTCTGTATTTTTAGTAGAGATTTGGTCTCACAATGTGGCCTAGGCTGGTCTCGAACTCCTGGGCTCAAGTGATCTGCCTGCCTCAGCCTCCCAAGGTGCTGGGATAGCAGGCATGAGTCACTGTTCCCAGCTGCTCACAACTTTAAAAAAGAAAGCTTAGTGTCTCAACTACATTCTAATGTCATATGGATTATGTTCCAACAAATTCTTTTTCTCAAAGAAAACAATTATTTAAAAAATCATTAACATGTTTGTTTATTATTTGACATTTAAAATGTGCTGTTTTTATATTGAAATAACTCTATCCAAAGTGTACGAAGAGAGAATGGATTCCCTAAGATGGTCAAGTGCAGCAGCATGTTAGCTATCAGACAATAATAAATTGGGAATGACAGATAGTGCTGACCATGGTGCATTCCATAGTGAGAATGGTAAGGACTTAGCAGCTTCCCATTAAATTAATGAGAACCCTCAGCCTTTTTGGCCAGCAAGATTAAGCAACATAATGGAGACATCTGAATACCTTTCTACCACCCTGGGAATGAAAGGCAAGATTGAAAGGACAACCAATTCAGTTAAGTGTTTGGCTTTTCACCCAGGTTACCCCTAGATTGGGCTGTTATTCCACTATTCTCTCATTTTGGCTTTCAAGATCAGCAGCAGCTAAAATAGCATTTTTGAAGTCTTTTAGGTTGTTTATACCCTTGTTTCCTAGATCAATAAGAAATAGAAAGACCAGGAATCCCTCCAGGTCCCTAAAACTGTCCAATAAAGATGTGCCATTAATTTGGATTTATAAGTAGGGTTTTCATTTTATGGTCTGCTTGCTTTTTATAATCAGCAACTCTTCAGTCTGCTATGTAAAAGGAGGCATAGCAATTAGTTAAAAGCTGAAGTGAAAAAGACTAGAATCTAACTGTGGATTTTTCCTCTTCTGTGAGGCAGGATGTGAGAAATCAAAGTATTGGATTAGGAATTAGGCGAGTAGTGCCACTAACAACATGTGCAGCCTGGAAAAATCCAGTCTCTCAAAGCCTCAGTCTCTCCATTGGTAATCAGTTTGACAGTATGATGGCTACATTTTTCAGCATTTCTAACTATATTGCTCTCTTTAAAAACAAAGACTGATATGGAGAATGAGTAGGTAACAGAGCACCAGTATTCCCAAGAAGATATATGCCCAAGAAAATGAATCCTCTCTTGGGCATACATCTTCTTCTGTAAATGGGAATCTATTTACAGATTTTATTTATTTATTTTTCTTGAGACAGAGTCTCACTCTGTCCCTCAGGCTGGAGTGTAGTGATGCGATCTTGGGATCTTGGCTCACTGCAACCTCCGCCTCTTGGGTTTAAGCAATTCTTGTGCCTCAGCTTCTTGAGTACCTGAGAATTCAGGTGTGCGCCACCACACCCGGCTACTTTTTGTGTAGAGATGGAGTTTCACCATGTTGGCCAGGCTGGTCTCACACTCCTGACCTCATGTGGTCCACCCCACCTTGGCCTCCTGGAGTGCTAGGATTACAAGCGTGAGCCACCACGCCCGGCCTATTTACAGATTTATGCTATCTATTTTTCTACTATTGAACACTCAAATTCTAATCCATGGAAATTCCATTTATATATTGAAGAGTAAGCACACAGAACATTGTTCACATTGCTACTGTTAGTATTTTTTACCGGGACTTATAACATCACCTGTTAGGTCAACATTGATCCACCAGTCAACACAATTTGTTTGTATTTTTGCTTTCTTTAATCCATAATTTAATTCTCTTAACCCCCCTGGGAAAAATCCGTAGGCATCACTTTGAAGTTTATTTCTCATAATCTTTTAAAACATAGGTCATTAAGTGACTGTGTTTCCATTTAGAGGATTAATCCTCTGTGTGTTTTCTAATTCCTTAGGCTGACTAGTCTTGTCATCTCAATAGCCATTAATATCTTACCCAGAGAACGGAAGCTTAAAGAAAGCTGTTGAAGATTTAAGATAATCTATAAGTTTGGATAGTTTTTTTTATTTATCATATTCATTTATTTATTTGAGACAAGAGTCTTGCTCTGTCACCCAGGCTGGAGTGCAGTGATGCGATCTCGGCTCACTGCAATCTCTGTCTCCCCAGTTCAAGCGATTCTCATGCCTCACCCTCCGGAGTAGCTGGGATTACAATCGTGTCCCACCACACCTGGCTAATTTTTGTATTTTTATTAGAGATGAGGTTTCACTGTGTTGGCCTGACCTCAAGTGATCCACCCACCTCAGCCTCCCAAAGTGCTGGGATTATAGGCGTGAGCCACTGTGCCTGGCCAAAGGTTTTAAAATTGTAAAGACCTGTAACATTAACCTTTGCATAGAGAAACACATAGTGGGGTTACTAGATCTGTATGTTTCACAGACTTCTGAGAGAGCTCAAGCCCCAGGAAAATAATGAAATCAAACTTTAGTGTCCAAAATTTCTTAGTAGTTTTTTATGAAAGTCTGCAAGGAAAAGAAATAGCAACATTGAGCACTTACTATTTGACAAGTCCTTTCTGTATATTAGCCTGCTTTATCTTATCTTAGCCCTAAAAGTGTCATGAGTCCTGGTTCACATATAAAGAAACCGAGGCTTAGCAATGTAAGGATTCTTCCTTTGACTCTTTCTATGACAGGTAGTCAACAGCAAAATCAGTATTCCAACACTAGTCTATAAAACTCTAAAATTGATGTTTTCACTCTGTCACTGCTTCTCTTGCAAAACCTATTAGATATTCCCTTTATTTCTGCCCTTCATGCTTCTTTCTCTCTATTGATTGATTGATTGATTGAGACAGGGTTTCACTCCCATTGCCCAGGCTAGAGTGCAGTGGCGCGATCTCAGCTCACTACAACCTCCACCTCCCCAGTTCAAACACTCCTGTCTCAGCCTCCAGAGTAACTGGGACTACAGGCATGGACCACTATGCCCTGCTGATTTTTATACTTTTAGTAGAGATGGGGTTTCACCATGTTGGCCAGGCTGGTCTTGAACTCCTGACCTCAAGTGATCTGCCCACCTTGGCCCCCCAAAGTACTGGGATTACAGGTGTGAGCCACAGTGCCCGATCACTCTCTCCATCTTTAAACTCAAAGGTGAAGACTTTTTAGTTAAATTTTCTTCCAGCTACCAAGCTTCTGCTAATAAAATAATTTTTGTTTTATTAGAGTTAGCATTTATTGAGAACTATGTGGCCTAAACTGCACTGTAGGGTTTGGCACTATAAGAATAGCGTTTACAGATTTGAAAACAAAGGCTAAAAAGATTTAGTAATTGCCTACGATGAGCTTGTTGGTGAGTTCTCAAGAAAAAAATTCAATCCCTTATCCATGTAACTATAGAGTGTGCAGTTAGCCACTATTTAAAAATCTAAGCCTCAGGAAGAAAATATATATTAAAATTTCTTTTATTTCAAGTAGAGGGGATTTAATTAAATTTGTATTTTTCAAAGAGATTTGGTTGCTTATCTCTATTCTGAAAATTCTCTTCAGCCTTTTGCTTTTTGAAAAACGATTTGCACTATGCCTAAGAAAAACAAGAACCAAACAAAATGCCACTGATATTATGGTATACCACTGCCATCTAATGGCCACTACGGCTAACAAATTGCAAATGTTTTATGATTGAAAATGACCAATGTACAATTATTAAAATATGGAGATGCAAGGTTGAATTTGAAGGGAAATGCTAGAGTAGTGTAATTTGATTTTATTACTTACTGTGGATCTGAGCCATCCCAAGAGTAAATACACAGTTTTAGCTCTTCCTGCGTGTGTCATGAAGTGAACATTAGTGTTAGAGGCCTTTAAACAATGAATTGTAAAAAGCAAACACACCATGTGCAGTTGGGAATTTTGCTTTAAATTTTGTAAACTTTTTGGGTAAGCACGATTTTAAGTCGCATCTATATATTTCAAAAACATTTTGGAATTAGCTGTGTGAATGCCATGCTGGGCTTGGTGACTGATACATACACTGAGCAAAACCAACTGGTGTTTTGGTCCATAGTAGCATGGATGGTACTACCGGATACAGCATTTTGGATTTTTATTGCATGTAGATTAATGTAACACTTCATTTATCATTTGTTTGTTTGTAAATTTGTTCAAACACTTCTTTATTTGTTAGCTTATTTAAACCACTTGTGCCAGAGATGCCTGTCCATTTTGCATGGAGAAACCAGAGATTTTGGATTCAGATATGTTTAGAACCATGAGTTGGAAGGACATTCAGTTACTCATTTAGCAAATATTTATTGAGTTTTGGTGAGGTGTTGCACACAGAGTAAACATGACATACTCTTCTTCCCTTCAAAGTAATTGTAGAAGTATCAAGTAACTATAGAAAGCAGAAACACAGATAGGCAAACAGAAGACAAAATATGGCTAGTGGGATTGAGGACATGTTACCCCAACATGTGAGACCTTGGCTTTTGAGAAAACAGCAGAGGCAGAAAGGTCACTCTCACTTTCCCATCACACTTTTCTCCTAAAGCAGACTACAAAATCCAGCGAGCTTACTCTTTGACCTTCTCTAGACCCTCATTTCAGAGGCATCCTCCCTATACCAGGAGGAGAGAAACAGGGACACAGAAAAGAATCTGCACAAGCAGAACTTGCTAAATCCCCCCTCCCCCAGTTTATTATCACTAGATTATGCCCTCTGTCCAATCACAATTCTTGACAACTGTTCACTCTTAATCAAACTGAAGCATTAAAATACATAAGCTTACCTGTTTGCGGGATCTTCAAATTTCTGAAGCCTCCTCTCTTACATAAAATTTATATTAAATGAATTTAAATCCTACTCAAACTATTCCTAAAAATAGTTGAAGAGGGAATATTTCCAAACTCACTCTATGAGGCCGGTATTACCCTGATATCAAAACCAGACAAAGAAACAACAACAAAAAAGAGAAAACTACAGGTCAATATCTCTGATGTATATTGATGCAAAAATCCTCAACAAAATTCCAGCAAACTGAATTCAACAATACATTACAATGATTATTTATCATGACCAAGTGGGATTTATCCCTGGGATCTAAGGATGGTTCAACACACAGAAAATCAATCAGCATGCCACATCATATCAACAGAATGAAGAATAAAACCATATGATCATTTCAATTGATGTAGAAAAAGCATTCGAAAAAATTCAATATCCCTTCATGATAAAAACCCTCAAAAAACTGGGTATAGAAGGAACATACCTCAACATAATAAAAGCCATATATGACAGACCCACAGCTAGTATCATACTGAATGGGGAAAAACTGAAAGCCTTTTCTCTAAGATCTGGAACATGGCATGGATGCCCACTGTCACTACTGTTATTCTTCATAATACTGGAAGTCCTAGCCAGAGCATTCAGACAAGAGAAAGATGTAAAGGGCTCCAAATTAGAAAGGAAGAAATCAGATTATCCTTGTTTGCAGATGATATGATCTTATATTTGGAAATACCTAAAGATTTCACAAGAAAGCTATAAGTACTGTTAAATTTACTGATAAATTCAGTAAAGTTGCAGGATATAAAATCAACATACGAAAATCATTAGCATTTCTATATTCCAACAGTGAACAATGTGAGAAAGAAATAAAAAATAGTCCCACTTACAATAGCAATACATAAAATTAGATACCCAGGAATTAATTTAACCAAATAAGTGAAAGATCTGTATAATGAAAACTATAAAACACTGATGAAGGAAATTGAAGAGGACACCAAAAAATGGAAAAATATTCCATGTTCATGGATTGGAAGAATCAATATTGTTAAAATGTCCCTACTACCCAAAGCAATCTACAGATTCAATGCAATTTCTGTCAAAATACCAATGACATTCATCACAGAAAAAGAAAAAAAATTCCTAACAATTATATGGAACAAGAAAACATCCAGAATAGCCAAAGCAATCCTGAGTAAAAAGAACAAAACTCGAGGAATCACATTACCTGACTTCAAACTATACTACAGAGCTATAGCAACCAAAATGGCACGATACTGACATAAAGACTGACACGTAGACCAATGAGAATAGAGAACCCAGAAACAAGACATGCCTATAGTGAATATATTTTTGACAAAGGTGCCAAGAACATACACTGGGGAAAAGACAGTCTCTTCAATAAATGGTGCTGGGAAAACTTGATGTACAGATGCAGAAGAATGAAACTAGGTCCCTATCTCCAACCATATACAAAAATCAAATCAAAATGGATTAAAGACTTAAGTCTAACACCTCAAAATATAAAACTACTACAAGAAAACATTGGGGAAATTATCCAGGACATTGATCTAAGCAAAGATTTCTTGAGCAATACCCCACAAAGAGGGACAACCAAAGCAAAAACGGATGAGTAGGATCACATCAAGTTAAAAAGCCCCTACATAGCAAAAGATACAATTAACAAAGTGAATAGACAACCCACAGAATGGGAGAAAATATTTGCAAACTACAACTAACTACTCACCTGACAAGGGATTAATAATCAGAATACATAAGGAGCTCAAACAACTCTATAGGAAAAAAAAAACCTAATATTCCAATCAAAAGATGGGCAAAAGGTCTGAATAGACATTACCCAAAATAAGACATACAAATAGAAAACAGGCATATGAAAAGTGCTCAACATCACTGATCATCAGATATATGCAAAAAAAGAAAACATCTAACAATGAGATATCATCTCACCCTAGTCAAAATGGCTTATACCCAAAAGACAGGCAATAACAAATGCTTGCAAGGATGTGGAGAAAAGGGAACCTCCTTGTACACTGTTGGTGGAAGTGTAAATTGGTACAACCACTATAGAGAAGAGTTTGGAAGTTCCTCAAAAAACTAAAAATTGAGCTACCATATGATCCAGCAATCCCACTGCTGGGTACATACCCAAGAGAGGAAATCTCTATATTAAAGAGATATCTGCACACCTATGTTTGTTGTGGCACTGTTTACAATAGCTAAGATTAGGAGGCAACTTACATGCCCATCAGCGGATAAATGGATAAAGAAAATGTGAAACATATACACAACGGAGTACTATTCAGCCATAAGAAAGAATGAGATCCAGTCATTTGCAACAACATGATGGAACCGAAGAAGATCATTATGTTAAGTGAAATAAGCCAGGCACAGAAAGAAAAACATCGCATGTTCTCACTTATTTGTGGGATCTAAAAATCAAAACGGCTGAACTCATGGACATAGCAATTTGAAGGGTGGTTACCAGAGGCTAGGAAGAGTAGCGGGGGATTTGGAGAGAGGTGGTGATGGTTAATAAGTATAAAAAAAAATAGAAAGAATAAATAAGACCTACTATTTGATAGCATAATAGAGTGACTATAGTCAATAATAATTCTATATTTTTAAATAACTTTAAATAACTTTTAAATAACTTTAAAGAATGTAATTGGATTGTTTGTAACTCAGACAATCGAGAGGATTTTCCATCATGTGCTTATTTTACATTGCATGCCTGTATCAAAACATCTCATGTACCCCAAAAATATGTACACCTACTATATACCCACAAAATTTTTTAAGTAAAATTTAAAAAAAATTAAATTGTATGCTTTTTTTTTTTTGTTAATCTGTCTTTTTTTATCGGGATCTTGGCCATGAACCTAAGATGAGAAGGAAAGATATTTCTTTTCCCCTACATGGCATTGCAAGGAATGAGTGAAGAACAATGTCTCCTTGCTTATATGTGTGTCTCTAGAAGTCAGCAAGCACCTCACACGTGGTAAACACCCAAATGTTACTGGATGAATGAATAAAGTAGCATTAATTGAGTTAAACGTGAGTGTTATAAGACACCTAACCACAATTCGAGAGGCTGTCTGGAGTAGGAGACTGGGCTAAGGCATGATTAGGCATAAGCAGCCATGAGAGTCGGTGGAGCAGTGTGTTTCAGACAGACCTCAGCGATCTTTTTTTCTCTCTCTTTTTTTTTCTTTTCTTTTTTTTTTTTTTTTTTTTTTTTTTTGAGACAGAGTCGCACTCAGTCGCCCAGGCTGGAGTGCCGTGGCTCGATCTCGCTCACTGCAAGCTCCACCTCCTGGGTTCACGCCCTTCTCCTGCCTCAGTCTCCCGAGTAGCTGGGACTACAGGCACCTGCCACCATGCTCAGCTAATTTTCTTGTTGTTTTTTTTTTAGTAGAGACGGGGTTTCACCGTGTTAGCCAGGATGGTCGCGATCTCCTGACCTTGTGATCCACCCTCCTCGGCCTCCCAAAGTGCTGGGATTACAGGCATGAGCCACAACGCCAGGCCTTTTTTTTATTTTAGAAATCTGTTTTTCTTTGTTTTCATAGGTTATTGGGGAACAGGTGGTGTTTGGTTATATGATTAAGTTCTTTAGTGGTGATTTGTGAGATTTTGGTGCACCCATCACCCAAGCAGTATACACAGCACACAATGTAATCTTTTATCCTTTACCCCCTTCCCATCCTTTCCCCTGAGTCCCCTGTGGCATTCTTATGCCTTTGCATCCTCATAGCTTAGCTCCCACTTATGAGTGAGAACATGTGATGTTTGGTTTTCCATTCCTGAGTTACTTCACTTAGAATAATAGTCTCCAATCTCATTCAGGCCACTGCAAATGCCATTAATTCATTCCTTTTTATTGCTGAGTAGTATTCTAGTGTGTCTGTGTGTGTGTGTGTGTGTGTGTATGTATGTGTGTATGTGCCACAGTTTCTTTATCCATTCATTGATTGATGGGCATTTGGGTCGGTTCCACGTTTTGCAATTGTGAATTGTGCTGCTATAAACATGCATGTGCAAGTATCTTTATCTTTTTCGTATAATGATTTCTTTTCCTCTGGGTAGATACCCAGTAGTGGGATTGCTGGATCAAATGGTAGTTCTACTTTTAGTTCTTTAAGAAATCTCCACACTGTTTTCCATAGTGGTTGTACTAGTTTATGTTCCCACCAGCAGTGTAGAAGTGTTCCCAGTTCACCACATCCATGCCAACATCTATTATTTTTTGATTTTTTGTTTATGACCATTCTTGCAGGAGTAAGGTGGTATTGCATTATGGTTTTGATTTGCATTTTCCTGATCATAAGTGACATTGAGCATTTTTTCATATGTTTGTTAGTTATTTGTATATCTTCTTTTGAGAATTGTCTATTCATGTCCTTAGCCCACTTTTTGATGGAATTGTTTGTTTCTTACCTTGCTAATTTGTTTGAGTTGATTGTAGATTCTGGATATTAGTCCTTTGTTAGATGTATAGATTGTGAATACGTTCTCCCACTCTGTGGGTTGTCTATTTACTCTGCTGACTTTTCCAAATACTTACAGTCAACTGATCTTCAGCAAAGCAAACAAAAACATAAAGTGGGAAAGGACACCCTATTCAATAAATGGTGTTGGAATAATTGGCAAGCCACATGTAGGAGAATGATGATGGATCCTCATCTCTCACCTTATACAAAAATCAACTCAAGATGGATCTAGGACTTAAATCTAAGACCTGAAACTATAAAACTTCTAGAAGGTAACATTGGAAAAACCCTTCTAGATATTGGCCTATGCAAGGATTTCATGACCAAGAACCCAAAGGCAAATGCAATAAAAAAAGATAAATAGCTGGGACTTAATTAAATTAAAGAGCTTTTACATGGCAAAAGGAGATCTGGTTTTTAAACCTCTGTCAGTGCAGCTATGATTCTAATCCTGAGTGTCATTACTTATATCTTAAGTAAATCTCTATACCTTTCTTGGCCTTCGATCTTCATTTAAGAATGAGGAATGTGATAGTTAATTTTATGTGTTAATTTGACTGGGTCACAGGGTACCCAGATATCTGGTCAAACATTATTCTGGGTGTTTATATGAAGATATTTTTGGATGAGATTAACATTTAAATCAGTAGAAATGAGATAAAGCAGATTATCCTCCATAATGTGGGAGGGCGTCATCCAATCAGTTGAAGGACTAAATAGAACAAAAGACTGATCCTTACTCAGGTGAGAGCAAATTCTCCTGACAGGCAGCCTTCTCACTGTCATATTGGCTCTTCTTCCCAATTAGCCTCTTCTTTTCTAATTGCTTAGCAAAGTTGTGCAGGGGATTGCTCAAAAATATGCAACTCTTCAGAAGCCTAGGCTTGGAACCATCATCTTGTCACTCCCGCCACATTTGATTTGCCGAAACATGTCCTGAGGCTAGCCCAGTTTCAGAGGAGAGGAGATGGACACCACCTCCTGATGGGAAGAAAGTTAAAGTCACATCGTGAAGAACTGGGAATGATTTTTGCAATCAGCCTACCACATTTATCTACCATCTTCATGCATTTTCCAAAAATTCCTTTACCAACTCTTTAACATTCTATTTATTCATGAGGTCTACATTACCATAACCATATATGAAATTGTGGGTTTAAAGTTAAAACTTTTTTATGTGCATTAGACATTATAACTCTTAAAAATTGAGAGAGAAAAACTTACCCACATACTTGAATAAGGTAGAGTTCAGAAGTTTGTACGGGATTCAGAGACTGATGGGAAATTCTCTAACATGCTGTGAGATAGTAAAAATGATCTCTCTAACAAGTACTAGAGTCCCTGTTGTGTCCATAGCACTAGAATAAATGCAGGGGAAAGGACTAAGAACTTAAAACCTCTTTTAGGAGAGTTTGCAACGCAGAGTGGCCAACAGAATCATCTTGTCCACCTCCACACTAGCCAACCCATAAAGAATGTAAACCCTATGTCTATCATACAAAGAATAATTAAAATGGTATTTGGAAAAGGAGGTGATCAAGTGGAAAGGAGGGATAGAAGAAGAAATCATGGACTGAATTGGCTTCAAGCTAGACCTTCAAATATGAGTAGGAGAAGAATAGATAACCTTAAGGTAGGGAGGCTTTTTAAATGGGAAAGAAGCCCCAGCTAGAGGCTCAAAGACAGTAAATAAAAAACCACAGTTAGAAGTCAGTAAAATTAGATATATAATGTTAAAACCAACATTATTCACATTATGGTATGTAAATGACATTATATAATACTTAGTTTTGGTCATCAACATGGTGGTCATTATGCACATCTGAATTTAAGAGAGACAGGAAATATATATAAAGAGTTGAGAAATGGGGATGAATTCTACTTCTGGTAAGGTAGGGCTGCATACTTTGAACCAATATTCCTACTAAAGACAAGGTGAAAAAATGGACATTTTATCAAAGCCATTAGCCTAATGACACAAAAAGCTCAGAAAATGGTGAAAAATTATCAGGTGAAGATCCAAAAGAAGATTAAAGTGCAGAAAAGTGAATCCAGCTGAGAGGGTAATTTTTCCCTTGGGACCATTAGCTGCTCAGGACCTGGCCAGCACTTTTGATGGCTTCTCAGGGATAAAGACACCAAAGGTGGCATCTAGGCCCACATTTTAAGCTTGGGGCCCTAAAGACTACATTCTGAATCAACCTCAAGTAGCACTGCCCTCACACTGACTGCAGCCCAGCTTCAAAGCAGCTAAATCTCTGAAATTGAGTTAAGGTGTTCTAAGGCTACCAGCAATTTAGAAATTTTGTTTTTCAGCCTGTTTCATGTTCCTTTCAGCTAAGTTTTCCTTCTACTGGACACAGGTGGAATCTCAATGAGAAAAGATATTCATGAGACTATTAAGGAAATATAAAATGATGTATCATGTGTGCTGCAAAAGGGAATTTTATTTATTATGCTAAGGAATTTAGAGGAAAACATTGCAGCTTTGTTTATTTTAAAAAATAATAAAATTAAAAGTTAAACTTTTTTATTGGTGGCCAACCAAGGACCATTCATATATTTGGCTGTCTTTTGACATCTCCTTTACTTGAAAATCCATTTAGAAGGCTTTTCTAATGTGCTATGTGTGGAAATTGGTTGCAAGATTTAGAACAAAAATAATTCTGAGTGACATGTGAATTATCAAGTCATAGCTGAGAGAACTAAATCCAGTTTCTGAAGAAATAATACAGTTAGCCTTGTACCATTGGCTCTGATGGAGTTTGATTTTTGTGAGGTATGGATGTTTTCAGTTTTTGATACATAGTCTCAAGATATAACTAAAAGTAGGCTTTGGTGCTATTTTTGGAGGTGTATAATCTGCTACTCTACTTAAAATGTTTTGGTACATCTTCCTGTTTAATTCATTTCTCTGAGTCCCAATATGTCAGAACAAGATGTCCTCCTTCTTTCATTTTGGGGGACCCAATTTTTATTTCTGTAATTTTAATTATCACTTGTCTACCCTCTTCTTTACAGTGTTTTTACATGTGGGCCACTTTGTTAAGTGACTAAGCAAAGCCTGAGCCACCAGATGCTGACTTGCAGGAAAAAAATGAACTTAATGTACTCCAGTAAATCCAGTGGTAAAATTTGCCACAGCCAGGTCTTATAGTACAACATATTAAACAGGAATCTGTGTCTAAGATATTCAAAATTATTTTAAATTTTTAGTAAAATCAGCAGAGAATAACCATGAAATAAAAAAAAAATGGAAGCAAATATAACCACATCATAAACAAAATGTACTCTTCCTCCAAACCTTCCATGGTAATTAATTTTATGTGTCATCTTAACTAGATTATGGTGCCCAGTTGGTTGGTAAAACCCTAGTCTACACATTGCTGCACAGTATTTTTTAGATGTGATTAACATCTACAATTGGCTGGCTTTAAGTAAAGCAGATTACACTCCATAATGTGAGTGGGCCTCATCCAATCAGTTGAAGGCCTTGAGAGTAGAGACTGAGGTTTCCCAAAGTAGAAGAATTCTGTCTCCAGATTGTCACAAGGAAATTCTGCCTGAGTTTCCACCCTGAGTTTCCACCCTTCAGACTCAAGAATGCAATATCAACTCTTATCTGAAATCTGAGTCCAGTTTTTCTGCCTGCCCCATGAATTTCAGGCTTGCCAGTCCCAATAATTGAGTCAATTCTTTAAAATAGATCTCTCTCTCTCAATCTCTCTCTCAATCTCTCTCTCTCTCTCTCTCTCTCTCTCTCTCTCGTGTGTGTGTGTGTCTGTGTGTGTGTGTGTGTGTGTGTGTGTGTGTGTGTGTGTTTCCCTGGAGAACCCTGACTAATTCTTACACCTTCCAAGGAAGGAATAAGTTTCCAATGGTTATTTGTAACATTCCATGTAAATATCTGAATGCATCTAACATACATGTAGAGTAGTATTTTTAATATTGCCTTTGCATTTTGTTTAAAACCAAATGGATAGTAGCCACTTATAACCCATTTATTATGTATAGCTGTTTTAATACTTTCCAGGAGGTTATGTTCTTTTGACCCTCTGAGGTTTCTTCCCATAGTTTCACCCTACTTTTGCTTTCATTCTAATCCTTAAAAGAGCATGAAAGCTTATTCTTTTCCTCCCTGAGTAAATAAAACCAATATAGTTATGTCATCTTGTGGCCCTTTGTGTATTTTAGGCCAATTTTTTTTTCCTTTCATGAAAGCAACTATTGACACAAAACTATTTAAACAACTATTATTTACATCTATAGGAAAAAATACTACTGATTTTTATAAAACAGTTGCCAGAGAATTATGATTAAGGGCAATTTACGAAAGGCATGAGTGTTACGGCCATTGCTCAGGGCAACAACTAGTTGGGAAGAAACAAAAATAATTTGTTACAAAAGAAAAGTGAGTTAGTAATGGAAAAGTCTAGAAGATAAGTGTTTGATGAGTATATGAAGACTAATTTTGACATTTTCATTCTCAGCTTCTTGTAAGTAGGAGAAAAGAGTTCAGTTTTAGACAATCAAATGGAAAATTCTAAAAGGTACATTTAAGAATTTCTTAATCTTTTCTCATAATCTAATCAGACTGACTATATCACAAATAGTTGTCATGGAAAAGAAAAAAGTGTAGGCAGCTAAGGGAAGGAGATAGAGGAAACAAAAAAAGAACAGTTGATAAAATATCCAAAATTGCATAATACATTAAACTTATAATTTTTCAAATGTCTTTATATAGTCACTTGGAGATGATGATTAACTGTATTAGTTTCTTCAAAACACACTTGGGAAGGTTTTAACGAAGTTATATAAGTACCAGTGTTCACAGTATGGCAGGAGAATTTTATCTTAGCAACTGGTATTAGTGATCTAAAAATGTTTCGCCCTTCTATGAGCACCCTAAAATCTGTTCTTACACACACCCTCCAGATTTTTTCCAACTTAAATTAGCAAGTCTTTGACTCTTTTTATGTATATGACATCAACCAAACTTGCAAGTTTTTAATTTGTAGTTTATTCCCTTTGCTATACTGACACCAAACTCTAGTGACAGGTGTGGACAAAGTAGGGATAAGAGAGACGTGTGGGTAATGGACTGTTTCTTTAAGGAAATCACTATGGTGAGGCGGCAACAAAATAATCCTCAAGCAATGGAGAAAGAACTCTCAGACAAGAAAAAGAAATCTGCTTTTGAAGGTAGGAGATGCTTCATGGAAGGTGGGCGAAAACCACCTATAGATCTGATTTCTGGTTCTTGAATTTAGATATTTGGGTTTAAAATTCCCTCCCTTTACACCATCTAATTCTACTAGAGTCATGCCACCATACAGGTCTTCCATTTTTGCTACCATACTTTGGTGGCAACAATGCTGTCTCCCAAACTTTGTTCCCAAGGGCACACAGGATGACATAATTAGCAGTACACAGGATGACTTAATTAGCAGTTTTCACAACTCTTTGTCATGGATTACTGAATTCCAAAACCAAAATATTAGGGAACTTCAACTAGATGCATTCAGACCAGACAACCAATCCCATTTTCTCCATATTTTCCCAGGGATATTTAGTTTGTGTCTATCTGCTTTGCTTTCTGTATCAATTAAGAGGTTGTTTTGCAATAAGTAACAGAAACATACTGTGGATAGCTTAAATACGTATACTTTAAGGATATCAAGAGCTCACTATATTAATAGAAGGCTTGTCTGAAGCAGCATCTCTTAGCATCTCATCTGGCCCAGATGTGGGCACTGCTGTTGAGAATGAATTGCTATCGTTCTTGTATGCACCACGAAGTAAAGATTCCAAACCATGTGTGGAAAATCCAGTTGAGAGAACTAAATCATCGTAACTGCTTGGCCGCCAGGCTGTTCCTTATCCTCTTTGCCCTTTGCAGTGGGAAATAAGATACTGCCTTCCAAAAGGAATCATCACGGTGGGAAATTACCTGCAAATAGGACACCACGCCAGCTCAAAATACAAGTGGGTACTGAGGTTCCTTATCCTTAGATGTTGCTATCCTTATACTCAGCATAATCTTCACCATTGACTAAAATGCCCTCTAATGTAGATAACTTGTATTTGCCTCTTAGAGAACTCTGAACTGCTGCCACCTTGAACATGTCTTGGCTTCTTTTTTCCCCCTAGTAAGGATCAAAAGCAAGTTTTTTTTCATTGTAATTGTTCAGTCATCGTCAATCTATTAACTTGTGTTGATTTGCAAGGCGGCAGCCAAATGACTGTCACAATAACAAAAGCCAAGTCTCCTTTGATTGTAGAATCATCAATAATATTTATTCACTTGTCTCTGGCATGAGACAATTACTTTTCTGCTCCAGAAAGGCCGTTTTAATTGAACTTGTATTTCCTGCTTCCCAGGCATTTTGAGTAGGAAGAGGGCAGACCTCCTCACCATCTAATGCAATTGTTTTGCATCATCTTAATTTGAGTGGAGGCTGACATTCCTGAATTCCTGACTACATGCCAAGCTGTGGGGTGTGGCAAACAGCTCAGTTGTTTTAATTCCAGAAACTGAGTGATGACATTTTGCTAAGCTTCTGTCATATACGCCCTCATGAAGGGTGGGAAAATTTTGAACTCTGGGCTTCAGTTTATGTGTTATGTTTAGTAAGTGTGTAAGTAACTAAAGCACCTTTGTTTACTTGGTTTTGACATTTGGAGAATGAGGTTTTCTCACCACAAGATAGAATACCAAGTGAATCTTGTTCTTCACACGTTCCTGATAAAGATGAAGAAACAAATGATTGAGAAGTTAAATGATAATTAAAAAAATGTGGTAAATACCAAATGAATAGTGTAGGCAGAAAAGGGAATAAGAAAGAACTTTGGTGACGGTCATGGCAGCGGGAATGGTGGGCTATCCCTTTACCCCAAGTTCTGCATCACAGAGAACAGGTTTAATTTTTTCTATGTTCAGATAAAAATCAACCAAAAAATTCTTTTAATTTGTACTACTGCTAGGTAAATATTTCTGCCTACATTCCCCTAGGAGAAGATACTAATGCGTAAACTTATTCCACTACTACCCCAAATAACTGTTCAAACCCAAAGTAAAGACTTGGACCCCAAGCCTGAATCTGGTACATGTGATCCCTAGGTTGCCAGCCTTAAATATGTATAACTTTGCATTGAACCCAAGGTTAGATCTTGGGGGGGAAATCTTTGAGTTGCTATGTCCAAGGGAAAATGTCTATGAATGTGACCTGGGGCATCATGTCTTTTTGCCCAGACCCTGAGAGGACCTGCATCTGTTTTCAGACCAACTTCCATCTGGAACTTAATATCCGTACAAAATGGATGATTTTAGGGGACTGCCTGTGGCTTAGGCAGAATTGTAGAGTCAAACAGAGAAAGAAATCATCTTTTTAATAAACTGGTGCTATAGGATTTTCCAGTTTAAACTCCAGTTACCCTTCCTTTATCCCTCCTGAATTGGTTTTATAAGTTTAAAAGAACAGACAATGAAGTCCTGTCAGACTGGTTCACACAAACTCCACAGCACCTGACAGGTTTGAAAAACACTAACATTTGAGTATTCCCAAGTGTCACACACTATCTGCACATATTCTGGGTATATGAGTATGGAAAGGAAGGGACTTCTCCAAAATATTTTACAAACCCTGAATTCCTCTAATGGGGTTAGAAACTCCTTTCCTAAATCACAACTTCAAGAAAAAAACTTCTGGAATCCTACAATATAGTATCACCTCTAAATTTTTTCTGTCAAATCCACAGTACAATAAAGACTTCATAAATAAAACTTATAAATAAAATTTATAAATAAAACTTATAAATAAAATTCATTTATAAATAAATAAAATTTACAAATAAAATTTACAAATAAATTTATTTATAAATAAATTTACAAATAAAATTAATAAATAAATTTATTTATAAATAAAATTATTTATATGTACATAACATTTATAAATAAAATTTATGTATTTATAAATAAAATTTATGTATTTATAATAAAATAAAATTTATTTATTCATAAATAAAATAAAATTTGTAAGTAAAACTTATTTATTCATAAATAAAATAAATAAAAGAGTAGATGGGACTACAGGCCCAGATAATTGTTTTTTTTTTTGGTAGAGACGAGGTTTCACCATGTTGGTCAGGCTGGTTTTGAACTTTTGACCTCAAGTGATCTGCCTGCGTCAGCCTCCCAAAGTGCTGGGATTACAGGTGTGAGCCATGGCTCCTGGCAAGTCTTGCCTTTAAACATAAAATGCCAAGGAGTAACAAAGTGAAGGAAACAGACTTCCCAGAATTTTTGGTGCTATTCTTTGATAGCAATGGCACTAGTAAGAGGAGAAACCTACACTGTATTTTCTTTGTCCCTGATTGCCATGGAGTAGGTCATCCAGGGGAGGGGGTAGTGTGGTCTTTTGGAAGAATATGAAAAGGGGAGTTAGAAAGAAGAACGAAGGAGGTATGGTTTGTGATATGATCTTGCCCTTCTCAAGTAATTAGAAATTTGAAGGTGCTTGAGAGTATCAAATGTTACTAAATTGTACACATATTTCTAATTCCTTACTCCTAAAACATCACTTAATAAAATTCACTTAAAAAAAAAAACCTCTCATCAGAGGTGTCTAGTTTTTGATTTAACAGCAGGTGAGGATCTTAGAGGTTGCCGCCCCATTCTAGCAAGTAAAAAGTTAAACAGCCTGAAAAAATCAGCAACTCTTGTCAGGTCTGTAAGCAAAGTGAGGTCCCAGAGCAAATCGCTAATCCTAAAATTGGAGAGATGGACAAGTGACTACAGAGAAGCACAGCTTACCAGAGCAAAAATCTCCCTGGAAACCAGTAGGAAAACCTGAACTGTAATTTATGGATTGCTGAAGGCTCAGTATGGACAAGTCTGATAGATAAAATCTCTAGGGGAACCCAATCATTGTGGGGTCCCCATAATTTTGTGAGTTTTGCCTCCTGGAGTCCTAACAGGTTCTCTCAGTGAACAGTGAAGAAAAATCTCATTCTTCCAGCACAGGGAGGGGAAAAGATCTCACCTTGAAATACACCAGAGCATTCTGTTCTACTTAACAAGGTTGCCCTCAGGAGAAGCTATTTAACCAGAGCCTAACTTAATGTGGTTTTCTCAGAGTCTGCGTGTCCTGGTAAAAGAGAAATACCCAATCCCAGTCCCCTCTGGCTTCCAGATAGGGAAAGAGAAACCCAACTCCAGCCCAGTCCAGCCATCGTGCCTCATGAGAAAGGGAAGGGGACTGAAAAGCCCTTGTGAAGTTCACAGTCCAGGTAAAAGCTCAATAAACACTGACACCTATTCATGAGACCATAGGACACTTCTCCTCCTTTCACATCTTTCCACCATGTTACTAAAGTCCTGTTCACAGTAGTTTCTTTAACTCTATCCATCGTGTCCAGCTATCAAGAAAAAAATTACAAGCTGTCCTAAAAGACAAAAAGCATAATTTGAAGGGACAGAGGAAGTATTAGAACCAGACTCAGATATGGCCAGGATGTTAGAATTATCAGATCAATGATTTTAAACAACAATAAATAATGTGCTAAGGGATCTAATGGATAAAGTAAATAGTATGCAGGGACAGACAGATGATGTAATCAGAGAGATGGAAATTCCAAAAAAAGACCAAAAAGAAATATCAGTGATCAATCATACTATAACAGAATTGAAGAATGTATTTGATGGGCTTATTAGTAGACTAAAATTGGCCGTAGAAAAATCTTTGAGCCTGTGGATATCTCAATAGAAACCTCCAAAACAGAAAATCAAAGAAAAGAAAAACTGACAGGAACAGAACAGAATATCCAAGGGCTAGGAAAACTACAAAAGGTGTAACATGTGTGTAATGCAAATACCAGAAGAATAAGAAAGAGAGAAAGGGACAGAATAAGTATTTGAAATAATAATGACTGAAAATTTCCCCAAATTAATATCAGACACTAAACCCACCAATCCAGGAAGCTCTGAGAACACTAAGGAAGATAAATACACCCCCCCCCGCCAAAAAGTACACTTAGGTATATCATTTTAAAACTATAGAAAAATCAAAGATAAAGAAAAAATCCCAGAAGAAGCCAAAAGAACAGAAAACCTTACCCACAGAGAAGGAAAGATAAGAATTACATCCACCTTCTCCTCAGAAACCATGCAAGAAAAAAAAGAGTAGAGTGAAATATTTAACATGTTCAGGGGGAAAAAAAGCAACCGAACTAGAACTCCGTGAAATTATCTTCAAAAGTGAATGAGAAATAAAAACTTTCTCAGACAAACAAAAATTGAAGGAATGTGTTTCCAATAGACGTATGTAGCAAGAAATGTTAAGAGGTTTTTTTAGCAAGAAGAAAAAATATATAGGTCAGAAACTCAGATCTACATAAAGGAAAAGCATAGGAAAAGGAATAAATGAAAGTAAAATTAAAATTTTTAATTTTTTCATTCTTAATTGATCTAAAGGATAACAGTTTTTAAGATAATAACAATAATATGTATGTGTGTATACATGTGCTTATTTATGCTCATGTATAAATTAAATGAAATACAGCAATCAGACAAAGGATAGGAGGAAAGAATTAAGATTATTTTGTTATTATAAGGTACTATACATACTACCCATAATAAATGGTATAGTCTTATTAAAGTAGATTTGAATTAGTTATAAATGCATATGGCAAACTTCAGGGAAACTACCTTTAAAAAAGTATAACTGATGATCTAGGAAAGGAGAAAAAATAAAATCATATAAAATTCACAATTAAAATGTTAAAAGACAGAACAATAGTGTGCTATAGATTGAATGTTTGTCCCCCTCCAAAACTTATTTAGAGATTGAATTGCCAATGTAATGGTATTAGGAAGTGAGACCTTTTAGAGGTGATTATGCCTTGAGGGTGCCACTCTAAGGGGTGGGTTTTATGTCTTAATAAAAGGGTTTTCAGAAGTGGGCTCTCTCTCAACTCTTCTGCTTTTCTGCTGTGTAAAGAACAATATTCTTCCCCTCTGGGGAATTCAGCATTCAAGGTGTCATTTTGGGAGCAGAAACCAGGTCCTCAGCAGATACTAAAGTTGCTGCTGCCTTGATATTAGACAATATCAGCCTCTGTAATTGCAAGCCAATAGATTCCTATTCATTATGAATTACCCAGTTCGTGGTATCCTGTTATAGCAGCACCAGCAGATCAAGAAACATTGGAAGACAAAAATAGGAACAAGCAAGTAAAGCAATGAATTAAAAACAGTAATGAATACAATAGATACTAATCCAATTACATTAATAATCACTTTAAACATCAATGGTCTAAATGCACCAATTAGAGAACAAAGATGGTGAGAGTAAATCAGAAAGCAGGACACAGCTAGACGTTGTCTATAAGAAACACACTTTAGTTATAAAGACATACAGAATAAAAGTAAATGGATGGAGACAGATTAACCGTGCTAACACTGATGAAAAGAAAGTGGTGTCACTATTAATTTTAGACAGAGTAGACTTCAGAGCAAGGAAAGTTATCAGAGATTAAGAAGGGGTCAATGATAAAGGGGTCATTTCTCCAGGAAGATATAATAATCCTGAACATGTGTTTGCCAATAACACGATGTCAAAATATGACACAATAAGGGATTTTGGCATGTATTTCAAAACTCCTTGATCAGAAAAGGGACAGACCCAGCAGTCGAAAATCAATAAGAACATAGTAAAATTCAACAATACCATCAATTAACTGGATACAATTGACATTTAAAGAGTACTTTATTCAACAACAGTAGATTATATATTCTTCTTAAGCTCACATGAAACCACATGAGATCACAATTTGGGCCATAAAACACACCTCAACAAATTAAAAAAAATAGAAATTATACAATTTCCATTCGCATACCACAGTGAAATTAAACTACAAATCAATAGCAAAAAGGTAGCTGAAAAATCTGAAAATATGTGGAGATTAAACAACATACTTTTAAATGACTCATAAGTCAAAAAGGAACTATCCAAAAAAATTTAAATATTTTGAACTAAACAAAAATGAAAAAAATTAAAATTTGTGTGATACAATGAAAGCAGTGCTTACAGGTAATCTTACAGCATTGAATGCACATGTTACAAAAGAAGAAAGATTTAAAATCAATTATCTAAACTTTAACTTAGGAAACTGGGAAAAGAAGAGCAAATTAATTTCAAGGTTAGCATGAGAAAAGAAATAATAAAAGTTAAAGCAGAAATCAATGAAACTGAAAATAGAAATTCAATTTTTTAAAATCAACAAAACCAAAAGCTGGTTCTTTCTAAAGATCAATAAAATTGATAAGCCTCTAGCTAGGCCAAGTTATTAAAAATGAGAGAGGATGCCGGGAGTCGGGGCTCACGCCTGTCATCCCAGCACTTTGGGAGGCCGAGGCGGGCGGATCAGGAGGTCAGGAGATGAAGACCTTCCTGGCTAACACGGTGAAACCCCGTCTCTACTAAAAATACAAAAAATTAGCCAGGCATGGTGGCGGGCGCCTGTAGTCCCAGCTACTCGGGAGGCTGAGGCAGGAGAATGGCGTGAACCCGGGAGGCGGAGCTTGCAGTGAGCCGAGATCGTGCCACTGCACTCCATCCTGGGCAACAGAGCGAGACTCTGTCTCAAAAAAAAAAAAAAAAAAAAGAGAGAGGACAAAAGTTATAAATACCAGAAATGAAAGAGAGGGCATTACTATGAATCCCATGGACATTAAAATGATAATAAAGAAACACTATGAATGACTTTATGCCCATAAATTTGATATTCTAGAGGAAATAAACAAATTCCTTGAAAGATACAATCTGTCAGAACTCACAAAGAAAAAATAAAAACTCTAGCCTGTATCTATTTAAAAAAATTAAATCCCCAAACAGAAAGCACCAGACCCTATGGTCTCACTGGTAAATTCTATCAAACATTTAAAGGAAGAAATTATACCAATTTTCTACAATCTCTTTCTGAAGATAAAATCAGAGGGAATAATTCCTAACTTATCTATGAAGCCAGCATTTCCCTAATACTAAAAGCAGACAAAGACATTACAAGAAAAGAAAACTACAGACCTGTATCTCTTATGAATGTAAATGCAGAAATCCTCAACAAAATATTAGCAAATTGAAGCCAACAATATATAGAACAATTATACACCATGACCAGTGGGATTTATCCTAGGTATGTGAGGCTGTAGGCTCAGCATTCAAAAATTAATTGATGCTATCATCATACTAACAGGCTAAAGATAACAAATCACATAAGCATATAAATAGATGCAGATAAAGCATTTAACAAAATCCAGCACCTTTCATGTTAAAAACTTTCAGTAAACTAGAAACAGAGGGAAACTTCCTCACCTGATACATAGTATCTATGAAAATTATTATTCTGAATGGTAAGACATGAAAAACTTTCCTACTAAGATGAGGAACAAGGCAAGAACGTCCCTCCTCACCACTCCTTTTCAACATTGTACTAGAAATCTTAGTGCAATAAGACAAGAAAAGGAAATAAAAGGAATATTGATTGTAAAAGAATAAATAAAGGTGTCTTTATTTACAGATGACATGATTGTCTATGTAGAAAGTCTAAGAGAATCGACCAAAAACTCTTGAAACTAATAAGCTATTAATATATAGCAAGGTTGCAAGATAAAAGGTTAATATACAAAAAGTCAATTGCTTTCCTATTTCCTGCTTTCCTTTCCTGTATTTCCTTTAAATAAATCAATTTGACATTAAAAACGCAATACCATTTACATTAGCACCTAAAAAACAAAATACTTAAGAATAAACCTAACAAAATTTATGCAAGATCTATATTAGGAAAACTACAAAACTCTGATGAAAGAGATCAAAGAACTAAATAAATACATATTGCATGTTAATGAATAGGAAGACAATATTGTGAAGATGTCAGTTGTTCCCAACTTGGTGTATAGATTCAATGCAATCTCTATCAATATTCCATCAGTTATTTTGTAGATAACACTAAACTGATTCTAAAATTTATATGGAAAGGCAAAATATCAAAATAGTTAACTCAATATTGAAGGAGAAGAAGAAAGTCAGAGGACAGACATTACTTGATTTAAGATGCATTACAAAGCTATAGTAATCAAGACAGTATGGCAATAATAAACAAAAGATCAATGGAACAGAATAGAATACCCTGAAATAGACTCACATAAATATATTAGTTAATTAATCTTTGACAAAAGAGCAAAAGCAATTCAATGAAGAATTGATAGTGTTTTCAACAAATGGTGCTGAAATAATTGCACAGCCACATGTAAAAAAATTAATCTACATACAAACCTTACACCCCTCACAAAAAATGACCAAAATGGATCACAGACCTAAATGTAAAACATAAAACTATAAAACTCTTGGAAGCTAACAACAGAAAATCTAGAATAAGCTTATCGAACCCAGGGCCCACAGACTGCATGTGGCCCAGGATGACTTTGAATGCAGGCCAATCCAAATTTGTAAACTTTCTTAAAACATTACGAGATGTTTTTTGTGTGATTCTTTTCAACTCATCAGCTGTTGTTAGTGTTAGTGTATTTTTTGTGGTCCAAGACAATTATTCTTCTTCCAATGTGGCCAGGGAAGCCAATAGATTAGACACACCAATCTAGAAAACCTTGGGTTATTCTAGATTTTTTCAATATGTGACTTTTTCAATATGACATCAAAAGCTGGACTTCACTAAAATTGAAAATTTCAAACCTGTAAAAAACAGTGTCAAAAGAATGAAAAGACAAGTCACAGACTGGGAGAAGATATTTGCAAAAGACATACCTGATAAAGTACTGTTATCCAAAATACACAAAAAACTCACCAATAAGAAAACAAACAACATGATTTTAAAATGGTCCAGAAACCTTAACAGACACCTCACCAAAGAAGATACACAGACGGCAAATAAGTGTACAAAAAGATGCTTCACATCATGTGTCATCCGAGAAATGCAAATTCAAACAACAATGAGATACCACTACACACAAATTAGAATGGCCAAAATCCAGAACACTGACAATACCAAATGCTGCCAAGGATGAGGAGCAACAGGAACTCTCATTCCTTGCTGGTGGGAATGCAAATTTGTATAGCCACTTTGGAAGACAGTTTGGCAATTCTTACAAAACTAAATATACTCTTGCCATATGATCTAGCAGCTGTGTCCCTTGGTATTTATCCAAAAGAGTTCATGATGGTTAATTTTAGGTGTCACTTGACTGGATTAAAGGATGTCCAAATAGCTGGTATGGCATTATTTCTGGGTTTGTCGATGAGGGTGTCTCTGGAAGAAATTGACATTCAAATCAGTGGACTGAGGAAGGAAGATTCGCCCTAATTGAATGTGGGCAGACACCATCCAATCAGCTAAGGGCCTAGATAGAACAAAAACAAAGGAAAGGTGACTTCTCTCTCTTTCCTGAAACTGAGGTACATTTCTTCTCCTGCCCTTGGATATCAAAACTCCAGGTTCTCCAGCCTTTGCCATCTGAGATTTGCACCAGTGGCCCACCAGTTTCTAAAGCCTTCAGCTTCAGACTGAGGGTTATATTGTAGGCTCTAGTCCTTTACATTTGGACTGGCTTTCCTGGCTCCCCAGCTTCTAGATGGCCTATTGTGGAGCTCAGGCTCCATAATCCCATGAGCCAATTGCCCTAATAAATTCCCTCTCATCTGTCTATCTATCTATCTATCATCTATCTATCTATCTATCTATCTATCTATCTATCTATCTATCTATCATCTATCTATCTATCATCTATCTATCATCTCCTATTGGTTCTATCTCTTAGGAGAACTCTGACTAATGAAGAATTGAAAACTTAGGTCCACACAAAAACCTCTACACAATGTCTATAGCAGTTTTATTCATAATTGCCAAAACTTGGAAGCAACCCAGATGTCCTTTAGCAGGTGAATGGACAAACTATAGTATATGCATACAATGGAATATTGTTCAGTGCTAAAAAGAAATAAGTTGTGACACCATAAAAAGACACTGAAGAAACTTAAATGCATATCACTAAGTGAAAAAGCCAGTCTGAAAGGATTACATACAGTATGGTTTCAATTCTGGAAAAGGCAAAATTATGGATATAGTAAAAAGACAATGATATGCTCCCTTCAGAAGCATGTACACTAAAATGGGAGTGACACAGAGAAAATTAGCAGGGCCTTTGCACAAGGATGACATGCAAATTCATAAAGCATTCCACCTTTTATAAAAAGAGCAAACCCTCATGTAAACTATAAACTTTGGCAGGTGAGCTGCTGCTGCTGCATCAAGGTAAGCTCATCAGTTTTAACAAATGTACCACTCTCATGGGGGATGTTGATAATGGGGAAGGCTGTGCATGTGTTTGGGCAGGAAGTATTTGGAAAATCTTGGTCCCTTCAGCTCAATTTTGCTTTGAAACTAAAACTGTTCTAGCAAAAAGTCCAGTAGAAATAATAATTTTTTAAAAAAACTACCCTCTACTGTGAAACACAGTCCCAGACCTGGGGGGCATGGATAAAGATTTCTTTAAGCAAATTCTGCGTGCATTACACTAACATTATAGTAAAACTCAATTACTTGAACTCCTTTGCCTATGTGCTTATTTCTACATTTCTTCTTTTATTGGTGTTTCTAAACTTACATTCAACAGCTGGAATGTGAAGAGGACAAAAAGAAAGAGGGGAAAAAATATGAGTTAAATTGTTGGTAGCATAAGATGCTTGGCAAAGTAGGGAAGAGTCCTCCTCGCTTCTTAATGAGTTTTTACATAAAAGGCCCAGGAACTGAGCCAAACCTACAGTGTTCCTGAATAACATAAGCAACTTGGAAAAGATTTCACTAAGTGAAGCAGGAGTGCTCTAAAGCCCTGGGCTATAGGCAGAAGCCTATGGGGGTTTATACTGCTGAACTGTCTCAACAGTTTCTTTCTTAAACTTGACTTCCACTGGAGACAGTGTCTTAGGCATGGTAGTGAAATACAGTGGTGACTGGAGCAAGCCAGGTGGTACTATCTATGTTCAAGACAAACTTGTTTGCTCCTTAGAGGTCTTCTGGGGAACTGCAGGTAGGGGGATGAGAGGGGAAAGCTGCAAAAATGATGCTTGCTATTATTTTGCCACCTGACAATGGTTTACCCAAAGGTGGAATAGACATAGTCTCTACCTCAATTCTGTGTCATCATTTTTGCCTGAAGGTTTCAAAATAGCTTCCAGTCTTTCCCATGTCTGGTCTGTCTTTTATTTTGCTGTCAGATCTTTCCAAGTTATGAATGAGATTAGTGCCTGGTGATAATAGACCCTCAAATATCTGCTGAGTAAATGAAGTTTCTTCCTATGATTAAAACCCTCCTATGGCTTCTACTTTCTTATACTGTAGAGTTTCAATTCCTTAACATGGTGTCTGAGACTTCAAGTCTTCATGCATCCTCTTCTTTTCTAGGTTCTTATCACATGCTCCTCTTTGTGATTCCCTAACTTTGAGCTGTTCTGGTATGTTTCAAAGCATTTACATGTGCTAGTTCCTCTGGGTCTCATGCCTTCATTCCTACTCTGTCTTGAAAGTTTCTGTTCCTTCTCAGTCCTGCTCCTCAATGAAATCTTCCTCGGTGGTATCCAGACAGATTGAGCTGGTCCCATTATAGGAGTTTCAATGAAACTAGTAAAATGTATTCTGCTTTCAAGTACATTATAAATGGTTGTTTACATGTTTGTCTCTCTTGTTAAATGATGTCTTTTTAGGGAAGAGCTCTCAGCTTGACTGTCTATGTCAAAGTATGGATCATGTGGAACAAATAAAAGCAATGGGGGTAGGCAAACCTAGATGAGACTTCGGGCTTCCCCTGCCCAGTGTGCGACCTTAGTAAAAGTAATTAATTTCTCAGAAATTCAGTTTTCTCCTTTAAAAAAATGTTACTTCGGATGGGTCAGCAATTGACAAATAAAATTTTTATTTCTGAATAAAATAAAGTGTTAAAGAAGTAAATGACAAAAAAAAATGTGGGGTGTATGTGTAATTGCCAGATTTCCAAATAATTATTTTAATACTTAATGATTTTTGGACTCTGTTATCAAAGCTCTTTTTGTCCCGTTACAAACACAGCATTGACAAAGTATGTTCGAGTCATAGGCTTTTGAATTACCTGTGATTCTTTGTGAAAATAAAAGACTAAGACTCATGTGACTTCCTATTCAAAGAAGTCACAATTATATAGTAGCATCAAATAAGTGAATACACTGAGATAGTAACATAGGTATGAAATTAACCAATCAAAGCCAAAATATAGAGCTATATTTAGTTCAGAAGTTAGAATTTCAGATCTACAGGTTTGTGCCTGGTCTACAAGGAAACAAATAATTTAAAAATCATCTAGTTCCCAGGTATTCTTATTTATTCCAAGCCATCCTGCTATATTTGTGTTTGCTTCTTTAATTCTTAAGTGTAAAAGTGAGGATAATTGGAGGGAAACTAAGATGAGTGATGTATTATTACCAAAGATTTAAAATTTAGAATTGCACAAAAACCCGTGGACTTCCAAAACCATTCCCAAAGAAGAACGTGTTGCCAGGCTCATGAAAAAGGATTTTTCAGTTTGAGTTCAGTATCTAATATCTCTTTGTTGTAAAGAAATTGTAAATTAATTGTATTCTGAATGTTAAGTTTTAAAGGCATAACTAAATCTAATGTAAAATTTAGGCTCATAAAATTCTTTACTTTTAAAGAGTAGAATTTTCTTTTACTTTTATGAACACAGAGAAAAAAGAATAAAACAAAAGTTGCCATTTTAAAAAACACCTCCACAATTTGGAATTTGGTTGTTCTCAAAGGATAAAACTTCTGCCAAATGGATGACAAGCTGTTATCAGGCATAATAGGAGGCTTCTGTGGGAGTAGGCGATGGATTAATGCACAGAAGTTGCATCACATTTTGAGCTCAGATACTCTTTGAAACAGAAAGAGTCTAAATTTCAAAGCTTGTACTAATCTTTCTTAATAACTCTAGCACTTATTCATAGATGTCCAATATAAATGTGTATTAACCCTAGAAATAAAAACATCAACTTTCTAAAGAAATATTATTTTCAATGTCTTCTTACCTCATCACGTTCTTGGAAATCTAAATGACTCAATATGTCAAAGAATGCTAGTGAAAAATAAAACCATCCTTTTTTTTTTCTTTTTTTGAGACAGGGTCTCACTATGTCACCCTGGCTGGAGTGCAATGATGCCATCATACCTCACTGTAACCTCAAACTCCTGGGCTCAAGCAATTCTGTTGCCTCAGCCCTCTGAGTAGCTAGGACTACAGGCATGCACCACCACATTTGGCTAATTTTTTTAATCTTTTTGTAGAAGCAGGGTCCTGCTAGGTTGTCCAGACCAGTCTTGAACTCCTGGCCTCAAGCAATCTTCCTGCCTCGGTTTCCCAAAGTGCTGGGATAACACAGGCATGAGCCACCATGTTCAGCCAAATCCACACTTATAGGTTAATAAAATATGAATTCACAATTAAGATAGAAGGAAAACTAGTAATCAAGATTTATTGAGTATACTGTGCCCAAAGAGTATAGGTTCTTTAGCATACTTTTATTATTGACTACTTACAGCATCTACTAAGTATGTTTTATTATTCTCATTTTTAAATTAGATACTGAAATGTCAAGAGATTCTGATTTATTGAGGATCATATAGCTGGTTTGTTATGCAGACAAAACTCAAAACCAGGGTTTTTGTGGATTTTTTTAAGGCCCTGCTTATCCAAAAGTTGTGCCATTTTTAATTTTTTCCTAGTGTTACAAAATTTTTCCCACATATAAACAACATAGGAGCAGTTAAATTGAACAGACAGTTCTCACAATATAGGAGACATAAATCACTTCCTGGGATGAGATATTATAAACTTATCTAAGCATCAACATTTTTTGGAAAGACGCCAACATCATTGTACAAGGGAGTTCCCTGAAATGAGCCAAACAAAACCCTTGAAAACAGAATCCTATGAACCATTCATTTGATATCCTCTGGGGAAGTAAATAAAGAATCCTCATCCCACATGGTCATGCACCCTGCCGGCCATCCCATCTTTGGGAAGGGTCAGACTGCATTCCTGGGATGTTTGAGGTCATTATGAGACGTTGGTTTTTGTTCCCATCCACACCCATTATGAAGGAAAATAGTGTTCAAATTCAGTTCAAACAGTGTTCAAAAACTAACCCTTTACAACACAGAGCTCCATCTATTCTTGAGCTTGAAAATAGTCTTCCAGGTAATTTCATAGCAATAGCTTGATTCCTAAAGAGTGCAGGAAACTCATCTTACTTTATTTTTAATATTGAGGAATTATCATTTGCTGCCCTCAATAGCTAGGTAAAATAGCTAAGAAATTAGGAGTGAGGCATTTTCCTTCTAATCTGAGAGAGAAGATATGCCGTGGATACAAAAGATGATCACTGCAAGGAGCACATACTTATGTAACTCAGGTTGACTCATAATATGTCATTTTGCTTTGTTGGGATTAGTGTATAGAAAGTTAAGCGACACTATTCCATGTACTTTGTTAATCGGGGATAGTAAGTGAAATATCACATTCTACCTGTTTATCTCCTTAAACATATTCCTATTTCATATTCAAAGGGACATGGTAAGAGAACTAAACCATGGTCAACATTTGCAGTAGGAAGAATAGGTACTTTTAGCTTTAGACTCTCAAAACATATAACATTTAAATGAATCTTGTTAAGATTTCATTTAACTGATGCTCACCATCAGGTAATATAGAAGTCAGCAGAAGAAAAGCTTCCAGAAATGCCTGGAAGAGACATTAACCTCTAATTCAACAGTAGTTTTTGCTCCAATAAAACAATAATCTTCATTTTTCTCTTTTTGTTTTTTGTTTGTTTGTTTGAGACAGAGTCTTACTCTGTCACCCAGGCTGGAGTGCAGTGGCGTGATCTCAGCTCACTGCAACCTCTGCCTCTAGGGTTCAAGCGATTGATTCTCCTTCCTCAGCCTCCTGAGTAGCTGGAAATACAGGAGTGTGCCACCACGCCTGGCTAATTTTTGTGTTTTTAGTAGAGACAGGGTTTCACCATGTTGGCCAGGCTAGTCTTGAACTCCTGACCTCAGGTGATCCACCTGCCTCAGCCTTTCAAAGTGCTGGGATTACAGGCTTGAGCCACCGCACCCAGCCTCATCTTCATCTTAGGGTCCAAGAGTTCAAACAAGTCTGCAATGCATCCAACTGACGAAGGTGAACTTTCCAGAGAAGAGGCATTTCTTTCTTCCTTTCTTTTTTTTCTTTTTTGAGATGGAGCCTTGCTCTGTCCCCAGGCTGGAGTGCAGTGGCATGATCTCGGCTCACTGCAACCTCAACCTCCTGGGTTCAAGCGATTCTCCTGCCTCAGCCTCCCAAGTAGCTGGGACCACAGGTGCACGCCACCACGCCCGGCTAATTTTTGTATTTTTAGTAGAGACGGGGTTTCACCATGTTGGCCAGGATAGTCTCCATCTCTTGACCTTGTGATCCACCCACCTCGGCCTCCTAAGTCGCTGAGATTACAGGCTTTCACAACATGCTTCCCGACACGCATGATCTGCTCAGGGAAGGTCAGAGAATCCTTTCCATACTTGCCCTTTCTCGAATTCCTTAAATTTAAAAAACTCAAGATGACAAACTGTCGTATTTTAGGGTGTATTGTGTTCTAAATCCCATCACCTATTTGATCACCTTTTAAGGGAACACTTCACCAGCAAGAATTCTCTGAATTAAAAGATGTCAGAAAATTCTCTTCATATCACAGTGAATTTAGGAAAACAGGTATTCTTCGTCCCTTGTCTCAATTTTATTCATATTAATAGAGATCTTTCAAATAAAAACTATGAATAAACATTTAATATGCCATTTTTCTAAGCCTCTAAGACTTCAGTTTGACCCATTTAGGGTCAGTGTGAATCCAGGTGACCATATGGAGGCACCGTCAGGCCACAGCCCGCTGTCCGTCCATCAGAAGTGTACTGGGAGGGAGGTTGTCTTTCAGAGATCTAGCATGTCTGGTTACTGAGAGCAGAAATTAGTCATCTTCTGAATCAAAGTAACTTAAGTTGGATATAGGAAGTAATTTTCACATTAATATACAATAGTTTATCTACAGGAGGCTATTCTTCATAGAAATTTCAGCTCCCTGATCATACAGCACTCATTATAGACTCTGCGGGATGATTGTCATTAAAGCAGATATGTCCTTGACTTTGTCATAGGGTCTTGAAGCTCATTTCTGTCTTTTGCTACAGGTCCTGGAGCCTCTGGGCTTTGTACAAGACAGAGAGCTTTATATAAATTAAACAAGTCCAAAGATGTCTCGTGCATATTCTAGATGGTTATATAGTAAACTTCACCTTAACAAGGGCTCTATCCCAGTGCTTCAGAAAAAGAATTTGATCACACAATGGAAATTCAGACGGTCCCATATCTGGTGAGTAATCCTAGCTCATTACCTAGCACTCCGTCTCTACTTTATCCCTCTTTAGTTTTTACTTCTTGTGGTAATTTCCAGGAGGAGTAAAAAATTGTTGATGTTTGTGAAATACGGCCCTCAATAGAAAGTTCAAACTTGAATACAATGTAGAATAAATGATGACTACATAAGAGTCAAAAATCATCTTAACTGCTAAGACTCTACTTGACAGTCATTCACAGTATAAAATAGATAAAATCTTTGTCTTAGTCCATTCAGGCTGCTGGCTATAACAAAATGCCATAGACAAAGTAGCTTATAAACAATAGGAATTCATTTTTCATGGTTCTGGAGTCCAGGAAGTCCAAGGTTGAAGCTCTGGCAGGTTTGGTGTCTAGTGAGGGTCCCCTTTCTTGTTTATAGATGGCGTCTTCTCACTGTGTCTCACATGGTGGCAAGGGTTAAGAGAACTCCCTGGGTCCTATTGCGTAAGGTCATTAATCCCATTCACAAGGGCTCCACACCCATGACCTAATCACCTCCCAAAAGACCCCACCCCCTAATACCATCACCTGGGGGTCAGGACTTCAACATATGAATTTTGGAGAGACAGATACTCAGACCATAGCAATCTTCTTATCTCATTTGCATGCCTGTCTGAGACCAAAATGAAGTGTTTTCAAAGAGTATCTTCTCTGTTGTTTATATTCTACTTCTTCCAGGTGACCTTTCCCTTATTCTAACACCTTGTTTCTATGTTCCTGATCTGATGTTCTCAAAATTACTACCTTGCTTTTGGCTACCTATACCAATTTAGACCATAAAGCATTTGTTGCTACTAAGGTTTTTCTTGTGCATCTTATCTGCCAGTCTCCCAACATGGTCTACTGCCTGCCTTCCTTGCCACAGTTGTCTGTGGCCTTCCAAGATGACATTGAATTGATTCGATGAGTTCTTGAGAATATAGACTAGGATTTTTGAGGCCTCCATTTCCATTTTCTTCTCACCAATAGCGTGCCACTGGACAGGTTACCTAAAAACCCTTCAACTCACTTAGTTCAGTCATGGAATAGAGAAAAGTATCTTCATAGATGGTTAGGAGGGGCACGTGTAAAAAGGCTTTGTCTGCTCACAAATGAGAAGTTTTGATTTAAGACAACAGCAGAAGTCTATTACTCTAAGAGTAATAGTGAAAATGACACCCTTCCTATTTACTCTGGGAAAAAGTTATGGGCAGTAGGGGGTGGTACCAATTGTTTACTAAAATCTGAGAGAAAGCATTCTTCAGGAAAAGGGGACTTGATTGTCTTTTCAAATTAAACAGAGAATTCATCCATCAATGTTTCGTACCTTCCCAGCTAGCAAATTTCTTTCTTGGTATAAATGTATTAGGAAAGATAATTGCCAATTTACAAAAAGAAATGATAGTTCTTAAAGAGATATTGCATATGCTTGGGCATAACTTAATGAACCATTCTTCTGAATCAGTTACATTCACACAGTACTAATCAAACCCCAGCCAAATTACTTTGATTTTACTTTCTCCAAAATCTATTTTGGGTAGAAAGTTAATTTATATCTATCTCATGAACCTCAAATTTAGTCTTCTTGTATATTTTAATTAGATAAATACTTTATTCATATCCCCTCTCTTCTTCCCACAACCTCCCTTTTTATTCCTCCCATTTTCATTAATATGGCTTTCCTTCCAAAAGGGTTTGATGTTTCCATATGTTCATTAGCATCTTGTCCAGAAGAAAGAACAAGACATGGAGGAAGAGTCTTTATTTGTGAGCTTGCTGTTCTCTCTTGAATACGCAAAGCTCTTTCTACTGATATATTTGGGAAGAAAAATATTCTAGGTATAAAGGAGAATCTGAGCACAGTTATGTTCTTTGGTTGGTAGATCTCATTTGCAAGAGGTTTTTACTGGACTCAGATTAGAGCCTTCAGATGGAATAATTCAAGGGTAGAATTTCAAAGCAGATACTACCCCCAATTTTATGCAACTAAAGGTGTCATTTTGGAGATTCCTATTTTTTGTGGACCAGAAACCCAGTTTATTGATTCAATCAATGATAGGTGCTGTGGAAGTTTTCAGATGTTTTCAGATGTCCTTCAGAGAGGTTTATGGATTTAAAACAATATCAGATAAACTAAGTTCTGGATGATATTTAAAAAAATGCCAGGAGTCCTGTGATAACCTATTCTTCTCAGTATGTTTCTTATGTCAATTGCTTTTTATTTCAGACAAAACCCAAGTTTTTCTATTTGTTTTTTATATGCCAATATGTAAGATAATATGATGATAATAATAGCTCCCACTTTTTGAATGCCTACTGTGTGTCAGATGCTAAGTGCTTGCCTCTTTTTACTTTTATATCAACTTGACAAGTTTTATAGATGGGAAATCTAAAGATCAAAGAGGTTAAATAACTTGTCTAAGATCTCAGAAGTCATAAAAAATGGAAATGAAATTTGAACCCATGCCCGAATCCAAATTCCTTGTTTCTTCCTCTATACCAGACTATTTCCATATTATGTTTCTTACTGTGTGATGAAAGCCAATGTATAAAATACCAACGTCAACAGTTTTCCAAATATGTCACTTATTTTAGCAAACAGTTATTTGTCAGAGTCAGCTAGTGTATTAGTCTGTTCTCAAGCTGCTAATAAAAACATACCTGAGACTGGGTAATTTATAAAGAAAAGATGTTTAATTGAGCCACAGTTTCACATGGCTAGGGAGGCCTCAGGAAACTTACAATCATGGCAGAGGGAGAAGCAAACACATCCTTCTTCACATGGTGGCAGGAGAGAGAATGAGAGCCAAGTGAAGGGGGAAGCCCCTTATAAAACCATCACTCACTATCAGGAGAACAGTATGAGGGAAACCGCCCCGATGATTCAATTATCTCCACCTGGTCTCTGCCTCGACACATGGGGATTATGACAATTCAAGATGAAATTCTAGGTGGGGACATAGCCAAGCCATATCAGCTAACTTCACTGACCTTTTGTATATATATATATGGTCAAATGGAAGGTGTTTCACCCACTCACCTGTTATCCCATTCCCCGCTCCCACCTTCCACTGATGGGTGAAGCAAATCCTGATGTTGGTTAAAAAGGCCAAAAACTTAGGCAAAGCTTTCTATAATTAACTCTCATTTATTCATTCTGTGACATGTCTTTGAGCCACAAGACAATTCTCCCCTTTCTGAAGGAGTAAACCTTTTCAGTTTACTATTAATTTAATATTTTTTAAAATATTTGCATGCCACATGCTTGATATCTATCCAAGCATAAATCATTAGATATTTTGTAAAAGATATTGGCATCTTCTTCTTTCCATTCCATTAGTGGCATTGATAAATAATGTTTGCTATTGATAGAGTCAAAGGAAATATTTCAGGAAGGAGCAACACTTGTAAACACAATCGTCTATCTGGAATGCTCATGATAACCACAGGAATTGTAATATTGCATGTTTCCAAACTAAAATATCCAGAGAGCTTTTCTACCTTTCTCGCTTCATTTCCCACCTCGTCATAAATTTTCAACTAATATTGGGGAAATTAGTCACAAATCCCAAATTAGTATTTGTAATTATCATCAAAATAGTAAGATAATAGGGAAATCGCATCAGTTTCCAGACAGCCAGAAGATTTTTTAACCACTAATTTACTGAATATTTAACATGCCAAGCTTAGTGACAGAATTGGAGCTGCAAATATATATGATTAAAGAAGAACTAAATAAATTAACATATTTTGAAAGATTTGGGAAGTGATAAATAATCGGTGATACATAATTGAACAGTATGCAGACATTAAAACTGATGGTTTCAAAGACATGAAATAATGAAAGGAAGCAGAAGGCACTCATATGTATAGTAGGATTACTGAATCATCAAATAAAAAGAGAAAAACAGCTAGATCCTAGAAAAACTTGCAATGAGTAAAGCCAAAATTATACTAATTTTTAATAAGTAATAGAATTATAGGTGATTTTATTTCTCTTCCTTACATGTAGCAGCTTTCTAAAAACATTGCAAATAGAGGATGGTTGAACTTCTGGAGGAATGGACAGAATGCTAGACAAGAGGATGAGATAAATGCCCTAACCTTGCCTAAGGAATTTAGCAAGACATCACAACACAGTTGAGCTAAAATGTAAGGATAGGTTTGTCAGGCAAGTTGTGGCAAGGAGGGCATTCCAGACACGGAAAAATGAAAGCACCTGGTAATTTCCATGGCAATGGCAGCGTGTCCTGTACTTGGCCTAAGCATATCAAGACTGAAATATCTGAAGCATTATTAGCTCATAATCACAGTAAGTTTCTTCACAAGGGGGCCTTAAATAAGCAAATAGGAATTGATGTGAGAGCAAAAAGAACTG
The DNA here is from genome assembly GCF_000001405.40 of Homo sapiens. NCBI lineage: Eukaryota > Metazoa > Chordata > Mammalia > Primates > Hominidae > Homo > Homo sapiens. Next base: position 15,625,017 of record NC_000021.9, read on the forward strand.
CTTGAGATGGTACAACAATATGTGAAATTGATTTCAAGTAATTTTGACAATACCATTATGCTTCAATGCTATAATTGCCTATTGCCCACCTAATGGGACATTCTTAGGTTATTTGTCCTTCATCCTATGCAACTTGCAGTGATTGTAATGAAAGATGGCCATAAGGTAAGGATGAAGAGAGATGTCAGGCTCGTGATACTCTGCCCTTCAGTCAATAATGCTAGCAGAGGCTCTTTAATGAGAAGGGGAGTGACAGACTCAGGTTTATTTCTATAAGAAAATAATTTAGCTGGGCGTGGTGGCCCACCCCTGTAATTCCAACACTGTGGGAGGCTGAGGTGGGTAGATCACTTTAGTCCAGGAGTTCAACACCAGCCTGAGCAATATGGCAAGACCCTGTTTCTACAAAAAATACAAATGATTAGCTGGACATAGTGGTGTGCGTCCTGAGTAGCCCTAGCTACTCAGGAAGTTGTGGTGGGAAGATCACCTGAGCCCAGGAGGTCGAGGCTTCAGTGAGCCAGGATTGCACCACTGCATTCCAGCCTGGGCAACAGAGTGAAAGTCTGACACATACATGCACATGCATGCACACACACACACACACACACACGCACACACACACACACATGCACAGAAGAAGAAAAGAAGGAAAGAAGGAAGAAAAGAAGGAAGGAAGAAAGGAAGGAAGGGATTCTTGTAGATTCAGGAGGATCATCTGGAAGGGGAGACAAGCTAGGGGCAGGAAGGACAGAGGGAGGGCTGTTAGAATGGTTTGGGGCAATAAGAGAAAAAGAAGAGGCAATAATTGTTAGAAGTTGCCAAGATAAAGTCTCCTTTGTTAAATTACTCACTAACTCTACGACCTTGGGTAAGCTTCTTTGCCTCCATTTCTTTACCTGTAAATTGAGTCATCGACCTTCTTCAAAATACCATTGTGGGAATTAACACAGGAGAAAGCATTTTATAAGGTTTTAAACCCTACAAAATCCAAAGGCTTTATCAGCTCTACTTCATTAATGTTATTAGCAGTAATAATATTAGTATTCCTATTGCAACATCCTCACAAGGCACACATTTTGAAAACATAACCAAAGACAGACAAGAAAATCAAGTAAGAATTTCTGCTTATAGTAAGAACATTTCTAAGAATATGGTGTAGCAGTTATATGGATGTATTTCATAATGCAAGATTTCAGTACTTCTCTAAAATAAGATATGAAGATTACAGCTTTCATTTGAAAATAAGAAGTAAAAATGAATCATTGGCTTCTATCACCTACTCTTATGGTATTGGGAAATCACCAAATAAAATGTTTATTTTCAAAAATGTATATTTTATCTGGCTAACAGTAGTGTTACTACAGCTTGAATGGGTGGAATATTTCTCAAGGATATTTTTTTAGTTGGGGTTTCTTCTTCATGATCCTTTGAATAAAGGAGAGGAATCTTTTGTTGTTTTCATGAGTTTTTTTTTGCAAAATTCTCATTTCTTTTAAATCCAATTTAAAGAAAAAATACTTAGACTAAAATTCCTTATGTTTAATATTAAATACAAATAAAACTAAGAATAAATATTTTAAATTTGTAACATAACTACAACCATGAAACCAAGTAAAATTCCAAGAATTATCAAGCAAAAACAATTTAAATATTCAAATTAATAATTCAATGTGATCAATGATACTGAGTTTGATGACAGAATGATATAGCCTTCGATCTGGTTTTACGTTTGATCTGTTTATGTATATTTTCACGAATCCTACTAATGTAAGAATTGCCTCTTACATTTATATACTATATAAAGCAGAATTGTTAAGACAGTTAGCTCAGAATAATCACAATTTACCCAACAAGCAGTCTTCAAGTGCCAATCTAAGACGTGAAAAACGAAAAAGACTATTTGTTTGCTTAACGTTTCAGTTAGCATCGTGGCTTTGTTGAAATCAACATTAAATAATTTTTATTTTATTGATTGCTAAAATTGAAAGTAGCAAATTTCTTTATTGCATATTTAGTGCTCACTTACCTTGGCTGAATTATTGTAGGTCAGTATTAGAAACATCTCCATAAAGCAGCATTTGCCACATGAATGTGGTACAGATGTACTGATTGACTCAAGACTTATCTATTTCAACTACTCAGAAACCTTGATTGTGCAGTCACTTGGCATCCACTTTGCACAAACATTATCATCACCATAGACTCGGGCGTTGATGTGACTGAGAGATCCATTATAAGACTGGCATCTACACGATGCAGAATTCAAAGAAAGCTATTTTGGACACTCAAGATGCTATCTACAGACCTCAATCTGAGATCTTGTCATCATCTGAAGCAAATTCTAATTTGTGTTTATTGATGAGAAAAGCATTCCAAATTACAGTTCCCTTTAAAGGAACTATAAGATCTATAAGACATTATAAGATTTTTGTAAGATCTTTATAAGATCTTATAGAAATTTTTAACTATAAGATCAAAATTACAGCTAAGACAACAGAAAAACAATATGATTGAGATTTATTGCCTTAGAAAAAGGAACACAGTTAATTAACCCAGACTTAACCTGAGTAAGAGCTCTGGTGAACAGACAATACGCAATTTAGAGAATATAGACAAAACTGACATGTTGATCAGTCTCTAACAACGTTTGCAATCTAAGCAGGAAAGAAGCTGAAGTGAGGTTAAAGTACAGGTTTAAAAAGTATGCACATATATATTTTGTTAACTGTCCTCATTTGTTCAGAGCCAAACAGGCTGTTAGGGAGAAAACTACAAAAGAAGGGAAACACAAAAGCACTTATCTTCAACAGAAAATAAGTCAATCCCTGATAATTATTTCGTGATTTACACAGAACAATGCAGGCATATAGATACATGTTCCCTTTAATGTCGGGTCTTCGCAAAAGCTATGTGTTTATACTGCCACAAAAGTGACGGTAGCCATGCCACATTAATCACGTTTTGTTTACCAGCTAAATCCTAATGGCCTTTGAGAAATGGCTCAGTAAGAGCAGGCTCTCCTTAGGGCCACCTCTAATCAAGTGATTAGACTGATTGGGAAAATGGCATGACCCATCAAATAAACCCTTGGTATCACGTGTTTGTTTTTTAATCACTCATTGCCAACACGAGATTATTATTTTTCAATTGTACATTTTTCCCTATGATTATGTCTGTCAAGGACTAAGATACATGACATTTATTCTTCTATAAATTTGTTACCATGAATATGACATTTACTCTTCTGTGAATTTGTTATTTCTAAGATATCGTGTCTTAGGTTTGCTTAAATCAATATAAAAAACATCAACTCTTATGTCTGAGGTGATTGTTTTCCCAGTATGTCTTTTAATTTTACTTGTAGTTTTTTGAGTGATTTTTGGTAGTAATAACTTTTTGTTTTGTGTTAGAAAGTTATCTGAATCCAAATACCTACACACACACACACACACACACACACACACACACACACAGAGAGAGAGAGAGAGAGAGAGACAGAGAGAGAGAGAGACAGAGAGAGAGAAACCGTTTTTATAACTATTCTAAAGCTTTTTTTTAACTTTGTATTTTAAAGTGTTTTTTTTTTTAACTTTAACTTTTCAATTCATCTGAATTTTCCATTGAGAGAGGTGCAGATCCACACTGTTTTAACATCTCTCTCTTCTACCTTGGAACATCTTGACCTCCAAGTCTACTATCAAATGCATTGTTTCCACAAGAGCTCACAATTAGCTCCTGGCTTATTTCAGCTGATAATGATGTCAACTTTTTGAGCTTTCATTTTTTTAACAGGATATTAGAAAACCAAAATCCTTTCAGACCTAAAAGACTGGGCATTTAACAAGGAATGTATTTAGATTACAAAAGATAATTAAATATCTCCATATTTTTGGAATGGAGCGTCTACCTAGAAATCCTAAAATCTTACTGGCTAGATCTCAGCCAACTTGTAAACAAGTGATTTTTTTTTTCTCACATGGACTTTCTGAAAATACATATTTTAAAATCTCCTACATATAAAATGTTAGCATATTTGGAGCCTACTCACAATCTTAACTGATGTCAAACATTAGATATTTGTAAATGTCAAAGGCCCTATAGGTGGCCCACCGAAGTAGAAAGTGGGGCAACCTGTTTTGCTTGTTTTAATGCATTCTTGAAATCCACCACTTTGGTTAAGATCTATAGATAGCCTGTTGGTTGGAAGTACTGGGTTATTTCTAGTTTCCTCACCGTGTGTGTGTGTGTGTGTGTGTGTGTGTGTGTGTGTGTGTGTGTGTGATGAGGAAGCTATCCAGCTTTATTCATTGGATCAGGTATTTGATTCTGGTCTGTTTACTTATAACCAAAGCACTACGCAGTAAACTTAAACTATCACAGGATCTTTGAATTTGACTCTTCCTGAAAATCTGGAGTTTTTACAGCGGGGTAGAGTTTCAGAATATTTCCATTCATCTCTTATATGTAAATAACACACGACTAGAAACTGAAGTGACTATAGAACAAATTAATTTGAATACTATCCAGCCTTGGAGGAAAATTTCTAGATATTTGTATGTAGTAGGTCTAAGAAGTATGAATAATGGCAATGAGAAAAACCTTTCAGGCCGAGCACAGTGGCTCACACCTGTAATCCCAGCAGTTTGGGAGGCTGAGGCAGGCAGATCACTTGAGCTCAGGAATTCAAGACCAGTCTGACCAACGTGGTGAAACCCCATCTTTACTAAAAATACAAAAACTAGCCAGGCGTGGTGGCACACGACTATAATCCCAGCTACTCAGGAGTCTGAGGCAAGAGAATCTCTTGAACCCTGGAGGTGGAGGTTGCAGTGAGCCAAGATGGCACCACTGCACTCCAGCCTGGGTGAGAGAGTGAGATTCTGTCTTGGAAAAAAAAAACAAAAAAAAACCTTTCTGAATGTTAGTTCTTTTACCTAACTTAATACTTAAGACTTCAGATTAAACAGTAATTTTATTTGAAAATGCAGGTAGAAATCAAATGGAAAAAAAATTACCAAAATAAGAAAACCTGTCCATACTTAGATGAAACTGTGCGCCAATTCTGCAGTATGCCTGGGTGACAGAGTACACAATCATTATGCATTTAAATTCATCTAGTCTGTATGGAAAATCGCCCTGAGTATAACTGACTATAACTATAACCTTGACCAATTCAACTGAATGCCATTTTGTTAAATAAAATATGAGGGCAACAAGATAAAAAAAAATAGATACATTGGATTGCATCAAAATTTTAAAAATCTTTTGTGCATGAAAGGATATTGTCAACAAAATGAAAGGCAACCCATGAACAGAAGAAAATATCTGCAAATCATACATCTGATAAGGGGTAAATATCCAGAATATATAAAGAAAACTCAACAATAGCAAAAAAACAAACAACCTGATTTAAAAATGGTCAAAGATCTTGAATTAACATTTCTCGAAAGAAGATTTACAACTGGGCAATAGCACATGGAAAGATGTTCAACATGTCTAATTATTAGGGAAATGCAAATCAATACCACAGTGGGATACCATTTTACACCTATTAGGATAGTTAATATTTAAAAACAGAAAGTAACAAGTGTTTTTAAGGAAATTGGAACCCTTGTACATAGCTGGTGGGAATGTGAAAAGAGGCAGACGCTGTGGAAAATGGTACGATGGTTCCTCAAAAATTAAACATGGAATTACCATGTGATCCATTCCACTTCTGTGTATGTACCCAAAAGAACTGATAGCATGAATGGATATTTGCACGTTCATGTTCATAGCAGCACTATTCACAACAGCCAAAACGTGAAAGCAATCTAAGTGCCCATTGATAGATTACTGGATAGACAAAATGTGGTATTTACATACAATGAAATAGTATCCAGCCTTAAAAAGGAAGGAAGTTCTGGCATATGCTATAACATGGATGAACCTTGGAGACATTATGCTGAGTGAATAAATCATCATAAAAGTATAAATACTGTATGATTCCACTTACATGAGGGACCTAGAGTAGTCAAATTCATAGAGAAAAAGTAGAAAGGTGGTTTCCAGAAACTATGGGGAGGGTTGAATGGAGAGTTACTATTTAATGGATACAGAGTTTCAGTTTTGTAAGATTAAAAAAAAATTCTGAAGATGGGTGGTGGTAATAGTTGCACAAAATTTTAAAGGTATCCCTGCTACTCAGGAGGCTGAGGTGGGAGGATCCCTTGAGCCCGGGAATTGGAGGCTGCAGTGAGCTGTGATGGCACCACTGCACTTCAGCCTGGGCAACAGAGTGAGATCCTGTTTCTAAAACAGAAATATATATATATTAAATGTACTAATGCCACTATGCACTTAAAAATGGTGAAAATAGTAAATTTTATATCATGCATCTTTTACTGCAATTTAAAAAATAAATAATAAAATAATATAAAGTAAAAGAAATATTAGAGGCTTTTAAATGCCTGTGTTTCCATGGAGACCTGGTTGTTGATCTTGATGACTCATGTAGAAAACTGTTTGGCATACAGTATTCCTGTTTTATAGAGTGAAATGGTAACGTTTGTGCTATTTCTGCTCCTTCCAAAATATAAATGGATTTTACAATTACTCAGGAATTACAAATTACTGAAATCATCTGAGAAGGCATCTGTGAGCAGGTTTGAGTTTCACGGTCTGAAAATGCCTATCATAGTCAACTATCTCATGACTAGTAATTATAGTTTTAGTCTTCAAAATGTTTACTTCTACTTCAAAACTTTTCCATGCAATGTGGGAATTTCACACAGTCATGAAATGTCTTTATTACATGTTTCCAAGAGCCTTGTTCCATGCCCAATATGATGATTCTCTTAAAATCATTATAAACAGATTTTTCTCATTAAAATTACATATTCTTTGTCACAAAGACTGAAATCAAGCAAATATCGAAGATGACCCCCAGATATTTGGGTATTGTTAAAAGCAGAATTAGAACATGGTTATCTTTGTCCATTTTCTACTAATAATAATGATAGCCACTATTTGTTGTGTACTTATGTGGGTACATGCACATTTATACTGTCTAACATTTTTATTCCTATATACAATAATTTATCAAGTCAGATTATGAGTATTTCAACTTACAGGATTCATTCTGTGATGATGTTCACATGTTCACAGCCTCTGGAGTAAATTTCCTCTGTATTTAAAACCCATCTCTATTTCCAGGCAATCAAATAGATCAAATTAGCACATGACTCTGGAGAGAAAATTATCCATGAATGTGGTGTTCCTGGTAACAGAGAGTTTTCTGTTACTTTGCTCTTAAAAAAAAAAATGGAAAAGTCTCTCGACTTCTTGGTTTGAGAGTTGCTAGTGCAGTGTACATGTATAACAAAATAAGGTAAATGTTCTACTCTAAGGAAGGCCAAAAAGAGCTGGAAATGTGTATTATATGTTCAAATTAAGAAGTCAAGGAAGAGGGTGAATAATCCAATCATTATGCTGAGTGAATAAATCATCATAAAATATAAATACTGTAGTATAAAGTATAAATCCAGACCAAATCACCAGTTTGGTCCGGGTACTTCTCCTTTCTTGTTACTCTGGGGGGTGAGTCTTTGGGTAATTGTTGCTGTTGTCTAACATTTCTCATTGCCCTTTGACTTCAGAATGCTATAGAGTTGCTGTCTGTGTAACAAGTCTAGTTTAACATTGGAAATATGTGTTCTTCATTTTGGTTTTATACAATCTCTGCAATCTTATCACTGATGCATATTTTTACAAGAATGTAAATGGCTCTGAGCAATGTTCAGGATACTCAGAGTGTCTTGACACACATAGAGGTTTTTAAGTACAGAGCATTGGTGATATGCACTTGGCATATCAAAAACTCAGGAAATCACCAAATGGGATTCTCAAGGACAATTACCAATACTGACTCCTTCACCTCCCCTGAAAACACCTAACTACTTATGGGGTGTGTGTTACTTAAATGATGGGAAAAGAAACAATCTAGAAGGGAGTCATTAAAGAAGTTGAATGGTGAGGAGGACCTTGGCCTAGTTGAGATTTACAGAAACTTACTTCTTTGAGATGAGCTTAAAATATAGAACCCCATGTTGCCACAATGCTGGCATGTCTCATGGGATCATAGTCTCCTTAGCCAAGATTGGCCTTTGTTTTCACAGAACAGTTATGACTACCCTAGGGGGAAGACAATAATACTGGTAATAAAACTGATTAAATTATATGAACAAAAGAAACCTGCTTTAGAAATATACTTATTTTAACATGTTTTAAATGGTATGCTTCTTGTAAAATATTCTAACATTAAGCTTTTTGTTTTTTCTTCAGTACACATCCATAGATACCACAACAAAAGTTATTACAGTAGGGCTGAGTTTCCATGTTTTGGAGTTTGTATTATTCCATTCTCACACTGCTATAAATAACCACCTGAGACTGGGTAATCTATGAGGAAAAGAGAATTAATTGACTCACAGTTCCATAGGCTGTACAGGAAGCATGGCTGGGAGGCCTCAGGAAACTTACAATTTTGGCAGAAGGGTGAAGGGGAAGCAAGCATGTCTTAACATGGTGGCAGGAGAGAGAGCTAAGGGGGAAGTGCCACACACTTTTAAACCATCAAATCTCATAAGAACTCAGTCACTATCACGTGAACAGCAAGGGGGAAATCCGAGCCCATGATCCAATCCCCAAGTCTCTCTGCCAACATTGGGAATTACATTTAACATGAGATTTGGGTGGAGACACAGAGCTAAACCATGTCACAGTTCTTATTCAATTCAGAATCATATGGACCTTTAAAATCCTTAAGCCCAATTTCACACTCAGTGTGGAAATGCCTTCTAAAGCATACTCTACAAATGTGATGGCAACTTGGCTTGAATATTCACAAAGATAGAGCATGAAAACACATGGTAAATAAGCAAAATGTATAGTCATTGTCAGCCGACATGTTTTTTCTTGTTATACTGATCTATCTGAGGTAGAGGTCCCTGAATTTTAGTCAGATTTATTTCCCATCCTCTGGCTTGCAAATGTCTCACCAATAAGTCCAGTGTGTTTGCTGCTTCTTGTTCACTGGATCCAATCAGCATAATGTCATCAATGTAATGGACCAGTGTGATATCTCGGGAAAGCAAAAAGCGATCAAGTTCTCTCTGAATAAAATTATGACACATAGTTGGAGAGGTGATATACCCCTGGGGTAGGACAGTAATGATATATTGCTAACCTTGCCTGCTGAAGGCAAATTGCTTCTGATGGGCCTTATGGACAGGAAAGGAGAAAAAGGTATTTTCCAAGTCAATGACTGCATACGAGCTTCCAGGAGATGTGTTAATTTGCTCAAGCAATGAAACCACATCTGGTACAGCAGCTGCAATTGGAGTCACCACTTGGATAAACTTATGATAATCCACTGTCATTCTCCAAGACTCATCTGTCTTCTGCACAGGCTAAATGGGATAGTTGAATGGGGATGTGGTGGGAATCACCACCCCTGCCTCTTTCAAGTCCTTGATGGTGGCACCAAACTCCACAATCCCTCCGGGGATGCAATATTGTTTTTAATTTACTATTTTTCTAGGTAGAGACAGCTCTAATAGCTTCCATTTGGCCTTTCCCACCATAATAACCCTCACACTACCAGTCAGGGAGCCAATGTGGGGGTTCTGCCAGACAGCTGCTAAGTATGTCTATGCCAATTACACATTCTGGCACTGGGGAAATGACCACAGGATGAGTCCCGGGACCCACTGTAAGTCGGAACTGAGCCAAAACTCCATTAATTACCTGACCTCCATAAGCCCCTACTTTAACTAGAGGACCACAGTGATGCTTGAGGTCCCCTGGAATCAACTTCAGCTCAGAGCCAGTGTCCAGTAGTCCCCGAAATGTCTGATCATTTCCCTTTCCCCAGCGCACAGTTACCCTGGTAAAAGGCCAAATGTCTCCCTGGGGAAGGATGGGAGAAAGCTTCACTGCATAAATTGTCAGTAGTGTAGTGGGGTCCTTCCTCAAGAGGACCCAGCTTCCCCTTCATTCAACGGGTTCTGGGTCTGTAAACTGGCTCAAGTCTGGAAATTGATTGAGGGGCCGTGATTCTCTGTTTTTATAATTCAAATTAGTCTTTTGTCCATTAGGCCTAGAATTTTTCTGTTTGGATAATTTAAGTAGGGATGCAGTAGGCTTCTTATGACTTTCACCTCTAGGAACACCATGATTAATTAGCCAATGCCAGAGCTCTAAATGAGTCAGACTATTCTGATTGCCGCTTTGCCTCTGCTATCCATTATGGTAGCTACGCCCACCTTGGCTTTGATGGCTGAGTGCTGCCACTTGGCCCCTGCCACCTCGGGATCCAATTATTCCCTGTCTATTTAAATTTTTTAGTTAAGTGACTGCAGTTCCCACTGTTAGACCTGACATACAGAGAAGAGCAATTACAGGGCTCTTCGAAGATGCAGGTGCTGCCTTCACAAATCTATTTCACAAGGTATTAGTCAAGGGTATATCTTCTGGACCCTCCCAGCTGGGATGTGTAGGTCTAAAGTGACTAATCCACTCCACCATCCCAATCTCCCTAAGCCTTTGGATCCCTTCCTTGACATTAAACCAAGGGAGATCAGGCATTTCCAGCTCATCCACAGTGGGCCATTTTTAACCCATATTTCATCTAACCAAGCAAACTATTAGAACCTTTTTTAACTCCCTGAGCTGCAACATTAAATTCACAGTCTTTACTTAGTGGGCCCAAATCATTAATCTCAGCCTGATGCAACTCTATGTTCCTTCCACCATTATCCCATACCCTTAACATCCATTCCCATGACTGTTTTCCAGATTGCTGTTTATATAAATTAGAGAACTCAAACAGTTCTTTTGGAGTGTAGCGCACCTCCTCATGGGTCACACTCTGAACCTCCCCTCTAGGGGCCCATAGGGACTTTAGTGTAGTTACAGGTCTAAAAGCAAACAGAGGTGTTGAGGGTGGCTCTGAGGAGAGTCAACATTATCTTGCCTGGCAGCTGCCTCCGGGGAGGCCATCACTGTTGCCTCGGGTAGTGTGGGGTTTATCTCCTCAGACAAAGGTGGAAAGGCTGATGGCAGCCCGGGTTGCGGAGGGGATGTTGCCACTACTGGGGATGGGGAAGTTCTTCCTTCTGGCAAAAAAGGTTCATCAGAGTTTACAGACTCAGTGTCCCCGGCTTTATCAGGGTCCTCTCACAAGATCCCATTTGAAGTTGCAGAGTTCCATTCTTTTCCAATCAATGCCCTCACTTTAACAGTAGGCACCTGGCGAGGCTGTGCGTGCATCTTTCATTGCAGGTCAGCCACTTGCATGATAAGAGCTTGTGTCTGTTTTTCCACAATTTCAACTCTTTCTCTACAGGACATAAGACTCTCACTCAGGGCAATCTTAGCATACTTGTGGCTCAGTATCTGCTTCTGAAGCCGGGAGACAGAATCCCTGAGTTCAACATTTTCTTTCATCACTTTGTCCACTGAACAGGAGCAACCAACCAGCTTCATTATGTTCTTTGGTTCTCCACATATGGCCAAAGGAATTATGTATAAAGTCACTAAACCCCTTGCCTCTCATGAGCAGTGAATCAGGAGTCTCAAATGCATTTATTTTGCATAACTCTTTAAACAGTTTTCAACAAGGACTATCAGTTTTCTCCATACTATTAGAAGTAGAGTCCCTGGCATCTTTAGGTCTAATCATATTAAGCAGCCAATTTCAGAATCCCCAAAACCAATGAAAGAACAACATCCTTAATATTCTGTTCCTCTAGAACCACTCCTGGTACCGAAAACTGTATTAGTCAGGGTTCTCTAAGAGGGATAGAACTAATAGGATATATATATATCCTACTAAATAAACACACACATATATATATATATATGTTTATTAAGTATTAACTTACACGATCACAAGGTCCCACAATAGGCTGTCTACAAGCTGTTGAGCGAGGAGAGCCAGTCTGAATCCCAAAACTGAAGAACTTGGAGTCTGCTCTTCAAGGCCAAGAAGCATCCAGCACAGGAGAAAGATGTAGGCTGGGAAGCTAGGCTGTCTCTTGTTTTCACATTTTTCTGCCTGCTTTATATTCACTGCCAGCTGATTAGTTTGTGCCCACCAGATTAAGGGTGGGTCTGCCTTCCACAGCCCACTGACTCAAATGTTAATCTCTTTTGGCAACACTCACACAGACACACCCAGAATTAATGCTTTGTATCCTTCAATCCAATCAAGTTGACACTCAGTATTAACCATCACAAGCATTTAATATAAACCTAATAAGTTATTTCTAACAGCTTTATTGAGATATAATTTACATACCATAAAATTTACCCTTTTAAAGTATACAGTTCAGTGGTTTTAATAATTCACAAAGTGGTACAACCATCATCACAATTTAGTTTTAGAACATTTTCATCACTCCAACATAAATAATTTTTTAGTTCTTTTTGCTTTCACCTTTAGGAATTCTGTATTTCTGGATAATTATAAAAGGCACTTTATTAATTTGGCAATGACTGGGTCAAATCTAAAATGAAGAAAAAAATGCTGTAAAGTTAGACAGCTATCATAAAGGAGATAATAAGTAATTGTTTTATTTGTTGTCTTTAAACATGTAAAGGCTTCTGGGAAGAATCCTTAAATATTAATTTTTAGTAATGGAAATTCTGGAAATTAAAATATATCAAACATCAAATGTTATTAAAAATTTTAAATCAACAAAAGTCTGCATTTGTAAGTCAAATTTCTACCTAAGATTACAAAGGCTTTGGTTATAGATCCCCTTAAAAGGATTTGGATGATTCTAAGAAGAAAACAAAATTACTTAGATGTAATCCTAGCTTTTGGCTCTGTCAATGCAGAAGACATTTCATCATGTGATTACACAGCAATAGGGTGTTTTTATAGTACCTATTCTTATAGAAAATGTTCTTTGAAGTTCTGTGCACACTGGTAAAGACAGGATAGTTGCCATATTTCAGCACCTAACCAGAACAAAAGATGTGCATTCATTTTACATTCACAAGTCTTATTAATTTTTACAAATTTGCATGACTTATTTTAAATTTGTACTGCGTGAGTTGGAGAAATTCTCAATGATCAAGTTATCTGAGAGCATTAGTCATTCTTTAACATGATTATTGCTGCACTGGGTTAAGTCGTATTTGATAATTTTCTTCTAAATGTGACTTAATGGGCTTACCAAACCAACATTAAAAAAGCTTTTCAACTATTTAGTCACTTACATTTTCTGCTATTAAAAAATGTTTCTGATTTTTGAGTGTTTGCCTCCCAAAAAACACTTTAGAAGTTTTTTCAGAAACACAACTTAATGGGTTAATCCTGCTACCAAAACAGACTCTCTTGGGATTCACAGGCTGAGAATCCAAACTTTTACCAAACATGATTTCTTATAAAGACGTCTTATAGCTTACTGAGAGAAACCATTTGGGGAACACTGCAAAAATACAGTGTAGTAGAATCTGGGGAGCAACTTTGTTCAGAATTTTGGGCTATGGTATTTCAGGAATTTAAAAAAAAACAAAGCATTAGAATAAAAGTCTAAATGGACTCCCTCTTTGGCCAGGGCACTCTAAAATGTAACCTGAAAGACTGGTTCAGGCCATGATGAGAAGTGGGGTTCAGACATGCCTCATCATACCCTTCCAGCAGTAACATCAATGCCTACCTTAAGTCTGATAAGAAACATTTACAATTCTCTCTAAAGCCTGCTACTTGGAGGCTTCATCTTTAGGATAAAACCTTGGTGTCTTCAACCCCTAATCATAGCAAAGACATCTCTTTCTACTGATAATAACTCTTTCAACCAATTGCCAATCAGAATATATTTATATCTACCTATGACCTGGAAGCCCCCTGCTTCAAGTTGTCCTGTCCTTTCAGATCAAACCAATGTAAATCTTACCTGTATTGACGGATGTGTTATGTCTCCGTACAATGTATAAAACCAAGCAGTATCCCGACCACCTTGGGCACATGTCCACATGTCGTCAGGACCTCCTGAGACGGTCATAGGCACCTCCTTAACCTTGGCAAAATAAACTTTCTGAAGTGTGTGAGATCTGTCTCAGATACTTTGGGTTCACAACAGGGAATAAAGAGTACGGCAGGAGCCCATCCAGTACCCTAAAATACTTACTTTAAACATCAGTTTTTTCCACAATGTTTACTAGAAGGCTAGGGGCCTAGCCTTAATCCTGGTGCTTGCCATGTTTGTCGTTTTGGAGGGAATGTTGTGCAACACCTTACTCACCCAGGAATTGTACCTGTTGACTCCCTTCAATGTTTGAGGCCCAGCCAGCACTCTGTCTACAGGAGCTAAACAGCACAGCTGGTTCCTCTGGCAGCGTGACTGGAATTCTTTCTCAGCTTTTATGTTCACACAGAAATGTTATCTTAATCTCAACTGACAAGTGTGTTCTTAAAACAAAACTCAAAGGTAGAAGGCTAGAGGAATGCTTCAGGGAGCTCCAAAATGAACAAAATGAATAGATCTGCACAGCAATTACATTTAGAAACCGAAACTTTTAATCCACAATTTAGACAGTAGCTGCAAAAGACAATTTGTTCCTTTCTGTTTTGGAGTGAAGATTATAATACATCATAATAGTGGTTTTTCACATTAAGTAATGTTTTTGCATTTCTGTAAAAAGTGCCTTAATGCCAAAACAAAAGGAAAATTAGTCATTAGTGGAAAAAAATAAATCCATAGTAGTGGTAATAAGTCATTTATTCCTCCATCCAGCAGTTACTGAACACCTATTGTATGCCAGATTTTTATCTAGGCAAAGAAAGAGTGAAAGATAATTCTCATAAAGGCCCTAAAAACAGGGAATCTTGGGGTATTCTGAAAACCTTGAACTAGGGCGCACTTCCGAACAAAGAAGGGGTGTGAGGGAGGACTTCTCAGAGGAGCTGAATACTTGTAAATAGATAATATGGAGATTTTAGAAATTGAAATTCGAAACATTCTAAAGCAGTGTCAGAAAATGTTCTATGTAAATTTAGCTGTTATTATTATGTTATGAAAATCTTTGTGTGTCCTAAGCATACATAACATAGGCATACATAAGAAACAGATTTAAATCCGTTTCAGATAATCCATTGTCCATCAAGCATAATTATTGATCTTCACATGGTTCAGACACAATGCTGAAAATTGGAATTAGGAAAGATAATTTTTCCAGGAGTCCCTGAGGCAAGCAGTCTTGTATCCTAAAGCTTAGCTTGTTTTTATTTATTTATTTATTTATTTATTTATTTATTTATTTATTTTGAGACAGAGCCTCACTTTGTCACCCGGGCTGGAGTGCAGTGGTGTGAACATGGCTCACTGCAGCCTCAACTTCCCAGGCTCAAGCAATCCTCCCACCTCAGGCCCCCAAGTAGCTGGGACTACAGGCACGTGCCACTGTGCCCAGGTAATTTTTGTATCTTTTGTAGATACTGGGTTTCACCATGTTGCCCAGGCTGGTCTCAAACTCCTGGGCTCAAGAGACGCACCCACCTTGGCCTCCCAAAGTGCTGGGATTACAGGCATGAGCCACAGCACCTGGCCTGTTTTTAATTTTTAATCATCAAAATTATAGGAAGAATAATTTGTTTTATTCTCTAAAGTCTCTAGAACATTTTTGTTCTCTTCCTCCCTCCCTCTCTCCTTCCCTCCCTCCTTCTCTCCCTTCCTTCCTCCTTCCCTCCCTCCGTCCATCCTTCCTTCCTTCCTTCCATCCTTCCTTCCTTCCTTCCTTCCTTCCTTCCTTCCATCCTTCTTTCCTTCCTTCCTTCCTTCCTTCCTTCTCTCTCTTTCACTCTTTCCTTTTCAATCTCATGTCTCCAAGAAAAACAAACTTGGCACAATTATTAGGAGTCACTCTTTCATGGTGAGTATAAGTTTCATGACATTTCAGAGGAAGTACAGTCAGCCATTTCCGTGGTGATTGAGGAGGTTTGAAGATTATGGACTAATACGCAGGAAGTTATCTATAGATTGCACTGGAAGGAACCTGAGGAATTAGAGCTCAGATTGGGAAGGAGATAGGTTATGTTTTCAGCACTTTTATGCGCCTTTTATCCTTTCTTATAGGAAGGCTGCAGATAATAACTAACAAATGACTAATAATACTACCTATGACTGTTTGATTCCCATTCTCTGTAATTCTGTCCTTATGAGACTGCCAGAGTGAGGACAAATTTTAGGCCACAGACTGAGAGAAAACAATAATCAATAAGAATTTCAGGTGTGGCGAGAAGGGAACATGCCATGGTCTTCAAAGCAATGATCAGAACACATTGTCTTTCCAGTTTGGGGGTGGGAAGAGAAAAAGGAGTAAGACTGTAGCAGAACTGCTTAAACAGAGCTCAATATTCTACAGAGTCAACAAGCACCCCTCTCATTCACTACATACAGATATTAAGAACGCTGATTAAAAGTGGGAGAGCTACTGCTTAAGTACAATATGTGGAATGTTGAGCTCTGTTTAAGTGTTTCTGACAGCATGCCTCTTTTTGACAAATACCAGTTAAAATATGAAATACGAGTTTCTTGGAACAGAACGCAGAATCTCTTGGGGAACTGAGAGAAGCCAAGTTGACCATTTAATAATCATCAGGTTCTTTTGGCAAATATTGAGAGCTCCCAGCAATTAGAGGTAGGCAAGTAGGCGTTGGATGGCAATCCTCTCCCATGTAACCGTGCTACCCCATGGTATGTCAATAATGAAAACAAGTTATATAACAGATTAAGATTGTCTAAAATGTATTAACAAGAAGCAAAAATAGTCACATCAACTGCTCTTGTAAGCTTAGAATACTAAGGCTGTTCAGACATTCTGAAAGCAGGATAAGCCAACCTTCTAGTTTGGGTCAAGCAACATTGTCATCTCTGAAATGAAAGTGTGTGGCCAAATGGAGATGTGAACCTACCATGCTGCTCCAGAGATATTAGTTTCTGCCGGATTTGCATATCTTTACATCGAGTTCATACATGGGTGTTGGTGCCTGTACACTCATTCTATCCAGTCATGTAACTCAAGCACAGCTCATTTTACTAATGTTTGTATGCTAATTAAAAACTCTTAGGTATAGATTCCTATAATAATATTTAAAGTTATTATGTAGCTACTTCTGAAGTGTGAATACCTGAGTAGGGTACTTCAGATGTTCAATACTCCCTTAGAACAGTGAATATAGTAAGCACTCAAATGTTACTTACTACTTTTCTTGTACTTATCTTGGTTGTCATCTTCATTAGTATGTGACATGCTCTGCTATTTCTCTACATGTCTAACTTACTCACTAAGCTAGTGCTTTTCAAGCCCATTAGTGGGTTATAAAATCAATTCAACAGTTTCTACATAGCATTTTTAAATGAACTAGGCCAGAAAAGAATAGCAAATATTAAAGTGTATCAAGTTTTTGGTTCAGGCTTATAAAGGTATATATACTGAGTTACAACGTAAAATATGTTTCCTACTGTGGCTCATGGTCAAAAAGAACAAACAGAAAAATGCTATACTAGGTTGTATACTTCAAAGAGATCTTCCCTTATTTATGTTGCTAACCCCAGTGTTTAGTATATGTTTAGCTGGTCAGTAAATGTTTGAATATGAGTAACTTGTTTTTTCTGCTAAGACGAATTTCACTGTAAGATGAGACTGGCATTTAAACCTTTTGGAGAATCTGAAACCAAATATGTGTAATTGATATTTGTAGAACCAATGCATAGAAATGTTCTCTGTTGCTCTGTTTTGAAGAAAACTGTAATTATAGACAATCTCTCCTGGAAATCTTTATAGTTTTGTGTCTCAGTGTTCTGCATTTTAAAACCCAGAAATTGCTTATTCTGGCGAAATGTATTCCAGTGCCCTTTGTATCAGTTGCCTGTTGTTGCTGTGCAAATTGCCACAAGTGTTGTTGCTTAAAACAACATGTTTACTATCTCATAGTTTTATGAACTAGACATCTGACATGAGTCTCACTGGACTATAGTCAAGAGAGCCACAGCCTGCTTTCTTCTGAGGTTCTAGAGGAGATTTTCCAGCTTCTGGATGCCTCTGGAATTCCTTGGCTCATGACTCTTCTCCATCTTCAAAGCCAGCGGCGCAGCCCTCCGACCTCTGCCTCCATGGTCACATCTCCCCTTCTGACTCTGACTCTCCTATCTTCCTCTTTGATTTATAAGGACCCTCCTGATTACACTGGGCTCACAAAGATAATCCCAGATAACCTCCCCATTTCAAGTTCTTATTTAGCCATATCTGCAAATTCTCTTTTGCCACTTAATATTCACAGGTTCCAGGAATAAAACTTAGACATCTTTGGAAGCCATTATTCTGCCTTCCATGCCCATCAATTCTACTGCCTAAGAAGTGACTCAAACAGAGAACATTTGCAAAGCATTTTGGATAACGTTCATGCTGCTTGACTTATAGATGTGGCTATGCAGGTCATTTCCTAAAAACCTGTTTTCTGATTTCGTATGATTTTGGGTGTTCAGCATGGGCCAAGAAAGTAACACCTAACCATCAGTGATTTTAAAATCCTTGCTTTTGAGAATTTGTTGAAATTTAGGTAGCAACCCACATTTTCATACTGAAATTTGAAATTGTTCTAACTTTTAACATTACTTAGTTAATAAACCTTAGAGTAATGAATTAGAGAAATAGAAGTAGAAGGTACAGAATTCTAAACTAGTGAAGAACAGTTTGATAATTTATGAGGATACATAACTTGCAGAATGTGAAATTTTGGGAAATAATATGGCTGTCCAGGGCAAAGTCACTGCAGTTTCCTGAGTAATTAAGAAATGTAATTTGGAAGAACTGCTGGCCTGTTGGCAAAGATTTTGAACACTATCTACGCTGGTTTGTTTTATAAGTCAATGCCTTCTAACGCTTTTATTTTCAGTGACTGTCATTTTAATTTTTTTCTCCAGTTCCCTAGTTTCTATGAGAATTTGGTCTTGCTAATAAGATTTTCTCCAATTATGAAATTTGTCAACAACATAGATTCTTGAAAAGTAATTATAATCCTTTACTTAAAATTTTTATTGTTTCCTTTAAAATGTCTTCTGCATAGTAAAATTCAAAATCAAATATCTGTCAAAGAGGTGAGTGTGCCTTATTACCTCAAAGATGTTAAATTGCTTTTGCAAATTACTTTCTCATTCTCTTTTCTAGTCTCATCTTAATTCTCCATGGTTTTAATAGCAGGTGCTCTTGCTGGCTTCATTTGGTTTATTGCTTTGTCTAAAAATAGTTTTCATAGCTTAAATAGGCTTGCAAATTTGATTCTTTCTAATAATTTCACTTATAAGCAGTCACATTTTCTCTCTGAAAAATAATTTAATATTTATATTGCCAGTTGGGCTAGGTTTGGTTTTTAAGTTGTGCATTTGTTTCCATTTGAAACTACTATTGTTAATAATCAACATTGGCTGAGGCAAGATGTAGTAGACGCCACCCTTACCAATAAATATTCCTTGGACTGTTAACATGAGTAGTTCATTGAAAGTATGTTTGAATCAAAAGAATTAGGTTGTAAAGTGAGCGGAGGCTGTGGCTTCTGAAAAAAATTGGCTATGGACTTAGAAATCAAATCAAACCTAGGATTAAATTTGGCTCTGCTACTGATTAGCTAAGATTTGGAACATGCACCTCAGTTTTGTCATGTGTACAATTGGAAAATACAGACCTCGTGAGAATGATGTGAAAACTATATGAGATAATGCAGCTAAATTTCTAGCATAGGATTCACAAAAAGCATCTAATAAATTGTACCTCTTATTACCTAGACATTTCTAGTTTTGCTTTAAAAAATAAAATCTGTGGCCAGCGCCGTGGCTCACACCTGTAATCCCAGCACTTTGGGAGGCTGAGGCGGGCAGATCACTTGAGGTCAGGAGTTCGAGACCAGCCTGGCCAACTTTGTGAAACCCCATCTCTACTAAAAATACAAAAATTAGCCAGGCATGGTGTCACACACCTGTAAACACAGCAACTCGGGAAGCTGAAGCTGGAGAATCTCTTGAGCCCGGAAGGTGGAGGTTGCAGTGAGCCAAGATCACACCATTCACACCACTGCACTCCACCTAGGCAACAGAGCCAGATTCCATCTCAAAACAAACAAACAAACAAAAAACTGTGTATCTTAACAGATTTTTTTAATTGATATGTGCTATAAACAGTTCTTAACACCCACAAGGAATACACAAAACATCCAATAGATTACAAAAAATGTTAAACTTCAAAAATTCTTGATATGAAAATGAAATCAATAAAAATTTTTAATTGTTAGATTACCAATTTTTTTTTTTTTGAGACAGAGTCTAGCTCTGTCACCCAGACTGGAGTGCAGTGGCACGATCTCAGGTCACTGCAAGCTCTGCCTCCCAGGTTCAAGCTATTCTCCTGCCTCAGCCTCCCAAGTAGCTGGGACTACAGCCGTGTGCCACCACGCCCAGCTATTTTTTTGTATTTTAGTAGAGACGGGGTTTCACCATGTTAGCCAGGAAGGTCTCGATCTCTTGACCTCGTGATCCGCCTGCCTCGGCCTCCCAAACTGCTGGGATTACAGGCCTGAACCACTGCACCTGGCCTAGATTAGCAATAATTTCTAACGGAATATTTTTATCAACAGACTGTCATTATAGTGGGGGCAAAGGGCTAGATTAAAGGCATTAGGACAACTAACCATCTGTATATAAAAGAATAAAACTAGTACCCTACATCACACCATTTTCAAAAATCAATTACAGACACACAAAATACTTAAATGGAAAAAAGCTACAAGACTAACTTAAAATATTATATGTGTATATATATATATGTATACACACACGCATATGTACTGAAAAAGGTGAATAGTTAAATAAATAAATTGGAAAGGAAAAACAAATATTCCTTACAGAGGAATTCCATTTAAAATATGCAGATTCTCCTCCCTCAAAGGCGTGGCACTTAATCACCACCACATTTCTCCTTCTTGGTAGGCTAGACATAATAACTTGCTTCCAAGGACTAGGGTAAGGAGAGAGAAAATCAGTAACTTTACAGTGAAAAAATCTGGCAAGGCGTGATTAACCAAGTAATTAAGGTTAACATCGTCAGTGATGTCATGTAGGTATGATATCCCCCTTGATATTCTGGGATGAGAAGGGCACTTTACCCATGACATATTCTTTCCAAACACCCATAAGCTCACTGTAATCATAAGAAAAACATCAGATAAATTTAGATCCAAGACAATTCTACAGCTTCCTTGGCCAGTACTCCTCAAGACTGCCAAGATGATGAAAAACAAGGAAAAGAAAGAAAAGCTGTCATAGACCAGAGGAGACGTGGGAGAAATGACAAAGAAACACAATCTGGATCCAGGATTGAATACTGGAAACAAAGAAAAGAAACCTAGTGAAATTCAAATAAAATCTGGAGTTCAATTAGCAGTAATGTATTAATGTTGGTTTCTTATCTTGGACAAATGTACTATGGTAATGTAAGATGTTAACAAAAGGTGAAACTGAGAAAGAGAAACACAGGGACTCTGTATTATTGCTGCAATCTTTCTATAAATCCAAGGTTATTCAAAAGTACAAAATGTATTTAAGAAGACTATAAGATTTAAAATAAACATATCAACATATCTTTATATTCTTTTTTTTTTTTGACGGAGTCTTGCTCTGTCACCCAGGCTGGAGTGCAGTGGCGTGATCTCAGCTCACTGCAAGCTCCTCCTCCTGGGTTCATGCCACTCTCCTGCCTCAGCCTCCTGAGTAGCTGGGACTACAGGCGACCACCACCACGCCCGGCTAATTTTTTTGTATTTTTAGTAGAGACAGGGTTTCACCGTGTCAGCCAGGAAGGCCTCGATCTCCTGATATCGTGATCCACCCGCCTCAGCCTCCCAAAGTGCTGGGATTACAGGCACGAGCCACCGCGCCTGGCCCTTTATATTCTTCAGATAAAGATGTCTTAACCAAGGAAAAAAATGTAGAAAAATATTGATGAAAAGAAAATATTGATAAATTTGACTACATTAAATTCCAGAATGTTCATCAAACCAAGCTGCAAAGAAAGTAAAAATATAAATCACAAATGGGGAGAAGGTATTTGCAATAAATACATTGAAATGACAGAGATCTCTTGCAATGCAAATTGAAAAAAGATAAGCAGCTCCATGGAAAAGTGAGGAAAATACTTAAATAGAATTTCAGAAAAAAGGCAGTCTCAAAGATCAATGAGTATATTAGAGGATGTTCAACCATATTACTGTTGAGGAAAAGACCACAGTGGGATATCATTTCATGTTTGCTCACTTGGAAATTTTAAAGACTGAGAATATCAAGTGTTATCAAAAGTGTGGAAAGCCAAAACATTTATACACTGCAGGTGGAAGTGTAAGACTTTATTGCCACTTTGGAAACAATTTGGCAGTATCTAGAGTAAAAGATGTGTGTATTCTATGTATGACAAAGCAACTGCACTTCTAGGTATATAGCACAGAGAAACTCTCGTATATATGAACCAGGAAACCAAAATACTCTCAGAAGCTCTGTTTATAATAACAACAACAAAAAGAAAAACAAAACAGATGCAACCCAAATATCTATCACAACATAATACCATCCAGCAATGAAAATAAAACAACAGTAATGAGCGAAACAAGGATGAATTGAAAGAATACAATTTGGAGGGAAAGAGGAAAGTGCAGAATGCATACAGCATTTCTTTACATCAAATTTTAAAATATAGAACTAAACAATTTAGTGTTTAGGATCACAAACACGTGGGAAAGTGCTATGGTCTTAATGTTTGCATTCCTCCAAAATGCATATAATTGAAATTTCATCCCCAAAATGCTGTTACAAACAGGTGGCGCCTTTGGGAGGTGATTAGGTCATGAGGATGAAGCCCTCAAGAATGCAATTAGTGTCCTTATAAAAGAGGCCTCCAAGAGCTCATTGGCCCCTTTTTGCCCTTCTGCCATGTGAGGATATAGCAAAAAGGCACCATCTTTGAAGAAGACAGGAAGCCCTCACCAGACATGGAAGCTACTGGCACCTTGATCTTGGACTTCCCAGGCTCCAGAACTCTGAGCAATAAGTTTCTGCTGTTTACAAATTACCCAGTTTAACATATTTTGTTATAGCAGCTTGAACAGACTCCAATAGAAACCTATAAAGAAAAGCAAAGGAATGGTAAAGATAATTCTTACAGCTACTACCTCTATGGAGGGCTTAGAGGAGTGGTGCCTAGGGAACTTCAAAAATAAAACAATATTCTCCGTTTTTAACTGGATGGTGGGTTCATGGGTGTTTGTATACATACTAAATATGGTATAAATATGATTTTATATCTACTTAATAATAATAAGAAAGAAAGACAAAGGTGAGAGATAGAGACAGGGAAGGAGTGTGGGTTATCACTCTCACTAGCGGTGATACCCATACAGCATGGAGACCCCAGTGTGCAAAGGGATTCCCAAGTGTAGAGCTAAGTTTACCAGTTTGGTAGATTTCACTGCCTCTTTTTATTCTTATCTCATATCAAAGCTTCATTTAAGTTAGCTGGGCCCAAATTACCGGAGTAAAAACATCATTATCTCCTCCCTCTAGCTCAACCTCTTGTGATGTACAGTGCCCCATGCCTGTTTTCTCGGAGCCACAGTCCCCTCTTCCTCCTTTTCTCACTGTCACAACAGAGATTCTATATGTCTCCGTCTACATACCTGACCCTTAAATGCTGTAGTAAGCCATCCTTCCTGAGAATTCATCCCCAGATCCTAGGCTGTCTTTTTCTCCTTCCTTAGGATGTCCTTCCTCCTCACTTTGCTCAAGACCATGAATTGATGCAGTGGTAATGGAAAAATTTCTAAAGCATATCGGACCGATCATTGCCAGAAATGCATCTTCTCTCTTTTCTGATTCAAGGCAGTTGTTAGGCCAGAAGAGTGGCCTCAGAGAAATACACACCTCTTTTTAAAGTGATGGATTCTGTATTAGATCTGAGAACTTCTTCTTCACTTTGTATGCCAAAGAAAAAATTTTAAGCAAGTATAAAAGCAGGGAGACTGATGTACTAGTCCAGATGAAGGAAGGTAGTCTGAACCAAGGCAGTGGATATAACAGAAGTGGAAGTAGAGATGAGGGAACAGATTTGAAAAAGATTTGCTTGGAACCCTGTTTATTTACTAGACAAAAATCTGTCTGGAAGGAATTATGTGAAAATAGCCATCATCTTCATAAAACAACAGTGGGTGGACAGATTAAAAACTTTAAAATTATTGTCTACAATGAGACAAGAAGAAAGCTAAGTATTTTGAGAGTTATAGATTATTGAAGCAAAATTATTAATTGAGCACCAAGCTCTGCCATTGCCTCCAGGAAGCTACAGAGAACATTATTACTTGTAACCTAATGAGCCTTCAGAAATCAGTAACTAATCATGTTCATGACTTGCTATAGTTATTAGCATTAAACATGGATTAGACTAATTTTTAGTATTATACATGGGTGGGATTTGTCTTTTTGAAAATTTTCAACTATTCACATTTATCCTTTTTGTTCCATAGCAAAAAAAGATAAACAACATGTTGGAAAGCATGGATATGGTTCATAATATTTTTTGACTGAGCAATTAATTCTTATAATGACATTTAAAGGCTTTCTGAGAAAATATGAGAAAACTTTTAAGAAAAATGTTTTAAGTATAATATATAAAGGATGATAAAAGATCTGGAGAAAGGAAAGTATCCTGCTTAAGTCAACAACTCCTACTGTAGACAGAGTTTTTAATAAAAAAAAAGAATTCTGACTATAAAAGATAGTTTAACCATGTAGTTTTTATCTTGGAGACTGAGGCAGCATTTAAACCACAGAAGAAAGAAACCAGGTAAATTTATTTTATGACTCCGAATTCATAATAAAAAAAGAGCACCTCAATTTCAGGCATATATTTTGTTTTCCCCCAGGATAAACATATTTTCACAACATAATTTGGCACATTTTACAGCCAAAGTAAAATATGCAGGAAAACACTATAATATTAATGATAACTCTACAAACTGCATGGAGAAAACATTACTCAATTATCAGTTAAGTGAAATTCAACCTAAGTGTGGGGTTTTAATCCCTCCTACATGTAAATGTTTATATGTTGTATGTGTTTAAGGTTCATTAGCTCAAAATGTATCATACATTCCCTAATGAAAAGTTATTTCTTATGGGCCTGTATATCTTTTTGGTTTGTATTGCAATTTGTACAATGTCCTGATGCACATTTTTTATTAATGTTGTAATTACATTGTAAATTTTTTTTGTTTGTTTGCTTTTTTCTCTCTTCGAATGTTAGTGCATTGAAGACAGAAACTACCACTTCTATAAGATCGTTTTAGTTCTTTGCACAGTGCACGGTACATGGTACTTATTCAATAAATGTGTAATGAAAAGCTTTACATGTATATAATGGCCATGCTCAGGATATTTAATTTCCCTAAAAACTGTTAGTTCTAACTATGAAGCTAGTTAAGTAATACAAACTTTCTCATCCTTATAAATGTTTTCTTGGGATCTATAATTTTGTATAAGCTTTCCAGTGAAAACTTTAATTCATCCCTCTAAAATATTGTATAAATTCTGTAAACAAAAGAAAATTTCCAAGTACCTTTCCCCCATGAAATATAATACCATTAAATGGCTCTGTTATATTTTGGAGAGGAGCTATCTCATCCAAAAATAATAGAAAATCATGAGTTTTAACATTTCCGTAAAACAGAGCATAAAGAAGTGTGAATCTTCTCTTGTTCTCAGGCGTGCATATTCTGCTCTGTTCGTTGCTAAGATACACTAAACTTAAAAGTACAGAAATGCAATTTGGCTCCTTAAAAATAGGCTATGCAGCTTTCTTATTTTTGACAAAATTAGTCTCTATGGAACATACACAATCTCAGCACAATCATCTATTTTAGTCACTTTCTGGCCTTAGTTAATTAGATAGTGTTTTGTAAAGATTTTAATTTTAAGTTTTCATTTTGAGAGCAACAAAGTTATTTGCAAGCACTAACCAAATATCTCTGGTTTTTGGCTTCCCACCCTTCTTTTAAGTGATCTGTAAAAAAACAACCCCGACATGGGTTTTTGCAAGGAAAAGCCACACTGATCTCAATTTCTAAAAGTAACTGATTCTTGTGTTCTTCCATTTCTTCTTCTTTTTCCTGAAAAAGTAAAGTTACTTCACAGGCCAAATCTATTTATCTTGAGGTGAGGTGGTGGTGAAATTGGGTCGAATACCATGTTGCATTCTCAGATCATGACAAATCTGGCAGACGCATCTTTTCTAGTTGAGCCAGATAAGAACTATGGGCATCTTTATAAGGTTCACATCATTCCTGTTGGGAAGACCAACCTCAGAACCTATTACTTGTTTGGTAGTGTCAGTATGTTCAAGCTGAATTACACATCTGGGCATATCCCTGGGCACCAGCCTTAAAATCTGCTTATTTTCTATAGGATCCTGCCTTTCAGGGGAAGGCATGAAAAGGTATAATTAGGAAAGAATACTTGTATCTATGTAAATTTTAAAGATGCATATATATGCGGATATATATGTGTGTATGTATGCATATACACATACATACAACAGGTTGCAAGATCCCTGGATCTGAAGATAGCAGACAAGAATCAAAAATCTCTGCCACGTATTGCCTACTAATTCATAACCCCTAAATTGGATTCTATTTTTTTTAGTTCTCACACGATTTCACATTCCCTTTCTTTCCTTTTACATTAATGGCTTTCTTAATTCTTGGTAGGATTTTTTTTTTCCTTCTCATTTTTCTCTTCTAGCACCTCTTACCCACAGAATTCCATCTTTTTCTCTCTTCTTTCCTCACTACACAGTCTACATGAACTTCTTCACTGTCACATTTCAATTAATGTCCATACGTAGTACTTGATAAATATCTGTCTCCAACCCATCCCTTTTTCTTTGACACTCCAAATTCACATCTCTGAAGCTATGTCTTCGAATGTAATTGTCACAAACCAAATTCATACTCTACTACTCCATTTCTGCTCTTCCTCCTTTCTTTCTTATCTATGATTCTTATGGTAACAGTGCAAAGGCTGGGAGAGGAAAAATAGAAATGTATTAATGTAAAGTTGTCATACTACTCTTGAAGTGATATAATACCACTTTCTGTTAGACTCCAATATGTTGAAGGTTTATGCTATAAGCACTAAGGTAACCAAAAGATGCTGCAGACTATTATAGCATCTCTTCAAACAGACTTCACAGAAACTTGCAAGCAGCCTGTGTCTATGACATCAGTTGGCATGAGCAACAGGTTTTTGATTTTGGAGAACTATGTTTACCTGACACTGCAACAAAACAAAAGCAGCTATACATGATAGGAATGAATACAAATATTAACAACTGATACCATTGAATTTTTGGAGGGTGAGGAGCCCCTCAAGACAAATAGAGACTTTCAATTTTAAAAGAGCAGATATTGTGTTTGTTCCCCTGACTTATTTCTTAAACCAGCTAATCATTTCATGAGCCGTTATCTATTCCTTGCTGTCTTCTTTTGCCCTGCTCAAACTTTCACCACCCCCAGTTGTTTTTCTTCATGCACGTATACTAAATTTCAGGGCTAAATGGTTTCATTGTTTTGGTAAAGTTGACATTTCCTTTACTACTTCTTTTTTTTTTTGAGACGGAGTCTCGCTCTGTCGCCCAGGCTGGAGTGCAGTGGTGCGATCTGGGCTCACTGCAAGCTCTGCCTCCCGGGTTCACACCATTCTCCCGCCTCAGCCTCCCGAGTAGCTGGGACTACAGGCACCCGCCACCTCACCCGGCTAATTTTTTGTATTTTTAGTAGAGACGGGGTTTCACCGTGTTAGCCAGGATGGTCTCGATCTCCTGACCTCGTGATCCGCCCGCCTCGGCCTCCCAAAGTGCTGGGATTACAGGCTCCTTTACTACTTCCTATTTGTATTAAATTATTGGTTGGCTTAAGAAAGGAGAAACAAGGAAGAAACAATATCTATCATTTTAAAACTTCAAGGACCTATTTCTTCAAGAATTTCACCACCCAAAAAATTAAAGGGTCTCTATCAGAAATGTTTTTATTTACTCACAGCTATTATGCTTAATGTTTTAGTTTTTTCTGAATTCAGCTTACTATGTTTGAAAATCATCACCTTTAAAGAAATCTGACAGTATAATTTTGCAGGTACAAGGAAAAGAAAAAAAGCCATCGATTCTGTAGTTTGTTAAAACTAAAACCCATTCTCCCTTTTTCTCTTATCGCCAATCAATCTTTCCCATATTCTACTGAGCAAAATGACTGTTGCCAAAATCAGTTCTCAAAATCCAAATATGAAGCTTCTAGAATGTTATAATGTAAAAATAAAGTATGCTACATTCTGGAGTAAAAATTTGAGGACACACAGACAAGGACATACCTGGGTTGGCTCAATCTTGCTTGTCCTGTGGTTTCAGAAATCTAAATTGATTATTTGGATATCTTTTTCGTGTATTTTAACGCTGTGTTGTGCCCACCAAATTAGGTTGCTCAAATGTCTGATCCAAGAGGATTATGGAAGCATTCTCGAGTATTTTCATCTTCCGTGTTCCTCTGGGCTTTCTCTCTTGAAGTCATTTTATTAGTCATCCTCAAATGGCTTCTACTGATGTTTCTGATAACTTGATGCTGCCCTGGGAATGCCCATCACACAGCTGTCACCACCATCTGGAGAACTCATTATCTCTATGAAATAGTGTTCTCTTACCTATGGGATATGACCTTTGCTAATTACTCTAGTGGAGTAAAAAATAATTTCCCCATCATCATTTTATCCTGCTACCAGGTCATGTGGCAGCCACATGACTCCATCCCATAGTTTCCTGTAAAAAGACTGGTAATTCGACTTTTATTTGATTTACTCTTTATCACAGCTTTTACCTCCTAAGAACTTGGGCAACAGTCCAAAGTGGAATGGATCACAAGTCAAACTGAGTATCAGCACATTATCACGTCCTGGCTACAGAAATAAAGATTTGAATTATTTGTTTTTCCCACCATCGGGTGCCCTTAGTTAAAGTTAACCCTCCCTTATACTACATAGAAATAATCTACATTGTAAGATCATCTGCATTAACAAGTATATCTTTACATCTCAGATAAAATTGCATCTTCCTTCTCTATGGTAGCACTTACTACTGATGTATCATTATATCTTCGGGCTCATGTGCGACAAATGTTTTCAGCAGGGCAGAGGATCTACTGATAGTTGTTAAGTGCTTCCTCTGTGCTGGCACTGCGCTAAATACTGCACATGTTTAACGCACACTGCACTCACTTAACCCTCACAAAAATCCAATGAAGTAGGTACTAATACTATCCCATTTTGCAGATGCACAAATGGAAGCAACGAGGCTAACTAGAACCCACTTTGCAATAAGCGGAGGAAGCAGGGTGAGAACCCAATCAGTGCAGCAACAGAGACTTCACTCTTAACTAGTGCCCAACTGCTTCTCATAATAAAACATGTGCTGCTAACCACTTCTTAGCCTACATCATGTTGACGAACTTTAGATTGATTCTAATCTTTGCTTTTATGAACAGTATTCTAGTGAATGTCTTTGTATGCACGTCATTTTGCACATAAGCATTTATCAATAGAATAAGTGTCCTGAAGTAGAATTTTTGAGTAAAAAAAAGTATATATGTACATTTTACATTTTGATGAGTATTGCTATAATGTTCTTCATAAACCATAGTCAGAATTTATGTTCCAAAAGCCATATATTAGAGTAAAACCATGTATTTTACAAGTTTCAAGTTACTTTTGGAGCATATCTACATGTTCTTTGCTTTTATTCATTCTCAGGTTCCCTCCTACACCAAATTGATACAACTATCCCAGGACTTGGTCCGCAAAGTGTTTTGTTCAAATATTCAAAATCTAGGCACAGGTATTTCTTAGTACTTCATAAGATGGGGAAGGATGAAACCATCTGCATAATTGGATATTTTCCCCATTACAATTGGAATATTTGAATTCACAGATGTTAAATAGGGTACCACTTTATCACTAGGTTTTCTGGAAATCAAATATTAACTACACATGGGAAAACCCCCAGTTTTTGTTTGTTTGTTTGTTTTGAGACAGAGTCTTGCTCTGTTGCCCAGGCTGCAGTGCAGTGGTGCGATCTCAGCTCACTGCAACCTCAACCTCCCAAGTTCAAGCCATTCTCCTGCCTCAGCCTACAGAGTAGCTGGAGCTACAGGCACGCACCACCAAGCCCAGCTAATTTTTGTATTTTTAGTAGAAAGGGGGTTTCACCATGTTGGCCAGGCTGGTATCAAACTCCTGACCTCAAGTGATCCGCCCGCGTTGGACTCCCAAAGTTCTAGGATTACAGGCATGAGCTACCGCACCCAGCCAACCCACAGTTTTTCTATAGATAAATTGTTAAATGTCGAAATATGTTCAACATAAACTTACCACAAAGAAAGTGGAGATTTAAGAACAAACTTTAATAAAACTGGGGAAAACTATAATAGAAAATTTGTCTCAAAGTAAATAATTGGCAGTTAGTACATTGAAGATTTTTTAATACAAACTTTTTTATCTCACAAAATAAAATCTAAATAGAAAATTTACCATAGTATGATTTTTTCACATGTTAAGATAAAAATTAAATTGAAGCTAGTGCCAAAAGGGAAAAACTAGATAAGTTATAGTAAATAACTAGAAAAGTCATAGTAAATGTTTAAAGAGATGTTGTTATGTTAGTTAAAATAAATTAATTATATAAATATAGATTTTAAATCAATTTTGAGTTTCAAAATGAGTCACATGGATTTTATAAATAATGTAGCTTGCATTACAACGACATATTTACAATGTTTTCAGTTGAGTGACTAATATGAATCAGGCACCTTCTCATGTGTCTGTTCATTTAAGACCAAAGAACAACATCCCATTGAGGTGGGAATTCTTCATCTCCCTTTTACAGACAAAACTGGAGTTCAGGTGAGCAAAGTGACATATCCATAGTCACGGACAGACATAGTTAGCTATGCCAGATCTCAAGTCCCACAAATCTAAGACAGAAGATTCGGTTGTAATTAACAAGAAGATATTTCTGACCGATTTCTGAATATCAGTTGAACTAAGAACTCCAAGGAAGTATCTTTGGAAACACTTTAACCTCAAGTTTTAAATATTTATTAAGTTTCTATAATACCATTTGGGGTGTTTTGGGTGGTGTTGTTTTTGACAGAGTCTCACTCTCTCGCCCAGGCTGGAGTGCAGTGGCGCCATCTCGGCTCATTGCAAGCTCCGCCTCCCGGGTTCACGCCATTCTCCTGCCTCAGCCTCCCGAGTAGCTGGGACTACAGGCGCCCACCACCACACCAGGCTGATTTTTTGTATTTTTAGTAGAGACGGGGTTTCACCATGTTAGCCAGGATGGTCTCGATCTCCTGACCTCATGATCCGCCCACCTCTGTCTCCCAAAGTGCTGAGATTACAGGCGTGAGCCACCACTCCCGGCCCTATTTGGTTTTTAATTGTCCAAAATAAATTGGAAGAAATACATTGTTCTTTGTGAGTTAATTACTTAACACTTTACACTCCCAAGAACTTTCAGAGGTTCAAATGCCTTCAAGGGCCTCACAATTCTAGGGCTAGGCTGGAATAAGGATATCAAAAGAAATAGCTTCAGAGGCATATGAAAGAGGCATGCTCTTGGGAAGGTATCCAACTTCAGAAATATTTACAACCTTATGAACAAGAGATACCAAATGTCCAGTCTGGGCCTATGGTTTTGGCGTTGGTGTTTCGGCTACTTCACCAAAATTAAACCTGAATATTTACAGTATCCAGAAAAATAATAGCAATAAAAATATGATTGTAAATTGAATTCTAAAAACCAAACTCGTTGTGAATCATAACACTCTGCAGAATAAACAATATTATAAATGTATATTTTGTTTTGGCCTTGGTTAGAAAGAAAACACTAATTTTTTAGAAAACTATATACATATTTAGATAGAATAGGCTAAAAGTCTATCCTACACAAATTTCAAATTTAAATACACTGCTACTCAGAACTAACAATATCAGCCTCATTTTATATCTCAAAAGGGATGTGAGCTATAAATAAAAGAAGAATATTATGTTGCCCACACAGTGTCAATTGCACTTGGCAGAGTTTGCTACCATCTCTTTTCACTGGGAGACTTAACAGAGATATAAAGATTTTGCAGTGTCCATAGTTCTGCAGGTGGTTCCTCTCCTCTAAATCTCTGATCTCATCTACATAGTAGCTTTCCAAAGGGAGAATGAAGTTCTGTCAATTTTAACACAGAGGATAATAAAACAGCTAAGCCCACTTAAAAAATTTTTTTCCGTAGGTTATTGGGGTACAGGTGCTATTTGGTTACATGAGTAAGTTCTTCAGTGGTGATTTGTGAGATTTTGGTGCACCCATCACCCAAGTAGTATACACCACACCCTATTTGTAGTCTTTTATCCCTCACCCCCTTCCATCCATTCCCCCCAAGCCCCCAAAGTCCACTGTGTTATTCTTATGCCTTTGTGTCCTCATAGCTTAGCTCCCACATATCAGTGAGAACATATGATGTTTGGTTTTCCATTCCTGAGTTACTTCCCTTAGAAGAATAATCTCCAATCTCATCCAGGTCGCTGCAAATGCCCTTTATTCATTCCTTTTTATGGCTAAGTAGTATTCCACTGTATATATATGCCACAGTTTATTTATCCACTCGTTGATTGATGAGCATTTGGGTTGATTCTATAATTTTGCTATTGCAAATTGTGCTGCTATAAACATGCATGTGCAAGTATCTTAAAAAACAACAACTTCATGCCGTATTATTGTTCATTTGACATCAAGCTCTATAACATTCTATACTTTCTAAATGAAGCAATGCTGAATAAATTATTCATTTTTGTTGGCCAAAAAAATGTTTTCAGATTCTAGCTAAAAATCCAATTCACTAGCACTTTAAAAACCTGACAGAGGAAACCCAGACCCCTATTTATAATTAAGACTGAAGAGTCACCTGCTACTCAACATATCCACACACAAACTCCTTATCTTTGCCCCATTAAGCCTTTTCCTTCATCATAAATTCTTTAGAAGTTACTGAAGGTGCAGTTTAAATAATCATCCATGACATATGTTGTGATTGCCCTGATTACAAGATCTTCTACTTCTCTCTCTTTTGAAACTTTCTAGTATTTGTCTGCAATATTCAGATCCTTCATTTTATGATAATCATTTGTACATGTTTACCAACTCTGATGTCATTGTAAATTCCAAAAAGATGGGCGGTATTGTATTTCTTAACTATTTTACTAAGGAAATAGATAAAAGGATACTTATGATGTGTTCCCAGCTATCAAGAAACCAAGAAGTCCAGCTTCTTAGTGTTCCACAGAGCACCTTACATATCTGTAAAATTTGAGTTTTTTATTAAAAAAATGGGATTCTTAGCCCATAACAATAGCTGTAAAAAAATGCAGACAGTGAAATTTTTTAATTTATTGGACTTCATTTGAAGACATCATTTTTTAAAACCCACCAAAATGACAGCATAAAAAGGAGCAAGGGCAATGAATTAATACTGTGAATTGTATTAATATATTTTTAGAAACAAAGGATAACTGTAGTAAATAATAACATTGCAGGTTCTGTTTTCTTGATTTGTTTTTTGTTTTTAAAATAACTAAGCAATTAAAAGGAACACATTTTAATATTAATAACATTATTTGTGGTTAAGGGATGCAAAAATGATTACAAAGAATAAATCAGATCTAGCATTTGACAGCACAACAGGGTGACTATAGTCAATAATAAGTTAATTGTACCTGAAATAATAACTAAAAGTATAATTGACTTGTTTGTAACACAAAGGATAAATGCTTGAGGTGATGGATGCCCCGTTTACCCTGATGTGTTTATTACACATTGTATGTCTGTATCAAAATATCTCATATACCCCAGGAATATATGCAACTACTATGTACCCACAAAAATTAAAAATTTTAAAAATGACTTAAATGTCAGGAGTAGAAGTGCTCTATTCTCTCCCCTTGAGTGGGAAAGTCTAATTTGACATTTTAAAATTACCGTTTATTTACTGAAAATAAAAATAAAAGTTCAAACTAAAAAAATAGTTAGATTAAGTAAAATATTTCATATTAACTAAAATAGGTACTTACCAAATAATGCAACTGTATATTACAATGTGCAGTTCATAGTTTTTCACTGTTTTAATATTTAAATACAAGTAAAACTGTAAGTTGTCACAAAGAATGATAGAATTGAAGTAAGTCAAGTTCTGTTTCTTCGTGTTTACAATGTGCTGCCATTATTTATTTTGATCCACTGTTTAAATAGAAGAATATGTGTTACCATGGTAGTTAGAGAGAGAACTGCACCCACCAGTGTGTGTGTGTGTGTGTGTGTGTGTGTGTGTGTGTGTGTGTTTAGGGAGAGGCAAATCTATCCAAAGAATATTCCAAAGTAACTTTCATATAGAATATAACATTCATCAAAGGTTAAGTAATAAAACATTGCCAATGGGAAGCTCACATCCATGTTATTAAAACCCAACAGTTACTACAACGATCTTTTAGAATTTAGAGATCTTTTTCTGGCAGGAGTATTTTACCATGGTATTGCTTAGAGTCTGCTGATGCCTGGTGATAATAAAAAGCAGACTGACTTTAGTGAGTTTTATTGCTGTTTTCAAATCTTTCCATACAGGGAATTTCTTGATCCCAGCCCCACCCACACTATTCCACTGCCTGAAACCTGCCATCCTTAACTGAGATCAGGAATGTTCAAAGACCTAGCAACAGGCCTCATCAAGTTATTTTATGGCAGTGATCACAGTGGTGACTGTTAATCATTGGCAGAGTTACCCTTTGCAAAGTACACAGAGGCTTCTTTTTAAACCACTTTCCAGTTTAGCACACTAAATGAGGATGTTTGTTTGGAATGTTACCACAAACAGATTTAAATGGTTTTCCTATGATACTATGAATTTTCTTTTAATGCTCAAATGCATACAAGTTCTTAGCTGTCAAATTAACAAGATAATTCCTTCTCTTTTCACTTGCTGTAGTAATAGCAGTATAATTAGGAGTGCAGCTCCAGAAGAGACTGTTTAACTCCTCAGCTCCTCGGTCAAAGCTTATTTCTTTTCCCCAGTTTCACAAACTATGAGCAGTGGGGTCTCGGACAAATTTCCCAACATTTAAAATGCGTGGTAAAATGATTACAGTAGTACTTGCTTTCATAGAGTGGTTGCAGGGATTAAATTAGATAATTTGTGTAGAGTAGGTCTCACACTATCTGAGATACTGAATGACAAAACATGCAAAATTGTTCGCTCCTGCTATTATTAAAATAGAATAATCTGAGAAAAGAAAAATAGCTCAGAGCAGTCAGATATGTAAAGTACGCAAACTTTATCAGGCTTGGAGAGACATGAGTTCATACAAGTCATCCATGCCCAGGGGACAAATGTTTAAAGGCATCTTATTCCCAGCTAGCTGCTTATGTTCATGTTCTTGGAGTTTGTGATACAAAGAATAATGTACAGCCAATCAATAGCTTATGTTATTTTAATGTAAATTCTTGGTAAACAACATAGAAGTTGCCTCCTTTTCCCCCTTAAAAACCCACATGTAACTGCTGCTAATCAAAGTGTATATTCAGGGCACTTAATTCTGTGCCTAGTGGCCACCCTCAAGCTTTGGCTCAGAGAAACTCTGTACGTGATGGTATTTTCTGAATCTGATTATTTGAGGTTGACATGATAAATCAAACCAAAGTATCTGACCTCCCCCAACCTCTCACCTCTCCCTAAATGCTACATTGCTGCTACCACAAAGAGGGGTAAATTGCAGAATTTTTCCGCCATTCTTTGCTCTCTTAGTTTTTAAAAATCTTTTAAATTTAATCTCTCATATCTTCATTTGTCATTCCAAACTGGAAATAATTTTGTGTGGTGTCACAGTATAAAACATTAACCATTTTGCCAATGAAATATTACCATTTCTAGATTTTTTAAAATCTGACATCTCAACCATTTAAGTTTTGGGGACCCATTTCAAGTTAAGGACTCTATTCATTTAAGAAAA
Source organism: Homo sapiens (assembly GCF_000001405.40). Taxonomy (NCBI): domain Eukaryota; kingdom Metazoa; phylum Chordata; class Mammalia; order Primates; family Hominidae; genus Homo; species Homo sapiens. The sequence continues at coordinate 15,661,247 of NC_000021.9, forward strand.
ATTTTTTTAATGCCAAGGTAGACTAGTACCAAGTTAAATCTCAAAAACTAACCATATTCTGGTATTATAAGGAGCTGCCTGCAAGAAAAATATTTTTCTAATCCAAAAACTTTCAGAATAAGTGGAATATGAACGTGAACATGGCAGTAAGCCAAAATTTCCATCAATGCATAATGAAACCAAAGGAGATATCAAACCCAAAATTCTTTACTTAGGAAAAAAAAACGCTCAACTTGACACCAATAAAAGGTTACAACCTTTTCAAAAGCAAAAAGCTTTTCAAAAAGCCCTTCACAAAGTTATCAAATGAGATACTGGATTATTTGAATATGGTGACAGAGGGAAACATTTTGATCGGCTGATCAGCTGAAAACAAACTCATTACACTCCCACCTCACCAACTAGTTTAAAGTCAGGAAAAAAAAAAGGTTATTAGCAACTGGAAACTTTTTCACAAAAATATATGCCTATTGTCTTGGTGCGGTGGCTCATTCCTGCAATCCCAGCACTTTGGGAGGCTAAGGCAGGAGGGTTGCTGGAGCCTAGGAGTTTGAGACAAGCCTGGGCAACATAGTAAGACCTGGTCCCTACAAAAAAATTGAAAAATTTGCCAGGTGTGGTGGTGTGTGCCTGTAGTCCCAGCTACTCAGGAGGCTGAGCCTGCAAGGAGGCTGAGCCTGCAAGATGGAGGCTGCAGTGAGTCATAATTGTGCCAGTGAACTCCAGCCTGGGTGACAGAGCTGTCATATACATATATACATATAATATTATATAATTTTATAATATATTAATATAGATCCATAATAATATAGATCTATATTAAAACATCAATATTAAAACAATAATGTATATTGACTCAGTTGTTATCAAATTCAACTTACATAGTACCTTATAAATGTTTTATGAAAGTAAATACCAGTCTGTAAATATTTTTTCCTAAATTTGTAAATAAATTGTATTAAATCTTTAGTACGTAGGTTTTATTGGTTAATTCTAATAATTCTGCATTAAAGACTGGTATTAAAGCAGTATTTCAGTATTTTTCAAATCAAACACTCAAGATACATGTATTTCAGTCACTCTATTCATGTTCTCCTAGCTCGCTCTGGAGAAAAGAAAATATTTAAAATATGTCTTCAGCTCATTTTCACATTCAACTGATTTCATCCAACCTCTGGCTAAGTAGGAAATATGTGCCAGATTAAAGTTTGATGATCAGCAATTTTTTTTCTATACTAACATTTTTTTCTGCTTACAGAACACTGTTCTATCATTTTCAGTACATTTCACAGAGGATCACATAGGCAAATTTAGATGTCCTTAATGTTCACTTATTTCTGCATACAAAAGTCAATCAGATATCTAGTTACCTTATGTTCCAAATAAAAATATGTTCCAATATATTGATGTTGAAAGAAAGAAGAAAGGATTACATGGAGCATTTTTGATGTCACCTTGAAGAAATTGTCATACACCATCTGCTGGTTTATTGAGCATACATAATAGCAATGTTGATGAATTCTTCTTTAATAAATGATACATATTGACATAACCACCAAATATATCCTAATGACCAGAAACATATCAAGGTGACTAGAAATGGATCCAGCTTAAGTTATCCATGTGTATTTTGAATCTGTGAAGTGACTAATACTCTAAATAATCTATTTTGTGCTATGCTTCATTTATAAAGACTTGTAAGTGCGCCTTTCAATCTAGCTCACAAAAGAGGTTCATGGTCTTCTTTGTCTTCATTGTCTCTGTGGGCTGTCTTCTGAGAATTCTTACCCCATTAAGAATATACAGGCTGAAGAGGTCAGTCTACTAGCATGTCAAAAATAATTTAGAAACCATTCTCTCTGTTTTATGCCTTGATTGACCAACATGAACGTGTTGGGAAAATTACACCTATAGCCTATAAATGGAAATTATTCCATAAATCATTGAGATCAAAGTCTTCAATAACTTCCAAACAAAAAAGAAATGAAACATGACTTATTAAGCAGAAAAGCTGGGAGTTCAAATATGGGTAAAGAGGAGGGAGGAAGTTTGCTATATAATTAATAAGTAATTAAAAATAAAGGAGACTTTTATGAATCATGTGAGAGAAAATCATGGAATACTTCAGAATCACAATTTTAGAACTTAGCTTATGAATGGATCCATAAACTGAAAGACTCAAATGAAAATGGAAATACTCAGTCAATCATTGGATCACTGGTATTGTGGTATGCTTTACAGTTGACAGTATTAGAGTTTGGTTCAGGAACTGGAAATCACTTAGGTATTTTAAGCAGGAAAGAAATCAGATCAATAATTATAAATTGTGTAAAATCCTTGGAAGAACTGGAGACCTGAAGGCAGGGCTGGGCCTCCAGGTCTGACCTTTGCTAGATTCAGGAAGATGGAGAATCAAGGATAGCTGATGAAGCTCTAGAGTTTAAAGAAAAGGAAAAAATGCTTCCACTGCTGTGCCGCAAGGATTAAAAAGCAACTGCCAGAGTAACTCCCTCAGGAATGGAGCACTTACCCCATGAGACCAGCTGCCTCCTCAGGACAATTTCTTCCTGACACCTTTGAAACTTACGGATGAGTTTTTCTGCTACGCACGAACTCTACTTCTCAGCTCCGCCTGCTAGCAGAACACAACATCGAGCAACCAAGAGATGGTCTCTGGCTCCTTTCTGGATTCCTAAGCTCTGGCATCCACATTGGCATCCACAATAAGTTCAAAAAATTGAACTTATTTTAAATACATAATGATAGATGAATGAGAGCCTGGGTATCGTAGTTTGGTCTTCAAGCCTTTGCAATACAGAAAGGCCCACTTTCAGAAAGCCAGCAAGTTGGATATTTGCACCAGTCAACCACATTCATTATTATTTACAAAGTCTTTTCATGGTCACAGTGCTACATACTCTTCATAAAAACAAATTCGAATAGATGGTGTTATTCCCATTTTACAGAGGAGGAAATTTACAGGTTGAAGTTGTACCATGTCTAAAATTACATATGAGGCCAGGCCTGGTGGCTCCTGCCTATAATCCTAAGCCCTTTGGGATGCCAGGGTAAGAGGATCACTTGAGGCCAGGAGTTTGAAACTAGCCCAGGCAACATAGTGAGGCCCCCGTCTCTACAAAAAAATTTTTAAAAAGAAATTAGCTGGGAGTGGTGGTGTGTGCCAGCAGTCCTAGCTACTTAGAAAGCTGAGATGGAAGGATTGCTTGAGTCCAGGAGTTTGAGGTTACGAATCTCTTCATAGACTGCTGTGATTACATAGTTATGATTGCACCACTGCACTCCCGCCTGGGTAACAGAGTGAGACCCTATCTCTGAAATAAAAGTAAAATAAAATAACTTGAAATAAGGTGCTAGAATCAGTAACTTAATAACACAAATTTGCTTTGAAATCCTCCTATTACTACTACACTGCTTCTACATGTATTTGCTAAGTAAAGCCAGTATGTTTCTTGGTTATCAAACATCTAAAAAGAAAACTTCAGGCCAAGTGCAGTGGCTCACGCCTGTAATCTCAACACTTTGGGAGGCTGAGGGAGGAGGATTGCATGAGCCCAGGAGTTTGAGACCAGCCTGGGCAATATAGTGAGACTTCATCTCTACCAAAAAAAAAAAAAAAAAACAAGCAAAAAAACTTAGCCAATCATGGTAGCATGATCCTGTAGTCCCAGCTACTTGGGAAGCTGAAGTGGAAGGATCACTCGAGCCCAGGAGGCAGAGGTTGCAGTAAGCTGAGATTGCACCACTTCATTCCAGCCTGAACGACAGAGCAAGACTCTTTCTCAAAAAAACAAAACAAAAAAGAAACAGATCTATTTAGTTAAAACGTAACAAAGGAAGACGATTACCATGGTTGAATGTTGGTGTACCCCCATAATTTATATGTTAATCCTAACCCCCAATGTAATGGTATTTGAAGGTAGGGCCTTTGGGTGATGATTAGGTCATGAGAGTGACGCCCTTATGATAAGGATCCGTGACCTTATAAAAGGGACTCCAGAGAGCTAGTTAGTTCCTTCTGCCATGTGAGGACACATCTAGAAGTACCAGAAAGTGGGCCCTCGCCAGACACTAAATTTGCTGGAACCTTAATCTTAGACTTCCCAACCTCCAGAACTGTGAGGAATACATTTCTGTTGTTTACAAGCTACTCAGTTTATGGTACTTTGTTATTGTAGCCCAAATGGACTGAGACAACCATCCAGTAAAAAACAGCATCTACCTCTATAATAAATATAAAAAGTTATATTCTAAAATGGAATAACAATGGGTTTATTGAATCAAAGACATTGATTGCCTAAAATTCATTACCCAAAGAGGTAGTTGGGTATCAAAATTCCTGATATAGGGGAAATGTTCACTGTATAATAGCTTTAAATGACAGAAATTATGGAATGCTATACAGTGTTCTTATTATTTGTTAATTTTTAAAAAGATTCAACATTAATGTTTTTCTTGGAGACAGGGTTTCGCTCTGTTGTCCAGGATGCAGTACAGTAGCATGGTCGTGGCTCACAGAAACCTTGAACTCCTGGGCTCAATCAATCCTCCCACTTCAGCCTCCCAAGTAGCTGGGACCACAGGGGTGCATTACTATGCCTAGCTAATCTATTTTTGTAAAGGCAGGATCTCCCTATATTGCCAGGCTGGTCTTGAACTCCTGGGCCACTGTACAGTATTATCTTAGCTTAGAAAAAATATATGAAGACTACATCAAAATTAAATAGGTAACTCTGGATGATGGCATTTTGAGTGCCTTTATTTTTTTCATTACTCCATCTTCCAAACTATCATATTTGAATTTTTTAAAGCAATAAATAGTACCCTTAAGAAAAAGTAAAAACTTTTTTAAGAGAATTAAAGCATTTAGAAATAATAGCCAAAGGGCAAGCATAGATAGAGGTATGGTAGGTAGGTTATCAAAATAAAAATAGTTGAAGATAAAGTTTTTAAAAGTGTGATTCATATTAAGAAGGAAAGGAGAAAATGTTCTCAACCGTCTCCGCATGTTTTTTAAGCAAAATCCTAGGACTATTAAAGATTCTTGACACATACAGGAGAGTCAGATTGTATTTCAAATAGATTTATTTTCTTTTTAAATCATGAAATATCACTTATATTTATTAGTTTAAAAATCCATTTTATAAACACAAATTCTCTGATAATTAATAAAACTAAAGCTATACATGAGCTATAGACAGTGTTTGTCCTCAGTGAATATCTTAATTGACTCATTTTGTTGTTGTTGTTTTAGCAACAGTGTCTTATTCTGTCACCTAGGCTGCAGTGCAGTGGGGTGATCATAGCTAACTGCAACCTCAAACTCCTGGGTTCAAACACTCCTCCCACTCTAGCCTCTGGAGGAACTGGGACTATAGGCACGCGCCACCAGGCCCAGCTAGTTTTTCAATTTCCTGTAGAATTGAGGTCTTGCTCTGTTGGCCAGGCTGATTCGGAACTCCTGGCATCAAGCAATCGTCTCTCCTCGGCCTTCCAAAATGCTGGGATTACAGGCATAAGCCACCATGCCAACTGGCTTATTTATTCTTAATCTTAAATTTATTGAGTATATAATCATTCAAACAATTTTAAAATCATATTCACTCTTGAATTTTTAAAACATCTGCCACAGGTGGGAGAAATGTAATCCAGCTTCTCATTTTCCAAACCCATTGTAATTTAGCCTCTAAAATAAAACCCTTAAAAATCTGAACAAGTAATCAGTATTGCTTAACTGAAAAATGATTGTCATGATTAGTTATTGAATAAGTTTCATTTGTATTTGTTTGGTATTGGTTTCGCTCACTGGATGAGATTATTTAGTAAGCAAATAAAACTTTGAAATTTTTACAACTGTTGGTGAAATCTCTTTATAGATTGTGAAACATCTGTTTAATTCTCATTTGGTGGTATAAGGTACTCAAAGATGAATCAGTAACAAGGAATTCTTTACTCATGTTTTAACTTCTAACAAAACAAAATTGTGTAACCATCCAAGAGGAATCTAGAAATACTTGTTGAATTAATATGTCTATAGATCACCAACATTAATGATTTCTGTATAGTCTGGTTATGAGGCTACCCTATGTTTTCATCATCTGGATTTTTTCTTTCTAACTTCAAATATTATTTTTGAAATAAACCTCAGATGCTAAAGTGAATAAAATAAATAAAATAAAAGTGAAACCCTGTACATTTGAAGTACAGAACTTTATCTTAAATACATAGAAATGATACCTTTGTTTTAATGCCAATAAACTAGAACTAGAATAACACATTTATTTTCTTCTGGATTTTGAAACACTACACACACACACACACACACACACACACAAATACACACACACATGCATATAAATAACTCTGGCTCAGATAATGTGATTTTTAAAAGCATGCCAATTTGGTTGTGAATTATTACACCAGTAAGATATAATTAGAGAATCATTTATTTCCTTCATAAGTATACTGACATTAATAACGCTACTCCTCAAATGACCTTTCAGACTTCACCTCTGGACCACAGCCCATCATGCTTTGCATTGTGTTATTGATACACTGGTACTAAATTAAACTCAGATTTAAGGAGCTATCTTGAAGAAATCGGCAAATACTGTACGTGAATACAAACTTGAATATCCATGGATAATTTATAGCTTCTTACGTCAAATGTTGATGGAAAGCATTTGAGAATAGATTGTGGATTAAGCAGGGATGACATTTCAAGTGGACTGAATGGGGATTAGCTGCTACTGTTCTGGAATCTCAGGCCTATGGAATGCTAGCCTGCTAGACTGTTCCACTCACACATACTAGCTCAACAACAGATCTCGTAGCTATCGGTGCCACTCATCCCCAATAGCCGATGCCCTTCTAGTGGCATCTCCATCTCTGTTTCCCAATTGCTCACTTTTTCTCCCCAAAATATATTCCGATCCTTTTCAAAAATAATTCTGTATTTTCCCAAGCTTAGCGGTCTCCTCTCTGACTTCTCTATTCAGACATTACTGTATTCTATATGTCTATTCAGAAATATATTCTCTATTTAGACATTAGCCCAGACATTCTTGGTAAATGATTTGTAGTCTCTATTACTACTATTAGTGACAGCATTGAAAATCTAGTTGGCCACAGAAGGCACTCATACCATAGTCAACACTGCATCAGTACTCACGTCATTTATTGTACTTAACTATCTGGGCTCATTTTTTGCCATCACTCTCCACCGCCAACCTCCCCCAAGTTATGAACAGACTGTATTTGCAAGTAGTCTTTATGTATTTAGGGAAAGCAAGCAGATTTGACTATTGCCCAAAAAAAGTACTGTAATGCTAATCTACTATGAAATTATGTCATGACCAACACAGAGAATACAGGGATTCCTTTATTCATTGTTTTGGGGAAAACCTATATTTGTTTAGAATCATGAAATTTTCATATTGGGAAAGAAGTTGTTCCTTATGTGGTCATAATTAAGAGATGTCAGTATTAAGGGACCCAGACACAGGGATGTTCATGTGAATTTGAATCAGGTAATGGGCATAGGCAGATGTATACTAAATAAAGAATTTAATTTTGGTTAACAGTCACTAAGTACATCTTCCTTAACTTTTCCCTCATTTTTTTCTCATTTATTTAAATTGTCCTATCTTAAAAACCCAAAGTGGCAGCTGGGTGCAGTGGCTCACGCCTGTAATCCCAGCACTTTGGGAGACTGAGGCGGGTGGATCACCTGAGGTCAGGAGTTCAAGACCAGCCTGACCAACACTGAGAAACCTTGTCTCTACTAAAAACACAAAATTAGCTGGGCGTAGTAGCGCATGCCTGTAATCCCAGCTACTCGGGAGGCTGAGGCAGGAGAATCGCTTGAACCCGGGAGGCGGAGGTTGTGTTGTGCCGAGATCATGCCATTGCCATTGCATTCCAGCCTGGGCAACAAGAGCGAAACTCCATCTCAAAAAAAAAAAAAACAAAAAAACACCAAAGTGGCTAGTGGGATATGATCAGGGAGTGGTGAGATGGGAGAAGAGAGTGGATTTTGACAGGTTTTTGTGGATTATGAGAAGTGGTAGAAGAATTGAAGCTTCTGCTGTCCCTGTCAGACCAAAGGAGTAGGAGGAGTTCCTGCTGTGAACTGAGAAGCTGGTGATGTTATCTCAAACGCAGCCAAGCTCTTTCCAAAGTAAGAATCAGTAACTGTTTATATAAAGGGCAGGATTGCCCAACTGCAATCTGTTTGTGAGATGGGTGTTAAAATGCTTTGGGGCACCTCCCACTACTCCTGATTATAGGGAATTAGGTTAGCATTGTTGAGGGTAAGGGTTTGAGGACGGTGCTTGACACCTACCTCCCCACACCTTTCAGAGGTGTATATCAGTAATACAGAGGAACTGTCAAAAATACAAGAAATCAACTAAATCAATTACGATCCTGAAGTTGCATTGTTATGTGCTTACTAACAGTGAGAACATTTTGTTGGAAAAAATAGTATAAAGTATACTAACCTAAAAATGCTATTAACACTTTGATCCAGAGATGATACAAAAATATTTTACAACTGGTATGGCATAAACAATGACCTATTAAAATGAGCACAGACCAGACTGTTGGGAAAAGGGCTCTAGAGGTCTGCTGATACAGGGAAGGGGCTGAGATGAACAAGGTGTTAACATGTACTTCACTCTTTAACAACTGGCACAGACGAAACCTTGTGTATACTACCCGAATATTAGCCCTGCCTTTTCCTAATTTGTGTATACTACCTGAATATTAACCCTGTGGATGATATTACCAATCCCACCACTCTTGGTCTCTAACAGCCTGATGTTCTGCCTAATATTGAAAAGGACTTGCTTATTCACAATGGCACATGACTTTGCATCTCTTGCTGTATACGTTTTTTTTTTATTTATTTATTTTTTGTTTTTCTTTTTGAGATGGAGTCTCGCCCTGTCACCCAGGCTGGAGTGCAGTGGCACAATCTTGGCTCACTACAACCTCCGCCTCCTGGGTTCAAGTGGTTCTCGTGCCTCAGCTACCAAGTAGCTGGGATTACAGGCGCATGCCACCACGCCTGGCTAAGTTTTGTACTTTTAGTAGAGACGGGGTTTTGCCATGTGCCCAGGCTGGTCTCGAACTCCTGACCTCAGGTGATCTGCCCACCTCGGCCTCCCAAAGTTCTGGGATTGCAGGCATGAGCCACCATGCCCGGTCTTGCATATATATTTTACTGCACTTCAATCATTTAGCATTTTAACATTGACTTGTTATGGTTTCTTTACCAGAAATTTTGATTCATATGAAAATAATGTCAAAACAAATTCTGTTGTTTTTCACAAAAATTCTGAGTTTGGCTGCCATATTAATCAAGGGTAATAATGTGTGAAATAGTGGAATATTTCATTGAATGTTCGGTCAGCATACAGCTACTGCCACTATAAATTTAGATAATAATAAAATCTCATGTCGACTGTGTATCAAAATTTATCAGTAAACGGCAAATGGTTAAAACAGCCATGAGTTTTTAAAGAGTATTGGTATTAAAATTTGCGATTCTTAGGATGTTTTATATATGTCTTATTCTACATATGTCAAACGGTTAGATATGCCTTCTTAAGTTCAGCTGGGTATGGTTTTTATGTGATTACTTCAGCTAATCTACTGTTGAATGTAGTGATTGTGGTAAAATCATACCTAAGAATTTATCAACAAATAGCGGCAAGTAACAAGTAGGTAAATAACTATAGGAATTATGTTTATATGCCAATGCTTAGTAAATCTTTTTGAAGTTAAGCTTTGAATTTTACACATTGCTGTATTAAACAACTCCAACTATTTTGACTTTAAAAAGTGCAAAAAATTGTTTATAAGAAATTAATGCCTTCCTAAATATTTTTATATGATTGAAATTGTAAAGGGTAAAAGTATAAGTAATGCAGAATTATTTCTGAGAACTCTAAGAAGAAATCTAAATACAATAGTAATAAGAAAACAAATGGTCTAAGAGCCAAGACAAAACTCTGTCACATCTAAAATGGAAATAGTACTCTGAAATAAGAAAGAGTAACTAGAAATGGAAAGCCCCAGTTGCAGTCAGCCGAGATCACAGCCACAACTACCCAATAAGAAGAAATGTAACATGGGAAGGATGTTTCTAATATCGGTACTTAGGTCAGCTATAATGCCTGGCTTGCAAATCACAGAAAGTACAACTCAAAGTAGCTTAAAAATGAGAGTATTGTATTGGCTTATATAACTGCAAAACCCAAAGTTAGGCCTTGTTTGAACGGTGCTTGAGCTACCTGTGCAAGCATATCACCAAGGATACAGTTTCTTTGTCTTTCCAGAATGTTTTCTGCAGAGCTGGTTTCATTCTAAAGATGACTTTTTGTAATATCATGATGACTACAAACATCTCTGGAACACACACTTCCCAGAATACATTTGCACCATAGAGGAGAGTGTATGTGTCTTAGCATTCTCAGCAAATGTCTCAAAATTAATTATCTTTGCATGGGCTAATGCTACATGCCCACCTGCTGAACCACACTTTGTATCCAGGGAGGTAGAATTAACCGATTAAAGTAGCTTTGATCACATACTCCATACCTAGAACTTTTTTTTTTAGCTTCCCTGGAGCCATATGGATCCACCGCCATCTCCACCAGAAAAATATCTGCTATTAATACCATTGGGAATAGGGAATAGGGGCTGGGAAGTCATCCAACAAATGTCCTCACTAGTAGAGAAATACAAGAATATTGGGGCAAATTAAACACATTACACAAATACAATAATTGATGTCCTGATGAATTTTCCTCCAATCACGTCTTTCATATTCCTGGGTTACTGCAACCGCTTTTAGGTTTTTTGCTTTTTTTTTCCCCCTGGACAGAGAACTCTGTGCCAGCTGCTGGGTGCTGAGCACTTTTTTTTTTTTTTTTTTAGTATTTATTGATCATTCTTGGGTGTTTCTCAGAGAGGGGGATGTGGCAGGGTCATAGGATAATAGTGGAGGGAAGGTCAGCAGATAAACACGAGAACAAAGGTCTCTGGTTTTCCTAGGCAGAGGTACCTGCGGCCTTCCGCAGTGTTTGTGTCCCTGGGTACTTGAGATTAGGGAGTGGTGATGACTCTTAAGGAGCATGCTGCCTTCAAGCATCTGTTTAACAAAGCACATCTTGCCCAGCCCTTAATCCATTTAACCCTGAGTGGACACAGCACATGTTTCAGAGAGCACGGGGTTGGGGGTAAGGTTATAGATTAACAGCATCCCAAGGCAGAAGAATTTTTCTTAGTACAGAACAAAATGGAGTCTCCTATGTCTACTTCTTTCTACACAGACACAGTAACAATCTGATCTCTCTTTCTTTTCCCCACATTTCCCCCTTTTCTTTTCGACAAAACCGCCATCGTCATCATGGCCCGTTCTCCATGGTCTCTGTCTCTTCGGAGCTGTTGGGTACACCTCCCAGATGGGGCGGCCGGGCAGAGGCCTCCTCACCTCCCAGACGGGGCGGCCGGGCAGAGGCCTCCTCACCTCCCGGACGGGGCGGCCAGGCAGAGGCGCTGCAACGGCTTTTTGTAAGGGATACATAGAAAATAAAAATCATACAGAACATGTAAACACAAAACTCAGCAATAGCATTCCTATCATTTGATGCTAAGACAAAATATATCACTGCCAGTTTTTTAGTCATAGACAATTCATAGGAACTTAATCATTAGATATTAAATCTGAATATGAAGAGGATGTTCATTGACCTTATAATGAAATATGTGAATAAATACAAAATCAAAGTAATATTTAATTAATAACTACTCTACCAGAACAGCATATTTTGTATTAGTTATACGTACTGATATAAATAGGTAGCATTTCCTTGTACTCATTGTTCTGCTGACAAAAATTCTATTATGGGAGAAAAATGGCAATAAAAAACTTATATTTGGATAAAAGTTCTGAGAAATCTTGAAGACTTTTAAGTGGAATGCATTTGAAATTAGAATTCTGAAAGAAATATGAATTTGTGGTAAAATTGTCAATAAAAATTAACACATTTTAAACAGATTAAAGAACACAGAATATGTCTGGACTCCATATGTGAAAATAATATGACATAGAAAATTCAAGTTTTTACTTGAAAGAGGGCTTCATGAGATTAATCTGAGAACAAGAGTAAAATTTTTAGAGGTATAATTTAGTATAAATGAGGAGGACAAAATATTTTCACCCATCTTTTTGGTTTTGTTTTGTTTTGTTTTTTGAGACGGAGTCTCACTCTGTCACCCAGGTTGGAGTGCAGTGGCACGATCTCGGCTCACTGCAAGCTCCGCCTCCCGGGTTCACGCCATGCTCCTGCCTCAGCCTCCCGAGTGGCTGGGACTACAGGCGCCCACCATCACGCCCAGTTAATTTTTTTTTTGTATTTTTCGTAGAGACAGGGTTTCACCATGTTAACGAGAATGGTCTCGATCTCCTGACCCCGTGATCCACCCGCCTCGGCCTCCCAAAGTGCTGGGATTACAGGCGTGAGCCACCGCGTCTGGCCTGTTTTGTTTTTTTGAGACGGAGTTTCACTCTGTCGCCCAGGCTGGAGTGCAGGGCTGTGATCTCAGCTGACTGCAATCTCCACCTCCTGGGCTCAAGTGATTCTCCTGTCTCAGCCTCCTGAGTATCTTGGATTACAGGCGTGCACCCCCACCCCCGGCTAGTTTTTGTATGTTTTGTAGAGACAGGGTTTCGCCGCGTTGGCCAGGCTGGCCTTTAAATCCTGGGCTCAAGTGATCTGCCTGCCTCAGCCTCCCAAAGTGCTGGGATTACAGGCGTGAAGCGCTGTGTCCGGCCTCACCCATCTTTTCTATACAAATTATAAATGAAATAATAGGAATAAAGAAAACCATCTTGTGAATCATAACCATGCCCTCTCCGCTTGTTTAACAGGCAAGGAGACAACTTAAAGAGACCAAAGAACAACTGTGAATTTGTTTAAAATATGACGGTAGTAGAAAACAAAAAATATTTCAGTTTCAGTGAAAGAGAGTGTCTTTGTTTTTAGCTATGTGAAAAAATCACTGAGAACGGTTTTAGAAGATTAATAGTAACTTTACTTGCAGAAAATATAAATCATTGCTAGATTTGTGATGGACCATCTAACCTGAGTGACAAATTCAAAGGTAGCCACTACATTTCAGGAAGACCCAAGAGTTCCATAGACATATACCATACTTTTAAGATTTAGCTATCATGATGCTTCATGAAAATAAAACAAAACCATAAAATGTTTTCAGTGGTATCAGTTCTTTACCTGGTTGAATACTAGCATCTGCAAGAAGACTAATAATTTTCCAAAACATTTTAAGTGAAACTAAATCAAAAACTGCGGCCATCTCTACTGTTGAAAATATGTCACCCTATATATCATTATGCATTACAAATGAACACTCTAAGAACAAATTAAATTAAATTCAGACCTTCTTTACTTGTTATACATACTTCTAGCTGATGGTATCTCACCAGTGATATTTTATTTCTTCTATATTAAATGAAAGATTTCAACATATTTTTGAAAATATAATTAAGTTTTATTTAAGTCTGAAAAAATATTTTTTTCTCATTTGAAGCATCCATTGATGCCTTCTCCTGATATCTAGCCCATTTCCCTATCACTAAAGCATTTATACATTTACAGAGGAGTGATTATGTATTATCCATATTACAGATCCCTCTGGAGGTATCAGCATAAAACAAATAAAAATTGAGTCAATTTCTGCTTAGAGTAAATTAATCTATGTCATATTTCACTCATGATCATTTTTATTTTCTGTTCAAAGGTGCTAATTTAGTCAATTAATTAAAGGAACTTTTTTCTAGCACACACATCAATATGCTTTATCAAATATTGGAAGTTTTTTTTTTCTGTTTACAACTGTAGTGAGATTTAACCAGTGATATTAGACCCTATTTCACTAAACTGAATAGAATCCTTTCAGGAATCAAGAGTCTTTTAGCACTTATTTGTTCTTTAGTTTAACTGTGAAAAGAAAAATAATTCAGCAGGATTCATCAAACAATGCCAAATTATGAATTAAGATACGAATGATGCATTAAGTTTCTTAGTGGACAGATATAGCACATTGTAACAGACAATTTTCTGAGAAATGTAATTTATATTCAGAGATCCACAATCCATAGTGTATAATATGCATGCATATAAATAAAACAAAGTTGATCACCAAATTATTAACTACTGAGCTCTAATATTTTCCTTGCAGTTAACTAAATAAATGAGATCTTCATGGGTCTCTTTTGGGATATCTATACTGTAACAAGAAGATAGGAAATTTAAGCTTAAATCAGTTGTATTAACACCAATAGTGAGTGAAAACTTTCAAGGATTTTTTTTTACATGTTGACATGAAGAGGAGAAAGTAAAATTTAACATTAGTTCATTCAGGTTTTATACTTGTTGGTATTTTACAGATTGAATGTTTATGTGTCCCCTCCCTAAAATTCATGCTTTGAAACATAACTCCCAATGTGATGGTATTTGTAGGCAGGGCCTTTGAATGAGTGTCCTTATAAAAGAGATCCCAGAGAGATACCTCACCCCTTCTGCCATGTGAGGACACAGTAAGAAGATGGCACTCTAGGAACCAGGAAGAGGGCCCTCAACAGACAATGAATCTGTAACCGTGATCTTGGGCTTTCCAGCTCCAGAATTGTGAAAAATGTATTTCTGTTGTTTGTAAGCCATCCAGTCTATATTATTCTATTATGGCAGCCCGAACTGACTAAGGCAGGTAGTGTCTTAGTGTCCTAGGGCTCCTATAACAAAGTACCAGAAATTAGCTCGTTTAAAACAACAGAAATCTGTTCTCTCACAGGTCTTGAGACTGGCAGCCTGAAACCAAGGAGTTGGCAAGGCCATGCTGCCTCTGAAACTCCTGGGGAGGACACTTCCTTCCCTCTTACAAATCTGGGTAAGCTCAAGTGTCCCTCAGCCAAAAGATGGCCTACCAAGAGGGTCATTTGATTAGAAATGCATGTTCACGAGGGGTCTTCAGCATTGACTTATCTATCTCCAAAAGGAATAGCATAAAATCACAGAATTGAAAGAACCTGTGTGTCTCATAACTTGAAATTTGTAAACTACTTACCAGATCATACCATCTATAGTGAACTGTCGATTAATAGTTTCTATAAATTCTGAAGTTAACTTGTAAATAGTAAATTATATTTTCATCTTGAAAGGATTAATCTGTTTAATGTGAACAGGTAAGGTAGACTAGAATTTTATTAACTTTTTTTAAAAAAAACCTTGATTTTTTAATATAAGTGTCAAAAATAAAAAGTGGCCTGTGCCTCTTCAAAATTTTAAAAAATACAAGAACTTAGAAGGTTTTTGTTTCTGAGTCTGGTTTATTGGAGAGTGTGTGATAGGTAACCTCTAGGATGCTATCACCTATGAACCTATGAACCCTGCCTCCTGGAATTCACCCATTGTGTGTAATCCCTTTCCCTGGAGTGTGAGCTGGACTTCTTGACTTGCTTCCAAGAAGAGATTAAGATGAATGTGATGGGATGTTACTTCTAAGATTAAGTTTTAAGAGACTGTGGCTTCCATACTGTTTGTTCTCTTGTGCTGTCTCGTAGATCATTTGCTCTGGACATGCTCCTGGAGAAACTCATGTGATTAGGGAAGTTAGAAACTGATTCCCCATCTAGTTGAGCCTTCAGATGAGACTGCAGCCCCAGTCAAGAGCCTGACTGCAATCTAATGAAAACCTTGAGCCATGCCCAGGATCCCTGATCCACAAAAACTGATAATAAATGTGTATTGTTTTAAGCCTTTGAACCACTAAATTGTGGAGGAATTTGTTATGCAACCACAGATGACTAATAAGGGGGAAGGGGAAAGGCCGAGGATTCTATTATAATATAGTGTTAAGGTCATGTGCTTAGGAATCAGTTTTTCCAATAACTTAAAAACATTTTATTCAAGTAATATATTACTTTAGCTAGATCAAAAATTTCAAATACCAAAGATATAAAAAGAGTAACATTTAATCTCCAATCTCCTTTAATTCTACATCCCTCTCCTGAGTTAATCAAACAGTTATTTTCCCAAACATTTTCTCTGCATTTACATTTTCATATATGATTTTTTATTTCACAGGAATGACATGGAATAGTCTACAACCATTTTTTAAATTAACCAGTCCTGAAGACCTTCCCACAGATGTACACAGATGTCTAATTTTATTATTTTAGCTGCTGCTGAAATCAATAACATATCTATAACACAATTTTATTTAATCTACCCTGACTATTACACATTTGGGTTATTTCTAATATTTTACTCTGACCAAAACTGTTGCAATTAATAGACTTGTGCTTATCTTTTTGTGCTCATGAACTAGGTGTTTCTAAGACAGACTTGTAGAGGTAGAATTTCAAAGGACATGACAGTTTTTGATAGAAAGACTCAAATTATCCTTTTTAGCAGAATAACAATTCACACTGTCACAGCAGTGTACTCCAATTCTGGTTTTCCCACATCTATGTCAATACTAGATTTTTAAAACAGTTTTAGAACACATTCCACCCGCTTCTTCCACCCCGCAGAAGAATGACGTATTTTGCATTTCTTCTGATTTTCATAATTTACTTTTGAAATGGTTTAGATCTTTAAATCACCTGGGATGTTTTCAGCAATGTTTAATTGACCTATAGATTGAGTTTGGAGAAGATTATAACACTAACAAGAAAATAGGTAGTATTTTCAATGGACTCTAAATTAACCCATTGAATACAAACCTGTTGAATTCCTCATTTCCTTCTCATCAGAATATCCTGCAGTTCTTCTATTACCTAGTTGATAATCTGTAAAGAGTCATCAAATTGAACTGATTAAATTGCCTGGGGGGTTTTGGTCATCTGCCATTGAAAGGTACAGTGACTTCCTAGAACCCAGATCTTGATTTCTACATACTATTATTCACTAAAAAACAAATGAAAAGCCAAATGACAACAACAGAAACTGAGGTTCCTTAGAGAAACGACTAAATCAGCAGCAGGGTTGGAGAAAGTATGAGATAAGACTGGAACATCTTGTGACAGAAAGTATGGAAGTGGTTACAGGATGATGGACACATGCGAAAACGACATGGGAGTGGGCTTGAGAGATCTCCACCTGGCCCAATTAGAACAATTTAGGCATCGACCTAAATAATGATGGTAACTTATTATAATCTACTGAATAAAATAAGAATCCACAAGTCTATGATAGAAATAAATATGTGGAGAAAATAGAGAGAGAAAAGTTTCTTAGAATGCCAACTAATAAACGTAGACATGATGATAGGAAATTACCATTCAGCAACTGTCAAAGCAATACCTGATCTCGGCAAGAATCATCAATGAATGCTAAACCTCGTGAGTGAAAGTAATATGAAAAATAGATTGTATCGGTCAGAGTTCTCCTGAGACACAGATTCAACAGAATCTGTTACATCTCTCTATTTATATTTATATAAAATATAAAATTATACATATAGACATATATTCTATTACACACACACACACACACACACACACACACACACACAGATGTAATTTAAGGAATTGGTGCATATGATTGTGGCGGCTGGCAAGTCAGGCCAGCAGGCTGAAAACAAAGGCAAAATTTCTGTGTTACAATCTCAAGGCAGAATTCTTCCTCTCCAGAAAACTTCAGGTTTTGTTCCTAAAGCCTTCAGTTAATTGAATGATGCCCAATCACATTACTGAGAGTAACCTTCTTTATTTAAAGTGAACTGATTGGAAACAATACTCACACCTACAAAGTATGTTCACAGCAACATCTAGATTTATATTTGACCAAACAACTAAGCACCATAGCCTAGCCAAGCTGACATGTAAATTAATCATCACAGAGATATTTATGTAACCTCAAAATAATTCACTATAAATGTATTAATCATAAAGGGAGAAATACTAGCTTTATAGACATCAAGCTATTCATTTGATCAAAGTTAACATCAAAGTTAGTGGGACAAATCCTCACATGATTCTGAGGTTTTCCTATCAAAAAAGCCCAATATTTTCTAAGTATAAGGGAACCTATGACAGACCCAACTGAAGAATATTCTGTAAAATAATTGGACTATACTCTTATAAAATGTCAGGGTTATGAAAGACGAACAAGACTGAGAAAGTGTTCAATACTAAACGAGGGAACTGGCACGGTGGCTCACGCCTGTAATCTCAGCACTCTGGAAAGCTGAGGCGGGGGCACATCATGAGGTCAGGAGTTCAAGACCAGCCTGGCCAAAATGGTGAAATCCTGTCTCTACTAAAAATACAAAAATTAGCCAGGTATGGTGGTGGGCGCCTGTAATCCCAGCTACTCGTGAGGCTGAGGCAGGAGAATTGCTTAAACCCGGGAGGCGGAGGTTGCAGTGAGCCGATATCACACCACCGCACTAGCCTGGGTGACAGAGAAAGGCTCCATCTCAAAAAAAAAAAAAAAAAAGCAACACATGGTCCTGGATTGGATATTTGACAGTGAGGGGGCGCCAGAAGCTGGAGGAGAAGGCTTTAAAGTACACAATTCATTGTTAGGACAATTGACGAAATTTTGTAAAAATAACATGTGTTAGATAATAGTATATCTATATTGATTTTTCTTACCTGAATAATTATAGTCTGGTTATTTAAGAGTATATACTTTTTCTTAGGAAATACACACTGGTATTTACAGGTCAAGCAGCAAGATTTCTGCAGCCCTCTCTGATGGTTCCAAAAAGTTCATAAATAGATTGATAAACAGACAGGATAATAAAGTAAGTGAGACAAAATGTATACATTGGTCAATCGAGGTCAAGAATATACAAGAGTTATTCACATGATTCTTGTAACTTTTCACTAAACTCAAAATTATGACCCAAAAGAGCAATGTTTACAATGTGTTTCTCATCGTATTGGTAATTTACATTTTTTTGGAAGTGGAAATTTTTTTTCAAATATTTTGGCTATAGGTCTGTTTCTTAGATACTTAGTTCAACACAAACCCCACCATTTAATTCTCTAAGGAATTTAGGAGCTCTCTTTCCCACAATTCAATTTCCAATAGATACTATGATTACTATGAAACCTATGATTTATAGATTTCAAAGTGCTGTACATCACAAAACAGCATGGGATTAATTTAAAAGTGTTCAGAATTAGGAGACTAGGCTAATAGTCCAGAGCCATGAGTGCTTATATTTAAGTATTCAACAATATAAATGAGTACATTACTCACATGAATACTAAGATTCTTACTGTTGATGAACTATTTTGTAATACTATTAACCATTTTTAATTAAAATTATCATTGCGTATGTTGAGTTTTAACGTAGAAAGAGAATAAGACTCCTTCGGGAGGTAGTTTTTTTTGTTTTGTTTTGTTTTTTGAGGCAGGCTTTCACTCTGTTGCCCAGGCTAGAGTGCAGCAGCATGGTCACAGTTCATATGAGCCTCGACAACCCCGGGCTCAGGTGATTCTTCTGCCTCAGACTCCCAAATAGCTGGGACTACAGATGTGTGCTACCATGCCCAGCTAACCTTTTAATTTTTGTAGAGATGATGTTTCGCCATGTTGCCCAGGCTTGTCTTGAATCCAGGAGATAATTATTATATGGATATACTTAGGAATATTTTTAGTGATCTAAGTAACCAGAAAAAGAGGATCCCTTATTATTCTACCTTCTGACTAGGCTTCACTGAAAACTCTGCTTGTTTTTATGCATAACAAAACTCAGATAATAACTGGAGAGAAATAACAATTCATTCTTCACAGTAATTCATGCAATTTAGTAATTAAAAATATTAGTTTCCATTTTTATTCCTGGTTCAAATGTGGTAAATGCAAACCAGAAAAATTATTAGTCCGATATTGCTAATTAAAACATTCTGTGTCTGTGAGTTACACTTTTAGAAATCAAAAACAGCAATGGATAAAGAAAGTATATTTTCAGAAATGTAGATTTGTTATTTAAAAATAAAAAGCAGAAATTTTGACAAAAGATATTCTTGAAGACGAACTGGCCATACTGTTCAAAACTGTGTGGTCGTGGTTTTGAATATGAATGCAATTTCTTATGTATAAAAATAGTTATTTCATGAAGAATTGTACTTCAGTGGAAAATATAATTGAGAGATTACAATTTTTAAAAAATCATTTACTGCTATTGAAGGTACTGGTAAGTTTCTTTAATAGTTTTACAAATTCCATCCCACTTAGTACTATGGCAATATAAAATTCTATCTAGCACATAAATTCTAATTTAATAAATCAACAAAGTATTGTTATGTTTTACTGTGGTTACTAACAACCTTAAGGTCTGTGGCCATCAAGGCAAAACAGTCTCCAATCAAAGCCTGGAATGAAGGAGTTAACCATATTATCCATGTGATTTTTGTACACTAAAGAATTAGGTTCTCTAATGTAAATATATATATTATATATATATGTGGTTGTTGACAAACATTTTGGACAACTGATTAGATAACAGAGTGAAATGATAACTAGAAAGTTATTCTGCAATCTAAGTACTGTTTGATAGTACATATTCTTGGAGAATACATTCCAAACTTAGAATATTTAGGATATTAAATCGTTTCCAGTTACTTTTTCATTCTCTGATTAGATCACAATTTTATCAGTATATGAAGTCGCCACTTGTTTCACTAAAATGAGTGTCGTGATGAGGCAGCATTATATTTCTTCATTAACAACAGTGTTTGTGTTTCAGCCGTGTTTTCAGAAAGTTATGATAGAATCATTCTGATTCCTTTTTAATGTCTTGGCCTATTTGTGAGGAAAGGCAAATATAGGAAACACGGCTGAATCCAAACTGCTGTCCGTTAACTGAACCTATATTTGAAATAAAAGTATTACTTTAGCTATAACCATAATATTCTTTCATAAAATGACCTAAAGACAATGGCAGTTGCCTGATGGAGCAGCTTCCTGTGTAAGATGACTGCCTAACTAGAATTTATGTGCAGTATTTAATGTGTGGAGTTGCATTTTGAAACCAAGAACTTTGCTCCCCTTCCACGGCTACTGCTCTGATTCAAGCTACTACCACTTCCTCCCTGGACTTACGCAATATCCTGAATGATCTCCCTACATCTTCTCTTGCTCAATTAGAATTCATTTTTACATAGTAGCAGAGTAACATTACATTCCTGTTCAAAACCTTCCTGTGACTTACAATTGCACCTAAAATTGAAATGTACATGATCCGACCACAACCTCCCTCTGCTGCTTTGGCCCATCTGGCCCTCTTTCTGTTTTTCTGATAGATACACCAATGTGGATTCTGCCTTGGGTCCTCTGCATTCCTGGTCTCCTCTGCTCTTCTACCATCTCTTTTCCAGGCGTGCTCCTTCCCATCATGCAGCTCTCAACCCAAAGGTCTCCGTTCCAGATCTGCCTTCTCTGTAAGTTTCTCAACACACCTTTGCATTGTCTTCATAATATTTACCACTATCTGTCATTACCTTGTTAGTTTATGTGTCTTTTTTCTTCCTAATGAAAATAAAAACTCAGCGAGTATAAGGATATTTGTTCCTAGGAGGATGTCTAGTATAAAGGGGGAACTCAATAAATATTTGTTTTATAAAATGAATCTTCAAAACTGGTATCATTTTTCTGCTGTAATTGAAACGTTATTGTCCTAGTGTTATAAAGTGTGTAGATATTATTTTCCTTTAAGCATTTACATGACACAGATTCTGATCATTGTTGGATTTGCAAACAACACTTAATTGAAAGAAGGAAGTGGCAAACGGTTATGTCTTGCTTCATTGCAGTGAAATAATATTTATTATTCTATTGTTTAAAACATTGAGCAGGCAGAGTCTGCTTCCTGGAAATAACATGAGTCAGATTCTAACCATGTGCTGATTGCATATTCTCCATTGTAATCATAGGATCAGACACAAATGAAAACTGTGCACAAACACCTCTCTGGGCACTTGAGCATTGGACAGTCAACAGGAGCCCTTCACTAGATTCAGCTTCTTAAGGTTCAGCTTCCTACCTAGCTCTAAATCTATACCCTCAGCACCTGGCATAGTACATGGTGATGGATATAAGATGAACAAATAATATAGGTGAAAATTGATCAACCTACTATTATCAGTCATCAATAAATGAGAAAGGTTGGCTCTAAAACTTTATTTCCAAGCCAGGCATTTTTCTATGAGAAAATAAGTTCCTGATTCTAATGTTAGCTGTCTAAGTTAGCTCATTTAAAAGCAAATTTTACATTCATTTTTCATCAATATTTATTAAGTTTTTTCTGTGCTAGGCAATATGGATACAACGGTAGAAAAACCAACACAGATCCTGTTTTCAGGGAACATACGGTCATCTAGAGTCACAAATATGATCAGCCAATCAGCCAAGCATATATTAATAATTATGAATTGTGATAAGCACATTTAAAGAAGCTATGGGAGTATATGGCAATAATATATGATTTAGTCTGAGGGGTCAAAAAAGGCTTTGATGAGAAGGTGACTTTTTAGTCGAGATCGGAAAAATGATTAAGAATTAAATAAAGTGAGAAGTTTGAAGAGAGTTGTAGTTATGGGGAGAAAAGAGCATGAACACAGACCTGAGGTGGGAGGAAGAATGGATGTTGAAAGAACTGACAGACCAGCAGTGTGGCTGAATGGAGATGAAGAAAAGAAGGACAGAGACTGGCACAGATGAGACTGGAGAAGTGGGCAGGAGAGAGATCATGGGGACAGTAAGTATTGTAGGCAGTTAAGGGCCATTGGTATATTTTAAGTCTAGGTAATAGGATCAAATTTGCTGTACTGTTGCTCCTGCAATGTGCTGAATGTGAAACCTAGCCAAATGCAAAGTTTTATTAGAGACTTGGAACCTCCCTCAGGTATGTCAGTGATGGGAAAGGGAGTGAGCTAATGACATCTGACTTCTTGATCCTACCTCATCCTGGTACACAGATGAATAAGCTGGTGGAAACCTATTTTGAAATATATGCTTGATGTACACACTTAGGGCAACACAGAGTTTGCCATGATTACAGAGTTATTGGAATAGAATTGTTTAATTATGCCATCACCAATTGCAAGTGAAATGTACAATCTTAGGATCTTGCCACAAAAGTCTTTTCAATTTCAAATAATAATTTTAAATAATTTTCTCTTTGCTATATAAACTGAGACTTTGTGAGCATGTATTTTAATACACTTATTTTATTGATGTATAGAATTCAAGTGTTAGATTCTACTACGACCCTCAAGGTCTTCTATGATTTTGCTACTTGAAATACGGTCCAGGTACCAGTAGCATCAGCAGCAACTAGGAGCTTATTAGAAAGTTGAAATCTCAGTTCCCAACCAAACTAACTGAATTAGAATCTGCATTTCTAAAAGATCTGTAGGTGATTTGTTTGCACGTTAAAGCTTGAGAGGAATTGCCCTACAACTTTATTCTATTTATTTAGAACAGGAACTTGATCCTATTTATATAGGAATCTCTATTTGAATAATTGAAAAGGTTTAGTTTAATGTCATTTTTGTTCAATTTCATTAAACATAATATCTTTGTGTTTTGAAGTATGCAGCTATTTAATACTGAGTTGTAAGAGTCAAATTGGAAGAGTTTGGTAAATCAACATTTTTAAAAATTTTCTATTTCTCAAACATGTCTTCTCCCATCCCTTCGATGGGTGCATATTTATACGTTCTTATTTAAAATACACAGTGTGGTAAACACCAACATACATGTAGTGTCTTCCTGGAAGAAGAAGGTTATTTCTAGACTCATTCATTGAACAGTGTATTTATGATGGAAATGAAAAATGTTGTCATAAATGCAGCAAGAGGATTTGGCATGAGAGAACTATTTTTCATTAATCTTAGGGACAAATGACTGTTTTTTAAAGAAAGTTTGTTAAACTTTTTTTAATTTGCCAAAAGAAAGTTCCAGAGCTTAGGCTGGAGCAGATTTTGAGTGAACAAAATTAATATATTTCACGTCATAAAATTTTTGAAAATGGATTTGCTGTTTGGGTCCTTGCATTAGTGTTCTATTTGCTGCTATAGAAAATTATTATAACTTACTGACTCCAAGCAACACAAGTTTATTATTTTATAGTCTGGAAGTTAGCAGTCCAACATGGGTCTCAGCAGACTAAAATCAAGATGTCGGGAAGGCTGTGTTGCTTTCTGGAGTCTCTAAGGGAGAATCCATTTTCTGGCCTTTTCCAGCTTCTAGAGGCCACCAACATTCTTTACCTTGTGGCCCTTTCCACTTTCAAAGCCAGCAACGACAGGTTCAATCTTTCTCACATTGCATCACACTGACATGGACACTGCTGACTCCCTCTTTACTTTTAAAGACCCTTGAGATTTTATTAGATTATTGGATCAATAATCCAGAATAATATCCCTAGTTTAAGGTCAGCTGATTAGCTACCTTAATTCCGTTTGCGACCTTATTTCCCCTTTGACATACACCATATTCATAGGTTCTGAGGATTTGAGCATGGACATCTTTAGGGGCCATTATTCTGCCTACCACAATCCCTGCAGGAAGGGGTGGGTGCCATGGAATGTGGGGAAGGGAGAGAAATAATTCTCATGAGTGATAAGGAGAAGGAAGCTCCTGCAAATGGTGGCAGGCTGTGTTCTCAGGAGAAAGACACCAGTGAGAGTTTCTCTATAGTAGGGGTTGTCAATGAGACTACAAACTGATTTTTATCATGGTTTTTAACATACCACTTTAGGGTGATCCCTGTTCTGCACATTTCTGTAGTTCTCCATGAAGCCCTAACATCTAGTAAAAAAATCTGTTATTTAGGGTGACTTTTTGGAAAGAAGGAAGAAGATGGGAGAGCTATGTTTGTCAAGCCTGGATGAAAGCCAAGCTCAGAGAGAACAAAGCTGCAGAGTGAAGATGATTAGAAGGGATTGTAAATCAAGTCAGGAGCAGAAATTCACAGCGAGAGAGAGTGGAAGGGAGCTCACGCCATTCCCATGCCCCACCACTCATAGGAGTTCAGAGGAGTTTGACATTACATTTCAACTAAGCAAAAGTGATTCGACAGATACAGATGGAGTTCCTCATATGGTTTGGGCTCTGAGATACAAAGGCAAATAAAATATGTTACTACCTTCAAAGTGTTTGCAGTCTAAAGGAGACTGAGAAGTCAATGCCTATTATAGGACAAAGTCTGCATGCAGCAATGCACAAGGAGCTTCTGGGAGCATGAGGAGAATCTTCCAAAGTGGATTGTGCATGCCACCAAGGAAGGCTTTCCAGAGATGAGGTTTCAGTTCTGTATGGAAGGATGACTCTGGTGCATCAGTGATCTTTTTCCCTGTTTGAGTCTAATCGTTCCCTCTCTTCTTCCCCTTTCTTTTCTGTGTTCAAACAAGCTCTCTAAGGTTCCCCATTTTTAGTAGTTTTGTAATCCCCCTCCCAGCTCCACATGTCCATTCTGTGGCTGCCTCCTCTCTGTTTCTTTTCCTGCCAAACTTCTTGAAAGGACTACCTACACTTGATTTTTCTACATTCTTATATCTTGTTTACCTCTATTCCTTAACTGCCTGGGTTCCAAATGCTGTCTGCAAACCTGCCTAAGACTGCTCTCTCCAGAGATACCAACAATTTCTTTGCTGAAACAAAAGAAGCATTTTTCAGTCCTTCATATTGTGAACTGTCTGGCACATCTGACACCACTACTAACTTCCTTCTGGAAATACTCTTCCTTTCTCTTCTAGGATAACAAGATTCTGATCTCCTCCCACCTTTCTGGCCAAGCCTGAATCTCTTTATCAGCTGCCTTCTCCTCCAACCCTCCAATAAGAATCAATTATCTAATGTATGTTCACATACTTTTGCTACAGCCTGAATGTTTGTTCCACCCAAAATTCATACGTTGACACTTAGGTCCCAGTGTGATGATATAAGGAGATAAGGCTCTTGGGAGATGATTACATCATGAGAACTTCATCCTCATGAACGAGATTAGTACCCATACAAAAGAGGCTCGAGAAAAATTGCTCACCCCTCTGTCATGTGAAGATGCAGTGAGAAGGCCCCATCTATGAAGCAGAGTGAGCTCTCACCAGACACCAAATCTGCTGGTGCCTTGATCTTGGATTTCCCAGTCTCCAGAACTGTGAGTCATAAATTTCAGTTGTTTATAAATTACTCAGTCTGTGGTATTTTCTTAGAGCAGCTCTAATGAACTAAGTCATTTTTTTATTTGAAAATTTATTCAATGAAATGGATACTTTATTTTTAAAAAATTGAAATGTGTCTTCTCATTCACTCTAATGGGATTCAACCTATACAAGTTTGCTTCAAATATACACGTATTACTTCTGAGGGCTGCCATTGCCATTACAAAAAGAAAAAAAAAAGAAGTCTACAGAGATAATAAATAGCTTTGCTATAAGGAATAGAGTATAAGAAAATATGATGGCTTATGCTTATTCCCAACTACATTTTCTTTCGGACATTTCTGCTGTTTTATGAAAGCAAATATGCCAACTTTATTTGAAGTTTTGTTCAACAAAAGTGTTGCAACAGAACAATGTAGAGAGGAAAGGGTAGAAAATAATTGTGGTTATGAAGTTCACTTTAAAGGACTTAAAAATGGCATTAAAATAATCAAAAGTAATGAGCTAACAATATTTAAACACAACTCCCATATTATGGGTTGTTTTCTTTTTAGTTAGTGGCAGCTTTTCAGAAGAAAAATATTAAGTTTTCAACATCAAATAAACTACCATCCCTACTTCCACTCAAATTACTGAGACTGACTTTTTTTCTAAATAGAAAACACCCTATTTAAAAAGTCAGTAGTATTTTTCTGGTATTCAGAAATATTTCATTACTCACAAGTCTCTACCACAGCCCTCTGCCCACACAAAGAGTGACTTTGAAATAATAACTCATTTTCTCGAGAAAAATAAGGTGCTTATGCCGAGCTAGCCATAACAAATATCTAAAAATTGAATAGATTTCATCTTCAGTCTTGAACTCCTGACCTCAGGTGATCCACCCGCCTCATTGTAGGAACAGATGTTAGATCACAACAGGTAGAAAAGTGCATAAGAACTAAAGGCAAAGAATGTGGCTTTCAAGAAACTTAGTATGAAAAGAAAAGGGCTAAAAAAAATTTTTCCTTTTTGATGTTTATATAAAAACCACACTCAGAAAATAAAGGACTACTAGTCCATCTACAACAACAACAACAACAAAAAAGATTTCATCTTCAGGACCATTCGTACTCCAGAGTGCTTCACACAAGAATACAGGAGTGACCCTGGGGTTGGGCAATGCAACAGTGCTCTGATGGTTATAGAGTTATTCCACATATACTATAAAAACTTCACTCGTAAACTCATCTCTTATCATTTGACATTATAGTCAAAATGGTATATTAGTACCATTAGTAATATTAAGTACACCTTGACTTAAAGTCTACAGAAATGTAGCAATCACACTAAAGATGAATGGTACTCCAACTGCTGTTTTCTCTCCAAAATGTGTCAGGTAGTTACATTTATTTTGTAAAAGTCATCATCTGTTAAATGTCCAGATAAACTCAATACTTTATGAAAACATTGGCTAACTCTTTTGGAATTTGATTAGTTATACCCTAACATATTTTGTAAGTATGAATTCTTTTTATGTCTGACTCAAACAAGACTTCTCTTTTACGCTAGTGTCAAATTTTATTAGGTTGGTTCAAAAGCAATTGCGGTAATGAAATTGAAAGTAATGGCAAAAACCACAATTACTTTTGCAACAACCTAACAGCTGAGGGCTTGATTTTGGGCTCAACTTGCAATGTGAAAACTTGCATATAGTCAACATTGTCTTTGAAAATCCCCTACATTGCTTGTAAAATATAGTCCGTGGTATTTCTACACCATATTTTAATATAATCTACCATTTCTAAGAGTCCAATACAGCCAGTCTTTCACTCAGCCTTGCACTAGGTTTTGTTTCTTCTGGAACAGATAATATACTTCGCTTAAGTTTCGGATGGGGAAGGTGCTTACACCATGAGAGGCCCATAACAACTACTGAAGAAAAAATGGATGAAGTACTCCAAACTGGTTTTCTTTCCTTCTTATTTTCTTTCTGTCTTATTTTCTTTTTTTCCTTCTCTTTTTTCTTTCTTTTTTTGGAGACGGAGTGTCACTCTGTTGTCTAGGCTGGAGTGCAGTGGCGTGATCTCAGCTTACTGCAAGCTCTGCCTCCCAGGTTCAAGCTATTCTCCTGCCTCAGCCTCCCGAGTAGCTGGGACCACAGGCAAACACCACCATGCCTGGCTAATTTTTGCATTTTTAGTAGAGACAGGATTTCACCATTTTAGCTGGGCAGCTCTCGAACTCCTGACCTCAGGTGATCTGCCTGCCTCGGCCTCCCAAGGTGCTGGGATTACAGGCGTTAGCCACAGTGCCCGGCCATATTTTCTGAAGCACTGGAAGATTGAGTGGCCTAGTCATCAAACAGTTCATTTCTGTGATCTGTGTAAAAAGACCCCACATACCTACATCTTAGTGTAGAGTAGCAGTTCTCAATGTGGGTCGAGGGTCTAGGACATGGTTTTGCCTCTGAGGAGACGTTTGTCTAGGGACATTTTTGATACTTGTGACTGGGGGAAGGGGTGTCAATCTTATCTAAAGGATAGAGGCCAGGATGCTGCCAAATACCTTATAATATAGAAGACACTCCCCACAACAGAGTATTGTCCAGCTCAAAATATCACCAGTGCCAAGGCTGAGAAACCTTCATCTAGGGTGGCAGAGTTACCATGAAATTTCATGCTCATTGAACTTGGATGAGGTACTGACTAGTACTATATTATCAAGTATCTAACTCTATTTCTCGTCTCCTTAATTTTTTTCTCATATAGATGTTCCACTTTGAGCAGTAGTAAAGATTTTCTTTCCCATTATCTCTATTCTTATTCATGATCGGAATGAGTCCTGTGAGGTCACCAGGGCCTCTAAGTTGTTAAAGGGTACACTTGGGAGGGGAGAGGCTACAAAATATGAAAAGAAACTTGTTATTACTTTGGAGGTGGCCATTTGCCCATTCAGACAGGTAAGAGAGTCTGGGTATGGTGGCTCATGCCTGTAATTTCAACATTTGGGAGGCCAAGGCAGGAGAATTGCTTGAGCTCAGGAGTTCAAGAAAGACCAGCCTGGGCAACATAGCAATACTCTGTTTCTACAAAAAAATTAAAAATTATCCAGACGTGGTGGTGTGCAGCTGTAGTCAGGGCTACTTCGGAGGCTGAAGTGGGAAGATCACTTGAACCTGGGAGGTCAAGGCTGCAGAGAGCCATCATCATGCCACTTCACTTCAGCCTGGGAAACAGAGTGAGACCTTGAAGAAGAAAGAAAGAAAGGAAAGGAAGAAGAAAGAAAGAAAGGAAGGAAGGAAGAAAGGAAGGAAGGAAGAAAGAAAGCAAGAAACCACAACTGGAAGCCTTAGGAGGTTGGCATGTAGTGGATATTTCTTTTCCATTCCCTAAACTGTAAGTGTTTAAAATAACTATTTTCTTTATTTTTTGTAGTTTACTTTGAATGGCCTTTATACAGAAAAAAAGAATCAAATTTTGTTCTTAAAAATTATTTTTGTTAGAGACAAATGTTAGAGACAAAAACATGCCTCCAAAACTAGGCATGTTTATAGAGATCATGAAACTTCAGAAAATTCTAAAACCATGACTCGTGACAAATAATTATACTTAGGGGAAAAATCTGAGAAAGCAGCAACTTCAGCACCCTTACCAATGAAGTATTAAAAACAAATGGGGAAATAAAAAGATATTGTTGGGATTTTAAATATGGCTTAAAATTTAATAGTGCTAGAATTTATTTTAAAAGTCTAAAATCTTTTAATACTCACACTGACTAGTAAAACTGCTTGTAACATTCGCCATCAAAACAGAAATTTGTTGAGGCAAAAGGAGAGAGATCACAATGCAAAGCATCGCAATAATTCAGAATACTATGGTAGCACATTTCAACATTCCATCTCATCTGAGATCTATCTATATGCTTTCCTTCTACAATACATAGGAGTGTATAATAAATATGCAATGATTATCACATGCCTTTCCTACATAAGATTTTGAAACCTCTCAGTTGTTCCCTGATGAGCCAGACTGTAAGACTATATGTTCTCATCAGTTACTACCTAGTCCCACCCCCAACACCCCCATCTCCACCACCACTACCATCAACACCACCATCACCATTACACCATCACCCCCATCATCTCCTCCATCAGTCGATGCATGGACACCACCTCCACTACTATCGTGACTATCACCACTGCCACCATCACATCACTGCTCTGAAACAATTTCTCTGGATTCAAACGGTCCCGAAATCTAAGATAATTCTAGATAGGGGTTTGAATTAACTATTGATCAAGTCAAGGACTTACCGTGAAATATAACAGACATATCAGATATTCAAACTGAATTCTAAAATAATGCAGAGAAATATCTATATGTTTTTGGTTTATAGTTGTTGTTCTAAGCAATAAGTCATAAAAAGAAAGTTATGATAGATTTGATGATCTAAAACCCAACATGTTTGGCATGTCAGAAATGCAACAAATAGAATTGAAACACTAACAATGGTTTTAAAAAAGTCTTGTTTAAGTCAGTAAGGATGAATAGTGCTACTATTTATATTTATTCATATGGATAAGCCTTAGAGAGAATCCTGTTTACTCAGAAAATGATAGATTTGAGATGCTTGTAAAATATATATGAGTTATTAAGTAGATAATTGTATATTTATACAACTAAAAAGGCATTCAAATAATTTTTTGCTATTAAACTCTTACTTTGAATGTGCCATGAAAATGTTTATTTTATATTTCTGAAAGTATGTTTCCAGCAATATCTCCTAACCCTTTTAAAAGTCAGCTCCTATCTTCTGGATGAAGTAAATGATGCCAGATTCAGTTCTGTTCTCCTTCTCTTTTTGGAAGCATTATAATATTAATGACTTAATTGTCATACATATTTATGTTTTAGAACCTAACTGGGGTCTGCTCTCCCATCGGAGCAAAGCCAGTCACTGACATTGGGATAGCAATGAGAGAATGTGAGTCATTTATTGCAGGACACCAAGCAAGGAGTTAAGGCTGCTCATGCTTAGGACTTGAACTCCTCAATGGCTTGCAGATAAGAGATTTTAGAGATAGGGGTACATTTCAGGAGAGCAGAGGTTACAGGCAAAATTGTAAATCAATTCATGAAAGTTACACATTGGTTTAGGCTAAAAATCTGAACAGACGTTTCTTGAAGTGAGGAGTTTACAGGTTGTAGATTGATTCAAAGGTTTTCAGATTTGCAACTGATTCAGGAGGTGAGGTTTTGTCTAAAAATTTGAGATCAGCAGAAAAGAATGTTAGCTCTAGCTCCTGGGTAGGACCTTCTTCAGGCCCCTCAGGAAGAAATTTAGAACAAAGAACAGAGGTCGGAGTTCAGTCCTCACCTCCCCCTTTTCTGAGGCCTAAATGCCAGTAGATCCATCTGGTGGGTTCCTGGTCGGATGCCAGTTTCTGAAAGACAACTCAGGCACATCTGTTAAGATGTCATCTTTAGTTTCCATGGAAAAAGCAAACATCTTCAGAGCTCTAACTTCTTTGATTATTGTCTTAAGCTACTATTATCTTCCTGTTTAAAAAACTATTTATTTACTTTTCTGCTAGCTAGATTCCTGGAATTTCCCTTGAAGAAACCAAGCATTTTCCTTTATGTCTATGCTTGGGGGTCCATAGTTCCCTAAAAAGAGGGTCCCTGCTCGTCTTACCTATGTAATAAAAGAAAAAAGTCCACACATGTCAGAAACGGGTTTGGCAATAACTCTCTTAGGTTGGTGCAAAAGTAATTGCAGTTTTTGCCATTAAAAGTAATGGGAAAACTGCAATTACTTTTGGACCAACCTAATATTCATTTTTAATCCAGTCGGCGGGTTGTGAACTAAAAAGAAAGACAGCAGTTTGAGCTCACAACCTGCTGATAAACGTTTTTGCAGAGGAAAGGGTAAGATAGAGAGAAAGTGATTGTTGCACTGCTCAATTGACCACAAATGTATATTGCCCCAAAGAATACATCAGAATCAAACCCACGGTGACTTTTTTGAAATTTTACTTCGATATACCATTGACATAAACTGTAATTGGAAAGCTACCAGTTTTTCTCCCAAAACAAAGCCAAATATGAGAACAACAAACTAACTATATTTGTGTACAGCAACTGTAGTGGTATAGCTTCTCAAATTCTTGAAGAAGGGTCTTATGTTTAATGAACAAGAAATATTTTCAAAGTTGGAAATTACTCTCATTTAAAGAGAAGGGTTCTCATTTTCCCATGAATTTTCTCATGAAACAGTATGCTTTCCTACACAAATATTGTATCTATAATATCATATGTGAATATTCATATTCATAAATGCCAAATTATTGATGACTCTTTTGCTTCATATGTGTATTATAGTTACTCCAAAATATTTTTTCATGATCCAGTATTGCCATAAAATAAAGACTGCAGATTCTAGTTAGCAAAGATTCTGAAACCAATCTTCAGTCAAAGGAATATAAAACGTAGCATGATGCTAAGTTTATGGATCTAGTGTACTAAGGAGAGGAAGCAACTAGGAAAGGTTATCTACTATTTTGTGGAAGAAATAAAGACCTACAAAGGTTGCTTTTTGGGTTGTTTAATAGTCTATGCATTGTGTGGATGTGCAATATTAATTTAGGTGGACATAAATTCTTTTTGTCCCTTTACTATTTCCTATATCCATCCCTCCCCATCACCAAAATAAGTTAGTTGGCTACTATTTAGGGCTACTATTTACTTTTACTAAGTTAAGAAGTGAGCCCATATCATCCTAGATGGTCCAGGGAACAGTTAGTGTAATACATTCACTGATGTGTTTTTTGAGGGGAAAACACGAGTCCCTCAGGAAATCCTGATGCAGTTGACCTTTCTCTGGTGTCTGTTTCCTGGGGCAATGCTTGAATGTGGTTAAGCACACTTTTGCCTCATCGGCTCCTCCACTGCCACTTCCAACCACTCCTCCACTAGCTTCTAGGACTGGTCCATTTGGCATTTCAATAAATGTTCCCAAGGTTGGCTAATTTGTACCAATCATTGAGGAGTCTCTTGACCTATCTGAGGTAGCAATACTGGAAGCAGGGACAGATTCTGTTAAGTGTTGTATATCCTGTATTGAAACTGAGGCTGATTCCATCAAAATTCAAGGGCAGATCCTCTAGAAGGTGCTGCTGTAGTTGCTGCAGCTGTTGCCTCTGGTGAAGATGGAGGAGTCCAGTACTAGCCACTTAAGGAGGTTCAACTATAGCCTTGCTTTCTATTTTTCCAGGACTTCCCATTAAAAGATATTTTGCAGACAAGCCACAGCCCGGGAGAAGATATATGCAAAATACACGTGTGATAAAGGACTTGCACCCATAATATACAAAGAATTCTTAAAACTCAGCAATAAAAAAATAGACAATGCAATTAAAAAGCAGGCAAAAATCTGAACAGACTCTTCACCAAAGAAGATGTGCAGCTGGCAAATAAGGATATGAAAAGGTGCTCCACATCATATGTTATTAGGAATTGCAAACTAAAACAACGAAAAACAACTACACACCTGTTAGAATGGCAAAAATCCAAAAACACTGATAAAATCAAATGTACACAAGGATCTGTCCTTCATTGCTTGTGGGAATGCAAAATGGCACCTTGAAAGACAATTTGGTGGTCTCTTACAAAGCTAAACTTCAGTCTTACCATACAATTCAGCAATAGTGCTCCTAAGTATGTGGCCCAATAAATTGAAAACTCATGTTCACACAAAAACTTGCACATAATTACTTATAGCAGCTTTTTTTCATAATTGATGAAAATTGTAAACTGTCAAGATGTCCTTCAATAGGTGAAGAGATGAACAAACTGATATGTCAATAAAATGGAATATTATTCAGTGATAAAAAGAAACAAGGTATCAAGCCACATGGAGAACCTCAAAAGCCTATTGCTAAGTGAAAAAAACAAAAAGCCAATTTGGAAAGGCTACATGTTGAATCATCGCAAATGTATGACATTCTGGAAAAGACAAAACTACAGAAACTGTAGAAAGATGAGTGTTTGTCAGAGGGAGGTAATTGAGGGAGGAATGAATAGATGGAGCACAGAGGACTTTTAGGGCATTAAAAGTAAACTGTATGATATTATCATGGTGACTATATGACATTATGCATTTGTTAAAACCCACAGAACTGTACAACACCAAAAGTGAACCCTAAACTAAAGTACAGACTTCAGTTAATATAATGGATGTATTAATATTGTTTCACAAATAGCAACAGATATACCACAACAATGCAAGATGTTAATAATGGGGGAAACTCCTGTGGTGGGTAGCAGAGGTATATGGGAACTCTCTGTACTCTGCTCAATAACTCTGTAAACCTAAAAATCTCTAAAAATTGAAGTCTGTTAGGGATGAAATAATTTTTAGATACATGGTAAAGAAAAGAAAAGATACTTTACTGCTCTGCCAGCGTTGTTGAAACTAGTTTTGAGAGCTGTAATTATTTGTTCCTGGTCATAACATGTTTACATGATCTCATTACCCTATTTTTATAAGGTCAATCTGTCATTAATGTTCTTGATGCATCTTCAAAATGTTTTCCAGAGAAAAATCTTCTAATGAGTTCTCAGTTGATATTGGGCTACTAATCACTGATGTTCTCACTGACTTTTCTGCAAGTTTCTCTTGTTTAGTTGCACTACTAGGTGCAGGTGCAGAAGATACTGTCTTTGATGCTGGAGTGATGGGTACAGCCGCACAAGTGGCAAGCAAAGCAAAGACAGAGGCTGGGACTTGAGCCACAGCTGCTGTTATAGTTGAAACAACTGCAGCAGCAGTGGCAGGATTCGATCACTGGGTTGTAGACGGGGCTGGTGCTGCCACTGCTTTGGGATACCATCATAACCATCATAAAGCTTTCCTTATTAAGATCATATTCTTTAAAGCCAGTATCATCATTCGGGTTTTGCCTCAAGCAACTTATTTTTGTCCCACTACCTAAAATGCATTATTCACTCTCACTTCTTTTGCTATAAAACTACAACCAACTCCAAAGGGTCTAGTCTCCTGCATTAAGCTGAATTTTGGAACCCAGGCCCTAACTGAGCCCACAGCCCACAGTACATACATATCCCCAGAGCCAGACTCCTACTTCTGTTACATCTGCCTTGGGTTCTTACAGTCTACCAGGATAGAACTCAAGAGAGATCACCAAACATAACAGCAAAGGAAAGTTTACTTCAGCTTGTGCACAAGGGAGCCAGCACCAAGAAAGAAAGAGGAATGGGCTTCTCCCAAGGGTACTGTATGGGTTAGTTTTATAGAGTCTTTCAATAGGGAAGAGTTATGTCATGGCAGGTGTAGCAAGGGTTTTCCTAGTGGTTTCACAGTGGCTCAACATGCTTCTTCAGATGTTATATGTAGCATTAACAATTTAAATCTCTGTCACTTGGTGTGAATTTTAGCATTAAAATGAGGAAGAGATAAATTCAGTTTGGAGTTTAAGTCTTACCAAGTATACAAGGATCCAGGAAGTCCCTCATCCCCTGAGATGGAAGACTGTGGTTAATAGCTTCTTGGGTCTTTCATTACTGATTGACTGAGAGTTTAGGTAAGCTAGAGCTGGAGTGAGGGGCTTTTGCCCTTTTTCTCTAGACCATCTTAAAATAGGGAATCAACCAACCTGCCTGTCTCACCCCCTACCGCCATGTCACAGCACATTGTCCAGGCCTCTAGAAAGCTCTTCTCTGCTAAGGAAGTCAAATTTTCTCTGTTTGCAGATGACATGATTGCATATTTAGAAAACTCCATCATCTCAGCCCAAAATCTCCTTAAGCTGATAAGCAACTTCAGCCAAGTCTGAGGATACAAAATCAATGTGCAAAAATCACAAGAATTCCTATACACCAATAATAGACAGACAGAGAGCCAAATCATAAGTGAACTCTCATGCACAATTGCTACAAAGAGAATAAAATACCTAGGAATACAACTTACAAGGATGTGAAGGACCTCTTCAAGGAGAACTACAAACCTTTCCTCAAGGAAATAAGAGAGGACATAAACAAATGGAAAAACGTTCCATGCTCATGGAAAGAAAGAATCAATATCTTGAAAATGGCCATGCTGCCCAAGGTAATTTACAGATTCAATGCTATCCCCATCAAGCTACCATTAACTTTCTTCACAGAATGAGAAAAAACTACTTTAAATTTCATATGGAACCAAAAAAGAGCCTGTATAGCCAAGACAATCCTAAACAAAAAGAACAAAGCTGGAGACATCACATTACCTGACTTCAAACTATACAACAAGGCTACAGTAACCAAAACAACATGGTACTGGTACCAAAACAGATATATAGACCAATGGGACAGAATAGAAGCTTCAGAAATAACGCCACATATCTACAACCATCTGATCTTTGACAAACCTGACAAAAACAAGCAATGGGGCAAGGATTCCCTATTTATTAAATGATGCTGGGAAAACTGGCTAGCCATATGCAGAAAACTGAAACTGGACCCCTTCCTTACACCTTATACAAAAATTAACTCAAGATAGAGTAAAGACTTAAATGTAAGAGCTAAAACCATAAAAACCCTAGAAGAAAACATAGACAATACCATTCAGGACATAGGCATGGACAAAGACTTCATGACTAAAACACCAAAAGCAATGGCAACAAAAGCCAAAATTGACAAATGGAATCTAATTAAACTAAAGAGCTTCTGCACAGCAAAAAAAACTACCATCAGAGTGAACAAGCAACCTACACAATGGGAGAAAATTTTTGCATCTATCCATCTGTCAAAGGGCTAGAATCCAGAATCTATAAAGAACTTAAGCAAATTTACAAGAAAAAAACAAACAACCCCATCAAAAAGTGGGTGACATTTATGTGGCCAACAAACATGAAAAAAAGCTCATCATCACTGGTCATTAGAGAAATGCAAATCAAAACCACAATGAGATACCATCTCATACCAGTTAGAATGGCAATCACTAAAAAGTCAGGAAACAACAGATGCTGGAGAGGATGTGGAGAGATAGGAATGCTTTTACATTGTTGGTGGGAGTGTAAATTAGTTCAACCATTGAAAGACAGTGTCATTGTGGAAGACAGTGGGGTGATTCCTCAAGGATCTGGAACCAGAAATACCATTTGACCCAGCAATCCCATTACTGGGTATATGCCCAAAGGATTATAAATCATTCTACTATAAAGACACATGCACATGTATGTTTATTGCAGCACTGTTCACAATAGCAAAGACTTGGAACCAATCCAAATGCCCATCAATGATAGACTGGATAAAGAAAATGTGGCACATATACACCATGGAGTACTATACAGCCATAAAAAAGAATGAGTTCCTGTCTTTGTGGGGACATGGATGTAGCTGGAAACCATCATTCTCAGCAAACTAACACAGGAACAGAAAACCAAACACTGCATGTTTTCACTCAAAAGCAGGAGTTGAACAATGAGAACACATGGACACAGGGAGGGGAACATCACACACTGGGGCCTGTCATGGGATGGGGGGCTAGGGGAGGGTTAGCATTAGGAGAAATACCTAATGTGAATGATAGGTTGATGGGTGGGGCAAACCACCATGGCACGTGTATACCTATGTAACAAACCTGCACGTTCTGCACATGTATCCCAGAACTTAAAGTATAATTTAAAAAAAAAGAAAGCTTTTCTCTCCTAGATCCACTGCCACACCCTGCCCAAATTATCTTTTAAATGACTAAATAGAATCATTATATTTTCCACTAGCATGAATTCTCAGCACCCTAAAATAAAATAAATGTTAAATTAAAGAGACACAGTTCACACTGAGAAAATTATATGATGCTATATTTAAAAAAAAAATATTTTTAACTATTATTTTTTAATCCCCTTTTGCTTTTCAGCATTTATGATCTAGTACCTGGCCATAGTAACATCCAAATGTGCTCATGGAGAGGCTTAGGGAGGAATAGGTTTAATCAAAAGTTCAGTTCTGGAAAATTTATATACGTTTGAGGTGATCATGGATGTATTAGTCCATTCTCATGCCGCTAATAAAGACATACCTGAGACTGGGTAATTTCTAAAGGAAAGAAGTTTAATTGATTCACAGTTCAGCATACCTGGTGAGGCCTCGGGAAACTTACAATCATGACAGAAGGGGAAGCAAATACATCCTTCACATGGTGGCAGGAAAGAGAAGGGCAGAGCAAAGTTGGGGAAAGCCCCTTATAAAACCATCAGATCTCATGAGAACTTACTCACTATCACGAGAACAGCATGGGGGACCACCCCCATGATCTAATCACCTCCCACCAGGTCCCTCCCCCAACACGTGGGAATTATAATTCGGATTACAATTCAAGATGAGATTTGGGTGGGGACACAGAGCCAGACCATATCAGATGTCCATGTGGAGTTGCTGCATAGGCAGATACTAATTTTAGAATTTTTATAGAGATAGCATGAAAGCCATGGGGCTAAATAAAATTACCTAGTAAGTGAATAAAGAGAAAAATAAGCCTCTGAGGCAAACCAGTTTAGAAATTATGCAGATAAGGAAGAACCAGAGGTTGCAAAAGAGATTGATAAGGAGCAGCCAATGAGATAGAAAGAGAATCAAGAGTGAGGAAGATCCTGGCTTGGAGCAAAGAATGTGTTTCAAGAAGG
This sequence comes from Homo sapiens, assembly GCF_000001405.40. Lineage (NCBI taxonomy): Eukaryota > Metazoa > Chordata > Mammalia > Primates > Hominidae > Homo > Homo sapiens. The sequence goes on from NC_000021.9 coordinate 15,700,141, forward strand.
AAGGGATGATCATTTGTGTCAAAACATGTTTAGAGGTTCAAAAACTGTTCATAGGTTAGACAATATAGGACTGAGATTTGGCTATTGCATTTGGCGTCATGCAGGTCATTGGCGATCTTGAACAATCAGTTCCTGCAGAGAGAAAGAGACAGGAGGCAGATCAGAGTAGGTTTGGGAGACTATGGGAAAAGAGAAATTGCAGACAATTAGTAGAGACAGTGATTTTTCAGAAGTTTAGCTGTAAAGGGTAGCAAAGAAATGGAAAATGGTGCTGAAGGATATGTGGAATCAAGGTGAGTTTGCTGTAATTTTTTTTATATGGAAGAAAGAAGACACAACTGCAGGAGTGAAGCCCTTGAGCAGGTGAGAAGTGATGAGAAGCAGTGCACAAGAGGAGTATTTAGCCTTAGGACCAAGGACAGTCTATCAGTTTTAACTACAGGAAAGAATATAGGGTATGTGAGTACAGGTACAAGTTGGCAGATTTTTATTTATTTTTCCATGAAATAAGAACCAAGGCCATCAGTTAAGAATAAGGAGCAGGGAGGTGGTTTTGGAGACTTTTGTAGAGAGGAGAATGTGCGAAATAGTTGTGAGACAGTGGAGGATTTACCCGTCTCAGGGAAAGCTGACAAACTCTTCTCTTAGGCAAGTCAGATACCTATCCAGGGGATTCTCAGATGGATAAAATAGTTTGAGCCTTTCAGTAGAGTTTCATTTCATTAGAAAAACCAAGAAATACTAATTAGTTTCCATCCTTCATTAACTGCATTCAAAAGCACTAAAATAAATAATTTGCCTATTTCATTGTCCAACAGAATTTCACGGTTTGACCCAGCCAAGAATACAACTCCATTTCAATGTATTTCTATTTGAGCCTAAATTTATAGAACAATTCAGGAAACCATCAAGATTATTGAGTCATACAGAAGCATCTTTCTTCCCAGTGTTTGCTGATTGAGACCATAGCCTTAGATGAAGGGTCTCATCTCTGACCCAAAATTGGCCTGGAAAATGAGACAAGATATCAAATTATTATAGAGCAGCTCAAATAAGGAAAACCTTCATTATACTATGCCAAAGTAAGGATCACTGAAACTTGGACAATGTCGATGGTTTGTTACTACATCTATCCATGACACTTTGTACTAACAAAAAAGAAAAGAAAATTGAATTATCTTTATTTGTAGTAACACTTTCCCTTTAAACCAAAGCAGCTTCAATAATCAAAATAATCCTAGGATTGTGACACTAAATGTTATTTTCAAAATATTTTAGGTCAGTTAACCAAAATAAATGTTCAGAATGCTGAACTTGATCAGAGTTTTCAGATGTCATGAGTTATTTCAAGAAATATACTAATGCCCAAAGTAAACTGATAGAATAAAATAAAAGCCAACATTACTCTTGATTAATGGGAATACAAATAATGTAACGACTAAGGAAGGTTTTACAAAATGACAGAGATTGGGATTGCTATATTTATGAATTGACAAGCAATTGCTCTATAAATTAAATAACAAAAATCAATTTTAACTGTTAACTGTCAACAATAAAAAATTGCCCAAAATTTAAACATTAAACTTCCACTAATATTTATCACTAACAACTTTTCTAAAAAAAAATTGAAGTTTTAAAATATAGCTAAGTGATAGGATATGCAACTGTAATAAATTACTTTGAAATCTTGAATTTAACTATTACATTTGCCTACAAGCTTAGAAATATATGAGTAGAAGTAATTTAGATAGAATTCTGGTTTCTGCTCTGATATTAAAGAGCTTAGAATTTATTACTGTTATCCTCACAGGGAAAAAGTGGTCAGATAGAACATTAACTTTTCTTGAACCCATCAGAGACCTGAGGTCACAGGGCAAGTTGCCAGAAATCTGAAGAGATGGGAGACACGGCTGAGACCTGCTTATCTGAAACAAAAGCAAGGGGAGTTTTAACTGGAAGGAACACTGAAATGATAATGTTGGTAAATGGTTTCAGGCAGAATATGGGCTAAGGTTACTGTGAGAAACTCCCAGGGGCTGGAGACTTGAGGGACATTTCATAGGTTTTGCTTCTAGTACCTCCACCATGTTCTCACGATGAAGATCCAACAAAGATTCCTGTGGCTGTGGCAGGGGTAGAGGAAGAGTCATCATTATAAAATAAGCCTATTCTCCTGGAAAAACAACTTCACCAGAACCTTATTCCAGCTGGTGGGAGGGAATTCTTCCTACTCCACCCGCTCCAGGATTGCTGTTTTACTAAAGAGTGGGTAAGGTGAGGGAGTATGAGGGGGAGACACAGTCAACAGAAGTAGGAGCTTCAAGGAAGCAGGTTGCAGCCAGGAGAGGGAGGAGAAGGCCTGAGTGGCAGAAGCTATACTGCTGGAGAAACACCTGTGAAGGTCATAGTCCAAGGACAAAGGACCACTGATACACTGAAATTTAATCAAAAGATTAGAGAATGCTCCCCACTCTGCCATACCATACCACACTGCTGTTGTTTAAATATTTGTCTCCTCCAAAACTCTTGATGAAATTTAATCCCCAGTGTGGCAGTATTGAGATGTGAGGCCTTCGAGATGTGATTGGGTCATGAGGGCTCTGTCCTCATGAGTGGATGAATTCATTAATGAATGAATGGATTAATGGGTTATCATGGGAGTGGGATTGGTGGCTTTATAAACAGAGAAAGAGAGATCTGAAGGAGCACACTTGGTCAGTCCCCTTGCCATGAGATGGCCTGTGCCATCTTGGGATTCTGCAGAGAGTCCCCACCAGAAAGAAGGTTTTCATCAGATACAGCTCCTTGACCTCAGACTTCTCAGCCTGCATAATGATAAGAAATAAATTCATTTTCTTTATAAATAACCCAGTTTCAAGTATTCTATTATAAGCAACACAAAACAGACTAAGACACACACCAACAAAGCTAAAGTATTATAGTGGGCTACACCTGAAAGAGCCACAAGGAGCAGACTCTCTTTGAGGAGGCATACTTAGGGGAGTCTGAGAGGGAAAACAAAAACAAGGGCAGTAGAAGACTTAAGCCTTTTCACATTTATGGTTAATGTAAATTTCCATGCTAAAGGTCTGTTTTTTCTCAATTCCTATTACTCATATGTGTCATTTGCACCTATCAATACAAAATTACAAGGTCTGATGATAAAGCAAGAAAACACATAGTTTGAAGAGGTAAAGCAAGCATTAGAACTAGACCCAGATATGACACACATTTTTGAATTATCAGATAGGGAATCTTAAATAATTATTATTAATATGTTAAGAGGTCCTAATGGAAAAAGTAGACAATGTGCAAAAATAGATGACTAATGCAAGCAGAGAGATAGAAAATCTAAGAAAGAATCAAGAGGAAATGCAAGAAATCCAAAACACTGTAACAGATATGATGAATAATGAGGTATGCACTCATCAGCAGACTCGACATGGCCATGGAAAGAATCAGTGAGCTTGAAGACAAGTCAGTAGAAATAACTAAAGTATCTAAAAATTGGAAGAGACATTAAAAGTTGTCTACTGTATCCATTTATTTAAGAACTGGTTTAAACACACGCCCTCTTTCCTGATGGGATTCCAATTATGTCAGTAATCATCTAATTCTCACTTTCAAGATTATTGCAAGCGTGTGATTTTAACATGACTATCATAGATAAAACAACTTTACCCATTCAAATACCATTTGGCCATTACTGAGCAATGTAACATACCAGTTATATACAGTTATAATTTAATTCAAAAAATTAAAAAGAGAGTCTACATTTTCCTCACTATTTGTGTAATATCTCGGCCAACTTTTTAACATCTCTGTATGATCATTTTTTAACTAAATGCCATATATTTTTCACACTGTACCCTTTACACTCAGCTAGCTACTGCTGCCTTGATACTTTCTGGGACTAAGGATGAGCTGTCAAACACTATAACTAAGAGCTCTTATTTATGGCCTTGCTTCCTTGAACTCAGTATTTAGCTTTACTTCAGTCAGTGTCGATTTCAGTCCAGCTGTTCATGTTTGAGTATTTAGGTTACTTGCTTCCAAATACTCATGACACTGAACTATTGAAGGTCAAGTTACTGCTAAATGGACTGTTTTGTATATTATAATAGCAGAGGAATATTATAGCAGTTTCATAAGATTATTAGCTTTTCCTACTTTCACAGACTATAATTGGCATTTAAGCTCATATTCATATATTCCCCATGCCCATAACTCTCATTTATATGTGTGATTCTGTGTTGTTATAGAGAGGGCTAAGAAGAGGTGGCCCAGGCCTTTAAGACATAATCAGACTATACCTGTGGTATTAGCCTCACCTTGGAAGCTTTTTAAAAATTCTATCATTCAAGCCTATTTGAGGTGGGACCTGTTTGAGTTGGGGCCTAGGCATTAATATTTTTAAAGCACTCTCCCAATAACTGTAATGTGCAAACGGGGTTAGAACTCCTGAACTACTTTCTATAATAATAAAAATCTCACATAAATAGCTTTAAAAGAGATACATAAGAATGTCTCAAACAAACACACACACACACACACACACTCCCTCCCTCTCTCTCACCCTCTTTCTCTCTCTCTCTCTCACACAAGATTTCACAGGATTGAGAGATCATATCCAATAAAAGTTCGCAACAAAGGCTCATGAGCGTAAAGGACTGCAAAGGTTTTGGACAGGAGGCCCTGACTGAGTGGAGGCACATTCCTGGCAGAGGGAAACTGTGATGGAAGGAAGGGAAACCAATACACTTCACAAAGACCTTTTTGAACAACATTGAAAAGAAAAACCCAGAAGAGAATACAATAAGGAATTGTAGAAAATAAGATGAGACAGGGAGCAGGGTCCCCAATTAAGAGGACATCAAACTTACATTTTAGGGTGCTGTCATTTTAAAGTGTTTCTAAAACACTGTAGTTTTTCATATTATTTAAATGTACAGAAACTTAAACCTATGGTCCTGTTACCCAGTGATATGGTTAGGCTGTGTCCCCACATCTCATCTTGAATTCCCAGGTGTTGTGGGAGGGACCCAGTGGGAGGTGATTCAATAATGGGGGCGGGTCTTTCCTGTGCTGTTCTCTTGGTAGTAAATAAGTCTCACAAGATCTGATGTTTTTAAAAAGGGGGAGTTTCCCTGTACAAGCTCTCTTCTTTTGTCTGCCGCCATGTGAGACGTGTCTTTCACCTTCCACCATGATTGTGAGGCCTCCCCAGCCACGTAGAACTGTTACTCCAATAAACTTCTTTCTTTTTTCAAATTGCCCAGTCTCAGGTATGTCTTTATCAGCAGCATGAGTACAGACTAATACACCCAGCTTAGGAATAAAACACTATTAATGCAGTTGAAATCTCCTATGTTTTGTTCCATAATCATAATTAATTTCTCCCTTAGCAGAGATAATCATTATCCTACATTTGGTGTTTATTATTCTTAAGCATTTCTTATACTCAGATGCATAGATATTACTTAGATAATACATAGATGCTTATGTTCCAAAACAAAACAAATACTCCAAGTTAAAAAATATATTGTGAAGTTTAATAGAAAAGACATGGAATCAACCTAGGTGCCCATCAATGACAGACTAGATAAAGAAAATGTGGCACATATAAACTATAGAATACTATGCAGCCATTAAAAAAGAGTGAAATCTTGTCCTTTGCAGCAACATGAATGCAGTTGGAGGCCATTATCCTAAACAAATTAACACAGTAATGGAAAACTAAATACCACATGTTCTGACTTATAATAAGTAGGAGCTAAACACTGCGTATACATGGACATAAAGATGTGAATAATAGGCACTGGCGATTACTAGAAGAGGGAGTGATGGGGAGAAAGGGCTGAAAAACTACCTATTGGGTACTATTCTTACTATGTGGGTGATAGGATCATTCATACCCCAAACCTCAGCATCACACAATATACCTATGTAACAAACCTGGACATGTATCACTTGAATCTAAAATAAAAGTTGAAATTATAAAATATATACATATTTGGCTGGATGTGGTGGCTCACACCTATGATCCCAACACGTTGCGAAGCTGAGGCAGGTGGATCACTTGAGGTCAGGAGTTCGAGACCAGCCTGGCCAACATGGTGAAACCCTGTCTTTACTAAAAATGCAAAAATTATCTGGGCGTGGTGGCGCATGCCTGTAATCCCAGCTACTCTGGAGGCTGAGGCACAGGAATCACTTGAACCTGGGAGGTGAAGGTTGCAGTGAGCCGAGATTGCACCACTGTACTCCAACCTGGGTGACAGAGCAAGACTCCACCTGGAAAAAAAAATATATATATATACACACACACATATATACACATATATGCACATATATATATATATGTGTGTGTATATATATATATATATATAGAGAGAGAGAGAGAGAGAGAGAGAGAGAGAGAGAGAAAAGTTTTGAAGAGAATAAATATGGCATAATGAAAAAGGTGTTTCAGGAAGTTGGGTCTAGCTAAAACATACAGTACAGAAAGTTTTTGTGTCATCTAGGAGTATTTGGACCAGCATGTAAAATTGGGCTTAGAAAAGGATGGATATCAAAAAATGGAAAAGAAATTTCAGCGTCTTAAATATAGAGAATGAGGAAGCAGAATGAGTCAAACCAAGATACTAGGCTTTGTCCCCGAAGGATTAAAATAACGATGTGGTGTTGACAGATTCAGTGAGTCACAGTGGAAGAACTGGTTTCCAGGAGTATAGATGTGTTGTGGAATTTGGCCCTGCTGACCATTCCCTCATTGCTGAAGCACTCTCCTCCCTAGCCTTCTGCCATCCCTTTCTTTTGGCTTTGTTCCTACCTCTTTCATTGTTCTAAGTCTTCCTTATGGTCTTCAATTTGTATCCAATTTTTCTTACAGCTAATACTCTCCTGGACTGACTCATTCACTTCCAGGGCCTTAATACACAAATGCTGATGACTTCCAAATTCTTATGGCCAACATGTAAAGTCTCCTCAGCTCCATATTTCATTTCTAATTGCCTATGGGTATTTATCCCACAGCCACTTTTAACATGTCCAAAATTAGTCTTATTACCATCTTATTCCCTTCTCATTTTATTCATCCCTTTTATTCTTACTTATTCCTGCTCCTTTATTCTCTATCTCTGCAAATGTTCTCCAAGTTTTATCATCTTACCAAAGCTAGAAAACTGGAAAACATCCTCACACTTCTCCCTGAACATGAGCTGTGCCCACTATTTAATGCCATGTCTTGCCAAATCAACCTCTTTAATTGTGCTTGTATTGTTTTCCACTTTTCAACTGTCTCCACTGTCTTAATCTCAGGTGGTTTTAACTATGTTCTCTGGCCTATTACAATATTCTGTAAACTTATCTTTTCACCCCTAGTCTTGTCCAATTCCTTCTCTCTGTCTCTCTTCTACTATGAGTGATTTTCTTAAATATAAATTTGATCATTCCCTGCTCTTAGGTGGAGGGGAAATTAGGACACCTCATTACCTTCTGCAGAAGCTTTCCGTCTTGTTCTTTTAAATCCTAATTAGGACTCTACAGAGTTAACTCAAAGACAACCAATGGCGCCAAGTCAGAAGCTGAAAGACAAGTGAATTATTTGATGAGACACAAAAGCGTTGAATTCAAAAGCACAGGCCCTTTTTTCCCCACTCGTTTTGCTGCTAGGAAATTCACTCAGCAAATATTTATCAAGTATGCACCATGTGCCAGACACTCTTCTCAGTGCTACTCTATATTAATTCTACTAATTCCTATAAAAACCCATGGATATTATTTCAATTTTACAGATGAAGAAACTGAGGCATATTACTCAAGGTTAAGTTACTCAAGGTCCCCAGCTCGGTGAAGTCCAGAACCGGGACGTGAACCCAGATAATCAGACTCTAGAATTTTGCTACTCAAAGTAGAATTCATGGGCCAGCAGAATGGTAACACTGGTGATATTAGAAATACAGGCCCTGTGCTTCTACCCTAGACTTAATCATTATGTAAATTTTTACAAGATTTCCAGGTGATGTGTGCATTACTTCATGCTTGAAAAGCTTTGCCTTCAAGTCTGGGTTCTTAACCACATGTCAACCCAATATAACAGTAGTTGACTTGTTCTTTCTTCCTCAGACATGTGAGTTGGCTCTCCTTTTTATGTACCTGTCAAACACAAAAGTAACAAGCCTTAAAACCTTGCCCCTGCCAGGCGCGGTAGCTCACGCCTGTAATCCCAGCACTTTCGGAGGCTGAAGCGGGCGGATCACCTGAGGTCAGGCGTTCGAGATCAGCCTGACCAACATGGCGAAACTCCATCTCCACTAAAAATACAAAAATTAGCCAGGCGTGGTGGTGGGCACCTGTAATCCCAACTACTCGGGAGGCTGAGGCAGTAGTATTGCTTGAATCCAGGAGGCAGAAGTTGCAGTGAGCCGAGATCGCACCACTGCACTCCAGCCTGGGTGACAGAGCGAGACTCTGTCTCAAAAAACAAAACAAAACAAAACAAATAAACCTCACCCCGATCCTTTTGTAGATCATGAGCATGATGATTGGGTGTTGACACAAATATGTGAAATGTGCCAGCCTCAAACCTTCTTATGACATCAGATCAGCACATGACTCTGCTGGGAAGTCATTAATCCATTATACATTAAGTATCTGGAACTTTTCTGGTTAAAACAAATATATACCTATATCTCTAAGAGATATTATTCTTGATGTAGGTCAATTTTATAGGTCCTGAAGAGGAAGTAGTGTACCGATGTTCAAAATGATGTCTGGTCAGTGATGGTTGTCCAAACACACACACACACACACACACACACACACACACACACACACACACACACACACACGGGGGAGGGGGGAGAGAGAGAGTCACTGTGTTACCCAGGCTGGAATGGAGTGTCTATTCACAGATGTGATCACAAGTCCCTGCAGCCTTTGACCCCTAGACTCAAGTGATCCTTTTGCCACAGCCTCCTGAGTAGCTGGGACTACAGGCACACACCACCATCCCTGGCTCAAACACTTGATATTAGTCTAATACCAGTAGCCAGACAGGCTAGAGGAGGGATGAAACCAGCTTTGTCTATGTAGTAGGGAACGTTGAGGATCAGATACCATTACAACCCTAACTGATAACACAATCAGCTATCACAATCTTAACAGTGACTTGAGGTAATACGTATCTTCTAAGTTAATGTGGGAGAGAGGTGGGTTTCAGGATAAACTGTAAACCGCTCATTCTTATGAGACTCACTTGAGGAGGTTTCTGGACAAGCTTCCACATTGACTCCTCACTCACATGGAAGTTGTTTCCAGCACTTTGTGAAGTCTCCCATAAAACATGTGAAACTCCATCAAGTAGTAATAAGAAATGGAAGGTTCACTGAAGATGTTGCAGAGAGAAAGAGAAGATGCCATGTCACACACCACACAGCAGAAATTTAGGCAAAATCCTCATTAGACATAAGAATTCTTAATGTTTTTCTTTCCCAAACACTTTCTTCCCAATCTCAATAGCTTTTCTTCCGTTTTCTTTCTTTCCTCCTTTCCTTTTTCAGGCAGTATCTAACAAACTGCAATACTCTTACCAGTATCAACTTTAATGCTAAGCTTAAATAATGTAAGCAAAGCATAAACTGTAGAGTTCAAAACAGTAATAAATCTCCTAGCAGGTTTCACTATCCATCACACCCACCCAACCTCATTCTCAGGATCCTGTAAAACAAAAGCAGGTCTCTTCTAGGCGGGGATAGGGATATGCATTGTTAATAAGTTTCTTCATCCTGCTACATTCTCCTCTGGTGCCAGCACTTCTTCATATTTTCTATAGAACTAAGAATAAAAGCTTTTATTCTGGTGGCTAAGGGCTGAATGGACATGCTATCCTCAACATTCAAAAAGCAAAGTGCCTGCTCTTTGGATGAGTGCATGTATTTATTTATGTGATAAGTATTTGAAACAGGTCTTTAAGTTGCATATATTTATAAGATACATGTCATATTTTGATACACACATATAATGTGTAATGATCAAATTGGAGTAATTGGGAGATCCACTACCTCAGTCATTGATCTTGTCTTTGTGCTGGGAATATTCCATATCTACTCCTCTAGTTATTTTTAAATATACAAAGAATTACTGTTAACCACAGTCTTCCCATTGTGCTGCTGAACACTAGATCTTATTTCTACTATCTAACTATATTTTTGTTCCTGTTAACAAGCCTCTCTTTATCTCCCCTTCCCACTACCTTTCTGAGTGTCATTCTACTCTCTACTTCCATAAGATCAATTTATTTTAGCCCCCACATATGGGTGAGAAGCTGCAATATTTGTCTTTCTGTGCCTGACTTATTTCACTTAGCATAATGCCCTCCAATTCCATCCATGTTGTTGCAAATGACAGGATTTCCATTCTTTTTATGGCTGAATAATATTTCATTGTGTGTATGTACCACATTTTCTTTATCCATTCATTTGTTGACAGACACAGAGGTTGATTCCATATCTTGGCTAATGTGAATAGTGCTGGAATAAACATGGGAGTGTAGATAACTGTTTGACATATTGATTTCCTTTCTTTTGGATATATGCTCAGCAGTGGAATTGCTGGATCATATGGTACTTCCAATTTTACTTTTTTGAGGAATCTCCATGCTGTTTTCCATAGTGACTGCACTAATTTATGTTCCAACAAACAATGTATAAGCATTCCCCTGTGTCCACATCACCAATATCTGTGTTTTTTTTTTCTTTGTAATAATAGTCATTCTAACTGGGGTAAAATGATATCTCATTGTGGTTTTCATTTGCATGTCCCTGGTAAAAAACATTTTAACTCTGGTGAGAATTTAATTGATGAAGGATTAATAACCAGAATATATAAGAAACTCAAACAACTCAATAACAAAAAAAAAGGACTCCACATAATTCAATTTCAAAATAGGCAGAAGATCTGAATATAGACGTTTCTCTAAAGAAGACACATAAGTGGTCAATGAGTATATGAAAAAGTGATGCTCAACATCACTAATCATCAGAAAAGAATCAAACAGAACTTACATATATTTTTAAATATTGAATTTCCACATGATGTTTCTCAGAAAAGGGAGTTCCCGTTTTAAAAGTAGTTTTCAAAATATTGAAAACAAATAATAGACAACATAAAGTCTTATGAGCTCAACCTTCTTTGCATGGTGCAAGGTTCCAGGTCATCTGGCCTCTTCCAGCCTTCCTAGCCTTTGCTCCTACTACGCTTTCCTTACTTCCACCATTCCCTGGTGATCCCACCAGCACTCTTAAGATTCCCTCGAGGCATATGATACTTCAAGCTTCTGTGCCCTTGCTTGTGCTGTTCTCTTCATTGGCCTTGGGAGCACTCACTTAACACAGTTTGAATAACTTGTAACAACTTCTATTGTTGCTGCTATAAAGATTTTACTGATCTCCATTGAAATTGATCACATCTGTGTTTGTTACCCTGCATCTACTAATCTCACTTGTATCAATAGTATTCATGTGTGTTTTATCTTTAGTAAACTATGTTTTTTCACAGCAAGGACTGTTTTATTAATACCTACCCTTTTGTTTAATGTACTATTCACTTACTCGAGAACTTAAGCTTGTGCCTGATGAAAGTAAATATACTTTGAATCTCTGAAAGGGTAGTCATTTGAATAGTCCTTTTCAAACTGAAATGGCAAAAAGCTGTAATAAAAGAAAACTCATGTAGATGTGTAATCTGTATTAAGGCACACTCTGTTTGAGAAGAGTTAGTATGTCATGGGTTTTTTAAAAAAAAATTATTGTATTCTATCTTTAAAGTGTCTTGGGTAAGCATGTGGCATTAATAGTTTAGTCATAACTAGAGACAATTGTGTCTTACAATAATAAGGGATAAAGATGTGATTTCTGGCCAGGCACAGTGGCTCATGCTTGTAATACCAGTGCTTTGGGAGAACAAGGTGGGAGGATCACGTGAAGCCAGGAGTTCGATATCAGCCTGGGCAACATAGTGAGAACCTGTCTGTACGAAAATAAAAAATTAGCCACGCATGGTGGTGGGCACCTGTAGTCTCAACTATTCAGGAGGCTGATGTGGGAGGATTACTTGAACTCAGGAATTGGAGGTTGTAGTGAACTATGATCATGCCATTGCATTCCAGCTTTGGGCAACAGAGCAAGACTTTGTCTCTAAAAAAAAGAAAAAGAAAAAAAGGTGCAATTTTCAACTATTTCATAAAGTCTGAGATGAATCTTAATTTTTTAACATTTTCATTCCTAAAAATCTCTGCTCTGTTGAACAACAGAATTGTTCCTAATTAAGAATAACTCTAGCCAAGCAGAGTGGCTCATGCCTGTAATTGCAGCACTTTAGGAGACTGAAGTAGGAGGATTGCTTGAGCCCAGAAGTTTGAGACCAGCCTGGGCAACAAGGAGATACCCTGTCTCTACAAGAAATAAAAAATTAGCTAGGCATGGTCACGCATACCTGCGGTCTCAGCTACTTGAGAGGCTGAGGCAGGAGGATCCCTCGAACCTAGGAGGTTGCGGATGCATGAGCTATGATTGCACCACTGCACTCCAGTCTGGGCAACACAGTGAGACCTTGTCGCAAAAAAAAAAAAAAAAAAAAAAAAGAATTCCATACACCCCCATTTGCAGTTTCTGCTTCTAAAGGAAATAAGCTTATTTCCCCACTTTCGGACTGTCTACAGTATTGTTGTACATGTAACACATGACATTTAGCTGGTAATTGAGATCTAGAAGTGTCATTAGTCATCATTTCTTTTTTTCTTTTCTTTTTTTTTTGAGACAGAGTCTCACTCTGTCACCCAGGCTGGAGTGTAGTGGCATGATCTCAGCTCACTGCAACTTCCGCCTCCCGGGTTCAAGCGATTCTCCTGCCTCAGCCTCCTGAGTAGCTGGGACTACAGGCACCTGCCACCACACCCAGCCAATTTTTTGTATTTTTAGTAGAGATAGAGTTTCACCATGAAGGGCAGGCTTGTCTTGAACTCCTGACCTCAGGTGATCCGCCCACCTTGTCCTCCCAAAGTGCTGGGATTATGGTGTGAGCAAATGCGCCCGGCCATTAGTCATCATTTCTAATGTAGCATCAAAACATTTCCACCCGTGCAACGGAAATCAATGTAAACTTTAAAAATATAGTTAGCAGGCCTTGGAAATTTTCATAGGCAATAGGAAAGATTTATAAATTAGTTCCGATGCTAAAAAGTAGAACATAAATTTATGTTTGAATGTGTGTTAATAAAATGGAATGCCTCACAGCGCAAGAATATTGTGAAAAATCATCACTATCTTTTAAAAATGAGAATACTTTGAGGATTCAGGCAATAAATAAATGCAGACCAGACCACTTATACTGTGCAATTAGCTAGACTTGAAATAAAACTTTGAAATGGTTAAAGTTCTTTTTGAATTGTACTGAAATAGGGGAATTCTATTTCTAGCCCTGTGATTTATTCATATTCATTCTATGACTCATGTTATGAATAAATGTGGGGCACTGGCTGAATATACATTTTAGATAGAAGAGAGAAAAAATTTTAATTACCATAAGAATAGAATTAATAAAAAAAAGATGTAGACAAATAAGCAACTATTAGTATGCTATTTGATCCAAAATATGAAAAGTAATTACTAAACTTTGGAAATCCAATGAATGTACAGTTTGAAATGCAAAGTTTATGTCAGAAGAGAACAAAACCCAAAAAATCTAAAAAATTTTTTCATCCCCAAAAAGAGAAGATATTTCCTATGTATGTTTCACTTGTATTTCCCAACCATTTAGTAAAAAAATGAGAAATGTTACTGTTAAGTTTGTACTTAGTTGAGTTCATAAATAAAATTATATACAATTCCCTAGACTTTTAGGTATCGGTATCAAGTGTATATCAAGTGTATATATTTTATTTCTGTCTTCGAGGACATCCTTAAGTGTAACTTTTTTTGTCATTAAGTTTTCTTTCTCACTTGTTTCCAAAGAGAATAGCCATATTGCAACTCAGAAACCAATTTCAATTTGTTTTAGTGCATGTCTAGAATCAGAGAGGCTTCTATTTAATATTTAAACACATTAATTAATATTTAAACAGCAAAGTACTTGTGCCGGGTAAATTCTAACTAGAGTAAAATGGAAACTAGTTTGTTCTTCCCAGGTGTATAACCATAAGTTGGTGATGCTCGGTTAAGAGGCTTTTGGTATGCGCGAGTGTGTGTGTGTGTGTGTGTGTGTGTGTGTGTGTGTTTGATCATTTTCGGTCTACTCAATGTAATTTCCAAATTAATCTACCTCCAAGTTGAATAGGCAATTAAACTAGTTGAAACACTTAATGACTGTTAAACTTTTAACTGTGTGCTCCTGAAGAAAATAAAATTTTCAAAAGGAAAGCAACATTTTTTCCAAATGTAAGTTTACAGCCATTGTTATATAAATATGCTTTTTCTTTTGCTTATCTAGGCAATAGATTAATACCTGTCCTTAAGAAGTATACCGTTTAGTATCTTTAAAGTATAAATATTTGCAAACAAATCCCTTTACTATTCTTTTAACTGTATACGTGGCAAACTTCAAAAGTAGAAGGAATTAGGAGGCTAAAGTTTTATGAAGGATGGTCATTTTCTAGGCCTTTAAGATTTGTTGATTAGAAAAAATGTCCTGATGTACTAAGCAGTCCATAAGAACTCTAGTTTAAATGACCAAAAGAAATGTAAACTTAGAATGGCAGGTAAATTTGGGTTGGTAGGTAAGGATTAAAAGAATTTGGATTTGATGGAATCTTTTTAAAGCAGTCTGGGTCTAGCATGGAACTACCCCTAAAGAATATTGGAAGAGTCTGGCCGGGCGTGGTGGCTCACGCCTGTAATCCCAGCACTCTGGGAGGCCGAGGAGGGCGGATCACCTGAGGTCAGGAGTTCGAGACCAGCCTGACCAACATGGAGAAACCCCGTCTCTACTAAAAATACAAAATTAGCCAGGCATTGGTGGCACATGCCTGTAATCCTAGCTACTAGGGAGGGTGAGGCAGGAGAATCACTTGAACCTGGGAGGTGGAGGTTGCGGTGAGCTGAGATTGCGCCATTGCACTCCAGCCTGGGCAACAAGAGCGAAACTCCATCTAAAAAAAAAAAAAGAATATTGGAAGAGTCTAATACATGTGGAAGATTTTTCCAGTGTCTTCAATTTATCAAAACACTTTGAGAGTGTTTTAAGGTCATGGAATAATCCCCAATATATGTTATTAAATGAAAATACAGCAAGGTAAACAGTAGAGGGTATTCGATGCTTTTTTCCCCCTCTGATTTCTATATGCTTGTATATGCACAGAATATGTCTCCAAGGATAGAAAAGAAACTTGTAAGAATAATTGGCAGTGGAGAAGAAAACAAGGGAATTGGATGAAATATTGTCATCTGTATATCCTTTTGAAATTTTGCAATTTATCTCTTTATGTATATATTGTCTACTTTAAAAATCTACACAGGTGCCAGGGACCTAGTTCTACTGAATCAGAATTTCTGGGATCCGGCTGAGGCACTTGTATTTGTAGCAGCTGTAACTCCCATTTGGCACTTACTGCCTTCCTTTAAGGGATATCCGCCTGAAAGTATAAGTTTTATCCCATCAACTAGATAAGCACATGGTGAGGAAGGGGGATCTTATGCTTCTGTTGACAAGGGTAGTGCAGAGGTATAACTATGATTCTCCTATTACCTTACATTATAGTGAGGAAGAGTTTTGGAAATAAATTTCAACATAATAGGATTACGAGATCCTTAAAATTGTTCACTTTTGATTGTTCCAGGCCAAATGTCAGTAAGTGCCAACAATATGATATTCACACCAACTCTTGTTTTTTGAAGGGCATAATAATGAATTAATTAAACTCTAGATACCTAAAAGGCAGAGTAAAATCTAAAGCTAGAACTGCAGTCCTTGGGGATGTATGGTTATCAGATACAGAAGTCACATTACATTGCAGACAGGTTCCCTATCTCTAGGATGATAGATGTAGGGCAACCCAGTGGTTCCTAAACTTCTCTTCCATCATTGTGTCTCCAGCAAGCACAGGTTTTGCAGAACATCCATGAAGATCTGGTGTCCCACTATTTTGTTTTGGACACAGTGCTGTAATTCAGACCCTTTCCAGCCTCATGGCCAACCTATATTGTACACAGTTTGAGCTGGCTCTTCTTAGTTCTGTTTGTGTCTCCCTTCACTTAGTACATACACATTCCTAAAATGCTCTTTGAATGAATAAATTAATGGATGAATCCCTTTTTGTGATGCCCTGGGTCTTTTTATGTTCAATTCTTCTGCTAACAAACCGTCCTTCCCACCTTTTATTTTTATTCCTTCCTCTAACTGATCCCAAGTGGCGAACAACTTGTATTAGTTAACCAGCCATGTTTGGGTTGTAACTCGCAAGTTTTAGCATTGCATAGTCTGGTGAAAGTTCACTCCCTTGGGTTTGGAGGTTCATGTGTGCTATTCAAATTAATGTGTCTTCATTCATGTTTAATTATAAAGACGTTTTTCTTTGGAGTGATATCATCTGTAATCTGGCAATTATTAAGACATTCTTAACATTCATTTCTTATAGAATGTATACAATTAGAAGTACTACAAAATACAACTGCATGATACATTCTGTTACTTAGGAAAAACTAGGCCAGTCAGGTTTCATTGTTATAAATGACAAAAATCAATTCTGACTTTAAGAAAGAAGTACATTGGAAACCTACCTGGCAGCTGATAGAAGTAAAAAAAAATGGATGGAGAAATTGGCTTGGAAAAAAAACCCCAGCCGAAGAGATGACCTTTAGCAGCCAATGCAGTGTGTTGCTACATTCTTGGCTGAACACTGGATGCCACTCATGAAGCCTTCAACACCACCACCATGCTACCACCCCTCACCACCATTCCAACAACCAGAATGAATTCTAACCCTCTGTGTTCCTTTGCCTCACTAGATAAAGATTCAGTGGGCTTTGGGGGGCTTTGCGAGAGTTCATTGTAGGGATCTGAGAGAGCAAGTATCTGGCATTTTGGATTTCTTTGGTAGTACGTGGAGCCCTATGTCTCACTAAGAGTCACATAATGGCCAATTGCCTGAACACAGGGTTCAGAGAATGGGCTGTCCCACCCAAAAACACAACCCCTGATACATCCTCTACAAAGTGCAGGCACCTTCTAGAAATAGACTTATTTTGATGGTATTGTGGAAAGAAAACATGCAGCAGATATGAGTTTCTAGGAAGACTTGAAATAAAGGCAGATATATCCAGAACATCAGAATGAGATTTTTTAATGGCTAAGTATAGGGTCACTTTTGGCAATGGTTACGTAAGAAAGCGATATCAAAATGTATGCACAGCTGTAGATAATTCTGTTTAAGTGGAATGCAGATTCTGCAATGTTCAAGAAGTATGATTGTCATTTGTAAGGGGTTTTCTTCAATGTCTCCTATTTCCTGGCTTGATTTTGCAGAGACTGTCACATGTACATAATTGTTTCAAAATAACACAACAGGCTCATGATCATTTAGTCTACGTTTCTGTGGACTAAATGCCAGCAAAGGTGAAGGGAAGGTCAAATTTTCAGTACCTTCCTTCTGCAGGATGGGAGCTGAGGCTCATGCTGACAATTACTTCTACTTCATTCTTTATCTACCAGAGGATTCTATCAGATAATACCTTCTCTGTGAAACCACGACTTATTTTTCTATGATGGGCCCATTTCTCCTCTCTTTGAACCTCAGTAATTTTATAAAATAATTTTGTTTCTTAATGTTTCATATTTCATTGTCTATATCTTGATTCTCTCAGAGAATTATGAACTGTGTGAAAGACTATATTATTTAGGCAAAGTTAGACATTCTCTATTCCTAGTTTCCTTATTACCTTGTCCACTATGACATTGTTTCTCTAGCTGATTTCCAAGTCACAAGTCTGTAGGCTCCTGGGGATAGAAATAGTTGTTGTTTTTTTTAACCACGATGAGATACCATCTCACACCAGTCAGAATGGCTATTATTAGAAAGTAAGAAAATAATAAATGCTGGTGAAGCTGTGGAGAAAAGGGGACACTTATACACTGTTAGTGAGAGTGTAAGTTAGTTCAACCATTGTGGAAAGCAGTGTGGGGATTCCTCAAAGAGCTGAAAACAGAACTACCATTCAACCCAGCAATCCCATTACTGGGTATATTCCCAGAAGATATAAATTATTCTACCACAAAGACATGTGCAAACAAATGTTCATTGCAGCACTATCCACAATAGCAATGACATGGAATCAATCTAAACGTCCATCAATGACAGACTTAATAAAGAAAATGTGGTACATGTACCCCATGGAATACTATGCAGACATATAAAAGACCAAGATCATGTCTTTTGCAGGAACATGGATGGAGATGGAGGCCGTTATCCTCCACCAACTAACGCAGGAACAGAAAACCAAATACCTCATGTTCACACTTAAAAGTGGGGGCTAAATTATTAGAATTCATGGACACAAAGAAGGAAACGACAGACACTGGGTGTTGCTACTTGAGGGTGGAGGCTGGAAGGAGGGAGAGGAGAAGCAAAAATAACTACTGGGTACTAGGCTTAGCACCTGGGTGATAAAATAATCTGTACAACCAATCCTTGTGACATGAGTTTACCTGTATAACAAACCTGCACATGTACCCTGTGAACCTAAAATAAAAGATAAAAAAAGAAATGTAATAGGTTTGTTATCTTTGTCCATGGTACTGAAAATTGAAAGAACCAATGAGAAGAGACCATTTGTTTATCTTAAGTGAGCTTGACTTATACAAGATGTGAACAAAATTCCCATTTACTTGGTAAAATTATTATATTTTTGGAGTTCCAATGAACCTTGTGTGTTATTTTATTTATTTATGTATGTATTTTTGAGACAGAGTCTCACTCTGTTGCCCAGGCTGGAGTGCAGTGGTGCGATCTCAGCTCACTGAAACCTCTGCCTCCTGGGTTCGAGCAATTCTCCTGCCTCAGCCTCCCAAGTAGCTGGGACTACAGGTGCATGCCACCACACCTGACTAATTTTTTGCATTTTTAGTAGAGACGGGGTTTCACTGTGTTAACCAGGATGGTCTCGATCTCCTGACCTCGTAATCTGCCTGCCTCAGCCTCCCAAAGTGCTGAGATTACAGGCGTGAGCCACCGCACCTGGCCTCATGCTATTTTATTTTAAGAAGTTAATCCTAACATGCCATTTGAAAAAGAGTGCCACATCACCTACTCTTTAAAAATGGAAAAATAAATAAATTTAAAGATTGAATGCAAGCCCTTAATATAAGAATGCATGTCATTCTGATCTATTATTACTCTCCTGACAAAGATCTGCAGAAGAGAGTGATATTTATAAATAAATACCATGGTGTATCTTTTCCAATTCACTTCAAATAATGATGGCAAGTGAGACACTGTTGCAAAATCCATTTCTATCATTTAAGGCAGCATATGCTAGAGACAAGACACTGGATTAGGAGTCAAAAGACCTGGGTTCTTTTTTTTTTATTCAATAAATATTTACTGAGGTTTTATGATAGATATAAGTTTTAACACAACCAAATACTTGCTGTGTAATATTGGCAAATTACTCAACCACTCTAAGGCTAGGTTTCTGCATTTGGAGAATGGAGAGTATGCCCTGCCTTGTTCCACGGGACAGTTAGTGAGAGTCAAATGAGACACACTGTATGTTGAAGTGATTTGTATATGGTAAAGCACTAAATAAAGTTATATTAGTTATAATAAATTAGAAAAATAGGTCAGTGCAAAAATAATGGCCATTCCCTTTAATGGCAAAAACCACAATTACTTTTGCACCAACCTAATATGTACTATAGTTATTGCTCTATTTTGAATATTTGACCCTTCAAGCCCCATGTTGAAATTTTATCCCCAATGTTGGAGATAAGGCCTAGTGGGAAGTGTTTGGGTCACGCGGGTGGATCCTTCATGCATGTATTGATGCCATCTTCATGGTAATGAGTAAGTACTTCCTCAATTAGTTCCCCTGAAAATTGTTTTTTGTTTTGTTTTGTTTTTGTTTTTGTTTTTGTTTGAGACAGAGTCTTGCTCTGTTGCCCAGGCTGAAGTGCACTGGCCAGATCTCGGCTCACTGCAAGTTCTGCCTCCCAGGTTTACACCATTCTCTTGCCTCAGCCTCCCGAGTAGCTGGGACTACAGGTGCCCGCCACCATGCCCGGCTAGTTTTTTGTATTTTAGTACAGACGGGGTTTCACCATGTTAGCCAGGATGGTCTCGATCTCCTGACCTCGTGATCCGCCTGCCTCAGTCTCCCAAAGTGCTGGGATTACTTTGGGAGCGTGAGCCACCACGCCCGGCCGAAAATTGGTTTTAAAAGAAGTGTGACACCTCTTTCCCCTCTCTCCTTGTTTTCCTCTCCCACCATGTGATTTCTGTGTAGTCGGCTCCTTTTCCCCTTTCATCATTAGTGGAAGCAGCCTAAAGCCCTCACTAGAAGCAGATGCTGGTATTATGCTTCTTACACAGCCTGCAGAATCATGAGCCAAATAAACCATTTTTCTTTATAAATTATCCAGCCTCAGTTATTCCTTTATAGAAACATAAACAGACTAAGACAACTATAGTATATTAGTGCAATAAAATTATATTTATTAAAAAGCACTGTGGTTATCTATTGGAGCCAATTCCTAACTTTCACAATTTCAGTACTTCCAAAATACTGTAATAACTCATAGCAATGTCATACATTTGAATTGTTCTTTACCATTTCAGAGTGCCTGCAAATAATTCATCTTTGATCTTTCCAACATTAAAAAGTGAAACAACATTCTTTGCTTTATTTCTTCATGCACATATTTCTAGGATTATATTTTCTATATAGTTACATAATTGTTTCTAACCTAGAGCTCAAGTAGCTTTTGAATGGTACTTGGATAAAGATGAAATTTTGATCCAATTTATTTCTACTCCAATTTCTTGAAGGTTCACTATAATGATAAATGAGACGTGAGAGACATAAAGAGCTGTCAGATCAGTTTTATTTCTAGTTCTTGCAAAATGCCCAATGACAGTAGAAATCTATAGCAGTGGATCTCAATTTTTTTGGTCCTAAGGCTGTTTTACTCTTAAAATTTATTGAATACCACAATGAGATTTCATGTCTGTAGGTTATATCTATTATTATTTATTGAATTTTTAAAGATGTATTTATTACTTCATTAAAAATAACAAGATACCCATTATATTTTAATATAAATAATAATGTTATTAAAATAACCATATTTTCCAAAACAAAAAACAGTGAGAACTATGACTGTGTTGTTTTTGATTTTTGCATCTAAAACACCTGTTAAACTAAGGTCTGGTTCAACAGAAGACAATGAAATCATCTAATCCGCCTTCACTGTCAATCTGATACCATACATTGTTTGAAGTATATGAAAAATATCTAGCCTCACACAGATACGTGGTTGGAAGCAGTTGTATCTTGCCAAGCCTCTGAAAAGGTTTTGACTACCTCCACAAATCCATCAACCAAATTTTAAAATGGCCACTGTCTGAGTCCATATTTACATTGCAATATATAATCATGGCTTTCTTTTATACATGCTGATTTCTCTAGCAAGCTACTGCTCCACAGCAATCTTGGATTTCTCTCCTGAAAATTCGCTTTCCTTCTCTATCACACGGCCAGGCTGTGCATTTTCCAAATTTTTATGCTCTGCTTCTCTTTCAGTCATAAATCCCAACTTTAGTTCACTCCTTTGCTCTCATATCTGATCATAAGCTGTTAAAATCAGCCATGCAACTTCTTTAATGCTTTGCTTAGAAGTTTCTTCTGCCAGATTCATTAAGGTTATCATTCTTAAGTTCAGTGTCCCACAAAGCCCTAGGGAAGGGACACCATGCAGGCTAATTCTTTGCTACTGTGTAACAATGTGACCTTTGTTCCAGTTCCCAATAAGTTCCACATTTCCATATGAGGCCTAGTTAGCCTAGCCTTCACTATTCATATCTCTATCGGCATTTTGGTTACAACCACTTAACCAGTTTCTAAGAAGTTTTAAAGTTTTCCTCATCATCCTGGATTCTTCTGAGCCCTCCAAACTCTTCCATCGTCTGCTCTTTACCCAGTTATAAAGCCACTTCCACATTTTCCGGTATCTTTATAGAAATATGTCTCTGCTCAGTACCAATTTTCTGTCTTAGCCCATTTGTATTGCTATAAAGGAATACCTGAGATTGGATAATCCATAAAGAAAAGAGGTTTATTTGGCTCACATTTTTGCAGGCTGTATAGGAAGCATGGCACCAGCATCTGCTTCTGGTGAGGGCCTCAGGAAGTTGCCAATCATGGTGGAAGGAGAAGGGGAGCCAGTGTGTATAGATTACATGGCAAGAGACAAGCAAGAGGGAGGTGCCAGGCTCTTTTTAACAACCAGTTCTTATGGGAACTAAGAGTGAGAACTCACTCCCAAGAGAATGACACCAAGCCATTTATAAGGGATCTGCCCTCACGATCCAAAAACCTCCCGCCAGGCCCTACCTTCAACATTGGGGATCAAATTTCAACAAGAGACTTGGTGAGGGCCAAAGAAACCGTATCCAAACCATACCAGCTCGTTTGCAGTGTAGGGGGTGTAAGTGCAAAAGCTTTGAAGTCACACAAAACTCCTACCTTGGTTCAAACTGGTTTAACAGGTTTGGGTTGTGTGCCCTTGATCTGTTTACTTCAACTATAAGCCACAGCTTCTGTTTCTGTAAAAAGAGGGTAATTATTCCAACTTTACTGGATTATTATAAAAATTAAATGATAAGTGTAAAGTGCCTAGCACAGGTACTGGCACATAGCAAGAATATAAAAAATAGTGTCTGTCCCTAAATGTATCATATTTTCCCACATCTCCCTCAAAATAGAAGGCCTGGAATAGCCATCTCAGCTCACCTGAGAGTAAGACCAACCTTAGAGAGAAGGTTCTGAAATTAAAACTCATGGGATCTAATTTTAAAATATGCTATTCTATTTTTATATATACAGGATTTATTCAGTCATCATTCCCATACATTTAATGGTATTTATAGTATCATAGTCCAACCTGAAAGCTATGGTAGATTTGAACAGAATTATCCAATGAACCTTCATATTAAAGAAATTTCATGAGTTGTTCTTGATGACAAACAGACCAAACTAATAAGCTAAGGCAGTGGTAGATTATTCTATTCATATCTCATTTTATAAACTGATATTAAATATACTAAACATACTGAAAATGTTTTCTTAAAGCCTAGAAAGTAGTTATTCATTTCAAATTATCTCACATTATAAATTCTTTTCAAATTAGTTCAAATTAAAAGTTCATTTCAAATTGCAAATGAGTTATTCATTTCAAACTGAAATTTATTTCAATTATACTTAGTGAGCACCCATGCTGTTAAATGTCATTGTGCAGAATCCAAAAATGATAGCATTTTTGCCTAACATTTAAGTTTTTTTCTTTTCTTTCTATTTGCTAATAGCATGGTTTGCCTAGAAATAAATTTCTGATTTCCTATATCGCTGATATGTGTTTTTTAAAATTAAAGACATTGACACCTGAGCTTTGTGTCTTTTCTACTATTCAAGAGAGAATACAAATAAGTATCAAGAGTCTGAAACTAAAGTAGCTGCCTAGGAATTACTAAACAAATTCTTTTGCACATGATCTGATATTTTAAATCATACAGAAATATCACTGGAATAGTCCCCTTCTTAGACTGGCAGATTTTTGACCTGACCTCGCTTAACCCTGCTTCTTGTCTTGTCTTCCTAGACTCAGAACATTCAATCCCAACTACTTTTTCTTGCTGCTCATCTAACAATTTTAATTTCTCAACTTACAGGTCACAAGGAAGTCTTAATAAAATAGCAAGTATGTGCTAACATTTATTTAGTACCTTGTGCCTTAAAGTATTCCAGGAACTTTATGTGTACTAAATCATTTAGTCATCAAAATAACTGTATATTATTCTTTTCATTTTATAGATGATGGAACCAACACAGAGAAAATAGGTCAGAAAGGGTTATGTCAGAAAAACAGAATACTCTCTAGGTGGTGTTGGGGCCGAGAAACCAATATCCCAAATATGGCACTCTGACATGCTGAACTAAAGAAGAAACCTCAATGTCTCTGTGACCACTCCCTTCCCCCATCTCTCATTCTCTGTGTCTTCCAAAGCACAGAATGAAGTTGTTCTCTGAAGTTTCCTTCTCTCTCTAAAGTCTGGACCCACATAAGAAGAAAAAAAAACCCTATGAACCCTTTTCTGAGTTTTCATGAACTGAATTCATATCACAGAAAGACAGGCTGAAGTTTGTCAACACACTTGAACAGACATATATCCCAAGCCATTGTCTTCTCTGTGGACCCAACAGGCTTTGTACTGGCCATTGTACATGCTCTAAGTCCACTGACTTCCTCTAAAAATCATTTTCTATCCCCTTAAAAATATCGATACTTCCTGGACTCCCTTTTCCCTAAGAGCAAGGGTATATAACTCTCTGGACCTCATATGGTTGGGAAGTAATCGCTGTGATTTTCCTCTGTGTGTAGTGATACAAATTCGTATGCCTTTTTAAAATTAATTTGATTTTTGTCAGTTGATTTTCAGCCAACCTTCAAAAGATGAAGGGGAAGGTTTCCCTTTACCCCTACAGTGGTTAAAACAAGGAATATCTATCCAAAGAATTTGTTATATAGGCAATGCAGAGCTGAAAAGCCGAACAAGGGGAGTGAGTTAAGCCAGAGTTTAGCAACATCAAAAAGGCATTACTACCCTTAATTTGGAGAGAGAAGTGAGGATGCACAGCTTCTAAATCTCAGGGACCTACCTCACCTCACTGGGGAGACCTAGAATCAGGCAAGGGCAGTCTGGTGAGATGGGAAACCATCCAAGAGATACATACAGCCCAAAGAGATGCCATCAGAGGAGAGGGAGGAGAAAGAGAAATAGCCTGGCTATACCCTTTCTCTTGCCCTCCAGTACCTTTCCTTTGCCTGTTAGCCAAATCTGTTTCAAACCCATCTGACTTACGAGCGTGAAACATGCAGGGATAGTCCTCTCTGTGATTTACAGCAGAACAATAGACGCTCAAGGAATCAATCTCGTAGCAAATAGGAACTAAGGCTTAAGTAACTTGCCCACGATCACAGAGCTAGAAGTCCCTGGGTTGTTCTTCAGGGATCATGTGCGCTGAACATGGGAGATAGGTCTTGGAAAGTGACATTAGTCACATTCTGACATGTGGTTTTCTCTGCCCATATATATCATAGGATAATTTCAGGGAAATGTGTGCCCACCAATATGGTGGGAGAGACTTTGTCTTTTGAGTATAGGTGAATGGACTAAAAAGTGATGAGAAAAGGTCTGAGGCCTCCAAGCCATTTTCAGTGTGCAAGTATAACTTCGGGCCTGTTCAAGGTAAGTGAAAGCAAGTGATGCAGGCAAGAAATAACACACTTTTGCACTGGCTCTCCGTTGATAAATTCTAGCTGTTTCTCCATAGTCCTTACTTTCTAGGTGGACCTTGCAAAGCACATTAGACTAGATTGCTTTTCAATGCACAAAACTTGTTTCCCCCAAAATGATTCTAATTGGAAGTGCCAATACTGGCAGAAAATGTGTGCAGGTACTAGCCTTTAAAGTGCTAATGCATCTCTTACCAATCTACGAAGTTACAGGATGGGGCATGAAAAAATATATTTGACGGCACAAAAGTATGAAGCATAGGATTAAGTAAAGCAGATTGAATATGACTGTTACGGGCTGAATTTTGTCTCTCTAAAATTCATAACCTCTCTAAAAAGTCCTAACCCCTAGCACTTCAGAATGTAACTGTATTTGAAAACAAAGTCTTTAAAGGGGTTATTAAGTTAAAATGATGCCATCTGGGTGCGGCTGAAATCAAGTATGATTTATGTCCTCAGCAGAAGATGAAGAGATACTGTGGGCACACACGGACCATGGAAAGAGGCAGTGAGAGGGTGGCCATCTGCAAGGCAAACAGAGAGGGTGCAGGAGAAATCAACCCTGCTGGCACCTTAATCTTGAATTCCCAGTGTCCAGAGCTGTGAAAAAATACATTTCTGTATTTTTAAGACACCCAATCTGTGGCATTTTGTTATGGCAGAACAGACAACTAATACAATACCAAAGAAGCAACATCTAGAATCCCTCAAAATGTGAGGCACTATTGAGGGCTGGAGAAACTAATAATGACACATTTTGTCATATAGAATAATATGGCTGGGCTGCCAGGACCACAAAGCTATCCACTTGGAATGAGAAGTTAGAGTTAGATGTGCACCACAAAAGCACAAATACATTTGTTTTCTCCCCTTCATGGCTGCCCACTTAATTCAATAAGCATTTTATTGTGCATGTATTAGGCAGGCAGTACTCTTGCAGGTTGTAATCTATGAACACCTGATTGCTAAATAGTACCATTATGACATCATAGAAGACTCCTCTTTAAATGATTGCTTATTGTTTTCTTTTTGCTCTTTTACATGGAGTCTTGCTCTGTCACCCTGGCTGGAGTGCAATGGCACATCTCGGCTCACTGCAACATCCGACTCCTAGGTTCAAGCAATTCTCCCTGCCTCAGGCTCCGAGTAGCTGGGATTACAGGTGCCTGCCACCACATCCGGCTAATTTTTGTATTTTTTAGTGGAGACAGTGTTTTGCCATGTTGGCCAGGCTGGGCTTGAACCCCTGACCTGAGGTGATCCGCCCACCTTGGCCTCCCAAAGTGCTGGGATTACAGAGGGGAGCCACCGTGCCCAGCCTGCTTATTGTTTTCTTATTGGTGGAAATAAAATTATCCCAGAATGCCAACACTCCTAAAGGAGGAAAATAATTCAGATCCTCATTGCAGTAGATTTAAAACCACTCTTTTGTAATGGAAATTGTCTAAATCTGCTCCATGGATTCAACAATTCTTTGCTGACATGCCTGTAATCCAGGTAGCTACTTCAGAGGCTGAGGCAGGAGGATCCCTTGAGACCAGGAGCTCAACACCAGCTAGGGGGGAAACAAAGAAAAGTCCTACAAATGTGTTTTGGCAATATGGTAAACTTTTGGTATCCGGAAATGGATTTTTAACCCCTTTCTAAAGATACCTAAGGCGGAAGAATACCAATTTTCTTAGTTGACATATAAAATACAATACTGAGTATTGCTAGAAATAACGTTTTGACCCAAAACAGAAAAATAGTCTTGCAGTTTGTCTTTGTCTATTTTATGCTGCTACAACATAATACCTATGAATGGGTAATTGATAATGATCAGAAATTTGTTGGCTCACAGTTCTGGAGGCAGGGAAGGTCAAGATGGATGGGCCGTCATTTGGTGAAGGCCTTCCTCCTGTATCATTGCATGGTGGAAGAGCTAAGAGAAGGGGAGAAAGAGAGAGAGGGAAGGAAAGGAAAAGGGAAAGAGGCAAGAAGGAGCCAAACTCGTCCTTTTATAAGGAAACTGTCCTTTTGATAGGGACTGCACATTTGTGATAGCACCATTAATTAATTCATGAGGTCAGAGCTCTCATAACTGAATCACCTCTTATTAGGGCCCACCTCCACACTGTTGCATTGGGGATTAAGTTTCCATCACACCGTTTTTGGGGGGATACATTCAAACCACAGCATTGTTACACACAAAATATTTCATATTATATGAAATATGTCACTTAACATTTTTACCTGAATGTCAACAACATAGAGTAATGTAGCAGTTTAGAAGTTATTAAATAATATCTTGAGGATATATAATTCCGACACACATGCATATTAAAGCTGACTCATACAACACAATTGTCACGGCGCAAATTTAAAAAATGAGTTAGGAAATCCCAGCGATGGGTTTTGTGTGCCAATTTATCTCAATTGCTCAAATTTCTCTAATTATTCATCCCAATTGTAAGCCTTCTAAAAAGGAATGCCTATGAGGAAACTTGAAATTTTCTTCTCAATGTTCTTCAGTACAACAGTTAAAAATATTTAAAGAAATGCTGAGTAAGTAGGAAACCCTCAGAAGTAAGCTGAAAATGAACAGTCTCAGTGGGCAAATAGGTCTACCATATAAAAGCTCTATTTGATGATTATCTATTGTAAGATCATCTTTTTTTTTCTGTATGGAAGTAACAAATTTAACTCAGAGAAAAGTTGTATTGCCAAATTCTTGAAATTAAACCTTAGTATCTGGCAACATTTTTCCTCCCATGGTACTAGATTACTAGATTTTTATGTTAAATTTAATTTTCTTGAATTCAAATGTATGAGCTTGATTTCTAAAAAACAAACAAACAAACCAAAAAACCAAAACCCTCATATGGAGAAACATGAAGTTAGCATATAAACAAGAAAAGAAGAAACTTTGATCTATAAATGAAGAAAAATGGGTTTTGATAAGCTCTCTTTGACAGGTCACCCTCCTTGGGCTTCAGAGTTATAAAAAAATCGATACGTGAGATTAGAGATGTGACAGTATTTCTAAATTTCTGTTTCCAACCGTTTCATGACTTTTCATTTCCTCTAGAAAAGACATAGGATATTAATATAATAAGATTTGCAATTTGTTAAATATCAAATGAGTCAACAAATATGAAGCTTCAAGGAAAAGGTGACAACAGGTGGTACCAGACATCTGAGCTGCAGAACAAAGATGGTTGTAAAGTGCACAGAACTGTTACAAAGCCTTAAGAGCTACTATAATCCATGATTATTAAATAACACCACATACTATTTCAATTAGCATTTGCCAAGCTTGCTTTCCTTGTCATTGGATTAAAAATTATACCCGGATTTTCAAGTGTATTCTATTTGTGACAATATGCATTGATAATTTCTCTCCTCACACTGCTGCACTCTCACCTCCGTTCCCAGATTAGCTCCTGGAACTCGAGATATTTTTGTGGCTAGAGATTGCTTTCTTAATGTTAGATTTTCCTTACAATTCCATATATAGTCAAGCATTCCATGCATGGTAGTTAATTGTTTGCTTAATTTGGCAACTGGGATATTAGAATTATGTATCATTAGGCAGTGATATTTTTGTAAGGTTGTTTGCTAGATAGATCCTATTTCATTTATATTAAGTCTTGGGAAGATAAACTTTATTTTTCCAGAGCCTAGCAGTGACTGACACATATTCGAATGAATGAAGGTAGATAGAAAATGTCTATATTCATTTACGTAATGATTAGTTAAGGAGAAAAGTACTTCCCAGCATAAAGATTTCTGGCAACCCTTTGCTTATTTGACTTTTCCCTTCAGGCAAGTTCAAGGCTTGTGAAATTCCTAGAAAGGCGAGGGGAGAGAACGCGTGACACAGAAAGGGGCCGGAGTTCGGGACCCTACGCAGTTTTGGGACGTTATGGGCATGGAGGGAAATGTTTGCTTTGGAGGCTTTGGGTAAGCTAGGGATCCGACAAGCCCTGGGCGCAGGGAGGAACGCTGCCCTCCGGCCTCCAGTCGCGCTCCCCGAAGCCCAGCGCCAGCGTCGCGCAACCTGCCGCAGGGGCGGCTCCCGGGCCAGGCAGCCAGGCGCGCCCTCGCCCCACCCGGGAACGCCAGGCCCGCGCAGGGAGGGGCGGGGCTCCATGGCGGCCCCGCCCCGCCGCCCGGAGGGTCACAATGTAGGGTTAGGGCGGCCGGCGGGCGGGGCTCTGCGGGGGAGGAGCCGCCGGGCGGGGGCGGGGATGGCGCGTGGGGGAGGGGAGGGAGGAGGACTCGCGGAGGGAGGAGGACAACGCCATTCCGGGCGGCCGCTCCCTCCGTCCCCTCTCTCCCTTCCCCAAAGCAGCCCGCGGACCGGCAGCAAAGGAACGTGCGAACGCGTGACGCCGCCCGACTGGCTCGCGCTCTCCCGTGCCCCGGCGTCCTCCGCCCGCTCATGGCCCGGGCCGCCGCGGACGAGCGGCGCTGAGGCGGGCCGCGTGGAGACGTGAGGCGGCCGCCGTGGCCCTCACAGTCGGCGTTTCGCCGCCTGCCCGCGGTGCCCGCGCACGCCGGCCGCCATCGCCTTCGCGCCTGGCTGGCGGGGGCGCTGTCCTCCCAGGCCGTCCGCGCCGCTCCCTGGAGCTCGGCGGAGCGCGGCAGCCAGGGCCGGCGGAGGCGCGAGGAGCCGGGCGCCACCGCCGCCGCCGCCGCCGCCGCCGCGGGGGCCATGACCGTGGAGCAGAACGTGCTGCAGCAGAGCGCGGCGCAGAAGGTGAGGCGAGTCCGCCAGCCGGCGGGCCCCACTTCTCCTTCCGACGGGCTGTCCTCTCCCGCTGCGGCCGGGCGCCCCGGCCTCGCCGCCGCCGCCTTCCCGGGCTTCCTCCCCGGTCACCCCCGGCCCCTGCCCATCGCCTCGGGGGCGTCGCGCCCAGAGCCCAGCTGCGTGTGGGAAGCAGAGTGTAGTTTGCGGGCTTCAATCCACTTCCTTCTGCCGATTGTTTTCCCGTAGCAGACGGTGCCAGGTATTGAGAGCGACCCTCACATTCCTACAGTGCTCTGTGTGGCATCTTAATGAAACTTTATTCTCTCCCCTTAAATGAGAAAGAATAGCTAGTTGTCATCCTTTCTGAACCGATTTTGTCTTTCAAAGGTAGTAGTGTACCAGGCCTGCTATTTTGCAAAACGGTCTCCACCAAAATCGAATTACCTGCCTCGCGGGGCAGGCGTGTTGACCAGGTGGACTCTAGAAGTAGGTGGTTTGCTTGGTTTCTTTTCCTTTTAAGGTTTCCCTTTCTTCTTCTTCTTTTCTGTTTTTTTTTTTTTTTTTTTTTTTTTCAATATAGAAACTGTCCCTAAGAGAGGAAACCTTTCTGGCCATGTTATTCCAGGAATCTTTTGTCCCCTAAGTTTGACCTTGTTCTTTCGTTCACCCTTTACTCTTGCATCAGTCACACATTCAAATGGTCACTCACTAAAGAAAACAATTAAAAAACTGTTTGTGAAACTTTATATCTTTAAAGTGAATAGAGATCATTCTGCTATTTTAGATTTTGCTTTCAGAATCTTAAGTGCACTATCATGGCTTGCACCATGTTCTGAAGAGTAGTTGGCCATGATTTAACTTCTTTTTTTAATTTTTAATTTGCGTGAAAAGCATTTTGGGCAAAAGAGTAAACCGTGCCTTAGTTGTGTTGGTATTACGGGGACAGTTAGGGTTTACTGTGATCAACCACCAGAGTTATGTTTGGTTTATCTGGGTGAGTAATGAATGCCCCACCCTGTTGTAGATTTGGTGTAGATTGCAATATTCTACCTGTGCTTGACTTTAGAATAAGACCTGTTCTAAAATGGGCTGTCTACATACAGCCTGCTAAATTTTTGCTTTGAGATTATTTTTAGAATTTTATGATACTGCTTTAAAGTAATCGAAGATACTCAAGTTTGGAAAGCAAGGATAGTGCATTGTTATTTTAGGCACGTTGGGAAAGTTGTTTTTGAGACTTGTATGTTAGTTGATATTATTGGTAAAGTTAGAAGGATATTGCACACTGCACTTTATTTACAGTGAAATAATTCAAGATTTAATAATGAGAATTTAAAAGAGTTTCCTTCCTAATCCTCCCTATTCTATTTTGAATACCTTCAAGTTCAATTTTTAAAGACTTAAGGCTTAGGAAAGAGCACATGGTCATGTGAACGCTAAGCAATATTTAATATGTATGGTACCATTTGTTTATAATTGTCTTCAGTGTTGAATATTAAAGTCTGTTTCAAAGTGAGAAATACCAATTTTTCACTTCCTAAGTTTGAACAATGGGAAGAACTTTGTAAGTTTAGGATTTTTTTATTTTCATTTGATTTTGACTAAACTGTATTAAATAACTATGCAGGCTCTATTGTATGGTTCAGAGGTTATGCATAAAATTGTAGAATCAAGAATCAAGTTAACGAAAGTGATCTTGGCTGTCGAGTCCAATTTCCTACTTTAATGAATCCCCTCCACACACAAAGGGAGTAGTAGTTAATTCAAAATATTATCATTATGATGCTACTTTTAGTATGGCTGTGTTTTAGATCATTTCATTGTTATTGGGGATTTTTTTTAGAGAAACTTTTATACTTCCATAATATTTAGATTGTTTTACAGAAGAAACACTTAAATGTGTTTGCTTTCCGTATTAATACACGATTACTTTGTTACTCATATTAGAACTATTTAAAAATATTTATATGGATACAAGTAAACCATCTACCTCGATAAGTTGACAGATTTAAATCCGTCAAGCTAGTAACCAGGAAGCGGACTTAAAGCTGGTAACTAGGAAGTGAACTTCACACTTAGAAGAAACAAAAGTGAAAGTCTGTTTTTACTCAGACACTTTATGGGTTATCTAAAAGGAGAGGTGTGTAGTGTATATTGCATAGCCAACATTTTAGCCAGTTTTCTTCTCACCTTAAAAAACTGTGTGTACATATGTGTTTTTAAATTTTAAGTATTTACTATTTAAAATTTAAGTATTTACTATTTAGCTATATTATTTTCAAGATTTTTAAAACTTTTATTTTGCAGATGGATGTAAGTTTTTTTGTTGTTTGCAGCACCACACTACACAAAACTTTCATGATTTTTTGGTTCGCCTATAGAATTCATTAGTCTTTGTCACAATGTAGTATGATGAGGCAAGAGGCTGCCTTTCCCTTTTGATGTGTTCTTTGCTTGATTGCTGGAGTTTGGCCAACCCAGGGACTTATGAGATGTAGTAAAACTGCAGAAAGCTGCTTTTCTGAGGTTTAGGTATTTCAGGTGAGGTGCAGTTGGCAGCAGATGAGTTAAATTCTGTGATAATTTTGGTTTTGGACATATATCTTCAGCCTTTGTGCTTCATGTTTACCAAAGTGTAGGAGCCTTAGATCTCAGAAATTTGATACATAGATTCAAGTTCCAAATGAGGATACTCCACGGCGCCCCCCCCCCCCCCCCCAATCTATCTAACCCGATGAACCAAGCTAGGATTCTTTAGGGCAGTTATTATTGGGAGGAGTTTTGCTCCCAGGGACCAAATTAATTTACAGAGTGAAATGAACAGGATACTATTTAATTAAATGTATCCTTCTGAGTTGAATAAAATATATTGTTTCACTCTAGGGCTTAGAACAGTTCTTTACACATAGTAGGACTCAGCAAATATGTGATGAATGAAATAAGTGACTGGTTTCCAAAAGGAGTGTAGTACTTTGTTTCCTAACTGAATCTTGGAATTTAAAAATTATTGAGAAACAATGAGGCTGGGCATGGTGGCTCATGCTTTAATCCCAGCACTTTGGGAGGCTGAGGTGGGAGGATCACTTGAAGCCAGGAGTTCAAAACCAGCCTGGGCAACAAAATGACACCTGCCAGGAGTGGTGTCTCAAGCCTGTAATCCCAGTACTTTGGGAAGGTGAGGCAGGCGGATCACGAGGTCAGGAGTTCGAGACCAGCCTGACCAACATGGTGAAACCCAGTCTCTACTACTAAAAATACAAAAATTAGCCAGGCGTGGTGGCACATGCCTGTAATCCCAGCTACTCAGGAGACTGAGGCAGGAGAATCGCTTGAACTCGGGAGGCGGAGGTTGCAGTGAGCCGAGATCGCGCCATTGCACTCCAGCCTGGGCGACAGAGCAAGACTCCATGTCAAAAAAACAAAAAACCAAAACAAAACAATGAAAGCTTGAAAAACTGTGCGTGCTCATGCTAGGAGAATAGGCAGTGGTACTGAAAGACAGGATGTGGGATAGATCTCAACCACCTTTTTGTCACCTTGGGCAAGTCATTAAGTGCTTCTGAAGGTTCTTTCAAAGCAGTAATATTAGTATGTTAACAGTAGTATGTTAAGGCTTTAAACTTTAGCAACTTCTTTAGATTAGATTGTTTAATGGTCCTAAGCAAGTGTTCTGTATAGGGAGAATAAAAAAGAAACAGTATAGAATGGAAGCAGAGGAATCTAACAGATCTACAGTCAACTTTCACTGAATTCCTCCAAAGATGAGGGTTAGGTGGGAAGGTTGTCATAGATTAGCCAAGTTCAAGAGTTAAAACTTGAAAAACAATGCAGACTGGATTCAGGGTAAATTTCTTACTTAAAATAACATGTATTTTCCAATTTAGGATTATCTAAGGTTATAAAACTATACCATGCAGCATTTGATAGTTAACATTACTTAAATCACTTTAAATGTTACTTAAAGGAGGCATTCTTTATTAGGAATCAGTTGATTATCTTATTATTAGTATAAGACTTGATTTGGGCAGAGAGGTTTCCAGCTGTTTATTCCTTTTCTTATTCTTTCCTTTTCACACCTACTTTTGACTTGTAGACTCACATTGTATCCAGTCTTTTAAATGAATTCACATCATTTCTAATAAATATTCTGTTGATTTTCTTCAATATTATATGTATACAGTCCATATCCTTTACAAATACTTAATATTCTGACCTCTTTCTTGTCATTATTTTTACCACTTATTACTTTAAGATGACAGAATGCTACTACAATTTATGTTAGTTTCTATTATATATTGTTTCCTTATAATATGGAAATTTTCTTACATTCCTAAGTTTTATAAATGTTTCAAAACTAGATTTAGATGTTGACTGTCATGTCTTTTTCTTTGCAGTGAATGATATTTTATGTCAGTAACATAAGAACCATTTGTACATACGATATATGAATATTTACTATATAATCCGTGTAAGGCGCTGTGCTGAGCCTTCTTACAAACTTTTTTCATTTAATCTTTCCAACCACCTTATGAAGTGAGTGCTATTTTTCTCCTTTCTTATTGAAGCTGAAGAAACAGTATTGGAGAACTAAAGCAACATTTCATCTCTAGTATGTATTAAGGGTTGGATAAACTCAAAAGTCATGTGATACACAAGCCCCTGCTCTTAACCACAATGTTGTATCGTTTTGGCTGTCCTTGAATTCCTGATAAAACCCCATTTGGTCATGTTGCTTTACTATTTTAAATATGTTTCTATATTTAATATAATAAATTTAAACCTAGAATTTGGTATACAATTGGCCTTCTGTATCCACAGGTTCTGAATCCATAGATTCAACCAGCTGTGGATTGAAAATATTCTGGAAAAAAAAAGCATTGTTGCATCTGTACTGAACATGTACAGTCTCATTTTGGTCATTATTCCCTAACAATACAGTATAACAACTATTTATGTAGCATTTACATTGTGTTAGGTATTATAAGTAATCTAGAAATGATTTAAAGTATGCTGGAGGATGTGTGGATGTGTAAGTTACATGCAAGTATTATACCATTTTATATAAGGGACTTTGACATTCGCAGATTTTGGCCTCTGGGGGTCCTGGAACCAGTTCTCCTTGGATTCTTTAATGAGATTGCTTACAAGGTTTGGTGTGCCCATGAGGGCTATTAAGATAAGGTTAGCTCATAAAATGATTAGAAGGCTTTCTGTGTTTTCCTGTGCTTTTGGAATTGTTTAGTGTAGGATTATGTTGAGTCATTCAAAATTGGTGGTGTATGATCTTTTTTGATTTGAAAAATTAGATAGCGTTCAACTGAGGTACTTGTTACTTTGAAGATTTGGTGAACATGACTGTATCAGGGCTGAGCTGCTCATTTAGAGCAAATTTTAGGTAAAGTTTCCAAATTTTGCTTATTGTCTTTTAAATTTTCTATCTTTTCTAGGGTCAAATTTTAAATTTTTTTAGTTCTAGAAAATTCTAAATTTCATTTAGGTTTCTGTATTTATTGGTCTAAAGTTTTGTCCTAAATCTGTGTGTGTGTGTGTGTATGTGTGTGTGTGTGTGTGTGTATGTATGTACATATATATATATGTATGTAGACATGCCATTTTTTTTATCCCTGCTTGTTTTGTCGTCAGTAGTGTTTGCCAGATGCTGATCTTATTTCCTGCTTTTTTTTTTGAGACGGGGTTTTGCTCTCTCACCCAAGCTGGAGTGCAATGGTGCAATCTCAGCTCACTGCAACTTCTGCCTCCCAGGTTCAAGCAATTCTCCTGCCTCAGCCTTCTGAGTAGCTGGGACTACAGGTGTACACCACCACGCCCAGCTACTTTTTGTAATTTTACTAGAGAGAGGGTTTCATCGTGTTGGCCAGGCTGGTCTTAAACTCCTGACCCCGAGTGATCAGCCTGCCTTGGGCTCCCGAAGTACTGGGCAGTTTCTCTTTGTATTTCTAATGGATTCAATCCAAACTTGTGTTTTTGTCTTTTAGAATTTAACCATGCACATGTGGTGATAACTGATAAATTTAATCTTTTTATTGTCATCTGATTATCCATTTATTAGTCTTGTTTTCTCCATTCAGTTTTGATGGATAGACCAAATTTTCATTGTATCACCACCCCCACCCTTGTCTTTAACGTTTTCTTTTCAATTTTGGCTCTTTTAATTTTAAACAAATATATTTTTATAATATAAAATTTTGATAATATAAAACATTAATAGCTTTTTTCGGTAACATAAAAAATTAACTTTTTTCTCCACCCATTTGCCCCAAATTAGGTAAGACATTTTAGCATGTTTTTTCTTATGGTATTCCTAGTTTTGTTGGGATAATATAGAATTGTAATTCTAGGTGATGAATTTTCTTAGTGTTGCAGATGCATTATTAGTAGCTAGTTTTTTTTAATTAACTATTTAATTTTAACTGTGTTTTTTGGTCTGTTGTATAATGCTTTTTGATGGTTTGATGCCACTCTGCTTTTTTTTTTTTTCCAGATAAGTTAACTCTCTGTGTTACCTTGTAAGATTTTACTCTTTGTTTTTAAGAGTTCAGAAATTTCACTTGCGTGTGTTTATGTATGTATCTTTTTAATGGTCCTGCCTAGGATTTTTCGTCTGAAATCTGTGTTCTCAGGAATTTTTCTTCCACTCTTTTCCTCATCTTCATTTAAAACTACATTATTTGGATTTTATACGTCACTTATCTTTCTTCCTGGCTTCAAATGTTTCTTCTCTCCCATTTTGTCCTGTATGCTGTGGTAACTTTTTAGTTTGATTATCTAGATTATTATTTTTGTAATGCCAGTTCTGTATTTACTACCCTTATATGTGGTCAGATAGTTTACAAAGAGTTTGTTTTTAATAATATATATTTTTAGTTTGGTTCTGAAGTACACATAATTGAATTAATTTTGCCAATTTTCTCATGATCAGCTCTTCCTGCAAATATATTTTCATTTATTTGTTAAATTGCTTATTTTAAATAATAAACACACACGAACCCCCTATTTAAAACAAAAGCTGGAACTTCGATAATAACCTATATCCCTTATCCTATCCCTTTACTTTCATTTGAGTGTATCATCTTGAATCCTCTGTTCATCTTCCTGTTGATTTATTGCATCTATATCAATGGCTGAAGGTATTTTTTTTAATGTTAGTTGTTTTAACTTAAAAATTTTAAGAACTTTTCCCTGCTACAATATCTAGAAGGTAGTCGTCTGTATTTTTAACCAAGAGTTTTAAAGTTATATTTGCAACATTTTATACTCTTTTTCATCTGTGCTTGAGTTTTGTATATGGTGCGAGGTAGGGATACAGTTTTATTTTCATCATATACAGATTGAATCTCTCATATCCAAAATGCTTGGGACCAGAAGTGTTTTGGATTTTGGACTTTTTTTTTTTTCCCTTCAGATTTTGGAATATTTGTATTTTGCTTACCTGGGTTGGGTAAATATCCGAAATTTGAAAATCTGAAATCTGAAATAAGCCAGTGAGCATTTCCTTTCAACATCTTGTTGGTTCTCAGAAAATATGGAGTTTTCAAATTGTGGAGCATTTCTTATTTCTGGCTTGGAGTTTTGGGATGTGCAACCTGTAAATGATTTTAAAAAGTTCTTTTGTTATCCTTGCTTTATTGAAAAGTTAATGCTCTCTTCTACTGAATTGATAGGCCATCTTTGTCATATATGCAAAAGTTTAATGCAAAATTTTTTTCCCTTTCCTTGACTTTCATCATTCATTTTGTGAATATCATCCTGTGTTCATTGTTGTTGCTTTAAAATAATCTCTCATACTGGAAAAGAAAGTTCTTTGCCTTTGTTCCTTTTTTTCAGAAGTAACACTTGACTTTTCCTTAGAAATTTTAGAATGATCATACCAAGCTCTCTCAAATCCTCTGTCTTTTTGATTAATTTGATTGAATCTGTAGATCCATTTGGGATTATTAAGATCTTTATGATACAGGATGAGCAGGATATACTATTTTTATTAGGTCGTGTTTAATATCTCTTGTATGGTTTATAATTTAACACAAAACTATTGTACATCTTTTGTTTCAGGTAGTTGATAATTTCTGATAACTGTTATATGGCAGTGCTTTTAAAAATTTGTTATTGGTGTATGCAAATGCAGTGGTCTTTTGTATGTTAATTTTATACCTAGCCACCTTGCTAAATGTTTCTAATACCTTTTCCAGAGACAATTTTGTACTTTCTGTGTAAAAGATCATATCATTAAGGGAGGAGACCACGCCTCATATTGTCTTATGCCCAATTTCTGCCCTCAAAGAAAGAAAAAGTAAAAACTAAAAGGCAGAAATGAAATCCACAAGCAGACAGCCCAGGGCCACACCCTGGGCCTGGTAGTTAAAGATCGACCCCTGACCTAATCAGTTATGTTATCTATAGATTACAGACATTGCACAGACACTGTGAAAATCCCGATACTGTTTTGTTCAGATCTAATTACCGGTGCATGCAGCCCCCAGTCACATACCCCCTGCTTGCTCATTTGATCATGACCCTCTCACACGCACCCTCTTAGAGTTGTGAGCCCTTAAAAGGGACAGGAATTGCTCACCCCGGGAGCTCGGCTCTTGAGACAGGAGTCTTGCTGATGCCCCCAGCCGAATAAACCCCTTCCTCCTTTAACTCGGTTCTGAGGAGTTTTGTCTGCGGCTCGTCCTGCTACATCATGATTAAAAAGTTTTATGTATAATTTCAGTTTTTGTGCCTGTACTTTCATTTTTTTTCCTGTACTAGCAAATACTTCCAATAAATATTGATTAGAAGTGATAACAATGAGTATTTTTTTGTTCTTGCTGATCTAAAAAGGCAGTTACCTACTTTTGTACCTCATGCATTTCTGAAATATTTACATGTGTTAGTTGTGCAGATTTACAAAGTAGGTTCTGTTTAACTAAAAGATATTGTAGTATTTTCAGTCGTGATGCTTGCAGGTATTTTTTCTTTGGGTACTGGTGACCTTTGTTTAAGCTTTCACCCTAGGTATCCTGGGTGTGGTGGTGGAGGGGTGCTGGTAGTTTGTCAGTCTCTTCTCTGTCATCCTAGGAACTGTGAAGTCAGGCAGGGCACTTTTTTTTTGTATTAGTGGCCCTCACTAATTTCCTTCTCCAGGGGCCACTCCACAATTGATTTCTGCCCTGATGTGCTTAGAGTAAGGTGTCTACAGGGTCTTTCTTCCCCTGACACTGGCATAATTTTACTCTCTAATGTCATAGAATTGCTTTAAGCACTGACCTGCAGCAGTGGCCTGCCTTTTTCCTACAATATAATCACTGATTTTTGTTATGTTTGAAGGACCAAATTTGGCTTGTGAAAGTGAGTTTAGGAATGTCACTATATAATGTGAGCAAGTAGATGATGTGAAAGTTGAATTTATAAAAGGATGAGGCCTTGCATTTATTTTGGCAGACTTTAATTAATTTCCAAGGACATCATCCTTGTCATGACATCTTGTTTTATGTATGTAGTAAGTAATTTTTCAGTTTTTCTCTTTTTTGCCCCTTGATTAACTCTGCTTCAGTACAGACCATCTGCTTTATTTTTAGTTTTTGGTTCTCTGAACTGCTGGATATTTTAAATGCCCAGCAATATTTTCCTTAGTCTTGTTACTATAGGTTTAGATCAGTTTCGTATAATATGGTTTTTATGGACTGTCTTAATTATCTGTAGTGCTTGCTAAAAGTGCAGACTTCTGTGCCTCACCCTAGACGTATTGTTTCAAGATGTTGAGGGTTGGGCTAAAGCCTGCTTAATAAGAATCGCAGATTATTCTTCTGCACTTAATGTTTGAGGATCACTGGTTGAAGTTAATTAGTATTCTTAAAGGTAAAAGTGCCTTGAGCACTGTGTAAATTGACTGCAGGGGTCCTTTAGGGATTGAATTATCACAATACACCAAATTTAATATGGAAGCAGGGTCTTTGAACGGACATTGTTTTTTTTTGTTTCAGGTGTTTCTCTCCATCAGTGCAGCAACATGTTTCCTTGTAGAGGAGCTGTCTCCTCCCTCAGGCTTTTCTGGCCAACATCTCTATGGAAACCCAAAGCTTCAGGTGGCTAGGTGGGATACTTGCCCCTCTTACTCCTGGAGGCACAAATAAGTTGAATCGATGGATTAAGGAGTTGGAAAGTGATTGTACATGCTAAAGTTGTAATCTTCCTGTTTCTTTCTGGCTGTTTTTTTTTTTTTTTTTTTTTTTTTTTTTTTTTGGTATGTGCGTGTGTATTTGTGTATGAATAATTCCTATAGGATTTTTTTGTGGGGGCTAACCATAGCATATGAAAACTTATGTACAACTTAAATATATTAAGATTAGTATTCTTTGTACAATTTTAGACATGAAATAGAATATCTTATTGTCCTGGAAATTTCCTTTGTTCCTCATTCATACTGTCCCTCTTTTCTACACCACCCCCCACCCCCACACTACTGCTATCTTGACTTTTTTCAAGTTAATGTTATCGTGGTATGATTTACACTGAAAGTGTGTAATTTGATGAATTTGGCCATACAGAACATTTCTGTCACTCCACAAAATTTGTCCTGTATCACCTTTCTCATTAATTATCAACACCGTCATTATTTCAGGCAACTGTTGATCTGATTTTTATTACTGTAGATCAGTTTTGGCTGTTCTGGGTCTTCACATCGATTTGTTTATACCAAATTTTTTTTTTTTCTCGCATCTGACTGCTTTTGCTCAGCAAAAAGCTTTTGAGATTCACCCATGTTTTATTGCATGTATCAATATGTTTCTTTTTACTATGGAGTAATATTATATAAATATTCTCACATCTGTGTATTCATGTACCTTTTGATGTACTTTTTTTTTTTTTTCCAGTTTTTTGACCCATATATAATGTTATGTGTACATTTGTAAGCAGGTCTTTGAGACGTATTTCTATTTCTCTTGGGCAAATACATAGGTGTAGAATTGTTATAGTACTAAATTGTTATCCAAATTGATTGTATCATTGTACATTCTCATTAGCAATATAGGAGAATTTCAGGTGGTCTACATTTTTGCCAACACCTGGCATTTTTAATCTTTTATGTTTTAGCCATTTGGTGAATATGTGGTGTACCTCATTGTGGTAGTAATTGTATATTTCCCTAATGACTAATGATTTTGGATGTCTTTCAAGTGCTTGTTGGCCAGTTTGAGGATGATTTTTTTTAACATTGCTTCTCATACATTATCCAGTTTTAACACTCCTACACGATAGGAATCACAGTAGCTGCATTCTTCCAAGTCTTAAAATGGCAAAAATGTCAGAGATGTAGCTAAAGGTAGAACACTCCAGGACCAAGTGCTAATATGTTCACAAAACAAATTGAGATTGCACAATTTTTTTTGTTTGCTTGTTTAAACTAACACCTGATAAAAAGGTACATTGCTGAAAAATGGGAACTCATTTCTTCATCATGCCTCAAAGTAAATATTAAATTTATCTCTTTAACAATTAATTGCACACATACATGAGAAATCTTTATGATACATATTTTATTACACCGTGTACAAAAATAATTTCACATTTTAGTTGGGTTGGAAGTTTGAAAAGAACATAGTGCAGTTGCAGGGGTGGGATGAACTGTGGTGAGGTAAGTAAATTGGACAGAAATTGGGCAGAAAGATACTTCCTTTTTTTTTTTTTTTAACAGTTTTTTATCTGTCTGAAGACAGGGAAGAAGAGGAATCTGAATTGGAAAACCCCCACTATATCTGTTGGGTTTTTGTTGTTGCTGTTCAGTCTGGAAATGGGTGGTGTGTGGTGAGAGGTCATTAGGTCATCAGGGCAGAATTGTTTGCAGAGCTGGGAGCTACATCCTCACGGAAGTGGGATAGATGTGCTGGGGAGGGGTGTGCAGAGAGGAGCCAGGAATGATGTACCATTAGTGGCCAGGGCTTGTTATGGTAACACCAATGTTGAAACCAACTGTGCATTCACATATACAAAAGTTTTGTGTCTTAATTCATGCCAGAATACATGCATAATCAAATGTCTCAGTTAAGGTGGAGCTACAGAAACACTGGGCTGAATGAAGTTCTGGGGTTTTCTTTGTCTTCGTGTGAGGCCTCTGGGCTGGGTCTGGGTGTCTGATCAAGAATGCCCTGAAGTTTTCCCATGGGGCTTTGGAGAACGGCTTTGGAGCTGGGCAGAGCTGAGGATGAGCACAGAAGAAAGGAAACGAGAAATGGTCCACTACCTGAGGTTTAAAATCCTCAATTTTTGGAGGGAAGAAGTGACACAAGATTTTATCGGTGCCACTTCACCAGCAAGAAACCTCTAAGGCCAGCAGTGCCTCTGCCCAGGCTTTGCTTACACTCACTGGGCTCGCTCTGCCTGCTCGGCCCAGCAGGGTGCTCTCAGCTGATCCCCAGCCCAGATCCCACGACCACTGCCACTCCGTGCTCAGCCCATGGCGGGACTGGGTATACCGCATGTGGCTTCCACAGCTGGACTCCAGCATTCAGATGAGGGGAACGTGGTGGAACCCAGAAACTCGGAGACGGCAGCAACCGTGGAGCCCCAAGGGGGTGTCATAGCTTCTGCCTGGGGAGTCCCGAGGTCTGAGCCACCAGGGAATGCCACAGCCCTCTCTTGTTCCTGCCGCTCACAGCTCCCTGAATGGGGGTGTGTTAGAGCTTGTTTATTCCTGCTGCGCATGGCTTTGTGAATGGGGGTGTATTATGGTT
This sequence comes from Homo sapiens, assembly GCF_000001405.40. Taxonomy (NCBI): domain Eukaryota; kingdom Metazoa; phylum Chordata; class Mammalia; order Primates; family Hominidae; genus Homo; species Homo sapiens. The sequence goes on from NC_000021.9 coordinate 15,743,164, forward strand.
CTAGTTCGAGGGGTCCTGATGTTTGGGCCCCCAGAGGGGTCGCGGCTCATCACTCCCATATTCCAGCAATTGGGAGTGTGTAACAGCTCTTTTCATGCCCACTGCCCACAGCTCCAGGAGCCAGCCAGGTGCGTGTTACAGCCGTTCTTTGTTCCCACCGTTTGGCGAGTTCTGGGTTTTTGTCCAGTGACCAAGAATAATGAGGTACGTGGACACCAGAGAGTGAGGAAGGCAGAGAAGAATGTTATTGAGCAACAGAAAAGCTCTTGACAATGAGAGGGGACGTGAAGTGGATAGCCCTCTGTGTGAGGGGGCCCCAAAAGCTGGTAGCCATCTTTGCAGTTGAGTCCAGGGTTTTTTTAGGTTTGGAATGAGGAGATGTGGGCTGGAGGTAGCCTTGGAAAAGGCAACATTCAATTGGTTTAAAAGCATTATTCGGAAAGAACCAATTGGGAAAGAGTAGGCAAAAAGAAAAGTTTTCACTCCAGCTGTGGACTCTATCTATATCTAGAACAGGCAGCTTGGTAGGCTTTAAACTGTCTTTGGTTTGAAGGTCAGGTTTCACCAGGGACCTGTCCCTGCCTGCCTAGGAGTTGGTCTACTGTGGCGCCTGCCTAGGAATTGGTCTACTGTGGCGCCTGCCTAGGAATTTGTCTACTGTCCCTGCCTGCCTGGGAATTTGTCTACTGTGGCTATCAGAAACAGCTCTGCGCAGGCCTCCTGGGGTCAGTGGACACTCTCTTTACCAATTTTGGTAGCATCATGCAGATTTGCAGAACTGGCTTCTAGGCTTCTTCCCAAGTGAGGCAGGAATTGAAGTCACTTAGAACAGTGGAACTTACAGAACTGACAGTGTTTCCATTCTTGCTGGGTGGCGCCAGGAGGAGAGCACCAGTGTACCTGAGCATGTCGAACTGTAGCAGAGTAGCTGAAAGCAGCATATAAGATGACCCTGGTCAGCTCTGTGGTTTCTATGGTGTAAAGTGGGTAGGGGTTTCAGGCCTTTGGGGTTACAGAGATCAGAGCCACTCCCTCAGGTCATGGGGTCCTGTGCTAGGAGGTGTGGTCCTAGGGCTGTGTGAACATTGGTGGGGTTTGCCATTACTTTATTTTTGTCCATCTTGGTGTTGGCTTAGGCAAACCTTAGGGTCTGCGTTTTTTTGTTGTTGTTGTTATTTTTGAGACAAAGGTCTCACCGTGTCACCCAGGCTGGAGTGCAGTGGTGCAATCTGGCTCACTGCAACCTCTGCCTCCTGGGTTCAAGTGATTGTCATGCCTCAGCATCCCACATAGCTGGGACTACAGGTACACGCCACCAGGCCTGGCTAATTTTTATGACGGGGTTTTGCCATGTTGGCCAGGCTGGTCTTGAACTCCTGACCTCAAGTGATCTTCCTGTCTCGGCCTCCTAGGGTCTGCAGTTTTGTTGTTGTTGTTGTTTTGGGGCAGAGCTTCGTTCTTGTTGCCCAGGCTGGAGTGCAGTGGTGTGATCTCAGCTCACGGCAGCCCCCACCTCCCAGGTTCAAGCGATTCTCCTGCCCCAACCTCCTGAGTAGCTGGGACTACAGGTGCCTGCCACCACACCCGTCTAATTTTTGTATTTTTACTAGAGATGGGGTTTTCCATGTTGTCCAGGCGAGTCTTGAACTCCTGACCTCAGGTGATCCACCTGCCTCAGCCTCCCAAAGTGCTGGGATTACAGGCGTGAGCCACCGCACCCCGCCGGGTCTGCCGCTTTTGAATGAAAGTAAATGCTCTTCCAAGCATTTCTTGCATGAGCAGAAGAGTGTGTAGAATTCTCTCGGTTTGCTGTCTAAAGCAAGAGGGCTGACTGACCACTTTAGGGCCACGGCCTCCATCCCCGCCACTTCCCCTCCCTTCCCCTCCCTTCCCACTCCTTCTTTTCCTGAGTGCTGATGTTGTTCTGCCTTAAGCTTCTAAGCAGGGGCATCTTTTATGGTCGGGGGGAGGGAGGTGTGGGAGGCAGGCAGGGGATGTTGCAGGAGAGCTACTGATAACCCAGGGCCTCTGTCTTTTCCTTATTGACCATTTTTATGTCTTCTTTTTAACATGTTAAGATTATTTCCCAATTTCTTAGTTGGGTTATCTTCTTGCTGTTGAGTTGTAGGAATTCTTTATATTTTGGTTGTCTTTTATCATGTATATGTAATTACAAATACTTTCTCCCAATGTGTGGCTTGTATTTGCATTTTCTTAACAGTTTCTTTGAAGTTGAAGTATTTTAATATTGATTGTTTAATTTACTTTTATGGTTAGTACTTTAACCATTTTCTTTTTCTTTTTCTTTTCTTTTTTTTTTTTTTTTTTTGTGACGGAATTTCACTCTTATTGCCCAGGCTGGAGTGCAATGGCATGATCTCACTCACTGCAGCCTCCGCCTCCCTGGGTTCAAGCGATTCTTCTGCCTCAGCCTCCTGAGTAGCTGGGATTACAGGCATGCACCACCACGCTCAGCTAATTTTTGTATTTTTAGTAGAGACAGGGTTTCACCATGTTGGCCAGCCTGGTCTCGAACTCGCGACCTCAGGTGATCCGCCCGCCTCGGTCTCCCAAAGTGCTGGGATTACAGGCGTGAGCCACCACGCCCGGCTGCTTTAACCATTTTCTTGAAACTTAGTTTGTAAATTTTTTCTCCCTGTGTTTTGTTCTAGAAGTTTTGCCATTTTAGGTTTACGATCCATTTGGAATTCATTTCTGTGTGTGTTCTGAGGTGTCACTAAGTCAAGGTTCATTTATTGCATGTGGAATCTAGTCCCAGCACCTACTTTTGAAAAAGCTGTCCTTTCATCATTGAATTATATTGGTACCTTTATGGAAAATTAATTGATCATGTATGAGTGGGTTTATTTTTGAACTCAGTTCCTTTCTATCCTTATGTGGTGCCGTTCTTTCTTGATTACTGTGGCTTTGAAATGTGCCTTGAAGTGGGTGAATGTAAATTCTTCAACTTTGTTCTTGTTAGAAATTTGTTTTGGCTATTCTAGAATTTTTTGTATTTCCATATACAATTCTGAGGTACTTTGAACAGTTGGACAAAGAGCCTTCTGGGGTTTCTGAGTAGGATTGTGTTGGATGTATGGATTCTTTCTGACTGTTTGGACATCTTTACAGTATTTTAGCCTTTCAATCCAAGAACACATATATTTCTCCATTTATTTAGGTTTTGTTTTTTAACGGTTTAAAGGTCTTTGCATATCTTTTGTTACAGTTGACTTTTTTGATGCTATTGTAAGTGGTATTTTTTATTTTTATTTTTATTTTTTTTGAGACGCAGTCTCACTTTCACTGCAACCGCCGCCTCCCAGGTTCAAGCGATTCTCCTGCCTCAGCCTCCCTAGTAGCTGGGACTACAGGTGTGTGCCACCACACCCGGCTAATTTTTTGTATTTTTAGTAGAGATGGAGTTTCACTGTGTTATAGCCAGGATAGTCTTGATCTCTGGACAGCATGATCCACCAGCCTCGGCCTCCCAAAGTGCTGGGATTACAGTTGTGAGCCACTGCACCCTGCCAGTGGTTTTTAGTTTTTATTCCAATTGTTTTTTGCTGGTATATAGAATGTGGTTGATTTTTCTGTATGAAGCTTGTATCTGCGACTTTGCGAAATTCACTTATTCTAATAAATGTATTTACCACTTTTATTCATTTTAAAAATTGTGCTTTTTGGGGTATTCTCTAAAATGTTTAATAGAAGTGGTAATGACAGACATCTTTGTCTTGTTCCCGATTTTGTATGGAAAGCAGTCTTTTACTACTAAGTATGGTTTTAGTTGTTGCACTTCTTATTTTGTTAAAAATGTGTTATTGTTAATTTATACTTCTAGATATACTACAGCTTAACCATTCTACAGTTAAACTATTTGTTTATATATCTTTTTATATATTTATGGTCCACTGTGATTCTTTTCTGTGAAATTGACATTTGTTTCTCTTGCCTGTTTTTTCTTTTGGGCTATTTATCTTTTTCTTTATGATTTGAGGTAGTTCTTTATGGTTTAGATACTACTTTTGTTTTTCTATTTACAATAGTCCACGTTTACTCTCATGGAATGTGTTCCAAGACCCCCAGTGGATGCCTGAAACTGTGGCTAGTATTGAACCATTTATAGAGTATATTTTGAAAGAGACTACATTCACATAACATACTGTATATGTTTTCAAAATATTTGAAATAGTATACCATATATAGTATGGTTCAGTACTATATAGAATATAGTATATATAGTTTTTTCTTATCTATATATACCTGTGATAAAGTTTAATTTATAAATTAGGCACTATATAACTATATAGTACATATAGTTTTTTTCCTATATATAGTATCTACCTGTGATAAAGTTTAATTTATAAATTAGGTAATTTATAAATTAGTAGAGACTAACAACAATAACTAGTAATGAAATAGAACAACTATGATAATATAATGTTGTGTGAATGTAGTCTTTTTCAAAATATCCGATAACTGAGATGGCTGCTGACTACTAAGTGGGTAGTATACACAGTGTGGATATGTTGGACAAAGGGAAGATTCATGTTGTGGGTGGCATGGAGTGAGATTTCATTATGCACAGCACTCAGTCAGAATAGTGCACAATTTAAAACATCGTTTCTGGAACTTTTCATATTTTTGGACTACGCTTGATCATTGGTAACTGAAACTTCAAAAAGTGAAACGAGATAAGGGGAAACTACTGTATATGTTTTGCAAATATTTTCTGTTTTCACGATGTCTTTTTATTCTCTTTATGTACTTTCATGAGTAGACATTTTTATTTTTAATTTAGTTTCATGTATAATTAGCTTCCTTTAATATTTGAACTTCCATGTCCTGTTTCACAAAGATAGTCTCATTTATTGCCCTCTAAGTGTTTTCTTAATTTGTCTTCATGCAGGGTTTAAGTTTCATTCCACTTGGGTTTGATTTTTGCATGTTGTTTGAGTAGATGTCAGAATTTTTCCCCTCTGGAGAACCAGCGACTTTATTGAACAGTTCCTCCTTCCCATTAATACTCTGCCTGACAACAGTATGTATACTTTTTAAATTCTTCAGTTGGGACCATTGTAAAGAAAAACAGGTGTCAGGAACTTTCGCCCTTGAATTAAAAAATATATTTTTGAGACAGAGTCTTGCTCTCTTGCCCAGGCTGGAGTGCAGTGGCATAATCATAGCCTGCTTCAGCCTCAAACTCCTGGACCCACACTATCCTCCCTCCTCAGCCTCCCAAGTAGCTGGGACTACAGGTGTGTACCATCCACCCAGCTACTTTTTAGTTTTTTTTTTTTTTTTTTTTTTTTTTGTAGAGATGGGGTCTCGCTCTGTTTCCCAGGCTGGTCTTGAATTCCTGGTGTTAAGCAAACCTTTCACTTTGGCCTTCCAAAGCATTGGCATTACAGGCATGAGCCACTGTGCTCAGCCAAATTAAAATATTTTTATTATGGTTTTACTGAAACTTGTTTAAATATAAACTAGGCATACATTTATTATGTTCTGTTGGGTAGCTCTTATGTAATAAGATGAAAAACCAACTACTAACTTAAAGGTAACCAAAACTACAAAACTGGAGAAATTCAGAATAAAAAGGTTAGCTTAATTTGACAGATGGCAGTGTTTTGCAGAAGCTAATTTGGCATTTGTGGCTTCAACTAAGGAAATCGGTATATGTATTTCAGGATATTGTAATATGTTAAGCTTTTGGAAGTAAATTTTATTTCTGTTGTCAACTATACTGCATTTCTGACTTGATACCTAATTAATAACCATTATTGTAGAGTGAGTGGTATTTTTGGTCTTTTTATTGTAAAACTGTAACAGATATGCTCTCAAGTGTGTTTTTTTTTTTAATTTTTTTTTCTTAAGCTATAGCTCAGTAAATGCCGATATTTCCATGTTGAACTGAACAGGTTGTGTGATTTAATGTAGAGCAGGATACACTTGCTGTGAATAAGAGGTAACAATTATAGCTTACCTATAAGTTAGCGCCAAATAAATATTCATCAGAACTTGTGAGTACTTTGCCTTGTGTACATATTTGAGTGCCTGGGCAATCAAGAGAGTGACATACTATGCAGCGTGATAACTGCTTTTGTAGACATTGTGAAATAGTATTCTTATACTGAAGTAATAATTGTATTCTAAATATTGCTTTATTGCTAGTATGTGTTTCTGCTTATCTGTGGGAATTTTCCAAGGTTTGTCTTTGATTTTCTGATTTCTTTGCAAGCTTTACCTTTGAGAGATTATATATTTTCCGAGTCATATATGTTCATTACTATCAAGTATGTGTATTGAAAATAAGTGTAATGTTACATCTTCACATAAATTCTAGTTTTAGGTTTTCAATTGCATGTGTACATTTCTGCTTAGTCATCACTCAGTATCATGACCGTTCATTTATGTATTCTTTGTTTTAAGCAGACTGAGAAATAGATAACATACAAAAAGCTTTTAAATTGGTAGTGGCTAGAGCCAGAGGTGCACAGATAATATTGAAAGTTAAATAAAGTATTTGTAGGTAGAACTAAGAGGATCTAGGAAGACTAGGAAAGATCTTATAAAGGAGGTAATAGCTGAAATAAACTGTTGAAGATTTGTAGGCAGGTCGAAGTGTTATTCCAAGTAAAGAGAAGTCTATGAGCAAGGGACAAATCTTCAATGATTTAGTGCCTTCTGTTATCTACACATGGTTTTATTTGGCTGAGTGTGATATAATAATAAATATTTGGTCTTTTTCCCTTGTTCCTGGCATGGAGCCCCTAAAGCCTTTGGAATTTACTCTCTAGTCTGTGCTAATCAGATGAGTGGCGTGGGTCTGGGTGTTTGGGGAGGAGAGGCTGTGTAGCTTCCACTTCAGGGTGGGTACTCTTTACCACTGTAGTTAGAGGGTGAGAACTTTCAACCCCAGTCCAGCATCCGGGGAGGGAAGAGGGGCTGCAGATTGAGCCCAATCACCAATGGCCAATGATTTAATCAATTATACTTTAATGAAATCTCCAGTGCCGTGTGTGTGTGTGTGTGTGTGTGTGTGTGTATGTTTTTTTTTTTTTTTTTTTTTTTCCTTGAGACAGAGTCTCACTCTGTTGCCCAGGCTGGTGTGTAGGAGTGAAGTGGCACAATCTTGGTTCACTGCAACCTCCGTCTCCCTGGTTCAAGCAATTCTTCTGTCAGCCTCCTGAGTAGGCTGGACTACAGGTGCATGCCACCGCGCCTGGCTAATTTTTGTATTTTTAGTAGAGATGGAGTTTCACCATATTGGTCAGGCTGGTCTTGATCTCCTGACCTCAGGTGATCCACCCGCGAAAGGCTCCCAAAGTGCTGGGATTACAGGCATGAACAATTGTGCCCGACCCCTTATATCCTTTTAATAAGTGTTCAGTAAATAGTAGTTCTATGATAATGCTCAGCGTATATGGTTAACTTTTTCCCCTAATTCTTTTTTTTTTTGAGATAGAGTCTCGCTCTGTCGCCTAGGCTGGAGTGCCGTGGCGTGATCACGGCTCACTGCAAGCTCCGCCTCCCAGGTTCACACCATTCTCCTACCTCAGCCTCCCCAGTAGCTGGGACTACAGGTGCCCGCCACCACGTCCGGCTAATTTTTTGTATTTTTAGTAGAGATGGGGTTTCACCGTGTTAGCCAGGATGGTCTCAATCTCCTGACCTTGTGATCCGTCTGCCTCCGCCTCCGCCTCCGCCTCCCAAAGTGCTTGGATTACAGGCATGAGCCACCGCGCCTGGCCCTTTTTTTCTCTTAAAACTGTAGAATTATATTATTAATACACTGTTAGTATACAGAAATTGTTTTCAAGGAATTTGTTTCAGGGTCCAGTGAGGACAAAGAAAGGACAAAAAGTAGAACAAAGGAGATTTGGTGTAAAGAAGTATTGACTAGGAACAGATGATTGGCTGCTAGAGGGTAAAGAGAACTCTAAAGTAAGAAATGAATTTGGGAGAGGCCCTTCAGAAGCCCCAAGACTCTGAGAGATTGGGTTCTTGTTGGAGAGGTTGTGAATGGAGCCCACTGGATGGCAGAGCAGTTTATAGAAGTGCTGTAGCTTGGGACATTCCTGCCAGTAGCTCTTTTGAAGTGGTGTAGAGTATGTGCTTTATCGTATCTAGATGAATGGAGTTTCCAAGAGACCATAGGACATATTATATAAGTAATTAGCATGACCAAAAACTGTATTTGCTTTAAAGAATTGTGACAAATATAACTGCTAGGAATTATATAGTATTCCAGTTTCAGAGTTCTACTTAGAGCACGTTTATTTTGTTTTATTAGTATAAGGGAGTTTATTTTTGGATTATAAGCTAATTAGGCAAACAAGTACAGAAACTAGAGATGCATAAAGATTTAATTGGACAAGAGAGCTATAATAGGAATCTGATTATTAGCATCAACAAGTTAAATACATATTTTATTTAAACTGCAGACATAGTGATTTAAGGATATGATTTGATTCATAAAAGTTTTGTTTACCTACTTGTTTTCCAGAATATAGGCACTCTAATTTAAAAACAGACTGTGTTCCAAAAGATTTTGCAAGTTGGGTTTTTGGAACTGAAAATACATGTTCCCATAGAAACCATGTTTCCTGGTGGTGTGTTCTTATTTAGAAATGTAACTCTGTGTGAACTTAGCTTATAGTGCTGAGTAACAGTATTTTTTGGGAGAAATACATTTAGAGTTTCTACTCATGATGTATTTATTTTATCTACTAATTAATAGGGATGGGGAATACTCTTTTACATTGTAATTAAAAAAATTTTTTTTAAGACAGAGATTTGCTCTTGTTGCGCAGGTTGGAGTACAATGGTGCAATCTCAGCTCACTGCAACCTCCGCCTTCTGGGTTCAAGCTATTCTCCTGCCTCAGCCTCCCGATTACAGGGATTACAGGCATGCGCCACCACGCCTGGCTAATTTTGTATTTTTGGTAGAGATGGGGTTTCACCATGTTGGTCAGGATGGTCTCGAACTCCTGACCTCAGGTGATCTGCCTGCCTCGGCCTCGCAAAGTGTTGGGATTACAGGCGTGAGCCACTGCACCCTTTTTTTTTGAGATGGAGTCGCTGTTGCCCAGGCTGGAGTGCAGTGGCGTGATCTCGACTCACTGCAACCTCCACCTCCCGGGTTCAAGCAATTCTCCTGCCTCAGCCTCCTGAGTAGCTGGGACTACAGGCGCCTGCCACCATGCCTGGCTAATTTTTGTATTTTTAGTAGAGACTGGGTTTCACCATATTGGCCAGGCTGGTCTCGAACTCCTGACCTTGTGATCCACCCATCTTGGCCTCCCAAAGTGCTGGGATTACAGGCGTGAGCCACTGCACCTGGCCCAGATGGGGAATACTCTTAAGGGTCATAAACATGATGCAGATATGGTTGAAAGGTTGGGTGACAGGTAGGAAAAAGGACTCTGTGGCAAGGGAGGATGGAAACCATCATTTATCTAGGACTAACTATATCCATTGTTCTTTGCTAGCTATTTCTCATAAAGTATCTCATTTCTTTTTTCTGGATTGCATGAATGCTTAATGTTTTAGCTCTGGAATTCTATAAAAAGTAGGAAGAGACTTAAAATTTAGAATTCTTGGCATTTTTAAGCTTTAATGGAAAGGGTATACCTTCAGATTTATGTGCCCATAGAGGTATATGAGTAATTTATTTTAATGCTAAAGTGCTGTTAATCCAAAAAGATTGAGAAAAACTTCAATCTGTGACAGTAGGATATGCAGCATACCTGAACCATTTGTTACCCGCCAAAAACTTGAAAACCAGGATTAGTTGCCTGGTGAGTAATAAACAACTCTTCAAGAGAATGCAGGTTTTGGTCAGTAGGAGTTTTACTACTTGTCACAAATAAGGAGAATACTTGGAGTATTCTTTAGGGCATTGTTGCCTCTAGGGAAAGTGACAGGGAGGTTTTATGGGGTGATGGAGAGGGGAGAGGGTGTGACATCACATGTAGAGGAGGGGTCCCAGTGGTGCAAATGCAGTGAGTCACTATGTCAGCAGGTAGGTCACGTGTTATGGTAATGAAGCTGTAGTTCCCCCCCAGGGTGCTGACTTTAGCATGATAATGAGGAAAGTTCACTTGGGTTCATCTGCATGTTGCGAGGGTCTGTCAGGAGCTGGCTCCAACTGACTAGGTGAGAGCTCATTCCTCACAGGGTTTGGGAAAAAACAGGTGGCAAGGTAGGAGGTTGTAAACAGGCCAGTTACTTAAGTTGATTAAATTCCTATAGTCCCGGGGGACCCTCCTTGTCTGCTTACACATTCATGGGACTGTCATATAGATTATTTGCAATAGGGAATTTCAGTAATATTATATTTTATACAAACCTTCAAGTGAGATTGACAGGACCAGAACTGGGAAATTCTAGATGGAATGTAGGAGTGTAGAAAGTTTGCTTAGTAAGTGGGCCTGACTTATGTCATTTAGAAGAATTCTTCAATTTAGAAGAATTAGAAAATGTGCTTATTAGTTGGCCTGATATATGTATGCTTCTCGTTCCTGTATGAGAGGGAAAAAAAAAAAAAGGCTTCTCTTTACCTTTCTAAGTTCTTTGGCTGGACTAGAAATTAAATTGACAAGAGGCAGATTAACAGGAGAAAACCCATTTTAATTACATAGGTACTTACAGGAGTCCCACAAAATAAGAGACTTGAAGAAGGGTCACATGATTGAAGCTTATGTAGCATCCAGAGCTACAAAAAGTGATAGGGGTTTGGGGCTTCTGGGAGGGGTGGCAACACAAGTTATGAGAGGGTGGGGGAGGAAATGTATGGTGAATAAAGGGTGTCTTGTGTAGATAAAAAGTCACTCAAGTAATAAAAGTTGTTGCAACCCTCTTGCTGATACAGATACTTTTTCTAATGTAGATTTCCTTTAAAAATGGATTTTTTTTCACAAAAGGACAGTTTTTCAAGGTTACTCTTGTGTCCGCAGTTTCTCAAAATAACTACCTCAAAATATGCCAAAGAAGTATATTTTTGGGTGGCATATTCTAGTCGCCTGCAGTCTTATTTGGAGGTGGTGTGTCCTGAGCCCCAGCATTCCCATCTCCAATAATTAGTTAGTGCCTCTTTTCTGTGGGATAAGCTTGTCTTGTGATATGGCTTGTTCCAGCTCACATCTGCAGGCTCTGCTGTATTCATTTATTCAGTCAATGTTGATTGCTTGCCATGTGCCAGGCATTATATGTATGTACCAGGAGTACAGTGATGAACGAATTATGGTCTCATTGATAACTTTGAAATGATTAACATTTGGTGCCTAGCAGTGCTTTAGTGCACGTGCTTCTGAAGTTTAAGAGTTCTTGTCGTCTTTGGATTTACCTTGTGATTAACCATAGTGTATTATTATAATTTGTGGTGAGTCTCACAGAAGGCACCTACATGTGCAGAGACCTTTGCATTATGAAGGAGAATGGTGTTCTGTAGACCCTGAATGAAAGAGAGGGAAGAGGAATGCCAGGGGGAAAGCAAAGCAAGTTAGTGCTGGGGACAGAGGTAGGGACTCTAGCATGCAGAGGTCCTTTAAGCTGTGAGGACTATACTATAGGAAAATTCCTCAGACAAGTCATAGAATATTACAGTTGAGGGAAATGAAAGATCCGGCTTACACATTAACAAGAAAAACATGACTCAGGAGATTTTTTCTTCTTCTTTGCTTTCTGGCTATTTAGAGACTGGTTTGGACTTACAAACATGAAGGATGTGTTATGTACTTGAAATTCTTGGACAGTGAGTATTAGAGGTTTCTTATGGTAAGAGAACATGAGCTAGAGCAGTGTAGTGTTAGCAGGTAGATGCAGAGGTTTTTGCAAAATCAGGTGTGTGTGTGATTACTCACTTTAAAGACAGTATAATGAATTAATCTTGTCATTGACAGGTAACTTTGAAATGCCTACATTTGGTGCTTAGCAGTGCGTGTGATTCTGAAGTTTAAGAATGTCTTTGGAGTTTCTATCAGTTTTTTTTTTTTCCTCTGTTCTTAGAAAATTTGGAAGGTTTTTTTAGAGGTCATTCTAAGAGTTGCGCCCCCCGCCTTACACCTATCCCCAAGGATGGAAACCTTTGACTTTCTTTTCCTGAACCAAGTTTCATTTATATTTGGAAATTTAGCTGAAGGAGCCAAGGACTGACTTAATGAGTCACCCACCGCTTAACACAAACTGTTTTTCTCCTTTGTTGTCAGTGGTGCTTTAGTTTTCTTTTACCATTTTATAAGTATTTTACATCAACATAATAGTGGATTTTTGCACTGAGTTTTCATTTTTTATTGAATCTTTAATCTCCAATGTTAGATATCCTAGAGTTGAGAAAATATGGCAAGGACATGGAATTTGAACGACCAAGTTTCAACCCTGTCTCTGCACTTACTAATGTCTTGAAGTCTGTGTTAGCTATGAAATGAGAGTAACTTTCTAGAGGGTGTGTGGGTATGTCTGTATTAAATGAGAGTATATATTGGAAACATTGGAAACAGTCTGGTATAGGGAAGTTTAAACCTTCACTCTGAAAGTTCGATTAATTGAGTGCTGAAATAAACTGACAGTAAACAGATTAGCAAGAGAAAGTGCATACAAATTTATTGACATGGAAGCATGGGTGGGAGCTACAAAAAAAATATGAGGCTCTAAAAAGGGCCAGATGATTGAAGCCTGAATCCCCTCTTCATAAAGGGAGAAGTGGAGGATGCAGGCAATTTTAGAGGAAGAGTAAATGATTTCAAGGGGAGATGAGTGTGCCTGAAGAGCAGACAATGACCTGGAACAAAATTCTTCCGGGCTCTGGGAGAGATGGTGGCAATTTTTTGGGAAGGTGAGGGGCAGAACTGTACTGCAAACAAAAGTTGTCTTTGTTATATAGATAAAGTCTCTGAGGTAAGAAATAGCCCTTAGAAGAATAGTCAAAAGAATAGGTGAAAAGTCTGTCTGGGTATGGTATGCCCAGGTGCATGGCAATTTTTAGTTTTCTTTCCTGCTATAGGAGTTAATCTTCTCTGGTTTATATAGATTCCAGGGAATTATCCAAGACAATTTCGTTCCTTCTGGATGAACGTCCCTCAGTCAGATAAGGGAACTTCAGAGAAAACCTCTCCCTGTGCTTTGGAAGGGAAAACGGGGAGGCAGGAGAATGTTGGAGAGAGACCTTGCTTCTGAGTCCTTTCAATTGCTTTTGTTCAGAGCACTCAGCAAGCCAGAATGCCATACTTTGGGGCATTGTTTTCGTAACCTCAACATTGATATACAGCAAGAGTATAATAAATTCATATTTTCTTGCCTTGTCTTGGGCCAGTGATCCCTTTTTTTGCATCCTCAAAAAGTTATACTGATGTTAAATATGCCCTCTTTACTGAAACAGATTTTAAAAATACCCAGCATTAAGTGGGGTCACCTGAGAAGGGAAAGAATTTCTATGAAACTCTCAGGTTTTTAATTTATATTGAAATTACCAATATTTCCTTATATCTGAAGTGCATAGTACTGTATTTTGCACATAGTAGACACTTAAGGATGTTATTGTGCAGTAAAAATAACAGGAAGGAATCTGAAGACTTGTAGGTAATCTTGACTTCTTTGCTTATTAATTTTTGTGGTGTTTGCAAGTAACTGAATCTCTTTGGACGTTGCATCTTGCCCCTTTGGTTTAGCAGTGGGAAGAGGTTGAACCCACCTCCCTGTACTTAACTAGAGAAAAAAAATCCATACAAGGAGCATCTCAGAGCCCAGAAGAGGAGCTCTAGATATGGAAGTGGATTGGATGGGAACCACCTTGGATTTGGAATTGCTGGTCAGGGAGAGGACCATATTTAGGACATTTCCAGTTGAGGATCAGGGCGTATCACAGGTCAGAAGTTTCATAAATGGGAAGGTACAAACCTTGAAAAACAGACTAGGGTCTTAATCACAACAGAAATGGCAACAAAACCCCCACATAATTGCAGGAAATGAAGGTTCAGGGTTTCAAATACAGGAAAAACACAACTGGAAGATGCCAGTAACAAAGGGAAAAAAACTTTGCAAATGAGGTGGCTTCTCTAACTTAAACTTAGGATTTTTCTCATTGCTCACCTCTTCCCATTTCTCTCTACCTAGGTTTAGCTAAGAAAATTCTTTCACTTTTTTTGTTTTCTTTTCCACCTGGCCTTCTCCCCGATCACCAGTTCTTTTCATTGTTTCATTTTCAGTCAAGATTTATGAAAACATGAACCATACTAGAGATACACCTGATTTTTTTCTAGGATATTTGTCTGAATTTATAGTAAAAGATAAAACAGCAAAATAACAGTTTCAAAGACCTTGCTCTTCTCCATAATATACTCAGTATTCTTATTGCACTTTATCAAACCACCATAACAAACCACCTCAAAACCCAGTGGCATACCAAAATATTGTCACTCACACTCACAGATTTGCTGGTTGGCTGGGTTGACTTTTTTCACATGTGCCTCATTCTTCTTAGGCAAGTGGGCTACCAAGTCATGTTCTTCTTAAGCAGGTTGCAGAAGTTCAACTGGGCTAGCCCAGCGATGCAGGTAGTTTCATGTCTGCTTGCATGCTGGCTGCTAACATGCCATTGGTCAAATCCCATCATCCATGACAAAAGGAAATACATCATGTGTGAGGAAGTAAAAGTGGCAAAGAGTATGAATACAGGGATGGGAGAATTGGGAGGCTAGCATAGGCAGTGTAATCTTTTCTGGGATTTATATTCGTGTTTGTATTTTACTTTGTGGTTATTAATTTGTGTATATACTATTTTGTATTCTGCTTTAGCGTAATGTGATTTTGTAAGGAAAACTTCTGTATAGATTATATATTTTTCACTTAAATAGTTGTATGTGTAACTGAGACTCTGCTTCTAAGTTGATCTGCATCAAAATCATTTGAAGTGCTTATTAAAATGCCGATCCCTAGACCTTAACCCAGACCCTCTGGAATCAATCTCTGGGGATGAGGCCTGGACATCTTCATTATTAGCAAACTCATGGAGTCATCCTTCTGTACATTAAAGTTTGAGAACTACTTTCTTAATGGAAGGACATGCATTTGTATTAGTCTGTTCTCACGCTGCTATAAGGACATACCTGAGACTGAGTGATATGGTTAGCCTTTGTGTCCCCAACCACATCTCATCTTGAATTGTAGTTCCCATAATCCCCATGTGTCATGGGAGGGACCAGGTGGAAATAATTGAATCATGGGGGCAGTTTCCCCCATCCTGTTCTCATGATAGTGAATAAGTGTCACAAGATCTGATGATTTTATAAAGAGCAGTTCCCCTGAAGATGCTCTCTTGCCTGCCACCATGTAAGATGTGCCTTTGCCCCTCCTTCACCTTCAGCCGTGATTGTGAGGCCTTCCCAGCCATGTGGAACCATGATTCTGTTAAATCTCTTTCCTTTATAAATTACCCAGTGTATTAGTCTGTTCTCATGCTGCTAATAAAGACATACCTGGGACTGGGTAATTTATAAAGAAAAAGATATTTAATAGACTCACAGTTCCACATTGTCAGAGGCCTGACAATCATGGCAGAAGGGAAAGGAGAAGCAACGGTGCATCTTACATGGTGGCAGGCAAGAGAGCATGTGCAGGGGAACTTTCCTTCACAAAACCATCAGATCTCATAACCCTTAACTCACTATCACAAGAACAGCATGGGAAAAACCCGCCCCCATGATTCAATTACCTTCTACCAGGTCCCTCCCATGACACATGAGGATTATGGGAGCTACAACTCAATGTGAAATTTGGGTGGGGACACAGCCATTTTTAAATTTTTATAATTAATGGCCATCAACATTTGTACAAATGACTGATTTCCTTGGGTACTAAGTAATTTTTCTCTGAGCCATGATTGAATAATTTTCAGTTGAGGAAAATAATACTTTATATATGAAATCAGATTTGGAGTGCTGGTAGCAGTGACATTACAGACTTATAAAAATTATAAAGGATTTTATATTAACTAAATGAAGACATTGAATTGAATAAAGATAATTTCTGTAAAACTTTTATGCCTTTAATTCGTAATGTTGGGTATTGCATGGCTTATTCATGATTCCATTGCTATTTATTAGTAATTTTCTAAATGAAAGTAGTATAAACCAAAAAGTATCTTAAGACAAGTCTCAATCAATTTAGAAAGTTTATTTTGCCAGGGTTAAGTACGTGCCTGTGACACAGCCTCAGGATGTCCTGACAACATGTGTCTAAGGTGGTTGGGGTACAGCTTGCTTTTATACATTTTAAGGATACATAATATATCAGTCAATTCATGTAAGATTCACATTGGTTCAATCTGGAAGGGAGGGACAACTCAAGGTCTGGTCACAGGGTGGCTTCCAGGTCATCGGTAGATTTGAATATATTCTGATTGGCAATTGGTTGAGTTATTATCAATAGAAAGGAATGTCTGGGTTAAGATAAGGAGTTGTGGAGACCTAGGTTTTATCATGCAAATGAAGCCTCCAAGTTGCAGGCTTTAGAGAGAGTAGACTGATAATGTTTCTTACCAGACTTAAGGTCTGTGTTTATGTTAATGCTGGAGAGGTATACTGAGGCATGTCTACCCCCCACTTCCAGTCATGGCCTGAACCAGTCTTTCAGGTTAAATTTTAGAGTGCCTTGAAGCTTCAGATTTTGTTTTTGGTTTACGGTATAAAAACTGATAGGTTTAAAGATAATTTTATTTTTCTCAATTCGGCTCTGTAAATTTGGCAGTTTATTCATCCATTTTGATACTTCCTGGCATTTTATATGACTTTGTTTGTGTACTTTATTATGTATTTTATTTTTAGGTAGCTTGGTTATCTCAGCTCTGTAAAACCATTTTTATGGAAGTGAAATTCTTTGGTGGCATGGCAGACACTGCCAATGCCTATCCAATGAACATTCTTTTCTTTTTGATAGCAGAACCCTGATTTCATTTTCACAGCAGCCTTTGCCCACCCAAAAAATTCATTTCCCAATCTCCTTTGCAGCTATGAGTGGCCATGCAACTGTGTTGTGCTTTGTGAGGCTTTTGTAAGTGGAAGTTTGTAGGTGGGGCTTGTTAAAGAAGTCTCATTCATTTGGGAGACACCTTTTGTCCTTTGCCCTTCTCTTTATCCTACCTAGAACTTGGACAGGATGATGGAGGAGGAGACCATGCAGTGACAAACATTCTGATGCATGTTCCACTTTAAAGACTTGATGTTGGGTGTCCCTACTAGGTCTGGACTGCCCATTGTGTCTTCTAAGTTAGAAAAGAAAGACACTCCAGAGTATTGAAGCTGCTGTTTAGTTGGGAATCTGTTACATGTAGCTGAATATAGTTTCTATCTAATACATATGATTTCTGTAAAAGATACTTGGGCTGCAATATCTCTTAAACCTTTCATGTAATTTGTTTAGGACTTTTTAGACTTCTGAAAATACATATTTTATACATAAATTGTCAAGCATGTTTTGAAATGCACATTTTACAATTTGATGTCAACAAAGCTGAATGCAGAACATTTTAAAACTTTTTATTTTGAAATTTCAAATTTAAAGTTGCAAGACTTAGTACACAGAACTTCCATAACTTTTTTTCTCCCCAAACCATTTGATAGTAAGTTGCAGGCATCATGCCCCTTTAGCACTTAAATTCTTCAGGATATATTTCCTAATAAAAAAGATACTCTCTTACTATACTGGAGTTATCAAATTCAAGAATTTAATATTAATGAAATGTCATTACTAAGCTGTGCATATTTATATTTCTCCGGTTGTCTCAATATCCTGCATAACATTTGGTATGGGATGCAGTCAGTTCCCCCTTTGGCTCACATGCTTCTTTAGTCTCCTTTAGGGTGGAGACTTCACCTGCTTTTCATGGCATAGACATTTTTGAAGATGATAGAATAATTATTTTTCACAGTGTCCTTCAGTTTGGGTTTGTGTGATGCTTCCTCAAGATTAGATTTCGGTTGTGCATTTTCGGCAGGGCTATCTCACAGATTATAGAGTGTCAGGAGGCACGCACTGCCATTTTATCCTATTATTGGTAATACTAACTTTGATCTCTTGGTTAAGGCAGTGACTGTCAGGGTTTACACTGTTGTTACAGTAGGTAGCTAGTCAGACATGAGCAGGGCAGAAGGGGGCCTCCCCCCCAGGAATGTCAGGCAACCATTAGGCGGTGGTCAGGCTGTTATTAACCATCTCTCTGAAATAATAATTGGTCGCAGCCGGTGCCAGGGAAAGGCAGTCTCCCAATAGATAGAAACACCTGAAACTGGTGATTAGCAACTTCCTGATAAGATTCCAGGATTTGAGTGAATGGGCTCAAGCATATATGCACTAAGAGGCAAAACGGTGGAGTTTAACTGACATATGACCTTTGTTTAGGAACACCCAACTGGTAAGGGAAAAACGCCTTAAGTGAGCACATGCACAATTTCAGTAAACACACTGTGCGTGCAGCCCCTCCCCAGTGCTGGCAGGCCACTGCACCTGTGGACAGCCATCCTGTAGGAGGAATCAGGGGAGAAGAAATGCAAACCCTGGAAGCATGCCAGTGTATAAAACCCCAAGTCAAAGGTCAGCTGTTCACTTGATCTTTCAAGTTGCCCGCTTGGCCCCCTTCCAAGTGTACTTTACTTCCTTTCATTCCTGCTCTAAAGCTTTTTAATAAACTTTCACTCCTGCTCTAAAAACTTGCCTTGATGTCTCTCTCTGCCCTATGCGCCTTGGTCAAATTCCTTCTGAGGAAGCAGGAAGTGAGCTTGCTGTAGACCTGTACGGGTTCGCCACTGTTAACACAATAAAGTTATTCTTTCTCCCTTTATAATTTGTGGAAGAGAATTTAAAATGATGTAAATATTCTGTTCCTGATCAAACTTTCATTCAGTAGTTTTATCATCCATTGAAGATTCCTGACTGAATTATTGCTGAGATAAATGTGAAACATCTTTTTAAAAAAGATTTCAATAGATCCTATTCTATTGACTAGGTTTGCTTTTCCTATCATATCCATTGTGATTTTTTATTTCATGGTACTGTTCTATAGTGTTGGGAACTTCAAGAAATACAGAGATGTAAGGAGGAAGTTGGTTTTTATTTAAGGGCCATCAGGGGAGAGTTTGATAGTGAAATCCTATCTCTCTACCTCTTTTCCCTTCCAGTACAATGCAGTCAATTTTATAGGCCAATAGCATATAAAGAACTGAAGCAAATGGGGGCAAATGATCTATTCAATTTAGAATCTTTTATGACAGATTGGACAGTGAAATGATCTTCTTTTTAAAGTAGATCTGAAGATCTCCGTGGTATAATTACCCACCGAGTTATGTCTTGCCGAAAGCATGTCTTTTCCAAAGGTGTTTCTCTCCTTGTGCTTACCATCATGGATAAGGCCCCTTTTCTTGTTAGGTGGCATAAATGAGGGGATGAAGAAAAGGACAGAAACTGCTAATTCAGTAAGACTTATTGGGGAGTAATGTAGAGAAGTTACCTTTTCGAAACGTGAGAATGAAATAAGGGTTCTCCACAGCATGATTCATTCTTTCTAAAAGAATGAAGTTGTTTGGCCTTTCTCAAGTTCTTTTTCCTTTTTTACTCTAGTTTACTTTATTCTGTTTTTTGTTTGTTTTGGAAAACCAAAGGTGATTTGTTTTCTTTTCCTAGTATATTTTCAGAGTTGAGAATATAATGATTTTGGGTTTTTCCTCCCTCTAGCACCAGCAGACGTTTTTGAATCAACTGAGAGAAATTACGGGGATTAATGACACCCAGATACTACAGCAAGCCTTGAAGGTATGGCCTCTGTTTTATGATATACAGTTTGTGGTATATGCTCATCTCTAGTGCGTATTATATTTGATAGTTGATTTTTTTTTTGGGGTATACCATGTGGTAGTTTTAGAGATACAGGAATGGACTTTGTAAAGTAAAATCCTCAGTTAACACACTGCGGTTTTGAGGATGTTAGCTTTCAGCAGTCTGATGTCCATGATACCTTAGAGTGACAGATAACCTCTTTCTATATATGAAATGCTTTTTGTGCAAGATAGTGGGATGTGAATCCTAATTCTAATGGATGGTTTTACTTACGAGCTGTGATTTTAGAGTTTAAATGAGGGTTCAAGGTGGGGTGTATTAGAGGATGAGGTGTAAGAGAAGGGAAAAGTAGAAAATTAATAGAAGTCTGAAAACTTACATTTTTCTTCTCCTGAGAAGCAGAGATATAAATTTGCACCCATTCAGCTAATTACACCCTAAGTTAAACATTCAATTTCAAACTCTTCAGTATAGGCAACAACTAAAATGTATCATTTTGGTCATATCTTAGTTGGACCTTCAGTTTCACATCGACATCCAAATGAGTCATATCATATGGATACTCACATTGAAAAAGAGTGAATGAAAGCTATTTAAGAACCAGAACTGTACAGTATTTTAAGCTTATTTGCATATTACTACTATAGGCTAAAAACAATATAGCATTTTTGCCACTGCAGTCATATACACAGCTCCAATCCTTTGGAACTTGATTTCAAGCCTAGAGTTCTTTATTTGTTTTTAGAAATAATCTATTAGATGATTATAATAAAAGTCATTATAACAATAAGTAGTACCGATTAAACATTTAGTACTACCAGGCAGTATTTTAAGTACTGTATGTGGGCTAGCTCATCCTAATAATAAATAACTCTATGAGATAAGTATTAGTTTCATCCCCTTTATGAAAAGATGAGCAACAGAGAGGTTAAAGTAACTTGCCCAGGATCACACAGCCTGTATGTGGAGAAGCTTGGAATAGAAACCAAGGCAGCCTGATCCCAGGTGCCACACTTAATTTATGCTTCTTTTACTAGAAGCTTTGCTTCACCTTATTCCCCCATCAGGAAAATCATGAAATAGTAGTGTTTAGAGCATTAATGCGGGGTGTATGAAGCCACTGTAAGTATTTGGAGAGGAAGCAGAAGTGCTATACCTCAATTTTTATGATTATGACGTTTAGATAATTGCTAGTCCCTTTTTATTCTGATAAATATCATTACTAAATTCCATGTTTGTTTTCAGAAACTGCCTTTTTCATTATGTATTACTGAGTGTGAGACCATAGCCTATCACCTTGCCAGGGTAAATTTGGGGAATTTGCTTTTTTTTTTTTTTTTAAACTTAGAAAATATGTAGCTCGAATGAAGTCTTATCCACATTTCCTTTGATAGAGGTTGTGTGAGCATAGGTATTTTTAATTTTCCAAAATTTTTGTTTCAGTTACCAGTAGCTAGGGGAAAAGAGTGTATTTAAACCTTAATTGTTGCCCATTATAAATACTGACGAGAAGTCTACTTTTGAGCACTGTAATGTCATTGATTAATTTCAGTACTTTTAATTTGAGAACATATTTTTAGCTCTAAAAAGTAAATGAACTTCAATTTGTGTAAATTCCTGCTGTGTTGTTTTAAATTATTATATGAGGTAATATATGAAAAACACTTAGCACATTTCTTGGCATATAGTAAGTGCTCAATAAATGTTAGCCATCATTATTGCGCTTTATTTTATTGTTAGATTACTTATTTAACAATAGTGTATCTTACATTTTGGATGAGTCACTTAGGAATCGTCTAATGATCATGACAGATAGCATTTTTGAAAGTGGTGGTGCCTTTGAAACTGCATCCTTACTCCTTTTGTCACTGACTGCTACAACTGGAATTGGGGTAGGTCTTGGGGACTTTATTCTGCCAGCTGCTCAGTCCTTAAATTTTGGAATCATCCTGATCCTACTTCTGTCATGTCCCACATTTAATAAGATAGCAATAATATTGGATGCTGTCTTCTGCCCTTTCTCTCCTCTAGTCTATTCTTAATACATGGAGTAAACTTTTTAAAATGTAAGTCATACTATGTCATTCCTTTCCAAAACACTCCACTGGCTTCTTATTACACCCGTGTGCATGTCTAAGTTCTTAGGGAACCTACAGAGCCTTCCATGTTTTGGTTTTCTGTTACAAAGATAGCTTCGTTGTGAATATCTGGGTTTCCTATGTTGTTTTGGTTAACTGTTTTAGAGCTAACGTTTTACTTGCTGTCAGTTGTGCAGAGAATATAAAGATGTAACTGGGCAAGTCTCTTCTCATTTTGCTGTTTTAAATTAAAATTCTTATTCTGGCATCTGCTTTCTTCTAAATAAACTTTAGAATAATTTTATTCAGCTATACTTTTGATGAGAACTATGCAAAATGTATCTATTTAATTTGAGCAGGATTGTCATCTTGACAGTATTGAGTATTTCTGTCTAGAGTTCTGTGTGTCTTTCCATAATTCCATATTATCAAGCCCTTCAGTACATTTTGCCATTTTCTTCCCATGAGTCCTTGACATTTTGCTTAAGTTTGCCCCTAAGTATGTATCCAGCACCCAGATTAAAAGGAATATCTTTTATTGTCCTTGTTTGTAGAAGTACTAATTTTAATACCCATTTTGCACTCTTTCGTATGGCAAGTTCCAGAAGACCTTTTTTAGTTTATTTGTTCAAAAGTATAAGTTTGTGATTCACTTTTATTAAGCAGATAGGAAAGTAATGAAGACTAAGAAATTAGAGATGGATTTTTACATTGTATCAGTAGTTTTAATTAGTAAGAAAGGTATTACTATTGATATAGTATACTTTATGTATGATGCATTTACACTATAAAATTAGAATCACATATAGATTAATTGCAAATTTAAAGCAATTTTGTTCTAGAGAGTTATGGAGAATATTGTATAACTTTTTTTGATGGATAAAATTATTTCAAAACACTTGATACTCCTTTCTTGATATTTGAAGGATAGTAATGGAAACTTGGAATTAGCAGTGGCTTTCCTTACTGCGAAGAATGCTAAGACCCCTCAGCAGGAGGAGACAACTTACTACCAAACAGCACTTCCTGGCAATGATAGATACATCAGTGTGGGAAGCCAAGCAGATACAAGTAAGTTTTCTTTCTTTTCTTATTATTTTAATAGAAACATACTGAAAAACTTTTCTTGGTGTAATATATTAATGTTGCTTAAGGAGAGGTAAAGAACCAAAAAAGAACTCTATTAACCTTGGTTCTTTTTAATGTAGTTGAAAGGAACATACATTATCTTTTTCAGATTATAAGGAAAAGATTTTATGTAAGTTATATAGTTTTTCATAGAGCATTTCATATAGAATTTATTGTTTTGAAATATGGAATAGCTGCAGATATATTCATAAAAGGAAGAACTAGAATTTTTAGTGGGCACAGTTATTTTGCAGATTTTAAGTGCTGGTAGAGGCTTTAGTATTTCTTTTGAGGTTAAAGTATTATTTCTAATTACTGATAGGTTTACCATTTAATAAAATTTCCCTTCCCTTTCCCCCTGCTTCCAAATAAAGCTTTGGCAAAGAAGTTTATTATTGTGTAATGAAATTGCCTTTCATCCAAAAGAAAAAAAGAAAAGAAAACTTGGAAAAAGTGTTTTGGAGATACAAATACGTACATGTGGAAGATTCTATGTGGGACTTAAGTTTTTCTTCATAATATGAATACTTTATACTTATGTAGCGCACAGTTTTTCAAACTATGTTCAGTTACCTTCATATCTCATTATAGTTTAATAATTGTACTACATAAAAATAGTTACTTTTATGCCTTATGGATTTGCAAAGTTTGATTATTAACATATATTTGGAGAGAATTTCTTATTTTGTTTATAGACATTCTCAAAGTTAGGAAGCAACCAGAAAAGAGTTCGTTTACATAGATGTTTATTAATGTTTATTGATAAAATATTTTAATTTTTAGTTTTCAGGATAATCTTAGCATTTTTGCTACATAGATGATCTTGTGTCAGAGAAAACTAGAATACTCCTGTCTCACTTAGTTAATAGGTGATGGGAGAATGTTTGTAGCATATATAAGATAGACCTGTTTACTTAACGTCTAAGTTCAAGGCAAGCTGTGACTGGGCCCCCATCCACATTTCTAGCCTCATTTTCCACTGTTTTCCTCCTGTCATTCAACACTGTGATAATACAGAATGGCTTGAAGTTCTCATGTACTCAGTGGTATTTAATTTCTCTGTCTTTACATTTGCTGTTCCTTCTGTTTGAATGCACTCTGGCCTTTTCCTCCCTAGCCTAATTTGTTCTGGTCTTGAAAGATTTAGCTAAAGAGCTGCTTGCTGGAGAATGTTTTTCCTGGCCTCTAGCTAGGACCAAGTGTTTCTCCAGCATCCAGGGCATGCTTCTGTCTTAATGAATACTCTGTTATTTTGAAATTATTTGCTTGAACATTATTGGTGCTCAAAAAATGTTCACTGAGTTATGTTTGATAATATGTGCAGTAAAGCTCTTTCAAAACCAATGAAAGGGAATGAAGTTGAGAAGCTTGTTGCAAAAAGTTGAAAGAGAAGTGGTATAAAGGTCAGAAAAATGAGTACTTAATAATATTTTGGATATTTCAAAGTTCCAAGACTCGAGGGGAAAAAGAAACTAGATGGGTGATAAAAGGGAAAAGGATAATTTTGACTAAAATGCTCCTGGTTTAAGTGAAGCAAGCAGGAAATTGACTAAACAGAGATCATTGTTGTTAGTTGTGAACTCTTAATATAGATGGTATACTTGGTGACATGACATGGTATATTTATAGAAAAGGGGAAAATTAGGATTATGTGTGTCCTGCACAAAAGAAGATATTTGCTGTGCAAAGTGAGAAAATACTGCATAAGGCAAATGGTTACACCTGTTTACGATTTTAGATAGGGAATAGTGAAAATATTATGGAGGACAAAAAAAAATTTTGAATAGGTTCCCTTAGGGAGAAGGCAGCCTAATTTCAGGAGGCACGTGTCTCATTTGCTGATAATTAAAACTTTTTTTGTGTGTTTGTGGATCTCTTGAAAAATATTCACGAGGTAATTTTATTTTCCACTTGAAATAATGTAGAGAAATGAAGTTTCTGATGTCATCTCAACCGATTGTCATATTGAGTAAATTGCTTGCTGTTGTGGTTTCTTTATCCATAAAACACATAATACGTAATATGTATCAAGTGCTTTCCCTCTAATCAGGGTGCCAATTGAGATAGTGTGTCCATAAAGTTGGTTAGAGGTTATTGACAGCAAACAGTTGTAGGAATTTAATGTGGCAATTGTACTATGATAGTATCAAACCAGAAAAAAATTAACTGTTGGCGTAACAGTAATACTTTTCCATTAAACATTCCTGCCAGTAGTGTCATAATGCAGTGTTACTGGTTTAAAACTGAGAAAGTGGGGAGATGTCATGCATTTCAGCAGGTATTAAAAAAATACTCTTTAAGTGACTGTGCAGTTACTGTTGAGAAGAAATGAAGTCGTGTATTTTTAATTCTTGGAAGATGTGGTAAAACATGAGGGAAGGAAAGACAAAATAATTACAAATGGATATACATTCAAATGCAGGCCTCTATTTAAAAAAATCTACCTAACTGCTGTAGGAATGTAGAAGAATAGATCAGAGTGTGAGTTTTCAAGGGATTGTTGTAGATATAAAAACCCTTTTTGAGCACTTTCTCCATTTTGTGTGAAATACATTGTTATTTAAAGGTTGACCACAGTTTCACTTAATTCTTTCAAATATGGCAGGGATTTTTATTTTCAGTTTTTTTCCATTCTTCTTTTTGAGGTATAAAATCTCTTAAAACCAGGGCTAAAGCAGAAACAAAGTCATGCTAACTTTAAGTGATACACTTGGTTGCAGTGCTGACAAAACGTCTGTCTTCTGAAATCGAAATCTCTAATACCAAATACATATACCTCTTTGTTGATATTAGCTGGAATATCACTGTTTACAATGGACTGTTTCTTTTAGAAGGAATAAATTTTTTTTTTGCTGACTAGAAAAATTTAGTTTTTAAACTAATATCACATGGAAGTTATATTTGGGGCATATGGAGAAATTTTTGTTTATGCATACCTGGTGTGTCAGAGGCTAAACTATATTATGTCACTGGATTTGAAAAACAATTTGTGAGCCTTCCTTTAATATTGAAGAAGTAAATATATTTTCAATAGTTAGTAGGACAATTATATGCCTTTTTGGTGTACTTTTTACCTTTCACTTTTGAGAGAAAAAGGAGACATATCAAAGAAATCTTGTGCTCTGCATAAAAAAGAATTTAGAAGTCGTACACCTCATGTCTTTACTTGATTACATTCCATACTGTAATTCTGTTGAATTCTGGAAAAAAGCCCAAATCATTTGTACTATAATTAGCAAACGTACTAGGTAACATTTTTTATTATTTGGACCTCTGTTCAGATCAGATCAAATATTATAGATTGTCAAATGAGTGCCTGTTGTCCCTGGCTTAAATTGAGAATAAAATTGTTTTGGAGTTTTGCTGTCAAAAACACAAATGAAAATGAGACCAGGACACGATACCCGGTATTGAGCATTATAGGTGTGATTAATAGTCAGAGGAGAGATTCTGCCAAGTTTTTGTGTCACGGCAAACTCTGTCATAGACATGACCATACAGCTCTTTTGCCCAATTTGAAGTCTAATAGTAATACTTTTTATTTTGTGACCATTAAATTCTTTCGAACATTTTTAAAACAGGAAAAAAACAGTATATGCTCTCCAGAACAAGATGTGCTACAATTGAGCGATCAAAAGATAAGAGGGATTTGGGTAGGTAATTTTAACACAGAAAGTAATGCCACATATTGACTCAAGTTTTAGAGAAATTGGTATAAGACTTGAAATGAGTGACAGGTGGTAAGACTCTTCAAAAATTTATAAGCCGTTTTTTTTTTCTTTTTTTCTAAAACACCTTGAATTTGAAAAGATGGCATAGAAAGGGAGAAAAACCTTGAGGTTCTATCCTAGAATTCTAGTTATGGCTATCTTGCTTGGCCACAGTAATAGTGATTTAAACTGTGATAAATAGATCCAATTCTAGTGCTTTTATTCTTAGGATAATTCTCTTATGCTAAACAGTTTAGGATATTGTTAATTGAACACTGATACTTTTCCCATTGCCCAAGTAACTTCAGTTTTTCCCTAGAAATTTCTAATATGTAAAACGATTTTTGATGACTCACAGAAAGTCAAGATGAAGCCTAAAAACTGAGATGCTAAATGGTGTGAAAATTAGTTCCAACTGATGGGTGCAATTAGGAGCTTCAGATTGATTAGATGCATTTTATTAGATATGAACTGTAGAATGACTTGTATAACTTGATGAATTTTCTTTAGTTTTGGGTTAGAATGATAGCCATGGTCTTTGTACTTTTGTTGACTAACATGGGAGATTAATTTTACTTTTTTTCACAATAAAAATTGAAAAACATAGTAGAATTAATGACAAAACTCTGGAATGACTCCCTTACTACTTACTCATTTTCCTTGCTTACCACTGCTGCCACTGTGATTTTAGCAGCTATTATTAAAAACAGAACTAGACCATTTAAAGCTGAGCTGTTCAATATAGTTGCCACTAGTCACACATGGCAATTAAAATGAAATAATATTGAAATTCAGTTTCTCAGTTGCACTTTAAATGTTTAATTCTGGTGGCTACCAGATCAGTGCACATAATGCTACATTTCCATTATCACAGAAAGTTCTAATTTACAACACTCTTTTAAGAGAATCTGAGTTTAACAGTGAGAATATTGAAAGAATAGGAACATCTGAAGGAAGCTGAAAGCAAGGGAAAATGGGAGAGTGGAGTGGGAAACAATTTATATTGTTTATGTCTTCTGGCTTTTAAGATTCTTGCAACATGATACCTTACTATGCTGTCTGCCCTTTCACTTGAAAAAATTTTGAATATATAAAAGATATGTTCTCATCTTCTAATTAGTGCCATTATGAAGATGACTCACCAGTTTTTATCTCTATTCTGTATTTCTTTAACAAATATTTATTGTCTAATATGTAGCAAGTACTTTTATAGACCATTAAGAAAGCATGCAGAGCCTCAGTTTACATAGAGGAAAGACAGTACACAGTAAACAAACAGTATCAGATAGTAATAAGTCGTTCATGAAGAACAGTAGACCTGGATATAGACAAAGAAGTGATGGGGGTGTGCTTGTGGGCTGGGCATAGGATAATATGTGATTTTAGGTAGTGTGGAAGAGCTCATATTTGAGGAACAGTAGACCTGGACATAGACAAACAAGTGATGGGGGTGTGCTTGTGGGCTGGGCATAGGATAATATGTGATTTTAGGTAGTGTGGAAGAGCTCGTATTTGTACAGATACCTGAGCGAAGTGTGAGCATGAACTTTTGGCTCTCTGAAGGTTGTGCGTCCCAGACCAGGGCCTGATGGGGCAGTGTGCTGGCCCTCGAGATGAATAGTGAGGACACAGCCTTGTTGAAGCTGAATGAGCGAGGGTAGGAATGGCAGTATTCTCGTTTCTGATCTCTTGCTGCACATCCTGATGTTCATATTTGCCTTTCTTTCTTAAGGGTATTTCCATTCTTCTGGTGGTCCAGGGTATTTTTTTTTTCTTTTTTTTTCCTTTTAATAGCTCTTCTGTCAATCTCCCAAAACAACCATTTGGTTTGCAGATCTGTCAGTTTTTGTATGTAGACTTTTCCCTTCAGTTACTCCTGCCCTGCTACATATTCTTATTGCAACGCTTCTCAAACTCTTCACTACCCAGTTTTTTTCTGTCTTGCACTCCCTTGCTTAGAAATCTTTGCTGACAGTAAATATAAACTTGGCTTATTTTTTTTAAAAAAAGTATTTCCTCTTGGTTTAGCCTGTGTAGATAAGGAAAAACAATGGAAGAACTCTTTTTTTCTTCTGAATTCAAAATATTTACATATATAATAGTTCAGCTAGATTATGGGCCAACTAGGCTTTTGTGAACTTACTTAGAAACCTGAGGTTCAAGTAAGATTCACTTACATAATTCACGTTCCTATTTAATATAATATTTTCATGGGAAAGTGAATTATGAGTTATAAACAATGCATATATTTTGTTTGAAGTCTAGTTCATTGATAAGTTGATGACTAGCATATATTTTGGAGTTAGCAGAGAAATGTTTGGTAGTTGGTGTATAAGTTTTACTCATGGTATTCCTTTGTAAGTGAAAGATTTAGTAGGATGAGTATCACGTTTTGATATATATTTCTCACTTTACAGGAAAAATGTTTTAATTTGGACTCTCATAAAAATGTAGATTACTGCTTAGATGCATTTGTAACATGATTTTATACAGTGGCACCCAGCTAACTGTTCCCATGTGTGTGCTGTTGAATTGTATTCACGCTAATACTAGAGGGAGAGTTGGTTAAAAATAATGTTTTTAGTGTTTTACCAAGGTCTTGCCTTGACACAGATATGAGAATATTAATAATGCTCTGGCATTGAGATGGAAGTTTTACAAAGGCTAATTTTCTGTAACTGACTTTTACCAGTTAGAAGTTGTTTATAGCCAAAGTTATTCTGTTTCTTTTGTAAGCATGTGAGAATATCTGAGCGCTAGTTTTTATTATAAATTGATAATTCGTTACATGTTTTACACAAATCATTATTCCACTAAGTCCAGAAAAAGAATAAATTGGGTTTAACCAGTCTGTTGAAATAACATTTTATTTTCTTTTACTGGTCTTAAAATCATGTGAATTTGGTATGTGAGGTATCTTTCAGGATTGCATTTGATATGTGAGGCATCTTTCAGGATTGTATGTGTGGACCGTATGTGAGGGATCTTTCAGGATTCAGCTATCTTTCAGGATTGTCATATTGTTCTAAAATACCCTGTGAAAAGAAGCAGTTTTATGGATTAATAGGAAGATCATGGAAGAAAATTGTTACAATTACAATGAAATTAAAATAATAAGTAAACCTCCTCCATTGCTTAAAGGAAAAAGTCCCAGCTTTTCAGTTAAGGATTGTTAGTCTCTGGTCTCAACCAACTTTTCCAGCATTAAGGACTACTATTCCTCTATACCAGGGATTGGAGGCTCAAATTCCCAGCTGGGGTACAGGTGTGCCTATATGCTGAACCCTCCGCTATTGGAGATGCCTGGAGTGGCTGGAGCCATTTAATATGGTCGTTCTAGCCACAAGCAGCTTTATTCTTTTACACCCATGTGAGGTACAAGATATGCGAGGATGCAAGGGCAAGGAAGGTAATGTGAATGTGTGTGGCTGGCCAAGTTGGGGGCGGGGGCAAAATGAAGAGTGAATATTCTATCTAAAGAGAGCTGCTACTACTACTTTTATTACACTCTGGCTTTGTCACAATGATTATTGCCATGCAGGAATCGTGTAACCAGGTCTTCTGGTTTTTTTTTTTCCTCCCAGAGCGTGAGGGAAGTAATACCTATTATTGTACACATACAATCTCCTAATCTTTATCTTTTGCCAGTTATTTCAAAAAATTTTGAATGACATTGTAAAAACCAAAGAAAACCATTTTCAATTATGATTTGTTTCATAAAAAACATGTCTAAGAACATGGAGTAGATGGTGATTCTTGTTATTTTTGCTCTCAGGACCCCTTTACACTCATAAAAATTATTGAGAACCTCAGAGCTTTTGGGTACATAAAATTTACTATTTTAGAAATTAAAACGGAGAAAAGCTTAGGCTATTAGTTCATATTAAAATGTCAGTCTATTATGTTTGAATAACATATTTTATGAAAAACACATTTGCTGAAACAAAATGGTTAGAAGATTACGTTGCTTTACATTGTTGCAAGTCTTGAATGTCTGCCATATTAGAGGAGAACTAGAGTCTCCAATGTGCTTCTGAAGGTTTGCATTCTATTGCAATAAGTTGTTTTGGTTGAAGTTTGTGAAGAAAATCTGGCTTTACCCAGATAATAATTTAGAAAAGGGAGGAGTATTTTAACTGATAATCAGATAATAATGGATATTCTTTTTAATGCTATACCCAAACTTAACAGATGGTAATTTCTTAAAGATTAGTTGCAATGTGGAATTCGAAATCACATCAGTTATTCTATGGTGGTATCAACAACCTTTTCATGTTATGTTGCATTAAAATCCATTAGTGTTTCTTGCTTTTTGGATGGATCTTTTACCCATGCATGAGTTTGTAACACTGTGCATTGGTAATTTGAAAAGATTTCTTTTTAAATGCTTGAAGAATGTCTACTATAAGAAAAAGTTGAATTTGTTAATATCACCACTCATATACAAGCCTTTAAGTATTGAGAAGATATCAAGCTCACAGTGGTAGAAACAAGTTTTTCAAAGTTTAGATTTTTGCTTGAAAATTCCATATTAATCATTGTCAACAGATACATTTGTTTTCCTTAAAGCAACAGGCTCACTTTTTTTTTT
This sequence comes from Homo sapiens, assembly GCF_000001405.40. Lineage (NCBI taxonomy): Eukaryota > Metazoa > Chordata > Mammalia > Primates > Hominidae > Homo > Homo sapiens. The sequence goes on from NC_000021.9 coordinate 15,774,500, forward strand.
CCAGACAACATCTGCCAAATACTGAAGTCTGAATAATTCTAGTTTGTAGTTTGTTAGTTTTTCTTTTAAATAAAAATTGCATTCCATGGGAAAAATCAGTTTAGCTTGTAACTCATTTTACACTAGTTGTTAGCAACAGCATACTCTGGATATATCGCAGAAGTACTTTATGTGTACTTCTTATGTTAGAATTAAACATAAATCAAGGTTTGAGGTTTAATAAAATTAGGTTTAATCTTTTCGCCAAGAACATAATTCTAAAAGAAACTGGCTTGGCTTCTGTTTAAAACAGTGAGTGTGTATATTTGTGACTAATACAATGAATTATGCAACTTGGTGCTGCTGCCTTGATTTGTGCTAAGATGCAGCAGTTTTATTCAATATCGTTTTGCATCATTGGTGCAAATGTGGCTACAGTACAAAAGGCAAATAATATCTGAGTAGTATTATTTTTTTATTTAAGGACTTTCCTCCCTTTTTTCAAAGGGGCCCTGGGGACCCCAAGGATCAATGGACCATATTTGAAGAACTGCTAGTAAGGCAGAAAGACCACTGGATTTAAGAGTTAGAAGACTTAAATTTTGAAGCCTGTGCACCATTCTCGCGTCTTATGATGTGCTTCATTTCTCAGAATTTCAGTGATTTCATTTATAAAATATATTTGGGGAAAAAACATCTTGTTTTTTGCTTTTTTGTTGCTTGAATTACAATTGATGAATTAGGAAAAGCTGTAAGTGTAAGTTGTTGCTATTTTTAAATTAGTTTCGGCTATAGCCCATTTGTTTTACTTGTCAGTCATGATACAGTAAACATTCTAGAAATTTTCAAATAAGGAATTTAATACAGGGGATTAGGTTCTTTAAAAAATCACTGGAAGGACTGGAGGAAAGCTCTAGCTCAGACTTCTGAAATGACTCCCACATCATTGCAGGACTGACCAGTCAGGGAAGCGACCAGTCAGGGAAGCGGCTACTTCTGTCACAATTAGGAAAGCGGCCTCTTGGACTACTGAGTTCAAGAACATACTTCTATAGCTGCAGCCCAGGAAACAGGAAGCCAGGATTAGGTACTGCCTCTGAGCTATGCCTGGAAATTGGAATGCAAAGTCTAGTTGCCGCTTATATTCCATCTCTTGACATTCTTAAAGCTGGAAATTGGAGCCTGGAATACTGTGGAACAACTTAAATCTTTTCAATCAAGCTAGAGAAAACAGCCAAAGGCAACAGGATAATGGTTGCCACCCCCCCCCCCCCCCGCCCCCGCTGCACTCTGCCTTCCATGTCTCGTGTTAGTGCATTCTAATGGATGAGGCCTAAGTTTCATCCAAAACCCTAACTGCCAGTGAATAAGGAAGATAGTTTTTCTGTTTTTTTTTATGTTTAGTTTCTATAATTGAAGAAAGTAAACTTAAGAGAACGAGTTAATGGAATCTGACCGCTAATTAATCACACACCTAAACCCTGTTTTTCTGCTTCTCTGTGATTTTCAAATTTTTTCCACTTTTCATTATCCTTTCTCTACTTAGACCTAAGTTCTAGCCATTTTAATAACCAAGATAGCTTTCATTTTTATGAGGCATTCCATACCTTTTTAATCCTCACTGCTTCATCAGTGTTTATGAATGTTCAGTTCTGGGTTACACTCATCTTCAGCTGTGGTCTGGGTGGACTTGGATTTTGTAACCAGACTTGTAAAACCTTTGGCCTGCTGTTGCCTGTAAAGTGATTCACCATTTCAATTACTATGCTATATAAATCTTTCACATTTTACTTGCCTGTATTTTTGGGGGGCCCTACTTAATACACTTTTGTGAGGTTTTATTATACTCTCTAAAGACATTAAAAAAAACACCACCACTTCCTTCCATGATCAGGTATTCTTTCTCATATTTTAAATCTTCTTACAAGCTACTATTTGGAGAACGTGTGGATAAAAATAGAAGTAGACTCTGGAAAATATCAATATACATTACTTTTTTTCATTAAATATATAATATGCTTTTCTAGTATTTATGTAAAACCTTATAGCCATATGGTAAAATAAAGCCACCTTATCCTCCCCATCCTCTATCCTGTTTGTTTTTTTTTTCCTCTTCTAAAATTGTATGATTACAAAGAAAATATTTTTAACATGTCTAAAATACACCAACCTGGGCAAGACGCAAAACCTTGTATCTACAAAAAATTAAAAAGAAAATTAGCCAAGTGGTGCATGCCTGTAGTCCTAGCTACTCTGGAGGTTGGGGCGGGAGGATCACTGGAGCTCAGGAGTTTGAGATTGCAGTGAGCTGTGATCATGCCACTGCCCTCTAGCCTGGGTGACACAGTGAGACACTGTCTCTAAAAAATAAAATTTAAAATAAGCAAATAACTAAAATGAAGGCAAAACGTGTCCAAAATACAAATAAGCATAATCCCAACCATGCAAAGATAATAACAGATAGTTTCTCTTTCTGATCATATTATTTTGTAACCTGTTACCACTTCCCTACTTAGCAATATACCATGGTTTCTATCACTGTTGAAATGATAATGGGAGTATTTATCATTGGCATCATCTGGGTTAGGGAAATTGACCAATATATATTGGGAAATTGGATTAAAAGTCATTTTTATTGAAGGCGGTATTAGTTGTAACCTTTTTTGGAAAAAGAATTAATACTTAATAGCATCAAGGCTATTTTTTATTAGAAGAGGGCTTGTTTCATTCACTTGTATATTTCATTTTTGTGAAATGAGAATCTTGTTTTAAATTAAAAGGACTGCATATTTATTAAGCAATTCAGATTGTATAGAAGTATTTAAATAGAAAGTGAAAGATTCTTATACTTCTTCCTCCTATAACTCCTTTCCTCAGAGTTAACCACTGTTAATAGTTTGGCACATTCTTTCAGAATTTAAAAAATGTATGTGTAAATGTACATCTCTGGTTAGTTTCTGAAACATCAGTTTTTAAGAGTTCACTGTTAATTATTGTAATTTGATAATGTCTAGATGGTAGTAGTATGGACAGAATTTAATACGTATGTAATCGGGTTAACTTCAGAAAGCAGAAATGTCAATGTTTAATTGTATTGATTTCAATTTTTGTTGATAAACCATTCTCAGCAGTCTTTCTGCTTATTAGCTTTTAATAAGAGACCTCATAGTAAATACAGAGATTCTTCTACAGTGAAATATATTTCTGCTTACTGCTTTAGGTATATTTTATCAAAAAAATCATTGAGTTACTGAGTATGACCAGTTAAAAATATGTTTGCATTTATTTTTAGATAGGCTTTTAGAAATACAAAATTAGTTGGTACTGACTGGTTTAAAGAGTATATTGGATATAAAATCTCCATAATAAAAATCCTTTCATTTTGTTTTACTTTTAATTTTGAGAAAGATAGTTTTGCTTTTCAGATGTGATTGATCTCACTGGAGATGATAAAGATGATCTTCAGAGAGCAATTGCCTTGAGTTTGGCCGAATCAAACAGGGCATTCAGGGAGACTGGAATAACTGATGAGGAACAAGCCATTAGCAGGTAAAAACATAATTTGTATAAAGCAGATATAAGTACTTTTAAAAATAGAAATCATTAATTGGGTTAAATTAATTTTAAGAGGTAATAAGATATACTTTGTTACTCTAAACTAGTAATATGCTTGTGTATTTTTAAATTTTATGTAACCAAAATCTTCATATTTAGTTTTGATTGCAATTGGGTTTAGATTTTTAAGATTTTGGGATGGTGTTATGAGGGATTACATTTAGGTGCATATTTTAATATTTCTTTCATTTTTTTTCTTCCCCTAATCTTTTTTGGATGCACTGTCCAATTTGCAACAATTTATAGCAAGGGTCAGCATCCTTTTTCTGTAAAGGGCTAATAGTAAATATTTTTGGCTTTGTTGGCTATAGGGTTTCTGTTATAGCTATTCAGCTCTGGTGTCATAACGCAAAAGCAGCTATAGCTGATAAATAATATAATGAGCTTGGCTGTATCCTAATAAATCTTGATTTACAAAGGCAGCCAGTTGGTTTTGTCCTCTCGGCTGTGGTTTGCTGACTTCTGATCTATAGCATGATAATATGTTTATATATATTGTTCAAATAAATGGGCAGGGCTCCAAGATGTGTGCTAGAATGCAGTTTTTCATTTAATAACCAAAACTTTGTAGTTTGAAACAGTTTGATTCATCTAAGGACTAAAAAATACATTTGGTTTTCATAATACCTCTAAAAATGGAGATATAATAATTTAATAAGCCATAAAGTTGTAACTAACTGTAATCCTCTAAACAACTATTTGAAGGCAGTGGTAACTCTATGTTACTGAAGAAGAAATTTACTTGCAAGAGGTTAAATGTGCTTTTTCCAAAGGCACACAGCTCAGATGCATCTTAAGACTTAAATGTTCTTTTCCTTTAACATAGTCCTTTGGTAACAGAATGTACCAAATTTCTCAGGTAATTTTTCTTGGCACAATATCAATAGGAGATTTCTTTCCAAATAATCAGAGATTACTATATGGTAGGAAATGTTTCAAAATGCTATGTTTAGCAAAGGCATATAATTTTTTATCTTAGTGCGACTTTTTAATGTCTTTAAATGTTACTTTGGAAACTACTTTGTAAGACATTATATTATGTAAAGACTTAATTAAACTCTATTGTCCCCCTCATTAGTTGTGGCTAATATTTATTGCCAGGAACTTTAAATGAAAACCAAAAAATACGTAGTTAGGCTTATTTTCTGAAGCATTTGAGAAATTATATGAATTGGGCTTTTTCTTTTTAAAACGTGTATTGCAATGCATAATTGTCTTGAATAATTATGAAACAACAATACTTAAACTTTGAGAAATATTTTAAATACAAAACACATGAGTTGGATTTCATATGTAAGGGGCATGGTTTTATGTGAAAAGGGTTATAAAAAGAATGTATACTTGATACAAATATTATTTTTAAAATTATATTTTTGTTTATATGAATTTATATGAGTATATGAATATAAAATATATGTGAGCTTATATACCCAATTAGTATCAGTCGTTCTATTATGTGTTTTCTAATTAAAACAACAGGTACTAATTATATAATAAAAGTAAGGTAATATAAAAAGGGATGAAGGCTGTTCCTAATTTGATATTCAGTTCAATGTATATGTTATATTATTGTTTTGGATAGTTGTTTTTATCCAAAATGGCAAAAGAAAATCTCTTCAGATAATGCTGTTTTTTCATTCTAGGTCTTTTACATTTTAATATAATTTAAAAATAGTAAATATTTGGTAGATATTATTATTGTAGATGACATAGAGATTCGGCATAATGTAACATGCCATAAAGCTATGCTCCCTAGAAGTAAAAGAGTCATATTAATTATGTGTAAATTCAATAACCCGCAATGAGCAAATGGGTGTTCAATGCAAAATATGCATTTAATAAACTTATATGTAAATCATATTGTATTAGGAAAAGAGGATGTGGAGAGTTCTAGCTAAACATTATCAGAGATATATTTGCTCATATGGGTTTATTAAGGTATAGAACTCTAAATTCAAAAGAGAAAATGATGCATTTTAAAGGAAGACATTTATATATTATGCTTAAAAGTAAATTAACTCCTTCTTCATTACTGAAGTTGATATAGGGAAAATCTTTGCAAATAAAATTCCAGAATCATTTGCTTATTATATTTTAGTAGACATAATTTAATGTGAAGTTACACATTAGGATACTACATTGTGTGTAATTTGATGAGATAAAGCCTGTCTTTTTACGTCTTAGAATCCTGTGTTTAGGCATTTATACGTTTCATGCTAAAATTTTTTAAGTAGAACGTTTTTAAAGTATTTCTTTATACACTTTTTAGTGTCAGAATTGGGTGTATTTATTATCTCTTGATTATCACTGCCAGGACACAAGTGGAGTATGGACAGTTGAAATTTGTTAATAAACTACATTGTGACTGGTTTGTGTCTATGGCATATTTCTTGTGAAAATGGCTTGCCTCATGAAATAACTTTGAAGTGCCTCATTAGAAGATAGTGCTAAGTTTTCTAGCTAAAATTGTTACAAAGAGCACGCACCTTCAACAATTTCAAGAAGTAGTAGACTACAGATTCTTTTTTTCCTCATTACTTCTGTGTTTCAACTAGTTATTTCTTGTTATCTTCAGCCTGGAGTTGCCATTGGGGAAAGAAAGAAGGATCATGTCCAGGAATAGTCAGGGTGGAATTCTGAATTATTAAAATAGGTCTGTATAACTCCTACATTTTTTATCCTTATCATTACTGAGGAAGCAGCTGTGAAGGGGAACTGTCTAAAGATGGTGTGTGAAACAGGAGTGGATGAGGGAGGCAGAGTTAGAAATCTTTTAAAATTGATCTTTGAGGAGGATTTCGGTGCTCAATAATTCCAGATACTTGTGGATGCTAAGGAGCATGGAAGGGCCATCGAATAACCATCAAACCATTTAAGGTGTGTTATGTCAGATTATAGATGATCTGGAAAAGTAAGAAATATGACACAGATTAGTTTCCTGGGCTACAAGGTTGTGGCTGCAGGTGACTGATGAACAGCAGCAGTGTAACTTGAAAAAGTATCAGCAACAGTGAGGTACCACTGATATCCCCAGGAAGAGGGATCAACTGGTCGATGTAGTCAGGCTGTCCGTGTGGCAGGAGCCACACCCCATGCAATGTGGGCTCTCCTACGGCCAGATACACAGGTCAACTTTTGGTAGGAATCACATGTCTGACAAGTAGTGGTAGCTTCTGTGTTAGAAACGTAGAGTTCCTTAATTTGTACTCTGTATACGATTGTGGATGTGATTCCATTTTGGGTATTGTGATTGTGGCAGTGGTGGTGATCTGGGTTGTGCAAGTTTGATCAAAAGCTTTATTCTGTTCATCTCATTGAAGAACACATTAGAGCACTCATCCATCACAATGGCTAAAATTAAAAAGACTGATGGGAAGTGATGTCAGCAAGATCGCCAACTAGAGTTGCTTGGCTATCATTTCCCTCACAAAAAAGGAACCAAAACAACGAATAAGTTTATTTTGTCTGGAGTGACTGAGGAAATGCCCTGGAGAGTACCAAGAGAACAGCAAAGTCCCTGTGGAGCATAGAGTCAAGAATAGCTCCACAGGGAGGAGACCAAAGTATCCTGCCTCTGCCATACTGTCTCCCCTGCGAGGATTGAATCAAAGCCAGGGGGTTCCTCTTCTTATAGGAAGAAGGTAAGCGGAGAATCATCAGTCCTCATCACCACCACAGGTGCCAGCAGTCACTGCTACAAGAGAGTTCCCCAGTCCTCACAGGTCCCAAGTCCAGCATGAACAGTTGCTGAAAGTGCATGTGGCTACATTCCCCCACAGCAGGAACCTCTTTGACACCCTGCACCCCTGCAATCCAAGCAGCTAAGGGATGACACAACTGTGAAACCAAGCCCACATCTGGAGTGCTTCCTGACCTGGAGGCCAGTAGCCACCCTGTATCCCAGAGGCATTGCCCTCATTCCACAAAGTTCACACAAGTGCCTCTAGCACTAATACCTTGGCTACTTGGAGCCTAGGCTCAAAGGCACAACTGGGGCCCTGATACCTAAACCCACAAGGCTCCCTATTACCCAGGGAAGCAGGTGGGCCTGCATGGCCGGGCAGCCCCATGCGGCCACCAGGCTAGTGTACATCTGTCCCTGGCTCTAGCTGGCCTGGAGGTGGCCCCACCCCAAGGGAGAGAGTAGTATACAGCCAGTGGGCCTGTGTGAACTTGCTCCCAGCTTGAATAGCTGGCCCAGAGGTTGTCTGCCTGTACCACTGGAGGATTGTGCACAGCTGCCGGGCCACAATTTCCTGCCTTTAGTCCAATAGCTGGTTTGGAGGCACTCTTTCCGCAGCTCAACCCTACATCACCAGAGTCATGCACAGCCTCCAGACCTGTGTGCATCCACCCCTGGCCTGATAGCCAGCCCAGCAGTAACCCTGCTGCCATTCAGGAGAGACAGTCGTACAACCTTTCTGGCCTGCTGCATCAGCATGTGCCTGACCAGCAACCAGCTTGGTGCCAACTCCAGAAAAACCATGCCACCACAGTCATGGGCTTCTGCATACTAAGTCACTGAGATAATCACGGACATCGCAGGTGAGGATTCCAGCTGAATAATCTGTTTGGACACCACAATACTGAGTCCACCCTGAACCAAAGCCACCACACGCCATTTCCAATCAGCACCCTAGGACCCATCAACAGGAAAAAACCTCTTCCTATGAAAGCTGCTCGTTAAAATTGGAAAAAGCAATTGTCCATTACATGCACAGGTACCAACATAGAGACAGAAGAATCATGAAAAAGCAAGGAAACGTGTCACCCCCAAACCTGGCACCACAATGCATCTTTAGTAATGGAATCCAAAGAAAAGAATATTTATGAAATGCATGAAAAATAATTCAAAATAATGACATTAAAGAAACTTTTGAGTTGTAAGAGAATACAACAATTTAACGAAATTAATAAATTCATTAGCTGAGTGAGAAATTGAACAAAGATAGATATTATGGAAAGGAACAAAACAGGAATCTTGGAGCTTGAGGAATTAAGTGAATGAAATTAAAAAAAATACAATTGAGAGCCACAGTAACAGACTAGAACATGCAGAATAATACATTTCTGAACTTGAAGACAGATCGTTTGAAATAACCCATTCAGAAGAAGAAAAAAAAAAAAGAATAACAAAGTATGAAGAAAGCCCATAGGACTTATCAGACACCATTAAGCAAACCTATATTCATATTATGGGAGTGCCAGAGAAAGAATAAGTGAAGAGAGGCATAGACCACCCATTTGGTTAAATAGATTGCCTGTGTCCTTCTGCACTTCTTGGAAGGAAGTCTTGGAAGTTATGGACATCTAGGAATGAAAAGATCCCCAATAAAATTCAGCCCCTCAAAATCCTCTCAAAGGTACACAATTCTAAAAGCTGTAAGACAAAAACATTACGTCACATATATGGGAATTCCCATTAGACTGTCAGTACATTTCTCAGCAGAGACTGCACAAGACAGGAGAGAGTGGGATGACATATTCACAGTGCTGGGAAAAAATAAAAATAAAATATAAAAATAAAAACTGTCAGCAGAGAATATATCCGGCAGTGCTATCCTTAAGAAATGAAAAAGAAGGGCCGGGCGCAGTGGCTGATGCCTGTAATCTCAGCACTTTGGGAGGCCAAAGCAGGCAGATCACGAGGTCAGGAGATCGAGACCATCTTGGTTAACATGGTGAAACCCCGTCTGTACTAAAAAAAAAAAAAAAAAATACAAAAAATTAGCCAGGCATGGTGGTGGGTGCCGGTAGTCTCAGCTACTTGGGAGGCTGAGGCAGGAGAATGGCGTGAACCCAGGAGGCGGAGCTTGCAGTGAGCCGAGATCGCGCCACTGCACTCCAGCCTGGGCGACAGAGCGAGACTCCGTCTCAAAAAAAATAAAGAAAAGAAAAAGAAATAGAGACGTTTCCAGACAAGCAAAGGTGATGGAATTCATCACCACTGGACTGGTCCTACAAAAACACTTAGAGGAAATAATAGGAAATGAAAGAATGATTAATACCATGAAAATATGTGAAAATACAAAACTCATCAATATAGGTAAATCCATAATCATATTCAGAATACCCCAGTGCTGTAATGGTGCTGTGTAATTCCTTCCGTCCTCTAATATGAAGGTTTAAAGTTAAAAATGTCAGAAATATCAACAGCTACAATTAGTGGCTAAGGAACACATGAAAGATAAAGATGTGGCTGGGCGTGGTGGCTCACGCCTGTAATGCCAGCACTTTCGGAGGCTGAGGCTGGCGGATCATCTGAGGTCAGGAGTTTGAGACCAGCCTGATGAACGTGGAGAAACCCCGTCTCCACTAAAAATACAAAATTAGCTGAGCATGGTGGTGCATGCCTGTAATCCAAGCTACTCGGGTGGCTGAGACAGGAGAATTGCTTGAACCCGGGAGGTGGAGGTTGTGGTGAGCCGAGATCACGCCATTGGACTCCAGCTTGGGCAACAAGAGCGAAACTCTGTTTCAAAAAAAAAAAGATAAAGATGTAAATTACAGCAATCAAAACACTAATCATGGTGGGGTAGGGGAGTGAGGGGAAAAAGTCTAGATTATTTTTGTGTGACCAAAGTTAAGTTGTTATTAGCTTAAAATAGTCTGTTGTAACTGTAAGACTCTTCATGTTAGCTCCATGGTAACCACAAGAAAAATTATAGTAGATAGACAAACAAGAAAGGAAACAAAGCTTAGCATTATAGAAAACCACCAAACCACAGAAGTAAACAAGAGGGAAAGAATCAAACGAGGAATCTTCATAATATTGAGAAAACAAACTAGCATGAGTAAATTATTACTTATCAGTAGTAACCTTGAATGTAAGTGGATTAAATTCCCCAATTAAAAAATATAGAGCAGCTGGATGGATTGAAAAAAAAAAAGACCCAACTGTATGTTGCCTACAAGAGACACACCTCATCATTAAATATAAACATAGACTGAAAGTGAAGGAATGGACAAAGATATCCCATGCAAATTCAAACCAAAAATGAGCAGAAGCAGCCATACTTGTACTAGATACAATAGACTTTAAGTCAAAAACTGTAAAAAGAGACAAAGTCATTATGTAATAATAAAATAATCAATTCACCAAGAAGCAAAACTGTAAATATATAAGCACCGAACACCAGAACATCCAAATATATAAAGCAAATATTATTAGATTTAAAGGGGGAAATAGACTCCAGTACAACAATAGTAGGGACTTCAGCATCCCACTTTTAACAGTAGACAAATGATTTAGAAACATGAGACTTAAACTACACCATGGACATTTACAGAACATGAACAGCCGCAGAATACACATTCTTTTCAACTGTGCATGGAATATTCTCCAGTAAAGATCGTATGTTAGAGATGGTATCAAGTATTTTACCAGATCACAACTATATAAAGCTAGAAATCAACAACAAGAAAAACGTTAGAAACCAACAAATACATGGAAGTTAATATGCACCTTAATAACCAATGGGTCAGTGAAGAAATTAAAAGGGTAATTAGAAAGTTCCCTGGGACAAAGGAGCGTGGAAACACATACAAAAACCTGTGGGACACAGTGAAACCTGTTCTAGAAGTTCATGGCAATAAATGCCTGCATCAGAAATGAGGAAAGATTTCTAATAAACAGATTAACTGTGCAACTCAGAGAAACCTGAAAAGCAAGAACAAATTAAACCCAAAATTGGTAGGATGGAAATAATAAAGCTTAGAGCAGAAGTAAACAAATAGAGACTAAAAGAGCAATTCAAAAGATCAGTGAAATTTTTTTGAGAAGATAAACAGAATCAACAAACCTTTAGCTAGACTAAGAAAAAAGGAAAAAAAAAAAGACTCGAATAAATAAAACCAGACATGAAAAATGAAACATTACAAATGTATCACAGAATTGGAGGATCACAAGAGACTATTATGAACAACTGTATACCAACAAATTCTAGAATATAGGAAAAATGGATAAATTCTTGAACACACACAACCTACCAAGATTAAATTGAGAAGAAATGGAAAAAATAAGCAGACCACAACGAGTGGGAGAATTGAATAACTGCTAAAGCCTGACATAAAGATCCCTAGTTTCTGATGGCTACATTGCTGAAGTGTGTCAAACATTTAAGGAACAACTAATATTAATTCTCAAACTATTCCAGAAAATTAAAGAGGAGGGAATACTTCCAAACTCATTTTATGAGGCCAGCATTACCCTGATTCAAAAACTAGACAAGGACACAACAAAAAGAAACAGGCCAATATCCCTGATCAACCTAGATGCAGAAATTCTCAACAAGATTCTAGCACGTCCGATTCAACGGCATATTAAAAACATCATCCACTATGATCGAGATTCATCCCAGAGATGGAGGGATGGTTCAACATACACAAATCAATAAATGCGATACATCACAGTAACAAAGAGAACGGAAACCATATAATTTCAGTAGATACAGAAAAAAGCACATTACAAAGTTTAACATCCCTTCATGATAAAAACTCTCAAAATAGATATAGAAAGTATGTACCTCAACACGGTAAAGACCATAGTTGAGAAACCCACAGCTAGTAGTATACTGAATGCAGAAAAAAATGAAAGCTTTTCCACTAAGATCAAGAACCTAACAAAGATGCCCACTTCCACCAATCCTATTCAACATAGTACTGGAAGTCTTAGAGCAGTTAGGCAGGGGAAAGAAATAAAAGACATCAAAATTGGAAAGGAGAAAGTAAAATTGTCTCTGTTTCCAGATGATATGATCTTAAATATAGAAAGCCCTAAAGAGTTCACCAAAAAACTGCTACAACTCATAAGTGAATTCAGTAAAAGTGTAGGACACAAAATTAACACACAAAAATCAGCACTTCTATATGCTAACGGTGAGTTATTTGAAAAAATAAGAAAACAATTTCATTTACAAGAGCTACAAAAAATCTAGATACCTAAGAATAAACTTAACCAAAGAGATAAAAGATCTCTACACTGAAAGCTATAAAACATTGAGGAAAGAAATATAAGACACAAACAAATGGAAGTAGATCGTATGTTCATGGATTAGAAGAATTAATGTTAAAATGGCCATACTACCTGAAGTCATCTCCAGACTTACTGCAGTCCATGTAAAAATTCCAGTGACCCTTCAGAGAATTAGAAAAGACAATCCCAAAAATTCATGTGGAACCACAAGAGAGCCCAAATAGCCAAAGCAAGCCTGAACAAAAGGAACAAAAGGTAGAGGCATCACTACTTGACTTCCAAATGTACTGCTAGAATATAGTAACCAAAACAATGATATTGGTGTAAAAAACAGACACATAGACCAGTGGAACAAAATAGAGAGCCCAGAAATGGACACACCTACAGCCAACTGATTTTTGACAAAAACTGTTAACTGGAGTAAATCTAAGAAATGTACAAGAACTTCCAGGAAGAAAATGATTAAATATCATTAAGACACATTAAAGAATACATAAATATTTTGAAACATTCGCTGTTTCATGAATTGGAAGACCATTGTTAAACTGGTCGGTTCTTCTTAAATTGATTTATGGGTTTAGTTTGATCCCAATTAAAAATACCGTTAGTTTTGTTTTTGCTTTTTTAGGAAATCAAATGAGATGTTTCATTACCCGCCGCCCCCTTTTTTTTTCTTTGTAGTTGATCTATACAGCTTAAAGTGTATGCATGTTTCTCAGTGAGTGTAATACTTCCCAAAAAGGGGCTTAGGTGAGCTATGAAGTGGGATATTTTCAGTATTACTGCTATAGGCAATTTAACAACACAAAAACAATAAAATAATAACACCCCCTCACCCCCCCCCCAAGTAAAACCACCGTGTAATAAAATTTAATGGAAACATGATGATCTACCATATGTAAATGCTTTAAACATTTAGCGTAGTGTGTGGAAGGAAAAGACGCAGCAAAACATTTTGTCGTCTTTTTATATTGCTTACTACCAAGGTCATGACCAATTTTGAGAAGATAAAGCAAGGTGATAGGTCAGACTCGTTTTTGGTATGTGGCTTGCGAGTTTACCCTTCAAACATTTTGTTATAGGCTATCTCTGAAATTTGCCTTTTTTTTTTCTCCTCTACCAGCTGGTAATACCTGGATTTTAGCCACTGCATGTCTTATACTTAAGAGCTTGGGTAGTATCATTGGAAAGGCCAGGGGAGGAACCCTTATGCAGGATTTTGCTTTATAAAAAGTTTGGATTTATGGTGCCAGTACTAGATTATAGAAGGGGATCAGGTGGAGCAATAGAGCAGTATTGGAGCTAGAGATTGGCTTTTGCAATCAGTCAGTCAATCAATAACCAAGAAGTAGCAGCATTTAATATCTTCATCATCCATTTACTTTAAAAACGTGTTTATCACTCATTTATAATGTTTGCTCTAGAGGTAAAGCAAATTCTTGTTTCTACTTTTCAGACACTGATTGGAGACACTGGTTGATATTTTTGGCACAGTGTTAAGTGTGTTTATTAAGTTCTTTAGGAACCAAGAGGAGATGGTAGGAGGAGACCTACTGAGGCATGCTGTAAAATTCTGGTGATAAAATATGTTTAAATTAAGAGGGTCAGGAAATCATGGCATTCCCCTTTCACCTACATGCTTTTTTTTTGCACCACAATTCTACCATGTGGTATGGTTAAGGTGTATTGTGATAAACCCATTTCTTTAAAACCCATACTTTTGTTAACAGTGAATGACAATATCTACCATATGACTGAATTGAGCTACTTGGGAAATGGCTATTATTTTTAAATCTTAGGTGACTTTGAGGAGCAATCATCAATTACATGTATCTCTTGAACTTTAATCAAAGTTGTTACACTTTGTGCCTCATTTGATCTCTGCAAAGAAAGTTATATAGGAGTGCTGGGAAGATGTTGTCTTGGTTCGTATCCCTAACTTTCTTGCCCTTCCAACTTCCTTTTTGGAATGGTGTGACAAATGGTTCAGGCTTTACTTGCTCCTAGAAAGTACATTTGAGGCCACACATTCTTGCAAGTCCTGTGTGGGGAGAGAGAAGGCAAAGGAACTAAAAAGCTTACATTATCTCAGTATATCAATGTGATGTTTACATTAAATATTTTGTATGTAAACATGCCAATCAAGTGGTGTATATTTTTTGGTAGAGCAGAAGACGGGCGTAAAGGAATTGACTATACTTAAAACATTTCAAAAGACCTTCCTGGGGTTTAGTAATCTTAGCCCAGATCTGGAATGTGAAAAATGTACTTAGGGTGTATTGTGCAGAAATCAGATGTCCTCAAGTTTTCTGTAGCTGATGTATGTATGAACCATTTCCTGCTTATTGTGATATGTGTGATCTGCTCTGTTGACATTATTAAGAAGGATTTGTTTCTTGTTATAATTAGTAGTTAAATATAACGACAGATGTTCATATGCTATAGATTCAGGATTACGTCTGGTTCTTTTAGACTTTTGAGCAGTTTATATTTTAGAATATGCTGTAGAATCCTCTTTTTACATATTGTCTGTCTGCACTGGTACTAGTCAATTGCTGGGTACCTCTTCTATCTCTTATATAGGATCACTGGTACTATTTGTTTTATGGTATCGTTTTTATCTGCCTTTCCCAGAACTTATTCCATGTTTTAGTCTATTTATTTCTGACTACCAAGATACAAATAAGTTTGCTGTATCTCAACGTCTAAATATACATATATATTACAAAAGGAACAAAATTTTCAAATGAGAATACTGCCATTTATAAAAGTCAATAAAAAGTTAAATATCCCCTCTATATAGGGCAGTCTTTTGTATTACAGTTACTTTTTATATACTGTGCATTAACCTTTCTTTTTTGAGCATAAACCAGTCTTGAACAAATTCAGTTTGTTCAGGTTATTATTATTCTGCTGAACTGCAAAATTTAACTGTTAGAAGGTCTTTAGGACCTCCTGGGTCTCCAATAGGAGAGTCAAGTTGACTGTCTTTCTATCTCTCCCTTGTATTCTTGAAAACTTGCTTTCTGGTAACAGTAGAATGTTCTAGATATTCTTTGGTTTTCCTCTGCCCCAGTTCATCTAACTAAATGTCTTTCAAGGAGTTCTATGTCTTTTCGTGAAACAAGCCTAGAGTCTGGGGTTGCCTGTGGGAGTTGGTTTTTGGGCAGAGAGTAGTGCTGGCCAGTCGGGTCACTCTTAAGTGTGACAGAAGTAGAAACTGTTTACTTTTCACTATATGAGTTTACATTTTAACATATCATGTTGTTACCAGTTTTTCAAAAATGTGTGTTTTATTGATTCCCAAAGACTGACTTCTGTATTCACATGGATATTTTAGATTTCCTTGTATCTAATGTCTTGTGGTAAATATTGCTGTTAAGGATAAAATAATAATATTTTGACATTAATCTGATAGGATAAAATCTTTAGGATAAAAATGGTGTGAAATGAATGAGATTTTCTTGATAAACCAAAAAGTTGAAAAAAACTAATCTTTACTCAGGTTCTGGTAATTAACACAAAGTGGTTAAGATACCTGAATGTTATTTATGCTGATTTAGAATAATAAGTAACAAGTTTCTTTTTTTTTTTTTTTTTGGCTGAAGCCAAGTAGCAAGTAACACATTTCTTGAGCAGGCAAAATGCTTGGTTAGATCCTATGTGGGAACCAGGGTTTTCCAGTTATGATTATACTTATGTTGTTGCATGCTCAGGAGCAAGAAACATCATTAAAGTAGCATTACTTTTGCCATGTTTAGATATACTTAAGATATTCATAGGTGAGTTTATTTTGGAAAGGTTAACTATCTTTTGTTATTCTAATATGTATTCTAATATTTATTTCATTAAATTTTCCCAAAGGCAAACTTTTGGGCAAGGCAGTGAACATACAGGTTTTCTTTTCCTTTACTTGGCTCTCATAGAGGCATAGATCTCAAGAATTGAAAGGAATCATAAAGTTTAACTCACTGAACTTTTTTTTTGTAGAAGAAGAACTAAGTGGTCGGTGATAAAAGTGCAACTTGTTCAGTTTTTAATGTTTTCTTGATTCAGAGTAATTGTTATAAAAAGTGGTCATCATGTTATATTGTAAATATGTACTTTAATTGTTATTTCTCAGAAAATTCATCTAGATGGTATATTCCTGGTACTAATATCTAATTTGTTGAAATGTGATTTATTGTACTTTCTATTATATAAAACTGCCATTTTATGTTTGAAATTTCATTTTTCTTAGGAAAAAAGACTATACTTCTCTATGTATTAGCATTGACACTGCTAAAACGTGTATTTGAGTAAAGTTAGTATTAAATATTATTTCTTCAAATACATTATTGAAATCTTATGTAATGAAAATGCTTTTAGAATGTGTGATATGCCTGGGATATATACCATTATATAATGCTGCATTTTTTTCCACCATTGATTAAGAGTTCTTGAAGCCAGCATAGCAGAGAATAAAGCATGTTTGAAGAGGACACCTACAGAAGTTTGGAGGGATTCTCGAAACCCTTATGATAGAAAAAGACAGGACAAAGCTCCCGTTGGGCTAAAGAATGTTGGCAATACTTGTTGGTTTAGTGCTGTTATTCAGGTAAGGATTTTTCTTTATTCAGTTCTTATTTGATGTGTGTGATAGCAATGGAAAGTGAGTTGGTTGTGTTTAAGTTGTGTACTTTAAAGATAAGTACAGATAAGTTTTTAATATACTATTTTGTCTAATAAACTAGCTTGGGGATTGAAGTATCCTCCCATCCCTCTTTGTTTTTCATTTCTAGTATGTATTTTTTAACAGTAGATCACTACTTATGCCTTTCACTTATTTGGAATCAATTTATCCTTTCCTTCTGCTTTTAGGAATTGTTGGGGTGGAAAGAGTTTTGTATATATTTCCCTGCAAATTTATGGAAGCATTGTAACCAAGTTTGAAACTAGAACTGGCTTTCTGTGGGTCAGATCAGATTTATTTGTATATACTAGACAGTGTTATTTATAGAATTATAGACACTTAGTATTTTTAATAAGCATTTTGTTTGAGGTTGGTATAGATTTGCAAATCTGAGTTTGCATGTGAAATGATGTGATGAATAAATATTGATAAATCAAGAATAACACATTGTCTTTTTTTACTAAGAAATCCCTTAATGATACATTTCTTGATCTGCTTATTCTAAAATAAGAGACATATGTATGTGTAGATATCCCTCTTTTCAATTTGGAACAGTTTTCTTTTACGTGTTTAACAACTGTTATCAAAATTCTTTATCATTCTCGGTTGACATTGATAATGTTATCCATCAGATTGCAAAACTTTAAAACAATTTATGAATAATATGTCCTTAATTTTTATTACTCCTTAGGAAAGTTAACTAATGTTTTGTGTTCGTTTTTGTGTGACAGTTGAATTATAGCTTATTATTTCATGTTCGTGATGAATGCTTTTTCCTTCATTGGACATGCATGCTATTTTTTGTATTCAAAATATATCTTCATTTTGTAACTTTCCAAACCTGTGTGTATGACAGCTTAAACTTTCATATGATATTAAGGCAACTAACAGGTTATTTGGTTCATTTTCTACAAGTTAATTGTTTTTGCTAACTTGTAATTTTAACTTTTTTTTATATACTTCAGTGCTAAAATTTTCACCGTTTTCTCCCTTTTTGCTTCTGGTGCATAATATCATATAATTTGATTTTCTTTGTTTTTCTGGATTTACCTCACTTTTTAATATGCTGTGGTGCATCCTAATAAGTAATATGCTATGTTATTGGCTTTCCCAGGACATGAAGATGCTAAGGAATACCTGGATTAACATAAATCTATAGTAGTATCTTTGCTTCTAGCCTTGATTATACGTTGTTTACTTACATGCCAAAAAGCAATATCTAAAATATTGATACCTTAGAGATTCTTAGATCATCTTAATAGGCTATCTCACTTTACTTGCGCTATCTATTAAGAAGGTTTGTGCATATGATAATTTAGACATAATTTTAAAATATTAAGTATAGTTTTAAGGCTCTGAACTGAGTGCTCATGAACATGTTTTGCTGCCTGTGTTTGGTCAAGTAGATGCTATCTCAGCACTATTATGGCAAATACATGAGGGTCATTGATTAGAAGCTTTTCTTAGAAAGGTATAAGAAGAAAGAAAGTATTTGTAAATAATATTGTTAGAATAGTTGCTTTTTATTTCTCTATCCTGTATGTGTAGGGAAGTTCTGTTTGAAATGATAAATGCTGATATAGGGATAATGACCTTTTGTTTTAGTAGGATAAAACTTCTTTCAGCAGCTCAGTTTAATCTTGATACAGTTACAATCTGTTTCTACCCTAAGTTTGCTAATCTTAGCTTTTCTAGCTTTTCTTTTTAGCTTAGATTTTTTTTTTTAAGAAGGAGGGAATGGGCTAGAAAAAAATTATCTTTTAAAAAAATGCCTAGCTTATTTAAAAACTAGTAATTGTACTAGTTTTAAAATTTTATCTAAGTTTAGTGGCTGCTTAACTCCTAACATAGGCAAGTATAAGAGGGCTTGAGTTATTTATTTTTTCTTTTGGTGAAATCTAAACATCTAGGAGAAGTAACCTATAAGCTTAAAAATTCAGGTTATAATGGCCTAATAAGATAATGGCTTTTGAGGGAGTAGAAAACACTAAGCATCAGATTGTGGAAAATGATGAGTGGGCAGAAAAATTTGGCTAGAGATCACCTGAAGTTTTATTTTTTATGGTAATTTTAAAATCTATCAAACTATTTTAAGTAGCTTTTAACTTTTATCTTTGGTAGAGTCTTCTTAAAAATTTTCTACCATTATTGCTTAACTCTAAGCTATAAACTGAGATATAATACTTGGCCATCATAAATTGACTTTTTACTTGTGAATGAAAAGTTGGGCCAAAAATCTACCATAGTGTTGGAGGTTTTGTTGTTTTCCACAGTGAGTTGGAACTTACTCAAATTGTGATGTAAATGTACTGTAAAGTTTTGATTACAAAATTTTCTCGGGGATGGAATTTACTTAGTAGGACTAATTTGAAACATCTGGGAATTCTTTTTCTTGTAAATATATTGACCAGTTATAGAAGTTTGCTAGTAATATCACCCTTTAACTTCAAAGTATATAGCTGGGGTAGGCTACAACAGTTATAGATAGCTTTGCATACTTATTATTTTAGATACTGAGACCAATATTTTGGTAGAAAGGGGGAACAGAATGTAAGAAAGGGAATATAAACAAAGAGAAGATTGTACAGATAATGGCTTAAATAATCTTTTGGCTGCTGGCAACATTAGCCTGTCTTTAGGTTAGACATCAACCCCACAGCTAGTCAGGATTATTTTTGTCCTATTCACTTGGTACTTTTATGTAGAAAGTACTGATTGCAGCTGTTCCCCACTAGGGTGTCACTGAATGAGTTAGCTATTTGGAGGTGTATGTTCTTCTCTGTAGCTCTGGGACATGTCGTTGAAGTGGTATGGGTGCTCATGATGATCCTTAGCCCCTTAGCACCTTTCCATTTGGATGCCGAGAAGTAAGGTGCTCATACTTCTCAGTTTGCTTGTCATAGTCCCTTTTACTCCTATTGTAGATCTGTTGGCACCTGTCACTTAGTCCTAAAGCCCTGCTGTGTATGATGGTAAAGTATGTGGTTACCTTACTCATAAATCATATAACTGCAGGTTGACTAAAATACAGGCACCCTGAGGGCAGAGAGCACATTTAGGGTACTCTATATTATATATATAATACAGGGTCTGGCACATTGGAATAGCCCATCAAGTAATTATTGCATGAATGGATGAATGAACCAAAAGGGAGCATGTATGGAGTATCTAAAGTAGTACGTGAGGATATTTTAAAAAATGATGCATATTGTCAGAACATTTCAGGATATAATTTAAAATGCTTATTCATACTCCTTGCTCTTCTCTCTTTAATTTTCATCAAAGAAAAAATCATGTGGCACTAAAATGCTTAAACCTGTCTGCTTCCTAGTCCTGCCCCTTGAAAGAGACCTGTATCTAATCCATTTCTTCTCTATCTTCATTTTTCTAAATGACATGCCTTCCCACTGAGATAGATGAGGAATTTGCTCTTTCAGTTCACCTGCCTAGAATTGCCTTTTGTTTCATCTCTCAACATGGTTATAATACAAATTAAAAATAGTAGGTAGTCAGTATTTTCATTTTTTATAACTTTGTAAATGTTACAGTGATTCACTAGGTCCTCCCATCTATAGTACTTTGTTATCCTGGAGTTGTCAATTGCTACCTTTTTCCCCTATTTTCTATATACTTTAATATTTTCTAAATGCTTCAACATGTTTGTTATGGTCTTAATAATATATTCTGTATGCCCACACATATTTGCTTCATTTTTTTGTTTGTTTGTTTTTGGAGTTCTGTCCCATAGACCATTTCTCTGTTTCAAATTTGGGGTGAATTCTGATTCTTTGTGGTTTAAGCATGATCACTCGCTTTCTAAAAGTAAGTCTAGAGAAATGGGATTGGTCGATGTGGGTATCAGTTTACATGTTTTTACTTAATCTTGCTGTTTGTAGCTCTCAATCATCTCTCCTTTGTACTGTGACATACAATTTGACTGATTTTTCTGAACCTGAGTCATTTAAGATCTCCAAAGACTAAATTTCCTATACACCCACAGAGGGGAGGCAATTGTCTGAATGTGCTGGGTCTGGAAAGCACATGGGGGTTTAATTGTTCTGTACATAGACTTGTGGTTTCAATAATGCCATCTATTTTTCAATCCCTGCCTCACCATGAAACTTATGTGATACCATGCTAATTTTTTTTTAATCCTCCGAGGAGAATTTATCACGCTTCTCAGTCTTCTCCACTGTAGGCAGTTTATGTTTCATTTCCTCTGCACTCTTGCCATCACTTCTTTCTTTTTCACAAATTATTTGAACTCTTATCCCCCATTATGTCTTTGTTATTAGCAAGAATCTAACCAAACTTCATTTTCGTAAGTGCTTTTCAAAATTCACATATTAGCTTTGGACTGAATGAAAGGATGGTTATTTTCAGGTGCATTAATCAAAAACACTCTTCAGGCAGTAAAAGTTACCCTTTCTTACCTCTTTTGAAGGAATACATTGGACAGTCCTCATATGACTTTGGTGAAGGATATAGGGTCTTTGGGACTTGAAAAACTTAATTTTTATGATTTGTTGTGATAATCAATGGTGATGAGTTTCACTGAGTAATGGTAGATGAGGTTGTTTTAGACCATCTGCCTTGTGATGTTTTGCTGGATTCCAAAACAGAAATAAAACCAACCTTTTGAGGGCATCACAGAGTACTAAAGCAGTGAGGAATTTTGAGTAAAGAAGGATAGTCATAGAGTGAGCTTGTTATTTTTGATGGATTTTGTCCTTTAGGCATCTCCAGAACTGACTGCTGCGTAGTTGAGGAACTAAGAAAATTTTTGCACAAAGTTTGAGCCCTAGTAAAACATCTTAGACTGTGAGTTGGAATTCTAAATGGTTAGAATGTAGCATTAACTGAGAACTGAAAGTTAAGACAGGCTTCCTAGTTTCTGAATTATATAGTTTTAAGTTATCTCAGAATTTATTGGATTAAGGCGACCTGAGACTGTGACTCTAGTCTCCCTGCCTGCCAGAGCAAATGTAAATTCTCTCTTAGAAGATAGTATTATCTGGAACCTTTCCTCAATTTTTCATACACAATGTCTAGTACTCAGGTCAGTCATACCAGAAAATAAGATGTGTGTGAAAACTAACACAAAAAAATGGACAATAGAAAACAGCACAGGGAAACTGGAATACTTGTCTGCCATAATAATAATTAATATGTTCAAGGAATTAAAAGCAAGATTGCGAGTCTGAAGAAAACTAAAAACTGTAAAGAACAAAATGTAAATTTCAGAATGGAAAAATATAAATGAAACTAAGAAGTCAGTGGATAAATTTAGCAGCATTATTAGACACAACTGAAGAGATAATTAGCCAACTGGTAAATTAATCTGGAGAATATTTTTCAGACTAAAGCTATGACATAAAGATGGGAGCATCAAAGAGATACTTTGGATATGGTGAGTAGTACTAACAGTGTATTTGTAGTTCCAGAGGGAGAGTAAAAGGAAATAGGGCAAAAGCATGTTTGAAGAGATTACTCACAATATTCCAAACTTGAGAAAGATCAAGCCATAGATTCAGGAAGCAATAGGAATCAAATAGTATAAACATAAAGAATACTGCACCAAAGTACATCATAATAAAACAAATAACTATAGACAAAGAGAAATCCTAAAAGTTGCAAGGTGGAAAAAGATACACGTATAAAGGAGCAAAAACAAGACTAATAGCTGACTTTGATACCTTTAAACATCAAGTCACACATAAGCAGAAATAATGTCTTTAAAGTGCTAGAAATAAATAACTGGCCATCTTGAATTTTATACCTAGCAGAAGTCTTTAAAAATGAAGAAAAACTAGCTGAAATAATTCTTCACCAGCACACCCACACCAAAGGAAGTTCTAAGTATCCAGGAACAAGGAAAATTCTCTATCTACAATGGGAGCTCAGAGAATAGAAGTGGGATTGAAATTCTTCTAACCTGCCAAGATTCTCTTTCCTCTTTAAATTCCTCAAAAGAATAGTCCATGGTTTGTCTCCCCTACTTAACAGTAGTCCCCCTTATCTTTGGTTTCACTTTCTGCTGTTTCAGTTACCTGCTGTTAATTGTGGCTGAAAATATTACAGTACTGAGAGAGAGAAGGAGAGGGAGAGAGGGAGAACACATTCATATAACTTTTATTACAGTATGTTTTCTTTACAATTGACCTATTTTATTATTCGTTATTGTTGCTAATCTCATACTGTGCCCAATTTATAAATTTAGCCATTATAGGCATGCAAGGAAAAAAAACATAATATATATGGAGTTCAGTAATATCTGTGGTTTCCGGTATTCAGAGGAGATTTTGGAATGTATCCTTTTTGGATAAGAGGGTGCTACTCTGTACCCCATTTTCCCATTATTTAATGCCTCTGTTCTTCCTCTACCACTCCACTGCAAACATGACTTTGCAGTTGCCAAATCCAAAGGTTATTTCTCTGTCCTTAATTTATTGGAAGAATGTGGCAACCTTTCATGATATTGCTAATCTTGTCCTCCTTGAAATGTGCCAGCTATTTTTTGATGTACAGCAGAATCTTTTGTGGAACTTTGTATCTTTATTGAGAGTCCCCTGACACAGCTATTTTTTAAAGCTCCGCAGTTTATTAGAATACACAAGTATGTTTGAAAGCCCTTGTTTTCTCCACTCGTTTTTCTTCTGTGATTTCCCTTAGTATTCCTTTCTCTTTTTCAAAACTCTTTTTCTTTTTTCCTGTGATTTTTAAATGGTGCTTTCTCCCCAAGGTTCTGATCTTGGCCAACTGTTAATGTATTCATATCCCTTCTGGTTTATTACTTCTACTCTTACTGTTTTAAAAAGCAGTCACAAGACTGTAATCCCTACAAGGGCAGAGACTACCTTCTTAGTGTCTGGCATATAGTAGATGCTCCATAAATATTTGTTAAATGAATGAATAGATGATTTATTTTATGTGCTTATATTGTTGAATAAATCTTTCTAGATCACAAGATAAAATTTTTTTTTACAGTTTCTGTTACCAGCTTTATGGTTTTACCTTTCATATTTAGGTTGTTAATTGATCTATGTAATCTGGCTCTATTTCTTTATATGTAGTTTTCTCAATACCCAACTGTTGATCAAAACCTTGTTTCCTCATTGATTTGTGGTGCCACCTTTACCTTCTGTCAAGTTGGCTGACTCACCTTTTCTAAGATTTGAAACATTATCACTTCCTGTATAGTAATTTTCAAACTTTATAAACTGTGACCCAAGAAAGGAATATACTGTATATTATAAAACATTTTACACATACACAAGTGTGTAAAATATCTACAATGAAAATTTTGCAAGAAAATACTCTGATGTATTTACTGAGTATGATACATTGTGATATTTTCCATTGTATTTTATCTCATTTTAAAGAAATGTTCAGTATGATGATAGTAAATGGTTGCAAACTACAGTTTAAAAAACATACTCCAGGAAGCCTTTCCATGGGCATCCTGCATATGCTCCATTAGATTCTTGTGTAATTATTATCACTGCATCTTGAAGTCACGACATTTCTATTACATGTCTGTCTCCTTTCTAAATTGTGTACTTCCTTGAGCATTGAGATAATATGTAATTTCTTTGTGTCTCTATTACCTAGGATCTGATGAGTAAATTTATTTGTACTCCATTTTTCTAGTATTAATGATACATCTAGATAATTCATGGTAAACATAGCAGGTCTAAAAAGTTTTGGACTTGACATTTGCATACTCTTTATTTTGAGGAAACTGCTTAAGTGCATATAAAAAGAGCTATTAATAATGAGTAGTATATTTAAAAAGTTGTCCAAATATAATCTTGTGCACTATCAAGTATCAAGAATGGTATGTCAAATAAAAGAAACTTGACTTTTTCTCAGAAGTATGTCCTCCTTGTGCCAGTTGCAATGATTCTGAGTATAAGTAGTACACAGTTGTAAAAAATAAACCTCCAAGACTAGTCATTTTTACATTCTGCTAATGGAATTTTCCCTCAGGTTATGTTAAATTGTTGTTCTTTTTCAGTCATTATTTAATCTTTTGGAATTTAGAAGATTAGTTCTGAATTACAAGCCTCCATCAAATGCTCAAGATTTACCCCGAAACCAAAAGGTAAAATTCAAAAGATTTTTTTAAGCAGTATATATACTCTATATGTTCTCTTATATGTGATTGATTTTTGGGCATTTACTTGGCTCATCAAATCTGAAACTGTCAATTTGAATGTCAATTCATTAATCTTAGTTACCATAGCAAGTTCTTATCCTTTGTTAATATATTATAAATACGACTTTTTTCCTTTACCTGTCACAGTAATATGCCAATTTTTGGTGTCGCTTTAGTAATTTTTTTGGGGGGGACTGTCAAATTTCAGTAAACTTTATAGGCTATAGTTTACAATTTAAGGTCTTTCCTCAGTTGTCTCCTAAAAAATTTTGTGGAAATCGAAATTTCTTTTCAATTGATCGTCTTGTGCAGCCCTTTAAAAAATGCGTTTTGCATTCATGTCTTTGCAGTACAAATCTGTATCTTTCATTTTGGAAGTGACTGTCATAGATGGGTAATATAAAGTGACAACACACACACCAGGGCCAGATTGCGTGGGTTCTAGCTAGGGACCTAGAGCTGGTTACTTGATTTCTCTCTGTTCCATTTACTATCTGTAAATCATATATAATAATAGTAATTATTTCATAGAGTTGCTGTGAGCATTAAATGAGGTAAAACATGTAAGGGGCTTAAAAGTGCTTGGTACATAGTAAGTACTAGGTGTCAGCTATTGTCAGTTAAACAATAAAAAAAATTAAAAAAAAAAAAAGACTTATTTTAAAAAGAACCAGTTTGCACACAGAATTTATACCTAATGGAAAAAATTACTTATGGAGATGATATAGTTGCGTGTAGGGCTTTAGTGGTTGATCTTGTCATAAACAATCTGTAGTCCTAAAGTGGACTTATTGCCAAGGCAAGGGAGTTAGTTTTAGGTTTCAGTAAACTGCTGAACTTTTTTGACCTATTTTTAGTAGGAGTGATGAAATATTAAATTATGTTTTCGTTTTAGCGTTTAATTTTTAAAACCACTTTTTCTTTTTCTGTAAACACGTGAAACATTTATAATGCATGCTAGTGGGAAGATAACTTGATTTATAACCAGCTTTTCAGGTTATAATCTCTGGGCTGTAGAGTGTCAGGCTGATAAACAACCCATTTTCAAAAGGGAGTCAGGATCGTCTGACAAACTCTTATGTCTCCAGAAAAATTAAGGAAAACCCTTTCAATCATTATGGTTTTTACATGGAACTTTCTGAACTATTGCCTCTGTCATTGCAATTTGTTAATATCACAGTTCTTCTCTCTTCTCATATCTCAAAGTATATGTATAATTTGTGTGAAATGGTTGAGAATTATCATTTCTAGTTAGGTATGCATGTATGTATATGCATCTTGACCATTTATGGTCCTGGATTTTAATGTTTTACAGAGCTTTAATTTCTTTTGTTCTTCACAGAGTTGAATGAGGCCATGTTAGTTTGTATTCTTATTTAAAAAACAGTTGCTATATTTATGCTTATATATCAGAACGAGTTGTGAATACTAGAGAAATGTGTAATTCCAGTCTTCAGCACCTTTCTAGAGAAGTTTGTTTCTTGCAATGGGTTAGCCTCTCCAGGTGTCCCTTTAGCTTAAGGAAATAAAAGAATTTCTCACTTCCATTCTGAGACAATTACTTAGAATACTGTGCAATTTTATATGATTATTCCACAAATGTGACTCTAATTTAGTATAGTGACAGCAGTACACACTATACCTTGACATCTTTGAAGCAAATGGATTTATAGATAGTTATCAGCCACTGAATGGTCCTATATTCACTTGAGATGGTGACAGCAGGTTTTTAAAAAAGGCGTGAGTGTAACTTGTCACTTATTTAATAATGAATTTACCGCCAACTCGTGACATGTCTACAGCTACATTCAATTTGAACACTTTGTCTTAAGTTGCAGAATACATTTGGGATTACTTTGATCACATCACAGAGATGCCATTTGTATGCACTTTTAAACAGGATATTTTTTGCTAGCAAAATTTGCCACAAATATTACATACATATTGAGTGAGATTTGAAAGAAATCTAGTATTTGAAATTAGTATGTATTTTAAGTAGACTTGGCAATTGCTTGTAGAAATTGAAACTAATTTTAGACACTCAGGTTTCTTTGAACTGTTGGTAATTTCAGTGTCTAGGAGAATTGTGAGGTCCCTGGAAATATAATAATAGATCCTTGATGTAATCATCCCCTCTCCCCTCACACAGATATACATTTGGTTTAAAATGTTTCAGACTGATGGCAAAGCATATTAAATGTTGAGAAAACAAAGATGCACATGTATAATATTTAGTGGAAATCATCATGTAAATAGCTAAAGCCTTATTAATTGGAAGGTTATATTATTTAAAGTCTTGATTTAGGACAAATATTTCAAAATAAAGAAATTTATCACTTTCCACTACTTAAAGTGAATGTCATCAGAAGGAAATGGGTTTAGTTGAGTACCATACTGTATTCCTGGAGCAAATACCTGAAGGAATTTTGAATTTTACAAATAAAAGGGGCATTCTGAGATTTCTGCCATTAGTCATGAAGAAGTAACAGGAGCTGGATTTATAAGTCTCAGTGCATCTTAGAGGATTCAAAGCATACAAAATACCTTTTCTGATGAAAATGGTAGAAATCAAGGTAGAAATCAACAACAGAAAGATATACAGAAAATCCCCAGATAGTTGGAAATGAAGTAATTCACCTCTAAATATCCCAAGGGACAAAAAAACAAATCAAATGAGTAATGTCAGAATATTGTAAGCTGAATGAAAATTAAAACATGACATATCAAAATTTGAGGATGAAGCTAAAACAGTGATTAGTGGAAGATATCTTATAAGAGACATCTTACCAGACATCTTATTAGAAAAGAAGAATGGTTTTCAATTAATGATAGCAGCTTGCATATCAAGACATTAGAGAATAAAGGGCACGTTAATCTCAAAGCAGAAGTAAGGAAATAATAAAGGTAATAGCAGAAATCTGTGAACCAAATATCAGAAAAACAATACAGAAAATTATGGAACCAAAAACTGCTTCTTGAGAAGATTGGTGAAATTGATGAACTTCTAGGTAGACTAAGCAAGAAAGAAGAGGGAAGACATATATTACAAATATAAGGAGTGAAAAAGGGAAACATCACTACATACTCTGTAGACACTAAAGGGAGAATAGTGGAATATTATAAACAGCAGACAAGTATCTTGAAAGTCACAAGCTATCAAAGCTCACTAGTGAAGAAATAGATAACCTGTGGTAGCCCTACATTATATTAAAGGAACTGGAACCTGTCCACCAAAAAATTCAGCAGCTAAATAGTTTTACTTGTAAATTATATTAAGCATTTAAAGAACAAATGATAACAATTCCCTATAAATTTGTACAGATACTTAAAAAGTAAAACTTCCCAACTCATTTTGTGAGCTAAGCATTACCCTGAAATGAAAAGTAGGAAAATACATTTCAAGAAAAGCAAACCACACACCAATATTTCTCATGAATTTGGAAGCAAAGAATTGTAGCAAATTTTTGAAAAATTAAATCCTGCAATTATATATAAAGGATAATACCTCATAGAGAAGTGGGGCTTATCCAGGAATACAAAATTGGTTTAGCTTTCAAAAATAAATCAGTATACTTCACCATATCAACAGACTAAAGAAGGAAAACCATATTATCATCTCTGTGGATGAAGAAAAATGATTTGACCAAAGCTAAAATCTCATTTATGGTAAAAATCTTCTAGAAACTAGGAAGCAATTTACTTTTCAAATATGCTTCTCAGCAGAATTCCACTAATTTCCAAAAATTATTACTTCCAATTTTGTTACTGGGAATGTCTCAAAAAACTGCATTGACTTAGGTGCGGTGATAAAGAAACTGATCTCAGGAAATTAAGGGTACTTTTGAAAGTAATTTTGTGGATTAAAGCTCATAGTCTTTATACTTTTAAAACCTATGTCTGAGGGCATATTTGGAACCAGTTTTATTCCCTCTTACCTATTTCTCAGGACTCTTTTTTGGAATCTATTCTAGAAGCAATTCTTTCTATGTGGGTTATACTATTTTGGGCAGCAACTATGTAAAGATACACCCCCATCCCAGACCCCTAGAATTTTACAGTGTTGAGAATGCCAACTGTGTAAATTTGGAAGAAAATTTTCATGTTTAATATCTAAATTTTTTCCGTTAAAATTGTTATTATAAGAACTAAATATTATAAGAATGGCTTGCCTGGTTTGTTGTCATGAAACATTTCACTAAGTTATGTGAATTATGTTATTTTTTAAAATTTCCTTCTTGTTTTAAAATACATTGTTAGTGATTGGTAATGTGGGTTGTTTTAATTTCTTTCTGGAGATTTTGCTTTAATGAGCCAGTAAGAATTGAATGCTTTGTGTAGTAAAAAGTTGGGGAAAAGATATAGAAATTCTTGTCTTTGAGAATCTTATAGTCTTATTGAGAAACAAAAGTAAGATTTCAGAGGAATATTAGGAGGGTGATATATTAGTCTCCTATTAGGATCTGGTCTAATTATTAAATTAATAAAATTAAATAAATTTAAATATTGTGATTGAATTATATTAAATATAATGTTCGATAACTTTAGATATAAAATAAATGAGTATAAAATAATTTTATAAGTAATTTTTATTAAATATAAAAACAAATATTAAATTTCTAATAATCGGGTGAGGTTCTAATATTAGTCTAATAATTAAGATTGTCACACCACAGTGACAGTCGGTGATTCATTGCTCAGTGAAAGGCATTTATTTCAGTAGATGTGGAATTTGAAGGTATCGTTGACTTGAAGGAGTCTGGAAAGGCTTCATGGAGGAGTGGAGATTTTTGCTAAATGGGTTTATTGAGATCAAGCACTTAGAACAGTGCCTGGCATGTAGTGAACACTCATTGAATGTTGGCTGTTATTATTGCTCTGAGCAGCAGCAGCTGGGCCTTGCTGAATGGGAAGTATTATGAGAAGCAGTCTTGAATGAGGAAGATATTCTTGGCTGAGTAATGACATGATTTGCTGTGAATATGTGGCATTCATGCTGAAATTGTGAGCCTATCCTAGGTCTTCTGCCTTTTTGTGCTGGACTTCTTTGAGTCTCTTAGATGGCACCAACACTCTACTTTCTTCAATTATGATAGAGTGCTAATTCATCCCTAAACTATATTGGCTAGTTTAATTTTTGGTTACTGTTAAAATGAATATTTATTAGTAAAAATTTTCTTAATCTTCAGTTAAGGTGTTTTTGTTTTTGTTTTTTTCCTTCAATAGGAACATCGGAATTTGCCTTTTATGCGTGAGCTGAGGTATCTATTTGCACTTCTTGTTGGTACCAAAAGGAAGTATGTTGATCCATCAAGAGCAGTTGAAATTCTTAAGGATGCTTTCAAATCAAATGACTCACAGCAGGTAGTTCTGTTGCACTGACTTGTTCATTAACCATTTGTATTTAATCTGAACAATATTAAGCACCTTTCCCAAGAATATGAGACTATTTGAGATGCATGATTCTGCTTTATTAAAAATAACCTGGAACCATTTAAAACATTTGGGAGACTTTTAAGAGAAAAGTGATCTTGAAGGTGTTAAAATAAAGTTTTAATTTATATTATGATTGAAATGAAAACGATGGATACAATTAAGATTATTTACAAATACATAATTAAACATGTTCACAAATGTGTGATAACAGAGGATCATTATAGTACACATGCTTTTGATATTCCTGTGTTTGCTGGCAGGGAGTACTTTTCCTTAATTACCCAGAAATGGTTTTTGAAAGATGTTATCTTTGTTATTGTTGCTTTTGTCTTTTATTCTTTATATAGTGTATTGTGGTAGATTTTTATCCATTACCTTAAAAGAATATTGGTAATTTTCTTATAAAAAATACAAAATATCTATAAACAAACCAGTATTTTCACATATAATTGGAAAAATCAGAGAAATTAAAGAAGGAAAACAGAGGAAAAAATACAGTGGCAAAGAATAGTAAGTGTTCAAAAAGATAGCGGCAATGTGTAATGGCAGAAGTTTCAAAAAGCCACTAAGCTTGCAGCGTTGTTTTTTAAAGTACATACTTGGATGTGTCTCTGTTTTGTGATGTATGGAGAGGGCGTTTGGAAGAGGAAGGTCTGAGATTCTCTCACCATCTTCCTTGTGCTTTTTGTTTCTGCTTTACATTTACCTTG
Source organism: Homo sapiens (assembly GCF_000001405.40). NCBI lineage: Eukaryota > Metazoa > Chordata > Mammalia > Primates > Hominidae > Homo > Homo sapiens. The sequence continues at coordinate 15,806,041 of NC_000021.9, forward strand.
TATGGCAAATGTGAATGAACAAAAAGGGCACTCACATCAGAGTTTCTTTTATATGTTGTTGCATTTTTAAAAAAAATTCTAACAATGCTCCAGTGCCTTTTAGGCTTAGTATCTACTCAGCTTTGTTTCTTACTCGCTCTGTCATGGTAACACTAACACAAATCAAAAGAAAGAGAAATAATTTTACAGTTGATTCCAAACCATCATTTTCGGGCATTCAGCATTCCTTCTGGTTCTAAATGTGTTTTACTTTTTTTTTTCTTCTTTAGTATGCATAGTATCTTTTCCAGTGATTCTGAGTATACAATTAAATTTTTTAAAAGATTACTTCTGTTCTCTGACTTATCTTTCCTTCTGGATGGCTTTTTCCTTGTCTTTTTTCTGGTTTCTTTTTTTTTTTTCTTTCTTTTCTAGAGATTCATGTTGATTTTGGGGTATCTTTTCACATTTAAAGATGAGGCAGCATAGACTTTGTCTGGAGCCATGTATGTACATAGGTGGGCTTTTCAGTTTGAGTTAGAGTTGAAATGGATACAACTGGCGGTTAAGGCCACAATATAAATGCTTTTGCTTCAGATTAGCAGTGTAGACTAACTTTTGAAATTAGTGATTCTTTTTCTTTAGAGGCCTTTTAAAGTAGATGTGCATCAATTAAGGTTGATAAGTTTGATTCTCTTCTGTTCCCTAAACACTTGAATTTGAAGTCTACAGGAGTAATTTAGTGAATCTGTAAATGTAAGCATCATGATTTTTTTAAAAGTGAATTTATATTTTCATTGTATCTTCTTCCTAAATATTTCAAATACATCATCTTTTGAAGTACACAGGAGTCTTTTGAGACACCCTTTGGTATGTGATACTGTTAGTTTTTTCTTTTTCTTTTCCGTGTTTGTTTTTTTTTGAGACACAGTTTTGTTTTGTCACCTAGGCTAGAGTACAGTGGTATGACAATGGCTCACTGCAGCATCAGCCTCCTGGGCTCAACCCTTCCCCAGACCTCAGTCTCCCAAGTAGCTGAGACCACAGGCACATGCCACCGCGCCTGGCAAATAATTTTATTTTATTTTTATAGAGACAGGATCTCCCTATGTTGCCAAGCCTGGTCTCGAACTCCTGGGCTCAAGCTATCCTCCTGGTTTGGCCTCCCAAAGTGCTAGGATTATAGACATGAGCCACCACACTTGGCCCCAATTGATACTGTCAATTTTAATCATACCTTTAATTGTTTTATTTTATAATTGTCAATTTTAGATTGATTTCTAAGAAAGATAGGGATTAACTTCTGAAAAATATTGTGTTAGCTAGGAAACCTTATTTTTTGTTGGATGTAATGTTTAAGTGAATTAAAGTTATACAAAAGTATGAAAAGTTGTTTTAAGGTGTTACAATAGTTCCTAAGGACAGTCGTAACAAATTACAACAAATGGAGTGGTTAAAAACAAAAGGTTATTCTCTAATAGTTCTAGAGGGCAGAGGTCCAGAGTAAAGGTGTTGGCAGGGCCACACTTCCTCCATTGGCTCTGAGGGAGAATCCTTTGCTTCCACCGTACTCTGGTGGCTGTTGGTGTTCCTTGCCTTGAGGCAGCATAGCTCCAATCTCTGTCTTCCTCTTCATGTGGCTTTCCCTCATGTGTCTGTCTGTCTTCTGGTTTTCTGTTTCTTACAAGAACACTCACCATTGGATTTAGCCCCAGCCCTAATCCAGGCTGATCTCATCTCAAGATCCTTACCTTAATTATATTGACAAAGACCATTATTCTAAATAGTGTCACATTTTGAGGATCTAGGTGGACATATATTTTTGCAGGCTACTATTCAACCCGCCACAGATGTTATGAATGTTTACAGCTGGATTTTTGCGTTGCGTTTAGTCCTATTTAACTCTACAGCTTTGGAGCAGTTTACTTAAGCTTCCCAGACTTTAGTTTCAACATTTTTTTGAGGTTAATATAAAGTTGGCCTACATGCTCTTTAAGAAACTGCTGGCTGAAAAAATATATGATAGTAAGTTTGTTTTGTATTTGGGGCTATTTTGGTAAGTAAGGACAAATTGCTTACTACTGATTCATCTGCCTGTAAGCAGCCTCAGTAGAGTTGATTTATTGTTTTTCCCTTATGTTCTATTTATTATTTTCTGTGTTCCAACTCACGTTATTGAAAGAATTATGGTAGTTGATAACACAACTGCCACAACCTATTCCTGTTTTTCCGTGTTGGGAGAGCAAAGACCAAAGGCATGGTGAAAGGTGATAAATGGGCTGGTTCTGAATGATAGTAAAGGTAGATATGGCTTAAAAAGTTGTGTGTGTAAGTTGAATTAAGAAAAGTGAATTGTGGAAAGAGACTAGTCTTCCTTCTAAGAGAGAAGCCAGTCATAATTCTTTATAAAACGAAGAACTGTTTGCTAAGATGATTTCTTCATTTTATAAAGATTCATTACAGAGCTCTTTGGGTGGGGAGTAATGATTATTTTTTAAAAATCTCATTTGTAAGTTTGGTTTTTGATTGTGTGTGTGTGTGTGTGTGTGTGTGTATTTTAAAGTGAAACCCAATAATTGATTATCATATAATGCTTGTTTTTTCAAATATCTTATATCCTGGTTAAATTATAAAAGTTTCTTGCATTTCGTGTGAAACATTTCACTTGTTATCTTTGTAAGGAGTTGGTAATTATATATTTCAACAACTGGCTCTAGGTTTGATGTTACAACATCTAGTATTTTTTTTTTAGTAGGCTCAAATATCAACAGGCTTTTTTCTTTTCACAGCAAGATGTGAGTGAGTTTACACACAAATTATTAGATTGGTTAGAAGATGCCTTCCAAATGAAAGCTGAAGAGGAGACGTAAGTTACCGTGAAGTTTAGCAATGGGGTTTTAGGAATTCATTAGATAGCATGTATTAAATGTCAACAGAGAAATAAGAAATCAAGACAGACTTATGGGAATCCCAGTATTTTCTGTATTATTGACAAGCTGTTTAGAATTTGCAGGCACAAATAATAGTGTAACCAAAAAAATCTAAAAAGTGATCCCTGGAAGAGCTAGTCTTACATGCCCAGTTCCTTTTCTTAGATTCAATAATCACTTTTCATGACGAGGAATGAATTTGCGGTGGAGAAAGATGTCAGGAATGTGAATTGTGACAAAATCCTTTTACGTAGAAGCATGAAGACAGGGATATGAAGTAGCAGTGCATGTGAGCAAGTGGCTCTGTTTTATCTGTTCACTCAGGGCCCCGAGGTCACCTAGGTTTCTGGGATCTTGCTGGCAGTGAAAATTATACTGTGTCTCTAAGTTTCTGCCCAGAGGTGACACACATCACTTCTGCAAACATTTTGTTGGGCAGAGCTATGTGGCCTAACTTCAAAGTGAGTAGGAATATCTCACACTAATTAGGATGGCGGCTACGAAAAAAAACGAAACACCCCCCCCAACCCCTACTGACCCAAGAAAATAACGAGGGTTGGCAAGGATGTGGAGAAATTGAAACCCTTGTGCAGTGTTGGTGAGGATATGAAATGGTACAGCCACTGTGGAAAACAGTATGGGGATTTCTTAAAAGATTAAAAATATAATCACCATATGATCCAGCAATTCTGCTTCTTGGTGTATATCCAAAAGAATTGAAAGCAGGGTTTCAAAGAGATATTTGTACACCTGTGTTCATAGCAACGTTATTCACAATAGCCGAAAGGTGGAAGCAAACCAAATGTCCATTGATAGGTGAATGGATAAACAAAATGTGCTGTATATACATACAGTGGAATATTATTTATCCTGAAAAGCACAGAAGTTCTGACATATGGTGTAACATGACCCCTTGAAGATATTATGCCACGTGAAAGAAGCCAGTCACAAAAGGACAGGTACTATAAATCACTTATGTGAGGTATCAAGAGTTATCAAACTCTTAGCAACAGAAAGTAGAATGGTGGTTGCCAGAGGCTGGGGGGAGGGGGAGATGAGGAGTTGTTTAATGCATATAGAGTTTCAGTTTTGCAAGAGGAAAAGAATTCTGACATTGGTTGCACAACAGTGTGAATATACTTAACATTACCGAACTGTACAGTTAAAGGGTTATGTACATTTTATCACAGTTTTAAGAAGTGAGTAGGACAGTGTATCTTACCATGCACCTGAACGTGAAGGGCCAGAATTTTTTTTCAGTAGCATTAAAGACTGCTATACTACCTACTGGGGTTCTTGTAAGAATTAAGAGAAGTACTTATCAACATTATTCTAAGGATTAAATGATGACCCATTTATCAAGAGAGATGGTATCCCCTCTCTCCCTTTTTAAACAATACTTCACAAATCAATTAATATAAACACAAATTAATACAGAAAAATCTGTACACAATTGTGGATACAACGCATTTCTATACAGTAAGGCAAGGATAAACTTTGTCTTTTTAGGTCACACAAACCATAAAAAGACAATTTAAAATTTTCAACTTTTGTTTGCTCCAAGCAGAAAAGAAAAAAATGAATTTTGGTATTAAATGACTTGGAAAATTTGTAGATGACTAATTCTACCAGCAGTGTGAAACTTCACAAAAGAATGAAGTAGCTGTTCAGCTACTTTGGGTGAAAAACTGGTACCTCGTTCCCTCCCTGGTGAGGGTTGTTGTTTTTGGATTTTTTTGGACTCTTCCATGTAAATACAGGAAATAACCTATCAAAATTTTGTAGAAATGTATTCTGATTAAAAGTGGCTTTTCTTCCTTCCCATGTCCAAATAAACGTGCACTACACAGAGTATGAGATTGAAATGTGTAATGATGATAGGAAGAGCAGGCACTTTGTGCACAAACTGTGTCAATTTCTCTTCCAAGTTCATACACGTAGTAGCTCATTTTAACTCCTATGAGAGTCCTGTGGGTGCAGCTATCATAGTTATCCGCAGTTGACAGGTAAAGAAATGGAAGAATAAGTACCTTGTGCAACGTGGCACTGTAAATAACAGAGCTAAATGCAAGTGCGTGATAGCCACATAAGTGTTTTTGTCTTGTCATATGTTATAGTTCTTTAATATTTTCTCTATTTATAGGTCCGAAAATTGTAATCACATTTATATTTTTTAACATACTTTAGGGATGAAGAGAAGCCAAAGAACCCCATGGTAGAGTTGTTCTATGGCAGATTCCTGGCTGTGGGAGTACTTGAAGGTAGAGTTATACATTTACTTTTTATTGCAAGTGAAGAGAGATTATTATTCATTCATTCGTCTCGATAGTTACTATTTTTTTAGTGGACTTTATTTTTAATTTGATATATTCTGTCTAGTAATTTTTGTTGGATTGCTACTGTTATTCACATAAAGCACAGAATTGAATGAAGGAAAAGGAATGTACAGAGTGCATTATCACATACTAATTAATACTTTATTTTATCCTCATGTTTTTTCCAGTGAGAGGGCTTCCATGATACAATTATGTTGGAATACAGGGATTAATGGGATGGTTGATAGATCCTTTGAAGATAATATTGGAGTTAAATACTGGGCTTGATATGATGCTCACTTTCTTTTTCATGTTGAAAGCTGAATTTAGCAACTTAGCATAGTCAGGGTATTATAGAGTTCTCACTTTTTCAGTGATTTTAAATGTAGATATTAGTTTTCAGGAAAAGATTGTACTCTATCTTTTGAAAAATCAGTGAAGAGTGATACTACTCCATTTAAGCTAAATACCTGTTTCTTAAAATTTGGCCTAAGTAGTTTCTGTTTGGGTTCCCTAACAAGGGAGGAGACTCTTTAAATGTAACTTCATGTAATAATATTAGGTCCCAAAGCATAAACTTTTGAAAAATTGTTTTTCTCACATCACCCAATGCATCAACTTTTGAAAGTTATCTTTTTCCAGATCAGCTAAAGTGTAAAATTTGAAAAAATGCTTTTTCTTCACGATCTTAAGTAGTGGATTCCCTGAAGTTCTGTTTGAACGTAGGTGGTTTGGGATTCAGAAAAAGACAATACTAACTCAGATGTTGGCCCTTTAAAAAGTCTTAGTGACATGTTCGTACGTTTTTGTTTGTTTCAAGTGGTAACAACTTATATATAAGTTGTTTTATATATATATGCACATATATATGAGTTAATATATATAAGTTTATATATATATGTAGAATATTTTACATAGTACATTTACGTTGGGTCATTCATCTTAATCATTCTGATTTTATTTGAAGTAGAACACTATCTGATGCAGCGAGTAGGTCTCATCAGGTCATGACTAGGCACTGTTTATAATACCCTGCATGAGCATTTCTACCTGTATTATATTGATTCCTAAAATTGATTGTTATTAAAATATTTAATTTGTTGGCTGGGTGCGGTGGCTCATGCCTGTAATCCCAGCACTTCGGGAGCCCGAGGCTGGTGGATCATGAGGTCAGGAGATCAAGACCATCCTGGCTAACACGGTGAAACCCTGTCTCTACTAAAAATACAAAAAAAAATTAGCCAGGCGTGGTGGCAGGCGCCTGTAGTCCCAGCTACTCAGGAGGCTGAGGCAGGAGAATGACGTGAACCCAGGAGGCGGAGCTTGCAGTGAGCTGAGATCGGGCCACTGCACTCCAGCCTGGGAGACAGAGCGAGACTCCGTCTCAAAAAAAAAAAAAAAATTAATTTGTCAATCCAGTGTTGAAGTCTTTGTACTTGGTATTAGTAAGTTGCTTTAGTGATTGTGTTATATAAAGGTGGCCTTAATACGTTTTCACTTGAACTATGTGTTTGCTTCAGTAAAAGTAATTTATTTCAGAGTACTTTCTTATCACTTTTTACATAGATCTTCCTAATACTTTCTTTCAAACCAATGGTTCTTCATTAGGGATGATTTTTAGTTTGTTTGCCAAAGTACCCCCACTGCAAAAGTCCCTCAACTTTTTGAGAACTTCTAGTTCATTGTCCCCTCTCAGCCCTTCTCTGTACTTCACTCCTTCCTTTTTCATCTAAAACCTAAAACTCTCTTTCCCCCCTTCCCTTCTGGCACCCCCTCCCTGTTCTCTAACCTTCATTAAGCTGTTCATCTTTTCTGTGTCTGTACTGAGTACCTGAAGATTGCTGGCAAAAAGTCACAGAAATGGGCTAACTGTAGTGGATCATGAATTTGAGTGATACTGAGCTTCCGTGCTCCCAATCCTATAACCCAACTTGTTCTGTGTAATCACCATTCTTTCTCTCATTTACTGCAATAAATATTTTCGTTTTTTCCACTCATTTCAGATCTAACTTATCTCTTCATTCTCTGAGAAAATCTTTACCTCAGATTTCATAGATTTACTGTCACATTAATGAAACTTAATCACAGGTTTTGCCCAGTCCCCGAATCTAATTTTACATTTGTAGTTTTGTATCATATTCTAAAAACACAACATTCCCAAATATATGAGCCTCAGGCTCCATAACCTAGATCTATCACTACCTCTACTATATTTTTACCTGCTCCTACATATAATAAAGGAATTACCCAGTTTTATATCAAAAGACTGTTCTTTATACGTGCTCAGAATTCCCTCCCTTCATGCTTTTACTCAGACCTTACTTCATTCGTTTTTTCTTGGCTTTTGAGCTTCTCCCACTCTTTCTTTCTCATCAATATTTACACATTGTCTGGTATCTCAAACCTTAAAAATTAAAAACGTTATCCCCTCCCATACTCTTTTTCAGTTAATACCCTCTCTTGATTCTTATTCAAAATTAAGCCCCTTTAAAGAGAGGAGTTAGTTTCAACTGATTACTCCCCATTTATTAAACCTAGCCCCAGTTTAGTTTCTGGCTTCAGAACTTGTCTAAAAGGGATCTTGCTAAGGTTATTGATTTTCTACATGTGGTTAAATCCATTAGATCCCTTTCAGTTTCTGATATAGTTTGGTCATGTCCCAAACCGAATCTCAACTTGATTGTATCTCGCAGAATTCCGTGTGTTGTGGGAGGGACCCAGGGGGAGGTAATTGAATTATGGGGGCTGGTCTTTCTCGTGCTATTCTTATGATAATGAATAAGTCTCCTGAGACTTATCATTTATTAAAGGCACTTCTTCCATGGCGGCGACAAGAGAAAATGAGGTAGAAGTAAAAGTGGAAACCCAGGATAAACCCTTGAGATTTATCTGGGGTTTCCACTTTTACTTCTACCTCATTTCCTCTTGCTGCTGCCATGTAAGAAGTGCCTTTTGCCTCCTGCCATGATTCTGAGGCCTCCCCAGCCATGTGGAACTGTAAGTCCAATTAAACCTCTTTTTCTTCCCAGCCTTGCCTATGTCTTTATTAGCAGCTTGAGAATGGACTAATACAGTAAATTGGGTCCGGTAGAGTAGGACGTTGGTGAAAAGATACCTGAAAATGTGGAAGCAACTTTGGAGATAGGTAACAGGCAGAGGTTGGAACAGTTTGAAGGGCTCAGAAGAAGATAGGAAAATGTGGGAAAGTTTGGAACCTCCTAGAGATTTGTTGAATGGCTTTGACAAAAATGCTGATAGTGATATGAACAATAAGGTCCAGGCTGAGGTGGTCTCAGATGGAGATGAGGAACTTGTTGGGAACTGAAGCAAAGGTGACTCTTGTTATGTTTTAGCAAAGAGACTGGTGGCATTTTGCCTCTGCCCTAGAGATTTGTGGAACTTTGAACTTGAGAGAGATGATTTAAGATATCGGTGGAAGAAATTTCTAAGCAGCAAAGCATTCAAGAGATGACTTGGGAGCTATTAAAAGCATTCCATTTTGAAAGGGAAACAGAGCATAAAAGTTCAGAAAATTTGCAGCCTGATGATCCAGTAGAGCAGAAAACCCCATTTTTTGAGGAGAAATTCAAGTCGTGGCTGCAGAAATTTGTGTTAAGTAACAAGGAGCCAAATGTTAATCCCCAAGACAATAGGGAAAATGTCTCCAGGATATGTTATAGGTCTTCCTGGCAGCCCCTCCCATCATAGACCCAGAGAAGCCTAGGAGGAAAAAATAGTTTCGTGGGCTGCCCGTGGTACTCATGCTGTGTGCAGCCTAGGAACTTGGTGCCCTGTGTCTCAGCTGCTCCAGCTTTTGCTAGAAGGGGCCAAGGTGTAGCTCGGCCCATTGTTTCAGAGGGTGCAAGCCCCAAACCTTGGCACCTTCCACGTGGTGTTGAGCCTGCGGGTGCACAGAAGTCAAGAAGTGAGGTTTGGGCACCTCCACCTAGATTTCAGAAGATGTATAGAAATGCCTGGATGTCCAGGCAGAAGTTTGCTACAGAGTTGGGGTCCTCATGGACAACCTCTGCTAGGGCAGTACGGAAGAGAAATGTGGGGTTGGAGCCCACACAGAGAGTCCCTACTGGGGCACCACCTAGTGGAACTGTGAGAAGAAGGCCACTGTCCTCCAGACCCCAGAATGTTAGATCCACTGATAGCTTGCATTGTGTACCTGGAAAAGCTGCAGACACTCAACACCAACCCGTGAAAGCAGCCAGGAGGGAGGCTGTACCTTGCAAAGCCACAGGGGCGGAGCTGCCCAGGACCATGGGAACCTACCTCTTGCATCAGTGTGACCTGGATGTGAGAGCTGGCATCCAAGGAGAGCATTTCAGAGCCTTAAAATTTGACTGCCCTGTTGGATTTCAGACTGTAACCCCTTTGTTTTGGCCTGTTTCTCCCATGTGGAATGGCTGTATTTACCCAGTACCTGTACTCCAATTGTAACTCTTCTCAGGAAAAAAATCAGTCAGTGTTACAGTTTTTAGGTTCAGGTGAGAATCCTTACATAATCTTAATTTTAGTAGCCAAAAGGCCATGTTGAGGATCATTAATTTTCTCCCTTCTTATAGGGAGTAACTAGCTTGCTTTTGATATTACAGGCTTGTAGGCGGAAGGGACTTAACCTTGTCTTAGATGTGGTTTGGACTGTGGACTTTTGGGTTAATGCTAAAATGAGCTAAGACTTTGGGGGATTGTTGGGAAGACATGATTGGTTTTGAAATGTGAGGACATGAGATTTGGAGGGGCTAGGGCTGGAATGATGTGGTTCAGCTGTGTCCTGATGTAAATCTCAACTTGAATTATATCTCCCAGAGTTCCCACATGTTGTGGGAGGGACCCAGGCGGAGGTAACTGAATCATGGTGGGGCAGTCTTTCCTGTGCTATTCTCATGATATTGAATACATCTCATGAGATCTAATGAGTTTATCATGGGTTTCCACTTTTGCTTCTTCCTCATCTTCTCTTGCCTCTGCCATGTAAGAAGTGCCTTTTGCCTCCCGCCACGATTCTGAGGGCTTCCCAGCCATGTGGAACTGTAGTTCCAATTAATCCTCTTTTTCTTCCCAGTTTGGGATGTGTCTTTATCAGCAGCGTGATAATGGACTAATACACTTTCCATATTGAATTCTTACCAGTTGTTAATGCTGATGACTCTTAACCTCTTCTTCCTCCTTTTTCCTATTCTTTCCTTAAAAACACATTTCTCTGGCTTTTGTAACACCATATTCTTGTGGCTTTTTTCCTGCCTCAGTGGGTACTTCTAAGAAAAGTTGTATTTATAGTCTCTTTTTGCATATAAAGGTAGCAGAACCTTAGGACTTTGTTTAGGCCCATTTCTTCTTCCTGTCCCATCCCCTAGGCATCTCATTCAGTGCCTTAATTTCCTGCTGTCAATAAGCCAGCAATTCTATCTTTATTCCAGAATGTTAATCTTAGTTACAGATTCATATTCAACTGTCTTCTCAAATTGAAATCTCATGGATCATAATGAACCAGTGATTTCCACTGCTACCTCAAAACTAAAGAAAAAAAAAATCCTGTGTTCTTACTTAAGTGGTGCCATTTTCAGTCCATAATCTGCCAGGCATGATGGTTCATGCCTGTAATCCCAGCACTTTGGGAGGCTGAGGCAGGTGGATCACTTGAGGTCAGGAGTTCGAGACCAGCCTGGCCAACATGGTGAAACCCCACCTCTACTGAAAATACAAAAATTAGTCGGGTGTGGTGGTGGGCGCCTGTAATCCCAGCTACTAGAGACGCTGAGGCAAGAGAATTGCTGGAACTCAGGAGGCGGAGTTTGCAGTGAGCCGAGATCACACCACTGAGCTCCAGACTGGGTGACAGAGCGAGACTCTGTCTCAATAAAAAATAAAATGTCATCATCATCATCATCTAGTTGTTCAAAAAAAAAAAAATAGTAATCATTATCATCATCTAGTTGTTCATGCCAGAATTCTGTTATTCTTGATATTTTCCTTCTTACCTATCTCTTATCCTGCTCAGTCAAGTCCTGTTGGTGCCCTTCCTTGCATATATGTATAAATGTATATGTATGTAATTTTATCTCTTTTCTGTATTTTTACTTTTAACAACCTTCATCCATGCTACCTTTATTTCTGGATAGATTCTGCAATAGTCTTTTAACAGATGACCACCCACTTCACACAGGGACTTTAAAGGTGTTTCAGAGACATAAACCTGAGCCTGTTATTCTTAGATTTAACCATTCAGTGACTGTATTAGTCCATTTACATGCTGCTGATAAAGACATACCCGAGACCGGGCAATTTGCAAAAGAAAGAGGTTTAATGGACTCACAGTTTTACATGGCTGGGGAGGCCTAACAATCATGGGCTGGGGAGGCCTAACATGGCAGAAGGTGAAGGGCATGTCTCACTTGGTGGCAGACAAGAGAAGAGAACAAGAGCCAAGCCAAAGGGGAAACCCCTTATAAAACCATCACATCTCATGAGGCATATTCACTACCACGAGAACGGTATGGGGGAAACCGCCCCCATGATTGAATTATCTCCTGCTGAATCCCTCCCACAATACAGGAGAATTATGGGAGCTACAATTTAAGATGAGATTTGAGTGGGGACACAGCCAAACCGTATCAGTGACTTTGCATTATACCCAGAATGTGGTGGGGAAAAAAATTCTTAATAGGACCACAAGACCTTGTAGATTTTAACTCACTGCCTGACTTTTCATTGTAATCTCTCCCTTGGTTCCCCAAGCTACACTAACCTCCTGTTAGTTCCTAAACATATCAACTTCTTTACTGCCTTAAAGTCTTCATCATGCTGTTCCATGGCCAAGAATACTCTATAGTCCCCCAGCACTCTGGCATGGCTAACTCCCACTCATTATTCAAGTCTGAGCTTAAATGTCCTTTGCCATGGAGGTCTTCCCTGCTCTCCCCACCACCTCCAAGACTAAGCTCCCATTTTTATACCTCTCACATAATTCTGTCTCATCACAACTTTCTTTTTATAACAATTGTAATATAATTATTTGTAATTATTTGTTTATAAATATATGTGAAGTTAATGGGTATAATGTTTTTTAAATGAGGCTGAGAATTTTCTCAGCTCAGGGACCATATCTCTCTTGTTCACTGCTGTATATATTCCCAGTGTTCAGTACAGTATCTTGCCCTTAGAAAATGCTTCTTGCGAGAAAAAATATACATACATATGTGTGTATATAATTACATATATGTGGATGTGTAATATCTATGGCTGGGTATAAATGTACATTTGCACATGTGTATAAACCAACAGGAAAATTAACACTAACACTTCTCAGGAATGAAATCAGTCAGTGTTACAATTTTCAGGTTCAGGTGAGAATCCTTACGTACTCTTAATTTTAGTAGCCAGAAGGCCATATTGAGTATTATTAATTTTCTCCCTTCTTATAGGTAAAAAATTTGAAAACACTGAAATGTTTGGTCAGTACCCACTTCAGGTCAATGGGTTCAAAGATCTGCATGAGTGCCTAGAAGCTGCAATGATTGAAGGAGAAATTGAGTCTTTACATTCAGAGAATTCAGGAAAATCAGGCCAAGAGGTGAGTTTAACATTTTCATTGTCCCCTTTCTTCCCTAGGTCTTTCTTACAATGCTATAGCACAATGTAAGGTTCTAATTATAGAGCTACCTAATAATTGAGAGAGAATACTCAGAGAGTATGTTTGGATTTAATTGGTAATTTAGACATTCAGGAGACCTGTCCAGTCAATATGGCCTATAATCTATGTCAAATTCTCACTTAAATAATTTATCTCAGAATTTTAAAATCTTAGGACATTGTTCAGTCTTTTTAGACCTTTCAATCAAGGTACCAGCCATTAGCAGCATGCTAGTTCCTCGATATAAAGAAGAAAAATCCTGATATTACAGTGGATTTTAAAACAGATATATGCTACTTATATCAACTGTTATTGGAATTTGTCCACGATGCCCAGATTCCTTTTCTTGTAAAATTGCTATGTGATTGCATAAGGTCAGATGGAAGAACTTCCCTTCTCAAGGAAGAAATCATTTTTATAAAATATTGTTAACTTATATGTCTACCTCAACTAGTTTCTTTCTTTCCAGCCATCTCTGTTTCTTTATCCATCTCTGTAGCTGCATCTGTGTAGCCATTCATCCATGCATTCATCTGTCAGGGAGTTTTGGCACTGTAATAGTAAGCAAAGGACATACGTGCTTCCCCAATCAGTTACTGTTAAGAAATTGCTGATAGTTGTCTAGCTGTTAAACTCCATGAATGTGGCTAGAGGTCTTTATCTGTGTCATTCACTATTATATCCCTAGTGGTAATATGGTAACTGCATACATAATACTTATTGAGTGAATGAATGAAATGTCTTGGTGCTTATCAAACAAGTTTCTGAGGTCTTTATACTGAATAGGTGCTTAATAAATATTAAGTGATACGATGTCTCTGTGTTTATCTAAAAGGAGACTTTGTTCTTGTGTTTTTGAGAACAAATTGCTTTTGTCTAAATTTTAATTTTTTTTTCTTAAAGATGCAGTTAACCCTTTCCTGTTTCAAGTGCATACTCATTTTTTTCCTCTTCCCCCCCACATACATAAACAAACAAAAATATGCTTTTCCTGTTAAGAGGAAGAGATGTATTTGAAATAGTCTTTCTCTCTACATCGTAGATCATCTATTTCAGTGATTCTCAATAGAGAATAGCCAGACTTCAAAGTTATCCAGGCAGGGTCTACGATAGGGATGTGGTATATGGACACAAGAGCTGCACAAGTAATTCTGATAAAAACCTCTAAATAAGAATGTTTAAATTCAGCTTATTTTATTGATTGGGAAACAGATCTCTTAAGAGTGGGACTTTACCAGTATCCCACAATGGAATAAGAAAGCAGACTCTTAAAATCCGATCTGTTTGCTGTTAAATGAAAGGATGATTGGGGTAGTAAGGCAGGGATGGTACTTGTTTTTATATTATCAGAGTAGCTGAAATACACTATGGTTTATTGGTAATCTTTCTCACATATTCCCAGCTTTTAAAAATTTTTATTGTACACAGAATTGAAATTTTATTGTTTATTTAAAATATCTTAGATTTGTCCTCCATCTTTTTATTGGTTTTATACTCTGAATGCCCCTATGTTGCAATATAAATGTTCTGCCTAGGTTTTTTCATCTAGCCTAGGGAATATAATGATTTATGATGGTTCTCTATTTTAGCAGTTTCTAATCTCCACTACTGTGGCAAATTTGATTGCCTGTGATTCCTGCTACCATTTTTCTAGATTTGCTGGAGGCTATAGTTTCAATAATAATTCAGCTTGATTTAAGAGACTGTCACTGACTAAAGTATAGTATCAGTTTTTAAAAAATAACATATTTAAATTATAGTCTTATTATATCCTTTAGAAAAAGTATTCTTGAATCTCTAAAAGCCAGTAAGTAACATTACAGACTATTTCTAAATTGGCATAATCCCTGATAACAATAGCTTTTTCCTCAATCTATTAAAAATTGTTGATTTTATTTTGGCCCAGAGAACATCTTATTTGCTGAAATAGCTGTGGCCAACTAATATATAGGAAGACCTCCAGTCTTCCAAGCTAAAACATCCAATTGGCTATAAGAGTTTAAATTTTGTGGATGATATACTAAGAGACAACTGAATAAGTTAAACATGATTATATCCAAAATAACTGCTTAAATATTTTTTAAATGATACATTTTAACTTTTAAATGGTATGCAATTTGTAGATGAGTCAGACTCTCCAGGAAACATGGAGATATTTTTTGATTGTCTGTTGGAGGAAAAAAATTTCAGATAGTAAATACTTCACTTGTAGTGTGAGTATTCACTACTACCAGTGTGTGCTGTGTGTTCTTTTAGACTATTGCTATGCACATATAAGTATTTGCATCTGTCCACACTGCCCCGAAAGTTGCATTTTTCACTCAGCAGTATATCATGAGCATGCTTCTAAGTTAGTGTAGAGCTTTACGTCAGTGTTTTTAAAATCTACATAGTGTCACATAGTCTGTATTTATAAAATTAAATTGATTTAATTATCCTGTAAGGCAGTAACTCGAAAAAGAACTATTCTGAAGAATGTCTTTGTATAAATACCCTTGCGCACTTAGGAATGAAGTATAGTTAGAAGTAGAATCTTTGGGTCACAGGGCATACTCATTTAGATGTGTTGGCACTGCCAAATTTCCCTTCACAAAGTTGTACCAAGTTATAATAAAGTGCTAGAAGGAGTTTTTACAAAGCTTTAAAAACAAAATTAGAGAAACAATATCGACATGTACCATATTAGACATCTGTAGAGGTTATATGGGGAACTTAACTTTTGAAATCAAAGGGCAAATGAGTCAAGGCAATTAAATGACTGGAGCTAATTTTTTAACTGGAATAAAAAGTTTTTGCTTCTTGTGCATAGTTTACATCCTGGCTTGGTTTGATATTCCGTGGGGAATTTGAAGTGATAGGTGTGTTTTTTCTGTTGTTTTTTTCTCTCCACATTTGTGTAATCCTCTCATAAAAGCAAGGTATCTTATACACTTTAATAGAAAACCAGCTATTAAAACTCATAAAAATGACATACTCTTTAGGAACTACTTTTGTTAACAGGTGAGATTTCTAGAATTGTGATGAATTTAGAAGCACTTGTGCTGCCAATACTGATTATGTAAGTTCTTTATTCACTAACTGCAGAAATCTATTCCTCCTGTAGTTTCATTATCTAGTAAAATAATAATATGTTTAGAGATATGGAGAATGACCTCTGTCTCACAAGCATGGCATACTAGTTAGATTGTAGACAAGTAGATATAGTTTTTTGTTGAATGGAAATATTTTTTTGAAAGAAAAATTTCTCATGTTTCGTATTATTTAAAATTCAAATTATGTACTGCTATACTACAATCCAAATATTGCAGAGCTAGACATACCATTAATATTTTAAAACATGAATTTACAGAATGTCTGGTTATCTCATCTTGTCCCCATCAGCTTTAGAATGAGAAAGTGAAATCCTTCCACTCTTGTAGTAGGAAAAACCTGCCATCGCTGATAGAGGAAAATGCATTCATAACAGAGACATATTACATAACATTTTTGAACATCCTTTTGTAAGGTATGGAAGCTATTTATATTTCCTGGACTTTTCATGGTCTACAGAAAAGTGTACCCCAGTTTGGGTCATTTCATTTCTTGTGGCCATTGTAGATTTCCATGAATTAAAATATGTAACTATTTAATTTTAATGGTGACATTTAAAGTATTGCAATAAAATATGAAAGTGATAGTTCTTGAAATCTACTTTCTTGTTTGAGTATCATAAAATGGAGCAGAGAATATTATCCTAAAGAATCAAAAGTGTTCTTTCTGATGTGTCTGGGGTAATGTTTTAATTCTTAATAATAATTTTATATGTGGATTAGAACTAACTCAAAAATTCTTGCCAGTTCCATGTGAGATCAAAATGAGTAAGCAAACTTTGCTAATCAAATTTTAAAACTTGAGATGTTTCTTATATTTTTCATAATTTTATTTAATCCGTTTCAGGTATTATCCATATAAAACAAATTCCTTAAACTTTAGCTTTCAGTAAAAGATAACCATCCAGCTCAGGAAATCTCAGTTCAAGTAATTATAGCATTTTGAAAGAGAAATAGTATTGAATACCATTTGCTTTTATTTGCTGTAGAGAAAAGTAGCAACTTTCCAGATCCTCCTCAGATTCAGTTTGCCAGATGTGTGCCATTCATGCTTTTTTTGGATGTTCAAATTTAAATTTGGTATATTCTTAACTTATTGACAGATGTGTGGTGGCATTTTGTGACACTTGAAATTATCACACACAATAGATTATGCAGCAGTTTCGCATATTGCAGTTTATAATAAGCACTTCAGAACTATTTTATACTTCTGTTCTTTGTTGATTTACATACAATCTTTCTTTCTCTTTAAATACATATGCTTATGTATAATTTGAGGTTGTATATGAAAATAATTTTCTTTTAAAAATGTTGAATTTCATGCTTAATTGAACAGTTACCAAAGCATGTATGGGGATTAGGGGCTGGGGGTAGGGGAAGGAAATTACGGCTATACTCATTATCAGAATTTGGCTCATAGCAATGAGACATTCAATTCTTTAAACACTAGTTATTTTAAAAGATTTTAAGTAAATTACTCTAAGTATTAACTTTTTGTTAGTGATATGTCTTTTTCATAAATTAGTATGAAATCCAGCAGAGGAGCTAAAGCTAAAACAGGAAAACACCATTTTTTCATTTTTAGTATGAGAGTTGTGACGATTTATGATATAAATTTTTTTTTGAGTACTCCCTCTCATAAGTTATTTTATCACAGGATTTTGATGCT
The DNA here is from genome assembly GCF_000001405.40 of Homo sapiens. Classification (NCBI taxonomy): domain Eukaryota; kingdom Metazoa; phylum Chordata; class Mammalia; order Primates; family Hominidae; genus Homo; species Homo sapiens. Next base: position 15,823,665 of record NC_000021.9, read on the forward strand.
TTGGTTAAGTATAAGTGCCATTCAACATCACGTTGAAGAAGACAGAGAAGACTTGAGCTACTAAGTCATGGTTTTAACCAGTGTCTTTTTCTTTGGGCTAGAAATTCTAATGTAAAGAATTATTTTCGAAGGATAGTTGTGAGATTTCTTTTTTTCCTGATCATATATTATACCCACTCTTGGAATTTTCAAGAGGTGTGGAAAACTTTTAGAAAGAGGTTGAGTTTTAACTAAACTGTGTACCCAGTTACTTGTCAGGTCCGCATTGTGGTGATACATATAACAATGTCAGTGCCCACATCCTGTGCCTAAGATTGCAGTGAAGAAAACAAAGGTGGTATTAAAGTTTTTGTTATTGTTTTATTTCCTTTCAGCATTGGTTTACTGAATTACCACCTGTGTTAACATTTGAATTGTCAAGATTTGAATTTAATCAGGCATTGGGAAGACCAGAAAAAATTCACAACAAATTAGAATTTCCCCAAGTTTTATATTTGGACAGGTATGGTTTGATATACTGCATGACTTAGTTTGAAACAGTTTAGTAAGGGAGAAAATATTGTTTAGAGGAAAATTCTGCATAATTTTCTTAGAATTAATTTCTACTTTTGCATAATATACCTAATACCATTTGTCAAGGTAGATGAAATTTACTTTGTATTAGAAAAGTATAGTTTTTGGGAATAATGTTATAAGGAAATTTAAAAAAGATGAATTTTGTAATCTTAAAATTCAGAATTTTAAAAAATACCATTTTGTATTATCTACCTTACATCTTATACAATTTTGAATGAATTGATGCTTTGTGGTGATGTCTGTACTTAATATTGTATCTATCTATCTTTCTGTCTTTCTTTCTGTCTCTCTGTCTTCCTGTCTTTCTGTCTTCCTGTTTTCCTGTCTTTCTTTCTTTTGTTTTTTTCTGTCTGTCTTTCTGTCTATCTTTCTGTCTTTCCTTCTTTTTTGTTTTGAGACAGAGTCTTGCTCTGTCGCCCAGGCTGGAGTGCAGTGGTGCGATCTTGGCTCACTGCAAACACCATCTCCTGGGTTCAAATGATTCTCCTGTCTCAGCTTCCCGAGTAGCTGGGATTACAGACACCCACCATCGTGGCTGGCTAATTTTTGTATTTTAGTAGAGACGAGATTTCACCATGTTGGCCAGGCTGGTCTTGAACTCCTGACCTCAGGTGATCCTCCCGCCTTGGCGTCCCAGAGTGGTAGGCCGGGTACGCTGGCATCTGGCCATATTGCATCTACTTTCATGATATTCGGAAATGCTAATGATTACCTTTTTCTGATAGATACATGCACAGAAACAGAGAAATAACAAGAATTAAGAGGGAAGAGATCAAGAGACTGAAAGATTACCTCACGGTATTACAACAAAGGCTAGAAAGGTATTTTAACTTTTATGAAATTAGGAGATAATTATCAGAAACCATGTATTTGGTGACTAGATTTTTAATTTCAAATTTGCTTTGAGTGATTTATAATTTTAGGAGTAGTTAATATTGTGTGAATAGTTTTGAGTTTTGCTTGAAACTAAAAATCTATAGTAGACTTTAAAAAATTATTCTAGTGTTTAAAATTAAATATCTCATTGTCAACAGGTAATGTTCCTACTGCTGAAAATAGATACAAAGTTAAATGAATATAGTTTTGACCTTCCTTTTTGCATGAAACTAAAGATTACTCTTGAGATTTTCATTAAAATGAATGGTATCTGAGTTTTTCTCCTTAAAACAGGATACAAACTCAGCTGCCTACCAAGTCTTCTCAGCAGCTTCGTAAAGGAGGAAATTGTGTCAGGTGTAAGATGGTATGTGCCGGGAGCCTAGAGAGCAATCTGTGTGTACAGGGAATGAATGCCATTCCATACCAGTGGATGGTACCATGTATGAGTATGGCCTCACTGTTGTCTATTGATTTGGATCATTTCTAAAAGACGTCAGAATCTGGACTGAGAAATGTTCTACAGGCCAGACAGAAATCTAAAGGCTGAAATGTCACAAGTCATTTCAGTTTGCAAACCCCAATCTGCTCTGCATTCCCCTATTTTAGGAATTTTCAAATTAGTAGTCTAAAACTTCTTACATCAAATAGTATATTGTATTTTAATGATTTTTATTCTTAAAAAGTATGAATAATCATATTGAAACATGATTAGTGGTAAAAGATAGGAGGATAGTACACATCACTGTCTTGATCATGAGACCAGATGCCAGATCTAAAAATAAAAACAGTCTCAGGAGATGTCAGTTTTCATCTTCCTATTGAGTTACAATTTAGAACAGCATTTACAGATTATAACAGTATATACTCACATTCAGTCCCAATCGGCCTTGGTTTCCTGTCTTTGGGGAACTTTTAATGTTTTTCTTAAGTGTATATTCAGTTTTACCATCTTCGTTTTAAAGCAAATGAATTTTATTGCTGAGGAAGTTTTATTGAAGTATCGTATCACGTTTTATAATAATAATAAAGGCCCAAATATGCTGTATATAGAAATAAAAGCATTTGTACATTTTATGATTAACAGATATTTAAGCTATGGTTCCGGTCCCAAACGATTCCCCTTGGTAGATGTTCTTCAGTATGCATTGGAATTTGCCTCAAGTAAACCTGTTTGCACTTCTCCTGTTGACGATATTGACGCTAGTTCCCCACCTAGTGGTTCCATACCATCACAGACATTACCAAGGTAAAAAGTAATCCTGATGCAAGAGACAGTTGTTACCTTTATTACACAATAATGTAACTGCTGCCTTTAAAGACAGTTTCTATAAAATGTATGCTTTGATTTACTTCAGTGAACTCCTAAGAGTAGATTCACTTAGAAGACTGTATGTCCTCTGGGAGTTTTTTTATTATTTCAGTAGATTTTATGGTTATGGATTAAAATTTTAATCACATTTTTTTTCAGTTCAGAATTATACTTTAGCATGTTTTGGTATGTACATATATAAGATTCAGCATTTTATGATCCATAAAAATAGTACTATCAAATTAGAATTTGTTTCTGTAATGTAAGCTGATAAGCCAGGGAAAATAATATCACCATGCGTAAGATTTTCTTGTTTTTTAGAAATAAATATGATTAAGCTGTTTTAACTCTAAAGCTACAACTTCATCTTATAATAATTTAGTTCTTATGTATTAAAAATCTCATTTGGATGTTAGATCAATCCACATATTTCTTTAAGATTTTTTCTTTTGAATTACAAGCCAATTTAATACTGTGGGTTTGGCACGATCTTTGTCAAGAGTTTCAGCTTGAAAGGTTAATAAGAAATACTCTATGCTTTGATACAGCACAACAGAACAACAGGGAGCCCTATCTTCAGAACTGCCAAGCACATCACCTTCATCAGTTGCTGCCATTTCATCGAGATCAGTAATACACAAACCATTTACTCAGTCCCGGATACCTCCAGATTTGCCCATGCATCCGGCACCAAGGCACATAACGGAGGAAGAACTTTCTGTGCTGGAAAGTTGTTTACATCGCTGGAGGACAGAAATAGAAAATGACACCAGAGGTAAGAAGTGTCTCATAGCATGGTTACTGTCACCTCAGATGGATATGTGTAATGTTAATATTGAGAAGGGAAATCACGTCTGGATTTTATATTTAAATATTATAGTCATTTTTCTTTTCCAGAAAGGGTTTTAAGATAAACTAGTTTGGCTCCCCATTTTTATAATCTCAATATCAGGTTCACAGGGACCAAAAGATTTTCCCTGGATTGCTTAGCTGATTAATGACATAGCAGATGGCCTGATTTTCTAGTTTGCTGCTCTAAATTTATATCAAACTGGTATTCACAGTTACTCCATTGGAGAAATGTCATACAATATCAATGTTTGTACATATCAATTAGGTACTAAATCTAAGTTTGCACAGGGAGTTCCGGTGATTAAAAAATTTTCTTTGGGCTTAAGAATTAGAAATGTGAATTTTAATTTTTAATAGCTCTAACAGATTTATGAGTATCTATGATCCCATTACTAGTCTGTAACAGAGTTTTTACTGGCATGCAGCAAAATAAGAAAAATAAGGACAGTGCTCTGGGTGGGGTGTGTGCACTTGTGTGCGTGTGCGTGTGTGTGTGTGTGTGTGTGTGTGTGTGTGTGTGTGTGTCAAGTTGCCATCTGTCCTTTCTTGGAAGGAACTCTCTTTTATTCTTTTCTATTCTATTTTTTCTTTTTTTTCAGAATAAGTTATTCTGAACTTTTCTCTTTCCTACTTTGCTGCTGTTAAAGTGTACTTAAAAAAATGGATTATGGTAGATTTTATTACATTTTTTTCCTTAAATGTGAAAATATAATTCCCTATTATCATTCCCCAATTTTATGCTGATTTATTGATTTTTGAAAAAAATGAACTATGTGACATGGTTGGAATTATATTGAACAATATTGATTGTTGGATATTATATGACCAACTTAACTCTTTATAGACAATATTTGAAAAAGAATGGCCCTAATTTAGTAAGAAGTACATAAGGTATGATGGTGACTAACAGCATTAGTAGCTGTCAAGATTTTCTTTAGTATTTTTCAAATAAGAGGGAATTTTTAAAAATATTTGAACTCATTAACAAACATTAATCAAGCAAATAGTGTTGATGAAGCACTATATTAGGCGTTGGGTAATTTTCTACTCCTCATGGCAGGTTGTTTTTAAAAGATTACATTCAGAGGAGTGGAAGCTAGGAAGCTTTTGACACCTAAGTAGTGGCATTGAGGGAGGGAAGAAGTGAATGTACTTAAAATACTCTTTGGAGACAACTGACAGATGTGGGTCATTGGCTAGAGGTAAGAGAGAGGGACGAATCGAATGATTCTCTCAGTTCATAATGGTATGAATAACCAAATAGAATGTATTTTGGAAAAAAGGTAAAGCAGTGGGCAAAGAGGTTCCCACTCAGGGGAGGAAAGAGAAATATGATGAGTTCTCTTTTGGCCATTTTAAGTTTGAAGAGCTTTTTTGAGACGGAGTCTCGCTCTGTCACCAGGCTGGAGTGCAGTGGCATGAACTCGGGCTCACTCCAGCCTCTGCCTCCCAGGTTCAAGCGATTCTCCTGCCTCAGCCTCCCAAGTAGCTGGGATTACAGTTGTGTGCCACCACACCCAACTAATTTTTGTATTTTTAGTAGAGATGGGGTTTCACCATGTTGGCCAGGGTGGTCTCAATCTCTTGACCTTGTTATCCGCCCACCTCAGCCTCCCAAAGTGCTGGGATTACAGGCGTGAGCCACCATGCCTGGCTGTTAAGATTTTTATATGTAATACTATGGATCAGGAAAGAAGGTTTTCCTCAGGATATTTTTTTTCTTTCTTTCATCCATATTGATGTTAGCAGTTAGCATTATTTTGTAAACTATTGTGTAATATTCCAACACACGGGTATGATGTAATTCATTTAATTCCCATATTGATATTTCCTAAATAGTGCTGGTCTTCGATATACATATTTATACACTTCTGTAAGTAGGATATGTTCTTTTTTATGTTCAGGGGTACATGTGCAGGTTTGCTATAAAGGTAAATTACATGTCTTGGGGGTTTGGTGTAAGATTATTTCATCATGCAGGTAATAAGCACAGTACCTGATAGGTGGTTTTTCCATCCTCACCCTGCTCCCACCCTCCACCCTAATGTAGGCCCCAATATCTGTTGTTTCCTTATGTCCACCATTTCTGGTTCAGAGTGTGTATATTTTAAATTTTGACGACTGTTTTAAAATTGTCACTCCAAAACATTAAACCAGTTTGCATTCCCACTGTGTGAGAGAGCCTGTCTCCCAGTATCCTCCCTAGCCCTGGACACTTTTTAGTAGTTTTTCACAATTGAAAAACTGGTATTTTAGTGTTTTGATTTGCATTCCCTTAGCTTCGAGTGAAGTTGGATATTTATATTGTTCTGTAAATTTCTTGTTTGTGACATTTGCCCATTTTTTAAGTATTGAGCTATTTGTATTTTTCTTATTACTTAATAGAAAGTTTAATGTATTGTGGATATTAACACTTTACCTATAATATCACATATGCTGCAGATATTATTTTCCCAGTTTTTCATTTGATTTTATGTTGGTTTTGTTTTCTTTTTATAATGTAGATTTTTTAAAGTGTTGGGCAGGGAGGATCTTATCTTTTCCTATAAGGTTACTAGTTTTCTGACAGGCTTAAGACAGGTCTTTCCCCACTCTAAAGTTAGCCAGTTTCTTTTATAGTTTTTCAAGGTTTCTTCCTGATTGGTTCAGCAGCTTCACAATATGATGTGGTTACAATCTAACCGTTTCCTTATTGACAGATATTTAGGTTATCTCTTTTTTAAAAATTATTGTGGACAATATGACTGTGAACATCCCTATCTGAACAATTTTGTAGGATTATTTTCTACTAGAAGTAGAAATAATTGTCATGGGAGTGCCATAATTTTATTTTCACTGGTGATTATAGTCGATTTTTATTCAGTTATGTGTGTGTACAAGATATGTGGTGAACATGTTTTACTTTGTTCTTAAGTTTACTTGTGTTATAGCAATATGTAAGGAAGCTTAGCTTTCATTTTCATTGAAACTCTCCTTTATAGATTTGAACAAAATTCACTTTTATTGGCTCTGCACATTTTCTAGATAAATCATATTTGTGTTGTTTTTAAAGTATGCATTTGTACTGTGTCTTTTATTAAGAATAACTATAATTCATTTTCTACAGATTTCAAATGGTAATGTTTTTTAAGAAAAGTTTTAGGAAAATTTTCCTATTCCTCTAACATGTTTGTAGGAAAAACATTAGTCCTTATCTTATAAGTAGAAACACATTTGCTGTTAATCATTAAATGACACCTTATATCCTTAGATTTGCAGGAAAGCATATCCAGAATCCATCGAACAATTGAATTAATGTACTCTGACAAATCTATGATACAAGTAAGTGAAATTTTGAGCTAGTAATCATTGTCAAAATTATTTACATATATTTTAATTTACCTTTACATTATCTTAATCTAATTTTTCTTTACATGTTTTGTTTTAAAATTTTGGCAAATCTTATTGTAAAATAATAAGGGCTTGCAATATGTACAATGTGACAGTTCATCTGAATGGGGAAACTTTTATAACAAATTTATAACAAAATTCATGACAAGTTTTCCCCATTCAGTTGTATTTTCACACCGTATGTGTTGTGTACCCTTACTATTTTACAGTAAAATCTACCAAAGTTTTTCAAAAGGCTATAGCATCTTTAAAAAGTCTTATGGGAGAAAATCTATGGTTGTTAAAGGATATTAAGATTTGGGAAGAAACTTAAGGACTCCATTACATTTTAACTTCTGGTGTATATCATATAATCTATTTTGTTAACCGTCAATTTAGAATTCTGAAGATGTAGACACATTTGCTATATGTAAAACTGCCCACTATAAGCTTTTTATTCAAATAAACAATTAGGCCAATGAGTATGTACACAATAAATACATTTTTAGTTTTTCAAAAATCATCTTTTTAATCTATCAACTTTGCATATCTTTAGCTTATTCAGATTCCGTCTTTTTAAAGTTTTATAGTTTAGTTTTTTTCAAACTTTTAAGCCCAGCCAGTTCTCTCTCATTTAAAAAAAAAAATGCTCTTATGGTTTTCTCCAAACAGGTTGTTTGTGGGTTTCATGGAATGTGGTATATAGTAAACTACATAATTGCAGTTTAACTCTTCTTTTTTTCACATTTAGGTTCCTTATCGATTACATGCCGTTTTAGTTCACGAAGGCCAAGCTAATGCTGGGCACTACTGGGCATATATTTTTGATCATCGTGAAAGCAGATGGATGAAGTACAATGATATTGCTGTGACAAAATCATCATGGGAAGAGCTAGTGAGGGACTCTTTTGGTGGTTATAGAAATGCCAGTGCATACTGTTTAATGTACATAAATGATAAGGCACAGTTCCTAATACAAGGTAAGAATATATAGGGTGGTGTGTATTTTTAAATAGTCATAAAAGTGGCTCTGGTATGTGGTGTGATTAGTTAAGTGTAATTCACTCAGACGATGAAGGATGTGGTTAGGAAATGCTACTGGGTTTTGACAAGACTGAATTGAAAAGTAATGTCGTCAGGGCTAAGAATTCGTATATATTTTGTATTCCAAGTCAACTATTAAAGGTAAATATGACCTTTTTCGTCCTTGCTAAAAATGCTTTAGTGACTGTTCCACAGATTGACTCACATTTAATATTTAATTCCTTAGCCTAACATATATGGCCTCTGTTCTTGGCCTCTGATTATCTCCCCACCTTCATTGATCACCAGTGTTCCTTTTGAATTTATATCCTTACTGAACTTCTTGCTGTATCTGCTCATATCAAACCATTTCACACATTTATGTTTGCATGTTCGTATATGTTTTATTTTTTGCTAGTAATTCTTTTGCCTAATTCTTGTTTATCTGTCAAGATTCAATTCAGGTGTCATTTCCCCTGCAAACTATTTCTTGATCTGCCAAAAAGTATCTCTCCTTATGCTGTCCTGGCATCTGTCTACTGGGCATTTACTGTTGTGTATTGGAACTGTGTGATGACTTGTCTTGCACATTTCTCTCTTATCTGCTCAGAGCCAGAGATCATGTCATACTATGTCTGAATCTTTTTAATGCTGATATTCTGATATATGCTTTGCATATAGAAAATAATAAAGGTTTATTGAAACTGATAAAAATAATCTTTTTATATTTAGTCATTCAGAATCAGCTAGGCAGTCCACTTCTGACTAAAAAAATGAAGTTATTTTTCTGTGTGTGTAGTAGAAGTTCAGTAATTCTTCTGAATACTCTATTGTTTTTAAGATCTTGCTATATTAATTTTCATAATTGCATATTTAAGTCTACTTAATTTCTTCATATGACAAACAATTTTCATTTTATTTTGAGCTAATAAGGTTAACATGATTATGAGTTGTTTACATTTTGTGAAAAGTTTTACTTTTTAAGTGATCAAACATCTGGTATTTTCCAATAGTGGCAGAAGTAGTATTACATCACTGTTAGAGTAGCAAAGAAAAAAAAAAATGGCCGGGCGCGGTGGCTTATGCCTGTAATCCCAGCACTTTGGGAGGCCAAGGTGGGCAGATCATGAGGTCAGGAGATCGAGACCATCCTGGCTAACACAGTGAAACCCCATTCTACTAAAAATACAAAAAAATTAGCCGGGCTTGGTGGTGGGCACCTGTAGTCTCAGCTACCCGGGAGGCTGAGGCGGGAGAATCGTCTGAACCCGGAAGGCGGAGGTTGCAGTGAGCCGAGATTGTGTCACTGCACTCCAGCCTGAGTGACAGCATGACACTCTGTCTCAAAAAAACAAACAACAACAGCAACAAAAAACTTGGCTTTGGCTTTGTATTTTCTGTCACTTCTACTCTTAAGATAAAAAAAAATCTGAGACCATTACCTATGATGGATTATCAAATATTTTCATCATTGTTTTTCTGAGCATTTGTTTGAGTTTTAAAAAGTTTTGTAGATAATAATTATTTGCTAAGCAATAGTAATTCTTAAGTAATATGATTGGCTGAGTGGTAATAATTCATAGTTTAAATTCTATTTGAAATGCAGTCTATTTTGAGCTTTGCATTTTCCCTTTAATTCTTAATTTTATACTAGTTTTTGAAATATGATTTGCAGAGGAGTTTAATAAAGAAACTGGGCAGCCCCTTGTTGGTATAGAAACATTACCACCGGATTTGAGAGATTTTGTTGAGGAAGACAACCAACGATTTGAAAAAGAACTAGAAGAATGGGATGCACAACTTGCCCAGAAAGCTTTGCAGGAAAAGCTTTTAGCGTCTCAGAAATTGAGAGAGTCAGAGACTTCTGTGACAACAGGTTTGTCCATTTTTATTAAGTTGTGTTTGATTATCAATATTATTTTTATAATAAGATATGCTCATTATTAAAAAGTTTTAGCTATCTTAAAGTGTGAGGAAATCAGTAGAAATCATTTCAAATTCCATCACTCAGATTATCACAGTTAACAATTTAGTTTACCTTTTTGCCAGACACCACTGTATATATTTATATGTTTTTCAAGATAAATGAGATAATTCTGTTGACTTTCCCTCTACCTACTCTGCCTGTGTTGGGTGGGCTTGAATTTTCTTGGCAAGTAGCAGAGAAAGCTGTGAAATCAGCAAGAAACCCAAACCAATTCACTAAAGCTATCAAGAGTATCAATTCAATAAAGCTATCAAGAGTATCAATTCAATAAAGCTATCAAGAGTAGTAATTTTAAATTTGGCCAAAATAATACTACCGGTATATTCATATATACTTTGTGCAATAGTAAAATACTACCATTAATAACTATTTGATGTTTTTCGGAATTCTTAAGATTAAGAGAAAATTGACCAAAACTATTTAGTATATCACAGGTAAAAAGTAAGTGTATAGACCTGTAAACCAAAGATATAAATGCATAAACATATAAATATTTAAAAACATTATTCTGAAATGAACTATTAGCTGATGAAATCAATAAGTCAAAGTAAACACTGTATAGGAATTAAGAAAATAGTTTCTAGTAAAATTGAAAATATATTGTCTTTTTATTTTCTTAAAAGATTACTCTTCACTGAGTTGCAAATATGTTTTAGGGCAACATGTTTTCTGGTATAGAAAATGCTATTTCTCAGAGAAGCTATAAATTAAGCGCATATATTTTCCTCAAACTCATTTGTCTCTTTTTATAACTGCTAGTGGATATTATTGAATAACTTTTTTTTTTTGCAAGATCTGCATGTTTTGTGTTTTAAGGAAGTAGTTCCAGCTTTTGTTTGTTTAATTTCATCTTTCGCAGACAGAGGTTTCCTTGCAGCATTACCTGGTTGGGCTTCAGCATTATCATTTGAACTTTAGAAGGAATTATTACTTCAATAGAAGATTGTTTTACAGTGCTACAATGTAGTATTGTGACTGTCGCAGGCATGCACAAATCTGTCCAGATACTTAACTTATTTTCATGTAGATCAAATAATTGTCGTTGATTTTGATCCTGAGAGGCAGATAATTCAGCATTTTTTAAAAAGATAATGGTATCACAGCAACATTTGGATACTACAGTGCTATGGAGAATACCACCATTATAGTGGCTGGTGAACTCTACCATTATGTAGGGCTGCACTTTTCCCCCACGTGTACAAGGCTACCGCGTAGAGCAGGTGAAGCTATGTGGGTCCACAACAATGTAGTTTTTAGTAGATGTCAAGAGGTATCTAAGCTCAAATCACAGTGTAGTAACTATATTATAGTTCCTTTCATTTTTAAAACATTTCTGTCCCTTTGTGATTTCATGCTTTGCATTCTGTACATATTCTTTCCAAATCACTCCTCAGAACCTGCCCCAAGATGGAGCTACTGTGTTATTGTTCCCTTAACATTTACTTATTCCATTCACATGTGACTATTCTTGTTATTAGTGGGAGGAAGGGGCTGCATAGTGTACTATAAGCAGTTGTGGTACCTAAGCTCCCAGACACAGGTGAATCCTCCATTCATTGGTTAAGCTCCAGTTTTATTCTTGGCTCACCTATATTTTGTGATACCAAAATATTAAGTTCTATATATCCTCCTCCTCTTCATCCTGTCTGTTTCTCATCTCTCCAAATTTTCAGAGTTAACATATTTTATTTCTGCTTAGTCAAACGAATACATATTTCCAACTAATATTCCTATCTATTAAGGACTAGCCTTGCCCCATCCTCATTTTACATTTGTCATCTTTTTTCTTTCTCTGTGAAAAGACCATGTGTGCATAACTGCATCCATTTTCATGATCAATACATCTGACCATACACTTTACATGGTGTTTTGTAATTTTTAAAAAATGCAGTACTAGGTATTGGACATATATTTTCATGTCTGTTTTTACCATGCAAAATAATCTTAGAATGTTGATATATTTCTGGGAGGAACCAGAATAAAAGATGAAGAGATGGAAATGGTCAATTCCTATTCCTAGATAACTTTTATAGTTACCTTTCAGCGTGGGTTATTTAGAAAGCAGTGGTAATACTACTTCTGTAGGAAACATTGTATCCTCCATAGACTTGACGGAAATATGCACTTGGTTTGAATTAGTAGAAGTAGAACATGCCAAGTCCATAAATTTACAGAGTGAGATTGTTGTTTAAAAGATTGGTTTCTATTACTGTTATCTTTGAGATTATATTAAGAAATTTGTTCTCTGTTGCAGGATAGTTTCACATATCATAATTGAATAAGACTAATGTTTCATTAGAACCATTTATTCCCTATTATTAATAGGGAAATTTTATTTTAATGTCCATGCCATCCTCTTCTGATTCTTCTCATGGTTTTCAAAGTAAGTAATTTAATTTGGTATAATACTTCCAGGATCTCAAAGCAAATCTGTATTTTAATCTCTCAGGTGTTCACTAGTATTACCAGTGACTAGTGGAAATAATAAAAGGAAATCTTGTTCATAAAATCCAACAGAATGATTTTTTTCCTCCCTGCAAAATCTTCTCGTTAAAGCTGAAACATAAGACCTCATAAAATTCAATTTCTACTGAGTGATATTCCAATTAAGAGTACTAATTCATATTATATTAATCAAATTAGTATTTGTTCCTCTTCTGCTAAAATGTGATCGAGAAATTCATGCGTATCAGTTCACCAGCACCATTCGTTCCCTACTGAGATAATAAATGATGGGAAAGTATTTTTTGGTTCATTTCATGCTGCTTCCCTAGATCTGCTTACTGCAAAGGCAAACTTACCTGAATACTTTTGTTGAGATTTTCAGCCAGCCATTCTTTGCTGTCAGTGTGGGGATCAGAATGAGTAGGGGAGCAAACTTACCTGAATACTGTTGTTGAGATTTTCAGCCAGCCATTCTTTGCTGTCAGTGTGGGGATCAGAATGAGTAGGGGAGCAAACTTACCTGAATACTGTTGTTGAGATTTTCAGCCAGCCATTCTTTGCTGTCAGTGTGGGGATCAGAATGAGTAGGGGAGCAAACTTACCTGAATACTGTTGTTGAGATTTTCAGCCAGCCATTCTTTGCTGTCAGTGTGTGGATCAGAGTGAGTAGGGGAGCAAACTTACCTGAATACTGTTGTTGAGATTTTCAGCCAGCCATCCTTTGCTGTCAGTGTGTGGATCAGAATGAGTAGGGGAGCAAACTTACCTGAATACTGTTGTTGAGATTTTCAGCCAGCCATCCTTTGCTGTCAGTGTAGGGAACAGAGTGAGTAGGGGAGCAAACTTACCTGAATACTGTTGTTGAGATTTTCAGCCAGCCATCCTTTGCTGTCAGTGTGTGGATCAGAGTGAGTAGGGGAGCAAACTTACCTGAATACTGTTGTTGAGATTTTCAGCCAGCCATCCTTTGCTGTCAGTGTGTGGATCAGAGTGAGTAGGGGAGCAAACTTACCTGCATACTGTTGTTGAGATTTTCAGCCAGCCATCCTTTGCTGTCAGTGTGTGGATCAGAGTGAGTAGGGGAGCAAACTTACCTGAATACTGTTGTTGAGATTTTCAGCCAGCCATCCTTTGCTGTCAGTGTGTGGATCAGAGTGAGTAGGGGAGCAAACTTACCTGAATACTGTTGTTGAGATTTTCAGCCAGCCATCCTTTGCTGTCAGTGTGTGGATCAGAGTGAGTAGGGGAGCAAACTTACCTGAATACTGTTGTTGAGATTTTCAGCCAGCCATCCTTTGCTGTCAGTGTGGGGATCAGAGTGAGTAGGGTTTTTTTTTCTGAGTGTGAACAGCACACCCTACCTAAGGCCACTTAAGAGACACTGGAGTCAGAATCTCTGGAGAAAGGATCTGATACAGTGCTATCTTAAAGAGATCTTCAGATAATTCTGAGGTTAAGCAGCATGGCTCTAGGCTGTATTTATAAAACAGAAATTATGCTGGAGAGAAGAGCGTTGTCCGAGTTACTATTTTACTTATATTACTCTTGTCTTATCCAAGAAGTATCTGAAGTCCTTACAATATAGCACACCCAGATTTCTTTAAAAAATAAGGAAACACTAGTGAAGATTGGAATGAAGTGTATTGCGTAAGGTTTTATAAATTTCTCTAGAGGAAGCAGGCAGAGTTGGCTCTGGAACTTCTCTACACTGTCTACAAGTTAAAAATAAGCTGATGTTCCAGGAGAGTACGGTTGGATCCTGAGAGTAAGACCTGGTAGAATAAACAGTATCGTCAGTGTTCTCAGATTCCTTGAAAGCAGGAACTAGGTGATATTCTTTTTTTTTTTTCTGAGACAGTTTCACTTTGTTGCCCAGGCTGAAGTGCAGTGGCATGATCTTAGCTCACTGCCTGCCGGGTTCAAGCAATTCTTGTGCCTCAGCCTCCTGAGTAGCTGAGACTACAGGCATATACCACCACACTGGGCTGATTTTTTTGTATTTTAGTAGAGACAAGGCTTCACCATGTTGATCAGTCTTGAACTCAAATTCCTGAGCTCAGGCAGTCCTCCCACCTCAGCCTCCCAAAGTGCTAGGATTACAGGCATGAAGCCACCATGCCAGGCCTGGTGGTGTTCTTATTTATATCTCCAGCATCTAGTATAATAAACGACATATGATAGATGTTCCTTGAAAGTTTTCTGTTAATAAGTTCATTCCCTATGGAGATTTCCAATAATGAATTTCTTAGGGGTGATCCTCAGTGTAGGAGAACATAAAATTTTAAAGTAGAAACAAAATAGTCACACAATAAGGAGGCAGGCCAAATACATGGGGTGAGGATGTAGCTCTTTGTCCCGGATAAATTTATGGTTTGACTCTGGTTTCTAAACCTCTCTCCCCCACACCCCTCAGACTTTCTTCGGAATGGGGCCCAGGAATCTGAAGTTTCAAAAATTCCACCAGCGATTCTATGCAACCACCTAAGCGTGGCTCTTTGTAGGCTCTTACAGGGTATTGTGGACTTTTAAATACATTTCTAGAAATGGATGCACTGTGTATCTCTCAAGCAGTCCGCTTTAAATCTTCTTCAGTGTGAACGTAATAAGTATTGACTTACTAGTAAGTCAAAAAAATAAAGACTTCTGAAAGATATCAGAGATGTTGGTCTTATTTTTATAGTTAAGAGCAACCCTTACTCTTTAATAGAAAGCCAATTGGTGGTAAAGTTGACCTTCTTAAAAGATTGAAGACCATAACCAGGAAATATGCATAAGTAAAGCACCCCCAAACCTCCTCAATAGCCTGTTTCAACATGAAGATGGACAAAAGGAGCAGACTCAGAGTTCCCTCAGAATGTTGAGTTGTCTTCTATAACAGCTAGAGAAGCATGGCCGGAAAATCACTCTGTGGAGGCCAGTCATTTGAAAATCCTAGAGAAATACCCATAGAACAGATGAGTGATTGGAGAGAGACTTTAGGAATAAGGATATTATTTACCTCCATAGAGAACTGGTCATTCATGGTGAAATGAGTGCATTTAAATTTTTTGTTTGTTTGTTTCCAGTCTCCCAGGGTTTCAAACCATTGTGGGTTTACCTACCGTGACTACAACACCACTCATCTAAGTTCCCTGGGAGGTATATACACAGGGAAAACCCTAGAGAAAATTGTTCTGTATGGCATTTAGGGAATTTATAGCTGTGGGCCACTAGTGATGGGGTTTTTAATAGGGTTAGAGGATGAACAACAATTGTATTATATGGTAAAAGCCGAACTTGTTCTGCTGTTGTTCCTAACACAGAAATAGAAATTACTAAAGTGTATGGTAGGGTATTAGTTGCGTGAGCCTTCCATACAGAACAACACAATATAACCAGTACATGTTACATTGAATAGAGAGTAATTCTTTTTGTTTAAAAATATGAGTAGGTAGGTACAGTCTGGAAATAATGTATCAGAAATATTAATAGTGCTTATCTCTGAGTAATGCAAAGAGTTTTAAATTTTCCACATTTTTCTTGTTTGTTCTAGTAAACATTTTTATTCTTTGGTTTGATAAATTGAAGACAAAACCTCTTTTTTTGTCTTCTTTGACAGTTTTTTTATACGGACTTTATTTTATAATCTGATTCCCTTGTAATTCTTCTAAGACCACTTCCCTGTGAGTAGCCTGTGTTTCATCTACACCAGATTACTCATCGTTTCTATTGCATATAGGAAATTTTCCTGTCATTATGGCATGTTCATGAAGTATCCTTCATCTTAAAAATGTTCTTTTATCTTTAGTGTTCATGAATTTTTTCATATTCTTTAAGATCTTCCTCATATCCCAGAGTCTTTGTGAGTTTCTCTGAGAGCACTTCTCTAGTAGCTATTGTCTTTTCCCTCTTAATTCCAACCTTTTCTTACTACCAAATGTATTATGTTCTTCTCTATTGTACTTATATTTTGGCTTGCCTTCCAGTGTAGAGTCTCATATATAGCAGGGATTTTATGAATCTTTGATCAGACCTTACAATGTGCTATTCCTTCTGCCTGGAATCTTTTCTATTCTTTTCTCCAAGATAATCCTCTACAAATCCTTCAAGACTCATCTAAGTTAGCACCTCTTCTAGAAAGTGTTTCTTAACAGGCAGCATTATCTCAAGTATGTGTATTGGGTCCACAGTGCTTTTATAAAACCTTGTGCGTAACTTTTATTGAATTTAGCACATTGTATTATAATAGAATGTATATTTATCAGATTTTACTCAGAGTTCCTTAAAATTAGTGAAGTATGTAATCTTTTTTGTTTTTTATATTTTTAATACCTAATATAGTACTGAAAATGGCACAGGTTCAATAAACATGTTGGGAATGCAATTTGAATTTTTTGTTTCCAATCTCCCAGGGTGTCAAATATTGTAGGTTCAACTCCCGTGACAACGAAACCACTCACTTAAGTTCCCTAGGAGGTATATACATAGGGCAAACCCCAGAGAAAATTGTTCTGTATGACATTTAGCCAGAAGCATTCAGTGTTACTCATAACGTTTTTGTACTCAAACTCCTTTATGGAAGGAAACCTTGGCCCTGGTGACCTAAGGTGGATTTGACATGTGTTGATCAGATAACATTACTCTTGGTCCTAAGAACCAATTTTACAAAGATTCTAGGTTTCAGTGGGTCATTAGACCAATGTCAGACCAGATGGATTTATTGCTTTAAGTTCACATCCAATTATTAACCGTTGACATTATCTGCTATGGTGAAGAGAGGAAGAGTGCCAAACACAAGGAAAAGTTTTATCAACAAGGAGTTTCTCTCCCAGCCCTAAAGCAGCTGGCATGAGCCACCTATCATGAAGTCTTCCAGAAGCAGAAGTATTGCTAAGCTGATGGTAGCCAAAGATTTTCTTTATCTATTACTCATGGGCATTGAAAGGCTATTGCAGTCCAAAATCAGGAAATGATTTAATGAGGACATTAAACTTCTTTTAACTTCTCTCCTTCCTTTTTGTACACATTGTAAGCATCCTCACCTCTGGTTTTCCTTATCACATAGTTTTACCTCCATGATCTTAGTTAACTCTGTCAAAAACTTGGTGTGTTCATGTGCAGTCTCCACACCTTTGTGTCCAAAATATGTCTTGATTCTAGCCAATTTTGTGTCCCCCTGTTGCTCTCTCTCTTAATCAGAAAGCACATTTATTTCTTTTTCATGTTGCTCTACTGCCTTCTATTACCTTCACCGATCTCTAGTTTTACTTTCCTCTCTAATTCGTTCTTCACAATATCCCCAGAATAATTTTTTAAAAACTGCTATGTTGCCATTATATTATGTACTATATTATATACCTGCATCATCTCTTGCCATTTCTCCACTCTCATACTGTAGTCCAGTCATATTATTCTTTTTTTTGAATGTAGTCCATGCTTACTGCATGGACTCTCCATTCTTCCACCTGGAAAAACAGCTCATTCATTATTCAGCTTAATAGGTCACTTTAGGTCACATCCAAATTGCTCACATCACTTCACTGCCATTGTTCCCATATAAAGTGTTATAATATTGTCAAAATTTATATATATGATTATTTGGTTAGTGGTGTTCTCCACAGATGACTGTGAGCTTCATGGAGACAGAGACTGGCTGCTTTGTCAGAGACTCACTGAGATAAACCCTTTAGGTCATGTAAGGATTTTGGGCTTGTCTCATCTAGGGAACACCCAGTGGATGTTCATTGTACATTGTTGGATATATAAGTCTGGAACTCAAAAGATGGATAGGAGATATCGTGAATTTTTATTGGTACCAGTTTGCCTTTCCTCTGACAACACTCAGCTACTGGGGCAAGTACAGAAAAGATGGAAGGTTAGGTTCATTCAGGGTTAAGATTTTGTCAGGAAGTGTGAAGGAAGATGCTGTGGCCAGAGAAAAATAGCTCCTGTGCACTCTATGGAAAGTCAGCCCAAGATTGCTGTTCAAACCAAATTCTTTTGGTAAAATGCTGGCAATTTTCCAAAATGAGCTTTTGTTATTTCTCATGGCAGAAAAATTTACTGTGAATTCCTTACCATAAACTATAATGAGAGCTTTCTTTCATAATTATTGGAGTACTCTTAGTTCTGGGTTTTTGTTTTTTAATAAATTCTGGGAAGAAGTGCTATACGTGGAAAGATATATTTTACTTTGAATGGAAGACTAAAATTGGTTCTTACATAACTTCAGACATAGAAATGAATAAAAGATTTATCTTAGTATAGACTCTGTGGTTTATATTAGATATATAATTGATTCTTTTCTCATGAAGCACAAGCAGCAGGAGACCCAGAATATCTAGAGCAGCCATCAAGAAGTGATTTCTCAAAGCACTTGAAAGAAGAAACTATTCAAATAATTACCAAGGCATCACATGAGCATGAAGATAAAAGTCCTGAAACAGTTTTGCAGTCGGTAAGAACTTTTCTTTTGGCTCTCTGAACATAGCCATGGTCACGACATTTCCTCCAGTATAGTGGAGAGGGACCTGTCAGGGAGTCAGGAGAGACGGGGCCCAGTGATGGCTCTGCCATGGGCATGATCAGTGACCATGGGCAAGTCATCTCATGCCCAGGCTGTGATTTCCTCAGCTGTGATTTTAAAGACACTTTTCTCTTAAGTTTCTGTCTTTCTGCTAGAGAATTCTAATGAATCATAATCATAGATTAAATTGACCATTTGATCTGGAACTTAAAAAGAGAAGTGTAAAATTTAGCAGTATTTCTCCTGTCTCTCACCCATTCCTCCATCTGTAATCTGATTACATGGGAATAGTTGAGAATTTAAGACCTAATTGTCATAATTTCATGAAATGTGTTTAACAATAAAACTACTAGATACTGTAGATTAGAGTATTATTTAAAACTACTAGATACTGTAGATTAGAGTATTATTAGAAGGATAAGTAGGATGTTGCAAAACTGTTTGTGAATATTTTAAGAACGTCCTGTGCAAAAACGTCATTAGGCTACTCTATTGTAGTTTTCAACTACATCTTTTTATAGCGGTAAATTGAGCATGTTTGGTGTTATACTGTGTTATCAGTGAATATGGCATTCTGAGAGAAGCTATTTCAAGAATTTGTTACTACTAAACCTTTTAGTTCCTGTAGTCATTTATCTTTTATTAGTGAGCATAAGCAGCTCTAATGCAGATTTTGTGGTAGTTCCTTTTAATATTTGAAGATTCCCCTTGACAACTAAAAAGAGTACGACATATCATAATTTTACAACACGTAATTTTCTGCTTAGTAAGTGAATTCAGTGCCAGCAATAACCTGCTAATTGCAATGAGGCCTTAAATATATAATAAGACTTCCTTTAGCCAAAATGTTCAAGAGATATGGTACTCTGTTAATTTTGTTTTGATGAACTAAATAACAATACAAATTATTTTTTGTTTGAACAATTTTGAAAATGTATTAATATATCATCTTATTAAAATGTATTAATTTAAATAGATATTTGATGATTCCAAATTTTGCAAATGCCTTAGAAGCTTTAAATGAATTTGATGTGAACATCACTAACTCTAAAGCTTTTCCTGGAAAATGCTTTGTTTAGTGGATCTGGGATGTCTGCTTCTTGGGTGATGGTAAGAGGAAAACCTAGGGAAGGAGAAAGAACAGAGGAGTAGGTACAAGGGGAAATAGTTTTGTCTGACAAAAACTGCATTTGCAAGGCCTCTGCTAATTAGAACTTTTATTTGTTAAAGGCCTAAATTATGATTAATGAGTGTCACTTTTTAAGCTGGTATTAGAAAACCAAAAGCATTACTTAGCTTAATGTAGAATCCTGATTTTAAGTTTGGAAAATCATATGGAATTTAAATTTGCAGAAGTCAGCTAAATTTTGATTGCTCAGCTTCATAATATGGATATCGTCTTATAAGGTAGCAACCTACTACCTCATCTTTACTTCAGAAAGGAGGATGACAGGGAGACTATATGATATAGACAAATACACTATTTGTCTATTCATTTAATTGTTTTCTGGAGTGGCATCCACAGTTAGCCCCATTGCATATGTAAATCCTGAAGCAAGTCTGAGAATTCATTAACCGTGGCTTGATCTTACAGTCAGTTGCTTAGCGTCATGGTAACTACTTCATAGCGGTTTTTTTCATTTAAACTTAGCGTACACTAGAAGCTAAATTGCACAGGTGAAAAGTATCTTCAGACTTTGGGATTAAACATTTCTGGATTTTGGAATATTAGTTTTATTTATTATGAATGCAACCTTGAATAAATTGCCAAATTTCTCCAGATAGACCTCAGTCTTCTTTTCCATAAAATGAAGGTAATTGTAGGATTAGTCAAGAGCATTATTTGTAAGTGCCTGGCATGGCATGTAGTAGGCACTGAGTAACTGTTGGTTTCCTTCTGTTACATCAGTCCTAGCCGCTTTTCAAATATGCAATATATTAAAATCAACTTTAATATAAGAAAAATTTCCTGGAAAGCGTAGAATCATGGAAATTAGAGAAAGTCTTCAAGTGTTTAGGCACCCTGCTTTTTAGAAAAATGTCTTTAATTTTAAATGGAATACTTAGGATATTTTCAATATAGAAGAGTAGACCCTGAGAAAAAGTCATGCATAGTCCCACTCACTACTCATAGTTAATTATTGTAAATATGTTGGTATTTATTTCACTTTTATTTTAATATGTAGATTTGGGATTTATTTTTATAGTTGAGTTGCATACAAAATTTTGTGTTGCCTTCTTTTAATCACTTACCTTTTATAACCATTTCCCCATGTTGTAAACTCAGTGAAAACATTTAGTGGCTGAGTATTATTCCATTGAATAATTAACTTCTTGTTTATGTATCTGCTACTCAATCGTATATTTGTGTCTACTTTTACATTATAAATAGGCTGCTAGAAATGAAAACTTTTTTCATATTTCAGGTTATTTCCTTAGAATAGATTTCCCATGCTAGAAATGAAAACTTTTTTCATATTTCAGGTTATTTCCTTAGAATAGATTTCCCATGGTTGAATTACTAGCTTAAAAGGTAAAGGCACATTAATGTGGCCGTGGACTTAGATAGCTTTTTTGTCACCCTTCTTATGAGACCACTTTTTAAGAAGTCATATAATTAATGGATTTCAGGCAAGTCATAAAAATCTTCGTATTTTAATTATTTTTGCAGCATATTAACTGAGAAACTTATTTTTAACTCTTTTCAAGTTTAGCCTTTGTTAATGTATTCATATAAGACCTGAAAACAATAGAAAAAGATAAATAAACATGTATTTTACTCTAGTGAGCCCTTAAATTCTTTACATGGAAAATTTTTATGGTACTTTGGGATATCTAAATTTGGCAAATGATACTACAGAATTATTATATGTGGCAAAGTTTCTTCCCCCTTTCAGCTTTTACCCATGTATTTAATCAGCATTATGCTGTTGAAATTCTTCAATAGTAACTGAAAAGGTTTATAAAACATTTATGTTCCCTAAGTGCAATTTTTTTCCCCCAAAGGGAATCTGTTTTGTAAGGATTAATATTCTAAGTGATAACCATTTGCTTCAAATTTATATTTTCTTTTCCTAAGATAGAATTGTTTTGGATTGGTTTGCTAGTGAGAAATCATCACCACAAACTCCGAACAGATTTCTGAATTTACCTGTTTATATTTCACTCTTGTGTACAGAGACCTAGCACAGTTCGTCTCTTATATGCTAGAAAGATTAAAAATCCTTAATTAAATGTCATGGACCAAGCACATCTCTGTAGAATGTGTGTGATAGTAGTATTAGGTTAAAATTATTCAAATATAAACAATTTAAAGTAGCACAACAAAGTAGTACAATGACTCATAGCTGTCATTTTATAGAACAGCCGTTACATACCTGGTGTTGGCTTAGCTGCATATTATCTCTCATGATCATGATACCTGTTCATGCTGATCATTTCCTGTTGAAAAGTTGTGGATTTTGATAAATTAAGGATAAGTTGTGGATTTTGATATATGTGTGTGTGTGTGTGTATATATATATATATATATATATATATATATATATATTTTTTTTTTTTTTTTTTTTTTGAGACAGAGTCTTACTCTGTAACCCAGGCTGGAGTGCAGTGGTGCAGTCTCAGCTCTCTGCAACCTCCGCCTCCCAGGTTCAAGCAATTCTCATGCCTCAGCTTCCCAAGTAGCTGGGATTACAGGCATGTGCCACCATGCCTGGCTAATCTTTGTATATTTAGTAGGGACGGATTTCGCCATGTTGGCTAGGCTGATCTCCAGCTACTGACCTCAAGTGATACGCCCATCTTGACCTCCCAAACTGCTGGGATTATAGGTCTAAGCTACCACGCCATGCCAAAAATAGTGTTTATTTTAAAAGGGGCAGTACCAGTTGCAGCTATTGGTTTTGTTTTGTTTTATTGTTCAGTTAAACTCTTTTTCTATATATGCTTCCAGGAAGCCAGGAAATGTTCACATTGCTAAAATTTACCCATATTTCTAATGGAAATGAAACCTCTTTAATTGCTGTTATAAAAATGTTTTTTGTAATATCAAAACAAAAGTTTATCTTTGTGTATGAAAACTTATGCAATTCAGTTACTTAAGTTGTTTTCAAGCACCTTCAGTACTTTTGGCTTTTTTAATAGGTAAATAGTGGATATGCTAGTTATAAATATGTTGAATAAGATAAATAAGTATGTAAACATCTGTATGGTATTTTGAATGAATCATATTAGTGTCATGAAGTTTTGAATGAAATTTTCTGAATTTTACACTGACTTCTGTATTAGTGTAGATTACTGAAATACATAGAATTTGTTAACAATAAAAAGAAAAAAAGGAATAAATCTGATTGAGTTGTTAAAAATGGGTATCAGCTTCCAACAGCTTTTTCTTATTTTCAGCAGGTGTTTGTTGAACACTTAAGATATAAATATACTGGAGCCTCATAGGCTGTATATAATAAGTTAAACAAAATAGAATATGGATATTAACTGGATACACAATTGATTACCAAAAACAATAGAAGGATAAAATTATAAGGAAAAAAACCCTACAAATTCTGATGAGTTTAGAGGAGGTCATATCTTATTTTGGTTGAGATATCAAGAAAGGTTTTTGGGAGCTATTGGACTTTTTAAAAAATTGTCAGCTATACAGACAATAATAGAAAATACAACTCCACTATTTTTTATCTTAAGTACTTAAAGTTCTAAATACTTTCAGGGAAAAATGTAATGATATTGGTAATACCCAGTTTGAGGATGTAAAGGGAAAACTGCAGATTTTGTATTACTACTTGATGAATGCATTTGCTTCTGATGTTCAGTTTTAAGTGGTTTCATTTGATACCAAGTCAATGCAGGTATTTTTAAAAGATTTAAGAGTATGTGCTTAAACAGTTTAATAGTGCATGTGCGTTGGAACTTTTAAAAATAAGTCATATGGATACAGGGCTGCTGCTTAGGGATGTGCAGGTTATACAGTTGTGCAAGGATGCCATTGTTCTCCACTGTTCTCTTTTCTAATGTTTATATTAATGATTTCCTTCTGCAGAAACCTGAAAATACTACAAGCCAACCACTTTCTAATCAGCGAGTTGTAGAGGTGGCGATCCCTCATGTAGGGAAATTTATGATTGAATCAAAGGAGGGGGGGTATGATGACGAGGTACCTTTTACAGCCCTCTGCACCATTGCTACTTAACTTTTGCTATTTAATACAAATACTTTGGGCATGCCTGCACCCTCATACTTAATGTCTATTGCCACATAACATACAGCTTTGCCCCCTCATAGTCCAAAATTACTTTACCAATTATTAACAGAACTTTGAATTTCAAATGAAAATTTAAGTAGAAAACTTATGGAATTTGTCAAAAGAATTTTCTGTTTGTGGAGTTAATTCTTTTATGCAGAAATAGTACCAGTTTACTTCCAGGTTGGCAGATTACAATAAGATTTGTTTAATTAGTACAAAAATTTTTTGCATTTAAAAATAATTTTTTATATTCCATTCTTGTTTTACTGGAATTACTTATAATCCTTTTCCCACTATCTCCTGCCAGAAAATCCCACAGCATGATTGCAGGATGGATAATTGATATTTTTGCTTCTACAGCCTCTCCATGTGACTGTGAGTGGAGTAAGTCATCACCGTTACTGAGTGCCTACCGTTAATAGGACCTCCATGTTTATTCTTATCTCTTCACTGTTAATTCTCATTTACTTAGTTTTCCAACAGTATGGAGGCATTTTTGTTTTTCATGATTTAGTTCTTTGGAATCCAGATGAAAATGATCTATTGTCTTATTCTATCAGATGATTTTCTCCCCTTTTCCACTTTTCTCTTGAGACACTTAATATTACTCTTTTTGAGGAACGGCCAGTAAAGCTGTTTTTGAACAGGAACACAGAGGAGGCCGTAACTATTGGGTAGTGGGGGAGGGGGGTGATTTGGAAAAATGCTTGTTGGATTCTAGTTTTTGTGGGTTTGTATAAGAATTGCATTTATGTTAAGTTTTTTTTCACGTAACTTTTTTTCTGACTTACTCCAATGTTACTATCATGCTAGAGTTAATCACCAAAGTCAGAAGTGTCATAAAGACATATCACTGTACCAGTGTAAGAAATCACACGCCATAAAGAGAATAAGCAGATTTGTGAGATAAACTGGTCAGAGAGTTTTCTCAAGCAGGTGTTAGATATATTGCAATTCTCAGTATATAATCCAAAGTAAATACAATGAGTAATAGGTTCAGTGAATCAGAGGTGACGGAGGCAATCTCTTGATTTCTGTAAGATAGCTTCATAGGGCTTTGAGTAATTTCACTTTGCAGATATTTTAAAATGTAAACAGCTAAAAATAATAAGCTATTATGAAAACAAAAAAAATGCTTAAGTATTTGTACTTAATGGCTCTACATTGTTCTAGTTAACTATTTTATAAACATGCTGGCTCTTGAAAATTATGGGAACTGGCATGTTTTTAATAAACCTATCAATTTATTGATTAAGCAGTTAAGTACTTGTTTTAGGATGTGCCCTCTCTCATTTAAAAAAGTTGAATTGTGATTAATCATTTAACACTATCTTTTTTGCAAGTGCTTATGTGACAGAGTTGTGTGTTTTGTCGTTTTTTAAAATTTATTGCAGTGACAGTTTAACAGTGCATGTGCATTGGAACTTTTAAAAATGAGTTGTTATGGATACAGGGCTGCTGTTCAGGGATGTGCAGGTTGTACAGTTCTGCAAGGATGACTAGACAAGGGGCAGAAGTGGGAAGCAAATTGAGTTCATGATGAGCTCTCTGAGGCTTGAGGAAGAGGTACCTTTTTTAATTGGTAAAAAGGGATGTTGCTTTTTCTAAATAGTTCACTCAGAGGATAGCACATTTTTCTAATTTGTTTGTCTAGAAGCAGGGTGCCTTTTTCAAATTCTCCAATTCAGAGAGGATGCCTTTTTGCAGTTTGCACAAAGGCTCCGTATGAGCCAGCTGTGCCCTGTATGGATGATCTTAAAAGGTGCTTACATGCATATTGGATTAAATTTGGTATTAAAAGTGCAACATTTGATTTATAAATATGGAAAACAAAAGAGTTTCAGCTTGCATGTGAATAAATTATTTTAGTTTAAAAACCTTTTTTTAATGTTAACTATCTTCTGTGGCAGATCATGATGACACCGAACATGCAAGGTATTATCATGGCGATAGGTAAATCCAGGAGTGTATATGACAGGTGTGGCCCTGAAGCAGGGTTCTTTAAGGTACAATGAACATTTTCATTTTCGTGTCTTTTCTTTTTCAAAATTAAACTTCTTAAAATATTTTATTTCTTTGAATTCAGTTTGGTTTTCTGTATAATTTCTCTTTTCCTATCTTAGTTATGGCCACCGGATATCCTAGGGTTTTATTTTATGTATTAATTAACCTAATACTGATTGTTTTTCTCTTAATCCAGGTAATTCAAGAAAAAAATCTTTTTATTTGAGTCACTCTAATAGTGTGCTTTTGATTTGTCAGCAGAAATTTGAATTGTATTTTTTATTTGAAGGGAATGAGGACATTAATGAACAATAATAAGAACTGAGTAAATTGCCCTGGTAATAGTTTATTTTATCTTCATTGTTCATATTATTGGTCAATATCATAATATTCTTTAATTTTATTATCATTAGGTACTAAATTGCTTTTTCGTTTATAAAATGATTTATTTATTATATTATTTTTGTTATGTTTCCCCATAATTAATTTTTGATAACCTAGTCAGTTCAAGACATGTGAGAACATCAAGCTGAACACGATTCCATGATTTACCCACATCTTTTTCCCTCTAATATCAGAGCTTTACAATGTTTTGATTACAATTTTTTCCTTTTACAGATTTGAAAGATGAAAATACCATGTATGTTTTGTCATTTTATTTACATTAACTGAAAATCTTCAAGTTTTTTTTTTTTTCACTCTTTTCAAACCCTTCTTAGTGGTTTTAAAAAGCAGCTTTTTTGAGGTCCAGTTTGCTACAGTGAACTATGCATTTCTTTCTTTTTGACATTAAAAATCTAACATTTTTCATTTTCTGTATTTTGCCATTATCCAACTTGGTCTTTCAAAAACTGGTTCTTTTTTCACTGTTTCTTTCAGTATACAGTACAAAACAAAAGCCTTGTACATAGTAGTAGACCTATCAATAAGCATTTTTGAGTTTGCTAAGATTAGGGTGACTAACTCTCCTGATATGCCCGGGACTGAGGGATTTCCTGGACTACAGGATTTAAAGTGCTAAACTGGGAAAGTTCTAAGCAAACTGGTCCCAGGACAAGTTGATCACCCTATTATGATCCCATAAGAAAGGTTGAAAATCTACTTCTAAAAAAAGAAGAAAAATGTATTTTTTATAGTTTTCTGTTTTAATACATTTCTTTATAGTTTCTAGGTTTCTAACTGGCTTCCTAATTTTTACCATTAGAAATTCCTTCTTATGCCCAGATAGTCTACATTTTCTTTTCTTAAAAAAAAAACACTGAATATATGTCCTCTAAAGTATTTATTTCTTGTGGAAAAGTTATTTATGATTTACAGTGCCATTGTCATTTCTGACCAGATTGGGTCTTCTTATGTTGAATTGCAAATCTCATTTTTATTAAGTTAATATCTGCATATAAATAATCACCTAATTGTATATATTACAACAGTTAGTAAGCCCCCAGTGGATAATGACTTTCAGTTATTTAATCTGTTTGGCATTAATTCATATCTTTAAATAGAATATTTGGGTTTTTTATTCACAGTTTACACATTACCTGTTGAATTTGCTTCTGTGGAATATGAATGATGAGCTCTCTTTCTTTTCCTGCGTCGCATACATACACTGAGAGACACAGCTCCTATCCCCCATACACACACACACACACACACACACGTAAAATCTTGTAATTTTGATTATATCAGAATTCTGCATTTGTAATATTATTATGTATGCTATATGTGATTGAGTTATATTATAAATATTACTACTTTCTGTTTTTCCCTTAACTTTTGTTTTCCTTAAACTTAGTTGTTTTGTTTTTTGGTTTGCTTAGTTTATGTGTATTACTGATTTAGTTCAAAGCTGTCCACTGCTTGTTTAAATCTCCTCTCATTCTGCCTTTACCAGTTTTATCTTCTTGGGACATCTATTCTGGAGCTTTATGACCTGCCCCAATCTGTATTGGTTTTTCTTTTCTCCTGATCCATAACTAGTAACTTGAGATCTCCTTTCACCATCATTCTGGGGATTCCCTTTGCATCCTTTCCTTTGTGTATTTTCCATATTTCATATATTTTTCTTTATTGGTTTGCTCTATGATTTTGATAGTACAGCAAGAAAGCATGGGCAAGAATCAAGTTTGTGGAAGAGGGACAGAGCATTTTCTTAAATAAGTTATGTTATATTGCAACTCTCAGCACATAATCTAAATAAATACTGTGGTTAATAAACTTCAGTGAATCTGAGGTAAAAGTTTTCAAGTTGCTTTGGAGATTGAGTCGAATTTGACGTTTTACTCATAGCATAAGGAAACTGTGCTCTTTGTCAGATGTTAAAAATAATTACTACAGAATTTCTATTTCACTAACCATTCTCCTTACTATCATCATACTCCCTTTCTTGCTTTTTTTTTTCTGCTGGAAAAACACTTACAAGAATAGTGGGAATGTACATTAGGAAGGAAGTAGTTTATATGTTGATATTAGCAGCCAGACTGCCTGGGCCGACTGCTTTCTAGCTTTGATTTTGGGCAAATTATTCAATCTTTGTATCTCAGTTTCCCGAGGTGTTAAATAACTATTTATTTTATTGAGTCATTGTGAGCTTTAAATAAATTGTATCAATGTTACGCTTTTAAAGTAGTATCTGGTTGATAGTAAATGCTCAGAATTTAGCTGTTATTGTTGTTAGTATTATCACGAAGCTTATCTTATGTGTCCAGTTCTGGTCCACATATAGTCGGAGATGAAAAATGAGAAAAATGAATGTGCCATATCTGTGTCAAGGACCTTTATTTGCTAATAGAATTTTTTTAACTCATTTGTTAGAAATTGTCAGTACCATTTTGGAGTAACAAAATTAGCAGTTTTGTTTGGCTTAACCTAATAATTACTATCATAAAACCCTCTTTCTACCTTTTTATGTCTTTAGTGTGTGTATATGTTTATAAAATTTCTGAAGTTTGTGTACATTTGCACCTATCTGTGATTGAGTAATACATGAGTGTAACCCCTTTATGTAAACATACATCAAGTTGTTTCTAATTAATGCATGTTTTTGGTAAAGGTAGAAGCATTTGGACACAACTCTAGCTGATAATATGTCACCTTAAAAATTTTTTCGTATAAAAAATGAAAGTAATGTATACAAAATGCAGTTGTATTCAGTAATATAGAGGTGTCTAAAATAAAACTAACAATGACAGTCTCTGCCACTGCCATGGCCCTATTGTAACCATTCTTAGCACTGTGTATCTTGTTTTTTTCTTTTTGTTTATAACAATGCACATATACAGAGACTTAAAATTTTTTTAATGTAGATTTTACTGTTCATAATATTTTGTAACTTATATCACTCAGAAATCTATTGTGGGCTTAAAGTTTAGACAGTATCACATTATCTTTACTAGCTGTCTGTATACACACATACACATGTGTACACATGTGTACACACAGGTACACACATGTACACGCACACGTGTACACATACATGTACACACACATGCACACATGTACACCCACACAGTATTCCATGCTATAGATATATTCTCATTTCTTGTATCTTACCCTCTTTATGGACATGTGTCCTATATTTTCTCCCAGTCTACCATTTCTATTTGAATTAGTTTAGAGTACTTTTTCTTAAACAGGTTTTAAAATAGTATGTTCGTTTTCCTACTTTATGGATTTTTTTTGCCATATTAAAAGATCTACTCTTACCCAAAGTTATATAAATTTTCCCACTACTTACTTAAAATACTTTTCTTAGTAAATTTTTATTTTTTAAATTCAAATGCTTACTGTTTAACTCATTAGCATTTTATTTGGGCTTTCTGCGTTCTGTATTAAATGAATTTGGTGTTTTTCTATTTTGTGCTGTCTTCATCAAGTTTGCAATTAGGGTTATGTTAGCTTTGGTAAATGAATTTGAGAGCTTTCCTGTTTTTTTTAATACTTAACCGTGTTAGCGTTGGAATGATCTGTTCTGTTAGTTAGAACTCACTCGTAAGATCATACGAGCCTAGCGCCTTCTTGCGGGGTAGATCTTTTAACACATTTTTTTGGTTCATTCCATAGTTATTGGCATGTTTAAATATTCTTCCTTTTTTTGATTGATTCTAATCATCATCATCATTCAGTATTAATTCATAAAATATGTACACACCATAGAATCTAACATATGGTTGCTGCTTCTGTCTTCCTGTTTCCCCTCAATTAGATATAGTATTTTTAAATTTTTGTTCTTTTTTGTGCTTAGTGTATTATAAATTGAGGGAAAAGTTGTTTGTTTTGTTTTGTTTTGTTTTGTTTGAGGCAAAGTCTCACTCTGTCGCCCAGGCTGGAGTGCAGTGGTGCGATCTTGGCTCACTGCAACCTCTGCCTCCCAGGTTCGAGCAGTTCTCCTGCCTCAGCCTCCTGAGTAGCTGAGACTACAGGGGCCCGCCACCACACCCAGGTAATTTTTGTATTTTTAGTAGAGACGGGGTTTCACCATATTGGCCAGGCTGGCCTCAAACTCCTGACCTTGTGATCTGCCCTCTTCGGCCTCCCAAAGTGCTGGGATTACAGATGTGAGCCACCACGCCCGGCCGTGTTTTTGTTTTTTTTTAATATCTCTTCTGTCCTGCCACGTCCTGAAAAAATCTTGGTCGGGTCTAT
Organism: Homo sapiens; assembly: GCF_000001405.40. Classification (NCBI taxonomy): domain Eukaryota; kingdom Metazoa; phylum Chordata; class Mammalia; order Primates; family Hominidae; genus Homo; species Homo sapiens. The sequence continues at coordinate 15,854,512 of NC_000021.9, forward strand.
TTTACATTAGCTTTTTGGCTATGAAAGAAAGCTTTTTAACTCTGTGCCTGTTTAGGTACTTCTGAATATGGATTTCCTTATGTATTATGATTAGACCAACTTTTTAATACTCTGAATGTTTGCTAGTGATAAGAATAGTGATGCCACTGTCAGCCTTGTTATAAGAAACTTAGGTCTGAGTAAGTGGACTTGCTAAAGTTTAACCTCCGAATTAGGAAGTTACCAACCCAGTCATAGGAACTCTTTCAACCACAGGCCATCATCCCACGTGAACGTCTACCCAATAAGAATGCAGTATGAAAAAGTTAATAGGCAAAGTTGATCTGGAAAAAAAAATGCAATGGGCTACACTACACTAACTTGAGTCCTTCTTCAAATTGACTTTAATGGTTAAAACTAGTTTCTACTATAGAAAATCCCCAAATAATAGTGGCTTACGGAGAGAAGATTCTGTTGTGTAAAAATGAAATTCAGAGGAAAGCAATACAAAGTTACTATGATAAGCAAAAATAAAAGCCAGAAGATAAAAACAAAATATTTTCAAAGTACTCGTTGCTTGTATATATGTGTAGAGGTGGGAGGGTCATATTATAATTACAATTATGGGATTAGTGTAAGTTTTTTCATTTATTTTAAAAGACATTAAAATTTCTTTTTTTGTAAAAATTTTGTCGGTATCAAAGTACCCTTAGGGTTTTATTGAAGTAATACTTTTGTATTATAAAAATTTTTTCTTAATAGTTGTTTCATTGCTTCATAATAATGGTGTCCCTACTTGCCGTAACTTTATCACCCTTTTTTGCTTTTGAAATGTCTCTTAATCACCTTGTTTATTCAATAGATATAAAAATGTTTATTAGAATATAAAACATGTTGAAAAGTACAACTCGGTGAATTTTTTTTTGAGTGATACTTTCCTTATTTACATGGCCTTTAAGGAATGTGAAGAGGAAGAATTATTTATCAACATGGTATTAATGAAATCTTGTTCCCTAAAGGTATACGCAGGCCTAAATCGTTAATGCAAAAAATATACTTCTCCATGCATCTTGTTAAATTCAAGACAGCGGTCCAACATTTCCATGCTTAGCCAAAGAAGACTCTTTTCCTCTTGGTTGTGTACATTTGTAGCCTGAGTTTTAAGTGCCACATCTTTCAAGTCAGTTACACATCCTGCCTTTAGGCTCTCAGACTTGTACTTCCAACTCTGGGTTATCACAGTGTGTGTTTACCCATGTGACCACCAACTAGGCCAAGAGGTAGAACAGGAGTACTCCAGAAGTACCTTTTTTCCGCCTTCCCATCACTACAGTCTGTCCGTACCCAAAAGTAGCCATTATCTGGACTTCTAACAACATACGTTAGTTTTCTTGTTGGCCTTTATACACTTGGCATCTTTTACTCTAGGTCCTTTTTTGTCTGACTGCTTTTACTCAACAGTGTGTTTGGAGCTTCATCCATGTTATACAGTTGTCATTTCTTCCCTCTCATGGTATTTTGTTGTATGACTATAATTTTTTTCTATCCTTCTGTTGATGGACATGCTAAAAAGGTATTGCCTGTTTATATGCAGGGCATTGTCCTAAATCCAGGGATGTAGCTGGGATAATGATGGACTGAGTTCCTACCTTAATGAACCTCATTTTCTGCTAGGGAAAGAAACATTAATTAGAGTTATTAGTATGATAAAGAACCAGTGTAATGTGGAAAAAGAACATAAAATAAGAAAACAGAGCTAGTACCTAGAGGGCTTCTTAGAAAAAGTGACTTGTAAACTAGTAATACATAATCCAAAATGTAGAATGTAAATGTTTTTCTCTCACTTCCTAATTCTCACTCCACAGTGAGCATCTATTCATTGTTTCTTGTATATCCTAGAGAGATAGATGAGACTGGCTTACATTCAGGCATTCATCCTGTATTTATAATTTAAATAAAAGTAGGAGTATACTCTTTCTTTTTTTTTCTTTTTTTTTTTGAGACGGAGTCTCGCTCTGTCGCCCAGGCTGGAGTGCAGTGGCGCAGTCTCGGCTCACTGCAAGCTCCGCCTCCCGGGTTCACGCCATTCTCCTGCCTCAGCCTCCCAAGTAGCTGGGACTACAGGTGCCCGCTACCACGCCCGGCTAATTTTTTGTATTTTTAGTAGAGACAGGGTTTCACCGTGTTAGCCAGGATGGTCTCGATCTCCTGACCTCGTGATCCGCCTGCCTCGGCCTCCCAAAGTGCTGGGAGTACAGGCGTGAGCCACCGCACCCGGCCAGAAGTATACTCTATTTGCTTCTTTTTCTTGAGTTTATTTTTCATGTATATGTAATTATTCATATCAGGATTTGTAGATTTATCTCAGTATTTTTCCTTTGTTTCCTAGGGTTTATCAAAATTTATTTAAATATTCTCCTAGAATAGGGTATTCATGTTACAACAAATTTGAAGAAAGTTAATACATTTCCACCCACCATAGAGGCTGATGGGAGCAGTATGTCAGCACACTGATAACTTACTCATACTCTAATTTAGGAAACTGTCTCCTACTAGCTGTTACCAGCAAGGTCTCCATAGTCCTAGGTTTAAATCCTAACATTATCATTTAATAATTGTGACCTCAGGCAATTTATTAAATTATCAGAACCAGTTTATTCACTTATATGAGAAGTTATCTTGAGAATTAAATGAGATAATTCACGTGGAACTCTTCAGGCAGTGTCTGTCACATAAAGAACACCTAAGTTGTTACCTATTCTTATTAAATTTATCAGCATTGTTGTTGCTGAATATTTGAGTTATTTTCAATATCGTGAACATTTTTGTGCATATATTATTGAACACTTGCGTGAACATAGCAGAGTTGACAAGTCAAAGTGCTTGCAAATTTTAAATACTAGTATTATCAAATTGCCTACATGTAGTTATATTGATTTATTCTACTATTGATATTTGCCTAAAAAAAGACATTAAAAATGTAATCTCATATTTCAAAATGTATTTCTTTGATCTTTGTGAGGGTCAGTTTTTTTCATAAATATTTTGGCAATTGGTATTTATGTTGACTGTCATTCATCTTTATACGTTTATTACACTGAGTTTCTTTTAGTTAAGTGAACATTGATCTTCTAAGACAATTGATTCATCTGTAATTTGCAAATTATATTTTGTGGTTTATAATTTGTCTTTTAAATTTATTTTTTGTGTCTTACTATACATAATTTTTTAGATCTTATAAAATACAGCAACTCTTTTTATAGATTTGGTCCTGTGATCACTTATAAAATTATGCAAAATTTTAATTCTGCTGCTTTCATGGTTTTATAATACTTTTTGTTTTGATTACAGGATAGAAGATTTTAGTTTTCTCTGAATAGTAAAATATCCAGATAGTCTAAACATAAAATACTGACTAATGCCTCCTTTTCACGCTGACTTGACACATATACTAAATCATACCTATACTAAATCCCTTATCAGGGATTTATACTTAATGATATACTAAATCCCTACTTATAAGTAGCTCTAACTGGGTCTCTGTATTCCACTGATCTAGTTTTCTGTTTTTGGACAATACACTGAATACCAGTGATCTTATTGTAGATCGTTTGTAATACACTTTCACATTTTGTTAGAAGAACACTTAGTAATTTTTGTTCTTTTATAAACAGGAAGTTTGGCAAGCCTCATTTTTCTTCTGATGATTTTTAAAATCAATTGCCACTTCCTTTCCAAATCCTTTTAGAATTGTATTTATGTATTAATTTAACATGAAGCAGATAATTTTTTTTTTAGTATTTTGAGTCTTGCCCAAAAGGAACATGATACGCCTTTTCACTTTTATTGTCTTCTGTTGTGTTCTTTAGTGAGGTTTTATAATTTTATTTCATAATAGTCTTATGTCCTTTTGTTTAATTTATTCCTACATAATTTTTTTTGCCTTTATGAATAGGGTCATTTACTTCCATTTTTTTTTTAACCAGGTTATTGAAAGGGTAGGTAACGGGATAATTAATTTTACATGTTTATGTTGTATTTAGTTAACTTTATTGAACTCTTTGTTTTCTAATGGTTTTTCATTTTATTTTCTTGATTATTTCAGTAAACTGTCTCCCAAAAATTATTTTCTATATCTTTATTTCTTATTTCATTTCTGGTTTTATTGCGGTGATCAGAAATTTTTATTACATATTCTCAATATTGAAATAATGGTAGTAGGTGCCTTTGTCTAGTTTCTGATTTTAATGTCTCCAGTGTTTTAGTATTATGTATAATGTGTAGTTTTGGTTCCGCTTTATGAATTTTAAAATACTCTCAAATTAGTAGATAAGGGTTTCCAGCTAAACTGATTGGTATTGAAATTTAGAAATTTTATAATATACCTATTAAGATGCTGAATAGATTTCTCCTTCTTAATACTTGTAAACCCTTAATTCTTAATAATTGTAAAGGTGTTAACTTTGATCTATGTTTAAAAAAATTATTGTAAACACTTTTTGTTATCTCATATATTTTTTGTACACCACACTGTTTGTTTACCAAAAGTGGGTGTGGGTGTTGGCATCTGGGTACATAGACAAAATTGATCTATAGTTTCTTTCTTTATATTTGTCAATTTTGGATATACAAATTATATATATATAATATATCTATATTATATAGCCTTTTATAACCATTAAGGAGGCTTTCTCTTGTTTTGTTTTGTGTTTTTTTTTTTGAGACGGGGTCTCGCTCTGTCGCCCAGGCTGGAGTGCAGTGGTGCCATCTTGGCTCACTGCAGGCTCCGCCTCCCGGGTTCACGCCATTCTCCTGCCTCAGCCTCCTGAGTAGCTGGGACTACAGGCTCCCGCCACCACGCCTGGCTAAGTTTTTTTTGTATTTTTAGTAGAAATGGGGTTTCACCGTGTTAGCCAGGGTGGTCTCAATCTTCTGACCTCGTGATCTGCCCATCTCGGCCTCCCAAAGTGCTGGGATTACAGGCGTGAGCCACTGCGCCCGGCCGCTTTCTCTTGTTTTTCTGGCTCTGTGGCAGTTTAGATATCACAGAAATTATCTGATCCTTGAAGATTTGACATAACAGCCCAGCTCGAAAACATCGTGGGCTTGATATCTTTCGTGTTACCAGATTTCTAGGGCAAACTTTTAAGTTTTACAGAGTCTGTTCAGTTTTTCTGCCTCTGAAAGCAGTTCTGGTAGTTTATATTTTTCTAGATTATTATCTGTTGGGATACTGTAGTCTATTAACAAAGTTATATGTGTTATTCTTCAAGAAATTTTAAAACATTTTTTCTGTATTATCACCTTTCTTATTTCTACCGATGAGTTTTCTTCCCCTTTTTGGTCTTCCATCCAACTTTTTGGAAAGAAAAAGCCTTTGACTATCAAATTGTTACATTATATTTTATTTCTCCTACTTTATATTTTATTTTTCTAAATTCTTGAAATCTTTTCTATATTTAAATTGGATATATATATGTATATATATATATATATCTATATTTTTTTTTTTTTTTTGGATGGCGTCTCGCTCTGTCGCCTAGGCTAGAATGCAATGGCACAGTATCGGCTCACTGCAACCTTTGCCTCCCGGGTTCAAGTGATTCTCCTGCCTCAGCTCCCAAGCAGCTGGGATTACAGGCTCCCGCCACCATACCCAGCTAATTTTGTTTGTTTGTTTGAGACGGAGTCTCACACTGTTTCCCAGGCTGGAGTGCAATGGCATGATCTCAGCTCACCACAACCTCTGCCTCCTGGGTTCAAGCAATTGTCCTGCCTCAGCCTCCCGAGTAGCTGGGATTACAGGCGCCCATCACCATGCCTGGCTAATTTTTCCTATTTTTTAGTAGAGACAGGGTTTCACTGTGTTGGCCAGGCTGGTCTTGAACTCCTGACTTCAGGTGATCTGCCCACCTTGGCCTCCCAAAGTGCTGGGATTACAGGTGTGAGCCACTGTGCCTGGCCTGGAAATTTTTTTGACTAACAGCCCAATAGGTTTTGATATCTGATATTCCCATATTAGTATAGTTTTTTATTTCTTTGGCTCAAGAATAATTTAGAGCCATATTTTAAATTTTCTAAGTATTTAGGTTGGAAGATATCTCTATTTATAATTCCTATTTGTATTACAGTGTGGTCAAAGAATATGGCCAATATTATTTCAGTCCTCTGGAATTTGAAGTAAGTTTTCTTCATTTCTTGGCACTGTCAGTTTTTAAAAAATAGCCCATAAGCATTTTAAAATACACATAAACTCTCTTAACCAACTTTATTTTAGAGATAAGAGCAATCAGACTTAGAAGATTATGTGCCTTATTCTATGTCACAATTAATTATAAATGATGTATCTAGCTTTTTGAATTTTAATCTCATCAGTTTCCCATTAGATTTAACTGCCTCCAGAATATAAATGTTTATATTTTTGGTATCCACATACTCACATATATATATATTTGGTATCTTCATATATATATATATATATATATAGAGAGAGAGAGAGAGAGAGTTTACATAAAAAATTAAGTCCATAAGAAGTTATAAATTTAGAATATGGTTTTACAGTATTACTTAGAAAAGTAGAAAAAAGTCTAGGTAGAAATTATTTGCATCTTTAGAACTGAACAAGGTCTCAAAAGCATGACTTAAACTAATTTTGCTGATGGGTCATCTGTAGGTAGATGGGGAATGAACAAGAAAGGATATCACACATATGGAGAACTTAAGAAACAAAGGCATGTGTGCATTTGTGAGGAGACAAGCCTAACCTAGATAGGAGGGAGATCCTTGTTGCAGGATGATAGGAAATAAGATTGAATAAATGGCATTAAGCCTGATTAAAGGTCTAGTGAAAAAGTTAAAAAAGTTAAAAAAATTAAATAGCAGTTCTGTCATCTAATGACTAGTATCACATTTCATTTTGCACATGCGTGGTGATTTCATTGCAGTGTCTGTGATAATTAACTTAAAATAATTAGCATAGACCGCCAAAAAATATGGGCAAATATAATTCTAGAACAGGATTCTGAGGAGGTAGTATGAGACAAATATAATGTTAATTTACTCATAATGGCAGATTGTGTAGAACTCTGCTAAATATACTAGCATGGAACATCTGTTGAGAATTTGAATAAATATGATTCCAGTATATTTTAAAAGCCAAAAATTTCTTAAGGAAGTGTGTAAAAAATAGTTAAGGAATGCATTTATGCTAGTGAAAATGTTTTTTTGTATGTTTGAAAAACAGCTTCTAGAAATTTAGAAGGTAATTTCTTAAGAAGGAAGTGTATAAAAAATAGTTAAGAATTGCATTTATGGTGGTAAAAATGTTTTCTTGTGTGATTGAAAAACAGCTCCTAGAAATTTAGAAGTGTCTTTCTACCTCTGCTGGTTTAAACACCTATATACTGAAAAATACTGTGACTTTGGCAATTTGCTTGTGAAAATTAGGAGAGTCTTAAATTCAGCAAAATCAAGAGGTGAACATATAATCTTAGAGTATAAGAGGTTATATATTTCAGTTCTATAATAGAAATCTGCTATTTATTAAAACAGCTTCTATTTTGAAAGTAGGTAGGGGAATGATGACCATTTAGTGGAATCACTCCGTGCATGTAAACCTGCAATATTAATTTAAGAGACTCAGTACAAATTTGTTTTATTTTGGTCATGCTATTTTGTACTAAAGTATGATATACGAAATATTTGAATATTCTAAAAGTCTATTACAGGTTGAGTATCCCAAATCCAGAATTCAAAATCTGAAATATTGCAAAATCCAAAACATTTTGAGTGCCAACATGATACTCAAAGGAAATGTTCATTGGAGTATCATGGATTTTGGATTTTTGGATTCGGAATGCTCAACCAGCATAATGCAAACATTCCAAAATCTGAAAAAAATCTAAAATTGGAAACACTTCTGGTCCCAGGTATTTCAGATTAGGGATACTCAACCTGTAGCCTGTGACAATCATTATCGAAGGTTCATATCAACAAGAACAGTAATTGAATTGTTAATGTTTTAGATTTATTCTCAAATTCTTCCTACTTTGATTATTATGTTTGGTCTCCCCCCTTCCCCGTTTTTTTTTTTTTTTCCGAATTTGGATAATAGGAAGATTTTTAAAGAGCTCTAAGAGAAGCTTATGTGTGCTACCTAGGCACACAGTAAGCGTTGATAATCTTAAATATTAAAATACAGTTGATATTTATGGCTGTTATTTATTCACATAAGACTTTGGAATGACATGTATATCCTCAAAAAAAAAAAAGTCAGTTTTTTCAAGGGAAAAGTATTTTAAAATAATTTGTTCTCTTATTCTATTTATAATCTTATGCTGCATAGAAAGAACATATTAGCCTTCCTTTTTAATGAGTATGATATTACATAACTAGAATATTTCATTTAATGTTTATCAGTTATTTTTTCTCCCATCTGTACAATACAACCATATAGATCATAACATCTAGACGTCAAAGAATTACTTAAGAAAGGCATGCATTTTTTAAATTAAAAAAACTTTTTAATTGAATGGATTTTTTGTAATCTTGCCTGAAGCCCAAAATGTTTATGCTTATTAGAGCTAGAATTTACATATAAGTATAATATAAATGAATATAAAAAGCTTTATCTTAATCATATGGTCCTCTTGTACATAGCAATATGTACAATATGTGTAAATCTATACATATTTCTATATGGTCAGATATTTTCTAGATTTTGCTTGTATATTAAAACATGCATTAGTATTTGTTATTTCCCATTATTATTTGTATATTATGAGGTATTTTTGTTTATAAAGAAAAACTAAGTTTAAACCTTAAGGTAATAATAGTGATAATATATTATCATTATTATTCTTACATTAATAAAATGTACGTACTGTTGGAGCAATAAATACTTCTTTTTGTGATAATTATAACCCCGGGGCTTGATGTTGCATTCCTTATTTGTGGGCTATTCAGCTAAAAGTTAATTGCAATAATACGACTATGCATTTAAGAACAATTTTCTTTCAGATTTGAGTATTGTTGGGAGCTATATATCAACTCTAGAATTTTAGTGTTCAAACTGATGCTTAGAAAGGTAAAACAGAACGGGAAAACTTACCATCTCCATCTTATGATGTCTGTGAATAGACTTTGACTAGGCTCTGATAAATTTTACAGAATTACTCACATTGTAAGTTTAGACATATTTTACCGCTTTCATGTGTGGAAGCAAAAAGAACGTTTATATAGTGAAGGGATAAAGAAGGGCCTTTGTGGCCAGGCACGTGGCTCACGCCTGTAATCCCAGCACTTTGGGAGGCCAAGGCGGGCGGATTATGAGGTCAGGAGTTTGAGACCAGCCTGGCCAACATAGTGAAACCCCATCTCTACTAAAAATACAAAAAATTTAGCTGGGCGTGGTGGTGGGCGCCTGTAATCCCAGCTACTTGGGAGGCTGAGGCAGGAGATTCACTTGAACCTGAGAGGTGGAGGTTGCAGTGAGCCGAGATCACGCCACTGCAATCCATCCTGGGGGAGAGTGGGAGACTTCTTTTTTTTTTTTTTTTTTTTTTAAAAGAAGGGCCTTTGTGGTCAGTTATTCAGAAAATTCCTTGAGTCTATGGAACATGGGACTGTGTTCTTAGTTGTACTGCCTTGTTTGTGATACTTTAAAAGCCAAAAAAAAAAAAAAGATTTAAATGCAAGAAGAATTAAACTCATAATATTGAAGGATTTTTTGGTGTTCAAATAATTAACCAAAATTATCATTTTCATTGCATTTTCCAGGCAATTAAGTTGGAATATGCAAGGTTGGTTAAGTTGGCCCAAGAAGACACCCCACCAGAAACCGATTATCGTTTACATCATGTAGTGGTCTACTTTATCCAGAACCAGGCACCAAAGAAAATTATTGAGAAAACATTACTAGAACAATTTGGAGATAGAAATTTGAGTTTTGATGAAAGGTAATTTGAAAGTATAAAATTCATATGCTCAAATCGTTCTTTTTTTTTTTCCTGCAGATTCCCAGGATAATTTTTTGAGTATTTATTTTATATATGCATGGGCACATATTTTAATAAATACGTAACAAAATTTGAACTCAATGTGACTAGTTGCTGGAGTCTGTGGCCTTTTGAAGTTTGAACTGAAAATAACTTAGATCATTTTAATAAATTTTAATTGTGAATCAAGTAATCACTGCACTTATTACACTCAATATTTTAGAAACAAAAATGGGCTTCTCAACCTCTGTACTATATAGACAGTTTAAATTAGATAAATCTTTGTTGTTGGGGCTGTCCTATGATTGTAGGATATTTAATAATATCCCTCATCTCTTCGTTAGATGACAGTAGCAGCTCCCAAGTTGTGGCATACCAAAATATCTCCAGGTATTGCCAAATAACTCCTAGGGGAGCAAAGTCACCCTTATTAGAGAATCACTGGAGAAAAGTTTTCAGTCTTGCAGATAAAATAATTAAACATTCTTTGACATAAAGAGGAGGCTTAGAAGGGTTAAATTAGATTCACGCAGACATATTTTCTCTGGAAAGAGAAAATATTCTATAGAAATTTCTGTAGAATTTCTGTAGAATATAGAAAATATTCTATAGAATATTTCCAGAGAATGTTTTCTCTAGATTATATTAGTAGTTTTATAAAGAATTATTCAGAAAGTCCTATTAAACTACTAATGTTAAAAATCACAATTTAATTAGAATGAGTGACACTAGAAAATAATTTCAGGGCCCATGTGAAATTTTAGAGTATTGAAAGTTATTTTCATATATAAAAACATTTATGCTGTTGCAGTTCATTGTAATTTTAATTCTGAAATGATCATCCTTTTATGAGTGTCTCAAAAATACTGAGTTAAAAGTGTATAGCAAAGAATATGAGGGGAGGCAAAGCATCTGGATTGATCCTACCTTATTAGATATGTGCCGTGAAATGTAGGATTCTGTGCATAATACAAATAAATAGTTGTGAACAATATCTGATAGGTGGTTGAATGCTCAGTGAATGTTGGCCACTACTGTTTATATTAGTAGCAGTGTGGACATCATTTATTTTGATACATGCGACTGCAGAGAGTTCAGAAACAGGGTTGTTGTGACCCTCGTTATCTGTGCTATCAGTGTACTGAGTTCCATTGGATCTATGCTGTTTAATTTGGAGAAGATATTAATGGAGTAATCACATTGACTTTTCAGTCTTTTGCAGTTCTCTGACTATAACTAGTTAATCTGTTTTGATAACCTGACTTGTGCTTGAAAGACAGAGTTATGCACATGTGAATAAATACATTTCGTGAGGATTTCTTTATCACTGATTCTGATCATAAAATCCAGTGGGATGTTTCCATTTTTACCTGAGATGATAGGCACGTTTTAGACTCTTTAGTATTTAAGAATAAATAATACCATGTGGGGGGAAAAGAAGATGCAGTGTCTCTTGAGCTTGCTTAATAGATGCACATTATTTTTTAAAAGTTTCATTTTTTTCCTATGCAAACTGTGTTAATTAGAATGTAATTTAAAAGCCATATATCAATACAACACAGTAAATTTGAATTAGAATTATTGCTCCTGTCTTCTTTGTAATTCCCCAACATTGGTCCCAAAAATGTTTTTCACTTAAGGTTATTTAGGAGTTGTTTCTATACAAAAGTACTGCTGTTTTTGCTCAGTGTTTATGGATTTTGCTTTTGATTTACAAATATATATATATATATATACACACACATACACACACGCTCATATGTATGTGTTTTTTTTTAAGGTGTCACAACATAATGAAAGTTGCTCAAGCCAAACTGGAAATGATAAAACCTGAAGAAGTAAACTTGGAGGAATATGAGGTAATGTGCTTTCTTAGAGGTTAAACTACAGATTTAGGGATTCTGTAATTCACTGATATTCCTTTCGTTTCAGCCCAACTGAAGTTGAATTTGTTATGAATGATGAGTAAAAAAATTAAGTTTCCAAGTCAATGCTCAAGTAATTAATAATTTTATATGTGATTTTAGGATTAACATGATATGATAGCATGTAGACCAAAAAGTTTAAAATCAAAAAAGGAAGATTTTTGGTTTTTTATTTCAATACTAATTCTCAAGTACTTTTTAAATGAACTTTTCTAGCTTAAAAACAGAATAACAAATGCATTGTTAATTTTGAAATCAACTTAGAAATTGCTGTTACATAATACCAACAAGTAATATTTATCAAGACCCTACTATATGCCAGGCATTTGTCTAAGCCCTTTACATATATTAACTGATTTAATTCAGACAGTAACACTGTAAGATAGGTAGTGTTCTTATTCCCATTTGACACACGAGAAAATAAGGCATAGAGCAGTGAAGTAACCTGCCTAAGGTTTTCACAGCCACAAGTTTACAGCTTGGCTAATAGAACCTACATTCTTAACTGTTGCACTACACTGTGCAACTGTACCCTGTGGGCTGTATTTTTTCCTTCACTTTGATTCATCAGATATATTTTGGGGAAGTTAATTCATTTTAGTCCCTATATGCCATATATGTTTGTCATGAGACAGTGTTGTGTGTGAGAGAGCACTTACATAGGTACTTGTACATGTGCTTGTGGGATTTTTTTGTGCACAAAATTATTTTTTGTCAACTTTGGCTTTAAAATATTCTTTATTTTAATTGATGAATTCATACACCTAGTATTTCTTCACATTTTTAAATTTAATCTTATGCATTGTCTTTTTTTTAATTTATAAGTCTAGTAAATTTTAAGTTGTTTTCTTGGGTGCCTTTGCTTAATATTTAGTTCCATTTACAAACTTAATTATGGTACTTTAGATTCCCTAAATAATTAGTGTAATTCACTACACAAACAGGGAAGAGGAAAGAGAGAGAAAACACTCATTATTGATGAAAACCTTAGCTAGTTTGGCGTATAAGGTAACTACCTTAATTCACTAAAGAGTGTCTCTAAAAACAAAAATAGGAAATAATAAAACTGCAGCAAATATATAGAATTGTGAGCACTGAAAGCTTAAAATTTTTGTTGTCAAAAGCAAGGCAATGAAAATAAGCGAAAAGTAAAATACTGGAAAAGAAGAAACAAAGACATCATTATTTGTAGTTTTTTTTACCTTGAAATTCAAATAAAATCTACAACTGATGTATTAGAACTAGTAAGACAGCTTTGCAGCATGCAAACTTGTGTCAGACATCAATTTTATTCCCTTTTGCCAGTAAAAAAAGTATGAGAAAGTATAAAAGTGAGACCATTTACAATAGTATCTGAAACTATGGAGTATATAGAAATAAATTTAACAAAAGGTGCGTGTGACTTCTGTGGGGAAAATTATAAAACTTATTGGGAGACATTAACAAAGACCTAAATAAATGGGCATACATATGGTATTTGGAAAACTTGATATTATTAATATATAGATATCACTTTTCCCCCAAATGCTTTATAAATTCAGTGCAGGCTGTATGAAAATTCCAGCAAGATGTTTTATGGAGCTTGATAAGCCAACTGAAAAATGTTACGGAAATGCAAAGATCCCAGTCCACCTCCCATCTCTGACAAGCAAGTTAGTGAACAGTATAAAGACTTTTTAATAAATGGTTCTGGGAAATAAATAAAATTTGATTTCTTCTTTATTCCATATGCAAAAATTCATTTCAATTGTGAAAGACTCCTGTGTAAAGCTGTTTAGAAGTCAACATAGGTAGAAGCCCAAAGACATTCATTTATCCATAAGAGGCACTCACTGACCAGATATTTTTGACCAGGATATGTAATCTAGAGCCAGAGAAATTCAAAATTTGTTTTCTCTTGACCCTGAGGAGCAAGTCAAGTCATCTTTTAGCTAATAATGACTCCAAATCTGTGCCCTCCACATTGATTGAGAGCTCTTCCCTTGTCCCCAAGATTCGTGTTCATGGAACTTGATTTTTAATTGTGACTTGATTCTGCAATGCTTCCTTCAGTTTGCTTCAACAGATTGGACTCATTATGTTTTTTTTCATAAAATCTTCTCATATTCTAACTGCAGGGCTGTTAAATCATACAAGTATTTAAATGACTTGTTTTTAGATTCTGCATATTCCTCCTATCTTTGTCTTGCTCTAAGTTCAGGGTTCAGTAAACCATAGCCTGCAGACCAGCTTACCACCTGTTTTTGTAAATAAACTTTTATTGGAACATGGCCATTTGTATACATATTGTCTGTGGATACTTTCACACTGCAGTTACAGAGTTGAGTAACTGAAGAAGATGAGGCTTGCAAAGTCTAAAATATTATCTGGCCTTTTACAGAAAAAGTTTGCCTACTCACAACTTCTAAGGTGATTCTAATGACAACAAGGAATGACAGTTTGAATACCTTCCCCAGAAAAGCTAACTTCATACTTGCAGGACAAATTTTACCTTTATTTGTTATGAAGATCTACTAATAGCATGAAAATTATGTCTTGAAAATTAAAATTAAGACTGGATGTGGTGGCTCATGCTTATAATCCCAGCACTTTTGGAAATCAAGGCACAGGGAGTTGTTTGAGGCCAGGAATTTGAGACCGGCCTGGCCAACATAGCAAGACCCTGTCTATACAAAACAGATTAAGTAATTAACTGGAACTGGGAGCATGCACCTGTAATTCAAGCTACTTGGGAGACAGAGGTAGGAGGATTGCTGGAGCCCAGAAGGTCAAGTCTGCAGTTAGCCGTGATCGTGCCACTGCACTGCAGACTGGGCAACTGAGTGAGACCCTGTCTCCAAAAAAAAAAAAAAAAGTTTATATTCAAGGAGAATATCGTTGGCTAATAACTATGTTTCTTATTTTTGTTTATAATGTTTATATAAAAGCCTTAACACTTTTGTTATCAGTATTCACTTTCCAATTTATCCTACATTGAATTTCAGTTATTTTTCTTGAGTCAATTATTATAAAGTAAGCTAAGAAAATCTTGACTTTGGTATCACCTTAGAATTATTTAGTCCTATTACATGCCCTATAGTTGTTTTGGGGGTGGGGAGGGGCATTGAAATGTGAACTGCAGTTATTCTTTTACCATATCTCATGTAAATAAACTATTCGCCTACACACTTAAAGTCAAATTTACCACATATTTGCGAAGTTAAAAGGTTAAATAAATCTAACTTTTTTTAGTTTCTTAAAATTATGTATTAAGTATGTGTCCAAGCTTTGATTCATACTCAGCGTAATATTTCATTTTCTTCCATCAGTTGATGTAGATATAATAATAGTTCAATAATATGATTTTATACTGATGAATTTTTGAGATGACCTGATTGATTATCCTGCCTTTATATTTCTGTTATCTGCTAGTAAAATCTTTATTGTTTAAAACATTTCATATCCATGCCTAATAATTTTTAGATTTAATGTTGTATTAATAAATAGTCTTGTGTGCCAGAAAGTAAAGTCTTGTTTTAGTTCTGATGTATCTTCATTTTGAACTCTTTATTTCTATTAATTCAGATAGTAGCGAAACAGTGCATTACTTTTTGTACAGTTTCATAGTACTTTTTAAATCTTACTCTGAACATTTTTAATATTTTCTTTCACCTACAGGAGTGGCATCAGGATTATAGGAAATTCAGGGAAACAACTATGTATCTCATAATTGGGCTAGAAAATTTTCAAAGAGAAAGGTAAGGCAAAGTGGACAAATATGAAAAGAGCATAATTTTTGCACTTAATTCTATTCAGGTGTGACCTCATCCATGGAAAAGATTTTATTCATACTCTGTATTTTTAATAAATGTTTTATTTTAGATCAGTTTTAAATTTACAGAAAAATTACACAGTTGATATAGAGACTTCCCATATACCCCACATAAAATATATTTTCCATTTAAAACTCCGTAAGGTTGGCATTAGTGTCTGTGTTTATTAGCTCTCAAACACTACCCTTGAAGCTGAGTCTGATCTTGATATCAAGTCAGAGATAGTGTTTGCAGTCTGTCTTTGTGAACTTTCAGGTTCTGTAAAAAGTGTAGCTGTAGAAAATTTTTGTGTACTGTGACTTTAAACAAATTTTGGATTAATTTTCATTTAAATTAAGGATGGTCTTAAAGGAATATCTACTTATTTAATTATACTATTATTTTAATTGTTATTAAGAAGAAAGGATACATTTTGCTTTACTTACATTTTAGGTTATTTACTAGTTTGCATGTATTTCTCCACATATTTCTTAATGCGTGTTGTTGAACATTAACTTCCCTAGTGATTGTTTTTTGAGAAAATGCTTTATTTTCAATGCAGTGTATATTGCAGCCAAGTAAAAGGGATATTGAATTTTTCCTTTCTTTTTTGTTTTATGAAATTTAAGAAGCTCCCACTTAGGTAATGATGCTTCTTTTTCAAAAAAAGAAACAAAGATCAGTGTTTAATTCTGGAGCTATGCTGTCCAACATAGCGGCCACCTGACAAAACTTAAATAACTAAAACTTTTAAAACCAAAGTTCAGTTCATCGGTTACACCGGCCACGTTTCAGTAGTTCAGTAGCCTCATGTGGTTAGTGGCCTCTATTTTTAGCCAGCACAGAACATTTCCATAATCACAGAAATTTCTATTGGACAGTACTATTCTAGAGGACAGTACTTTCATTTTTATATTAATAGTTATCAAAATTTTTAGTTATCACACAAAAGGAAAAATTAATGTTTTACTTAACAATTTGTCTTAAGTACTTAAGTACAAATTATTTAAAGTCCTAGTCATTGTGCTATTTATAAGATAATTTCACTTTAGTCATTGATGTAGAAAACTTACTTTGATCAATACCTCCAATTTATGAGTTATGTCAATCAAGATTTTATTTCTTTAATAGGAATATTCAAATGTACTATTAGAATTTATATTTGTGCTGATTTGAGAAAAATAATGTGATCGTATAATTCAATAGAGTGAGATATAAAAAGGCATTTCAGTGTTACAGATAAAGAAATCAGACTTCACAGAGATGTAGTAACTTTGTCAAGGTCACACAGCTAACTAGGAGAAGAAAAATTAAAATAGAGACCTCGTATTCTTGTATAATTTAATGAAATCATGTAAGTACAAAATGTATTCATTTATCTCAATAAGAATTAAAAAGATGAAACTGTCACTTTGTACCTATCCGGATAGCTTCTGTATTAGTTGTTCCCAGTTAACATACATTAAAGGAATTTGAGATATAACTTGGAAATATGTTTAAATATTACAATTTGCTTGTCAGTTTTCAAATACATACTTATTCAGAAAGTTAATATTCTAGTATAGTAAATACTTACCAAATTAGAAGGATTAACTAGAAAATCAATAATGGTGACAGATATTACTTGTGGAATATCTTTTAAAGAAATATTGGTGTGTGTGCGACTGTGATCCCAGCTACTCAGGAGGCTGAGGCAGGAGAATCACTTGAACCCGGGAGGCGGAGGTTGTGGTGAGCCAAGATCGCGCCACTGCACTCCAGCCTGGGCGACAGAGCGAGACACTGTCTCAAAAAAAAAAAGAAAGAAATACTGTTTTTTTTTTTTTTTTTTTTTTTTTTACTTTAAATCTTTAAATATAGCAGTTATTGTAGCTAGCTGTTTGTAAAATATTGCCAAAAGATTCTGTCAAAATTGTTTTTAATGAAAATGTAAACATTTAAAGGCTTGAATGAAATACTGATGGACCCTTGTGAGTCCTGAGAACAGTGAAGTGAAATCATGGTTGCAAGAACCATAATTTTATAGAGTGTACCAGGCTACATGATCTTATTTTATCTTAGATAAGAATATGGTAATTGGACTGCTAAATCTTATTCTAAATTTATTTGAATATACATTCGTAAGCACTTTAAAGTTTGATAACATATGGAACATTTTGCGTACCTCAGTAGAGAATTGGAACAAGGTCATGGTTTCAGAGCAATTCTCAAAGAGGTGACTCAGGTCTAGAAAGCCAGATGTCAGTGTCATTCAGGAGAGATCTTCTTAACAGGAAACTCAGTAGCTATAAAGGAAAAGATAGATGTGCTAGTTACTTATTAATTAACGAACTACTACAACTTAATGTTGTAAAACAACTTTTAATATTATCACTTCCTTCGTTTTTCATAAATAACATCTTTAACTGAGAATATGTTTATTAACCTAATATCATTTCAAAATAAAATGTTATACTTAATCTCAAAAACAAATTCCTAGAAAGCCGTTTTCAAAAAATGTATAAAATAGACCTATTTATCATGACACCTTCAGGTGTGTAATTTGATTTGCCATGAATGTATACATTAATTTTTAAATAATTTTACATTTAACATTTGGGATGTGGAATGGATTTATTTTGTATCTAAGTACATGAATTAAGTAATAAACAGTAATTATTGGCAGGAGCGTCTAGAGTTTAAAATTGTGTTTCTTTACAATATTTCATTTTTTAAAATATATTTTTCCATATTAATCTGTGAAAAAATATATTAATGAAAAACTGACGCAAAGGAAATATTTTAAAATAATATTTTTTATTTCAGTTATACAAATACTTGGCTAGATATAGTTTTTATTTTGACATGTTAGAAGGATAGTTTTGAGGTAAAAGTAATTCTTTATTAAATATTTTTTTCTTCCATTTTTGTTTTGTTTTGTATTTTTGAGTTGGGGTCTTGCTCTGTTGCGCAGGCTGGAATGCAGTGGTATGATCATGGCTCACTACAACCTCTTACCTTCTCAGCTCAAGAAGTCCTTCCTCCTCAGCCTCCTGAGTAGCTGGTACTACAGGCATGTACCACGATGCCCAGCTAATTTTTTTTTTTTTAATGTTTTTGTAGAGATGGGGGTGTCAACTATGTTGGCCAGGCAGGTCTTGAACTTCTGGCCTCAGCTGATCCTGTCACCACCACCTCCCAAAGTATTGGGATTACAGGCATGAGCGACTGTGCCTGGCCCCTTTTCTTCCCTTTTTAAAACCTAATTTGAATTTCATAATATCTAGACTTACATTAATATAACACATATGCCTAATTCTATCACTTCTTTTTTTTTTGAGACGGAGTTTTGCTCTTGTTGCCCAGGCTGGAGTGCAGTGGCGTGATCTCAGCTCACCTCACCCTCCACCTCCCGGGATTCTGCTACCTCAGCCTGCCGAGTAGCTGGGACTACAGGCATGTGTCACCATGCCCGGCTAATCTTGTATTTTTAGTAGAGGCGGGGTTTCTCCATGTTGGTCAGGCTGGTCTCGAACTCCCTACGTCAGGTGGTCCGTCTGCCTCAGCCTCCCAAAGTGCTGGGATTACAGGTGTGAGCCGCCGCACCCGGCCTCTATCAGCTTTTTTATGTTTGCAGGCTTTTTGTTTTTGCTTTATTCCACTAGGTTTCCCAGATTTAGAAGAAATCTTTCATTGTCCACTTCCTCTATTTCCTTTAGATATTCTTATTTCTATTTTTTTTTTACATTTTTCTCAGTAACTAAAACTGTCTGCACATAGAAAAGAACCTGTCTAAGTTGTCATTGAACAAACCAAATGATGTTTGTGATCATTTACTTCATATAAATGTGACATTGCGTTAAACAATTAGATTGTTGGCTTTCACATTAGCTCCAATTTTGAGTTTAAATGGAAGACATCAGGAAAATAAATACCAAGGAAAACAGAACTATCTGACTTTATCAGTTATTGCCTCTTTTCCCAGATTTTTTCTTAATTTATAGCTCTTCTTTTTTTACTTTTAAGATAACTATCTCTGGGTTTCAGATGTTGCTGTTGCTAAAAAGGCGCTCTCAAGCATACACTGCGTCAGATGATATTTTTTATTATAATGTAGATTATCAAAACTTAAGCATATACTTAAAATGTTTCATAATTATAGCTGACTTTGTTTCTACAAAGGTGAAATACTAATGTTATATGTTTCTTTTTAATTTTCAAGTTATATAGATTCCTTGCTGTTCCTCATCTGTGCTTATCAGAATAACAAAGAACTCTTGTCTAAAGGCTTATACAGAGGACATGATGAAGAATTGATATCACATTATAGAAGAGAATGTTTGCTAGTAAGTTGAATGCATATAGTATGATCTTATCATTTTGTCTGACATTGGGCAAGTTTTCCAGACTCATATATAAGTGATTGACTCCATAAACTCTGAGGGGATAAGAACATGATGATGTCTATAAACTGGTTCTAGTCCCTTCAGATGGAAAAGTACACTCAGTACTTTATTCTTTTCTCTTTATGAATCCCAAGTACTATAGGTGATAAATGAGAAATGTTCTTAAAATAGCATCAGTTTGTTTACATTTCTGTATTTAGATTTCGTCATCACACTACCACTCCTTTTTTTGGTGGGAGAGGAAGGGATGCATAGATAAGCCTTAAAAAATGTTTTATGTAAGTCTATAAGAATATGCAGGCTGGCGCAGCAGCTCATGCCTGTAATCCTAGCACTTTGGAAGGCTGAGGCTGGTGGATCACAAAGTCAGGAGATCGAGACCATCCTGGCCAACGTGGTGAAACCCCATCTCGACTAAAATACACAAACACAAAAATTAGCTGGATATGGTGGTGTGCGCCTGTAGTCTCAACTACTCAGGAGGCTGAGGCAGGGGAATCGCATGAACCTGGGAAGTGGAGGTTGCCTTGAGCCAAGATCGCGCCACTGCATTCCATCCTGGCAACCAGGTGACAGAGCAAGACTCTGTCTCAAAAAAACAAGAATATACATAGAATGTATTAGAGTAATTTGTTTAACTTAAAAAATTGAATTTTCAGGTACAAGAATAGTATAGCTGACTTTAAACATACATAGAACCAAAACCTGATGGTTCCTCTGAAACCTTCAAAAAATGGTATAATGTTTCTCATCATTTTTTGTAGTAACCCAGCCACATTTGGTTATTTGTTTTACATAGGAATTGAAATGAAACCTCGTCAAGATTACTTTAGTGTTCCTTTCAGATTTTTTCACGTTGTATATTTACAAAGTGTCAGGTTCTGAGGGATACAAACATGAGTAAGATGTACTTCCTGTCCTCAGAAAACTCAGTCTGGTAGGAGACATAATTGTTTGTTCTGGAATAAGTGCCATTATGAGAAATATGCACAATGATATGCCTGAAATATTTGGGAAGAACCTTAAGAGACAAGGTAAACCTCGTCTGGATCTTGATGGATAAATAGAAGTTTTATTCATGATAGAGAAGGGAGAATATTCCAGTACACAACAGAAAATCAAGATAAATTCACTGTGGCTATCCAGGTTATGAGGAAGTGGGGTAAGGTGGAAGTGATGAAGCTGACAATACTTGTCGATGTCAGATGATGAAGAAACTTAGATGACATTCAAATGAGTTTGCACCAGTGTAAGTTTGATTAGGTTTGGCATAATGAGGTTTGTTTTCAGAAAATAATTCTGGTAATAATAATAGCATTCTAGAGGATGAACAGGAAAGAAGTAGATTGAAGTCAAGAACCTTAGAGGGGAAAGTCAAGGGACGGAGAGTGAGGACCTCAACTCATGTAGTACGGTAGGTATGATGGTGAAGGAAATGAAATCGGCATGTCATAGCTGTTGGGTGAGTGGGAAGAAGGAAATGGAAGAGTCAAAGCTGCCAAACTTACTAGTTTTTCGTTTAATATTAGGGAGTCTAATAGGAGGAACAAGGTTGGCTTTGAACATGTTTTATTTAAGAGATTTCCAGGACATTCTTTGATTCAGTGAACTTAACATTAAACTTGTCATTAAATTTTATATATCATTTAATGCATACTTCCAAAAATTGTAGTAAATACTTGAAGATTTATCTCATTTTATTCTCTTAACCCCTATGGTTGGAAGATAAAATACCCTATTATTAATATAAAGAAAGTGAAGCTAACAGATTTAGCTAATCTGTTCACGATTGGTGTATTAGTCCGTTCTCACACTGCTATAAAGATACTACACAAGACTGGGTAATTTATAAAGGAAAGAGGTTTAACTGACTCACAGTTCCACATGGTTGGGGAGGCCTCAGGAAACTTAAAATGATGGCGGAAGGTGAAGGGGAAGCAAGGACCTTCATCACATGGTGGCAGGAGAGAGAAGTGCAAGCAGAGGAAATGCCAGATGCTTATGAAACCATCAGATCTCATGAGACTCACTCCCTGTCACAAGAACAGCACTGGGGAAACTGTCCCTATGATCTGATCACCTCCCACCAGGTCTCTTCCTCAACACCTGGGGGTTACAATTCAAGATAAGATTTGGGTGGAGACACAAAGCCTAACCATATCAATTGGGTAATTGATTCATGGCCAAGTTGGACTTAATAGCACAACCATCTTTCCAAAATCAAAATAAATTGCATAAGAATTATGTGGTGTAAATCTAAATATATAACTTTTTTTATTTGAAATTCAGCTTAAAAGTCATGTTTATCATGCTGTAAACATAAGATTTTAAATAAGAACCCTTAAATATTATAGGTCTTATACCTGTATTTATCTCTTATGTTTCTTATTGCATGGATTTCTCTGTTCTACTAGATCAGTGATCAGCACACTATGGCTTGTGCTCCACCTACCACTTGTTTTTATAGATAAGTTTTATTGAAACATAGCCATGCACATTCATTTATATATTGGGTATTATTGTCTTTGTACTACAATGGCAGAGTTGAATAGTTGCAACAGAAACTTCATGGCCTTCAAAGCCTATAATAGTCCTCGTCTGGCCCTTCACAGAAAAAGTTTGCCAATCCTTGTACCAAATTGTAAGCTCCATGAGAGTTTTCTGTATTAATCACTTGAGTGCCCCTGCATCTGCAGAAATTTCTGGCACGTGGTGTTGACTCTGTAGGAAGTTTTTGAAGGGAAAAGTGAATTGATTACCTTTATATTTCTGTATCAAGGAATACAATAGTATATATTCAGTTGCCATTAATGGAGATGAGTTTTTCAAAAATTAATATGGATTCTGAATTTCTTTATTTTTAAAACTATTTTGAGTGCTTATACAATTTTATAATTTGGGGAAGTTAATCTCTAGAGAAGAAAAAATGGCCCCTGTGTTGATGATCGGCATAAGCCAAACATGACTGAAAAACACAATAATGTTTTCTCCACCGCTGTTGCTTTTGTTTCTGTTGTTGCCATATGCATAGCTTTTTCTAAAGAGAGATTTTCAGTTCTAGATAGGTTGAGATTGTTTTCTCTAAATACCGTTTGTTCTAATACTGTTTGTGAACATATTTATGTTGTCTTCCTTATTAATACTTACAGATCCTTAATTTAAAAAGGAAACAAAAACCTATTCTTTTTTTTTTCCTGCATTGCATTAAGAAATTAAATGAGCAAGCCGCAGAACTCTTCGAATCTGGAGAGGATCGAGAAGTAAACAATGGTTTGATTATCATGAATGAGTTTATTGTCCCATTTTTGCCATTATTACTGGTGGATGAAATGGAAGAAAAGGATATACTAGCTGTAGAAGATATGAGAAATCGATGGTGTTCCTACCTTGGTCAAGAAATGGAACGTAAGTTTAAACAATGGTAGTAGGCACCTGAGATGTCCGGATTAAATGCAGTTAGAATTAGATGTTATTTATTCTTGCCATTTTTTATATTAAATACAATATTAAGTATTAATATTTTCACATTCACATGATTACTCTTTTTCCATATTGATGAACTAAGCTGTGTGCATTGCAGTTGCCATTTATGTTTTTGTCTCCCCAAAATGGCAATTATCTTACCTATTAGAGTAAGTTAATATTAGTAAATCATGTTGACAATGATCGTGTAATAATTTCTATCTTTAGTTAGATTTAATTGTTTGTATTTGCAGCACACCTCCAAGAAAAGCTGACAGATTTTTTGCCAAAACTGCTTGATTGTTCTATGGAGATTAAAAGTTTCCATGAGCCACCGAAGTTACCTTCATATTCCACGCATGAACTCTGTGAGCGATTTGCCCGAATCATGTTGTCCCTCAGTCGAACTCCTGCTGATGGAAGATAAACTGCACACTTTCCCTGAACACACTGTATAAACTCTTTTTAGTTCTTAACCCTTGCCTTCCTGTCACAGGGTTTGCTTGTTGCTGCTATAGTTTTTAACTTTTTTTTATTTTAATAACTGCAAAAGACAAAATGACTATACAGACTTTAGTCAGACTGCAGACAATAAAGCTGAAAATCGCATGGCGCTCAGACATTTTAACCGGAACTGATGTATAATCACAAATCTAATTGATTTTATTATGGCAAAACTATGCTTTTGCCACCTTCCTGTTGCAGTATTACTTTGCTTTTATCTTTTCTTTCTCAACAGCTTTCCATTCAGTCTGGATCCTTCCATGACTACAGCCATTTAAGTGTTCAGCACTGTGTACGATACATAATATTTGGTAGCTTGTAAATGAAATAAAGAATAAAGTTTTATTTATGGCTACCTATGTGTTTGTAAGCAGGTATATTGTATATTAGTGTATTAGTAATACTAGATAAATGAATTTTGTCTGGGGATTAAGATTGGATAGTTAATAGATTAATACAATCTTTTAATTCTGCTCTAATGCTAGCAAATTGGAAAATGTTTAAGTCTTTGACACTTAAATTTATCTATATTTTTAACAAAGTTCTTGAACTTAGTATGGCACCGGAACCTGTTTTGAATTCAGTCAGGTTTTTACTCAAGTAAGTGGTTGATTTTTTTTAAGTCAAACTACACTGAAACTTTTATCCTTTTCTTAGATTAATCTTACTTTTTAAATGTATTTACAATATACAGCAAGGTGATTATTTCAAGAGAATCCCAAAGTACTTGAATAAGGGCTATTGTAAAATTTAAAAGAAATATTTATATATACACATATATACACATACACACATGTATATATATATTCTTCATAATGGAGGACAATGTTTTGCAATATATAAATCATTCTATTTTTGTAAATTGTATATCACTTTAATTGAAAATGTTCTCTACTAATTAATACTGTGAAACAAAATTGATGTTGTTTAACTAGAAGTTATGAGTATCTTAACTGCCTTTATTCCTTTTCAAAAAGGAAAAAGCTGTAGAACATTTTGTAGATGAAACTACTGTTTAAGATTAATGAATTAATATTGTGAATGAAAATCAAAATCCATACTTTAAAGGTAATCATGTTACTAACAACCTATTTTTGAATTCATAAAAATTTCTTTATAAATGATGTTTTGTGAACATAGTAAAATAGACCATTATACTATGTGTATGTTTGATACAGCGTCGCCAAAACTAGTGTTCTTTATTAGTGCCTCTCACAAAAGATCCTGGATGGAGGAGTAAGATGAAATATTATGCTATTATATGATGCTGTTTGTAAAGGTATTAATGTACTAGTAAGGTGTTAATGACAAGGAATTAGTACTATTCCTGTTGTAAAGTTAGATTTTGCATATTGTATCTATCAAAATATGTTTGGGTTTAGATTTTAAGTTGTCTACTGAGCAGATTTCTGCATTGGTTTTCCAGTCCTGTTAAAAGTTTAGAAACTTCATATGTGTCATCACAGCTTTTGTAAAGAAAGTATCCTTAATATTTTATGACATTCTACCACAGTGGTAAAGTTGTTTGTGTTTGTGTATAATTGACTGCTGAGATACAAAGTGCCCAAACACTATATGGAAATTATTCCTTCAAAGTCACATCCAGAGAATCATGTCACTCTTGTGCTGAAGGTAAGTATTATAATTGTATTTACTATGTACTTAAAAACCAGATTATTTATTCCTAGTAATGAATTTGAAATAACTTATTTAAAGAAAAGTGACCTTTTTCAAGACCTACAGAAACAACTTATTTTAATATTGGTTTTTAATCTAATTGTAAGGTTTAGATCATTGAAATTTCTTTTTTTTTTTTTTTTTAAATTTCCAACTTTTAAGTTCAGGGGTCCATGTGCAGGACATGCAGGTTTCTTACAGAGGTACATGTGTGTCATGGTGGTTTGCTGCACAAATCATCCCATCACCCAGGTATTAACCCCAGCATCCACTAGCTATTCTAACTGATCCTCTTCCTCCTCCCAGCCCCCACCCTCTGCCAGACACCAGTGTGTGTTGTTCCTTCCACCATTGAGTCCAATATGTTCTTATCGTTTAGCTCCCGCTTATGAGAACATGCAGTAGTTGGTTTTCTGTTCCTATGTTAGTTTGTTCAGGATAATGATCTCCAGCTTCATCTGTGTCCCTGCAAAGGACATGATCCCATTCCTTTTTATGACTGCATAGTATTCCATGGCGTATATGTACGTTTTCTTTATCCAGTCTATCACTGACTGGCATTTAGGTTAGATTCCATGCCTTTGCTATTGTGAATAGTGCTGCAGTGAACATACACGTGCATGTTTTTATAAGAGAACAATTTGCATTCCTTTGAGCATATATCCAGTTACGGGTTTGCTGGCTCAAATGGTATTTCTCTCTTTAGGTCTTTGAGGAACCATCACAGTCTTTCACAATGGTTGAACTAATTTACACTTCCACCAACAGTGTAAAAGTGTTCCTTTTTCTCCATAACCTCGCTACCATCTGTTGTTTTTATGACTTTTAATAATAGCCATTCTGACTGGTGTGAGGTGGTGTCTCATTGTGGTTTTGATTTGCATTTCTCTAATGATCAGTGATACTGAGCTTTTTTTCATATACTTGTTGGCCTCATGTATGTCTTCTTTTGAGAAGTGTCTGTTCATGTCGTTTGCCCACTTTTTAATGGGTTTTCTTTTTTCTTGTCAATATCATAAGTTCTTTATAGATGCTGCATATGAGACCTTTGTCATATGCACAGATTGTAAAAATTGTCTCCCATTCTGTAGGTTGTCTTTTTTACTCTGTTGTTAGTTTTGCCATGCAGAAGTTCTTTAGTTTAATCAGATCCCGTGTGTCAGTTTTTGCTTTTGTTGCAATTGCTTTTGACACTTCGTCATGCAATCTTTGCCCATTCCTATGTCCTGAATGGTATTGCCTAGGTTTTCTTCTAGCGTTTTTATAGTTTTGAGTTTTAAATTTAAGTCTTTAATCCATCTTGAGTTGATTTTTGTATATGGTGTAAGGAAGGTGTCCAGTTTCAGTTTTCTGCATATGGCTAGTCAGTTCTCCTAGCACCATTTATTAAATAAGAAATATTTTTCCCATTATTTGTTTTTGTCAGGTTTGTAGAAGATCAGATGGCTATAGGTAGGTGTGTGGTCTTATTTCCGAGTTCTCTATTCTGTTCCATTGGTCTCTATGTGTCTGTTCTTGTAACAGCACCATGCTGTTTTGGTTACTGTTGCCTTGTACTGTAGTTTGAATTTGGGTAGTGTGATGCCTCCAGCTTTGTTCATTTTGCTTAGGATTGCCTTGGCTACTCAGGTTTGGTTTTTTGTTTCGTTTTGTTTTGTTTGGTTCCATATGAATTTTAAAAGTTTTTTCTAATTCTGTGAATAATGTTATTGGTAGTTTAATGGGAATAGCACTGAATCTATAAATTGCTTTGGGCAGTATGGATATTTCTACAATATTGATTCTTCCTATCCATGAGCATGAATTTTATTTTCCATTTGTTTGTGTCCTCTCTGATTTCCTTGAGCAGTGGTTTATAGTTCTTGAAGAGCTCCTTCACGTCCCTTATTAGCTGTATTCCTAGGTATTGTATTCTTTTTGTGGCAGTTGCGAATGGGAGTTCACTTGTGATTTGACTCTTGGCTTGCCTGTTTTTGGTGTATGGGAATGCTAGCACTTAGTGCACATTGATTTTGTATCCTGAGATTTTGTTGAAGTTGCTTATCAGCTTAAGAAGCTTTTGGGCTGAGATGGGATTTTCTAGATACAGGATCATGTCATCTGCAGACAAAGATAGTTTGATTTCCGTCTTCCTATTTGAATACCTTTATTTATTTCTCTTGCCTGATTGCTCTTGTCAGAGCTTCCAATACTATGGGGAATAAGAGTGGTGAGAGAGACAGCCTTGTCTTTTACAGGTTTTCAAGGGAAGTGCTTTCAGCTTTTGCCCATTCAATGTGATGCTGGCTGAGGGTTTGTCATAGGTGGCTTTTATTATTTTGCAGTATGTTCATTTAATACCTAGTTTATTGAGAATTTTTAACATGAAGTGATATTGAATTTTATCAGAGGCCTTTTCCACATCTATTGAGGTAATCATGTGGTTTTCGTCTGTAGTTCTGTTTATGCAATGAATCTCATTTATTGATTTTTGTATGTTGAACCAACCTTGTATCCCAGGAATGAAGCCTACTTGATCGTGGTGGATAAGCTTTTTGATGTGCTACTGTATTCAGTTTGCCAGTATTTTGTTTAGGATTTTTGCATCAGTGTTCATCAGGGATATTGGCCTGAAGTTTTTGTTGTTGTTGTTGACGTTGTATGTCTGCTAGGTTTTGGTATCAGGCTGATGCTGCCCTCATAGAATGAGTTAGGGAGGAGTCCCTCCTTTTCAATCTTTTGAAATCGTTTCAGGAGCAGTGATAGCAACTGACCCTTCTTTGTACCTCTGGTGGAATTCATCTGGGAATCTGCCTGGTCTTGGACTTTCCTTGGTTGGTAGGCTGTTACTACTGCCTTAGTTTCAGAACTCATTATTGGTCTGTTCAGGGATTCAATTTCTTCCTGTTTCAGCCTTGAGAGGGTGTATATGTCCAGGAATGTATGATTTTTTTCTAGATTTTCTAATTTATGTGAATAGAGGTGTTCATAATATTATCTGACTTGTCTTTCTATGGGGTTAGTGGTAAGAGCCCACTTATTTCTGATTGTGTTTATTTGAATCTTCTCTCTTTTCTTCATTAGTCTAGTGGTCTCCTAGTGGCTCACGCCTGTAATCCCAGCACTTTGGGAGGCCAAGGCGGGTAGATCACGAGGTCAGGAGATTGAGATCATCCTGGCTAACACAGTGAAGCCCTGTCTCTACTAAAAATACAAAAAAAAAAAAAAAAAAATTAGCCGGGCATGGTGGCGGGTGCCTGTAATCCCAGCTACTCGGGAGGCTGAGGCGGGAGAACGGCATGAACTCGGGAGGCAGAGCTTGCAGTGAGCTGGGATCGTGCCACTGCACTCCAGTCTGGGTGACAGAGCGAGACTCTGTCTCAAAAAAAAAAAAAAATTAGCTCCTGGATTGTGTGATTTTGATTTTTTTTTGAAGGGCTTTTTTTTGGGGGGGTCTCTATCTTTAGTTCAGCTCTGATATTGGTTATTTCTTGTTTTCTGCTAAGCTTTGGGGTTTGTTTGCCCTTGGTTTTCTAGTTACTTTAGTTGGGATATTAGGTTGTTGAGATCTTTCCAGCTTTTTGATATTGTCATTTAGTGCTATAAATTTCCCTCTTAACACTGCTTTAGCTGTGTCCCAGAGATGCTGGTATGTTGTATTTGAAATTTCTTTATATAATTTACCATGTTAAATATAACTTATAGCTAATAACTTCGGAATTTGAACCTCATAGAACTGTAGTCCATAGCAGATTTCATTTGATTTAAATGACTCTTATTTTGGTTACTATGTTATTCCTTCCTACCCCAAAAAAGTTACGTTTTGAAATAATTCAGGGTAGAATTCATATAGATAGAACTTCAGACATCTCAGGAGACCAGTACGCATGAATGAACATGTAGGGACCCCTCTAATACGTTTCACATCCATTATGATACAACAATGACCATACACTTTAGTAGTTCTCAGTGTGTGTTCTCCAGATCAGTAGACAGCTTCAGCAGCTTGGGAACATGTTAGAATTGAAAATTTTTGAGTCCCACCTCAGAGCTGCCAGTTCAGAAACTCTTCACGTAACCTGTGTTACAACAAGTCCTTCAGATAATTTTGATGTTTACTAGTTTCAGAGCCACTGCACTAAATGAAACTATTGGTAGCATTTGTGCACTGTAAATTGATGCTGTTTAATTTTCATTCACTTGTGCTCTGTTGGAAGCTTTTTTGTGTTTCCTTCACTTGGGATTTCAAGGAAGTATCTAATTTTTTTTTTTTTTTTTTTGCTCAATTACATGTAATTGAGAATAAGATAGGTATCTGATTCTCCAAAAGTTCAGCATCTTTATTTTATGATTTAAACTTGTCGAGTTATGCCTCTGGGTCCTGTCATTCTCCCAGCGAATAAAAATGTGGATGCTTGGGGAAGTGGAGGTGGATGGTAAATGGGAATACTCTTGTTTGAATTTTTAAAAATTTACATTGTAAATAACATTAAATACCATTTGTTGTGCCCATGATAACTTCATCCAAAATATATATATTAGTCTGCTAAGATATGCCATAACAAAATAACACAGGCTTGGTGCCTTAAACAACAGAAATTTTTCTTCTGGTTCTGGAAGCTGGAAGTCTAAGATCAAGCTGTTGGTGGATTTGATTTCCCCTAAGGCCTCTCTCCTTGGCCTGCAGACCACCACCTTCTCTCTGTGTCCTCACCTAGCCTTTTCTCTGTGTCCTCACCTAGCCTTTTCTGTGTGCTGCATCCCTGGCCTCTCTTCCAGTTCTTATAAGGACCCCAGTCACATTGGATTTGAGCCCCATCCTTATGAACTCACTTAACCTTAATTATCTCTTTAAGGGCCCTGTCTCCAAACACAGTCATGTTAGGGGGTTAGGGCTTCAATTTATGAATCTGGGGGACAATTTAGTAAAAAAAATAGTATGTGACAGCCCAGTTTATATACCTGCTTTCCAGAAACAAGAATATGGTTGTTAATGTCTTCTCTTTAGCCTCAAGATACAGTGCAAATATCTGTAGTTCCGTTCTTACGTAAGCTTTATTTTACTTTTTCTAAAAACTATATTGAAAGTATAGCAATCCGAGTTAGAAATTGCTTATAATGCATTCATCTAATCAGCTCAGTGTTCTTACTGAACAAACTTTTATTTCCATGTTTACTCATGTTTATTTCATCAGTTTCACCTGACATTATACCATGAATATATTTCTGTTTTGCTAGTGTTTTTATTCTTACTGATCACATGTCCCTTTTTCGTCTTCCATACCACTCCCAGCCTAGAGTTAATGACCACTAACCACCGTAGCCACATACTTTTCCATGTTTGGATAACCTTATGCAGCATATACACCTAAAGGGTGGTGGTTTTTTTAGGGGGTGGTGGTGGAAGGGGGGAGACGGTCATTGTTTTTACAAAAATTAAATTTCATCTATTTTACACATCCTTTCCCCTGTCTTCCCCTTGTACTTTCCAACCTTCAGTTTCTTCTTTTTCTAATTAGCTTTGTAGGAGTGACTTAAAATATAATAAAGTGAAATAACATAGCAGTGATAATAATAGAATAAAAATAAACGAAACGTGATTGGAGAAACTGCACACATGCACACCAAGATTTCAGATATTCTTATTCCTTCCATGTACAGTTCTCAGTGGGTATTTCAGACCTTCACTCCCATCCTCAGCCTCTCCTATTCAGTGCCAGCTTCTGTAACGCTGGATGATCTTTTCTTTGCCTAACGAAGAAAACTGGAGATGTTAGGTATGATCCTCCTTTCAACTTTTGTGCCTCCTATCTAAATTAGTTGTTAACCAGCTTGTAATGAAGGGATAAACATTGATAACCCAATATTATTTAGAAAATAGAAATAGAATCAGAATATACTATGAAATGAGCTTACAAATTTCAACAAGTGTCCACTATTTTGGGAGTGTGTTTGCTCTTCTCCAGCAGTAATCCAGAAAGCTCACTTTTTCCCCCGAGACTATCTCATACAACATGTTTGCCCTGTAGCAAACAGCTCCTTATTTTTTCAGTAATGTAGAGCTAGACCAGTATTCTTCTGTTGTTTTTATTTTGTGGAGTTTTTGTGTGTATTTTTAGTTTTTTGAAACAGGGTCTCG
This sequence comes from Homo sapiens, assembly GCF_000001405.40. NCBI lineage: Eukaryota > Metazoa > Chordata > Mammalia > Primates > Hominidae > Homo > Homo sapiens. The sequence continues at coordinate 15,886,348 of NC_000021.9, forward strand.
CTCTGTTTCCCAGGCTGGAGTGCAGTGGTGCAGTCTCCTCTCATTGCAACCTCCAACTCTCTGGCTCAAACAATCCTCCCACTTCAGCCTCTGAAGTAGCTGGGACTATATGTGCAAGCCACTGTGCTTGGCTAATTTTTTAATTTTTTGTAGAGATGAGGTCTCACTATGTTGTCCAGGCTAGTCTCAAACTTCTGGACTCAAGTGATCCTGCCACCTCCGCCTCCCATACCCCTGCGATTACAGGTGCAAGCTACTGCACCTGACCTAGACCCATATTCCTAACCTAGTTCGTCAAAAGCATATGAGGAACTTTTTTTTCTTTAAAGTGTCCAGATGTTATCTCTCATGTGTATTACAGGGCTTCAAATGTGAGAATTGGAGTTTAGATAGTTGTTTTTCCAATTTTAATTTAAGATTTGCCTGTGGCCCTACTATGTGATTGAGCCTAGCTAAAGTAGTGTGGAGGAATTTGCTTTTTACAGTACTGTATGTCACATGAAAGGGCAGGGGTCTTCAGATTGCTGATGTTCCCTCAGCCATAGACCATGCCCACTTTTGACGTGCTCTAGCCAAAGCTGCATGAAAATATTTTTCAGTCCCTACTGGATTTTTCTCTTATGAATGGTTAACAGTGCAGGTTCTGGAACCAAACTACCTGGATTCAGATTCTGGCTCTGCCGTTTATTCGCTGTGTGTTGACCTTGAATGAGTGATTTAACTTTTCCGTGCCTCAGATTCTTCATCTATAAAATGGGCATTATGACATAACACACCTTAGAGGATTTTTTAAAAGATTAAATGGGTTTCCAGATATAAAACGTTTAGAAACTGTCTGCCACATTAAGTATTCAATAATTGTGAGCCCTTTTTATAGTTTGTCAGTATTGTTTACTCCTGTTCTGGTTTTGAGGATCTTTAGCTTCCATCCTCTACCTGCATTCCTAGTGTTTTTTTTTTTCTCCCTACTTCTTAAAGTTGTGCTCAAGGTTTGGTACTTGGCCCCTTCCTCATGCTTTTCACTTTTTCTGGTTGTGTCTGTTAGTTTGTCTTCTTATTCTGCCTCCATGAATCACAGGTCATTGTTTTCTAATCATACCCATGTGAGTTCTAAACCAATACATATTTGCAGTTGTCTTTTCATCACATATACCTGGATGTTTCGCAGACACTTTCGACTTGGCACATCTGAATTCATCACTTTTTCCCAAATCTGATTGTCTCATACTCCCTTGATGAAATGATGTAATAATCCCAAAATGAATTATTCTCAATTCTACTTTTACCTCCCATTGATTACCAAGTGTCAGCATGTCAGATTTTTTAATACTCCTTAGTACTATGGCTGATGAGGTCCGTCATCTCTTAGTTTGACTGTTAGATTTGTCCCTGAGTAGCACTGTCTTTGATTTTGCCCCTGAAATTCATCTTCACACTGTTGACAGAATAATCTTTTAAAGTGGTTTGTTTTACATGTCTGTCTTCCACTGCTGGACTGAGCTCTTAACAGGAGATTGTATCTCTTGTTTTTGTAATCCTAGCACCTGTTAAAATAACTAGCAACTTAGAGGTGCAGTCTTGCAGGTTTTCTGACCCTCCAGTCACCCTAGACCTGCACTGATACAGTTTTCGTTAGCCATTTAAATTTAAATAAAATTGAACATTCTGTTAATTAGTAATACTAGCTATATTTCAAATGCTCATAGCCACATGTTACTGTTGACTACTATATTGGACAACATTTTAGAACATTTCGATTATCATAGGAAGTTTCATTGGACAGAGCTGCCCCAGCAGACCTTTGCTGATGTGGATGTCTTTCTGTATTAACATCCTTTTAACATTCAGACACCTCCCAAATGCTAACCTTAATAGATTGGCCTTCAGCATTTATGTCTCTCTATCTTGATCCTGCAATTGATGACTTTACTATGTCTGCTCTGCAGAGAGCACCACTACCAGCATGTGTCCAATCAGGAAAGCCGACACTACATATTTCAACAGAGGAGATGTGAGTACAGAGGCATTAGAGAGTAACCCGGGGATCACAACTGTAGGATGCAGCTACTAGTCCTAAGGGTAAGAAAACAAATGGGAAAAAATTGGGGCTGCCAGAGCCTTAAAGCTCCAAAAAGGGTCATCATGGCATTAGTGCTCAGACCCCTGAGGAGGCTTACCACCTACCTGCTCATGGTAATTCTGAGGGGTAAAGTAACGACAGTTCTAGAAGTTTCGAAGTAGTTGAAGGCTGGAATTTGCTGCCGTTATTACAAAGCTGATAGGACTAGCCATCAGAGATGAACTAGATCTTTTTTCATCTTCCTGCCAACTTCCCTGTAGTACTTCCTACTGGCAGAACCTAATAAGCAGCAGTCAGAGGGGTCAGAGAAGTGTAGTTTGCAGAGTCCCGGCCTCAGCACACAGAGCAGAGGACAGAAGGGTGGAATTGGAGCTGAGAAACAATAGATGAAGAACCAGCACACTGGTTTCCTTCAAAGACTCATTTTTATCTAAAGGTATTAGTCCCTAAAACGCCAGATACTCAGGAATTTGTAGAGAAATTCTGGGCCCTCAAGAATAAGTGTACTAGTTCGAATTGAAATCTTGTTACTCTTTTCTGTTAAACGAGACTGTAATGCTGCTATATAGTGCTTAACTTTTAAAATTGACAGTGGATGAATCTGCATATTATAGTCAGGTGTTCATGTCCATCCATTCATTTATTGAGTGCCTACCACATGCCACACAATCTATCAGGTGGTATGTATATAAAATAAAACTTAGATAATAAGACAAAAGTAATAATTCACCCAAATTCATCTATAAATCCAGACTTAGGGACTGTTGACATTTTTGTGTTCGTGCCTGTGGACATCTTTCTGTGCATATGCATGTACACACATCACAATATCATAAAAAGTTTATAAATGCAGATGTTTCCAAGAAAGTGTGTATTCATCTACCTCTCTCCTGCTGTATAGTATTTGATTATAAGGAGAATGCTCCATTACTATTTACCTGTGGACATAGAGCATAGGCTGCTACATATGTCTCTATATACTTTATGCACTTTGTCTTTCCACTAAAATTTCTCAAGGTATAATTTCTGTCTGGGTCACTGAATATGTAGATTTAAAATTTTGAGCTACATTTTTCAAACTGCCCTTCACCAAAGATGTTACAGTTTACACTGCCACCAATAGTACATGAGACTGTTCTTTCATACATTCAATAACAGAATATTATTGACCTTTAATTTGTTTGATAGCCAAAAGTGTGTTCTTCGCATTTCAAAATTTTTAGTGAGAGCATATTCCAATATGTTAATTGACTATTTGTATTTCTTGTATAGTTAACTACCTGTTTACATCCTTTACACTTTTTCTTTTGGGTGTTTATGTCTGTAACTTGGCAGTAGCTCATATTAGGAATCATTATTATACACGTTGCAAATATTTTTACAATTAGTTTATTTATTATTGCATTATAACCATGCTTACGTAGTGGTGCTCTACTATTTCTGCCTTAGGTATAATGTTTAGAATTTTCTCTGGTCAGGGTTATAAAAATACTCATGTTTCTCCTGATATTTTTATGATTTCATTTTTAGATCAGTCTTTAATGCAGTTGACAGTTACATTAAAGTAGTGAAATAGTCAACATTTTCTGTCAGTATTATCTGGTTGTCATAATACCATTTATAAAATAATTCCTGCTCTTCCTCATTGATCTAAAATGTAACTTCCACTAGATAATCATATTTATGTTTGATATTTACAAATACTATTCAGTTCTATTTTGTCTGTTCAGCTACTTTCACTGATTTAATTATTGTTGCTTCTTGTTTGACTATATATTTAAAATATTTGTTTTATAACTAATACAAGGTTTCATACCTAATAGGTCAAGTATTACTTCCCAACACATACACCCTTATCTCTTTCATAATTCCATACTCTTTTACAGATAAACTGTAGAATTATTTAATCTTCCTTCAAATACAGGTTCTATTGGTATTCTGATTATAATACAGGATACATAGATACATACGACATTGCATGGGTCACATAAATTGTGGCACCTTTTCAATATTAATATTCTTATTCATAAAGAATATTGTTTGTCCTATTAGGTTCATATGCCCCTCAGTAAAGTTTTTAGATTATTTTTCTTTAGTCAGGTATCTTAATGTGTTTTAATGTTCTTGTATTTATGAATGTGCTCCTTTTTTCTCCCCCTTTACAAAAATGTTTTCTAATTGAATATTTTCATTTTTTAAATCTCAGAACCTCTTCACACAAATTAGTAAGGGCCTCAGAGAACTTTTATGTTGGCAGGTATGTCTGCTAATATTTACCACTTCAGAAATTAAAAATGTAATTGAAAAGTGACATGTCTATGTAACATTTATGTTAGCATAAATATTTTAAGTGAAAAATGGCTAAATTTTTTGCCTAGCCCTTCTTTTGGAGGCTTGTAGGGAAATAAAATACTGATTATATCTGTCCCTGTACTCACACTTCAAGAATAACACATAGAATTAACTTGGAATTTGGACTAGCAAAGACTGAATTATTGATCATCTTAAAAATGGATGGAAATCATTTTTCATGGTAGTCGTATGATTTCTTGGCAATTAGCTAATTTCTCAGGAAAATTAAGGGTGACAGTGTGGAAGGTAGGCATCTCCGTCAGTGTGGAAATACCACCCTCTAAGACAACTGCTTTATGCGTGGGTTGTACTTCCCTTGCCGCATAGTTTGAAAATGTCTCCAGGAAGAAAGTTTACCGGGTGTGCTTTACTGCTCTCAAGTATTGCAGCCTTGTGCTATCCATTGTCCAGACACTGAAAAGAATTGCTTCATATATTTTTACCCAACTTTGATTATTAATGGCAGGAAAGTTATTCAGATACCAACTGTTCCATGATGGTTAAATCTCAGAAATCTATAATTCTCATAGAAGATACCATAGGAGAGTATCTTTAAATCTTGGAATAACAATGGGTCTCTTCATACACACACACACACACACACACACACACACACACACACACACACACAAATTAAACATGGTGGAAATTTTTGACAAATTTAACCACATTAAATATTCTGTCCATTAAGATTCCCCAAAGATGGTGGAAAGATGGCAGGTTAGTGGGAGAAGATATTTGCAGCATGCAAGGCAAGATGACAATGCACTAATAACAAAATTTCATAAAACAATGGACTTGGGGCTTGGGAAAAATAATTATGACATGCTTTCTGAAGTGTCCCCAGATAGTTTCATAAAAAATGGAGCAAATAGGCTAAAGAAAAACCCATAGACATCATGTTCAAAAGAACTGATGACAAGGCATGTTCATAACCCATAAAATACAAGTGGATGCAGCTAAATAACTGCAATACTTTTGAAAGAGTTTGGCAGGTTTCGAAGATGTGAGGAGCTACAAAGCAGATTAAAAAAAAAAAAAAACCTACCACACATACATTTAAATCAATACAAACATGCCTGATAATTAAAACAAAAAAGGCTTGAACAAGCACTTTACCAAAAAAAAAAAAAAAAAAAAAAACAACGAAAAACTAATCAACGTGGAATGGTGTTCAGTCTTATTAGCAGCCAGGAAAATGCAAGTTAAGGCCACAAGGAGATAACACCAAACACATGTAAAACTGAAAAAAAACATTTAGCCATCCTCACTAGCAAATGTTGGTGAAGATGTATCTGTAGTAGTGGGAACACTCATTATACTGGTGTGTGTGTAATTCAGTCCAACCACTTTGGATTACTTTAAAAATCTGAAGTTATGAGTATATTCAGCAATTCCTAAGTATTTTTTCTAAAGATATCTAGATACATGCGTATCATTTTACATGTACAAAATGTTCCTGGAAGCGTAGTTTGTATTAGCAAAAACTGGAAACAAATATCCATCAACAGTAAGCACATATTGCACTATATTCATATAATGGAATACTGTACTGCAATAGAGAGCAAACCACGGTGCATGTATCAACAGGAGTGAAATAGTATTGAATGAAATAAGACAAAAGCACATATAGTGTAATTTATTTAATGTTCCAAAAAACCTTAGGTAAACCCAAAACATACAAGAATGCACTCATGTATAGTAAAACGAAAAAGACAGAAGGATTGCCATGTAAGTTAGATTAATCATTACTTGTAGGAGGGAGGAAAGATGTATGGTTTGAAAGGGACATTTGGGAGTGGCTATACTTGCTTCTAATATTCGATTTTGTAATCTGTAAGTTTGCAATTGAAGTTATACACTTGGGATTTAGAGTAGGATTGTCCCTTGGAGATATAAAGTTAAATACAAATATAAATCATCAGCTCTGAGATGCATTTATAGCCAAGGAAATTCATGATACCATGTAATGAAATGATAACGAAGAGAAGGGCCTACGACGAGTTCTGAGGAGCACTGAAAGGTTCTATGTTGGAGGGAAAATCTGCAAAGGAAATAGAGACGAATATTGAATGAAGTAGGAAAGTCTGTGTCTCTCAGGAGAATTCTTCCAAGCATAAGAAGTAGGCACCTGTGTGAAGTGCTTCAGAGTAAAATGAGGATAGATGAGTAGGCAATCTTGACAAGGGTTATTTCCGAATGATGGGGACCAAGGCTCGTCAGAGTGGCTTCAAGAGTTCAGTGGGGACTTCTTTTCCCAGAAGCATGCATCATACAGCTGGAAAACACTCCCGTTAACAAGACACAGGATTGAAAAAAGTATTAATATTGAAACAGTTTTCATGCATTCCTCAGACTAAGAAGGAAGGAAACAATATTCTTAGTGGCCAAGAATCAAGGAAACCTGAAATCATTTTGACCAACTGATCTAAAAGGAGGAATAAATTACTTTTCCAGTCTCCCCATAGGAAATTTTACAAAATTATTAATATGTGAAGGGGTGTGGCCCAAAATGAATAAAATTACAGAGACTACTGGATTTAATGATATTTATTGGTATTTGTCATATTTTTGTAATTTTAATTTTCATCCTAAATAACTTTCTTCACAATTTTACATTTTAAAATTTAACAACTTGTCCTCCCAGTATAGATTGGATCGTTAGGCCATGAAACATAATTCTGGTGAGTAAGCAGGGGAAAAAAAAAAAAAGAGCCTAGGGCCCATGCAAAAGGCAAAATTATCAGGAAAAAGGGAGAAAACTTTCTCCCCCAAAAAAGACAAGAAAACAACTTGCGTTTTTTTATAATTTACTCTAGATGAAGGGAGCAATTCATACAAGCTGAGTATTTGGTTATGTGTGTTTGAGGCTAGAGTTGACATTGCATAGATTATCTGAAACATCTCAAAATGAGTACTTTCAAATGGCTCCAGGTTTGTAGTGATCCCAGGAACCTGGCAGTAACAAAATTAAATCCTTTGTGAGTTTAATTGTTAAGTGTTGGCTTTGAGGAACATAATATTTTATTTTATTTGATATATATAAGCTGTGACCAAAAGGTAAATATAAACATTTGTAGAAATTTACCAAAAAAAAAAAAAATTATTTCAGATGTGGATGGTGTAAAAGAATTGACAGAAATAGCATGATAAATATAATCATGTTTATCAAATTAATCATCCCAAAAATGGGGCCTAAATTATCTTTAGAGCCTCTCTCTAATTTCATGGTGAGTTGGTTTGGGAGAGGAATCTCCCAGATCCCCGTTCAAGGGAGCGTTTCCTGCTGGCACATCCTTCAGGGTCTACCTCAGCTGCAGAGGGTCACTAGAGGGCTTACTTTTCCTGCGGTCTCCCACATCTTGGGCCCATGGATGCATGAATAAGTGGTCAAGCCACTTTGGCCCAATGCAGGGCCACGTATGCCCTAGAGTCCTTCACTGGGTTGACCATGCCATTGATCATCATAGTTGTACTTCTCTCTCTACCCAATCCTAACTTTCCTAATTCTGTCCACAGATGCTGATTGATCTAATCTCGGCTTGTGGAGGACGAACCTCTTGCATACACTTACCCAAATAATTTACTGTGATTAGGTTTCTTAGGTATACCGATGCAAAAACAGAACGAAATTCATCTTGCAAGCAACTGTCTCTCATTATAGGTTAGTAAATGAGTGTTTTGTTTAATAAACATATCTATTAATTTTATTAATCCAAACTAGTTCACCTAATAGTACTCAAAATAGCAAAGATAAATGGTTAAGCTAGAGGCTTCCCTAACATGAAAATTGACTAATAATTTTGTTAAATGTCTCTATGCTGTCACCAGTGTGTATATATTGGCCATTCTTTTGATCACTTTATTGATATATTTTGCTTGCAGTTGAAAAAAAGATAGTTATACTTAGATAACTTGATTGCTGTCTTCTAAATTCCCAGTAGGTGGTGTCATAATACTGTATTTAGGGATTTTTTTTTATTTATTTAATAAAGTGGAAAAAGAAAGTGCAAATGTGTTTACTTAAGTATATGTACTTGCATTTTAAAAGTGTTTTGGTTTTATTATGAGATGACACTGTTATAAACAACTTAATTCCTTATATGTTTCTTCAATTCACATTTTTACTAGAAAATATGTACTGACAGTTTTATTCTTTTATTCTCTAGAATGATACAAAACTACCTAGTCAAAAGAACAAGATGGCCACAATGTTTACAGAAATATTTTCTCATGATCTTTTTTTACTCTCATATCTTAGACATATGAAAAAAAAAAAACCGTACTTGTCTTGGAAGTCAAACCAGGATCTGTCATTATAATTATTGTAACCTTATTTACACTCAAAATATTTTCTATTTTTGGCTACACTTTTCAAAAACTCTCTACATCATAAATAATTCACCTTTTTGGAATTTTGGCTATTTCTAGTTGAGTTGTAAGTAGTTCTAATTTTTCTACCTTACATTTTAGTAATCTTTATATGTTTACTTTCACAATACAACATGTGCTCAGATAGTTACAACTCAGATAGTAGTGTGGCCTCTATGCAAGGATGACTCTCAACATTCCATGAAACATTCCATGTTTTTAATGTCTTCCCAGCTGGGTCATAAGCCTTTTGAGTGTGTGGCCCGCAAATTAGTAGGTTCTTTTGTTTTTTGTTTTGTAATCACCGAAATGCCTATATATAGTAGTGTTTGGTAAATACATATTGAATAAATGTGATGCTATGTAAGTTTAAATAATTCTCCTTGACTCTCCCTGTACTCCAGAGATTAGGTGACTTCAGTGTGAAATCTATTGTTTTGCTAATTTAATGCTTGTGATACTTCAGTAGTCAAGAATCTGAAGATCTGTACTCTCCACGGGTTGATTTTTAATGGAATGATGTAAATTGTTTTGAGTAGAAAGTGAAACTAGGCTGAACTTGGCTGATGCCCACCTATGTTGGAAATATTTAAACCAGCCCTAGCCAGAGAGAAATTGCCCATCTGGTGGTCAGAACTTGAGTTCTGGCAAGACTCGCTGCCACAAGCTAAAGTGCTCTGGTGCCCTAAATTAACTTGAAAGGCAGTCTGGTCTAGGTGAATCCAGGTGCTGAACTGGCCTCAGAACCACTGGACTTGGCGGTGGAGGGGGGCATGTAACTTACTGAGACACCAGCCAGGATGGCTAAGGGAGAGCTTGTGCCACCACCCCCCAAACCCCAGGCAGCACAGCTTGTGACTCCAAAAACCCCTTCCTTCCACTTGAGGAGAAGGGTGTGGGGCTGTAGTAAGGAGAGCTTTCTCCTGCATCTTGGATACCAGCTCAGCCACAATAGGATAGGGCACTAGTTAGAGACATGAACCCTCATTTCCAGGCCCTAGCTCCTGGGTGACATTTCCAGACACAGATCAGAAGGGAGTCTGTTGCCTTGAAGGGAAGAGCCCAGTCTTGGCAGGATTCATCACCTACTAACTGAAGAATGCTTGGGCCCTGAATAACCAGCAGTAATACCCACGTAGTATGCTGTGGGCCTTGGGTGAGACTCTGAGACTTGGTGGCTTCAGGTACCAGCTTGGCCACAAGGGAGTAGTGCACCAAATGGGCTCTTGGAGATCTCTGATTTAGGCCTTGGCTTTTGGACAGAATGTTTGGACCTGCCCGTGAAAAGATAGGGAAGAGTGAGAAGAACTGCATCTCATTGTTTGAGTGCCAGCTCAGCTGCAGTAAAATAGAATTCCAGGTAGATGTCTCAGATTTTTGACTCCAGTCCCTGGCTTCTGGATGGCACCTCTGGACATGCCCGAGGCCTAGGGAGCTCACTGCCCTAAAGGGAAGGACACATGCCTGGCTGGCTTTGCCATCACCTGATTTGTAGAGCCCCAGGGACTTGAGTGAACATAGGCAGTAGCCAGGTCGTGGTTACAGTGGACCTTGCATGAGACACAGTGCTGTGCTGCCTTCAGGTCTAACCCAGGGCAGTCCCAATAGTAGTGGCGACAGGGGTGCTTGTGTCACCTCACCTCCAGGTGGCTCAGAATGGAGAAAGACTCTTTGTGAGAAAATAAGAGGACAAGAGTCGCTGTCTAGTAATTCAGAGAATTCTACCAGATCTTTTCCAAGACCACCAAAGTGCTACATCTACAAGTCTGCAAGAACCACAGCATTACTGGGCTTGGGGTGCCCCCTAATGCAGATATGAATTAGGTCACAACACCCAAGTCCTTTTGAATGTCTGGAAAGCCTTCACAAGAAAAATGGGTAAACAACAAGCCCAGACTATGAAGACTATAATAAATACCTAACTCTTCAATGCTCAGACACAGATGAGCATGCATAACCGTAAAGACCGTCCAGGAAAACAACCTTGCCAGATGAACTAAATCAGGCACCAGGGATCAATTCTGGAGAAACAGATATGTGACCTTTTGGACAGATAATTCAAAATAGCTGTGTTGAGGAAGCTTAAAGAAATTCAAGATCACACAGAGAAGGAATTCAGAATTCTATCAAATTCAACAGAGACTGAAATAATTAAAAGGAATCAAGCAGAAATACTGGAGTTGAGAAATACAATTGGCATACTGAAGAATGCATTAGTCTTGTAATAGCGAATTGATTAAGCAGAAGAAAGTGAGCTTGAAGAGAAGCTATTTGAAAATACACAGAGGAAGCAAAAGAAAAAAGAAAAACAACGAAGCACACCTACAGGATCTAGAAATAGCCCCAAAAGGGCAAATCTAAGAGTTATTGGCCTTAAAGAGGTGATAGAGAAAGAGATAAGGGTAGAAAGTTTATTCAAAGGGATAGTAGAGAGCTTTTCAAACCTAGAGGAATATATCAATATCCAAGTACAAGAAAGTTATAGAAAATCAAGCTGATTTAACCCGAAGAAGACTACTTCAAGGAATTTAATAAATCAAACTTCGAAAGATCAGGGAAAAAGAAAGCATTCTAAAAGCAGCAAGAGAAAAGAAATAAATAACATTTAAAGAAGCTTCAGTACATCTGCCAGCAGACTTTTCAGGAGACAGTAGCATGATATTTGTAAAGTGCTGAAGGAAAAATTCTCTTACCTTAGAGTAATACATCCAGCAAAAATATCCTGTAAACATGCAGGAGAAATAAAGACTTTCACAGACAAACAAAAGCTGAGGGATTTCATTCACACTAGGCCTATCCTACAAGAAATGCTAAAGGGAGAACTTCAGAAAGAAAAAGACATTAATGAGCAACAAGAAATCATGTGAAAGTATAAAATTCACTGGTAATAGCAAGTACACAGAAAAACACAGAATATTATAACACTGTAACTGTGGTGTGTAAACCACTCTTAAGTAGAAAGACCAAAAGATGAATCAATCAAAAATAATAACTACAACAATTTCCAAAACATAGTACAATAAGATATAATTAGAAACAACAAAAAATTTAAAAGTGGGGAGACGAAATTCAGTTGTAGAGTTTTTATTTTCCTTTTTCCTGTTTGTTTATGTTGTTACATAACATAAACTTAACAGTGTTAAGTTGTTACCAGCTTAAGATAATAGGTTATAAAATAGTATTAATATTTGCAAGCTTCACGGTTATCTCAAATCAAAAAACATAATGGATACACACGCATAAAAAAACAAGAAATTAAATTATACTACTAGAGAAAATCACCTTCACTAAAAGGAAGACAGGAAGGAAGAAAAGGAAGGGAAGACCACAAAACAACCAGAAAACAAATAACAGCATGGAAGGAGTAAGTCCTTACTTATCAATAATAACATTGAATATAAATAAAGTTTCCAATCAAAAGTGGCTAAATGTATTTTTTTAAAAAAAGATTCCATGATCCATTGCCTACAAGAAACTTCATCTCTAAAGATACACATATACTGAAAATAAAAGAATGGAAAAAGATATTCCATGACAATGCAAACCAAAAAAGAGCAGGAGTCACTATACTTCTCTCAGACAATTAGATTTCAAGACAAAAGCGATAAGGAGAGACAAAGATTGTCACTGTATAATGAAAAACGGGTCAATTCAGCAAGAGGATATCACAATTTTAAATATATATGTACCTAATGCTGGAGCACCCAGATACATTAAGCGAGTAGAGGTAAAGAGAGCGATAGACTCCAATACAGTAATAGCTGGAGACTTACCAACACTCCACTCTCAATATTGAACAGAGAATCCAAACAGAAAATCAGCAAAAATGCATCAGATTTAATTTGTACTGTAGGCCAAATGGACCTAATAGATATTTACAGAATATTTTATCCAATGGCTGCAGAATACACATTCTTCTCTTTGGCACATATATTATTCTCAAGGATAGACCATAGGTTAGGTCACAAAACAAATCTTTTTTAAAAAATTTGTATTTTGGGTTTGGAGGTACATGTGAAGATTTGTTACATCGATAAACATGTGTCATGGGGGTTGTACATATTATTACATCACCCAGGTATTAAGCTCAGGATCCAATATTTCTCTTTTCTGTTCCTCTCCCTCCTTCCACCCTCCCCTCTCAAGTATACCCCAGAGTCTATTGTTTTCTTCTTTGTGTTCATAAATTCTTACAATTTAGACAAAACAAGTCTGAAAGCATTAAAAAAAGAAATAACATCAAGCATCTTCTCTGACCATGATGGGATAGAACTAGAAATTAATAACAACAGAAATTTTGGAAACTACACAAATACATGGAAATTAAGCAATATGCTTCTGAATGAACAGTGGGTCAATGAAAAAAATTAAGAAGGAAATTGAAGAAATTAAGAAGGAAGCATATGTGCCTACATCGAAAAAGAAGAAAAACTTGAAATAAACAACTTAACGATCCATCTTGAAGAACTAGAAAAGCAACAGCAAACCAAACCCAAAATGAGTAGAAGAAAAATAATAAAGATCAGAGCAGAAATAAATTTGAAATTAAAAAAACACAAAGGATCAATTAAACAAAAAAGTTTTTAAAAAGGTCAACAAAATTGGCAAACCTTTAGCTAGACTAAGAATAAAAGATTCAAATAAATAAAATCAGAGATATACAAGGAGACATTACAACTGATAGCACAGAAATTTAAAGGATCATTAGTGGCTACTATGAGTAACTTATGCCAATAAATTGGAAAACATAAAATAAATGGACAAATTCCTAGACACATACAACCTACCAAGATTGAACCATGAGAAAATCCAAAATCTAAAGAGACCAATAACAAGTAAAAACAAAAGCCATAATAAAAAGTCTCCCAGCAAAGAAAAGCCTGGGATTCAGTGGCTTCCCTGCTGAATCCTTCAAAACATTTAAAGAACGATCAATCCTACTCAAGCTATTCCAAAAAAATACAGGAGGAGGGAATACTTCCAAACTTATTCTACAAGGTCAGTAATAACCCTGATATCAAAACCAGACAATAACATCAAAAAAGACAACTATAGGCCAATATCACTGATGAATATTGATGCAAAAATCCTCAATAAAATACTAGCAAACCAAATTTAACAACATATTATAGATAATTCATTATGTCCAGGTTGGATTTATCCAAGGGATGCAAGAATGGCTCAACACATGCAAATAAATTAATGTGATACATCATATCAACAGAATAGAAAACAAAAACTATATGGTCATTTCAACTGATGTGGAAAAAGCATTTGATAAACTTCAACATCTCTTCATGATTTAAAAAAACTCTCAAACAACTGGCTATAGAAGGAACATACCTCAACATAATAAAAGGCATATATGACAGACTCATAGCTCTTATCATATTGAATGGGGTGAAACTGAAAAACCTGTCCTCTAAGATTGGGAACAAGATGAGGATGCCCACTTTCACCACTGTTATTACACATAGTACTGGAAGTCCTAGCTAGAACAATCAGACAAGGGAATGAAATAAAGGACATCAAAATTGGAAAGGAAGAAGTCAAACTATTCTTGTTTGAAAATAATATGATCTTATATTTAGGAAATCCTGAAGACTCCACCAAAAAACTATTAGAACTGATAAATTCAGTAAAATTGCAGGATACAAAATCACCATAGAAAAATCAGTGGCTTTTCTATATGCCAGCAGCAAACAATCTGAAAAAAAATTCAAGAAAATAATCTCATTTACAATAGCTACAAATAAAATAAAATACCTGGGAATTAACCAAAGTAGTGAAAGATTTCTACAATGAAAACTATAAAACATTATGCAAGAAATTGAAGAGGATGCAAAAAAATGGAAAGATACTTCATGTTGATGGATTGGAAGAATCAATATTGTTAAATGTTCATATTACCCAAAGGAATCTACAGACTTAAAGCAATCCCTATCAAAATACCAATGATGTTCTTCACAGAAATAGAAGAAAAAAATCATGATATTTATATGGAGCCACAAAAGACCCAGAATAGCCCAAGCTATCCTGAGCAAAAAGAACAAAACTGGAGGAATCACATTACCTGACTTAAATTATGTTATGGAGCTATAGTAACCAAACAGCATGGAACTGGCATAAAAACAGACACATAAACCAATGGAACATAAGAGAGAACCCAGAGATAAATCTATACATCTACAGTGAACTCATTTTTGATAAAGGTGCTAAGAACATTCATTGGGGAAAGTCTCTTCAATAAATGGTGCTGAAAAAACTGGGTATCTATATGAAGAAGAATGAAACTAGACCTCTATCTGTCACCATGTATAAAAATCAAAATGGATTAAAGACTTAAATCTAAGATCTCAAACTATGTAATTTCTATAAGAAAACATGAGGAAAACTCTCCAAAACATTGGTTTGGGCAAAACTTCTTGAGAAATACCCCATAAGCACAGGCAATCAAAGCAAAAATATACAAATACAATCAGGTCAAGTTAAAAATCTTCTGCACAGCAAAAGATGCAATCAACAAAGTGAAGAGACAGCCTACAGAATGTAAGAAAATACTTGCAAACTACCCTTCTGAAAAGGGATTAATAGCCAGAATCCATAAGAAGTTCAAATAACTCTTTAGGAAAAAAAGTCTAAAAATCCAATCAAAAAATGGGCAAAAGATTTGAATAGACGTCACTCAAAAGAAGACATGGAAATAATAAATATAAAAATGTGCTCAACATCATCAATCATCAGCTAAAGTGCAACTCAAAACTACAATGAGAGATGTCTTCTCACCTCAGTTAAAATGGCTTGTATCAAAAAATCAGACAATAACAAAAGTTGACGAGGATGTGGAGAAAAGGGAAACCTGTACACGATAGGAATGTAAATTAGTACTACTATGGAAAACAGTTTGGAGATTCCTCAAACAACTAAAAATAGAGCTACCATACAATGCAGCAATCCCACATAACCCAAAATAAAAGAAATCATATATTGAAGAGTTATCTGCACTCTCATATTTATGGCAGTATTATTCACAATAGCCAAGATTTGGAATCCACCTAAATGTTCATCAACAGATGAATGGATAAAGAAAATATGGTACATATACATAATGGAGTATTATTTGGCCACTTAAAAAGAATGAGATCCTGTCATTTACAACAACATGGATGGAACTGGAGGTCATTATGCTAAATGAAATAAACCAGTCTCAGAAAGAAAAACTTCACATGTTCTCACTTATTTGTGGGAGATAAATATAAAAAAAAAAAATGAACTCATGGAGATAGAGTAGAAGGATGGTTACCAGATGTTGGGAAGGGTATTAAGGAAGGTGGGGTTGGTGAAGTGGGGAGGGTTAATGTGTATAAAAAAAAATAGAATAAATAAGAACTAGTATTTGCTAGCCCAACGGGGTGACTGTAGTCAAAAATAATGTAATTGTATATTTTAAAATAATTAAAAGTGTATAACTGGATTGTTTGTAACACAGAGGATAAATGCTTGAGGTGATGGATAACCCATTTACCCTGATGTCATTATTATACATTGCATGCATGTGTCAAAAGATCTCATGTAACCCATAAACATATACACCTACTATGTAGCCACAAAAATTAAAATTAAAAATTTAAAGAAAACTATATCCTCTGTGGGCAAAGATACATCATCCAGACCCCAGTATGGTCTCTTCAAACCCTACACATTCAAGCAAAACAGACAACAAACACTAGTGCAAGAGAAGGCATGACTTTGAATTAAAAATGACAGTCATTTATAAAAAGATGCATTGGAGATCCAGATCAAAAGTCAACTTTAAAATAAGTGTGATAAATAGGTTCAAAGAACTAAATGGCCAGACAAAAACTTTATCAGATCACTGTAAAATAAAGAATCAAATGGACCTTGAGGAACTAAAAATTACAGTTACTAAAACCATAGTGAATGGATTTCATTGTAGAGTAGACACAACTGCAGTGAGCAGTAGTGGATTACAAGACAGTTGAGAATAAATGTTCTGATTGAAACAAAAACATACACAATACGTTTTTTTTTAAATACAGGAAAGGTTATAAAAAGCATGGGATTTAACAAAAAAGGCAAACATACATTTAATTGGAATACCAAAAGAGGAATAGAGGCGAGAGTAAATGAAAAACAACACTTGAAGAAGTAATTGTTAAGAATCTTTTGGCCAGCACGGCGGCTCATGCCTGTAATCCCAGCACTTTGGGAGGCCGAGGCAGGTGGATCACGAGGTCAGGAGATCGAGACCATCCTGGCTGACACGGTGAAACCCTGTCTCTACTGAAGATACAAAAAAATTAGCCGGGCGTGGTGGCGGGCGCCTGTAGTCCCAGCTACTCAGGAGGCTGAGGCAGGAGAATGGCGTGAACCCGGGAGGCGGAGTTTGCAGTGAGCCGAGATCGCACTACTGCACTCCAGCCTGGGCGACAGAGCGAGACTCCGTCTCAAAAAAAAAAAAAAAAAAAAAAAAAAAAAAAAAAAATCACTTTAAAACTAATGACAGAGATAAAGACAGATTTGAAAGGCACTACAAACACTAAGCATAAATAGAAAGAAAATCACGTCCAGGCACAATATAAACTGCAGTGAACAACAAACGTGAGAAAATCTGAAAAGCAATCAGAGAACAAAAGGCAGAGTATCTCAGAAGCCAAATAAGACAGGTAGCTGCTTTCTTACAATAAACTCTAGAAGACAGAAATGATATATTCAGACTGCTGAAAAAAAATTAAGTACATAATTTAATATAAAGAAAATATACTCTTTGAAAAGGGAGTGAAATGAAAGCCACGTTTAGACAAAAATATCTGAAAAAAGATTTTGTCATCAGAAGATTCACACCAAAGGAAGTATTAAAGGATATTAATCTTCAGGGTGCAGGAAAGTGATCTTAAACGACAGAGGTGCAAGGAAGAATGAAGGGCAAAATAGTCTATGGGAGAAGAAACATTTCTGGAATGATAGCGTAAGGACCTCTGAAAATCTTTTTTTTCATAAAACACTGGAAAAATTATCAAAATCAACTTCTTCAGAACTCTGGAAATTAACCAAAGGCTCGTGAAAATCTGATGAATGTTTATTCAAGAAAAGTTACTAAATCTAAGTAAGAAGAGCAAGCTTTGTGGGATTTTAATTTGCCTTATTTGCAGTCCCCTCTCCCAACTATATGGTAGCTCTGAAAACCATGGAGATAAAGATCCTTTCAGTCTAGCAACCACTGATGGAGTCAAAATGGATTTGGTGCTTCCCCAAAAGCTTCATCTCCAGATAATTGTTACTTTTTGACTCGTCTGTCAGTTCACAAGGAAAGTCCAATTCACAGTGTTTATCTTTATTGAACTGACTCAGAACATGTTCAGTGGGAAAGGTCCTGTTACAGTAGGACACACTGCGCATGCTCGCCTCCCAAGCGCAAGCCTGGAACTGTGCACGCAGGCAGCTTACCCTAACGGAAAAATCAAGGGAAAGCCGGTGAAAGACACTGGAAGTGGGCCACCGTATAAAATCTTAGGTTCAAGGTCAAACAGGGCACTTGACCTCCAAGATGCCTGCTTGGACCTCTTCCAAGTGTCCTTTCTTTTTTTTTCATTCCTGCTCTAAAGCTTTTTGATAAACTTCCTCTCCTGCTCTAAAACTTGCGTTGGTGTCCTTTTTCTGCCTTATGCCCCTCAGTCAAATCTTTGTTCTGAGAAGACAAGAATTGAGGTTGCTGCAGACTCATACGTATTCGCCACTGGTAACCCGGATAACTTCCACCGCTAATACTATGTCCAGGGCATTTGTGAAAACCAACAAACAAAAAACAAAACAAAACAAAAACAGCAGCAGTTATTTAACACCTAGCCGACTGAGCTGGCAATACTAGTTAGGGCAAATAAGAGACTGGCCAGAAAACATCAAAGGAAAATTTTGAGTGGAGTTTTTATTTCTGGAAATGGTATAATCAGTTATTTCAGAGTAATACTCTGAAAAACAACAAAGACACAGGTGTACAAAATAAAGTGCATTTATCAATTTGAAGGCATTAGAAAACTACCTAATTGGAGAATGAGATGTCCATATGGGGCTTATCAAAACCTCTGATATATACCGGGGGATCTACAAGACCATACACGTGGGTATGTCTGTGGCCCGACCAGGACAGACCTAAGCCCTTACTCTCTCACAGAAAGGAACACAAGCAGAGTGTGGTGGCCTTGTTAGCTTGAGAAGACAGAGATTAGAGCACAGAAGCTGAAGGGCTGGAGATTGTGCTGAAGAAAACTCGAGAGGAGGGAGCCATTATCATGTGTTCAGGAGTTAGAGATGTGGATATGGAGTTTTTTCTCTGGCTTCTTCCCTTTCAGGTTTTTTTTTTTTTTTTTTCCTACTTCAGTGGTATTTTTCTCGAACCAGTTTTCTGGTTCCTCAGGTAGAAACACAGTGGGATTTTTCACAATTACTTCCCACATTGCTGGGTGGCCTCAAAGACTAATTAACCCTAGGCTAAAAAGTCATGAAAAAATAGAGGTGCTTAATGTTTACCACTCCACTGCCCTGCCTGGAGGGTGTATCCTCATCTGAGCCTGTCTGCTTTCATTCCTTCTTCAGTGCCTTTTGGTATTATGTCTAAATTTTAAAGTTGCTTCCTGATAAGTGAGTGAGTGCTCTGATAGGATCTTCCTCCATCATTAGTAGAATCTTTCTGACTGGTTAATCTCTAGAGTTGCGAAAAAAGTTGATACTGATAAATACCTGTTAGAAACTTAATTTCTAAACATGTAACATCTGTTCTACAAATATTTACTTTAAATCTAAAGGCGATAATAAGTTTGATGTAAATATGAACCAATAGAATGTAAGATAGACTGGGTGCAGTGGTCTGTGCCTATAATCCCAAAACTTTGGAAGGCCAAGGTGGGAGAATCACTTGAGGCCAACGGTTCAAGACCAGCCTGGACAACATAGTGAGAACTAGTCTCTCAAAAACAACAATAAAAAAATTGAATGTAAGACATATCAAATATGCTCCCATCTCTAGTTGGCATGTAATGCCTAGCCTGCCATTCCCTGGACAAGAACAACATTATAGTCTCTGCCTCTTTCTGGAGTACACTGATCTTGCTGGAAATAGTTAAGTGAAGTTACTGTGACCGCCTAACACAGGATGGGATAGAGAATTCTTGCGAACAAAGGGTCAGCTGGGAATAAACAACAACCTAAGGAAACAGAATGACCAAATAATAGCATAAGGTAGGACATCCCATCCCTATCAGCTGTCATAGCTTGTTTGCTTAATTGATTGATTACTTAGCTTGTTGAATGAAAATAAATATATTTTATAACAAAAGATTGTGTTCTTGGACATCTCATTTAATTGACATCCTCAACCAAGTCTTAATTGTAGCCCGAGGTAGAATCTAACTTAAAAATGTATGCTTACATTTAATAACTGGCTGTTGCCTCAAATACAACAGTATTGCAACATATGTACTCTAGCCATCCAGTATTTTAGTTCCCTTATTTTTTTAACATCCAAAATTAGATATTACTATTATTAACTTATACAAGCAACTTGTTTTATATTTATATATGTATTTTATTTTACCTGAGACAGGGTCCCACTCTGTCACTCAGGCTGGAGTGAACTGGTATGTTCACTGGTATGTTCACGGCTCACTGCAGCCTTGACTTCCTTTGGCTCAGGTGACCCTCCCACCTCAGCCTCCGTAGTAGCTGGGACTATAGGCACACGCCACCATGCCTGGCTAATTTTTAAAGTGTTTTTTTGTAAAGATTGGATTTTTCCATGTTGCCCAGGCTGGTCTGAAAACTCCTGGGCTGAAGTGATCTCCCTGCCTTGGCCTCCCAAAGTGCTGGGATTACAGGTGTGAGTCACAGTGCCTGGCCCATTTATTATTTTATTTGTTCAGTATTTCTTATGTCCCAGCTGTCTTCCTGTACTAAATTTTCTTTTCTGATGTACCTCTGAAGTTCATTTAGTTGAGATGATAAACTTTCAAAGGTTTGGTTTCTGAAAATGCCTTTACTTCACTCTTGTTCTAGAAATAGAGTTTGGCTATATACACAATTCTTGGGATATGTATTTTCTCTCAACACTTTAAGAGCTTTCCACTCTCCTCTTGCTTCCTTTGTTACTCTTGACATTCCTTTTTTTTTTTTTTTGAGTCAGGGTGTCGCCAATGGTGTGATCTTGGCTCACTGCAACCTCTGCTTCTGGGGTTCAAGTGATTCTCCTGCCTCAGCCTCGCAAGTAGCTGGGACAATAGTAGGTTCACCACCACACTCGGCTAAATTCTGTCATCTGTCAATCATCAATCCATCATTAATTACCTATTATGCCTTTATAGATGGTCTGTCTTTTGTAATGATTTTAAGATCCTCTTTACGGTAGTTCCTTGTTATCCATGGTGGGGATATGTTCCAAGACCCTAAGTGAATGCCTTAAACTGCAGACAGTACAGCACTCAGTTGCTGTCCATCAGAACACACTTCTGATCATCTTTTCTTCCACCTGCAAATTTAATTCCTTTTTCCATAACTAAACACTTATCATGCAGTGTGGTTGTAGTTTTTTGTTTGAGATGTGAGAGCAAAAATAGCATGACTTTTCTTTCTTCACAATCCACAGATAAAAGATTCTTTCTTAACCAGACATGTTAGAGCCCTCAACATACAATTTTTTTCCTTTACGTTAAGAACTTTCACTTTTCACTTGAAGGAAGCACTTACAGCTTCTCTTTTCATGTCTAAAATGCCAGCATCATTAATCTTTTTTTTTTTTTTTTTTTTTGAGACAGAGTCTCGCTCTGTTGCCCAGGCTGGAGTGCAGTGGCGTGATCTCGGCTCACTGCAAGCTCTGCCTCCTGGGTTCACGCCATTCTCCTGCCTCAGCCTCCCAAGTAGCTGGGACTACAGGCGCCTGCCACCATGCCCGGCTAATTTTTTTTTGTGTGTGTAATTTTAGTAGAGATGGGTTTTCACCATGGTCTCGATCTCCTGACCTCGTGATCCGCCCACCTCGGCCTCCCAAAGTGCTGGGATTACAGGCCTGAGCCGCCTTGCCCGGCCCAGCATCACTAATCTTGCCAAATAAGGTAGAGCCAAGTGAGGTTACTTGAACACAAGCACTGGGATAAAACGACAGTCAGTCTGATAAGCAAGATGGCTGCTAATTGACTAGTAGGTGGGTGATGCAGTATAGTTACCCCGGACAAAGGGATGATTCATGTTCAGAGTGAGACACAGGCAGATGATATGAATTTCATCATGCTACTCAGAAGAGTACACAGTTGGAATCTTATGAATTATTTCTGGAATTCTCCATTTAATATTTTCAGACTGTTTTTGGCTGTGGGTAACTGAAACTGTGGAAAGTAAAGCTCTGGATAAGGGATAACTATTATATTTCTTCAATGTTTCCATTTTCACCAAAATGTTTCTAGATATATGTTTCTTTGTATTTGTCCTGTTTGGATATGTTTACAGATACCTTTTCTCCATGTAATTATTGACGGACTGTTTTATACAATTGTTAGAATCAAAATGAAGTCTCTGGTGTTAAAAACTCTGACAAATAGAGCCAGGGAAGGCCATGGAGTGAGTGTTCTTACACACAAATGCCTAACAAGGACTATCACAAAAGACAAGTCAAAATCTTCAGCCCAATATCTTGAGCAGTAATATAAGGTATCTCTAAAATGTTTCCCCACCTGCTTTGACTAGTCAAGCAAACCAAACTTGCAAACAAAATAGCAATTTGTTACTGAAAAATTCAAGGCTATTTGCAGACTTTCTTTTTATTCTACAATTCAGCCAATCTTAGCTAAAATGTAAATATTTGAATATTTAACTCTAAACTTTTTAAAAACTAAAAATGGAAAAAGGGGTAAAAGGAGCTTATTTCAAACTGCTATACTTTATTCAAAATTTTGGTCCACAGTTTTCATCAGATTACCTATTGGAACAAATAAAATGTTGTCATGTGAACAAGTCTCATTTTGTCAGAAATTTAACTTGGATCCAAGCATCCTTGTATAAACTAGTGAAGTTGTATTACCAGGTTATACTGTCTCATGACTAAAATTCTATAATGAAAGCTATCTTTATTTGTGTGTGTATTTATGTGTGTGTTTATGCACGTTTTAAGTTGTGTCTACAAGGTAAAATCTAGCAAAGTTGGTTAGAAATCCCTTAAGAAATTTTATTCACATTGGCCTAGATAAATAAGTACTCATGAAATAAATAGCTGTTAAGCAGAATGACTTTTAGTTCCTGCGACTTAATAAATCTTTGATAATAATCTGGTTTTAAATTTGATAATAAAATACAAATAGAAATGTCTTCAAAATTGTCAGCATACATTTTTGCCTGGTTTTTATGGCCAGACAGTTTTATATTTGTCTCTGTTAGATATAAATGATTTAACTGGTTTAACTATAAACATAGCCTAAAAACAGAATAATCTTTGTGTAATAATATTAATATTGTTGGTTTAGTTAAAACAACTGTGTCTTCTGAGTTATTGACAAAATACCCATATATTTAACTTTCTTACTTAGGAAAACACTTGATATTCACAGGCTGTCAAAGTGCTTAAAATTATGACTAATTTTGTCTAATATCTCAGTTTTTATAAGTAATCTAGGTATAGTTAATAAAAATAAAAAATTAGACATTAAATTTCTTAAACGTTTATAAATAACTTTATGTAATTAAATATCTTAAATTTATGTTAAATTAAATGTTAGATACTCATTAAATGTCTGGGTCATTTTCAAATCAATAAAATGTTAAATATAAATTACTGAACATAAATATAACTGTGTCCTTGGCTTCTTAAATGTTATAAAAGGCTATATTTGGGTCAATTAACATGAAAAGTATGTTATAATAAACATGTTTCTAAAGTTATAAAGTGGTTCTGATATATAAATTATTGACATGTAATAAGCAATTCAAATTTCTTTGTTCTTATGTTTTTACTAAAATTAGAATTACTGAGAATTAAAAATTATAATTAATATATAATTCTGCATACAAAATGTAACAAAAACTAAAATGTTTTTGTTTAAAACATTATAAAAAGACAGATATATGTTTTTTGTTGAAAAATAGTTGTATCTAAATTCAGCAGTCCCTAAAGGTTGTTGCAAACTATGGAATTAGGAAAAAATAAAAACAATAAAAAAACAGTAAATAAGTGAGAGAGATGTTTAAATAGCTATACATAAAAAGATTTGTTTTTGATAAAGAATAAAAAAGGTTGAAAATTTTTGCATGAAAAAAATCTTCTATGATAAATTTTTGTCCCCAACTAAAATGACTGGTTATTTTAAGAAAAATAAAATACAGGACACAACAAAAGGTCTAAGCATGCTGTGAAATGTCTAAGTAATAAAAAATTTTGTGAAAAATAAATTTGCAAACAAAATTTTGCATGTGATCAATTTGACTATAATTTAAAAAATTATTTGTCTTTTTAAAGATTAAGCTTTGGTAAATGTACATGCTGATTTAAAACTAAACATTTGGTCTCTATATTAGAACAACAAAGATTTCATAAAATATTTATTTGCTTGTAATAAAATTTACAAAAGGTTTTGATTTTATTTGAGATCTGTTTCTTTAAATTTTCTTTTTTTTTTTTTTTTTTTTTTGAGATGGAGTTTTGCTTTTGTCACCAAGGCTGGAGTGCAATGGCACAATCTCAGCTCACTGCGACCTTTGCCTCCCAGGTTGAAGCGATTCTCCTGCCTCAGCCTCCCAAGTAGCTAGGATTACAAGCGTGTGCCACCAAGCCCAGATAATTTTTGTATTTTTAGTAGAGATGGAGTTTCACCATGTTGGTCAGGCTGGTGTCGAACTCCTGACCTCCAGTGATCTGCCTCGGCCTCCCAAAATGTTGGGATTACAGGCGTGAGCAACCGTGCCAGGCCTATTTTTTTAAATTTTCAATCATCCTCTGCATGGCAGCTTTACAATTTAGAGAAACGTTTTCCCCAAGTAAAATTTAATTCTGCATATTTAACTTTTCTTGTCTGAATCATTCTTTTCTTTTTTTTGTACTTTTATTTTTTTATTATACTTTAAGTTCTAGGGTACATGTGCACAACGTGCAGGTTTGTTACATAGGTATACATGTGCAATGTTGGCTTGCTGCACCCATCAACTCGTCATTTACATTAGGTATTTCTCCTAATGCCATCCCTCTCCCAGCCCTCCATCCCTCCGGCAGGCCCAGGTGTGTGATATTCCCCACCCTGTGTCCATGTGTTCTCGTTGTTCAATTCCCACCTATGATTGAGAACGTGTGGTGTTTGGTTTTCTGTCCTTGTGATAGTTTGCTGAGAATGATGATTTCCAGCTTCATCCATATCCCTGCAAAGGACATGAACTCATCCTTCTTTATGGCTGCATAGTATTCCATGGTGTATATGTGCCGCATTTT
This sequence comes from Homo sapiens, assembly GCF_000001405.40. Lineage (NCBI taxonomy): Eukaryota > Metazoa > Chordata > Mammalia > Primates > Hominidae > Homo > Homo sapiens. The sequence goes on from NC_000021.9 coordinate 15,911,625, forward strand.
CTTAATCCAGCCTATCATTGATGGATATTTGGGTTGGTTCCAAGTCGTCTTTGCTATTGTGAATAGTCCGCAATAAACATACGTGTGCATGTGTCTTTATAGTAAAATGATTTGTAATCCTTTGGGTATATACCCAGTAATGGGATTACTGGGTCAAATGGTATTTCTAGTTCTAGATCCTTGAGGAATCACCACACTGTCTTCCACAATGGTTGAACTAATTTACACGCCCATCAACAGTGTAAAAGAGTTCCTATTTCTCCACATCCTCTCCAGCATCTGTTGTTACCTGACTTTTTAATGATTGCCATTCTAACTGGTGTGAGATGGTATCTCATTGTGGTTTTGATTTGCATTTCTCTGACGACCTGTGATGATGAGCATTTTTTCATGTGTCTGTTGGCTGCATAAATGTCTTCTTTTGAGATGTGTCTGTTGATATCCTTTGCCCACTTTTTTGATGGGGTTGTTTGATTTTTTCTTGTAAATTTGTTTAAGTTCTTTGTGGATTCTGGATATTAGCCCTTTGCCAAGTGGGTAGACTGCAAAAATTTTCTCCCATTCTGTAGGTTTCCTGTTCACTCTGATGATAGTTTCTTTTGCTGTGCAGAAGGTCTTTAGTTTAATTAGATTTTACTTGTCTATTTTGGCTTTTGTTGCCATTGCTTTTGGTGTTTCAGTCATGAAGTCTTTGACCATGCCTATGTCCTGAATGGTATTGCTTAGGTTTTCTTCTAGGGTTTTTATGGTTTTAGGTCTTACATTTAGGTCTTTAATCCATCTTGAATTAATTTTTCTATAAGGTATAAGGAAGGGATCCAGTTTCAGCTTTCTGCATATGGCTAGCCAGTTTTCTCAACACCATTTATTAAATAGGGAATCCTTTCCCCACTGCTTGTTTTTGTCAGGTTTGTCAAAGATCAGATGGTTGTAGATATGTGGTGTTACTTCTGAGGCCTCTGTTCTGTTCCATTGGTCTATATATCTGTTTTGGTACCAGTACCATGCTGTTTTTTTAAAATGTAGCCTTGTAGTATAGTTTGAAGTCAGGTAGCATGATGCCTCCAGCTTTGTTCTTTTTGCTTAGGATTGTCTTGGCAATGCAGCCTCTTTTTTGGTTCCATATGCATTTTAGAGTAGTTTTTTCCAATTCTGTGAAGAAAGTCATTGGTAGCTTGATGGGGATGGCATTGAATCTATAAATCACCTTGGGCAGTATGGCCATTTTCATGATATTGAGGCTTCCTATCCATGAGCATGGAATGTTCTTCCATTTGTTTTTGTCCTCTTTTATTTTGTTGAGGAGTGGTTTGTAGTTCTCCTTGAAGAGGTCTTTCACATCCCTTGTAAGTTGGATTCCTAGGTATTTTATTCTCTTTGTAGCAATCGTGAATGCGAGTTCACTCATGATTTGGTTCTCTGTCTGTTATTGGTGTACAGGAATGCTTGTGATTTTTGCACATTGATTTTGTATTCTGAGACTTTGCTGAAGTTCCTTATCAGCTTAAGGAGATTTGGGGCTGAGACGATGGGATTTTCTAAATATACAATCATGTCATCTGCAAACAGGGACAATTTGACTTCTTCTTTTCCTACCTGAATACGCATCATTTCTTTCTCTTGCCTGATTGCCCTGGCCAGAGCTTCCATTAATATGTTGAATAGGAGTGGTGAGAGAGGGCATCCTTGTCTTGTGCCGGTTTTCAAAGGGAATGCTTCCAGTTTTTGCCCATTCAGTATGATATTGGCTGTGGGTCTGTCATAAATAGCTCTTATTATTTTGAGATACATTCCATCAATACCTAGTTTATTGAGAGTTTTTAGTATGAAGAGCTGTTGAATTTTGTCGAAGGTATTTTCTGCATCTATTGAGATAATCATGTGGTTTTTGTCATTGGTTCTGTTTATGCGATGGATTACATTTATTGATTTGCTTATGTTAAACAAGATTTGCATCCCAGAGATGAAGCCGACTTGATCATGGTGGATAAGCTTTTTGATGTGCTGCGGGATTCGGCTTGCCAGTATTTTACTGAGGATTTTCACATCAATATTCATCAGGGATATTGGTCTAAAATTCTTTTTTTTTGTTGTTTCTCTGCCAGGCTTTGGTATCGGGATGATGTTGGCCTCAAAATAAGTTAGAGAGGGTTCCTTCTTTTTCTATTGATTGGAATAGTTTCAGAAGGAATGGTACCAGCTCCTCTTTGTGCCTCTTGTAGAATTCGGCTGTGAATCCATCTGGTCCTGGACTTTTTTTGGTTGGTAGGCTATTAATTATTGCCTCAATTTCAGAACCTGTTATTGGTCTATTCAGAGATTCAACTTCTTCCTGATTTAGTCTTGGGAGGGTGTATGTGTCCAGGAATTTATCCATTTTTTCTAGATTTTCTAGTTTCTTTCATAGAGGTATTTATAGTATTCTCTGATGGTAGTTTGTATTTCTGTGGGATTAGTGGTGATATCCCCTTTATCATTTTTTATTATGTCTATTTGATTCTTCTCTCTTTTCTTCCTTATTAATCTTGCTAGTGGTATATTTTGTTGATCTTTTCAAAAAACCAGCTCCTGGATTCGTTGATTTTTTTGAAGGTTTTTTTTTTGTGTCTCTACCTCCTTCAGTTCTGCTCTGATCTTAGTTATTTTTTGCCTTCTGCTAGCTTTTGAATTTGTTTGCTCTTGCTTCTCTAGTTCTTTTAATTGTGGTGTTAGGGTGTGGATTTTAGATCTTTTTTGCTTTCTCTTGTGGACATTTAGTGCTATAAATTCCCCTCTACACTTTGTTTTAAATGTGTCCCAGAGATTCTAGAACGTTGTGTCTTTGTTCTCATTTGTTTCAAATAACTTATTTCTTTCTTTTTTTTTATGGCTTAACATATTTTTAATACGTTTAGGTGAAAATAGTGTTTCGTTTCTATGAGGCTGCATCTGTTTTTTGTTTTTGTTTTTGTTTTTAATTTTATTATTATTATACTTTAAGTTTTAGGGTACATGTGTACAATGTGCAGGTTAGTTACATATGTATACATGTGCCATGCTGGTGTGCTGCACCCATTAACTCATCATTTAGCATTAGGTATATCTCCTAATGCTATCCCTCCCCCGTCCCCCCACCCCACAACAGTCCCCAGAGTGTGATGTTCCCCTTCCTGTGTCCATGTGTTCTCATTGTTCAATTCCCACCTATGAGTGAGAATATGCGGTGTTTGGTTTTTTGTTCTTGCGATAGTTTACTGAGAATGATGATTTCCAATTTCATCCATGTCCCTACAAAGGACATGAACTTCTCATTTTTTATGGCTGCATAGTATTCCATGGTGTATATGTGCCACATTTTCTTAATCCAGTCTATCATTGTTGGACATTTGGGTTGGTTCCAAGTCTTTGCTATCGTGAATAGTGCCGCAATAAACATACGTGTGCATGTGTCTTTATAGCAGCATGATTTATAGTCCTTTGGGTATATACCCAGTAATGGGATGGCTGGGTCAAATGGTATTTCTACTTCTAGATCCCTGAGGAATCGCCACACTGACTTCCACAAGGGTTGAACTAGTTTACAGTCCCACCAACAGTGTAAAAGTGTTCCTATTTCTGCACATCCTGTCCAGCACCTGTTGTTTCCTGACTTTTTAATGATTGCCATTCTAACTGGTGTGAGGTGGTATCTCATTGTGGTTTTGATTTGCATTTCTCTGATGGCCAGTGATGATGAGCATTTTTTCATGTGTCTTTTGGCTGCATAAATGTCTTCTTTTGAGAAGTGTCTGTTCATATCCTTCACCCACTTTTTGATGGGGTTGTTTGTTTTTTTCTTGTAAATTTGTTTGAGTTCATTGTAGTTTCTGGATATTAGCCCTTTGTCAGATGAGTAGGTTGTGAAAATTTTCTCCCATTTTGTAGGTTGCCTGTTCACTCTGATGGTAGTTTCTTTTGCTGTGCAGAAGCTCTTGAGTTTAATTACATCCCATTTGTCAATTTTGGCTTTTGTTGCCACTGCTTTTGGTGTTTTAGACATGAAGTCCTTGCCCATGCCTATGTCCTGAATGGTAATGCCTAGGTTTTCTTCTAGGGTTTTTATGGTTTTAGGTCTAACGTTTAAGTCTTTAGTCCATCTTGAATTAGTTTTTGTATAAGGTGTAAGGAAGGGATCCAGTTTCAGCTTTCTACATATGGCTAGCCAGTTTTCCCAGCACCATTTATTAAATAGGGAATCCTTTCCCCATTGCTTGTTTTTCTCAGGTTTATCAAAGATCAGATAGTTGTAGATATGTGGTGTTATTTCTGAGGGCTCTGTTCTGTTCCATTGGTCTATATCTCTGTTTTGATACCAGTACCATGCTGTTTTGGCTACTGTAGCCTTGTAGTATAGTTTGAAGTCAGGTAGCGTGATGCCTCCAGCTTTGTTCTTTTGGCTTAGGATTGACTTGGCGATGCGGGCTCTTTTTTGGTTCCATATGAACTTGAAAGTAGTTTTTTCCAATTCTGTGAAGAAAGTCATTGGTAGCTTGATGGGGATGGCATTGAATCTATAAATTACCTTGGGCAGTATGGCCATTTTCATGATATTGATCCTTCCTACCCATGAGCATGGGATGTTCTTCCATTTGTTTGTATCCTCTTTTATTTCATTGAGCAGTGGTTTGTAGTTCTCCTTGAAGAGGTCCTTCCCATCCCTTGTAAGTTGGATTCCTAGGTATTTTATTCTCTTTGAAGCAATTGTGAATGGGAGTTCACTCATGATTTGGCTCTCTGTTTGTCTGTTGTTGGTGTATAAGAATGCTTGTGATTTTTGTACATTGATTTTGTATCCTGAGACTTTGCTGAAGTTGCTTATAGCTTAAGGAGATTTTGGGCTGAGACAATGAGGTTTTCTAGATATACAATCATGTCATCTGCAAACAGGGACAATTTGACTTCCTCTTTTCCTAATTGAGTACCCTTTATTTCCTTCTCCTGCCTAATTGCCCTGGCCAGAACTTCCAACACTATGTTGAATAGGAGCGGTGAGAGAGGGCATCCCTGTCTTGTGCCAGTTTTCAAAGGGAATGCTTCCAGTTTTTGCCCATTCAGTATGATATTGGCTGTGGGTTTGTCATACATAGCTCTTATTATTTTGAGATATGTCCCATCAATACCTAATTTATTGAGAGTTTTTAGCATGAAGGGTTGTTGAATTTTGTCAAAGCCCTTTTCTGCATGTATTGAGATAATCATGTGGTTTTTGTCTTTGGTTCTGTTTCTATGCTGGATTACATTTATTGATTTGCGTATATTGAACCAGCCTTGCATGCCAGGGATGAAGCCCACTTAATCATGGTGGACAAGCTTTTTGACGTGCTGCTGGATTCGGTTTGCCAGTATTTTATTGAGGATTTTTGCATCAATGTTCATCAAAGATATTGGTCTAAAATTCTCTTTTTTGGTTGTGTCTCTGCCCGGCTTTGGTATCAGGATGAAGCTGGCCTCATAAAATGAGTTAGGGAGGATTCCCTCTTTTTCTATGGATTGGAATAGTTTCAGAAGGAATGGTGCCAGTTCCTCCTTGTACCTCTGGTAGAATTCGGCTGTGAATCCATCTGGTCCTGGACTCTTTTTGGTTGGTAAGCTATTGATTATTGCCACAATTTCAGAGCCTGTTATTGGCCTATTCAGAGAGTCAACTTCTTCCTGGTTTAGTCTTGGGAGGGTGTATGTGTCAAGGAATTTATCCATTTCTTCTAGATATTCTAGTTTATTTGCGTAGAGGTGTTTATAGTATTCTCTGATGGTAGTTTGTATTTCTGTGGGATCGGTAGTGATATCCCCTTTATCATTTTTTATTGCGTCTATTTGGTTCTTCTCTCTTTTCTTCTTTATTAGTCTTGCTAGTGGTCTATCAATTTTGTTGATCCTTTCAAAAAACCAGCTCCTGGATTCATTAATTTTTGAAGGGTTTTTTGTGTCTCTATTTCCTTCAGTTCTGCTCGGATTTTAGTTATTTCTTGCCTTCTGCTAGCTTTTGAATGTGTTTGCTCTTGCTTCTCTAGTTCTTTTAATTGTGATGTTAGGGTGTCAATTTTGGATCTTTCCTGCTTTCTCTTGTGGGCATTTAGTGCTATAAATTTCCCTGTACACACTACTTTGAATGTGTCCCAGAGATTCTGGTATGTTGTGTCTTTGTTCTCGTTGGTTTCAAAGAACATCTTTATTTCTGCCTTCATTTCGTTATGTACCCAGTAGTCATTCAGGAGCAGGTTGTTCAGTTTCCATGTAGTTGAGTGGTTTTGAGTGAGTTTCTTAATCCTGAGTTCTAGTTTGATTGCACTGTGGTCTGAGAGATAGTTTGTTATAATTTCTGTTCTTTTACATTTGCTGAGAAGAGCTTTACTACCAACTATGTGGTCAATTTTGGAATAGGTGTGGTGTGGTGCTGAAAAAAATGTATATTCTGTTGATTTGGGGTGGAGAGTTCTGTAGATGTCTATTAGGTCTGCTTGGTGCAGAGCTGAGTTCAGTTCCTGGGTATCCTTGTTAACTTTCTGTCTCGTTGATCTGTCTAATGTTGACAGTGGGGTGTTAAAGTCTCCGATTATTAATGTGTGGGAGTCTAAGTCTCTTTGTAGGTCACTCCGGACTTGCTTTATGAATCTGGGTGCTCCTGTACTGGGTGCATATGTATTTAGGATAGTTAGCTCTTCTTGTTGAATTAATCCCTTTACGATTATGTAATGGCCTTCTTTGTCTTTTAGGATCTTTGTTGGTTTAAAGTCTGTTTTATCAGAGACTAGGATTGCAACCCCTGCCTTTTTCTGTTTTCCATTTGCTTGGTAGATCTTCCTCCATCCTTTTATTTTGAGCCTATGTGTGTCTCTGCACGTGAGATGGGTTCCTGAATACAGCACACTGATGGGTCTTGCCTCTTTATCCAATTTGCCAGTCTGTGTCTTTTAATTGGAGCATTTAGTCCATTTACATTTAAAGTTAATATTATTATGTGTGAATTTGATCCTGTCATTATGATATTAGCTGGTTATTTTGCCAGTTGGTTGATGCAGTTTCTTCCTAGCCTCGATGGTCTTTACAATTTGACATGATTTTGCAGTGGCTGGTACCGGTTTTTCCTTTCCATGTTTAGTGCTTCCTTCAGGAGCTCTTGTAGGGCAGGCCTGGTGGTGACAAAATCTGTCAGCATTTGCTTGTCTGTAAAGGATTTTATTTCTCCTTCACTTATGAAGCTTAGTTTGGCTGGATATGAAATTCTGGGTTGAAAATTCTTTTCTTTAAGAATGTTGAATATTGGCCCCCACTCTCTTCTGGCTTGTAGAGTTTCTGCCGAGAGATCCACTGTTAGTCTGATGGGCTTCCCTTTATGGGTAACCCAACCTTTCTCTCTGGCTGCCCTTAACATTTTTTCCTTCATTTCAACTTTGGTGAATCTGACAATTATGTGTCTTGGAGTTGCTCTTCTCGAGGAGTATCTTTGTGGCGTTCTCTGTATTTCCTGAATCTGAATGTTGGCCTGCCTTGCTAGATTGGGGAAGTTCTCCTGGATAATATCCTGCAGAGTGTTTTCCAACTTGGTTCCATTCTCCCCGTCACTTTCATGTACACCAGTCAGACGTAGATTTGGTCTTTTCACATAGTCCCATATTTCTTGGAGGCTTTGTTCATTTCTTTTTATTCTTTTTTCTCTAAACTTCCCTTCTCGCTTCATTTCATTCATTTCATCTTCCATCACTGATACACTTTCTTCCAGTTGATTGCATCGGCTCCTGAGGCTTCTGCATTCTTCACGTAGTTCTTGAGCCTTGGCTTTCAGCTCCATCAGCTCCTTTAAGCACTTCTCTGTATTGGTTATTCTAGTTATACATTCGTCTTAATTTTTTTCAGTTTTCAACTTCTTTGCCTTTGGTTTGAATTTCCTCCTGTAGCTTGGAGTAGTTTGATCATCTGAAGCCTTCTTCTCTCAACTCATCGAAGTCATTCTCCGTCCAGCTTTGTTCCGTTGCTGGTGAGGAGCTGCGTTCCTTTGGAGGAGGAGAGGCACTCTGCTTTTTAGAGTTTCCAGTTTTTCTGTTCTGTTTTTTCCCCATCTTGGTGGTTTTATCTACTTTTGGTCTTTGATGATGGTGATGTACAGATGGGTTTTTGGTGTGGATGTCCTTTCTGTTTGTTAGTTTTCCTTCTAACAGACAGGACCCTCAGTTGCAGGTCTGTTGGAGTTTGCTAGAGGTCCACTCCAGACCCTGTTTGCCTGGGTACCAGCAGTGGTGGCTGCAGAACAGTGGATTTTCGTGAACCGCGAATGCTGCTGTCTGATCATTCCTCTGGAAGTTTTGTCTCAGAGGAGTACCCGGCAGTGTGAGACGTCAGTCTGCCCCTACTGGGGGGTGCCTCCCAGTTAGGCTGCTCAGGGGTCTGGGGTCAGGGACCCACTTGAGGAGGCAGTCTGCCCGTTCTCAGATCTCCAGCTGCATGCTGGGAGAACCACTGCTCTCTTCAAAGCTGTCAGACAGGGACATTTAAGTCTGCAGAGGTTACTGCTGTCTTTTTGTTTGTCTGTGCCCTGCCCCCAGAGGTGGTGCCTACTGAGGCAGGCAGGCCTCCTTGAGCTGTGGTGGGCTCCACCCAGTTCGAGCTTCCTGGCTGCTTTGTTTACCTAAGCAAGCCTGGGCAATGGCAGGCACCCCTCCCCCAGCCTCGCTGCCACCTTGCAGTTTGATCTCAGACTGCTGTTCTAGCAATCAGCGAGACTCCCTGGGCATAGGACCCTCTGAGCCAGGTGCGGGATACAATCTCCTGGTGTGCCATTTTTTAAACCTGTTGGAAAAGCGCAGTATTGGGGTGGGAGTGACCTGATTTTCCAGGTGCCATCTGTCACCTCTTTCTTCGACTAGGAAAGGGAACTCCCCGACCCCTTGTGCTTCCCGAGTGAGGCAATGCCTCGCCCTGCTTCAGCTTGCGCATGGTGCACTGCACCCACTGTCCTGAGCCCACTGTCTGGCACTCCCTAGTGAGATGAACCCCGTACCTCAGATGGAAATGCAGAAATCACCCATCTTCTGCGTCACTCACACTGGGAACTGTAGACCGGAGCTGTTCCTATTCGGCCATCTTGACTCCAGCCCCCATAACTTATTTATTTCTGCTTTCATTTTGTTATTTACCCAGTAGTCATTCAGGAGCAGGTTGTTCAGTTTCCATGTAGTTGTGAGGTTTTGAGTGAGTTTCTGAATCCTGAATTCTAATTTGATTGCATTGTGGTCTGAGAGACAGTTTGTTGTGATTTCTGTTCTTTTACATTTGCTGAAGAGTGTTTTACTTCCAATTATGTGGTCAATTTTAGAATAAGTGCATTGTGGTGCTGAGAAGAATGTATATTCTGTTGATTTGGGGTGGAGAGTTCTGTAGATGTCTATTAGGTCTGCTTGCTGCAGAGCTGAGTTCAAATCCTGGATATCCTTGTTAACCTTCTGTTTCGTTGGTCTGTCTAATATTGACAATGAGGTGTTAAAGTGTCCCATTATTATTGTGTGGGACTCTAAGCCTCTTTGTAGGTCTCTAAGGACTTGCTTTATGAATCTGGGTGCTCCTGCATTTGGTACATATGTATTTAGGATAGTTAACTCTTCTTGTTGAATTGATCCCTTTACCATTACGTAATCGTCTTCTTTGTCTCTTTTGATCTTTGTGGGTTTAATGTCTGTTTTATCAGAGACTAGGATTGCAAACCTTGCTTTTTTTTTTTCTTTCCATTTGCTTGGTAGATCTTCCTCCATCCCTTTATCTTGGGCCTATATGAGTCTCTGCACGTGAGATGGGTCTCCTGAATACAACACACTGATGGGTCTTGACTGTTTATCTAATTTGTCAGTCTGTGTCTTTTAATTGGGGCATTTAGCCCATTTACATTTAAGGTTAATATTGTTATGTGTGAATTTGATCCTGTCATTATGATATTAGCTGGTTATTTTGCCAGTTAGTTGATGCAGTTTCTTTGTAGCATCGATGCTCTTTACAATTTGGCATGTTTTTGTAGTGGCTGGTACCGGTTGTTATTTTCCATGTGTAGTGCTTCCTTCAGGAGCTCTTGTAAGGCAGGCCTGGTGGTGACAAAATCTCTCAGCATTTGCTTGTCTGTAAAGGATTTTATTTCTCCTTCACTTATGAAGCTTAGTTTGGCTGGATATGAAATTCTGGGTCATTCTATGTAACCAGGAAATTTCCTCTTATTTTACTAAGAACCATGACTTTCTCTGCTTAAGGTGTTACTTGTTTTTTCCCATAAAATATGGTATACACTCATAATCTTGAATACGTGCTTTTCCTGTGTGATGAAATTCAAGTACCTTTTAATCAGCTTTGACTTCTAACTTATTTAAATTAGCTTCCCAGGAAGGGAAACAATAACACTGGAGAAACTTTTTTTTATCTTTGTGGTAAACGGCCTAAAAAACAAAGACTTTGCAGTTTTATCAGATAATTTCCTATGTTTCATGTTCTCTTTGTTGAGTTTTTTGATTAGTTAAGAAAACTGAGCTTTAAAAAGTTTAAGTCTTTTTTTTTTTAACATCTGTATAACTTTCCGTATTGCTTTTAAAGTATTTCATTATCACTTTGGGTAAAAAAATGACTATAATTTTACAGATACCTGTTATATTCTCTTGATAGGGTGTGTTTTAAACCTTTTGTAATCTTTGACAGGGTTTCTATGTATTAAAATAACTAAATTAAGTCTTTCTGCCTTAAAATTACTTTGGAATATTTCAGTTGGGCCCCTAGAGAGGATCAATGGACATATCTCTCATCTTGTACAGATATTAAGTGATTAGGTTTATTTAGTAATTGTATAAAGAAAGTCAAATGATAAGTGATGTTAGATCTTTTAATTACATTTACAGGTATGTTATTGATATGACGATCATAAAATTATATAATATTCTTAAAAATCTAGTATGTCATTAGTCATAATTCTGGTTATTATATTGAATGCCACAAAATAACCGAATTTCCTTGTCTACTGCTTCACTTCCATCAGATTTTTAACTATGGCTATTCTAAATCTCTGTCATCCATAGTTTTTACTTCCTTGAATGTACACATAGTTTATCATGGGACTCTTATTTCCATTGCAATGCCTTTTCCCAAATATTATTTTTTAAAGAAAGTCTTTATTTCTGGTTGTTATTTGGGTTGACAGTTTCATCCATTTTGTTGTATCTCTATGATTTCCTTTTCATATTATTAATACAGCCAGCACAAGGGAAAAGAGACTGTTGGGAAAGCACACTAGCCTCTTAAATTATTTGGCCCAATGTGACATACACCAATCATTTTCACTCACCTTTCATTAGACAAACACTAGTCACATGGCTACCTCTGGGAGCTAATGGGGCTAGGGAAATGTACAACCTGGTTGGGCAGCTGCTCTATAGCCAATCCTTTTATTTTCAGCCATAGAACACATTTGCCCTCTACTCAAGGAAAATAATGCAAATTCTCATTCCCTTCTTATATCCAGAAAAACAGTCCAAGCTCTCTGGATGATGTTCAGTGTAGTAGGCTGAATAATGGTCACCCAAAGATATGACATCCTAATTCCTGGGACCTATAAATGTTACTCCATAAGTAAAAAGCAACTCTACAGATGTGATTAAGGATCTTGACATTGGAGATTAGCCTGGATTAGCTGAGTGGACTTTAGATGCAATCACAAGTACCCTTAAAAGTGAAAGGCAGAAAGAAATTTGAGACAGAAGAGAAGACAGAAAAGGAGAAGGCCACGTGAAGATGGATGCAGAGATTATAGGATTTGGATGCAGCAAAAGTATGCCATTTACCACCCAAACTGGATGAGATAAGGAATGGTCTTCCAGAGCCTCTGGAGGGAACACAGCCTTGCCAACACCTTGATTTCAGCCAAGGAAACTGATGTTGAACTTCTGACTCCAGACTATGAGAGAAAACATTTTTGTTATTTGAAGTCACCAAGTTTGTGATCATTTGTTACAGAGCCATAGGAAATGAATGACTGACAGTGACTCTTCATGATCATTTGAGCATGTTTTTGAGTGGTCCTAAGGACAGTTAAGCAATCAGTAGATCTTCTTTTTCCTTCTTGGAAGGGGAAAAGGACTTTTTAGCAGTGGATACCACATTATCATCTCTGATACTTTTGGTCTGATGAGATAAAGATTGATATTAGTTCACGGTGAGAAAAGCACTGGAAAACATACAAAGATGGTCTGCCTTTTCAGAATCTGCTTTGGTGTTTCCACAGTCCTCTTTTAACATAGATACACAAGAGACTATGTTTATCAGAATTTCACCCATTACAATCAATTACTGTTTGTGTGTATTCCTTCTGTGTGCCTTACCTGTTATCAGTGGTGCTTAAGGAATGAGAGACTTGACCTAAAATATTTTCGTGGTGACAAGATTTTTTGATCACCCTATATCTTTTCACCCCACTCCAGCTAATATCATCCTGATTTCTATTGGGTTAGTTAACTCTCCCAATTTTTTAGATTAAAACTACAGTGCTCTTGTCTTCTCTAAGCAAGGAATAGGTATATGACCTAAGCTTCAGATATTGGGCTTACCTTCCAAGGACTTTGACTTTTAAGCAGAAGAGTGGTAAAGACAGAGAGTGTTTGGATGTCATTACTTTCTGCAGTTATCTTTTGCAGGATGATCAAGTTGTGCCTGCTGCCTGGAACTCTAGAACAACTCTTGATCCAGATTTTTCCTGAAGTTCTCTAGACTTTCTGTCAATCGTGTATGCTGCCCAATAGCATCAAAATAAATTTTTTTCTAGTTTTTTTCTTTAAAAATTTTACTTAAAAATTTTCCCCCAATCATCAGAACCTATGAATAAAACAAATTTTATACTTGCTTAGGTTGGACATTGATATGGTTTGGCTCTGTGTCTCCACCTGTATTAGTCCATTTTCATGCTGCTGATAAAGTCACACCTGAGACTGGGCAATTTACAAAAGAAAGAGGTTTAATTGGACTCACAGTTCCATGTGGCTGGGGAGGCCTCAGAATCATGGCAGAAGGCAAGGAGGAACAAGTCACGTCTTGCATGGATGACAGCAGGCAAAAAAAAAAGAAAGTTTGCTCAGGGAAACTCCCATTTCTAAAACCATCAGATCTCATAAGACGTATTCACTATCAAAAGAACAGCATGGGAAAGACCTGCCCCCATGATTTAATTACCTCCTACCAGGTCCCTTCCACAACACATGGGAATTCGAGATGAGATTTGGGTGGGGACACAGAGCCAAACCATATCGTTCCGCCCCAGCCCCTCCCAAATCTCATGTCCTCACATTTCAAAACCAATCATGCCTTCCCAACAGTTTCCCAAAGTCTTAACTCATTTCAGCATTAACTCAAAAGTCCACAGTCCAATGTCTCATCTGAGACAAGGAAAGCCCCTTCCACTTATGAGGTTGTAAAATCAAAAGCAAGTTAGTTACTTCCTAGATATTATGAGGGTACAGGCATTGGGTAAATAGAGCCATTCCAATTGGGAGAAAATAGCCAAAACAAAGGGGCTGCAGGCCACATGCAAGTCCAAAATTCAGCGGGACAGTAAAATCTTAAAGCTCCAAAATCATATCCTTTGACTCCATGTCTCACATCCAGGTCACGCTGATGCAAGAGATGGGCTCCCTTGGACTTGGGCAGCTCTGCCCCTGTGGCTTTGCAGGGTATGCACCCCTTCCTGGCTGCTTTCATGGGCTGGCATTGAGTGTCTTTGGCTTTACCGGGTGCACAGTGAAAGCTGGCAGTGGATCTACCATTCTGGGGTCTGGAGGATGGTGGCCCTTTTCTCACAGCTCCACTAAGTGGTGCCTAAATAGGGACTCTGTGTAGGGGTTCTGATCCCACATTTCCCTTCTGCACTGCCCTAACAGAAGTTCTCCATGAGGACCCTGCCCCTGCAGCAAACTTCTGCCTGGGCATCCAGGTATTTCCATACATCTTTTAAATTCTAGGTGGAGGTTCTCAAACCTCAGTTCTTGACTTCTGTGCACCCATAGTCTCAACACCACATGGAAGCTGCCAAGGCTTGGGGCTTCCAATCTCTGATGCCACAGCCCAAGCCGTAACTTGGCCCCTTTTAGTCACAGCTAGAGCTGCTGGGATTCAGGGCACCAAGTCCCTAGACTACACACAACATGGGGACCCTGGGCCTGGCCTTTCAAACCTTATTTTCCTCCTAGGTCTCTGGGCCTGTGATGGGAAGGGCTGCCATGAAGACTTCTGACATGCCGTGGAGACATTTTCCTTATCATCTTGAGGATTAATATTCAGCTCCTTGTCATATATGCAAATTTCTGCAGACGGCTTGAATTTCTCCTCAGAAAATGAGATTTTCTTTTCTATCATATTGTCAGGCTGTGAATTTTTCAAACTTTTATGCTCTGCTTCTATTATAAAAATGAATGCCTTTAAAAGCACCCAAGTCACATCTTGAATGCTTCTGCTTAGACATTTCTTCTGCTAGATACCCTAAATCATCTCTCTCAAGTTCAAAGTTCCACAAATTTCTAGGGCAGGGGCAAAATGCCACCAGTCTCTGCTAAATCATAACAAGAGTCACTTTTGCTCCAGTTCCCAGTAAGTTCCTCATTTACATCTGAGACCACCTCAGCCTAGATTTCATTGTCCATATGATTATCAACGTTTTGGTCAAAGCCATTCAACAAGTCTCTAGGGAGTTCAAAGTTTCCCATGTTTTCCTGTGTACTTCTGAGCCCTCCAAACTGTTCCAACCTCTGCCTGTTACCCAGGTCCAAAGTTGCTTCCACATTTTTAAGTACCTTTTCAGCAATACCCCACTCTACTGGTACCAATTTACTGTATTAATCCAGTTTCATGCTGCTGATAAAAACATATCTGAGACTGGGCAATTTACAAAAGAAAGAGGTTTATTAGACTTACAGTTCCACATGGCTGGGGAGGCCTAACAATCATGTTGGAAGGCAAGGAAGAGCAAGTCACACCTTATGTGGATGGCAGAAGGCAAAAAAAAGAGCTTGTGTAGGGAAACTTCCATTTTTAAAACCATCAGATCTCATGAGACTTAGTCACTCTCACGATAACAGCATGGGAAAGACCTGCCTTCATGATTCAATTACCTCACCAGGTTGTTCCCACAACACGTGGGAATTCAAGATGAGATTTGGGTGGGGACACAGCCAAACCATATCACCACCCAAATCTCATGTTGAATTGTTATCTTCAGTGTTGGACAGGAGGCATGGTGGGAGGCAATTGTATCATGGGACTTGATTTCCCTCTTGCTGTTCCTGTGATAGTGAGTGAGTTCTCATGAGATCTGGTTATTTAAAAGTGTGTAGCACTTTCCCTTCTCTCTCTCTCCTGCCACCATGTGAAGTCGTGCTTGCTTCCCCTTTGCCCTTCCTCCATGCCATGATTGTAAGTTTCCTGAGGCCTCCCCAGCCATGCTTCCTGCACAGCCTATGGAACTGAGTAAATTAAACCTCTTTTCTTTATAAATTACCCAGTCTCAGGTAGTTATTTATAGCAATGTGAAAACTGACTAATACAGACATCATAAATGTCTGTTGTTTGCAACTAAATAATCTTAAATCTACAGGAAGTGATGAAAGTAAGTTCTGATATCTCGAGGGAATTTTCCACTTGGAAGAGAGGAAGGAATAGCACAGTTAAATGGATAATTTATAAAAAGAAGTGTTGACCTACATATTTATTTAGGTAATGGAAATACCTTAATATCTCTGAAAATTATCTAGTTATTTTGACCTATGTGCTTTTTAAAATGTCCATATTGATGATAAGGAGTGGCTTTTCATTCCGGTAAATTCATTCTGCTTTGAATTATGTAATTTAACATGTATTCAAATTACTTCTATTTAAAAGTACACAAATTGATCTCATTTTCACTTGGCATTTTAATTTATCAATACCTGTGTGGATATTTCACAGTATTTTCAGTACAGGAAATTTCCTTCCAAACAGTAGAGATTAGATACATGTATTGTATAAGATGGTATATTTATATTGCCATAAATGGATACGTTAAAAATAATGTCTACTTCAAGAAAGATTGTGGGACTTTATTTTGTTAAAGTAATATTTTGGATTTCCTACATTTTTATGTCATTATTTTGAAACAAATTTATATGCGTACCATTAATTATTATTGAATTTAAAACTGCTTGAAGATGTATATCATTCTGGGATCAATTAGGATACAAGACCCACATTGTAATTTTAACAGAGAAAGTTTAATATAAAAATTAATAACTATAACCTACCTACGTTACCAACCAAGTGAAAAAAGAACTCTAAACAATAGTGGAATTGTAGATATAGGAAACAGCCATTACCTGTGGGCCTAAGGCAAGAGCATCAAAGGAAGAAACAAATCTGGAGTAAGTACCCTTCTCTGCCATTTGAGAGGCTGGGGTCACGGCCATGGCCCATTGATTAGTGGAAAAGTTCTCTGAGGAATATTGCCAGCAGAAATTGCTAAGAAGTTGTCTTCTGGGATGCTTGGGAAACTATCCACAGGGGCAGTTGCTTCATGGAATTTGCTAGTAAGCTGCTTGAAGGGAGGCTGCCCTCTGAAATGCCAGGGGAAGCTGCCCATGCAAAGGTGCCATGCAGCAGAGCTCACTGGAGGGTGGCCCTACTGCATTTTCCGTGCCCTGCTATATGCTGTGTACCACAGGAGCAAGCAGAGAAAAACACTGGAAACAAGCCCTGTTTTCCTTCAGTGTTTCCTAGAGCCATCTGCTGACAACACGAACATTGGGCATCTGACAGAGGAGAAATATTTATAAGGTTTAGCTCCAGTATCACAGGCAGAGCAATGGAGGATGGATTTGGAGCTGCAAGGCAATAAACTGGTAACTGAACAAAGTAAGTAGAATTGCTTTTTTTTTTCCTAAGTGAAAACAAGGGGTCTTGCAAGACTTGGAATTCACAGATTTATCCAACAAGGGAAAACAGTAAAATTTTACATATGGCTTCATATAGTTGTTTAAACTTCATAAACAAGAATCTAGTTAATGTTTAGTTTTTGGAATATTCCTTTGAAATATTTAAGTGCATTTATGCAGTGAAAGTGTCAGAATTCTCAGTTTTAGCCTGTGAATATGCTCTATTGGAGAATTTTTTTTTAAATAAAAGATACTGCCTGGTCATAAACAGTTCATTCCCTAGGGGGAATGTCTGTGGTTTCTTAAAAATTGAGTTGGGGTAGTATTTGCATGGTTCAAGCCAAGCTGATTTTGGTGTATTGCTGAATCATCCAAGACACGGAGTTGTATTCCATTTAACCTGATTGGATAGAAATAAACATACCATGTGTTGAGGTTGCATCTACAATACATTGTAAATTGTAAAGTGCTATGTAAATCTACTCTAGAAGTATTTCTGTTTTGACTCTACTTTTTCTAATGTTATATAACTTTTATAACGTTTAAAAAATTCTCTTTGTAAAATCATTCTTAACAGCTGTTGAAGTGATATCACAGAGCTCATCAGAGAGACCAATTCAAAATACTATTTATAACTCTCTGTGACTGTAGGAGTTTACTATAAAATAACAGCTTCTAGATGTCATCTAGAGGAAAACTAACTCTTTCCCAAGTGGGCCTGAACGTTATTAGAACTTCAGATAGCTGTCACCCCTTAGGCATTTCTGCAGAAATACCGTCATTTCATATTACACTTGTAATGTTCTGAATCTTTATTGTCCAGAGTTTGTTTTGCAGTGGCTGTAGAACCAATCAAAGAGGAATGAAATTGAAGTAATGGCTTGCTATTTCCCAGTGTATTCCACAGAAATATGATGAAATCCTATCATCAGAATGAATGTTTTATAAAATTGAGTTTATTTTTGTGCTAAGATTTCTAGAGTTTACCTTCTAACATAAGGTTCCAGCATATCCCGAATTTAATTTTAAAAGGCTTGGGAGTTTCCAAATATCATTACCATATTTTCCAATCATGCACAACCAATTTGTAATTTAAGCAGAAAAGAAAATAGAGCATGAGTAAGGCTGAAGTGTTTGCATCTGATACACCTGCCTAAACTGTGTAGCTGAAAGAGTGGATATTTCAGATACCACAGGGTGGAGCATGGGCCACTCTGTAACTCTATTGTAGAAACTGCTTTTTAAGTTTTCTGGAGTAGAGTTGTTATTTAATTAAGTAATATAGATCCCCCTCTAAAAATTAGTCCCCTCCCAAATTCCTCATCTCTTAATTACTGTAAATACTGGTTTCATTTTGCTTGCAAGTAGTTTTCTGCTTCCTACATTTTTGAGGTTTACTAATTTGGAAAGAATTATAATTTGTGTACTCTACCTCATATAACTCGGTAATACTACAGAGTCCATGGTAGAAAAGTTTCATTTTCCGTGTTTTGGTCAATTTTCAAGAACTCTTATTCATAACATAGTCAGTTTTATTTGCTTTATAAGACAATAATTTCTTACAAATACAAGAATGTTAGAACTGCCATTTAAGAGAAAAAAGCTTCCTGTCTTCCTTTATTTAAATATTAAAATTAGAAAATCCCTTTTGCCTAACAACATTCATCCCTGAGATTCAGATACCTTCAAATAAAACCAATAAAGGTGGAAAGTGACACATTTATCCTTTTACATTTGATTTAATGGAAAAGTTAGTCATCCACAATTTTTTTTCTCTTGAAAATAAAAACCAGACGAAAAAATCATGTTAAGGCAAATGGCCACACAATTTCAGATATTCAATGGTTTTGAAATCTCAATGGAGTCTTTCAATTGTTGCTTTTAAGAGAGAAAGGTTTACAAGAACTTTTATAGTCTTATCTCACAGGGAAAAATATTCTATAAAAAGGCTTATATTGCTTTTGAATCATGCCATTATCTCATAAATAAAGACTCAATAAAAATTGACTAAAAAAGAGAGAGAAAAGAAACAGTATTTAAAGTGAGATGGTATATTAAAAATGATCAAATTCAATAAAACCTTTTTGGGCTTGTTTTTCAAATAACTAGATACTAAGAACTCATTAAGGAAGAAAGGTAGTTCAGAGCAACTAGAAAATTAATTAACTATTTAACTTAAAGTTTGATGGGCACTTGTCTTTAAGGGTTCCATTCTCACAAATAATATTCATAATTATGTTTGACAATATTTGAATAATCCTGATTTACAAGCAATTAGGTATATAGGCACTTGTAAATGATTATGGGATGTATGTACAGGGATTGTAAGGGATGGTGAAAGAAAATATGCAAATGATTGTGGACAAATGAACCCCAATCCATAACACAGCTGACAATAATTGGTATACATGGAGTAGAACACATACATTTTTGACCCTAATTCTTAAGTTTTTAACCTACATTCCAGTCTCATGTTGTAAAAAGCCATTATTAATTGCTGTCATTAACTTTTTTTTTTTTTTGAGATGGAGTCTCACTCTGTTGCCCAGGCTGGAGTGCATTGGTGCTATCTTGGCTCACTGCAACTTCCGCCTCACAGGTTCAAATGATTCTCCCACTTCAGCTGCCTGAGTAGCTGGGATTATGAGCGTGTACCACCATGCTTGGCTAATTTTTGTATTTATAGTGGAGACAGGGTTTTACTATGTTGGCCAGGCTGGTCTTCTAACTCCTGATCCCAAGTGATTCACCTAACTCGGCCTCCCAAATTGCTGGGATTACAGGTGTGAGCACTGCATCTGGCCTGCTGTCATTAACTTCTTAGTGGTTGGTGCTGGGTGACCATTTGCATAAATACATTTCATTAAATGGGAATTATAATTCATTAGCTATATTGAGCTGTCCCACTTCACCAACGTTTATAGTAAATCTGATACATAATAACGACTATTAAATTCTTTGTCAGATAACTCCATCTGTGCCAGTTTGTTCTTGGCATCTATTGATTGTTTTTTACATCGTTCAAGTTGAGATTTTTCTGGTTCTTGGTAAAAGGATTCATTTGTGACTGTATCCTGGACATTTTGTGTGGTACGTTGTGAGACTGGATCTTATATAACTCTGTTCCACAGGTTCCTCTGAGGCTGGCAGGGGATGTGACAGGATCTCTTCATCACTGCCATGTGAAAACCAAATCCAGGTTCCCCACTAGGCCTCTGTAGACACCATGCTGGAGGGAGGTGGCAGGGAGGGGGTACCTCATTACTTCTGAGTAGGGTTGAGAATTTAGGCTTCCTATTCAACCTTTGCTGACACCTGCCTGGCTGGAATGCCTTCTTATTGCTTTCTTCACAGCTTCCACTGACACCACAGGGCAGGAGTGGAAGTGGCCTCACCCTTCTGCGGGCAGCGGGGAGAGTTTGGACTCTCCACTAGGCCTCCTCTGACGCCACTAAAGGGTGGAGGGGAAGATGCTTTAGTGCCACAGCATGAGGGTGTAAGTCCAGGCTCCCCATGTGCTCTTTGCTGACACCTGCAGAGTGGGGTGGGGTTTCTTATGTTTGATGGAGATGAACTTCCCAAATTCCCACACAGCCTTCTCTGACCACCCAGCAGGAGTGGAGTGTGCAGAGTGCCTGAGCAGCTGGGTCAGAGTGGAAATCTAGTCTTCCTACTCCACATTTGTTGATCTAAGAGGGGGTGAGACCACAGTTTTTTCTGGCCTATTTGTTTGGATGTGAGCTGTTATTTTTTAGTTTCCTTTTTTCTTATCCTTTTGGTGGAGAAAAACAGGCTTTTGTAGAGCTCTACTGTTTGTGACCATTAGCATTTCCTGATTGCTGGCATCTTCAGTTTCCAATCTGGAAAATATGAGGCGGATCTATATAATATATGAGACTCAGGTGTCTCACCATAGCACCATTCTTTGGGTCCATAGTCCTTAGCTAGTCTGTCCTCTCTCTGCCTTTGAGAGCCTTCTTATTTTGATTTATATATGGTGTTGAAGATATTTAGCTTTACTTAGTGGGAGAAATAAGGAAAAGTGCCTCTCCATGTTTCTAAACTGAGAAAGAGTTTTCAGTGATCCATAGTAGAAATAATAAAAGAAAATAAAGCTTTAGCTATATGGGAATAGGATGGAAGAAAGGTACCAAAAAAGGCAAAGACAAAACAAAAAAGGGGGAGGGGGATGGCCATTGATTTGACTGAATCTGGTTAAACTGCACTTTGGCAATGATAACAGCATGTTCCCACAACAGTATTTTCCAACCTCGGCCACACTGTCCTCAAATATGCAGACTTACCCCATGCTATCCCCCAGGATTGTGGCAGGCCAGGTTTCACTAACGCAGGCCTCCGTGACAACTGTTTCAGCACTGACTGAGTGGTTAAGTTAAATATTAAAAGCTAAAAAAGCCAGTGCCCTTATACAAAGGCTGGAATGTAACAAAAGCCCATTAAGAGTTTTTCCCAGACCTTTCCTGGGCCTTAAAGCGTGACAAAATAATGAAGGAATTCCTAACAGTACCCATTTAGGTTTAAACACGTTTTACTGGGGGTCTGAAGAAACTCCCCAAACCTCCGTGATTTAGCAGGAGACAAGATAAAGGTAATCACCCCAGCACCTGGACCCATTTAGACTAAATTTACTGAGGCTCTAGAAGCAGGTCTTCAGGCCTCAGACCTTAGTTATAGATGAAAAGAAGTTAATCACTTATGTCTTTAGATGAATGCACACTTACACGTAGACATATAGCTTAGAAGGTATATAAGCTCTGAAAAGCTTTGTAATTTTGAGTTGGTCTGGCGATCATTTCCAGGCCTTCTCCCTGTAACTGGTTACAGAAATAAAAACTCTTCCTCCCCATTTCATCTGCATCTTGTTATTGGGCCCTGAAAAACAGCAGCCCGACCCTCAGCTTGGTCTGGAAACAGGATGATAGGACATGAATGCCCAAATCTTTGGGGACAAACTGGCTGAACGATTGACTGTGGCTCACCGAATCTTTCTCCAGCATTTTTGCATAAGTCCTGGGTGGATCTGGCTTGCAGTGTGACTGCCTGCTTTTATGGTTGTGTGATAAACAAACTTCATTTGTTTATTTTCTTTTTTCTCTACCCATGCGCAAACTTGGCTTCTCTCATTATGGTTTCAGGCAAAAGCAATGTAAAGCTTGGTGTCACCAGAAATTTCATTCAAGACAGAATTTTGTGGTTTGACTAGACTTGTGAGCTCTGAGATTTTTTTTTCTTTTTTTTTTTTGAGACGGAGTCTCACTCTGTCACCCAGGCTGGAGCACAGTGGTGTGATCTTGGCTCACTGCAACCTCCGCCTCCCAGGTTCAAGTGATTCTCCTTTCTCAGCCTCCTGAGTAGCTGGGACTACAGGAGCGCGCCACCACGCCCGGCTACCTTTTTTTTCTTGTATTTTTAGTAGAGATGGGGTTTCACCATGTTAGCCAGGACGGTCTTGATCTCCTGACCTCGTGATCCACCCACCTCAGCCTCCCAAAGTGCTGGGATTACAGGCGTGAGCCACCGCGCCCGGCCGAGCTCTGAGATTTTGTTAGCCCACTGCTTGTAGCCTCAAAATATCCCAATCCAGCCAGGTGCAGTGGCTTATGCCTTTAATCCCAGCACTTTGGGAGGCTGAGGTGGGAGGATCACCTGGGGTCAGGAGTTCAAGACCAGCCTGGCCAACATGGCAAAACCTTGTCTCTACTAAAAATACAAAAATTACCCAGGCATGGTGGTGCACACCTGTAATCCCAGCTACTCCGGAGGCTGAGGCAGGAGAATTGCTTGAGCCCGGGAGGCGGAGGTTGCAGTGAGCTGAGATCATGCCACCCAACTCCAGCCTGAGCATCAGAGCAAGACTCTATCTCAAAAAAAAAAAAAAAAAAAAAATTCCAATCCATGAAAATTAAGTTGTTTTTAGAAGGACATTTTCAAGAAATCTAAAAATCCCCTATCCTTCAACTTTCCGATGTTCTGGCATCAAAGTCACAATTCCCATATTTGTTACATTAGAATCATACCTGATATTCATTTCATGCTCTCTCAATTTACCCAGCTGGGGTGAGACTTTGGGAAATAAGATTGATGTTTAAAAACAAGATAAAATCATGACAGAGAAACCAGTAAATACTTATTTTACAAAACTTAACACCCAACATACTACCTTGGATCAGTGTTGGAATTTACTCCGCATATTCAATCAGGAAACTATAGTTTATTCAACCATGTGCCAAGTCTATAGTTTCAATATGTGCTTTTTTGCTCCACTTTAAAAAGTGAGGCAGGCCCTGAAAGAGTTCGAGGCAATTTCATTCACTATCTGTGTCCTATATCACAAAACCTTGTGAATACTCTCTGCAAAGGGTGCTGAGATAAGGGAAAGTATCTTAAGTCAAGATCTGGACTGGAAAGGCTCATGATATTAATTTATTTCTAGTAGCAATGCAAGGAGAACTACACTTATCTTTTCACATATGAGTTGGGGCACATCGGGAACTTCATGAGAACATTTGTGAACAACTTCAGAAGCTTGCAATGGTCTCTGTCTAGTTTTACCATCTCAGTAGGGGTCATGCTTGAAGGACGAGGGTTACCTCCATTGAGTATTTGCATTTTGGAAGAAAATAGAGATAATTGGTATCTCATTACATTTTAACACCTGTATCAGTGATTCGCACATAGTAGGTATTCAGTAGCATTTGTGCATTGACTAAATGCCTCATTATAAAAAATAATGGTCATTTTCAAGCATCACAGTCCCTAAAATACTAGATAGGACTCAAGCTGCTTACTGAGACCCTAAGAGATAACACAGCTCTTGGATATTTGGTCCAGTTGACAAACAACTGTAAAAGTCATGGGGTAATATTATGAAATATTAGAAGATGAGAGAGATTCCCTCATCGTTGCTTTTCTTTGTACTCTTTGCTTTTCACCCAATTAATCAACTACAATATTACTTATATCCTTACTTATTTCCCAAATATTAAATTACTGGCATTTTAGTCTCTTCCACATGTTTTTTTTAAAGAGTATTTTATGAGTAACACAAAACTGTCTGCCTGTCTATCAAAGTAATAAAGTTTCCTGGAGCTGAAGAAAAGAGATGAGTAAGATGGTGAAGCAACAAGTGAATAAATAGTGGGAGTCCCTTAGAGAAGGGAAACTTCACCTCTCCCGCATGAGGGATCATTCAGACACTCCAGATAGGTTTAGAGGATTGTAACAGAAGGAGTGCCTCATTTCCTTTCCTGTGTACAGCCCATGCAGGCATCAGTCTTACAGAATAGAAACCATTGTTTAACATACTTAATCAGATGGGTCTGTATATTACTTATACTATACACTAGCCCATAATAACAGACCCAATCTAGTAATGGCTAGACAAAAAAGAGAAGTTTATTTCTTGATCAGCATCAGTCCTATTGGGTGTTCCAGAAGATGGCTTTCTAAATCATTCAGGAAGCAAGGTCCTTTCCAGCTTGTACAGCTTGTGTCTCTGCAACCTCGAGGGCTTTTCTTGTCTGTGTCATGACAACAGAAGGGGAAATAACACAGAGTAGTGTGGGTCGGGGTGTGGGGCCAGGCCTGGAAGTGGTACCAGTTATTTCTGCTCATATCTCATTGGCTAAAACTCAGTTACCTGTCCACACCTCCCAACAAGGAAATATGGTATCTTTGTCCAGGAAAAAGACAAAATGGATTTAGATGGACAACTATCTCTGCTAAACGATTTGGGCAACGATCTCTGCCAAACTTAAGATAACACGCTTTCCTCACATCCCAGCATGATACCTGAGAAGTACGAATATGCCCTGAAACTAAGAGGAGTAAGGAAACAGCGAGAGATTATAGATAGCCTCATCTTGTAAGTCTCTGGCTGTGTGATGAGGAACGGGAGGATGATCTCATGGGAGTCAGCACTGAGAGAGTGTACCTGAAGAAACCCTGTGAATGGGGGACCAATGACTTAGCAGTGACCTGTTTGGACAGAAATCTACAGACCAAAATGAATGGTGGATTTCTCAGCAGATCTCAGGAGATGCAAGTACAGATTATGACATGAGGGCCAGATGCCCTGCTCCTCTCACCCACCCCAGCATTTGAAACCCAATGGTAAGGCCATTCAATGGATATCAAATTGTTGTGATCTAACTGCTTGGAAGCTGGTAATAGAAAACAAACTAAGTATAGAAAAATAAAATTGTATTATGTGCACATCTGAATTTTTATACTGAGTTTTGCATCCACCACACGTATCTACTTATTATTTAAATCATATTGCAAAAGCAATTAAGGATCTCTTATGATTTACTGCTTTGAATACACTAGTCTTCTAAATGTCTTTATTAGTTTTTAAGAAATTTAGCTGCCATAAACATCCTTGAAATTGCATAAAGTAGTTATAGACCTTGATGTACAGATGTTCCTTATTTCATAATGGATAAGGATAAAAGGCTCCCCACTTCCACTCAAGACTGATTCTTAGGCATATTATGTAATAACTTTGTGATTTGGGGTGAGTTACAATATTTTTCTGTGCTCCAGTTTCCTTATCTGTACAATAGCAATATTGAACTACTTAATTCTTAGGATTAATGTGAGAATTAAATATGGGAATATATTAATGTGTGTTCTATTTGTAGCCTCAAATTACCACCTCTTACTCCTACTTCAGCCTTTCTTCCACCTGAAATTATTATATTTATTAATTCTCCATGAGAATATACCATCTTGTTTTCAAAATGAGACAAACACTCTCTTGGCTTGTAAGTTTTGACAAAAATATATACCTGTACAAACACCAATCTTATCAAGATATAGAACATCATCCACAAAAGTTCCCTTCTGTTCCTTTGCAGTTAATTCCTCCCCACCCACCCCAATACCAGGTAGTCACTAACTTGCTTTCTGTCACTGTAGATTTGTTTTGCTAATTATATAATCTCATGTGAATGGAATCATACAGTTCAAATACAAACATTCAGGCCATAGCATCTGTCTTATTAATCAATTTTATAGGTTGTATAGGGCTAGCTCATTAGAGTTTCAATTTGCATCATTTTGATGATTAATCATGTTGAGTATTTTTTTATGGGTTTATTAGGCCATTTATATATATTTATTTGTGAAGTATCTTTTCAAATTTTTACCTTTTAAAATATTTTACTTTACTATTGAATTATAAATGTTCTTTATATATTCTGGATGCATGTGATTTGCTGGATATATGTATTGCAGATTTTTTTCTCCTAGCCTGTGGCTTTCATATTTATTTTTATAATTGTATCTTTCTAGGAGAAAATGCTTTCAAATCTGATGCAGTCTTTTTACGTTTATGTCTGTGATCCATTTTAAGTTCATTTTCCTGCATGGTATGAGATGAACATTGAGAATAATTTGTCCAAAACTGATATCCAGTTGTTTCGGCCCTGTTTATTGAAAGAACTATCCTTTCCATGTTGAATTACCATATGCATTAGTCAGGGTTCTCTAGAGGGACAGAACTAATAGGATAGATGTACATATGAAGGGGAGTTTATTAAGGAGTACTGACTCACATAATCACAAGGTGAAGTCCCACAATAGGCCATCTGCAAGCTGAGGTGCAGGAAAGACAGTCCAAGTCCCAAAACCTCAAAAGTAGGGAAGCTGACAGTATAGCCTTCAGTCTGTGGCTGAAGGCCCAAGAGCCCTTGGCAAACCACTGGTGTAAGTCCAAGAGTCCAAAGGCTGAAGAACTTGCAGTCTGATGTTCAAAGGCAGGAAGCATCCAGCACAGGAGAAAGATGAAGTCCAGAAGACTCAGCAAGTCACATCCTTCCAAGTTCTTCTGCCTAGTTTATTCTAGCTGCGCTGGCAGCTGATTAGATGGTGCCCACCCAGATTGAGGGTGGGTCTGCCTCTCCCAATCCACTAACTCAAGTGTTATTCTCCTTTGGCAACACCCTCACAGACACACCCAGGAAGAATTCTTTGCATCCTTCAATCCAATCAAGTTGACAATATTAACCATCACACCTTGGTATATTTCTTGAAAATCAATTGATTATATGATATATGAATCTATTTTTAGACTTTCTATTTATCTGTTCTTTCAGTTCAACATTCTAACTATGGTAGTGTATTATAAGTTCTGAAATCAGGTATAAAACTCTTTCAATTTTGTTTCATTTAAAAAAATTGGTTTGGCTATTCTATGCCTTTTACATTTTAATACTAACTTTTGAGTCTTTTCAATTTCTGCTTTCCACCTCAAGTTATTTTCTATTTGGGATTATGTTGGATCTGTGTATTAATTTGAGGAGAATTGATGTTTAACAAGATTTATTCTTCTTATACACAAACATGCTATATAGCTCCACTTATTATTTAGGAAATCTTTAATTTCTCACGTCATAGTTTTATAGTTTTCAATGTTTGAATTTTGCTCACGTTATTAAATTTTTCCTGAAGTGTTTTTGTGATAAGTACTTCATAATACATTATTACTATTTTTGCTTTAACCAGTCAATTATCTTTTAAACAATTTTAATTGTGATAAAATACACATAAAAATATTCTGTGTTAACCATTTTTAAGTGTACAAGTCAGTAATGTTACATATATCACATTGTTGTGCAAAGAATATCCAGAATGTTTTTATCTTGCAAAACTGAAACTCTATACCCTTAAACAACAACTCCTGATTTTCCTCTCCCTTTAGCCCATGGCAATGACCATTCTAATTTTAATTTCTATACATTTGACTATTTTAGATATCTCATATGAGTGGAATCATACAGTATTTACCATGGCTGGCTTACTTCACTTTGCATAACGTCCTTAAGGTTCATCCATGTTGTAGCATGTGACAGGACTTCTTTCCTTTGAAAGACTGAATAATATCCCATTGTGTGTGAATATATATATATGTATGTATATATATATGTGTATATATATATGTATGTGTATATATATATGTATGTGTATATATATATGTATGTATATATATGTATGTATATATATGTATGTATATATATATGTATGTATATATATGTATGTGTATATATATGTATGTGTGTATATATATGTATGTGTATATATATATGTATGTGTGTGTATATATATATATATATATATATATATAACATTTTATTTGTTCATTCATTCATTGATTGACATTTGAGTTGCTTATACCTCTTGACCTTTGTGGATAATGCTTCAATAAATGTGGGTATGCAAATATCCCTTCAAGATCCTTCTTTCAATTCCTATGGATAAATACCTAGAACTGGGATTACTGGATCATAGTTGATAATTATCTTTTAAAGACATTTTTAAAATAGTAAAAGAAAATAAATTGTAATTATCTACATCTTTAGCATTTTTGGCAGCTTTTATTCCTTTGTATAAATTCTAGTTTTCATCTGATATTATTTTCCCTCTGCCTGAAGTAGTTCCTCTAATAATTCTCATTGTGTGTATCTGCTGGCAATGAATTCCCTAAACTTTTATTGTCTGAAATATTTAATTTTGTATTTATTTTTGAAATATACTTTTGTATAGAGAATTCTAGGTTGATGTGTCTTTATTTTCTTCTTAGAATGAGATATCAGTGGCTATTTTGTTTCCCTGGTTAGCTCTATAAAATGTGGAAGAGTCCTACACAAGAATGTAAGTACCAGAGAATGAGATCTTTAGAAGTCATATTGGAGGTTGGCTACAAACAACTATCTTTTGGTTCCCAAAGAGCCACATCCTCACCATATGCAAAATACAGTTGTGCCCTGCTAAAGCCTCCCAAACGTTTCATCCATTGCAACATTAGCTCAAAGTCCAGAATGTCACTATATAAATCAGATCTAAGTGTGGATGTGTCCCTTAAGATGTTACTCCTTAAGAACAGCTCCTCTTGTACAGTTCCTCTTTATCTGAACTAAAGAGAAGTTACGTGAGCCAAATGTACCAAACATACTGTGGCTGGAAAGGCACAGAATATTTGCTATTGATCCTCCTGTTCAAAAAAAGGTGAAATTGGAGGCATATAGGGATTACTAGTTATAGAATTTCTAAAATCCAGCATGGCAGTAGTTGACTGCTACTTAAGACTCAAGGCCTGGGAATAATATGCCATAGCTCTTAGATCCACATTCTTGGCTCTTGGTTGGCCTTCGGAATCATCCTTCCTATGCAGTAAAAGGTTTCTCATATTTTCAGCAGAGTAGTTTTTTCTGCCTGCTTTCTGCTTGTAGAAGTCTGGGAGTCCAAAAGCCTCTATTCGCTTTGTACTGTTTCTGTGTCTTTCAGTCCACACAAGCAGTGTTTGTCAATAAACATCTTAAATATTTTGTTCATTAGATAAAAGCCACATCCAAAAATCTCTTTGAATTAGGCCATTCTCTACCTTGAGCTTCTGGTGAGATTGCTGAAGGACAATGCCCTTAAGATTTTTAGACTTCCTGTTATCTGACTGAATGGTTCTTCAAGTCATAATCCTTAGGCTTCCTAAGGTCTTAATAAAGAATTTTACAGTTATACTTTGGCCTTGTCTTTTGACCATATTTTATTGAGGGTGTCCTAGCTTTGGTCTTTACCTGGAAGCCTTTTCTTCATTTTATCATCATTTGTCCTCTGGATATTCATATGCAGCAATTCCAGGATCTTTTTTGTTTAATATTGTTTTCTTTAAATTATCTTTCTCCTCTCACATTTTAATTTTAGCAGTAGGAATAAAGAAGGTAACACTTTCCAAAAGAATCCAGTGATACCTTCAAGACTATCAAATAAGATTGTCACTTAATATTACTATCCAAAAACAATCAGCTATAATTATTGCTTAATTAAGGGAGAACCATAATGCTCAATAATAATTTTGATGAATAAAGTAAATTGTTGAGCTTAGATAGAGATTTTTGAAGGGTTTGTTTTGGGATATACTGATGACAGAGGCAGGAAAAAGTTATCTTTAACATTAGCAGCTTGTTTTGTGCTGATTACAAAGGACTGATCATTAAAGTGAGGTTTCAGTCAGTGGTTAAACAGGTTTAAAACAAGTTCTAGAATATTTGTTATTATAGATTTTATTTTCAAACTATGTAAGCTCTAAAGCCTTTCAAAGTCATATTGTCAGTATTCTAACTTCCTTATTGTTAACAATTTGATTTAAATCCCTTTACTATCGTACTGTTTCTTTTTAAACGTTTATCCTTTCCTTCATGCACCCAGGCAAATTTCTTTAAATTCATAATATCATTAGACTATTTTTATTCACTTTTCCCAGTTCTTTTTTTTTCCTACCACTCTTTATGAAACAAACAAAATCCATAGTAGGTCTTTCATTTATTTGGTTTCGAGCAGCTCAATCCATGATCCTTCTTCTTCAGCTCTGAAATAAGTTTAGATAGGTCTATGGGTCACCAGACTATATTTTCAAAGATGAACATCATGCTACGACAATTTGCTTGAGAATAAAAATGTGATTCTATTAATCACATACTTCTAAAGTTTTCAATATGGATATAATACAGGCCAGAAAAACAATACAAAGAGACAAAAACAGGGGTCACCAAACTTTCTGTAAAAGGCCAGATCATAAATATTTTAGACTTATAGGCCAAGGGAAAAAATCTAGGATATTATAAAAGCACTTATATAACACTAAATAAAAATATTTATGAATTATTTCATTGATGAAATTTAAAATATAATAATGATTTAGCAAACAATTTTGTAATGTAAGTTTACTAATGGGAGGAATTGAGTTTTTTTGTTAGGGGAGCCACCACTTCACTTAACTGAGTTTTGATGTTAGTGTTTCTGCCTTGAAAATTGATTGCAAATGTTCATCTGTTAATGCAGATATGTAATGACATTTTATGTATTTCATCTTTGGAAAGATCTTTTCAGACAGATAGTTACTACCAAATACAGATGTCAATCCACAAACATTATTTTAATTGAGCATATTCATCATTTGGAATGCATTCAAAAAATTCTATTAGATTCTTCTCTTAATATTTACCTTTTAGCATGTCATTATAATTACTTCCAATTGAAGATGATATGGAAATTCCTCAATTGTACAGCTGGAGTTGGAAGTATGGAAATTACCTTTGCACAGATATTTAAGGTCAGAAAAACACTCCTGGAAATGTAGATTCAGTTTGGAAGTTATACATGTTGCAAATTTTTGTGTGCATGGAGGTCTCACTTTTTTTTTTTTTTTTACTTTTGGTAAATGTAAAAAACAGCTGGACATTATTCGTGATTCAAACAAAGTTAGTTGTTATTAAAATAATTGTACCACACTATAAGTGTTTCATAGAAACACTGTAATTTTAGATTGAATTCATTAAGACACACTATGAAGTCTGCAGCAAAAGCTACTCTCCAAAGCATCCAGTATTTGCTAATGGTGGTTAAGGGTGGTCCTCCTCATTTAGAAATATTTCAATCTCAATCCTCACCTCAAAAATTCACAATAAAACTTTACCACCATGAAATTATCAAACTGATGTGTGGTAGGGAAATCGGGATATTCGGTTCCTGTTTGTGACAAAAGTTCACAGAACCGATGATGGCTATGAAAGCAAATGAAGTTCACAATTGAAACTACTAGTCAGTAACATAGGATTGACTTCAACATCTTCTGCAAATTACTGGCTGTTGACTAACACAGTACACATCCAGAGTCTTTAAGTACTATACATTTTCACAAGCTTTGTAAAATTTTCTTTCTCCACATATATTTTTACCAATGTTAGTGGGTAAAATTTGCAGATTCTGCTTCAGTTTGTACCAAGTTAATGTTTTCTCAAATTATTTGAAAATATCATTGCCAGTATTTGTTCCACATAGACTATTTGTATAGGCTGTTCTTTAGTCACCTCAAAGTCAGCATGACTCATCCAGTGAACAAGGACTGGACGGTGTTCATAGTCTTTGCCCATTCATCAAGAGCCAAAGAAAGTCACTCAAAGTCATTTACATTGTTTTTAAACTCAGAATTGATATTGCTCCCAGTGTTCTTCACTCTTTGAGCAAATGTTCTCACCTAAAGTCTAATAGTCTTAATGTAAAACCATTTAATGGAAATGCCATTCTTAGCTCCCAGGCTGTACAATAATAGGTGATCTCTAGGCAAAAATATTTACCAAAGAAATCTCTTTTGATTAAAATGCAGCCAATTACCAGGTTCACAGTCCTGGAAGAATATAGTTTAGATCAATGTGACTAATCTTTTTTAAAAATAGTTACATCTCTTTAAAGAAAGAAATACATTCACAATCTCTGAGAATTGATTTATAATGTTGTTTTCATGATGCTATTTATGTACAGTAATCAAGGGAGGCATACATTCTTACAGTTCTTCTATAATTATGAAATCCAAAATTTGGCTGGAAATTAAATGGAAACAATATGACAAAGCCAATGATATTCATATAAAATTAACTTAAAAGTGACAGACGATTTCTTTTCCTGAAACTAAAATGTTGCTTGTTATGAGAGTATAATTCTAACTCCTACAGTATATTAAAAAAATATTTAACATGTCTTCATTTCCATGATAAACAGATTCTCCCAAGGCCCTTCTCTCTTTTCAGAAAACTTAATTCATATGGTATAACTTGATATAATTTGGCTTTTACTTTGTGTGAATGCATCAGTTAAGTATTATATGGGTATCTGTTTTCTCATGAGCTTACACAAGTAAGGTGGTATCATTAGAGCTTCCATATAAAGAAATACAGACCAGAAACCAGTATTGGTGCTTATGCAACTGATGATTTTTAGATCATGATCAATATGATAATAAAACAGTTAACAATCTAAAAACAATATTCAGAGCACACAGAGTCTCTGATGAAAAACTCATGTAGATTGCATTAGTGTCAATTATACATAGAACAATATAGACCATCATTTCAAAAGGTAGTTATCCATATTTGATGGTCAGTTTTTCCTTGTATTGAGGTGACTCTGAAATAGACCAATTGCTTGGTAAATCAACTATTTTATTTTATTATTTTATTTTCCATAAGTTATTGGGGTACGGGTATATTTGGCTACATGAGTAAGTTCTTCAGTGGAGATTCATGAGATCCTGGTGCACCCATCATCCAAGCAGTATACACTGCATCATATTTGTTGTCTTTTATCCCTTGCTCCCCTCCCACTCTTCCCCCCAAGTTCCCGAAGTCCATTATATCATTTTTATGCCTTTGTGTCCTCATAGCTTAGCTCCCACATATCATTGACAACATATGATCTTTGGTTTTCCATTCTTGAGTTACCTCACTTAGAATAATAGTCTCCAATCTCAACCAGGTCATTGCAAATGCTATTAATTCATTCCTTTTTATGGCTGAGTAGTATTCCACAGTTTCTTTACCCACTCCTTGATCAATAGGCACTTGGGTTGGTTCCACGATTTTGCATTTGTGAATTGTGTTGCTATAAACATGAGTGTGCAAGTATATTTTTCAAATAATGGCTTCTTTTCCTCTGGGTAGATACCCAGTAGTGGGATTGCTGGATCAAATGGTAGTTCTATTTTTAGTTCTTTAAGAAATCTCCACACTGTTTTCTGTGGTGGCTATACTAGCTTACAATCCCACCAGCAGTGTAGAAGTGTTCCCTCATCACTGCACCCACGCCAACATCTCCTATTTTTCTATTTTTTGATTATGGCCATTTTTGCAGGAGTACGATAATTTTTTGACTATGACTTTTTTGCAGGAATACAGTGGTATCACTTTGTGGTTTTGATTTGCATCTCCCTGATCATTAGTGAAGTTGAGCATTTTTTCAAATGTTTGTTGACCGTTAGTTTATCTTCTTTTGAGAATTGTCTATTCATGTCCTTAGCCCACTTTTTGATGGGATTGTTTTATTCTTATTGATTTGTTTGAGTTTGTCGTAGATTCTGGATATTAGTCCTTTGTCAGATGTATAGATTATGAAGAGTAAATCAACTACTGACCCTTATTTAGGCAGTGTGGTTTATATTCTGAAAATGACTCACAGATTTTGAAAAAATTACATAAAATTTTTATAATTTTATAATTTTATTTCCGTCACACTTTCTCTGCATTTTTGCCATAAAATTTTCTTAAACTAAATGAATTTGAATAACTGCCCTGTGATTTACTTAGGAAAATTGCTTGTGTATCTGTTTCCTCATTTGTAAAATAAAAATAACAAAACCTTGTTCTTAAGATTGTTTAAAGGACTCAGTGAGAAACATTTGAAAGTCCCTATAATCTGGCAGATGTCAGAAATATGAGTTTCCTTCCTTTCTTGACACCAGTGAGTGTAACAGAAAAGTAATAGAAATAATGCTTTAGTTAATTTTGGTTAGAAATAACCATGACTTTTGTCTCTACAGATCCTTGAATAGATGAGTTTTAAAGTCTGATTCATTCTTTAAAGTCTTTATTAATTCAATGGCATAATAAAAACCTCACAGATAGAAGCCATCTTTTTATATCTCGCATTTTGATACCGTATCAAACCATTTTCCAGGTACCATTTAACTCACTCAATTGAGAAAGACTGCATGCCTAGATTGCTGAAGACTTTTATTCCTTTCACAATCAGTTAACATTGGGAAGAAGTGCTTCGCAATAGTATACATGATGTAGTGTAAGGTAGAATAGCACTTAACCATGGCATAAATTCAATTATAATGTGTCTTATATTATAAGGTATAACTAGGCAAAAATTAGATTCTAATTTTAGTTTATATAATTACTGTGATAAAAGATGTATTATAATGTTTAAGTACTGAGATTTTTTTTCTGGGTTTTTGCATTCCGATTCTCTATTATAGTTTTTTCTTCCCGTGGTGGTTTTCTGTCCTATCCTCCCTTTATAAAGTTGCAATACACATTTTAAAATGCAATTTCTGCATAGTTCCATTTTCTATGAAAGAGCAAACAGTTCAGCTAGGAAAAGAGAACAATATCAGCCTTTAGATAGTGTGGGCAAAACTGAGAGTCACTTCCCTTTCAGCTCAGCTTTGATTTCAAGTTACTTAAACTCTACCTGAAAACGCTTTTGTGTCATATACTTGTACGATGTAAATATCATCCAAATTAAAAATGTTAAAGCCTCAATGTCTTCTTTAAGTATTTATGAAAATAAAACAAGAAACTATTTCTGATTATATTATCAATATTGAAAAGGAATGGTCAGTAAATATATGACATTTTATAGTCTTTGATCAAGAAAAGAGGAAGGTAATTTGAAAGTGTTTGTGTTGTATTTCTAACCTTATCTGCTGGAATTTATGTGTTATCTGTTGGAATTGCCAGCACATATAAGGCTATATGTTTTAAATAGCTGATTTGTTAAAGAGCCATCGAAAATATGAGTTTGAAAATAACAAAGGAATTTAATACTACTTAATAAATATTTTAGGGTTAAAAATAAGTGTTACATTTTCTTTAGTGGCATATTTAAAAAGTTTCATCTCTTATTTATATCTCACAGTTTCAACACTTTACTGCAAACTTTAAATACTCATGGCAGGAACTTAGCATGAACAAAACAGTTTGCATGTCCTTATTTCCATGATAAACAAATTTTCCCAAGGCCCTTCTCTCTTTTCACAAAACTTAATTCATAGGGTATAACTTGATATCATTTGGCTTGATATCATGTTCTATGTTTATCTTTTGTGAAGTTCCAGTCATATCTGAGTAAACATTTTCTCTCTTTTTAAAACCATTTGACAGAATTAAATGCACTGGGTTTTTATTCCTTCAATGTGTTATCACAATCTTTTTTTAAAAACTTATTCGATATCTAAGATCTGATGTACTTTAAGAAGTTCTTTTATTTGTGTTTTTGGTCATCTGTTTGTGTGTGTGCATGTGTTTTGTTTGGTTGTTTGTTTTAGCAAAACCTAAAAACTTCTTTGACTAAAAGAAA
The DNA here is from genome assembly GCF_000001405.40 of Homo sapiens. Lineage (NCBI taxonomy): Eukaryota > Metazoa > Chordata > Mammalia > Primates > Hominidae > Homo > Homo sapiens. The sequence continues at coordinate 15,947,483 of NC_000021.9, forward strand.
CTTGCCTTGACAATAAATAAAAGATTATTTAGCTCTTATTCAAATTTTAAAAAACAAGTTTTGAAGTCAGTCCTTTTTATTCTGTTATTTGGTAATTATAGTAATACATTAAATTAATTCAGTCTTTATTTAGATTTTAGAGGACTCTTAGAAGTATTCCTTTTTTAAAACATGCACACTTTTTATGGTCATTATGGCTATTTTGTAATAAAGAAATGAAAGTGTGACTTGTTTGTAGTTACATAGTCCTGATTAGTGGAAAACCGGTCCTCCGATTCTCAAATCACCTCTTTCCACAAGACTTCACTGCCACGTCTGACCTCCAACTTGTTTTTGTTGCAAAATTTCCTTTTCATGTCGCCGGGTAAGCAAGGGTAACATAGCTCTCTGTGTTTTTGCAGCTTAGGGAAGTGAAATGAAGGGGTCATCAGAGTCAAGATGACAGTGGGATACTTAGTGCTTTCCTCATCAGGCTGCAGGTTAGCCCTTTCAGCCCTGCTGCCTTTGAAAACACACTTGAAAGTAACCCCTTCCACTCCAAGTGTTCAAAGATGAGCAAATCTTGTGGCGTTTACTAAACATAAAGAGTCATCAGCTTTACATGGTCAGTTTGCAAAGAGAAAAGGGTGTGTAAGAGAAAAGAGTGTGTGTTAATGTGTCTCTTATGGCTTTGAGAATGTGGTGAAAAAGAAAACATGTAATCACAAGTAATTAATAAATATCTATGCAGATAAAGGAGATAACAAATGGATAAGGGGGTGATTAGTGGTTACCCTGTTTTCTTTTGTCTCAATTATTAAAAAAAGTTTTTTTCATAAATAAATGGAAGAGCATATTAAAATTTCTCCACAATTATTTTCAACCCTCAAACTGTATTGTTAGGAAAGTATTTTTATAAAACCAGTAAAGGCACTAGAACTTGTTTACAGAACTAACCTATTTAGAATGAATACTACAAAAACATGCAAAAGAAATGTGTATTGTTCTGAAACTAAAGCTCAGGAACAATATAAATGAAGAAACATCAAAGTAAGAAATGTTATCTCAACCAAATATGAGTCACTTACCATAACTTTGCCTATTGGATTTTAAAACTAGGGTTCTCTCACGTGTGGGTAGCAATTTAGAAAGCAGCACTGTGTCCCAAAAGATTTCCTTTCCAGAAAAATATCATTAAAATATGTCTTCCTAGTAGAATCCCTGCTAATAAGATTAGAATACACCAGATAATTGTAGTAACTAATAAAGTCATGTTTTATATGGATACTAGCAGATTTCAGTAACTAAAGACTCATGTGCAATAAATATCCTAGGCAATTGAAGTCTTGTAACTGTAAACTCATGCATCTTTTCAAAGAAAATTCTAGCGTAAAGTATTGATTTTATAAACAATAACATCTTTATACACATTCATGGCATTGCAATTCAATTTTTTCCATATGTAATATTTTATTTGCTGAACTGTCAGAGTTTAAGTGCTGTGCAAAGCAGACATTTTCTGAAATTCACTTTACAATTTAAGATAAACTTCACTCCTCTTCTTCCCCACTCTTGTATCCATCTATTTTTGTCCAAATCATTCAAATAAAAACTATTTAGACTGAACTAAAGTTAAAGAATAAAGGAAGAATGGGTATGGTTGACAAAGGCAGCCTCTGTCCCATTATCATTATTCCTCTAAGTCAGCTTTTTGTACTATCCTTTACTCAGATTCCAAAAGTACAATTCCTGGATCCTATGTTGGTTACAGGTTTAGTTCCATTAACAACTGCCAAACTGTTTTAAAGAGTGTTTGTGTGTTTTTTACATTCCCATCAGCAATGTATGAGTGATCCTGCTTCTTCGCATGCTTGTTAATATTTGATGTCACCATTTTTTATTTTAGTCATTCTGAGAGGTATGTACTGATATTTCACTTTGATTTTAATTTTTATTTCCCTAATTGCTAATGATGTTTTCCTATACTTATTTGCTCTCTCTACATGGGATATACATACGTATCTATATATTCATATCTGTTATCTGTTTTCTGATTGGGTTGTTTTGTTACTGTTGAGTTTGAGAGTTGTTTATATATCCTAGATACTAAACCTTTATTGGATAAGCAGTTTGCAAATACTTTTGCCCAACTGTAGCTTGTCTTTTCGTTCTAACAAAGTTTCTTAACATAGGAAATGTTTTTAATTACAATTTGGTCTAATTTTGTTTTTATCTTTCATTTTTAAGTTCAGGGATACATGTGCAAGTTTGTTACATAGGTAAAGTTGTGTCATGGGGATTTGTTGCACAGTTTATTTCATCACCCAGGTATTAAGCCCAGTACACATTAGTTATTTCTCGTGATCTTCTTCCTCCTTTCACCCTTCACCCTCCAATAGACCCCACTGTGTGTTGTTCTCCACTATGCATCCATGTGTTCTCATCATTTAGCTCCCACTTATAAGTTAGAACATTCAGTATTTGGTTTTCTGTTCCTGTGTTAGTTTGCTAAGGACAATGGCCTCCAGCTCCATCCATGTTTCTGCAAAGGAAATGACTTTGTTCTCTTTTGTGGCTGCATAATATTCCATAGTGTACATGTACCATATTTTTCTACTGCAAAAATGTTCTCCCATTCTGTAGGTTGCCTGTTCACTCTGGTGACAGTATTTTTGCTGTGCAGAAGCTCTTTAGTTTAATTAGATCTCATTTGTCTTTTGTTGCCATTGCTTTTGGTGTTTTAGTAATGAAGTCTTTGCCCATGCCTATGTCCTGAATGGTATTGCCTAGGTTTTCTTCTAGGGTTTTTCTGGTTTTAGGTCTTACATTTAAGGCTTTAATCCATCTTGAGTTAGTTTTTGTATAAGGTGTAAGAAAGGGGTCCAGTTTCAGCTTTCTGCATATGGCTAGCCAGTTTTCCCAAAACCATTTATTAAATAGGGAATCCTTTCCCCATTGCTTGTTTTTGTCAGGTTTGTCAAAGATCAAATGAGTGTAGATGTGTGGCATTATTTCTGAGGCCTCTGTTCTGTTCCATTGGTCTATATGTCTGTTTTGGTACCAGTACCATGCTGTTTTGGTTACTGTAGCCTTGTAGTATAGTTTGAAGTCAGGTAGTGTGTTGCCTCCTGCTTTGTTCTTTTTGCTTAGAATTGTCTTGGCTATTCGGGCTATTTTTTGGCTCCATATGAAATTTAAAGTAGTTTTTCTAATTCTGTGAAGAAAGTCAATGGTAGCTTAATGGGGATAGCATTGAATCTATAAATTACTTTGGGCAGTATGGCCATTTTCATGATATTGATTCTTCCTATCCTTGAGCATGGAATGTTTTTCCATTTGCTTGTGTCCTCTCTTATTTCCTTGAGCAGTGGTTTGTAGTTCTCCTTGAAGAGGTCCTTCACATCCCTTATAAGTTGGATTCCTAGGTATTTTATTCTCTTTGTAGCAATTGTCAATGGGAGTTCACTCATGATTTGGCTCTGTTTGTCTATTATTGGCATATAGGAATTCTTGTGATTTTTGCACATTGATTTTATATTCTGAGACTTTGCTGAAATTGATTATCAGCTTAATGAGTTTTTGCGCTGAGACAATGGGGTTTTTAAACTATACAATCATGTCATCTGCAAACAGAGATAATTTGACTCCCTCTCCTCCTATTTGAATACCTTCATTTCTTTCTCTTGCCTGATTGCCCTGGCCAGAACTTCCATTACTATGTTGAATGGGAGTGGTGAGAGAGGGCATCCTTGTCTTGTGCTGCTTTTCAAAGGGAATGCTTCCAACTTTTGCCCATTCAGTATGATATTGGCTGTGAGTTTGTCATAGATAGCTCTTATTATTTTGAGATATGTTCCATCAATACCTAGTTTATTGAGTGTTTTTAGCATGAAGGAGTGTTGAATTTTGTCGAAGGTATTTTCTGCATCTATTGAGATAATCATGTGGTTTTTGTCATTGGTTCTGTTTAGGTCTCTAAGGGGTCCAGTTTCAATTTGCATATGTTGAACCAGCCTTGCATCCCAAGGATTTGCATATGTCAAACCACCTTTGCATCCCAGGGATGAAGCCAACTTGATCGTGGTGGATAAACTTTCTGATGTGCTGCTGGATTTGGTTTGCCAGTATTTTATTGAGAATTTTTGCGTCAATGTTCATCAGAGATATTGGCCTGAAATTTTCTTTTTTTGTTGTGTCTCTGCCCAGTTTGGGTATCAGGATGATGCTGGCCTCATAAAATGAGTTAGAGAGGAGTCTCTCTTTTTCTATTGTTTGGAATAGTTTCAGAAGGAATGGTACCATTTCCTCTTTGTACCTCTGGTAGAATTTGGCTGTGAATCAATCTGGTCCTGGGCATTTTTTGGTTGGTAGGTTATTAATTACTGCCTCAATTTCAGAACTTGTTATTTGTCTATTCAGGGATTCAACTTCTTCCTTGTTTAGTCTTGGGAGGGTGTATGTGTCCAGGAATTTATCCATTTCTTCTAGATTTTCTAGTTTATTTTCATAGAGGTGTTTATAGTATTCTCTGATGGTGGTTTGTGTTTCTGTGGGGTCAGTGGTGATGTCCCCTTCATTATTTTTTATTGTGTCTATTTGATTCTTCTCTCTTTTCTTCTTTGTTAGTCTGGCTAGGGGTCTATCTATTTTGTTGATCTTTTCAAAAAACCAGCTCCTGGATTCATTGATTTTTTTGAAGGGTTTTTTGTGTCTCTATCTCCTTCAGTTCTGCTCTGATCCTGGTTATTTCTTGTCTTCTGCCAGCTTTTGAATGTGTTTGCTCTTCCTTCTCTAGTTCTTTTAGTTGTGATGTTAGGGTGTCAATTTTAGATCTTTCCTGCTTTCTCCTGTGGGCATTTAGTACTATAAATTTCCTCCTGAACGCTGCTTTAGCTGTGTCCCAGAGATTCTGGCATGTTATGTCTTTGTTCTCATTGGTTTCAAAGAACTTATTTATTTCTGCCTTAATTTCATTATTTACCCCGTAGTCATTCAAAAGCAGGTTGTTCAGTTTCCATGTATTTGTGCGGTTTTGAGTTTCTTAATCCTGAGTTCCAATTTGATCTCACTGTGGTTTGAGATGATGTTTGTTATGATTTCTATTCTTTTATATTTGCTGAGGAGTGTTTTACTTTCAATTATGTGGTCAGTTTTAGAATAAGTGCGATGTGGTGCTGAAAAGAATGTATATTCTGTTGATTTGGGGTGGAGAGTTCTGTAGATGTCTATTGTACACACTTGGTCCAGAGCTGTGTTCAAGTCCTGAATAACCTTGTCAATTTTCTGTCTCCTTGATCTAATATTGACAGTGGGGTGTTAAAGTCTCCCACTATTATTGTGTGGGAGTCTAAGCCTCTTTGTAGGTCTCTAAGAACTTGCTTTATTAAAAATAGTCATTCTGACTGATGTGGGGTAGTATCTCATTGTGGTTTTGCTGTGCATTTCTCTAATGATCAGTGAAGCTGAGCTTTTTTTTCATATGATTGCTGATTGCACGTTTTGTCTTCTTTTGAAAAGTGTCTGTTCATATCCTTTGCCCACTTTTTAATGGGGTTGTTTGTTTGTTTTTTCTTGTAAATTTGTTTAAGTTTCCTATAGAGGCCGGGTATTAGACCTTTGTCAGATGCAGTTTGCAAAAACTTTTTCCCATTCTGTATGTTGTCTGTCCACTCTCTTGAGAGTTTCCTTTGCTCTGAAGAAGCTCTGTAATTTAATTAGATCCCATTTGTCAATTTTTTCTGTTGTGGTAATTTCTTTTGGTGTATTCGTCATGAAATCATTGCTGATTCCTATGTCCAGAATGGTATTGCCAAGGTTATCTTGCAGGGTTTTTATAGCTTTGGGATTTACCTTTACATCTTTTAAACCATCTTGAGTTTATTTTTGTATATGGTGTAAATAAGGGTCCAGTTTCAATCTTCTGCATATGTTCATGTCTCCCACGATTATTGTGTGGGAATCTACATTTCTTCGAAGGTCTTTATGACCTTGCTTTGTGAATCTGGGTGCTCCCATTTTGGGTGAATATATATTTAGAGTAGTTAGATTTATTTTGTTGTTAAATTGAACTCTTTACCATTATGTAATGCCCTTCTTTATCTTTTCTTATTTTGTTGATTTAAAGTCTGTTTTGACAGAAACTAGGATTTCAACCCCTGCTTTTTAAATTTTCCATTTGCTTGGTAGATTTTTCTCCATTTTTTAAATTTTGAGCCTATGTGTGTCATTGCATATGAGATAGGTCTCTTGAAGACAGCATATCAATGGGTCTTGGTTCTTTCTCCAACTTGCCACTCTGTGTCTTTTAACTGGGGGCATTTAGCCCATTTACATTTAAGGTAACTATTGATATGTGTGGATTTGATCCTGTCATCGTAATATTAGCCGTTTATTTTGAAGACTTGTTTATGTGGTTTCTTTATAGTGTCACTGGTCAGTGTACTTCAGTGTGTTTTTGTAGTGGCTGGTAATGGTCTTTCCTTTCCATAGGTGCTTCCTTCAGGAGTTCTTGTAAGGCAGGTCTGGTGCTAACAAAGTCCCTCAGCATTTGCTTGCCTGAAAATGATCTTACTTCTCATTTGCTTATGAAGCTTAGTTTGGCTGGATATAAAATTCTGGGTTGGAATTTATTTTAAGAATGTTGGATATTGGCCCCCTGTCTCTTCTGGCTTGTAGGGTTTCAGCTGAGAGGTCCAGTGTTAGTCTGATGGACTTCCCTTTGTAGGTGACCTGTACTTTCTCTCTAGCTTCCTTTAACATTTTTTCTTCCACTTTGACCTTGGAGAGAATCTGATGATTATGTGTCTTGGGAACGATTCTGGTGCCTGGCTGGAATTCCAAGCCAATGGGTCTTACCCTGTGAGGTCCCATGGAAGTGGGCCCTGCAGGCTGTTGCTACTCAGCCCCCTGGATTCAGCCTCTATCTTGAGAGCATGTATGGGGGTCTACCATCCTGCTTTGGTGAAGTTGCCACTAGTTTAGCTGGGAAGCATGGAAAACCAGAGTATCTAAAGCTCCTGGGTCTCTTCACATGCCTGAGTGGCTGCTCTGTTGAGACTCCATGTAGCTCTGCGTGTCCGACTGAAGGCTTGGGTTCATGAGGGGCTCTCCAGACCGGACAGTTGCAAAGATCCATTGGAGAAACATGGGTTCCTGAGGATGCACATTCACCCACCACCTCCCTGGGTGGGGGAGGTCCCCTTGGTTTTGTGTCACTCTCAGGTGGGCCATTGTCCTGCCTTGCTTTTCTCCACTCTCTGTAGGTGTAGTCATTTCCTTGATTAGTCCCAATGTGAGTACCTGAATGTCTCAGTTCAAGATTCTGTATTTTACTTACTTGCCCCTTCTGTTCCTCTCCATGAGAGCTGTACACATTAGCTGCTTGTAGTCAGTCACCCCAATTTCTTAATTTTTCTATTTATGGATCATTCTTTTGGTATCAAGTCTAAGAACTCTTTGTCTAATTCTGGATCCTAAAGATTTTCTTTTATTTTATGAAAGTTCTATAATTTTACATTTAAGTTCCTGATCCATTTTAACTTAATCTTTGTATAAGGTGTGAGATTTAAGATAAAGTTTAATTTTTTTTCCTATGGCTGCCCAATGTTCTAGCACCATTGTCAAAAATGCTTCCTCCATTGAATTGTTTTTGCACCTTTTCATAAAGTCAGTTGGGCGTATTTGTGTGAGTCTATTTCTGGATTCTCTTTTGTATTCCTCTTTATCTCTCAACCAATATTATACACTCTCTTGATTACTATAGCTATACGGTAGGCATTAATATCAGGTAGACTTACTCATCATATTTTATTCCTTTCTTATTATTGTTTTAGCTATTCTAGGCTGCATGTGCCTGTCCATATAATTCTTTTTTTTTTTTGAGATGGAGTCTTGCTTCACACATGTTGGAGTGCCATGGAGTAATCTTGGTTCACTGCAACCTCCGCCTCCTGGGTTTAAGCGATTCTTCTGTCTCAGCCTTCTGAGTAGCTAGAATTACAGGTGCCCATCACCACGCCTGGCTAATACTTGTATTTTTAGTAGAGACCAGGTTTTGCCATGTTGGCCAGCCTGATCTTGAACTCCTGACCTCAGGTGATCTGACTGCCTCAGCCTCCCAAAGCATTGGAATTACAGGTGTGAGCTGCCATGCCTGGCCCCATATAAATTTTAGAATAAGCTTGTCTATGTCTACAAAAGGCATTACTGAGATTTTGATAGAAATTACATTAACCTATGGATCAACTTGAGCCCATTGATTTTGTTTTTTACTTTTTAAAGAACAGTTTCAAGGAGATATAATTCATGTAATATACAGTTTGCCCCTTTAAAGTGTACAATTACATATATTTTCGTGTAGTCATAGAGTTGTGCACCATCACCACAGTCAATTTTAGAACATTTTTATTGTCCCCCAAAGAAACCCTGAACTGACCAGTAGTCATTTCCCATTCCCTACCCACAATCCCCTCAGACCTAGGTAACCACTCATATACTATCTTTCTCTAGTTTATCTGTTTTGGAAATGTAATATAAACAGAATCAAACAATATGCAGTCCTTGTCACTAGCTGCTTTAACTTAGCATGATATTTTCAAGGTTCATCCATGTTTTACAATATTTCCCTTTTTATGACTGAATAATGTTCCATTGCATGTGTGGTGGTTAATACTAAGTGTCAACTCGATTGGATTGAAGGATGCAAAGTATTGATCCTGGGTATGTCTGCGAGAGAGGTGCCAAAGGAGATTATCATTTGTGTCAGTGAGCTGGGAAAAAGGCAGATCCACCCTTAATCTGGGTGGGCACCATCTAATCAGCTGCCAGTGTGGCTAGAATATAAAACAGGTAGAAAAACTTGAAAAGACTAGACTGGCCTAGTCTGCCAGCCTACATCTTTCTCCTGTGCTGGATGCTTCCTGCCCTTGAATGTAGGACTCCAGGTTCTTCAGTTTTGGGACTTGAACTGGATGTCCTTGCTCCTCAGCTTGCAGATGGCCTACTGTGGGACATTATGATCATGTGAGTTAATACTTAATAAACTCATATATATATATATATATATGTCCTATTAGTTCTGTTCCTCTAAAGAACCCTGACTAATACATCATGGATATACTATATCTTTTTATCCATTTATAAGCTGATAGACATTGAGTTGTTTCTGTATTTTGGCTCTTACAAATAATTCTGCTGTGAACATTTGTGTGGACATGTTTTTATTTCTCTTGGATATATACCTATGAGTAAAATTACTGGGTCATATGGGAACTCTATATTTTACATTTCAAGGAACTGCCAAACAATTGGCTGTACCATTTTACATTCCAACTAGCAGTTTCCGAGTGTTCCTGCTTCTCCACATCTTAATAAATATTATTATCTGTCTTTTTTATTATATTAATGGCTATTCTAGTTAGTGTGAAATGTATCTCATTATGCTTTTGATTTGCATATATCTAATGGCTTATTATGTTTAGCATTTTTTCATGTGCTTATTGGTCATTAGTATATCTTCTTTGGAAAATTGTCTGTTTAATCCTTTGCCCATTTTTTGCTTGGGGTACTTGTCTTTTTATTATTGAGTTATAAAACTTCTTTATATATGTTGAACTTAATTCTCTTATCATATATATGATTTGCAAATATTTCATTTCATTCTGTAGGTTGTCTTTTTACTCTCTTAATGATGTAGTGTGCAGCACAAAAGGTTTTAATTGTTATAAAGTCCAGTTTATCTGATTTGTCCTCTATCTCTTGGGCTTTTGGCATTGTATCTCTAATTAGGTTTCGACTAATCCAAAATCATGATGCATCCTATGACTTCTTCTAAGAGTTTTATAGTTTTTATTTTTAAACCTAGGTCTATTGTCTGTTTTAAGTTATTTTTTATGTATGGTGTAAAAAAATTTCAACTCTGTGTATCTTGCATGTGGATATCCAGGTGTCCCAGCACCATTTGTTGAAAATACTTTCCTTTCTCTATTGAATGTTATTGACACCCTTGTTGGAATCAACTGACCATAAATGTAAGAGTTTATTTCTTGATTCTCAATTTAATTCCATTGACTTTTATGTGAATCTTGAAGCCAGTACTGTAGTGTTATGATTAGTGTAGCTTTGTAGAAAGTTTTAAAATTAGAAAATGTGATTTTTTCCAACTCTATTCTTTTTCAAGATTATTTTATATATTCTGGATTCCATGCAGTTCCACATGAATTTTATGATCAGCTTGTCAAATTATAAAAAGAAAAATAGCTGGGATGTTGGTAGGGATTGTGTTGAATCTGTAGATGAACTTTTAGAGTATTTCCATCTTAACAATATTATGTGTATCAATTGATTTTTGACAAATATGCCAAGATAATTAAACTGGGAAAGTCTGGTCTTTTTAATATATGGTGTTGTACCACAGACTTAAATACCATAGCTAAAACTATTCTACCTCTAGATTAAAACACAGGAGAAAATCTTCATGACCTTGAGTTAACCAAAGACTTCCTAGATATAACATCAGGAATATAATTCATAATAAAAAATTTGATAGCTTGGTCTTGAACAAAATTAAAAACTTTTGATCTTTAAATTATACCATTAAGGAAGGAATAAGAAAAGTGACAGTTTTGGAAAAATTATATCTGAACTTTTACAACTCAATAATATAATAAAACACCCAATAAAAATCCTTGGTAAAATATTTGAGTAGATATTTTACCAAAGAAGATATGAAAACATTAAGTAAGGAAAGAAAAGCAGTCCCAGGCTTCCAAAGATTGGAGAGAGTGGGTAAATGGATTTATGGGGAAACTAACGAAGTTAAGTCTGTTTGCAGATTCCTCTGGTGCCCCTCTCTGAGCCTGTAAGCATTGTCTGCAGTAAAGGAAAATTTACATTCTGTCCTTAGGTAGGAAAGGGGGAGAGAATAGAAAGACCTTTTATCGTTGTAACTTTCTGCCCAACATTTAGGCTAACAGAGGGAAGGCTAAGAGATCCCCCTGCATCTTGTCTTCAGCTCAACTATTTTTCATATTCTAGCTTCCTTCAATATTATAGCAGCATTTCTTCATACTATCCATCAAATAAAAAAACCCAAATGTCCAACAATTATTGTATGGATAAATAAAATGTAATATATCAATACAGTGGTATTTCATTATTTGCCAATAAAAAGGAATACATACAACAACCTCAAAAACAATATGCTTAGTGAAAGAAGCTGAGCACAAAAGACTACTTACTGTGTAATTTCATTTTTCTGAAATTCCAGAAAAAGCAAAACTATAGAGACAGAATCAGATTGGTTTCAGCCTGGAACTAAGGCAAGAGCATGGATTAATTGTATTCTGGCATGAGGGACAATTTTGGGTTAATAGAATGGTTCCAAAACTGGATTGTGATGATAATTGCACATCTATATAAATTTAATAAAATTAAACCTCAAAACAATAAAGAACGGAAATATTACAGAACTATAGCTTACAATTTATAGGAATTTCAAGTAAGCTGTTTATTTGCTGATATCAGTAAGCAGATCTTCCTTTTGGATGTCTCTGTCTCTGTCTCTCTCTCTCTCTCTGTTTTACCTCCTGAACTTTGCTAGCACGTGGGGAGTATTCTGTTCTTTATCTGCTTCTTTATCTGTTTTCACTTATGGATTCTGGGTTTTCATTTAGTATCCCTGAATCAAAAGGAAGTCTAGTTCCTTTTTATTGACTGTTGTTTAATTATCTCACTATTTTGTGTTTTAGTCATTTACTATACTTCAATTGATCCTCTATCTGTATGTTCTTGGGAGACTCTTCCCCGTGAGTTCTTATAACAAAGATTAGTTTAATATTAGTGTTTAAGCAATGTTCAACACAGCTGTAGCCTAGCCCCTTAAATATATCCTGATACACACACACACACACACACACACACGCACACACACACACTCATATATATATATATATATATATATATATATATATTCTATTTTTTTAATGATGAGCATGGTTTGAGAGGTAAGTGTAATGTGTATGTTAAGATCAGGTTATAAAGGCCGATTTTCATAGATGAGTGTTATGTTTTGGATTTCAGCTGTACTTCTTCTCCAAATACCTGCCACTATAGTCACTATTCAAGTGCCCATCTCTTTTGGAACATGCCTCCTGGGCACATATTTTGCCACAGGCTTTGCTTAAAACTACAGCTCAATAAAATTTCTTATAACTACAGAACATTCAGTTCTGTTGGCAACAGTTATTTTCCACCTATTTTGTATTGCTTGTGACTGAGTTCCAGCAAATCGCTTCACATTTTTTTCTCTGTTGTTATACTTACCCATTTTTATTCTCAATGCTAGATGTGATATTTATCTTACTGCCAACATTTTATACGTCCAACTCCATAGTTTTAAGTTGTTTTCAGACGAGCAGCTACTTAGTAATAGTAGACCAATAATGACAATATTCACAGATACTCAGAAGGAGCTGCAGACTGACATTTTTCTTCTCAATAAGCATTAAAAAAGCACATATGTAAACTATACGTCTTTTATTGTAGTCTTATGATTTAAGATAAATTCATAAAATAATTTAAACATCTTAGCTGATTTCCACTTTAATTTTATGTTTCATTTTGGAGGTTAGTCCTTAAAATGCTAACTTTACATGGCAGGAGAGTGCCATGGCTGTGGCTTAAGGCAATGGCAAGATTCCAGACGGTGGCTCCTGGTTATAGATTATTTGCTGTATCTAGGATGATCATGATAGTGAATATTATGATGATGATAAGGAATATGACAGTGATGATGAAGATGGTTTTTGCTGTCAGAGAGTGGTGATATTCTTGACTGCCATCTTGAAAACTCCTCTTCGGAATTAATGAGGCCAGAAAAATATGCTGCTAATATATGTATAAATTAGGCACTCGTCACCAGAATAATGAAATGTATGCTATATATTTTAGGTTTATTGCTTTGAATGGTAACATTTTAGTTCTGTCTTTATATATGTCTCTGTATAATAAAATTAGCTACATTAAATTTTTGCCAGGCAATTAAGTCAATGAACACTGCTATCCTACTGGCTTTGAAATGAAGGCACACCCCTTCAGAGTGTACCCTATCAGAAAGAAAGAAGAGGAAAAAAAATTATAATTATTAATTCATGATGCTATGCAGGTAAATTCTCTACCTTATCATTCTGCCACCCAACACTTGACTTAGGGTTTGAGCGTCATGACAGATGGTTTCTGTTGATGGTACAGTGATTCAGGCACCTTATTTTTCTCCCTTAAATCACTTTGGGTTGTGAATACTATAAAAACTTCAGTGTTTGCTTGATGAAGAGAAAATATATATTACAATGAAAATTTCCAAGATATGGCATTTCTTACATGTGATTCTTTTTTTTTTTTTTTTTTTTTTTTTGAGACGGAGTCTCGCTCTGTCGCCCAGGCTGGAGTGCAGTGGCTCCATCTCGGCTCACTGCAAGCTCCGCCTCCCGGGTTCACACCATTCTCCTGCCTCAGCGTCCCGAGTAGCTGGGACTACAGGCGCCTGCCACCTCGCCCTGCTAATTTTTTGTATTTTTAGTATAGACGGGGTTTCAACCGTGTTAGCCAGGATGGTCTCGATCTCCTGACCTCGTGATCCACCCGCCTCGGCCTCCCAAAGTGCTGGGATTACAGGCGTGAGCCACCGCACACGGCCCCATGTGATTCTTACATGTAACAAGTTGTTGAGTATTTTGGACTCTTGTTAATAGTTACTCACTGAAATACATGAGCTGTTTTTAACTAAGCTCGAAAAGGTAATCCATTATATTTAATATGCGAAGATTGATTGTGGTGGAACATATTATGAGATTTTGTTTTGTTTTGTTTTTGAAAAAGAAATATTGAATAGAACCATAGATTTTTTACTCTGCTTTTAAAAGGTATGATTTTTGACTAAAAACAAATGTTCTCAACATATTCCCTTCCCTTCCCTATGATGGTGAATGTGTTGGCCAGTTGAGGTGGGACTAAGATTTGGGTCCCAAAACTAATGAGCTTGATTCTTGTGTTTATTCACAGTAAATGATGTTGACAATGGCCATACATCATAAAACAGGCTAGATTAACAAAATAAAGTTACAGTGAAAAAATACTAACCCATATAGTGGATAATTATTATAGAAAAGTCTTTCTACTTAACAATAACAATGAAAAATCTACCCTTTTTCTTGTATTCTGATCACGAATACTTCATTATTGTGCTATCATATTAGGTGGGGGTATAACTTGAGTCCCATAAATGCATACTTATTTCCTTAACAAGCTGTTGCTATGAGAAAGGCTTAAACCAGTAAATTACCTTAGATGATGAGGCTTTATGAAATCACAAATACCTAGTAATTAATTTTGAACAATCACAAATTTTTTATAACTTTAATATTGTGACATTGTAAAAATAAATATTCATTGTAGAATATTTAGAAAATGAAATTAGGCAAAATAAAAATCCCTAAAAATCACTTATAATCCTATTACCTAGAGACAACCACTATCAACCATGCCTTCTATATTATTAAAGTTTAAAAGTAGGCACCTAATCTCCTCTAACAAAACTGGAATTGTAGTGTATGTGTTATTTTATATCCTTCTTAGAAAACAAAAATCAAACTTTCATTAAATTCAGTTATCTTCAAAAGTCGTTTACTTGTGGGTGCAGATGTGAGTGTGGTAACCTCTCTGATTTTTCTGGCTTTTGCCTTCACCTTCTGGATAGAACTTCAAGTCCTGTTCAAATGGTGACAAAGTTATGTCTGAGAATAGTCTAATCGTTACTTCATTAGTTCTCAGTACGTTCTTTTGTGTTCCCTGCCACGTAGTCCTTGGTGTCACCATATCCTACTGGTGCTACCACATCCCACCAGATTGTGATGGAATGTTGCTGTGCCCACCAGGCTTCATTGCCCCACTGGGCATTACCACTAACATCCTGGGAACTCATGGGGCAAATTATGCAGGCCATTTAATGGCACAGTGGAAAAGCCTGCCTTTGCCCTCTTTGTGTTATAGCATGTTAGAAGAATGCTAAAAGAATACTTTTATACCCAATGTTACAAAAAGGAAATAGTAAAACAGTCCAGAGTAAACACATTGAATAAAATGAAGCCACTTAAACTGATACTTACAAGGACTATGTTTTATATAATATTAACAAGGCAAACCATGTGTATCATCAGGCTTTGTGAGGTTGGAGGTAACTGCTATTGAAGAAATGCTTCAGGCCCTGGTCAACACAACGAAAGACAATGAACAGAAATCGCCATTTGATGTGAAGAGTGACTGTAAAGGAAGACAAGAAGAAGGCACAAGGAGATTTGCTCCAAACTAGTTCTTCCCATAAAATCTCTGCCCCGGCCAGTTGCAGTGGCTCACGTCTGTAATCCCAGCACTTTGAGAGGCCGAGGTGGGTGGATCACCTGAGGTCAGGAGTTTGAGACCAGCCTGGCCAATATGGTGAAATCCCATCTCTACTAAAAATACAAAAATTAGCTGGGCGTGGCGGCGGGCGCTTGTAATCCTAGCTACTCTGGAGGCTGAGGCAGGAGAATTGCTTGAACACAGGAGGCGGGAGGTTGCAGTGAGCTGAGATCGCGCCATTGCACTCCAGCCTGGGCAACAAGAGCGAAACTCTGTCTCAAAAAAAAAAAAAAAAAAATCTCTGCCCCATCCTCCAACATTGAGTAGCCCCTGTGTCTCTGACCACTCCCTTGTCCTCTTGACCTTTTTTGAATTTCTGTTGATGCATTGAGAATTTTAGGAGAGACTTCAGATTGTCCTACAATTTACTTTGATTAATGCAGACCTTAAACCTTGCAGTTCACATTAAATGGTATTTTTTTCCAGGTGTTTTCCACAGATCTTTGCTAAAGCCTTTATATAGTGACATTATCCTCCCAGATCAGGTTCCTGATGATAAGTATTATTGAGTTTCTTTTTTTTTTTTAATTTTTGTGAGCACATAGTAGGTATATATATTTATGGGGTATATGGGATGTTTTGATACACGCATACAATGTGTAATAATCACATCAGAGTGAATGATGTATCCATCACCTCAAGCATTTATCTTTTGTGTTGTAAACAATACATTACACTCTTTTAGTTATTTTAAAATTTTTGGTTTAACAATACATTTCTATGGCTTTTCTCTGAGATTGGTGCATCAGTAGGTTGGGCATGTGTTAGGAAGCATTCTGAGAGACACTGATTATTATCAAGCAAGTTTAGAAAACATTGTCTCACAATTCTCATTACCTTCCCTTTTCTTGTAGACCTCAATTTACAGCTCTGGGCTTTAGAACCATCTGGACCTCACTCCCAGAAATGCTAGTTTAATTGGTCTGTGTAAGGGCCTATGTGGCAGTGATAATTCTAATGCTCAGGGTTGACAACTACTATCTTAGGCAAAAAATCAGATGCTTTTGTAATCACAGCAATTGTTCTACTATGAGTATCCTTTGAAGTATCTAATATTCATTTTTCAGACTGTTAAGATTACCTTTAGAAATGAAATTTGTTGGGTGAATTTGAAGCTTTTTAAAATCATTTTTCATGCATTTTTGAAATAAATTGCTGTTTTTCTTTCCTCATGCCTAAATATGTTGGATTTCAAACTATCTTTGCTTATCTGCTGTGCTTCCAGCTTTTTATAGGAAAATTGGTTATGTTTGCTTATTGTGCTGTTAGATGGGAAATTATGTGATTAGATTCATTTTAGGATTTTTAGGATGAAAACATGTCTGAAATAGCTGTTATTTAGGTTGCAGCAGCAGGCATAACTTAAAACATGCAAAACCACAATGAGGTGATTTGAGGACTGATTTTTTTCCACTTGCTGTTGTTGGGATCAAGTCAAAATTTGTCAGTCATTGAATGGGCCCTGTGGACATATTTGCTCTGGCATTGCTAACCAAGTGAAGTCTACTAGTTTGAGCAAAAAGCTCACTACATTTATTCTTACTGGTTGACAGTTTTATTTGTGGTCTCTGTTTAAAATGGAGAAATTGAGCCCAGCCCTTAAACTTTTGGCTTTGGCAAAACTGCTTTGGACAACATACAGAAAGCTAAAGAAGGAGCAGCTGAAATTTTTTCCTTAATAAACCTTTCCTTTATAAAGTTGGCAAACTGTAGACTACTAAATGGACAAGTTTAAGCATGTTGTTCGATGCCAGCATGACCTAGAATTTCTTTACCGGTAAGCACACTAGCTCCTTGTCACAGACAGTGTTGGTACTTTTCAGCCACATATTCCAGAAAAAGTCCTTACACTTTTGAAGTTTTATAAATATCAATTTGTGGCCTTGGCGCACGTTAGAGGAGCAACGTGTGGCTTTGTAAGTGCTTAACAGCTATTTGCAAGCTGTTTTCTTCTTGGTGCAACTTAGAATAATCAATCAGCAGTTAGAAAATGTTAAATAATAATCTCAAAGTGAACAACTTGTATTTCTAACAATGAGAAGGTTTTCTCTAATTTTTACTACTTTTCATCTCTGCATTTCTGGCGTATGAACACCAAGGTAAAAATGGTTTCAGTAAAAAAGACAAAAATGTTAAGTCACGAACTGAAAGTTTTTTCAGAAAGGAAGTGGGAGCCAATGGAATGGCAGTAGAGAAGTAATAAATATTTCATTCAATTAAGCATAATTTTTATGACTTTTCAAAACATAAAGGGAGAGTTGGGGAAAGGAATTTATGAGTGAGACTTATAAACTGTCCTATTTTCTTTTAGGAATTTGAAAGGTGTTGATTTTTGGTAAGATTTTATAAGATTTTATAAATACAAGATTGACCTCATTTCACCAATACCTATTGAGCAATACTTTCTGTATTTCCAGACCAGTCCAAGAAGATTGTATATAAGAGACACCTGATAATTTCAAAATCCTAGGCCCACTTCCTGAGCTGAGCAAGGTAAATTGTGGACTTTTTAGACCTCCACTTTACACAGACACCCTCTGTGTTCTATCAGACTCTATCTTATGAATAACTTTTGAAAAAATATGTGGTCTTGATAAGATTAATTCAATGCTTTACTGATATTGATAATGTATCTATTTACTCTGAGCCAAGCACTGTTCTGAGCGCTGGGGATTCAGACCAAATCAATGAAACTCACTTTCTTGTGAAGATTATGTTTAATAGGGAAATAGAGTGACAACACCTAACAAATATAATATATTCATCAAGTATAGTAAATAAAAAATATAGGAGTTGCAACATTAGAATTTAGCAACATTAGAAGTTGCTAAATGTTATAGAACAGAAATTGTGCAGAAACAAGGGTGATTAAGAATGCAAAAATGGTGGTAGTTCTCAATGTTCAATAGAGTGCTCAAGAGTAGGGGTCTTTTAAAGAGCAAAATATGGCAAAGACTAGAAGAAGGGGAATGAGAGAGCCGTCTGGATATCTAGGGATGCTGTGTTTTAGACAGAGGAAAAAGCCATACTTGAGGTATGAAACTGCAAGTTCCAAGTTTCAATGGCATGAAAGGAAATCAAGGGCTTAAAAAGCAGCTGGTTTTATGTCTAGCTGGGTCTTAGAGGACAAGTGGAGAAGGATAGGCAGAAGCCAGATGATTGAACACTGTGTATGCTCTGTTAAATTGTTTACACCTTATCCTATAGAGGTCAGTTTATCTTTCACACAGGATAGATTCATAGATAAGGTACTCTATCTGCTGAAGACCTTAGGATATAGGAGATTATCAATAAATGTCTAATGAATTATAACATGCTTGATTTTAAAAAAAGCTTCTAGTAGTATAATAGTGGCAAGAATTATAAGAAATAGTTCTTTTTCACAAAAAATTATATGAGTAAATTTTATCTGTAATAGTTTCCTATTGCCGCCATAACAAATTACCACATTAGTGACAACACAAATTTATGATCTCACAGTTGTATAGGCCACATGGCCAGGATTGCTTAACAGATTTCTTTGTTCCAGCTCTCACAAGGCTGGGATCAAGATGTCAGTGGTCTGGACTGTTATCTGGGGAAGAACTGGCTTCTAGGTTCTTTCAGGTTGTTGACAGAGTCTAGTTCCCTGGTTTTAGGACTAAGGTCTCCATTTCCTTGCTGGTTGTCGCTGGGGTTTGCTCTTATCTCCTAGAGGCCCTTCTTAGGCCCTTGCATGAGGGCGCCTGTATCTCAGAACCAGCAACAACTTGAAATCAAATCCTTCTTGGGATTAGATTTGTTCTGACTTTCTCTTTTCTTCCTCTTTCCCCATTGCTCCATCTCTTTAAACTGATTCTCTGCCTTTCTTTTCTGATTTTAAAGGACCATGGAATTTCACTGAGCCTACCAGATAATCCAGGATAAGCTCCCTATTTAAGGTGATTAGTAACTGTGATGTTGTGAAATACATATTTGGTCTTTGTCCTATTTCCTGGCATACAGCTCCTAAAATCCTTAGAATCCTCCAGAGTAGTAAGAGTGTCCTTTTTATGCTAATGAGACGCCTGGTGGCTGGGGCCATCTAGATTGCCTCATGACTGGGGCTGGTCATAAGAAAGACCAAGCCATGACTATGGGGTTGGAACTTTAATCCCATCCCCAACCTCCAGGTTGGAAGAGAAGATAAAGGATAAATTGATCACTAATGGTCAGTGGTTTAATCAATCGCACCTATGTAATGAAACTTCCATTGAAAACTCCAAAGGACTGAGTTCTGATGGCTTGGGGATAGCTGAGCATTTGGAGGATTTGGGAGGGTGGTGCACCCATGGAGGGCATGGAAGCTCCGTGCCCCTTCCCAAATGCCTCACCTTATGCATCCCCTGCATCTGGCTGTTCATCATATTCTTTGTCATATTCTATTTGATATTATTGTAATTTTATATTATATAATATTGCAATAGCATATTATAATATTACAATATTATTTGAAATATTCTTTATAATAAACCAGTGTATTTGTGTCCCAGAGTACTGTCAGTTGCTGTAGTATATTAATAGAATCCAAGAAAGCAGTTGTGGGAAGCTAGTTCGTCAGAAGCAAAGGTAAAACAACCTGAGGCTTGTGATCGGCATGAAAGGTAGCGGCAGTCTTATGGGACTGAGTCCTCAACCTGTGAGATCTCATGTTGCTTCCAGGTAGATAGTGTCAGAATTGATTTAGAGGACACCCAGCTAGTGTCTGCTGGAGATTCATCTGTGGAATTGCTTGGTGTATGTGGGAAGTCCCCCCGCCCCTTGCCCCGTCGCATTGGTGTCGGAAGTATTGAATGAGTGAATGATAATAGGAAAAACACTTCAGATTTCTGCATTCTTACAGTAACCTTAATTGTATCTGCTAACAGTGCCTAGATTCATTTTGAATAACTAGAGGATGGGGATCTTGTGGGAGACATCTTTAGAATTGTTGCCTACCACAGTGCCATGTCTTGGGATGACTCATGCTCAAATAATGATGTTTTTTTTTTTTTTTTTTTTTTTTTTTTTTTTTCTACAGCAGGATACAGTAGAAGGGAGCTAGGTGGTAGCACAGAACCTATTCTCTGGGGAAGAACTGACATAGGAGACGTGACTAAGTTGCAGTTGACAGTAAGGGGGTGGTGAATTGGGGGGCTCAATTTTTGAGGAGAGTTGCAGTCTAATTTTCAAGGCAGAAAAAAGTCATTTCCAGTTAAGTCCATAGTGAGTAAACAAGAAAGCAGGGGATACAGAGAGCCAAGTGGACGGTGATTATCATTCATAGAATTGATCTGTCTGTAGGCGTAGGTCTCCTTTGCTGGGTGGGTTCAGGACAGGGCTTCGGTCTTCAGGTGGTGAAAGACGATGGGGTGATCATGGGGTTTTAGGCAGAGGACAGGTCAAAACTAACTTATAGGGTTAAAATAAAACAAAAAGACAAAGAAAGCAAATGTGGAACAAGGGCAATTTAGGGACAAGAGCCAGCTGCATGCAATCCTTGATGATGACAATTTCTGGCACTGACTTGATGTAAATCATTTTTACAAAGAAGCCTAATGGTTTATCAATAGTGCTGTATAAATACAAATGTCTAGTCTAAATCCTTCTGCCTTTAGAGCATGTCCCATTTCTCCTCTTGTAAATGCAGTGGCATAGCTGACAATATATAACAAGAGTCGGTAGCTTACTATGTTTCAGAGGTGGAAGCGGGCAACATTCCTCAATCGGCTTTTCCTTTGTTCTATAGATTAAATATATATATATTTTTTGCCAGTTGGTTTACTTTTAGCACATGTTACAAAGAACTTTAGAGAAGAGAGACAAAATGTGAACGCAAATAGACATTTACAAAGATTGAAAATAACCTTTTTTCCCTTTTCCTAGTTTTAAATACTTTAAAAGATTTGTTTTTGGTCTGAGAAAAAGAGAATATTTCTTGGTAACCTAGAAGGGTTCTTGGATCTGAAAGGAGAACCTTAATTAATCCTTTGGGGAAGACATCATTGAGACCTAGGGAAGCAAAGTGAAGATTTTCAGAGTGTTTTTAGAGCTCTTTCCCAGGCTACATTTGCTGGACTCTGCCTGTTGTCTTGTGGCCAAAGACCTTCATGCCAGATAGCCATTTGCTATTAGATGTGAGTGTATGTGTGTCTGGTTGGGGAGAAGTTGGGGGAAAATGTAGTAATTATTGACTAGCATTACTCTGGTTTTAGTCAACTTGCACCTCTATAATAAGCAACTTTCTGCTTCACATTTTTCCTCCATCTAGCTGACCTGGCTAAAACTGAACCTAGCAGA
Organism: Homo sapiens; assembly: GCF_000001405.40. Classification (NCBI taxonomy): domain Eukaryota; kingdom Metazoa; phylum Chordata; class Mammalia; order Primates; family Hominidae; genus Homo; species Homo sapiens. The sequence goes on from NC_000021.9 coordinate 15,969,212, forward strand.
TGATTGACCATGGCATTAGCCGACACCATACTGCCTCCAGCTTCCTGTCTTGGGTTTCCTCTCCTGGGTTTGTTATATTTCAAGTCTGGTTCTTCTCCAACCAGTTCACTATCCCAAAGATTGCTTTAGTTATGACATGAGTGGGCTATATGTGAGTTAAGTGTCAGAAAGATGAGAAATTCTTCCCTTTATTCATTCACTGATAGTCTTTGCAAGTTACATAACCATCTGTATTTGAATCTATATATTTGTTCCACGAAAAGGGAAAATAAATGCTTTAATTGGTATGAACTAATCTTTTAGATCATCATGCAGATACAAAATGCTGTGCATTTTGCTACAGATTATCGATGTTTTTGCTAAGACAAACACAATGGCTATGATTAGTGTAGCAGGTATTTGAAATAGAACACAAACAATAGGAAAAAGGCAATGATTTATAAGACACTGAAGGGGAAGTGGGATCTCATCATTGTCTCAGGACATGATCGGGATTCCTGGAGAGTGTGTGGTACATGATGGCCAGTTATCTGGCTCGGGTTGTTTTTGCTAATCTGACTCCCACACTTGGACTCTGTATAGATTTCAATGAAGAACAGCTTCATCTATCATTGGGAACTACTGTGTATTCTTTTTGGGGGAATGATGGGTGAAGCAATATTAAGGTCATGTAGAGGAAAAGTATCTCCTTTTCTCTTTGTTCAGTTATCATCATCATCATCATCATCCACCACATTGTGAATTACAAGTGGTGAGGAGTGTGCCTACAGTTTGAATAATGGCATGATCAATTCCCTTTACTTTTTCCTCTCAAAGTCTCTATATACTCCTTGTGTAGGGATAGAACAGAACCTAGATTACTTGACTATAGAAGCTTTCATACCTATAGAACTTTTTGTAGAGAGAATGGTGTATTCAGGGGAGAGCCAGCATTCAACTAAGGTAAAAAGAGAGTTTATGCCAAGTATTTCAACATGCGGGAGGGTTTTATTTTAGATGAAAAAGGCAAGGAAGCATACTTGCAAGAGAATGCATCTATAATATTTGGAAAGGCAGAGATAGGATATGCCAGATGTGAGGGAGTGGGTTTGGGTCAAAAGTATATGTAGCTGAAGAAGGTTGTCTTCTGTTATATGATAAAGTCCTCAGGAATAAGAATTATATTTGGGATGACCGTGGCATGCTACAAAATAATTTTAGTGTTAAATATTTGCCCAACATTGGCAAGTAAATGATGACATGTATTATATCATAACTTGACAGAAAACAGTTTGAAAGAAGGATGTTTTAATATGGTATTTTTCTATGTTTGAAGATTGGGGCAAATGATTTAAAATTCTGCTTTTGAGAGTTCTTAATTTAGAAAAATAAGTTACTGTGCTATAGGAGTTTATTTTTATTCACTTTGGAATTTATATTTTAATTCACTTTGGGATTCACATTTACTTAAAATAACTTCTTGACATTCATTTGAAACATGAAATGTAATAAATAATTAAAATTTCAAGAGAGGATTTGATAAGTAAGCTTATATTCCAGCTCTAAAAAATTCTAGTATTCCCCAGCTAATACTGGAAACCATCTGTGATGGTTAATACTAAGTGTCAATTTGATTAGATTGAAGGGGATACAAAGTATTGATCCTGGGTGTGTCTGTGAGTGTGTTGCCAAAAGAGATTCACATTTGAGTCAGTGGGCTGAGGAAGGCAGACCCACCCGTAATCTGCTGGGCACAATCTAGTCAGCTGCCAGCGAATATAAAGCAGGCAGAAAAACGTGGAAAGGAGAGATGGGCCTAGCCTCCCAGCCTACGCCTTTCTCCTGTGCTGGATGCTTCCTGCCCTTGAACATCGGACTCCAAATTCTTCAGTTTTGGGACTCAGACTGGCTCTCTTTGCTCCTCAGCTTGTAGACAGCCTATTGTGGGTTTGTGATCGTAAATACTTAATAAACTCCCTTATCTATCTATCTAATGTATCTTATCTATCTATCTATCTATCTATCTATCTATCTATGTATCTAGCCTATTAGTTCTGTCCCTCTAAGAAAACCTTGACTAATACAGCATCATTTTGATTTCTTTTAGAAAGTAGGTAACTTTTTTCCCCCATGTTTTATATTTCTTTCTTTCTATGTATGTTCATGAAAACAATGTCACTTTTATTTTTATGCTAATATTTGTAATCTGTTATTATACTTTGTTTTAGATATAAAAATATGAGGCATTTAGCTGAATCTACTCTGACCCTGAACTTCCTTCTTGAATAAATTCCTCATTTGAACTTAGTTGAACTTCATCTTTTCATCAGTAAATGACAGAATATTTAACTTCGTGATCTGTGAGCAATACATAGTTAACTGAATCAAAGGATGAAACAAACTTTATTAAGCCTGCTTTTTTAGAATCAGAAAATTATGATAGTCACTGTTTTGGTCAGTGTCCTTTGACATTTTATCAGCATTCAGCATGTTATTATTTTAGCAAGAGTAATTGCTTCAATCACCTAATCAACCTCACTAGCTTCATAGTAAAGGAGGTATAAATCATCATCCTGCAAAGGTTTAAGACCTTCTCTGTAAAGAATGTGAGAAGTCAGGTTTCTTTTTAAAAGTATATGCAGTGCCTACATTTCTGTTTTTTGTCTCCTGGGATTACTGTGATTCTGGTATTTCACAGTGCCAGATTTCTGAGTTCTACGTGGATATGTGAAGTCTTACTGCCTAGAAAACTGTGAGCTGCTAGATCATCACCTTAACAGGGAAAAGCTAGTTTCTATGAAACCATTTTCCTCACTTGATCATTTCAATTAGAAAAATGGAAGATCATTCTTTGAAAATAAATATTTTTAGGGGGTTCCATCTTCATTTTCACATTTAGAAAGATAATTGAATGTAATTTTTCATTGCATATTTTACCTGTAAAATTTTTAGTTATTATTATATTTTACTCAGATGGAAACATAATAATACTACAGATAGCATCCAATTTTACTAAATACAAGCACCTTGAAAAGCCAACACCTTTAATGGTACATGAAGGAGTGTGTCAAATTAAAGAAAACAAAACTTTATTATTGTTCTCTTTTTTGTTTTTTACAGCATGCAACCTCAAAGAGAAAAGTTTGAGGAAATCACTTCAAGGACAAAAAATTGCAATGTAAAGAGAATTATTTATCTCCAAATTCCAGATTACCCCCCTGCCCAACCCCTGCCAGCAGCACCGTCCACATGGTTTCTCATTTAGTTTTGTGTTAGTTTAACAAAGTAGACTCTGCAATCTGGATAAAATAGTAAGTCACCTCAGGTAGGTGCCAATAGGATGCTCCTTTGGACATTGCAGATTTTAAGTACTGTCTTTTTATAATACAGGAGGCATGTACAAGTCTGTCATATGTGGAAATGTTGTGAACCCATCATATATACAATGTGCTGTTTTAGAAGATAGATTGTCCATTTAGGTGTGTTATAACAACCTAGATGGGAAGTTACTTTCCGGTGTGTTCAAAGTTCCTTATCTGATTCTGCAGAGGCTGGGATCTGAGCAGGTCACTCTATCTCTGGAGGCCTGTTACTTGATGATAAATACTAATAAACATCTCCCGTCAGACATCTCATCTTTTTGTGGATTCCTGTAGTACTCTTACCCTTTCTACAAACATGTAAATACCATCCATTGATATAATTTTTTTTTTTTTTTCTTTTGAGAGAGAGTCTCCCTCTGTTGCTCAGGCTGGAGTGCAGTGGCACGATTTCGGCTCACTGCAAGCTCTGCCTCCCGGGTTCGCGCCATTCTCCTGCCTCAGCCACCTGGGTAGCTGGGACTACAGGCGCTCGCCACCACGCCTGGCTAATTTTTTGTATTTTTAGTGGAGACGCGGTTTCACCGTGTTAGCCAGGATGGTCTGGATCTCCTGACCTCGCGATCCGCCCGCCTATATAATATTCTTATTTAACCCTTGGTTAATATATTGGCATCAGTTTGTTTTAACAACAATAACATAATTATCCCTAATAATCAGCATTATAAAAGCTATCATAATCGCTTACATAACTACAACTATTATCTAGACAATAATAGGTTAGATTAATAAGAATTCAGTGTTATTCAACACATTGCTAAAATGTTTCCATGTACTTTTATCTTATAAGCTAAATCTTAGGAGCTGTTACTCCTGGAATAGAACAATATTTCATTAATATATTTAAAATTTTAAATTAGTAAACATTTTTCTGAGAGATTCTGATTCTATGGAGAAAAAATAATGTGATCAAGAATTTCTATTGCTGGAAACAAACTAACAAATCATTTAGTTCGAAAGCCCCTCTTACAAATGCAGGAACTGAGCTGATTGACTCTTCATTTAATGATAATACTATTAACAGGTAATGCAGTTTTGAAGGAAAGCACAGGCTGAATACAGAAATCTCTTTCCAAGAGGTGGTGAGTCTTTACGACAATTGAATACGTGTTATTTTTATTCACTAAAATTTGGCTAAGATTGAAAGGGTAAACTTTGTGGGTCTTTCAGGAGATCTTTTACTAAAATAAGTAGGGCCTTAATCACTGCTGAATGAACTTTGTACAGAATGGGCCCACAGGCCTCATCTGTTGTAGCTGGGATTGCTTTGAGAGAAGTGGATTTGTTGAAAAGTGGATGGAAGAACACAGGATTTAGAATTGGCATATTTGACTATAGCTTCTGCATCCACCTATCTCTGCGCTATAGAAATGATTAAAGAGAAGTGGGAAAAATTCATAAACTTTATGATTATTTTTAATTTTAAGGAGGACATGGGACCTTTATTAAAAAAAATATTCCCATATATGAAAGATTCTTATTTCTATAATGGGGAAATGGCGAGACTATGAAAAAAAAAAAACAAATATGTAATTGAACTTTAATGTATAATACCAAAATAAACTATAGGTCACCTTTGGCAGTATATATGTTTAAAAATAATTTCGACGTTTAAAATGCCTTAAGAGAGGACCATTAAGGTCAGATTGAGAAGATAAAAGAATTGATCTTTTAGGGTGCCATTCTACTCTATAGCTCTGTAATTTCTATGGTTATGATGGTTCTCTTTTGTTAAATAAGGACTTATAGAAATTATTTATTTTATCTGTTTGTATTTATTTATTTGCCTGTTGGTACTAGTCAACTGCTTCCCCTTACTTCCCTCCACTTGCTACAACTAATCAAATGTCATATTTTAAGATTATTTACCAAGGTTGCTTTAAATTTTTGTCTCCTTTTTAAAGTGTGAAAATTATTTATTTTAAAGTTAGCATTCATTTCATTATTCCTTCTTTAATAAAGTATTTATTGGCCGGGCACAGTGGCTCACACCTGTAATCCCAGCACTTTGGGAGGCTGAAGCGGGTGGATCACAAGGTCAGGAGTTCGAGACCAGCCTGGCCAACATGGTGAAACCCTGTCTATACTAAAAAAACAAAAATTAGCTGGGTGCAGTGGTGCACCCCTGTAATCCCATCTACGCAGGAGGCTGAGGCAAAATCGCTTGAACTCGGGAGACAGAGGTTGCAGTGAGCCGCGATCACGCCACTGCACTCCAGCCTGGATGACAGAGCGAGATTCTGTCTCCTCCGTCTCAAAAAAAGAAAATAATAAATAAATAAATAAATAAATAAATAAATAAATAAATAAATTCTTTATTGAATGATGGAATTCATGTACTTCCAAAGTTCTGAGAGGCAAAACATGGTGATGGCTGATTCTTTGCCTGTAATATCTTGCTATGTTATCAAAGCAAGTCAAATATATAATTATAATATAGTTTAAGAAGTGCCGTAATAGATGAACAGTACTACTATGGGAATTCTGAAGAAAGGAATGCAAATCGGACAGGGGGAAGAGAAAATGTTTTCTGTTTCTGAATAGCCAGGGATATTTATGACATTGGACTGATAAATGCAGAGATCTCATTCATGCCTCCCTGAGCTAACATGTATGTTTCCCTTACTACTATGCAAACTTCAAGAAGGGAAACGTTTTCTACAGTATCTAGAATAGTTTTTTGCATAGAGTAGACATACATGAAACAATGATACACATTAATTACTTTCTCAGTAAGCTTGATAAAATGGAAGATGCTCAATAACAGTTCAGTTTCTTGTCCCTTGAGAAGTGGTGCATGAATTGTAGCCTGGGTAAGTTTCATGTCTTTGTATGCTTTTGTTTCTTTTTTATGTCTAAATAGTAAATCAGGAGGAATTTCTTGGATATGCTGGTGGTTAAGACTTGATTCTTTGGTTTTAATAATGTTAATATATTGAGGTTTAGTTGTGACTGAATATAAAATTCATTGTTTTTAACTTAAAACTTTAAAATCAAATTGCAGAAGCCTTGGCCAAGGAATAATTGTATAAAATACAGTGTCTGAACTTGCAAGCTGTTCTTTTATCTGATTTGTGAACATTTATTAACATGACCTTATGTATTAGAATGTCCTATACAAACATGTCAAACAATCAAAATTCAAAGCTTTTCATTTTCAAAAGCTGCCTAAAATGCCACTCTCTCTAGACAATCACCCTGGAAGTAATGGTCTCTTCTCTGAACCATCATAATTCTCTGGTTCTTTCAAGAAAGAGTTAAATGCTTTCCAGTAGTTTCTTTCTGATCTTGATTGTTCTCAGGGGTCTCCTCAGAGTTATTTTATATATTTTCCTTGAAATTTTAAAGAGTTATTTGTGGATGAATTCTCATAGAATATATTTAATTATGGAGGTTCTCATTATGCTTCATACATGGGAAGTAATTCTGAAACAAAGAAAGTAAAAGGCCGTAAACTCTCTATGGGCTGCTTTATTAATCAAAGGAGATATAGAATTAACCCATTAGAAGTACTCTACTTTCTCTGAGGGGAACTTCTTTGTTCTGTAGATTGGTATATAAATTGAAATGTAATTATTTGCTCAGTTTTATTAACATATTTAAAAAGTAATTGAATATTTGCAGATGAGAGAGAAAGAAGCAATAAATCAAGCTACTAAGCATTTATTGAACATAGACTTGCTCCTTTAAAAAAATTACATTCCAGTTTATATAATGAGAATGCAGAAATGTTCCCCATCTTTCCAAGTCTTCTTCATCCTTCAGTTTAAAGGAAAGACATCAAGTTGACATTTTGGGAAGATGGAGGCAGTAGCTTACATTTTGATTCTCCCTAAGTGTTTCTATTATGCAAATACAGAGGAAGAAAACCAACTAGAAAGTATGGCAGTTTTCTGAGAATAGCACTCAAAGCTGGATCTCAAATAGCACTCAAATTAGATCTCAGGATCTAATTTGCTGGTTGGTTCATGGAGACCACAGTAAGATATGGATCCTAAGAACTCTCATACTATAAATCAGAAACTCTTATACTATAAAACAGACGCTCTCTTCCAGGTCAAAGCTTTGAAATAGGAGACACTTTTTGGACTAGAATTCATACTGACCAGGATAGTGACAGCAAGCTCAAAGGAAAATGTTGGTCCAGGAGTCAGGAGTTGGCAAACTTTTTCAGTAAAGGTCCATAAAGTAAATTTGCAAGCTCTATTGGGGTCCACATATGGTCTCCTGTATCTCTTTTCTCCCTCTCTCTCTTCTTTCCTTCTCTTTTATTTTTAACTCTTGAAAAGCCTAAAAAATATTCTTAACTTGTGAGCAATGTGAAACAGGCCCAAGGTTCATATTTAGTCCACAGGTTGTAGTTTGCTTGAACTCTGTAGAAATGAAAAAGGGAAGCAGAGGAAGCAGGTCTCAGAAAGTAGGGCTCCACAGAGGGCGCTTTAGAGCCACAAAGTTGGAAATGCTGAAAGGGCTCATCACTCTTTTCTAAAAGGACATGAAAACTTATTTTACTTAAAACAGAGCAATAGAAAAAGGTGAGTCAAGTCTTATACCAATTTAACATTGGGAAAAAAAGAATAAGGAGTACCAGAAATCCTTATAGATTAAAGAATACTTGAGAGACATACTCTCAAAGAAATAAACACTGTAACCTAATATTTGAAAACAAAATATGTTAAGAATATGATAAAAAGTGTGAGTGACCAACGCACATTAGAATAATGAAAACACAGAAATGTACTAAAATACACTACTCTGAAGAAATGTTTGCAAAGTTTTTTTGTGTATATGCACGCATATATAAAATAGGTTTATTGAATGAATGCTGATTTCCATTGTCAAATGTGAGCCTAAAAAATTAACCCTCCCTCTTTATGCTTTTGCATCTAAAAGAGGTTCTCTGGGTTTTATAAAGCATATAATGAGATACTGTCTTAATTCTCTGTCTCTTATCAGGTATTTTGTCTGAGAGAATTTCCTGATTTTTGAAGCCATCTAATAATTGGAGTATGTACTAAACAGATAGGAATTTATTTTGTGAGAAATTTTATTGAACAGGTACATGATAATAGAAATAATGTTTGTAAGTTCAGAAGTTAGAATAAATTAACCCTATTTTCAATAAGCAAATTATATGAGTGAGATGGATATTTTCTTACATTCATTTCTTCATTATTGTTTTGATCGAGTCTCAAAGGATGATTAAATCTGTTGAATTTTATCAAATTTATCATTTATCTGAAAGATGACCTTTTCTAAACTACATAGTGCACTTTATGAATGTGCACCATTCTGGGAGGAGAGGATTTCCACTTTTCTAATATTACACTTCTTGTAATCAATGCTGTTCTCTGGAGGATTTTTGTTTCATGGACTAGATGTTCTTTGTAAATTCTCAACATGACCTAATATAAAAATCAATACATCTTTAGGTAAGTTCATTTCTATTATTAGATCTGGCTGTAGCTTCACGCTAACGTGTTTCGAAATATAAGCAGCTCCCTACCACAGGGCATGGCTTTTTCCCGGTAATGTATTAAATTTCATTATGGTAGAAACCATTACAACAAAAATAAAATCCACTACAGTCTCCCAGCTCTAGCAGATTGCCAGCAATGTGTTTGCTTTAATGTTCTCATTACAATATTTATCTTGATTAAGGCAAAAATGCTTTTGTCCAGGTCGTATCTCTATTAGTGATCTCTCTCCACAACAACAGAACATGGGGTTCCTGGCTTAGCAAGGACTGAAGGAAACACTTTACCGTGACACTTGAGTGAGGACAGACAGGTAAACGACTGGGAGCTTAGAGCAGAAGGAAGGAAAGCCATGCACACAGCACTAGTTACAAGATAGATTAGCATGAACAATGTATTTCACAGACTAAGAAAATGATGATTAATTCTACATTTGGCCTATTCTTGAAGAAACTTGCCCAAATTGAACAAAAGGTGCCAAAAGAAGCCCTGGGGACATTTGAGGTCTGCTTTATTTTATTCCCTTTTTGACCAGGGAGGTGATTAAGTAAGCTCCAACTTGGTTTTTTTAGCCATCATTAGAGCATTCCAGCACAAGGAAAGAATTTAGAGGCTCTTTGAAGTGGTTGTAGAAAGATTTGCATTGAACTATACTCCTCCTAGAATTGAGAGTATTTGGAATACTTTAGTGACTGAGGTTTCTATTCATCTTACTCTTCCATCAGAGCACAACTTTTTGTAATTCTTATGTGTATTTGGATGTGTGTGGCTTTTTATTGGTCACCCACATTTTTCATTATCTATTAAAAATCTCATTCATATTCTAGCTTCTTAATGATGTGTTTGATTGAAATAGTCAGGCTATGTTTTTTCAAGTTTAGCATAGTGAAAAGAGAGATACTTTTGAAGCAAAATTATTATGCATATGCAAGGGAGCTGTGAGTCAGCAAGTTAGCAGAAATTATTGGGGCCTGATCACAATGGCGGTGTGAGAGGTGTTCTCCAGGTGAGTTGGAAAGGGGCAAAAGGGCAGTTATAGGACACGATGGAGAAAATCAATCTTCAAAGCTTCATGATAAAATTTCAATATTTAGTTTGAATTATTTCCAGAATAATAGACGTGCTCAAAATAACGACACTAAAAATAGTCTTTAAAGACATGTAATTCTTGGATTGTCTGCAAGTTGGGTTAATAAGAACTGTTGTGTCCTTTGATAAGCACTGATAATTTTATTCCATTGTTTAATCTAATTCTCATGTTGGTGTCCCATCATTAAGATTTTGTAACATCACCTTGAATCTTAAAAGCAAAAGTATTCAAGATGGGTCTTAAAATTCCATTGCTGTGTGCCATGAGCATTTTTTTTGACATTTCATGTTCTATGATGCTTAAGGGGAAAACATCATGAAAATCATTACCCTAATATTATTATCCAACATGGCTGCTCACAGGTTAGGAGGAAAAGCTCCAGGATTGTTGCAAGGGGATGGGGACTTACCTAGTGAAGAAGTAGACTAAAAGTTGAGAGTTGTTTTTTTAATCTCTTAAAGAGTTCTTTTTTTCACTCGCGTCCACGTGAAAAGACCGCTGAACAGGCTTTGTGTGAGCAACAAGGCTGTTTATTTCACCTGGGTGCAGGCGGGCTGAGTCCGACAAGAGTGTCAGTGAAGGGAGACAGGGGTGGGGCCATTTTATAAGATTTGCATAGGTAAAGGAAATTACAGTCAAAGAGGGGTTGTTCTCTGGTGGGCAGGAGTGGGGGTCACAAGGTGGTCATTGGGGGAGCTTTTTGAGCCAGGATGAGCCAGGAGAAGGAATTTCACAAGGTAATGTCATCAGTTAAGGCAAGGACTGGCCATTTTCACTTGTTTTGTGGTGGAATGTCATCAGTTAAGGCAGGAACAGGCCATTTAAATTTCACTTCTTTTGTGATTCTTCAGTTACTTCAGGCCATTTGCATGTATACGTGCAGGTCACAGGGGATATGATGGCTTAGCTGGGGCTCAGAGGCCTGACATTCCTGTCTTCTTATATTAATAAGAAAAATTAAAATAGTGTTGAAGTGTTGGGGTGGCGAAAATTTTTGGGGGTGCTTTGGAGAGATAACAGGCGATGTTTCTCAGGGCTGCTTCGAGCGGGATTAGGGGTGGTGTGGGAACCTAGACTGGGAGAGATTAAGCTGAAGGAAGATTTTGTGGTAAGGGGTGATATTGTGGGGTTGTTAGAAGAAACATTTGTTGTATAGAATTATTGGTGATGGCCTGGATATGGTTTCGTATGAATTGAAAAAAGAACGGAATAAGACAATGAGAAAAACAGGTAGTAAAGGACTAAGAATTCGGAGGACCTAGAACATCCAATTAGAGAGTGTCTAAGGAGGTTCAGCATAGCCCTGCCAGCAAAGATTATTTATTTACTTTAAGAGGGAGTTAAGAGTGGTGGTTTGGGGATAGCACCAGGAGATACCAGCTGTGATGGCTTGGAGAAACAGTGTAAACCGGCAGTGTAAACAAAAGCAGGGCATTTATGAGTAGTTGAGAAAGGTGAATAGGAGTATGACTAGACAGAAGATAGTAGGGATGACAAGTTTTTTTTTGGGGGGCTCAGTCCAAGTTGGTCTGGTGTCTGGAATGAGACTGGGGCCTAATAAAAAGGAGCGTCTATACAGGAGCTCAAATGGGCTGTACCTTGTAGCATTCTGAGGACAGGCCTGAATTCTGAGAAGGGCAAGTGGTAAAAGTATTGTCCAGTCTCTTTTAATTGATGGCTGAGCATGGTGAGGTGTGTTTTAAAAAGACCATTAGTTTACTGAATACTAAGAACCTGAGAAACTACTTGGGTGATTTGACTAATAAAGGCCGGTCTGCTATCGGACTGTATAGAGGTGGGAAGGCCAAACTGAGGAATTATGTCTGACAGAAGGGAAGAAATGACCGTGGTGGCCTTCTCAGACCCTGTGGGAAAGGCCTCTACCTATCCAGTGAAAGTGTCTACCTAGACCAAGAGGTATTTTAGTTTCCTGACTCAGGGCATGTTGAGTAAAGCTAATTTGCCAGTCCTGGGCAGGGGCAAATCCCCGAGCTTGATGTGTAGGGAAGGGAGGGGGCCTGAATAATCCCTGAAGAGTAGTAGAATAGCAGATAGAACACTGAGAAGTTATTTCCTTGAGGATAGATTTACACAATGGAAAGGAAATGAGAGGTTATAAGAGGCGGGCTAGTGGCTTGTACTATAGCATAGCCTACCTTTGCTGGTGTGTGGCAATTAGGCCTGGTGGAACTGCCATCAATAAACCAAGTGTGATCAGGGTGAGGAACAGGAAAGAAGGAAATATGGGAAAATGGGGGTGAATGTCAGATGTATCAGAGAGATACAGTCAGGAGGGTCAGGTGTGGTATCAGGAATAATGTGGGAGGCTGGATTGAAGTCTGGGCCAGGAACAATGGTAATTGTGGGAGACTCAACAAAGAGTGAGTACAGCTGAAGGAGTCGGGGAGCAGAAAGTATATGTGTGAGGTGTGAGGAAGAAAACAGATTTTGGAAGTTATGAGAACTGTAGAGAGTGAGTTGAGCATAGTTTGTGATTTTGAGGGACTCTAAAAGTATTAGGGCAGCGGCGGCTGCCGCACGCAGACTTGAGGGCTAGGCTAAAACAGTAAGGTCAAGTTGTTTGGATAAAAAGGCTACAGGGCACGGTCCCAGTCCTTGTGTAAGAGTTCTGACTGCATAGCCCTGCACTTCGGCTGTGGGTAATGAAAAGGGTTGGGATGAGTCAGGGAGAGCTGGGGTGGGGGCAGTCTCTAAAGCTGTCTTCAAGGAATGGAAAGAGAAGTGGGGAAAGGAATTAGGATCTATGGGGTCAGCTAGGTTTCCTTTTGTGAGTTTATATAATGGTTTTGTTAGGATGGCAAAACCAGATATCTAAAGTATCCAACCACGCCTAGGAAGGAAAGGAGTTGTTGTTTTTTAGAAGGTGTTGGGGTTTGAGAGATCAGTGGGACATGATCGGCAGGGAGAGCACGTGTGTTTTTATGAGAATTATGCTGAGATAGGTAACAGATAAGGAAGAAATTTGGGCTTGACTGAAGTAATGGGAGCTGTCTGTGAAGCCTTGTGGCAGTACAGCCCAGGTAATTTGCTGAGCCTGATGGGTGTCAGGGTCAGTCCAAGTGAAAGCGAAGAGAGGCTGGGATGAAGGGTGCAAAGGAATAGTAAAGAAAGCATGTTTGAGATCCAGAACAGAATAATGGGTTGTGGAGGGAGGTATTGAGGATAGGAGAGTATATGGGTTTGGCACCATTGGGTGGATAGGCAAAACAATTTGGTTGATAAGTTGCAGATCCTGAACTAACCTGTAAGCCTTGTCTGGATTTAGAACAGTAAAATAGGGGAATTGTAAGGGGAGTTTACAGGCTTTAAAAGGCCATGCTGTAGCAGGCGAGTGATAACAGTCTTTAATCCTTTTAAAGCATGGTGTGGGATGGGATATTGGTATTGAGTGGGGTAAGGGTGATTAGGTTTTAATGGGATGGTAAGGGGTGCATCATTTGTCACCAAGGAGGGAGTAGAGGTGTCCTATACTTATGGGTTAAGGTGGGGAGATAGAAGGGGATGATGTGAAGGAGGCTTTGAACTGGGGGAAAAGGCAGCAATGAGGTGTGGCTGTAGCCCAGGAATAGTCAGGGAAGCAGATAATTTAGTTGAAGTGTCTCGGCCTAATAAGGGAACTGGGCAGGTGGGGATAATTAAAAGGAGTGCTTAAAAGAGTATTGTCTAAGTTGGCACCAAAGTTGGGGAGTTTTAAGAGGTTTAGAAGCCTGGCCGCCAATACCTACAACAGTTATGGAGGCAAGGGAAACAGGCCCTTGAAAAGAAGGTAATGTGGAGTGGGTAGCCTCCGTATTGATTAAGAAGGGGACGGACTTACCTTCCACTGTGAGAGTTACCTAGAGCATCTGTGATGGTCCTGTAGGCTTCTGAGGCAATCAGGCAGTGTCAGTCTTCAGCTGCTAAGCTGAGAAGATCAGGGAAGGAGTCAGTCAGAGAGCCTTGGGCCAGAGTTCCAGGGGCTCTGGAAGTGGCTGCCAGGTGAGTTGAACAGTCTGATTTTCAGTGGGGTCCTGCACAGATGGGACACAGCTTGGGAGGAATCCTGGGCTGTGGGCATTCCTTGGCCCAGTGGCCAGATTTCTGGCACTTGTAGCAAGCTCCTGGGGGAGGAGGTTCTGGAGGAACCCCTGGAAGCTGTGGTTCAGGCGTTTGGAGTTCTTGTGTGCTGGAGATGTGGCTGGGGTTTGTCTCACAGTGGAGGCAAGGAATTACAACTCAGAAATACATTGCTACTTGGCTGCCTCTACTCTATTATTGTACACCTTGAAGGGAGGTTAATTAACTCTTGTTGTGGGGTTTGAGGGCTGGAATTTAATTTTTGGAGTTTTATTTAATGTCGGGAGCAGATTGGGTAATAAAATGTGTATTAAGAATAAGACGGCCTTTTGACCTTTTAGGGTCTAGGGCTGTAAAGTGTCTCAGGGTTGCTGCCAAACGAGTCATGAACTGGGCTGGATTTTTATATTTTATGAAAAAGAGCCTAAATGCTATCTGATTTGGGATAAAGAAAAAGGAGCATTAACCTTGACTATGCCTTTAGCTCCAGCCACCTTCTTAAGAGGAAATTGCTGGGCAGGTCGGGGAGGGCTAGTCTCGGAACGAAACTGTAAGCCAGACCGGTGTGAGGAGGGGAGGTGATAAAAGGATTATAGGGTAGGGGAGCGGAGGCTGAGGAAGAATTGGGACCTAGCTCAGCCTGGCGAGGAGCAGCCTGGGGAGGAGGGGAGAGGTCAGATGGGTCTGTAGAAAAGGAAGACTGGAAAGAGGAAAGACTCAGCGACGCTTGGGGTTGGGACTGAGGGGACAGATGGGAGGGAAAGAAGGAAAATTTGGACAAGTTGCATTGGGAACAGAGACTAGGGAGGGACCCATGTGTAAAAGAATGCCTGGACATCAGGCACCTCAGACCAGACCGTTTGCCTATTTTATGACAAGAATTATTTAGATCTTATAGGATGGAAAAATCAAAAATGCCATTTTCTGGCTATTTGGAACCACTGTCGAGTTTGTACTGGGGTCAGGCAGCATTGCAGAAGAAAATAAGGCGTTTAGGTTTTAGGTCAGGTGTGAGTTGAAGAGGTTTTAAGTCTTTGAGAACACAGGCTAAGGGAGAAGGAGGAATGGAGGGTGGAAGGTTGCCTATAGTGAAGAAGGCAAGTCCAGAGAAAAGAGAGGGTAGAGACATGGAGAGAAGGGGTGGGAGGTGCTTGCCCCCCAGGAAAGTGGAGAAGGGGTAGAGACATGGAGAGAAAGGGTTGAGGGGTTCTTGCACCCTAGAAAAGCGGTACTTGCCGCAAAGGGTGAAGGACCAAGGCAGGCGTCCCGGCGTGGTCAGACACCTTTGAAATGTGGGTGAATGATCAGGCAGGCATCCCTGCGTGATTAAACACAAAGGAAAGACTGTCTTCCCGAGTCTGTGAATGGTGCTGGAGTTTTGGGTCCACAGATAAAACGCATCTCCTGTCTTTACGAGAAAAGGAAAGAAACTGAAATTAAGAGAAGGGAGAGATTGAAGTGTGGCGCCAAGATTGAAAGGAGAAAGAGATTGAGGGATAGTGAGAGAGGATGGAGAAGAGAGTAAAAAGAGGCCACTTACCTGATTTAAAATTGGTGTGATGTTCCTTGGACTGGTTGGTCTGAGGACCCGAGGTCATAGGTGGATCTTTCTCATGGAGCAAAGAGCAGGAGGACAGGGGATTGATCTCCCAAGGGAGGTCCCCCAATCCGAGTGACAGCAGCAAATTTCACTCGTGTCCGTGTGAAGAGACCACCAAGCAGGCTTTGTGTGAGCAACAAGGCTGTTTATTTCACCTGGGTGCAGACGGGCTGAGTCTGAAAAGAAAGTCAGCCAAGGGAGATAGGGATGGGGCCATTTAATAAGATTTGGGTAGGTAAAGGAAAATTACAGTCAAAGGAGGTTGTTCTCTGGAGGGCAGGGGTGGGGGTCACAGGGTGCTCAGTGGGGGAGATTTTTGAGCCAGGATGAGCCAGGAGAAGGAATTTCACAAGGTAATGTCATCAGTTAAGGCAAGGACTGGCCATTTTCACTTGTTTTGTGGTGGAATGTCATCACTTAAGGCAGGAACAGGCCATTTAAGTTTCACTTTTTTTTGTGATTCTTCAATTACGTCAGGCCATTTGCATGTATACGTGCAGGTTACAGGGGATATGATGGCTTAGCTTGGGCTCAGAGGCCGGACACTTTTGTATAAAGCTTATTTTTCTGAGGAGTGGTGAAGATTGTAATGATGGTCCCTTCTTGTACTCTTCCCCAGTTTTGCATGACAATTGGCTAGCAAATTTGTCAATATGGTGCAATTAGTCTTGATCCTCATGAACAAATAAATGAGAAATAAAAAAGAATATTGAAATATAAATCCATAGACCATGCAAAACTGAGAACTATGGCCCATCCAGTGAGAGACCTAGATGCTACAGGACAGATGACAGTAGCTACCTAGTTGAGGGAAACTTCTATTCTGTGGAAAGAAAGTAAGAGTAGCCTTTAGGTGCCCAGTGATATTAATCCTAATCTGCCAATTACCAGTGACATGACCTTGAGAAAGACCCCCAAGTTTTCTGGATCTTCATTACATAAATGGCAAAAAAAAAAAAAAAAAGGATTTCTCAGATGACATTTCATTATAACACTCTGTGAATGGTTTTTATTAATTATATTCTTATAAGGTTTGTATATTTTGGTTTATAAGGAAAGATCTCATTTTTATGTTATGCAATTAACCTAAGGAAATACATAAAGAAAGGAAGACACAGCCATAAACAGTTCTGAAGGGTCATTTCTGTACGTGTCTCTTCTGGATTCTTTATAGATATATTTAAGAGAACAAAAAGAAAAGATCAAGAAGAAAACAAAGACCAATGTTATTTAGTTACACATCTTTCAGTGTCAAAGAATTATTTGACATCTTGAAGATATTTTTCGCTAGGATTCTTGATTGGTCAGAGAATGTTGTTAAATACAAGATTTTTCTGGGAAAAGAATGACTTTTATGATAATCAATGTTCTTTGTTCAATTCCTGGACAAAAATCTTAGCCCTTCAATAACGGGCTTTTCTAATTCTGTTTTGTAATTGCAGTAAAGCGTCTTGGAGGATTTATCTCTAGTGATACAGGCCAGCAGTATGTGGCCTTTTCTTGAACCCGTCAGAACTGTGACTTTTCTTTGAACTCTTGGCTGCTTGGTGCTACTGACCTTGTTGCTCATTTATAACTTGGGTGCCATTTATCACTCCCAGACTTACAGATATTGTTGTGGAAAGAGACTGAATGCAATCATTCATGCCATTGCCTCTTTCTGGTGGTGCCTTCCAGCTTCCTTCCTTACAGGATAACTGATAGGGAGAGATTAGTGACAAAGCTGTAATTCTATTGAGGGATTGTGATGTAACTGTATCATAAACCATGAAGTGAGACTCCAGAGATTTGAGATCACCAGAATGCTGAGATTAAGTTACAGCAGCCACAGTCAATCTCTGTCAATATGTGTTTTGTGAGGGTTTGTAATCTGCCTGTAAAATACTAGCTACCTGTAGAAAATTCCTCTTTTTATAGTATTGACTTTATATAATTTCTGCAATTTCAGAGCTTAAAAGAAATATTGATTTTTATTTTTACAAATACATACAGACATTTTAAAGACCATTAAGAAAGCTTGCTCTGAGTTGGTAATGTATGTTTTAATTCTGTGAAACTTTTTGTTGGTTTCTCATATGCCACTTGAAATATTTAGGTTTTAATATTTTGAAATGAAATCTTTTATGTATGTATAAAATTTTAAAAACTAATTTATTGAGGTGAAATCTACATAATAAACGATTTTAAAGTAACAATTTAATGGCATTTCATGCATTCACAATGTAGTAGAACCATCACCCCATCTAGCTCCTAAACATTTCCATCACCCCAAGTTAAAACCTTGTACCCATTCAGCAGTTTCTTCCCACTTGTCCCTCTTCCTCATCCCATGTGTGAAATTTTCAAATTAAAAATAAATGAATTGACTTGATATTTTCTTTACTTAACACTTAAAAGGAATTAAAGACATTATGTTTGATTAATCGTTTCAGTAAACTTATGCCTCTAGCCACATTTTCATAAGCCATTTGTGGGGTGGGGCTTGACCAAGTAATACAAGTCTTTGGAGGTTTTAATAGATATGATGTATTACCTTTGCCAAAGAAACTGGAGATGCTAATATAAACAGATTTCCTTACTGGAGGATTTTTTGTAGAAACCTTTCATGTGTCAATGAACTCTCCTTCTCTCAAGTCTACAGCCACAGTGTACAGCACTTCCTGAATTAATTGCCTCTTTTTTCTGGAGTATTCTGAGTCTACTGCTAAGACTCATTCAATGTAAAAAAAAAATAATAATAATCTAGGCCTAATTATGATATTGTTGGAGGATAGTACCAGGAAATAGGAGCTTTTTACTAAAGGGATTTAAGAAATCTGAATCTGACTTTTAAAACTAGTATTCACATTATATTCTTTGTTAAAAAGAGCAAAAGTCCTGAGATACAGGGTTTCTGAAATTTCATCTAGTAAATTAAAATAGTGGTTAATATTTTGTTTTTTTAATTTTGTTTTATATTATTTTATTTTATTTTTAGAGATAGGGTCTTGCGTGGTTGTGGTTAACATTTAAAAAACTTTCATACATTATCTACATTTCTATCAGTAACCCTGAAAGCCAGGATTATTGTCCCAACTTTATGGATGGATAAACTGAAGTGCATGAGTAAATTAACTAACTACATCAAAATATCTTCCTCTAGGGTTAAATGATTTGCCCAATATCCATCCCACAGTTCTAAATGGTGGAGTAATGATGTGGATTCAGATGCCTGTGCCTCCAAATCCTGCAGTCTTTCTTTGTACCCTGCAGCACTGCTGTGTAAGCATGAGTTTGGACTCTAGTTTTCTGGGACTTCGTTTTCATATTTATAAAAATGAAGAAACTGAATCTTCTCTAAGGTCTCTTCCAGGTTTGAAATTATATCACTTAAACCCTGTACTATTTCCTAGTCTGTTTAGAGGCTTTAGAGAAAAAAAAAAATTCATATATCAAGAATCCCAAGATCTCAATAAAAAGGTTAAACTACATTCTTGAATAAGTGAACAATTACAACAGCTGACCTTTATGTAAACCTCCCAGAACTCAGAGTGAATTATAGAATCAAAGGAGGAATTCTGCTCCATTTTTATAAATATAGTTAAGACCAACATAAATACATGACTTGGCTTAAACACTAGGAATTCTTAGACATAGGTTGAACTTGCAAAGAAGGTATGTGTGTGTTAGCCTCTGCCTGGCCATCCTTTATCAGATAAAGAGTTAATACTGGAGCCTAGGCCTGTGTTCAGGTGGGAGGGGAATATTAATATAAATCTACCACCTTTAGAACAGCACAGTTGTTATTTTATTAGAGGAAAAGGTGAGAGTGAATAGATGTGGTCAAATGGATTTTGTTATTTTTTCCTTTCCTACCAATAAAATATATATTTTTTCTGTTTATAAAGACCAGGCTTTTTTCCTCTTTTTTAAAAAACCTACATCTCAATTCCCAAATTTTCCTTCTTTCTGATTGTGGTAAACCCTGTTAAAATCACTGTATCATATACATATTACCACCTATGAAAAAGATTTTATAGCTTTATTTTCTGTGGTTTGTATTATTTATTCCTATGGAACTATGAAATACTTTTTGTGTGCTTTGGAAAATTTCAAATCTCATACTAAATACGGTTCTCAAACTATATATCTCCCTTTTCTTCATCTTTTACCCTGATATTCTGCTATCACCTCTCAGCCTTGTTCTATATTTCAAATTGTGGTTAAGTGAACTCCTTAGGCTATAAAGTAAAAGTTTTGTTCTCGCTTCATTTTCGTAAGAAGGACTCCTCTCCATTATTGAATGAGGAAGCTGAAAACAGGAATTCTGCCTAGGGGAGAGTTATCTGGTAATTAAATTTGCTGTAGGTTATCTGGATCATGAAAGGAAAGGGAATAAACCCTCAGCAGATTCTATTGTTTTCAATATTTATGGCTACTAAAAACAACAGACTGCTTTTGAAGACCCAAGTGGGCTTTAACTTCACATGTGACTTTTATAATTATGAAGAGAATCATATTAAAAAAAATGGAAACTTCATAACTTTTCCCCAAATCCATTCTTAATCTTTTGATATTTAGCATTTGCTTTTGAGGCAATTGTCTTTTCTTCAGTAGTTAACTAGAGTAAGCCAGCTAAATTTTTCACTGCCAGTTTCTGTCCATAAAATAAAAACAGTCCTCCAAAATCACTTTCAAGAACTTTATGAACTCTCACATCTTCTTCATAATTTGTAATTTCACTTAGCAATCAATTTCCACTGTCAGATTTTTACAACTCCTGAGGAGAAACTGATAGACAGGTTCCATTAGGTGGTTGATATGATGAGCAGGAATGGAAGTTAGCATGAGGTGGAAAGGAAAGTTTCAGTGAAGTCTAATTGGTTAAGACATAATATTTATGTTGAATTTATTTGTATGATGTGGCTTCATGACAGTGGTGGGCCAGAAAATAAATATACAGGTGTCACAGACCACTTTAAACACCATAGCCTTCTGGAAAAATAATTTTATGCACTATAGTTTGTTCTTTGTATTTGAACGTTTTTCTCCTAATAAAATTGATTTTCTTCTTAGATGTATCACCACCATCCAGATTAAGCATTTGATTCCATTTGTAAGCCTACCCACATTTATCCCTTGTCCATCCACAAAGAGAGAGACATGAGAAGTGAGTATAGAGTTAGCGTCACCTATAACTAGCTCTCCTAATATATCCCAGACAGCTTACTAACCATAGAAT
This sequence comes from Homo sapiens, assembly GCF_000001405.40. NCBI lineage: Eukaryota > Metazoa > Chordata > Mammalia > Primates > Hominidae > Homo > Homo sapiens. The sequence goes on from NC_000021.9 coordinate 15,990,036, forward strand.
AGGTCAAATTCTTCCTATAGATAATCTTGGATATTGACCCTCCTGTCAATGGACAAGCGGCTGCTCAACAGCACCTGGAGGTCTATGAAATCCTCTTAGGAACATGTGGCTTGTTCTGACACAGCAAACAGATCTATGCAAGGACTCATAAAATCTGACTGATTTATCCTAGGCAAACACTAGGATATTGCCCCCTCTGGTCCATTCTATGTGGTGGGGGCACATAACAGGCTATTCTTGCTTTTCATCAGCGATGTTCATGGAAATTGTCATGACTTATTTCATTGTCAAAAAGATTGATTTTTCCCATAGGAACAACTGTAATAGGTGGTAGATGTTGTATTTCTGACCAAGGAAGGGAAAAGCATACAACTATAAAAGTCTGCAATAATTTAAACTAGCAAAATTGTGCTCAAATCCATAGACTGGGGAGGAATGCATTAAACATACCAGTTATATAAATAAAATTTTGTTATAAATTTGATATAGAAGTATAGTTGTGATAAACACTTAACTAAATGACTGTTTTATTTGCTTTCTTAGAAATTAGAATGTTTTTGAAATGATTTGTTTTTTTTCATCTAGCTTTACAAGCTATCCAGGAAAACTGAGTCAATGTCTTATTTTTTCTTTCTACATATTTTTCTGAAGCAAGCAGATATGTTTTGCAAAAATAATTTACAGGTTGTATTTTATTTTATTATTTTTATTTTTGCCAAGCCTGTGTATCATTATGTATTGAGTGAGACTTCCAAGAGTGTCAAAATTGAATAGTTAGTGGTGAAATTTACCAAACGCAGTTAGCTGATGGACCCTGAGGGCCTCAAATAAAAATATCCAAGGAAAACCTCTTGAAGCGAACTTTTGTGTTTCTTCATGATGGATGTGTTCTTTGAGTATGGCATGTTCAGGTTTCCAGAGCCCTGTCTGAAGATGAGGAGACTTAAAGAGGCTACCAGGTTAATCCCTCCCTGTAGGCCTTGGCATTTCTTTCTCAGACCTCCTCGCAGTTGAGCATGTTGGCACCATCTCAATGCCTACTTCCTTCCCACCTCAGGCTGGATTAGAGAGGATTCTCTGTGATAGACACTCATGAGCCACAGACATTCTTCTCTTCTGGTCCTTCACTGCCATACCTCTTTCTAACGCAGAAACATGTGTTCCTTGTCTAGGCCAAGAATCTGGCTTATTCAGTCAAATGTATGCATTCTAAAGAAAGAATTGGTACACAGTAAATGAAGTGGGAAGTGTGAGTTAGCTTCAGAGATCATTTTACATGTTAAGCACTGAAGCATGGAAAGAATGAATGTGAACTTAGAAGCCTGCGTGAAGGATAGGACACTAGCCTAGAACTCAGGAAAGGTGTGCTACGGATGGTTCTGCCACTTATTTGCTGTGTATATTTGAGAAAGTGTTTAAGCTCACTGCATTGCAGTTTCTTAGCTGTAAAGAGAACCAACTTTAACATTCCCGATTGTATGTTTATAAATGAGGTTTGCCTTTATTCCTTTCTGCTATATCGGAACTAGCAAATACCAAACATACAGACCAAATAAATACATAGGAATATTCAATTAACATGCTCATCTTAACTAACTTATAAAATTCTATCTTGTTTATATCTAGTTGTATTAATCAGGGTTCTCCAGAGAAACAGAGCTAAAAAAGTTCAGAGAAACAGACCCAATAAATCATACATAATGTGATTAATATTAATATATAAAAAATCATATAACATATCATGATATATATTAATATATTTTATTATATATTTATATATCATTATATATTACTATATAATAAATCATAGTATATGTAATAAAAAATTATATATTATGTATTATATAATATAGTATATATTATAAATCATATAATATATGTAATTATACATATAGAGTATAGATGTTAATATATGATATATATACTGTATATAATTATATACATACTATGTACATACTCTATATTATAATTATATATAGTATATATGTTTATATATGATATTATATCATAATATATACCAAATATGATACTACATAAATACTATACATTATTGTAGTATAGAGTATATATAATATATATATCATAATATATACTATATGATTTATTATAAGGAATTGGCTTAGATTGTGGAGGCTGAGAAGTCCCAAGGTATGCAATCATCAAGCTGGAGACCCAGGAATAAAGATGGTATAGTTCTCATCCAAAGGCCAACAAGCTCAACACTCAAGAAGAGCCCATGTTTCAGGTTGAGTCTGAAGGCAGGAAATGACCAATGTTTCAGCTCAAGCAGTCAGGCAGGAGCAATTCCCTCTTACTCACAGAAAGGTCAGCCTTTTTGTTTATTCAGGCCCTCAATGGGTCAGATGAGGGTCACCCATACTGGGGAGGGTGACCTGCTCTCCTTAGTCTACTGATTCAAATGTGAATCTTGTTTAAGAACGCCTTCAGAGACACACCCAGAATAATGTGCCACCAAATGTTTGTGTACCCTGTGGCTCAGCCAAGTTGATGCATAAAATTAACAACTCACTACTCAGAAACGGAGATATGTAGGAGGTATGTATTTGTCTCTAAGCTTTGGGGTTAGCTACTGCTGTTTATTTTCCAAGGGGCTTTAAAGATGTTTGAGAAACTAAGAACACTAGAATCATATGGCTCATCCCAAAAGCTCATCCAACTCAGGAGCCTCCAACTTTCATAGGACCATTCATGTGGGGGGGGTGGCAGCATTTTTCTTTGATGTGTGTCACAAAGAGTAGAGATTGAAATTCAAAGGTACGACTTCCTTTTGATAAGGCTCTCTCATCTATGAAGTCATCTACAGTTTTCTTGAAACTCTTTACTTTCATCTCTATTACCTTTCAGGGGTTTCAAGCTGATGAAGTCCATTGAGTAGAAGTATGCATTCATTTTCCAAAAAATGTTTTCTTCAAGTTTCAAGGACATGCTTCCTTTTTGGCTCATCCTAGATTTGAAAATGAATATGTCCTTCATGTTTATGTATTCTTCTCATGATCTGTACTTTTACAAATGAAAAATCTTAAATTGCCTTTATTCTATTTTCATCTAGAACTTTGTCTTCATATGGATTACTTCAATTGCCCTTGTGTTATAATAACTACAATTGCTACTGGATATGAATAGGTGAAAATAGGAAAATGGGGATACTGGATAACTAATGGGAAGAGAAAGATGGTGATGTCTTTTTGTCTTTTTTTTTTTTTTTTGAGACAGAGTTTCACTCTTGTTGCCCAGGCTGGGGTGCAATGGCGTGATCTCCGCTCACTGCAACCTCCAACTCCCAGGTTCAAGCGATTCTCCTACCTCTCAGCCTCCCGAGTAGCTGGGATTACAGGCATGCGCCACCACACCCAGCTAATTTTTTGTATTTTTAGTAGAGACGGGGTTTCTCCATGTTGGTCAGGTTGGTGTTGAACTCCTGACCTCAGGTGATCTGCCTGCCTCAGCCTCCCAAAGTGCTTGGATTACAGGTGTGAGCCACCGTGTTTGGCCGGGTTTGAACTTTTGCACAAGTTCTTGCCCACAATCTTCCTTACCTTGTAAATACTGAGTTACTTTCTCAAAAGTCAGCTCCAATATTCACCTGTCTTATGAAGCCTTCCTTCATCTTCCACAGGCACAGATTTCCTTTTCACTTTTCTATAGAATAAATGCATATTTATTATGATGCAAAAGATAGTTCAATTGCAATTCGTTATGATTTGAGTCTCATTCTACCCATTGTAATTACTATAGTGTTTTTGAGATAAGACTAAGGGGAAATTATTACAGCTGCAATTTGAAAATACTTTTTGGAATGTTTTGATACAACACATAAGAAATTATAGATTCTTGATTGAAACGTATATTTTAAAAAGTGAAACAAATTTACAGAAAAATTAATTGAGCATGAAACAAAAGCAAAAAAGGTCAGGAATAAATTTAATTAGTTTTTTTAATAATGAGAAGCAAATTGCATCAAAACATGTTTAAGTCATAACTAAACTAATAAGTCATGAAGAGAGAGATTTATTTTTTCAGGGTAATAGAACTTGAATGCTAGAGTATTATTAGATAATCAAATTAGCAGAAAGGAATGAGTCATCTGAACCCATGGAAAAAGACTTAAATTTATTGCTGATTAAATGTGATTATTGACTTTAATGAGGATAACATGAAACTCCTAATGACATCAAAGCAATGAAGAGATCTATGACAAACAGGCTAATAAGTGTTGTCAACTCAGCATGTTAACTAAGTCAACTTAGTTTCATACTCATATACTGTGACATTTGGCAACTCAGTCGACGTGCAGGAGGAACATTTGCAATACCTGAAATCTTATTTATATGAAAGAAACTCGATAACTTTGCCAAATTGGAGAACAATCACAAAAATTTTCATAACTACCAATAAGTTGTGAAGATGAAAGTTTCCTAAACTATCAATAATTTTTAAGTTTCAAATATTATGCTAAAGAAAAGACGGAGTTTGTTGATATTGTGATATTTTCAGCTTTTTAAATTTCAAAATTTTTATGATTTTTTATTCTAAATATTCATATACATGAGTAACTTTATATTTAGTACGTTTATATTCTCTTTCTTTCTTTCTTTCTTTTTTTTTTGAGACGGAGTCTTGCTCTGTCGACCAGGCTAGAGTGCAGTGGCGCGATCTCGGCTCACTGCAAGCTCCGCCTCCCGGGTTCATGCCATTCTCCTGCCTCAGCCTCCCGAGTAGCTGGGACTACAGGAGCCCGCCACCACGCCCACGTAATTTTTTTGTATTTTTAATAGAGACGGGGTTTCACCGTGTTAGCCAGGATGGTCTCGATCTCCTGACCTCGTGATCCACCCACCTCGGCCTCCCAAAGTGCTGAGATTACAGGCATGAGCCACCGCGCCCGGCCATATTCTCTTTCTCAAAGAAGGTCTTTTAAACTGAGTAAGTTTCAGGCCCAACAAAACTTGGACCAAACTGCAGAACACACTTTGCAGATATTAGTAAGCATTTATTTTATTTATTTTGTAGTCTGTTAATTCCTTATAGAAGGAAACCAGGATGTTTATCTTTAAAACCTTTGGGCATAGCACAGTGCGTGATATGCTATAGTGGAAATTGCTTAGTAAATGATTATAGGATGCATAAGTATCTAACAGACCATGAGATATAAGAAACCCTCTCAGGGAGGTTCTGAGTCCCCTCTTTTACTAGCAAAATGCTTGAACTATTCAGATGAAAACTATTATATGATAGCAATTTATCATTTCAGAAAATTTGGAAAGTACTACTTTGAGTAGTCCAACTATCCAGTGAAAGCATAGCATCATTTGGCTTAGAAAAAATGTTTTCAAAGGTGTCTGATTCCATCTTTCCCTAATTGTGATTTAAAACACAAAATTTATCCCAAAAGTAATGATGACCATTTTGAATGTCAAAAGAAATTTCTATCAGAAAAAGCCTTACACTTTAACTTTCTTTCAACTTTGAGTGCAAATTATAAGTAAAATGAACTCCAGTCAGATCTTCATTTAACTTAAGAGTATGTTTAGAGGTAGCTATTATTAGTGCTATAATTGATTTTTCTCCCTTTTGAATATATCTGGAGCATATAATTGGATGGATCAATACTTTTAGTTATGGAAAGTTAAGGAACAAAACATGAACTAAAGACTCTGACTCTTGTTTCAATAAAGATGTGATACTTTCATTTTCAAAGAGAAGAACAGTCATACTGTGAATAAATTTAGTTTATTCTGTTGCAAGTAAGTTTTAGGAAAGGAATGATGATAAACTCAAATATGTTTGAGCTTCGTTATTTTAACAGAATGATCATATTTTATACTGCAATGAGTAATAAAATATGAATTTTTGTTGTAGATGTATAAATAAACTAAATGTGTGACTTTTCTTGTCATTTTCTTAAGATTAGACATATAAATAAAATGAAGATTCTTTGAAATTTGTCATGTACAAAGTTATGTCTTTTTATTTTCTTTAAATACTGTGATTTAGAGTATGCAGTAAAATGATGTTTCATAATAGGTATTTTGTAGTTTGTTTCTCATTTTAAAAAATATGAAAATAAAATCCTAAAATGAGAAATTCAGGTGAAGGCTTTAGGGTAGGTTCTCATTTACTTGTGCAGACTTTAATATGCTTCTGCCCTTAAGTGAGACTGCTAATTTCCTAATGGTCCTATAGAGGATATGATGCCTTTTGCAGTTCCCCAAGGAACATCAGAGAGAAGAAGAAAAAAATACTGCTTGGGTTTCAAGATTGAAGAGTGAAAAATCTAAAAAAGCTCTCAATAGCCTACTGTAGAAATAATCCCCAGTGGTTCAAACTGCTTAGCTAGATGTAAAAAAATAAACATTCTCTTTCCCAGCATGCCTGCCACCCTGCAAATTATTTTATACAAGTCTCACTCATTTGGTCGGTAAATATTTATTGAATAACTAACTCTGTGAGTGCCAGGCATCATGGCATATTATCATGAGGATATGAAGAAACAGATTAAAAACTTAACTTGCTCTTGATAAACCCTTGGTCTAATTTGAGAAAATAGATTATGAAAAATGGTCATGTTTTCAGCAAGTATAGAGTGCTGTGGGAGCAAGGTGGGGCAAGGGACTATTAGAATCATAGAATTCTAGAACTGGAAGGGGGTTTAGAGATTATTAACCCACATTTGGACACACATTTTTTAAAAAAGATTAAAGAATCAGTGCAGTCAAAGGTGAAACTTTTCATTGATTTAGTCAACGAACAATTTCTGAGTAATATGTGCCCAGCATTGTTCTAGATGCTGGGGTTAAGACGGTTAAAAACAACAGCAAAGGCTGGGCGTGGTGGCTCACGGCTGTAATCCCAGCACTTTGGGAGGCTCAGGGAGGCGGATCATGAGGTCAGGAGATAGAGACCATCCTGGCTAACACGGTGAAACCCCGTCTCTACTAAGAATACAAAAAATTAGCCGGGCGTGGTGGTGGGCGCCTGTAGTCCCAGCTACTCAGGAGGCTGTGGAAGGAGAATGGCGTGAACCCGGGAGGCGGAGCTTGCAGTGAACCCAGATCGCGCCACTGCACTCCAGCCTGGGCGACAGAGCGAGACTCCGTCTCAAAAAAAAAAAAAAAAAAAAAAACAACAACAGCAAAAATTCTTGCTCTCATGGAAGTTACATTTTAGTGGCAGTGAAAGTCGCACAACTAAAATTGATCTAAGACTAGCATTGAGAACTACGTAGGTAGAGTAACTAGAAAATAATTAAAAATGAAGATCATGAAATGCACCAGGTTGTAGATGTTTTTACATCTGTGTCTCCGCACAACAGAAGAAAAAGCATGACCACTGATTCACTGAAATATCTGCAAAGTAGCAAGTGCGGCTCATTTAATTTCAAAAGATAACCAAATAAATAACATTTATTTTCATTATAGTAGATTTCAAGATATTTGCTGAATCCTTGCAGATCAGAGAAGAGTATTTCTAAAGAAGTAATAGGCAAGTAAAAAGTCAAATCTTCTGGAAAACTATTTTACAGTAGGGAAATTAAATGGAAAGCTCTTTATTTGGAAGACTAATTAGAATAAAGGAGCACTATACCTGTGTTATAAATGGACTCTCTTATGGAAAAGTTTTTGTAATTCTATATAATACTATAATTGTATGGAGTATATGAGGTATATTTGTATAGAGTATACATTTGTATACAATAAATTTGTATAGAGTATACAATGTGTAAAATGCATAGTGGTACTATAATTGGTTAAGGATTAGCTACACTTCGGAGGAGATCTAGTTTACAAAATGACCAGATTTTGTCATTAATCCTTTTTATAGAAGTGCTAAAACCTGGGCTCAAACACAAAACTTGACCTCCAACTCTGAAACCTTTGCTCTGCAGAATTGTTGGCTCATCTCAGTAAGTGGTAGTTGAGTACACAGGAACTTACAAATAATTATGAAAACCCTTAACTTCTCAGAGTTGCTGAACAAAATGGGATTCTTAACTCCTCTACATTTGTGAATAAAAAAATTCTTCATATTATGCAAAAATTAATATGCCATAATTTTAAAAATCATAAGGGTACGTTGGCTTTCATCAGCCTGTAGCTTGCACATAGTTTATGAATCTAGCAAAGGTCATGTTTAATCTGTGGAGTTGCTAGTTTTCATACATGTGGGAGGGAAATATTCAAAGGTGTTTGAATCATTCAAACTCTAGAGATCAATTCTGACTATTTTCTGGAATGTTTTTTCTTCTTCTAGTTGAGTTTTTCTTCTCCTTGGAAATATCCATTTCACAAGGGCATTTTTTTTTCTCTATAATGTTCAACTATTCCTTTCTTTTTCCGTTCTCTTCTCCATTTCCTTTTTATTCTCTATTTCTCCGTTTTTGTGGGGAGAATATTTTATCCCTGCTGTTTTCTGTTATGCATTGAGGTTCACACTGTAATAGTATGTGGCAAAATCAATTAACTGGTACTAAAACAGCTTTTTAAAAATGAAATAGAAGGGAAATAGGAGGATAATACCAGATTATCTACTGTATGTAATAAGAACAGACATTTTTTAAATGAAACATTATGAATCTGTTGTGTGTGTGTTTATATATATGATACTAAATGAATTTTTTACTGGGAGTCATAGTAAAAAGTTAAAAAACCACTGGATTAATGAGTGTTAAGGACTTGATAAAATTGTACAGAATTATTTCAAGTAACATATTTTAAAAACTGAACAGAGCATAAGCCATAAGCCAGGGCTTATGACTGTTTTCCCTATGGTGATTATTTGTTTTAAAATTTTTGTGGTAGCAGAATTTGGCCCTGTTAACATTTACTATAATGTTCATTCATATTAAATATATTCAGGTTGGAATGGATTTACTTCACAGAACAATCTGGCCCTCAGGAAAAAGGTGAAATGAGGGGAATTTTTTTTTTTTTTAAATATTCATACCCAGGATCCCAGACAGCTTTCTCTTTTGGGATTTGCCTTACGCCTTCCTATCCAGTATACTCTTCCACATAAGATTTATCTTAAAAGTCATTTTCCTCAAGAAACATTTTCTTACCAATAATTCATGTACCAACTTACTAATAACACACTTAACATAAAAAGGACAGATGTGGTCTTCTATTAATAAAATGAGAGACTTGCCTGCTCTTGTTTTGGGATTAAATGTTTTATTATTTCTTTTTTTTCAATCATTCTTTTACAGTAATTGTGTGGGAACAAAAGTGATAATGATTTGTAAAATTCTTATTTATATTTAAGAAATCCATTTCAGAGTTCTGTCTGAAGTAAAAAGAGTAAAAGCTCCACATGCCAAATAATTACTTGGTTATTTTTAAGCTAGTATAGAGATTAATCAAGAAGTTACTGGGAACTTACTGTTTGAAATTTATAGATGTGTATTCCCCATTTGCCCTGGTCGACCATTCCCATTCGCTACCAACCTTATAAATCCTTTGAATATGTACTCGCAATGAATAAACATAATGAATTATTACTCTGGGGGTACTCAAAAAATTTTGTTGGGAAAATGGACTTCTTGTGCCAAGACTCAATCAGTGTTAGCAGAAACCACAGAGAGACACAGAATATTTGAGTTTAAATGGCCTCAGAGATCTTAACTTAGGGATTTGGACTTTGTGACCAACAGCTCACAGGTTCAGGGCCTATCCACGGCCATGGACTCAGAGGAAGAGTGGTCCTCAAACCCAGGACTTCTGAGTTCAGTTAAGGACTAGTTCTAATAACAGTTGTTTCAGATCTCCCGAAATACTCTCAAACAGGCTGTGATAATGTACCCCCAAGATAAGAGCACAGCCAGGTGTGGCTAGCCACAAACACAACTATGTAGACAAATATTCTACCACGAAAGTTTATACAAATGTGCACATACTTAATGGTGTTTCTAGATACTTTCAATTACATAAGATTAGCTAAATCTTAGATGCCAGGAAAGTGGATTGTAATTTTTTTCTGACTTAGTGAACCCCCAGACACATGACTGCGTAACTCTGTGAGTGTGTATACGCAGCACCCATTGGTAACTTAACCTCCTGGTGTTGAGAAAGAACAGGCAGAAAATGGGTCATCTCCCTTTATTGCAAGATGATACTTATTAGGTATAGTACTTAAAATGGAACATCCATTTTAATGAGTGTCTAATCCTGATAATCTTGTAATATGTGATGCTCTTAAACTTGTGCTGGATCATGTTACACCAAATTAAATTTTTAACTGGTTCAGTATACTTTTAAAAGTATATTTAATTCATACTTTACCTTCTACCTATTTTTCAGTTGCTATATTCTCACTCTCTCTTGATTTCGGGGAACCAAAACATATTTGTATGATTTTCTGAATCTCTAATAAACTCTACTTTGGGCGAACACATCTATCAAAAGAGATGCCCTTTCAAGATTGTATTGACTTGCAACTATCTGTAGCAAGCTTTGTTTGTAAATCATCACTAACCTTTTTCATGTTTTAATTTTTTATGAACTGTTTTTAGTGTCCCTCTAGGATTTCAAATATTGCAGGAGAACAAATGAGTTATGATGTGATTCTCCGGGCTAAGAAACAAAACATACTTTTCAAGGTTCTGTCTAAAGTGTACTCTTAAGCCAAATCGTAAGAACCTGAGTCTTTTAAAAATGTTTCCAAAACTAAGTACTCACAAAATGTGCTGTACTTGTCCTATCTTAGCACTTGTCACACTTTATTGTACAGGTTTCATAATAGTGAGTGTCTTGTAAGAAACTTTACAACCTATGACCTTACCAGGAGCATGTTTTTCCACTCTACCATTTGCACCTAATATAATACCAAGCACATTACAGGTATAAGACAAATGTTTTTAGGTTAATGAGAAGTGGTTTGACTGTTGATAAGATTTTACTTAATATTGTGTGTATTGTTTGTGACATAACCATTATTTGAGAAGCAGCATATTTAGTAATTAAAGACAATAACAATATACGTGCATTTTTTTAGATTTCTTATTGCATTACTTAAAAAGCTCTGAAAATATATGGTGTCCAAAGCACATAGCTAGCTCTACTATCAGGTGGATCACTGCTCAACAAATACCCTGAATAGGTAAGATCTTCTAGGACCCTTACTGATACCAGTGGGACATGCACTTAAGAATACATACAACATTGATTTCATATATGGTATTCAAATTTACATCTCTAAAAATGAAAATATATTTTCTTACTACTTAATGTTAAAATTTATGGTAGATAAAAAGGAACGAGATCATGTGCTTTGCAGGGATATGGATGAAGCTGGAAGGCATCATCCCCAGCCAACTAACACAGGAAGAGAAAACCAAACACCGCATGTTCTCACTTATAAGTGGGAGCTGAACAATGAGAACACATGGACACAGGGAGGGGAGCAACACACACTGGGGCCTGTCAGAGGGAAGTAGGAGAGGGAGAGCATCAGGATAAATATCTAATGCATGTGAGGCTTAATACCTTGATGTTGGGTTGACAGGTGCAGCAAACCACCATGATACACGTTCACCTATGTAACAAACCTGCGTGTGCAGAAGTACGTGTGTCCCAGAACTTAAAATTAAAAAATAAAAAAAAATTTATGGTAGAACATGTGTGTAATTTTCAAATGAGCATAATATATTGGGGAAATGATTTTTTTTGACAAATATGTGATTTAAAAAAATTGAATATTACTGTTTACAAGACCATCATTAATATATATCCAGAATACTATGACGATGCAAAATATTGAATGATGGTTCAGGAACATGTTTACTCTTCATTGACATAAGTGCAGATGATGTAAACAATGCACTGTAAATATGCACATATTTTAAACTACCATTTGAGATCACATTATAGGAAAATTCTGGAAGTTACAAGCAAATGACAGATAAATAGAAACCAAATAGAATTGAGGAACTTGAAACACAGGTGAAGTAGAAAGCCAATGAAAAAGTGAAATTGCCTAGCAAAACTGCAAAAAAACTACTCAGACTGGCATTAACAAGAGCTTGGCTAGAGTAGTCTATGAGGTTGTTGGCAGGATAGTTTATCGCTAAGCTGCAAAGCTGGGCCAGTCAGAATGGCCAGTTGGGATGTGATGGTGAGCAGTATCATCAACAATGGAAGCTAGAAATAGGAGAATATTATCTTCAAGTAGTGAAGGGAAATAATTGTTCATCTAGAACTTTCTGTCTCCAAGCCTTTAAAAAAGAAGGACAAACTCAAGATTTTTGCAGAAAAATAAATATAGTGGGCATTTCTCATCAGCAAACCCACATAAAAAATGAAATGACTTCAAAGGAAGTCTGAGATGCAAGAAGATATGGTGAGCAAATAAAATAGACACATGTTTGTAACCGTAAGGAAACATTTACCAGGTAAAAGAATTACAACATTTTAAAACTAATGGGATAAAAATCAAGAAAAATAAATGTGAAAGAAGAGAATATAAATTGAGAAATGACTGATGAGATGAAAGCTTTCTGAGTTCCTTTCATTATTCAGGAGTAGTGTAAAGAGATTGATTAGGCTGGGCGCGGTGGCTCACGCCTAAAATCCTAGCACTTTTGGAGGCTGAGGTGGGTGGATCACCTGAGGTCAGGAGTTCAAGACCAGCCTGGCCAGCATGGTGAAACCCCGTCTCTACTAAAAATACAAAAATTATCCAAGCATGGTGGCGGGCGCCTGTAATCTCAGCTACTCGGAGGCTGAGGAAGGGAGAATTGCTGGAACCCAGTAGGCAGAGGTTGCAGTGAGCCCAGATCCTGCCATTACATTCCAGCCTGGGCGACAACAGTGAGACTCCATCTAAAAAAAAAGAGAGAGATTAACTTTAATATGTAAGTGAAACATCATGTTAAATTTTATAAGAAAACAGCTAATAGAACAGAAACAATGTTTATATACCAAAGCATAAAGAGAAAAAAAAAAACCTTGGATTTTCAATGAAGTGATTTAATAACTATTTAGTTAAAGATGCAAAATTAAAGTACTGACAGTAGAGGGCAGGGTATCCCTGATGCTGTGCTGATAATTTCTTGAAATTGCAGAGTATCTCATGTTATCCCTAAAGTCATATATTTCATGTATTGAGCCAGATATTAAAGATTTTATGTTTAAAAAATACTGATAACACAATTTACTTTTTATTAAAAACAGAGATCTTGATATGATCTGTGTAATATGAAGACCTAGCTTCTAGACAGGAAATGGTATATTTATTTTCATTCTCTGGATTTAGAAAATTTATTGAGTTTTGCTGATACATTTTGAGAGTCATTTTTTTTTTGCATTGAAAACAATTTTGAAGTCTCTTGGTTAAAAAAGAAAAAAGAAAAAAAGTAACTATACAACAGGATAGTGACCATCCCAATATCCAATCTCTAAATAATGGCCAATATTATTTCTGGATGTGATTCTTTAGCTATATGCTTTCCGATCCTATAAATAACTTTTAAAATCCTTCTTTGATTCTGAATCCCTTACAACATCTTTGTGGTTTAGTGCAGACAAAACTGGATCTTATATCCTGTTTTAAGCAACTGTGTTAACATATACGAAACACTCAAATGCTTGTTTCTTTGTGAATAAATAAGATGTTTTATGTTGCCGCCCTCTTTATGTTAATTATTCTAATTAAATTGTCAAAGTACAGAGTGTAACTGGACTTTAACATTTTATTAATTAGTCACTTAGGAGAGCCTAGGTTATTCTGCTATTAGTCACTGATATTTAAGTCACTTGTTATTACTGGATAACACTGATATCATTGATACTTAAGTGACTTAAAATACCAGTGACTTACAGCAACAATATTTTATTTCTCATTCTGCTACACGGTCCTCTGGGTTGATCCTAGTGTGATTCCACGTTGTCTTCACTCTGGACTCCAGCTCATGGAGCAGTGTTTCTCTGCAATATTCTAATCTCATAGAACAGGAGTAAAAAGAAAGTGCCAGACTACATAGTGGCTCTTAAAATTTCTGTTTGCTGGTGACATGTGTCACTTCTGCCCACTTTTCACAAGTCATACGACCAAGGCTGATATTAGTCAGTGAGGGAGTATAATCCTTCCTGAAAGCTGGGCTGTAAACACTTGCCAAAAGTAACGCCATCTACTACAGTATCTTTATGATATTTCTGAGAAATCGAGCCAAAATTTTAGTCAACCGGTTGGTGTAAACTACTTATACAGATGTTCTGTACATATTATTATTGTTTAGTCTTCAGTCCCTGAGGATTCTGACGAAAGTGCTCTAGGAATCTAGTACATTAAGTCCTGACTTAATACTGTTAATAGGCTCTTGGAAACTGACTGAGTGAAAAGATGAATGAATGGGGAAACCAATCTTCCCACAGGCTACTTGGTATAAACAAGAGTTAAGTTCCTACAGCATATTTTGATCACAAAAACATCAGCAAACTTCTAACTAAAGACTAAAACACTTCTAATTTTAAATATTATAATAAATGTGAGCAATGTATACATTTAAGAAAGAGTGATAAAAACAAGTAAGACAATTATTTACCCATTTATTTCAGTTCAGGGTTGTGGGTGTCCAAAACCTATGCAGACAGCTTAGAGCACAAGACAGGAACCAACCCTAGACGGGATGCCATCCCATCAAAGGGCACACTGACATAAACACACACACACACACACACGCAGACTGGGACCATGTAGGCATCCCAATTCACCCAACATGCACAGCGTTGAGGCGTGGGAGAACACTGGAGAACGGGGAGAAAACTCATGCAGACATGAGGAGAACGTGCGAACTCCATTCAGACAGTGGCCCCAGCTGGGAATCAGTTTTCTTCTCATCAACATTATAACAACATGATTTTATTTGAGGACCTGCTGTGGACTGTATATTTTATTTAGGAATGACTATATCTTATGTTGGTGATTTTTTTTTTTTTTTTTTTTTGAGACGGAGTCTCTGTCTCTCGCCCAGGCTGGAGTGAAGTGGCGCGATCTCGGCTCACTGCAAGCTCCACCTCCCGGGTTCACGCCATTCTCCTGCCTCAGCCTCCCGAGTAGCTGGGACTACAGGCAACCGCCACCACGCCCGGCTAATTTTTTGTATTTTTAGTAGAGACGGGGTTTCACAGTGTTAGCCAGGATGGTCTCTATCTCCTGACCTCGTGATCCACCTGCCTCGGCCTCCCAAAGTGCTGGGATTACAGGCGTGAGCCACTGTGCCCGGCCTATGTTGGTGATTATTAATGGTAAGGAAAAATTTTAGAAGGTCCTGAAAAATGAAATAATGCTATGATAATGAGTTTACTTTGCTTTTTCACAAGGATGGGATGGCAAAGAGAGCTCCTGGTCTCTCCTTCATTCTGTTTCTGGTGGAAGGGATTATAGATCTATGAAGGAGAGAGGGAACAAAGAAAACAAAGATTTTTTTTCCTTGTTAGAATCAACTGTAGGTCTTAGAAGACTACTTTCGTGAATATAGTGTTTTAAATTTACAAAATAATTTATGATTTTTTTTCATAAAACTTTTAGACTAAGGCTGGTAAGCTAACAGGTGATATGATTGCCATTTTCCTGTGGAGGATTCAGATTTAGAAATAATTAGCTCAGGTAATGAATATTGTAAAGACTGAGAATTTAAATTTTGTGACTTTTTTTTTCTTTTACCCATAGATTATGTAGCTTTTCAATTATTGTAGAAGTCTTAACGTTATCTTTAGTCATGCTGTGTTCCTAGATGTGACTCTCAAATAAATTCTGGTGAAAACTATTATTTAAAAAATGAAATGACTGACCTAACATATTGATTATTTTTCAACTCTGCTTTATAACTGTAAGAAAAACTAGATATGACTAAAATATCTTTCCCTAATATTTGAATTTTAAACAACTTAAAGCATGTATAGCTATCTTGTCCATTATTATTATACTTGTGAGACAAATTTGCAAAGTAACAATATTTTTGAAATTAAGAAAAAATATAGATCATAGGACTTGTTAAACTAGATATTTCTGTATTAAAAAGAGCTCAAAGTCAGCTCCTTTTTTCCCCTTTCATTTTAGAAGGCTGAATACTGATCAAATTTCAGGTCTACAGATATACTCTGAAATAAGGTTATTAAATTCACATCCTGCTAGGGGAGCTACCTACCTTGTTTATGCCCCCTGGGCATCCAGATTTTTTTGTTCACTAAATCATGACAAGTAACAATTCACATTACCTAATCAGTTTCTTTAGAATAGGACCATATAGACAGCCAAAATAATATTTGAGAATTAGTGAGCCTGCCCACACTGTAGAAAGAGAACCGTATTTATTTTATTTTCTCTTATTGTATGGCAGTTTAATTATTAAAGGCATGGTATTGAGTTTGAATCTTGGTTTATTGCCTTTTAGATCAGGGGTTGGCAGACCATAGTCTGCCAACCAATTATTGGTTGGTCAGTCATTTCATTTTTTAAATAATAGTTTTCATTTTAAATAATGAAAACTATTATTTAAAAAATGAAATGACTGACCTAACATATTGGCCCCACCAATGATTTTCGCAACACAGCTGTGTTTTTTGTGTAAGTATTGTCTATAGATGCATTTTCTCTATGCAGCAACAGAGTTGAGCAGTTGTGATGGAGACCTTAAGGCTGGCAAGGCCAAAATATTCACTCTCTGGCCTTTCAAGAAAAAATTTACTGATCCCTATTCTAGGCGGATGACTTTGCCCAAGTTATTTAAGTTTCTTTGCCTCATCTTCTAATTATAAAATGCTAATGATAGTCTCTACTAAGTTGGGTTTGTGTGAAGATTAAATGATTTACTTTATACAAAAAATTAGCATAGTGATAGATTGGAAATAAGTGCATCATAAAGACTAGTTATTGATGAAACTATCATCTTATCAAGAAATATAGACTGGCATGTATTTCCTTGTCACTGGAGGAAATATAAGGAACTGGTAAAAGCTCTTATAAGAGAATGAATCTTTGGTGATATTTCATCAAGAATCTGGATTCTTTTGTGCTGAATCTCTTTTCTGGGTTCCACGGAATTCTAGCCTCTTGCAAGCCTGCTCTGGAGTGCCCCTTCTTGTAGCAGGCCCTTTCTTGTTATCTGTGGGGCTATCTCCATGTCTACATCTGGAATTGCTCAAAGGTCACTGAAGTATTGAAACTTTATTAATGGATTTGTTCCCCTCCAAATTGCTTTCCACAATGCCTGCAGCCAGGAGCTTATAGCTGGGGCATGGCTTTTCTGTCTGATTTTGGAGACCTCACTGCTTTGCCCTTTATTTACCTTCTCAGTGAGGAACAAAAAGGTTTCATTCTGTTTGCTATTAGACATGAAGAGTTTTCATGAGTTAACAAGTTCTTTATTGGGCAAATGTATTTCAGTCCAGCATGTTTAAACATTACAGATGGGAGCAAATTTTAGGGCTTTCTGATTTACAATACTATGTTCAATATCAGGTAAATTGCAAAATATGTGAAGACTTATTTCTTTAGCTTTGTGATTGCCAATATTCTTAAGATTGTTTTTCAGATTACAAGTAAAATATGTAAATTTTAGAAATTTTAACAAATATAGAGAAAGAAAAGTCTGCTTTAAGCCTTTTCCTCAATTGTGGCACTTTCTGTCTTGTGTTCTCTTCACACACACACACAGACACACACACACACAATTGTACTTTATATAGTAATATATCATATCATTGATATGCTTTATTGTGTCTTGTATCATGTTTAACTTGATACAGTCCCAGGCATAGTTTCCTATATGATTAATTTTTGCAACATAGGATTTCAGTCTGTAGAAGTACCACAATTTATTTAAACAGTTCATATTCCAAACTTAGGAAGAGAGTAAATTGTTACAACTTTTCTAAAGGTTAATCTGTTAATATAATGTGAAATTTTTAATTTAGAGTCTCTTAGACATAGAAAATTGCATTTCTAGGAATTTATCCTAGGGAAACTAATAGGAAAACCTCACCTAAATACAGGTATTGAAATGCTCACATTAGAGTGTATAAGAGTGAAAATAGTTTTGTGGGCTCAATGTCCACGAGTAGAAGATTGTGTAACTACTTTATGGTGCACGCTTCCAATGGAATGCAGTCTGGTTAAAAGTGAAGGAGTTCATTTTTCTTTATGTACATTAAAATGCTTTATGCTGTTTTAAGTGAAATAGAGCAAATGAAATGAAAAGAATAGTTTAACAGATCTTAGTTTGGCAAACACACACACACACACACACACACACACATAAATCTGGATGAATACTTGTCATGATACCTACTGTAATTAACTCTAAGTACTAGCATCATGTAGTATTGTTTCTTTTTAATTTTTTCTTTGTAACATTTGTCAGTGATCCATGTATTGCTTTTGTGATCTGGGAAGAAAAAAGATAACTTCAAAAAGAGAAAAAGGATTTATTAGGTATGAGACACTTCATAAACCTGTGCTTCCATTTATTTACAATAGTTGAGAAGATATTGGGAACAATTCTTACTTTTTAGTGGAATCTTCATTTTTCAAGTACTCACAAAACTTGGGAATGACTCTGCTTACAGTTTAAAGGTGCTATGGAAATATTTTTATCCAAAGATTGTCAGACTCATGGACAAATGGGGACATTAGGATTTCTCATGCAAGGTGGACAGTCCTGTGGGTAAAAGTACATGCTTCTAGCTTTTGCTTAATATGATTTCTTCAGACAGCTGCTCAATCCATAGGAAGAAGGAAGGTGATAACAATGGAACTGAATAGGGGACCTCATGCTGCTAACACTGAGAAATCTTATAATCAGTAGAGAGGTTGTAGGACTTTTTGCGCTTGTTACCATTTTGTTCTGCCAGTAAATAATGGGGCTATAAAAGTGCGCAGTTTTTATTAAATAAACTACTATTATGGCAACCTAGAATTATTATCTTGCTCCTAATTCATCTATAAATAGCATTTGACTAATTAGAATTTAAAAATTCAAACCAAACACATGTCCTTAGTAAGAATTCCTAATTCTAATTAAGTCTCTCTCTCTTTGTATATACATACATATATATAGAAATACATATATGAATTTATATATTTCTTATATATATAAGAAAATATGTATATATACACACACAATTATATATTATATGTATACATATTATATATTAATATATGTATTATATGTATACATATTATATATTAATATATGTATTATATGTATACATATTATATATTAATATATGTATTATATGTATACATATTATATATTAATATATGTATAATATGTATGAATTTGGCCTTCAGATAGTTTGTGAAATTTATGTTAATATCCTCTCCTTCTCTCTAGTCATGTATTATGGTATTTAATTCATAATGTTGTAGGTAAAAATAAGAACGTTATTGTTTTCCTTTGCTTTTTTTACTACTAGTGTGGTTGAACATTGTTTTCTTATTCTATTTATTGAGTAGTTTATTCTTGTTAGAAATCCTCTTACAGTTCTTTGCCCTTGTTTTCATTAGAGCAAGGGGTTGTAAACTCTGAGCTGCAGACCAAATTCAACCTGCTACCTATTCTTGTAAATAAAGTTTCATTGAGAAATAACCCTGCCCATTTATTTACATATTTTATTGTTTATGTTTTTGTGGTTGTTGTTATAACAGAAGGATCAGATAGTTGTGGCAGAGATTCTATGGCCTGGAAAGCCTAAAGTATTTACTCTCAGATTCTTTATAGATAGAGTTTATGGGATCCTATCTCTGTATTAGAGAGCTGGTTTATAAAAAATATTTTTATCAATTTGAATGAGCTATTTATGAAGTAAAAATTTTAACCTTTGTTTCAAATACTTTTGCAAATATTTTAAGTATTTTGCTTGTCTCATTAGGTCCTGATGGTTTTTCATCTCTATGAGATTCCTATTTCCCCCTCTTTTGATTTCTCAGAATGCTGGGTGCTGGAGTGATGGATGTAGTATCCAATAACTTAGCACGGCTGCCACTATCCTTTTTACCACGATTCCTTTTCTCCTTTGACTTATCTCTCTTTCTCCATTTTCCTGCCCCACTTCTTACTGTTTCCTGACTTTGCTGTTGTTCGATCGTCTGTTTTCAAAGTGGGATCATTAGTTATGAAGGAAGATTTTTCATGAAGAGCCAATTAGATTGTTATATAGCTTTCTTGTATACATTATTAGTCACTAGGTGTTTTTATAATTAAAAAGAAATGGATGAAACTCTTTCTTCCCATTCATAGTCATAATCCAATATTTTGAAAAATGTTTCTCAACAATGGTGGTGATCAAATGATGTTGCTATGGCTTATTCCCATGTATCTAAATATTATAAATACAGGGAGATGGAAATCACTAGCCCCCATGATAATCATTATTTCTCTCCTTCCTAGGCCCATGTAAAGACTTCCCAACCTCCCTTGCCATTAGGGCAGGGGCATGCATCTAATTGTAGACTAAGGTTTTGAGAGGAAGTGCCATGTGTCACTTTAAAAGTATGATTGTAAATTCCTATTGATTTGGCCACCTCAGGATCCAAAAGTTGAGACAGCGACTAAAAGACAGTGATACAACCAGTATCTTGGTTCCCTGAATGACTATATGGAGCAGAGTTCCCACATAAACTGAACATTTCATGTGAACAAGAAATTAACCCATGCCTCCATAAGCCACTGAGATTGTGTGATTAATTTGTTACCACAGTATAACCCAATTTATTCTCACTAATCCAGAAATGGATTTTAGAAATTGAGTTTTGCTATCACAAAATCCTTTATATGTACTCAGCAGGCAGTAGACAAGTGTTGAGAATGTTGACCCTGAAGCGGGCAAAGAAGAAAATTAATGTTACATGGTAGTAAAACATTTGGTGAAACTGTGATAAGTCAGGACTTGGAAGGCAGACCATAGGCCTAGGTACCTTTTAGCTCCTGGATGAAAGGGGGAAACTAGAACCAAAATAGTAGATGTTAACTGCTATTGGCTATGTTTGGCAAGGTACCGTTAAAACAAAAATGAATTCAGGAAAGAATCAGCTGGCTCACAAGCAGAAATGAGAAGAAATAAAGAGGATCTAGAAATGAGGATTCCTACAGTATGGGAAAAAACAACTGCCTCTTGACCCAAAGCAGTAAGCAAAGGGATTTTACAGAGCATTCAAGAAAACTGTTTGGTTGATTAAAGACCTTAAGTTGACTAAAGTCCTTAATAGTGAGGCCTTCCCATAGGTTATTGCAGATATGTTGAAGGTCGCCCCATCCAATTGAGAGAAAGTGACATGGGGTTGAGAAAACAAAGAGCTCTCTAGGAGATCCAAGAACCAGGTATTTGAAAGTGTGAGTGTAGTTACTGGCACAGGGCAGGGACTGGAAACGGGTGGAGAAGAAGCCTCTTAAGTATTTGAGGGTAATGTGCTGCCGAAACGACCACAAGCCAGGACTGAAGAAGCCTTTGACGGTATGAGGCTGAAAATGACCTTTGTGCACTGAAGCTTATGTGAGCAAAAGGGGGCTGGCAAAGCTGTGGAGTCTTATTTTCAGATACAGTCACAGAAGGGAATGGAAAAAAAAAAGAAACTGTCATAGGGTAGAGACAGAAGCCACATACCGGTGGGGAGCCTTTGCTGCTTGTGCTCCGCAGGACTTCAGGATTTAAATGGGCTGAGACGTATGTCCTGTTCCTCTCCTTTCTAAAAGTGAGTATTATTGTAATTATTCTGGCTCTGCCACCCCTTCATTTAGAGTGTGTGTGTGTGTGTGTGTGTGTGTGTGTGTAGGACAGGCAATTTGGCTTTTAAATTTAGAGGTCTCCAGACCAACAGAAACAAGCTCTGGACTTGGGAGGGATTATTGCATTCACGTAGACGCTCTGGACTTTGAGATTAAGGGACTGACTGGATGGGCTTCAGGCTGTTTCCCATGTGGTAGTGCCGAGTATGCGTTATGTGTCAGAAGAATAGCAAACTGAAAACTTAATGAGTAAGAGGTGGTAGATAATAGTCTTCACCATAATTGATTTTTCTCCTTTTGCCTGAAAATTTCCTAACACTCCTTAAAGTACTCAGGGACAAAATTTGCCAATGAGCTGTGAACAGAAATAAAGTGCTTCTCATAAGAGTGGCTGTGAGTTCTCTAAGCTCTTCCTTTGCTATAGCAAGCGTTAAAGCCATGTGTGTTTGTGTGTTCCAGCATCACAAGATAGAGAAGTCTCCCTCAGCCCAGGTTCCAAAAACACCATGAAGAAGAGAAACCTTTGTTAACCCAAGCCAGACACATGTGCAAGAAGAGATCTTTTGTTGTACAAGCCATTGAGATATGAAGTTAACATTTTAAAAAAATCAATGTTACAACAAGTTCTCTATTTGAAAAGCTTACCTGGGATTAGTCCCAGGTTAATAATGGTGTAGAACACTTAAATAAGAAAGCAAAGGCTGCTCAGAATAAAGACTACTTAATATACATTCAAGTTAAAAGAAAGCTGAAAGATCCTATTTGGCAAATTCTGATCCCCTAAAAACTGTATTTCATGCCCTTAACAATTGTTCATAAATTGTAAGACATAAATTATTTGATTCTAAACATATTCCTTTTTTTTTTTTTTTTTTGAGATGGAGTTTCATTCTTGTTGCTCAGGCTGGAGTGCAATGGTATGATCTCGGCTCACTGCAACCTCCGCCTCCCAGGTTCAAGTGATTCTCCCATCTCAGCCTCCCAAGTAGCTGGGATTACAGGTGCACACTGTCACTCCTGGCTAATTTTTGTATTTTTAGTAGAGATGGGGTTTTTCCATGCTGACCAGGCTGGTCTCCAGCTCCTGACCTCAGGTGATCCGCCCACCTTGGCCTCCCAAAGTGCTGGGATTACAGTTCTGAGCCACCGCACCAGGCCAAAATATCCCATTTTTAATGTGAACTACCCCAAAAGACCAATGAATGCTGTACATATTTTCTTTTTAGTACAAGCTATTATTTTCACCTATAATCATGGACTGGTAGAATGCTACATAGTACCCGATTTAATTATGCTTTTCTCATTTTCTAAGTTAATTTAGTTTTATCTAAGGACATCAGAGTAACTTCTTTAATATTTTATAAGATTCTCAACAAACAACAGTGCTTACATTAGGGAAATAAAGCATTCACTAATTAAAAAGTTCTGAGGATATAGATCTACAGTTAATATAAATTATGTACTGGTTTAATGTGTGGTGATAAGTCAAGAAACTTTATTTAAAATATGACTATATCAAATTATTTACTTTCCTGCTTAATTGTTGGTACAAACTTTAATGAAGATTGGAGTTTCCTAGGAAAGGTAAATGAGAGTTCTAAAATTGAATAGCGTTCACTGCAGGAGAACTTGGGAAACTGAAACTTAGTTTTATAGAGACAAAGAAAATAAAACTAAGTAGATAAAACTGACCTGTAATGTATTTCTTAGGAAATACGTGCATGCATATCTTTTTTGTTTCTATAAACAATCATTTCTACATATTCTTTTTATAATAATGTGGGGATTGTCAAATTTTCATGTTTGCAAATTAAAATCTATACATGAAATTGCCTGAATTGTGAAAAACTATAGCTATTCCTGAAGCTTTTCAGTTAATTTTACAAACATTGAGTCTTATTTTCTTGTTTAAACTTTGCTCTTTTCTTTAGAGTACAGTCTTTTTATGTCTCTCAAGCAGCCTCTGATCTTGCACTCGACCTGCCCATAAATATGAGACAGATGGAAATAAATAATCCACTCGAAAATCCACTTGACACAAGTACTACATTTTATGTCTTACAGGACTGGAAATGGCTCTGAATTTAAAGTCATTTCAGGACTCTATGACACTTAGAGAAGATGTCTTTTGATTTTTCCCATCTAACTAGAAATTTCTGGCCTTCTTCAACCTTCATGTAATAGTGAATTTATTGATACTGCATTTGCAAGGTTGACGTTTCATTTCTAAGAAAAGAATGTTTACTACAATTAGATGAGAAGAGTCTCTTCTGGTCAAAGAAGATCTCTTAAGAGTAGTTCACATGGGGAAAAGAAAAGTGAGTATCGTTTATTTTTAGTAGTGGGCTTGTATTGCTGTTTTGCATCTGCATTTGTAAGTAGCTTTAAAAATCCAATATCCATGCCAAGAATGATTGTAGAAACACATACAAACCTTATTTTTTTATTCCTTACATTACTTTAATTTCAAATCATTCGTATGTATTTCCTAGTAAGGTAAGCAGAATGGTTCTTTTTCACGGCATCCCACAAATTCTCAGTGTAATTCAGTAGTCCTCTCTTATCCGTGGTTTTGCTTTCTGAGGTTTCAGTTTTACCCACAGTCAACTGCGATCCAAAAATATTAAACGGAAAATTCCAGAAACAAACAATTTAGAAGTTTAAATTGCGCACCATTCTGAATAACGTGATGGAATCTTGTGCTATCCTGTTCTGTCCAGCCCAGGACATGAAACATCCTTTTGTCTAGCATATCCACATTGTGGAGGCTACTCCGTCCTCAGTCACTTAGTTTCTGTCTCATCATCAGATCGAAAAACACAGTATGTATCAGGTTTGGTACTCTCTGTGGTTTTAGGTATATACTGGGGGTCTTGGAACACATCCTCCTAGGATTAGTAGGGACTATTGTAATATTGCATTGAGGACAACTCTTTGTCAAGATAATTTTTTTTCTTTTTTTTTTAAATTATACTTTAAGTTTTAGGGTACATGTGCACAATGTGCAGGTTTGTTGCATATGTATACATGTGCCATGTTGGTGTGCTGCACCCATTAACTCGTCATTTAGCATTAAGTATATCTCCTAATGCTATCCCTCCCCCCTCCCCCCACCCCACAACAGGCCCTGCTGTGTGATGTTCCCCTTCCTGTGTCCATGTGTTCTCATTGTTCAATTCCCACCTATGAATGAGAACATGCGGTGTTTGGTTTTTTGTCCTTGTGACAGTTTACTGAGAATGATGGTTTCCAGCTTCATCCATGTCTCTATAAAGAACATGAACTCATCCTTTTTTATGGCTGCATAGTATTCCATGGTGTATATGTGCCACATTTTCTTAATCCACTCTATCATTGTTGGACATTTGGGTTGGTTGCAAGTCTTTGCTATTGTGAATAGTTCCACAATAAACATATGTGTGCATGTGTCTTTATAGCAGCATGGTTTATAATCCTTTGGGTATATACCCAGTAATGGGATGGCTGGGTCAAATGGTATTTCTAGTTCTAGATCCCTGAGGAATCGCCACACCGACTTCCACAATGGTTGAACTAGTTTACAGTCCCACCAACAGTGTTAAAGTGTTCCTATTTCTCCACATCCTCTCCAGTACCTGTTGTTTCCTGGCTTTTTAATGATCACCATTCTAACTGGTGTGAGATGGTATCTCATTGTGGTTTTGATTTGCATTTCTCTGATGGCCAGTGATGGTGAGCATTTTTTCATGTGTCTTTCGGCTGCATAAATGTCTTCTTTTGAGAAGTGTCTGTTCATATCTTTTGCCCACTTTTTGATGGGGTTGTTTGTTTTTTTCTTGTAAATTTGTTTGAGTTCCTTGTAGGTTCTGGATATTAGCCCTTTGTCAGATGAGTAGATTGCAAAAATTTTCTCCCATTCTGTAGGTTGCCTGTTCACTCTGATGGTAGTTTTTTTTGCTGTGCAGAAGCTCTTTAGTTTAATTAGATCCCATATGTCAATTTTGGCTTTTGTTGCCATTGCTTTTGGTGTTTTAGACATGAAGTCCTCGCCCATGCCTATGTCCTGAATGGTATTGTCTATGTTTTCTTCTAGGATTTTTATGGTTTTAGGTCTAACGTTTAAGTCTTTAATCCATCTTGAATTAATTTTTGTATAAGATGTAAGGAAGGGATACAGTTTCAGCTTTCTACATATGGCTAGCCAGTTTTCCCAGCACCGTTTATTAAATAGGGGATCCTTTCCCCATTTCTTGTTTTTGTCAGGTTTGTCAAAGATCAGATAGTTGTAGGTACGTGGCATTATTTCTGAGGCCTCTGTTCTGTTCCATTGGTCTATATCTCTGTTTTGGTACCAGTACCATGCTGTTTTGGTTACTTTAGCCTTATAGTATAGTTTGAAGTCAGGTAGCATGATGCCTCCAGCTTTGTTCTTTTGGTTTAGGATTGACTTGGCAATGCGGGCTCTTTTTTGGTTCCATATGAACTTGAAAGTAGTTTTTTCCAATTCTGTGAAGAAAGTCATTGGTAGCTTGATGGGGATGGCATGGAATCTATAAATTACCTTGGGCAGTATGGCCATTTTCACGATATTGATTCTTCCTACCCATGAGCATGGAATGTTCTTCTGTTTGTTTGTATCCTCTTTTATTTCATTGAGCACTGGTTTGTAGTTCTCCTTGAAGAGGTCCTTCCCATCCCTTGTAAGTTGGATTCCTAGGTATTTTATTCTTTTTGAAGCAATTGTGAATGGGAGTTCACTCATGATTTGGCTGTTTGTCTGTTATTGGTGTATAAGAATGCTTGTGATTTTTGCACATTGATTTTGTATCCTGAGACTTTGCTGAAGTTGCCTATCAGCTTAAGGAGATAATTTAAATGACTTTCTTTGCTATAGTAGTAATTAAGGCTTAGTGATCCACAGAGTCTTTCAACCATTGGAAATAAGAGCAAACACATTGAAATTTGGGACAAATATTTCACTAACACTTTTCATCCTAAAACTTGAAATGAAAGCAACTGATAAAGACAATAAGCCTACTAAAGAAACATGCCATGGAACTAGCTGTAGGTAGATGGACAAGGGTTGAGAGGGAAGGCAATCAGATGGCTAGAGTGGTAAGTTTTCAAAATATTGGCATTCACCTTTCTTAGCTTCCTCACTGCTGCTTAGTGGAGTATTTTTTGGCAGATAATTTCTCTGCATTTTTATGTGTTTAATGAGAAACATCTTTATATTTTGAAGATGATTGAGATAGTTTCTCTTTGAGGGCTATTTTATCTGTGCTCCAAAACCCAAATAGAAGCTTTTAGCTGATTAATGTGAATATTGAAAGCATAAATACAAATTAAACTTCTCTCCCTCTGTGTCTCTTAACCCAATCTTTCTGTTTAACTAACAAAATAAGCAAAAACAGCACACGTATTTTTATTTAGAAACATTATCAAAATTAAGGCAAGAGTTCCAAATGCCAGCTGTGCCATGAACTGTAAGTAATTTCTGGAACAATTATTAGAAAAAATAATTTTGTTTAATAAATTACTTGAGAGGCTCAGAATATGTCTCTTATGACTTTACATATTTACATAAATGAGAAGTACTAAAATTGAAGTCATTAAAAGATGTTTATTTACTTCAGAACTCTACACCAATAATTTACTTGATTCCACCGAACGCAGTCTGTTCTCCCTGCCCTTAGGTAATGACATGTATGCTAATCGCTCATTTCGCTGGAACATTTAAAAAATGTATTTTAGATTGCTTTAGAAACTCAATTTATAACTTCTTCAGATGCTCAAAGCCAAGTGCAGGACTGTAATACATCTTTAAGAGACAGCGGCGTTTTTGTGAAAATAACTAAAAGATCAGTAAATAGAAAACAGAAAACATTGAAGACATTTCAATTCTTTCACTTAAGGAAGAAATATTTACACTGTCAAATGTCCCTGAAAGGCATTGAGGAGATTTACATAGAACGTCAAATATTTCTGATTATGAAATGGGTTATTTTTAAAGTGGTCTTTCTCTTTTGTAGCAGAATTATTAGTAGAGGCAGTGCTGGTATCAATGGTAGCAATGTCTATTGAGAGCTTACTAGATACCAAGCACTGTACTAAATGCTGTGCAAGATTTCTCATTTAATTGACTCTTCCCTTGCTGAAATCCTGAAGTTCATTTTATTTGTATTATACAGATAAGGAAACTGAGTCTTAGATAAGTTCATTTGTTAAAGGTCACAAAGCTAGAGGGTTACTGAGCTGAAACTACAGCAGCCAAGCCTGTAAATGTTACTTAAATTTTCTGAGTCTTAAATTTGTTTTCCTAGGTAGAATAAAAATGATAAGACCGATCTCTGATAATGCTTATTATTACTAAATGAGGTAACAAATGTGAAGATACACAACACATGTTTAATAAATGTTACTTATCCTCCTTAATTAGCTATGCACATGTCACCAAAACGCTGCCATCTATGACATTACATTTAAATTATGTGTATATCCTATTACTAAACTATGAGCTCTGAGATGATTTGGATGGAACCATGTTTTAGTCCTCCAGTATCTCCTTATCTATTACCACATACACACCCCAGTACGTTGTAAGCATGCAATCGATGTTGACTATTAAAAAATGAATGGGGGAGAGCGCAAGGAATGCACCCATGTGATATTGGTTGGAAGGCAGTTGGACAATATAGTTTAGATTTTGAAATGTGCTTACTCTTTGGTTTAACAATTCCACTTCTAAAAAGGATGGGGCTTGTGAACTAAGATATATTTCACCTATAGTCATCACAACATTGTCTTCAATATGGGAAAGTCAAAAACATCCTAATTGTCAATTTAAAAATTGTAACAGGCCAACCATGGAATAGTATGAAGTCATTAAATGATGTGCAAATGCACTTAGTGGTGAGAGAGTCTCCATTTGAGGGTAGAGGGTAGGGGGAGCGAGAGAAGCAGAAAAAGTAACTATTGGGTACTAGATTTAATACCTGGATTTGTTGTCATTATTTCACCTGTACAACACCCATGACACGAGTTTACCTATTTATGAAACCTTCACATGTACCCTCTAACCTAAAAGTTTAAAAAAGATATATTTGTTAATATGTGAAAAGGGATGTGATATAAATATATGATCATCTTCCTGATACACACATGCACACTATAAAATTAATAAGTCAAAAAATAGTTATATCTGGGTAAAGGATCACAAGCTATCTTTATTTCTCACACTTTTCTTTATTCCTTTAAAATATTTTGTAGAAAGTATGTATATCTTAATCTGCAGAAAAAAGTAAGTTACTTTAAGAGATGAATGGCATCATTCTCAATAATTGGGTTTTTGACATAAGGCTTCAGCAATGGATGGTATTAGGTTTTTAAAATATTGAGCAAGCCATACCTTAAAAGAATCATTTGGTATTAGGAAATTATTTAAAGCAATGCCTTTTAGGCTATTAGCAACTTTTTTTTACTTCGTTAATAATTAAATATAGGAGGCTTTAAGTCGTTTCTCAGATTACTTCTTTTTCTACCCTTTGTGTTTACATGAGGTTAAACATCTAGAACTTTGAGATAGAAGATTTGTTTGTGTTGTTTGATGACGGGGAAAGATTCGGGATGTGTGTCTTTGTCCATTCAGGCTACTATAATAAGTTACCATAGACTGGGTGGCTTAAACACACAGAAATTTATTTCTCATAGTTCCAGAGGCTTGGAAGTCCAAGTCAACGCATTGGCAGATTTGGGGTCTGGTGACGGACTGTTGCTTGGTTCATACGTGACTCCTTCTCACTGTGTCCTTATATGGTGAAAGGGGTCAGGCAGTTCTCTGGGGCTCCTTCTTTTTTTCTTTTTCTTTTTTCTTTTTTTGGTGACAGAGTCTCACTCTGTCACCAGGCTGGAGTGTAGTGGCACAATCTCGGCTCACTGCAACCTCTGCCTCCCGAGTTCAAATGATTCTCCTGCCTCAGCCTCCCAAGTAACTGGGACCACAGGTGCGTGCCACGACGCTCAGCTAATTTTTGTATTTTTAGTAGAGATGTGGTTTCACCACGTTGGCCAAGATGGTCTCGATCTCCTGACCTCGTGATCTGCTCATCTTGGCCTCCCAGTGGGGCCTCTTCTTAAAGGGCACTAATGCCAATTTTAAAGCCTCTTCCCTCTTGATCTAATCATCTCCCAATGGCCCCAACTCCTAACATGGTCACATTGGTGTTTGGGTTTCAACATAAACATTTTGGAGGGATACAAACACCCAG
Organism: Homo sapiens; assembly: GCF_000001405.40. Classification (NCBI taxonomy): domain Eukaryota; kingdom Metazoa; phylum Chordata; class Mammalia; order Primates; family Hominidae; genus Homo; species Homo sapiens. Next base: position 16,020,021 of record NC_000021.9, read on the forward strand.
ACCACAGCAAAATGTTTGAAAACCTTCTGTTAGATAAAACTACAGGAAACTCCAAGATGGTTCATTCTATGATTTTTTTTAAATGTGAGTATACATTAATATTAAAAGGGAAGATCTGTTTCTATGTCAGAGAAATATCAACAAGGGAACACTTGGTTCTAAGCAGGTTGTCTGTAAGCCTACTGTAGGAAGAAGTTATTTTATGAAAAGTAAAACAATAAAAATAAAACTTTCATGTTCTATCTTGGGAGAGAGAGGTATCTTGACAACTGCTGTTTGTCACAGTAGACAGAATGAGATTCAGAATGGCAGACCCAAGAAGAGGGGCAATAAATATAGAAAAAACTACATATGACATGTGAGTATATGAGGAAATGTGATTCTGGAGATCAAAAGTGAAATCAGAATATGAGATTTCAGGAAATCTAGCCATCTTGAGGTAGCTATAGAATAATTTTTAAGCATCCATTTTTAATTTTCATGAGTCTTAAATGATTACAAATGAGCCTCTACTAGCAAAGGTCTGGGAAAAATTGGACATGATTGCCCTGCCATGATTGCCCTGCCTTGTCCATGATTGTCCTTAAAGAGAATTTCTTTCCTGGTTTATTGTTGTCTCTTATGATCTTTGCAGTTGAGTATTCCTAAATGAGGTGAAGCAACTAGAACACAGAAGGACTGAATATGGCTTGGAAGAACTTTGTAACAATGGTGGTTATCTACTACGTAATTACAGTTTTCTTGTGATTGCAGCTTTTATAAAATGTATTTCTCTCACAGAAAGACATTTTATATAGAGAATACCAAACTTAGTTTTGGGCATTAGACCTAAATTCTATACTGAAGACCACCGGGTCTCTTTCATTATGTGAAATAAATGAGATTTAGCGCCCAGTAGGGTCTGTGATTATTCAACTCTACTAAAAGTTGCTCGAGACTTTGATTTTGCAGAACACATTAATATTAATTTTGTTACTTGAACATTTGCTTTTCATATAACAGAATCCACATGCTTGGTTAAGGCCAACATATGCTGTTTATTATGCAGGTTTATCTGTTCCTGATGATACAGCACATAAATCAAATCTAAATTAAACCAATACCACTTTTCCCCTATGCCATGATATTTGGGGACAATATTGTTGGCTAAGGAATCATGAGAAAATGAAATACTTTTGCTTGTTGAACAGGACACAGTATATTTAGAATTTTTTTGGGAGATACTCCTATTGACCTCAATAATAACACCATTATTGAACAGGAATTTTAGGTATTCCCATTGTAAGTCCTGCTGTTGATGCAGTTATTTTGCTTAGCTTTTAAAATTTTTCTAGTAGTTACATATGATCTTCCAAGCCAATGAAATTTAAAAAATTAAATTGGCTTAGTGGGACTATGACTTTTTGCTTATTTGGTTGGTTTTTAAATCTGGGAAAGAGAGTATGACATTAATCATATACTGCACATGTTTGAAAAAGTTTGGGGCACTGATTTTTGTTCTTTTTGTCTTCAGTGGAATAAAATGTTGGTGCAACAACATTCAGATAAATGTTGGGTAATTTCTTATTTGAAAACGGTTTATTAAACTACAGCATGGAAGGAATATGGAGAGACATCTTTGTTAATGGTTTTTAAAATTGTCTTTATTACCAAACCCCTTATTTTCATATTGAGCTGTACTGAAGAAAGCATTTTTGTGATAATTTTTTGTGTTTCCATACCCTTTATTCAATGAGGAAATATTTATCAAGCTCGTAAACACAATACACTTTGAATTGGCGACTGTAAGCCTAATCCCAAGGCTCTCAAACTCCCATCATAAAGATAGACATATTGGCACAACTAACTTGTCAAATAGATCAGTACATCTAAGACTCAGCTCACATATTACCCCCTCTGGACAGCTTTCATCTATTCATTGAGTTTGTTTTATTCATTTGCCTGTTTGTTTCCTTCCAGAGCTAGAAGTTATCTTCCCTGCCTGTCAACTGTCATGGCAGTTTTTATCTCTAAGCTTTGGTTGCAAGGAACAGATTCATTCAATTCACCTCAAAGTAAAGGCAAGATTCTTACAAGATTTCTAAGGGTTTGGAAGTGGAATCTCCTCAGGACTAGAACAGGCGCTCTAGCTCGAACTGCAACTCACTCTGGGGCTCAGTGGTCTCTCTACTTGGCATTTTCATCCCTCTCTCTCTGCTTTGCATGATCCTTGGCGACACTTGCTCTACTTCCCTACATCACCTCTTACTGACCCCACTGCTGGGTTTCTTGGCTCTAATTCCCAATGTAAGACCGGCTACTTTACTTTCCATGCCAGCTCCCCTCCAGGGGTTGTGGCAAGTCTATGAAATGCTTTCTGACATTTGTCCTGTAGTTTCCACTCATAGCTGGCACTTGGATAAGCAAGACATGATGAATATTGAATCATTCTGTGAGTGTCTAATAAGTGGAAGGTGAGTTTTTAAAACACATACTAAAAATGAAGTGTTCAGGATTTCTGTTTCTACTAAAGATTGTCAGAAAGCTGGAGAAAGGAGCATGATACTCAAAATGGGTTTAACAATGCATCAAAAATATTGTCTCATTCTTTTCAACAGAAATTAAAGTATTTCTGCCTGAATAATTAGCAAGATAATGTATCAAAAGACCATATGTTATGAAAATATAAAAAAAGATTCAGTGAATTCTGTTTGATCCTCATCATATCTGGCCTGTCTGTATTTGACAGCATTGAACACTCTTGTCTTCTTTACCCTTTATTCTTAGCTTCTAGAATACCCCGTGCCTTGTGTCTCTTCTTACCCATCCCCCAACTAATTCCCTCTCAGACTCCTCTGTTGGCTTCTCTTCTCTTTTCTCTGTCTTTTTAAAAAACCTGCTTTTCAAGTATTGGTGACATTGAGGCGATTGTTCTTGGATATATTCTCAACTATCCAACCACCATGACCAATATCCTTCTCTCCCATGAGATTATCAGTCAACTGTAATCATAAAAGCTATGTTTCCATCCTCAACTTCTCTACTAAGTTCCAACTTACAGGAATTTTCCGTATGGTTTACTGGACTTTTCCAGCTGGAAAAGTCATATGTAATCCTGCCTTGCCAAATCCAACTATTTGTCTCCACCCCTCTCCCTTGACACTTTTTCTGACTTTTGTATTTTTTATGTCAATGAACATTTCCAACTAGTCACCCAAGTCACAAAGGGTGAATAATTATCTCCTTCCTTGTTCTAAGTCCCGGAGTAAATCATATTGTCTAGTCTACTATTTTTACTCATTCAGGGCTTGTCTCCAGTCTCCATTCCTTCTGCTCTTAGTTTAGAACTTCCTTGTATCTCCCATGACTCTTTTCCCTATTTGGGGATCATTCTTCTCTGTTCTATAGTCCTCATTGCTTCCAGAGTGAGTTCACTAGAATATAAATATGTCATGCTACTCTTTTTAAAAAAAGCCATTTTTAAAGGCTTCTCAATGCCCACAGAATCAAGCTCATACTCAACTTGATGTCATCAAAGATATTCAGGGATCATGTTCCTCCTCTCTCCTTTGTTCTTATCCTTCCCTTTCACATGCTTCTTCCTGTACCTGTACCTGTACCTGACATAAACACATAAAGTAAGAAGATCTGGTTTGTATAGAAGATTAAATAAAACACAATCTTTCAACATTCTTATGAAGTCTGTGAATTAAAATTATCACTTTAAAATTTTATATTAATCCCCTATAAACTGTGTAAATATTTTTTACTTCTGATAAAACACATAAGATTATTTTTAGTAAAGATTGCCATAATACCTGGCTTAGCAATAGAAGGAGTAACATATATTTTTGGTTTTGAATCAATTAAATGACAAATAAAATATGCTACTGTGTGACTTATGACCAATAAAAGGTGTAAATTGTGTAACTTGAACCTATGATATCTTAATTTATGATATAGTCATATTAGCAATGGATTGGCATTTTTTTGGTTGCTCAGAAAAAGCAAGAACAGGCCAGGCGTGGTGGCTCACACCTGTAACCCCAGCACTTTGGGAGGCTGAGGCAGGCAGATCACCTGAGGTCAGGAGTTCGCGACCAGCCTGGCCAACGTGGTGAAACCCTGTCTCTACTAAAAATACAAAAATTAACCAGGAGTGGTGGTGGGCACCTATAATCCCAACTGCTTGGGAAGCTGAGGCAGGAGAATTGCTTGAACCCGGGAGGTGGAGGTTGCAGTTAGCCGAGATCATACCACTGCACTCCAGTCTGGGTGACAGAGCAAGACTCTGTCTCAAAAAAAAAAAAAAAAAAAACAGGAATATATCATACATTTAGGAAAATAAATGGAGTCCGACGTTTCAGTGCTCCTTCTCCTGAGTGATTTCAGAGACTATTTGGGAACATGATTTACTGACATATGACGTGGACTGTAAGAAGAATCTGTATAGAAAAGTGGGGTTGGCTGAGAAAAATGGTTACTTTCTTCAGTGTGAAGAGTTTTGAACTAGATAATTTGTAGGAAAGGTCAGAAATTCAATTTTGGCTGCTTAAAAATGCCTTTGTTCTGTTTCAATTGCATCATCAAAATATGATTTTTCTCCCCTATCATATAAGTTCTGTATGACTAGTTGGACAGAATGATTGTTAAAATTTACCAAACTAATTTTAAGGTTTCTAGTCGATTTGATATCATGTTCCTTGTATAATCAATAAACTTTAGATGATTGGTGTTCTTCTAAAGTCAACATCGTATAAGAAATAATAAATTCCTTCCTGGAAGAATATACTCAGACCATATAAAACAATCACTGAAATTATTTTAATGAGAAAAGGTAAATATTTTCAACATGTTTATTTCAGTAGGCATAAAAATGAATTGGCCAATTTAAATAAGTATAATTTATCAAGTTAACTGTGTAAAACCCACAAAAAAGTTAAACAACTAAAGATACTACTCTATTTAATAAAATAGGTCTATCTATGAAAGTCTGTCTTTTGAAAGAGATTACTATAAGACAAGATATAATAAAAATGTAAAGAAGACATAATAGAACAATGTCCTCCTTTCTCTTGTTTTTTGTTTGTTTTCATTTTATATATCTCCTTTGTGTATCATGATGTATATATTAAGACTGGTTGCTCTTTCTTATTTTTATTTCCTGGAAAGACTTTGTTTGTTTTGTGTGTCTCTGAATTCTGAAGAGTGTTGTTATTTTTTTCTGTCACTCTTTCTTAAATCGGTTTTCCCATAAAATTCATTCAGAGAAATAAAATGCAAGCAGCTCTTTCTAATACTATGCCTTAGGAGGAAATATTACTCTATGTGACTTCAAAATTTGGTCTAGTCTATTCCAAAGGCTTAAACAGAAAATGTAAGTAGATACATGGAAGATACATATGGCACTGCATTAGCTCACAACTATAACATGTTTTGGTCATGTGTATTGGTTTCCTATTGTTGCCATTACAAATGACCACAAACCCCAGTGTAATTATCAGGTTCTTAACTACTTATGTCACACTGTTAGAATGACCATGGATTAACATGGATTAGTTTGTCACAATATGTATGGTTTTCTGGAATTGTAGAATATTAGGATCAGTGCCATGTATAGAAGAATACTTGCTTCTTTGAGAAGTAGGAGCTGTCTGTCCATTTCTGGTCCAGGGACTAAAAGGGAAACTAATGAGGGAGGACTGACTATAAAGGTAACATAATGTAGTGATTAATTTTGTCCTAGCCTAGGGCCTAACGTGTGAGGAATTATATGGTCTATTTGTAGAACTATACATAGAACACTTGATCGTGCTTCTCAGAATAAGACAAAGGCCTCTAGGAAGAGGTATTTGCTTCCTCATTTTCTAGATCTTAATTTAAGCAAGCCAAGGAGTCAGTGAGATGTCCCCACAGGATCCGATGGTTAGTGGGAACACCGTTTAACACCAAATCATCAAATTGTAGAAGTTTGATGCTAGAAAGGATCTTGAAAGACCATGTTCTCTACCATTTTTAACATGACAGAGTGTATACATTAGATAAGGAAAATAAAAAAAAGGTGCCGAGGGTCCATCTACTCATTATAATGGGCACAGAACAGCAAAACTACAGGTGGACTGTTCTCCACCTCCTACCTCCTCACAAGTTGCTAACTTGTAGGTTAGAACTGTACTTGGAAACAGGCTGTATATAATACTTACATATAATTGTATTCAACTAGCTATTAAACATATATAAATAATTTTTATGTTTTTCTCACCACATAGCTTTATAATTCTTTTTTTTTTTTCCTTTTTGAGACGCACTGTCGCTCTGTCGCCCAGGCTGGAGTGCAGTAGCGTGATCTCGGCTCACTGCAAGCTCCACCTCCCAGGTTCACGCCATTCTCCTGCCTCAGCCTCCCGAGTAGCTGGGATTACAGGCGCCCGCCACCACGCCGGGCTAATTTTTTGTATTTTTTAGTAGAGATGGGGTTTCATCGTGTTAGCCAGTATGGTCTCGATCTCCTGACCTCGTGATCTGCCCGCCTCGGCCTCCCAAAGTGCTAGGATGACAGGCATGAGCCACCGCGCCCGGCCATAGTTTTATAATTCTGAACTGGAGTAGCCAAAGTCTTCCTTTTCTGTCCTTCTATTCCTTTCTCCACCACTAATTTGTGTGATTTGGTCTGAGCTGAACGAGTGCTTTTGGCTCTAAGACCCTAGTTACTGATAACAGAATTTTCTCAGTTTTTGCTCATGCATTTCCCCAAAGTACAGCTTGGAAAATCAAGTCCTGACCAGCGAATAGCCTTGAGGTTGGGCTAATATGTTCAATGAGTATTGTGGCTCTTCTCTACTGAAGTTCTCTGCCTTTCTGTCTATGGTGCACAGTGTCTACACCCATGCTCTCTCTGGATGCTTTAGTGTCATGATGGGTTTGGTGTTCCAGGGTGTCTGGGTCACTTCTCACTTGAAAAATAAATTGAAAACATCCTTTCGCCACTCTGAAGTGTGATGCTACTTTCCACGTTTTATCTTTAAAATTTGTTCTAAAAGAATGGCTGGGCCGGGCGCGGTGGCTCACGCCTGTCATCCCAGCACTTTGGGAGGCCGAGGTGGGCGGAACACGAGGTCAGGAGATCGAGACCATCCTGGGTAACATGGTGAAACCCCATCTCTACTAAAAATACAAAAAAATAGCTGGGCATGGCGGCGGGCGCCTGTAGTCCCAGCTACTCAGGAGGCTGAGGCAGGAGAATGGTGTGAACCCGGGAGGCGGAGCTTGCAGTGAGCCGAGATTGTGCCACTGCACTCCAGCCTGGGCGGCAGAGCGAGACGCCGTCTCAAAAAAAAAAAAAAAGAATGGCTGAGGGGTGATGACATTTAATCAATGTATATCCAATAGTGGGGGAACTACACATGTGCAACATACAGAAGAATGAAATTCAGAAAAACAAGCAGATTAAAAAATATACACTCACTACCCAAACACATTTTGGTATGCAGACTTTTGCCATATTTTTTAAGAAGTTTGATTTGGCTGTGATCTTACTACTTTCGTGCATTTTTGTTTTTTCCACTTATAACACATATATCTATTCCTCATATTTTAAATATTGTCTCCTTATTATTCCACAAAGTCAACTTTTCATAACATATGTGGTAATCTTTCTAAAGAGTTCGAGGAGTTGTTTCTGCTAATTTTACTGTAATAAACAACTTTGTGCATTGTCTTCCCAGCCTTCATATTTAAGATAATTCCTTAGAACTATTGTCAGAATCTATGTGGTAGTTTGCAAAATTGGCCAGATTTTTCCATACTTCCTGCACTTACGCCCCTTTGCAATGTCATTGAGAAATTTTTCCCATCAAGAGTGAAGCCTGTTTCTCCACTACTTGAATCAGAACTTGTGACTCGATTTTACCAATAAAATGCAGCAGAAGCCATATTCAGTGGCTCACATCTGTAATCCCAGTACTTTGGGAAGCCAAGGTGGGAGGATTGCTTGAGGCCAGGAATTTGAGACCAGCCTGGGCAACACAGGAAGACACTGTCTCTACAAAAATCTTTTTAAAAAATATCCAGGCATGGTGGCTCATGCCTGTAGTCCCAGCTACTAGGGAGGCTGAGGCAGGAGGATCACTTGAGTCCAAGAGTTTGAGGCTGTAGTGAGCTATGACTGTACCAATACACTCCAGCCCTGGTGGAAAAGTGAGACCCTGTCTTTAAAAAATTAAATAAAATAAACAGAGCAGGAATGCCAACTGTGCTAGTTCCAAACCTAGGTCTTAAGAGGTCTTGCAGCTTCTGCTCTGATTCTTGGGCTCCTTCCAGCTAGAGGTTCAGAACTCATTTGCCCCTGTCACTCCAGCTGATTGTCAGCCAATTGCAGAAGCAGGGCTGCCTTCGTGATTGACACGTGATACAAGTGCACAAGTGAGCCCAGCATGACCAGAACCACTCAGTTAAAACTATAATAATAAATTGTTGTCATTTTATTTAAGTTTTGAAGTGGTTTTCACAGCAAAACCAACTGATACAACCTATTTGGCCAAAAAGAATAAATATATTTAAGCCTTATAATTTGTATTGATGAGTTGTTTCCCAAAACCGTGGTAAAAAATTGCCCTATCAATAGTTTTGCTGCCTTCATCAGCCAGGCTTATATCATTGTAAATTTTTGCTAGTTTGATAAAAGATAATTAGTATTTTGTTTTAATTTTAAGTGCAACATTTTAAAACCCAGTTTCTTCTTACCCCAATGAAATAGTTACTAATTTGATGTCATTTCATTAAAACAAGTCACATTTTGCTGTGAATCTTTTTCCAAATTATTTTCCTAGAATTAATATAATATTTGTCAGGTTTATTTCCTCTTAGAAGATATAGAGATTGCAGCACAGATTTTAATTTTTAATTTGCTAAATAATTCTTTATAAAGTCTAAGTTGTGACCCTTTTCCCAGATATTTTTAATTCAATAACTATCAAATTTATGAAAATGAAGTTGGTTTTATTAAAGTTTCTACTGACATCATCTTACTGCATTGGATGTTGATCTCAGTGATTGCGACTATTCTAAGTTGTTAAAAGCCATGTAATCATTATTGGCTCACAAGCAAGCAAATGAGGTAATTGTATTCAAATTGGAAAATTTGCTTCTAGGTAAAGTGTATGCACAGAAAATATAGACAAAGTATTGGCCATTATACTTGACAGACTTTGAAGTGTTGCCATCACCCAATGAGTTTTCATTGCATACAGAATGAAAGAAAAATTACATCATTTATGTTGTCTTTGGCCGTAGGTAACAGAAAACCCACTTAAACAGCACTAAATTATGAGACTCATTGGTTGGACTGATGGTTAACCAATTCATATCTGGATAGGAAGAGTAGTTTTTAAAAACTTGAAATACTTTTTCACTGATTGCTAAAAAAAAAAAAGAATAATAGTAACTTCAATAAGTAGTAAAATTAATAAAAAGAAATTAGTAAATAAAATTGCACCTGCTGCCTGTGGCCACAAGAACTCAGTGATATATATTAATAAAATTTATTTAGCTTATGGTTTTATGAGATTCAGGTATTTTCGTGTGAGCTCAGCTAATCTCAGCTGGGTTTGTTTCTGTGGCTGCTGTTAGATACATGCCAGCTAAGGTGTCTTTCCTGATTTGGCTGGCCTTGCTCACATATGTTGGGGCTGGCACTGGCTTTGATAACTGGAGTAATTCAACTCTGCTCCACCTGTCTCACCTTGTAGAAAGTTAGTCCAAGTATGTTCTCATAGTAAAGGCAGAGGAGCAAGCACATGCCTAGTCATACATGTGTTTTTCAAGCCTCTGCTTGGACACGCTTACTAATATTCCATTTGTCAGGTCACTTTGTGGGTCCCAGAGACAAAGTGGATGGCACTGCAAAGGTACATGCCCCAAACACACAGATGAATGGAGTGGTGAAGTGGTAAGATCATTGATAACAATCAAGCTACAATAAACTTACTGATTCAAGTGAATTGTCATAGGATGCTATTGATAAATAGTCCTCTACTTGGAATGAGATCCAAAACATTAGCAGTTCCACTCACCTGGTGTAATCATGTCATGGTAAGAAGCATATGCATTCTCTAAAAAGTGTTCTATGTTTTAGGAGAATCAACATTTTCATCATCCTTTAGTTAAACAAGCGCCATTGTTTGGAACTACACATACTCATAGGAATTTATTGGGATAATTGAGAGTTTGAATAGCAATAGATGCCTATGTAATAAACATGAATCTTTAGAATTTGTGAGAGCACAGCAAAAATATAATGAAATAAAATAATAAACTGCCTACTGGGCCATCTTCTGATGCTAGGTAAAAATCAGAAAGTGGAATATGTTTTGATAATGTCAAGAATTAATATAAAATATAACAAATCATTTTCATTTATTGAATAAAAACAATTATTTCAACAAATGTATAAGTAGCTTACCATTGCTTTTAAGCATTAAAATTGCTTAAACTTTGTGTCAATAATAGATGAAAGTGCTTAACACATGTATTTCATTAGTATGTTGATCATGTTCCATTAAAGCTCATAGTTGTAATGAGGAAAATTTGCAAACATCAAACAGGGAAAATTGGCAAACATCAAAGAGGAAAATTGGCCTCGCATGGTGGTATGCATCTGTAGTCCTGGAGGCTGAGGCAGTAGGACCACTTGAGCCCAAGGGTTCAGTGCACTGTGATCGCACCTGTGAATAGCCACTATACTCCAGCCTGGGCAACATAGCAAGCCCCTGTCTTTAAATTAAAAAGAATAAAGAAGGGGTGGATCATCAATCCTTTCAATTCAAATGAAATTGAAATTATCAATTCCATTTCATATATCACATCAATCACTTTCACATAATAACGCATTTGAAATAATATCAGCTTTCAAACCTTTTTTAAAGAATATCAATAAAGAATATAAAAATTTAGAAAGTACCATCCAAACTTCATTTTACATTAGAAATACTCAAGCATTTCTAGATATAAAATATTAATAGTGCATAACAAAATAATATTATGTGCATATTATTATAGTCCAGATTTATGTATGACTCACTTGGAAACATACTTTTGGAAACAGTTTATGAAACTTTCCCACTTTTGGAAAAATGTGTGTATAAAGACTAGAATTTCAATTATCACTGATGAAGCTTCAATTATTTCACGTAAAAGTGATTAATAATTCACTTAAAATGTGAAATTCAAGACTGAAAATAGTTTTATGTCTTCTTATTCATCATGGAACTAGAAGAAATACCAGAAATAATAATATATCAATCTTTATTTTCTTTATTCAAGACAAGTAATTGGCAAATATTTGCATAAAAATCTTATGATATATTTTCATGTAGTTGTGTTAACAAAATCTGAAGGACAGGTTGGAGTTTAGGCTAAACTGTCATAAAAGTTTTTGGATATTTTTATTTAGTACCACATTGTTATATTCAATTATTTCTGGGTGAGGTGATAGAAGATGTAAATAAAATTAAATTCCTTTCTTGATGGATTTTATACTATTATCATATATTAGATAAACATTAGAATTAAATGATATACTAACTGGCTGGGGGAATTGACCTAATGAAAATTGAGTCATATACCTCTATTTATAGCCTGATTCACTAGAATAGCAAACACAGTTTGGAAATTTTATCAAATGTTGAATATTCAATAGAAATTGTGAAGTGGAAATAATTAAGAAATTGGAAAGTGGACTTTTAAAAAAAGATTTGGGTTTAAATTATTATAGTTTTATAGCTTTCACTACTTTAACTTGAAAAATTTTTGTTAAAGCTGGCAGATTAATGCATGATAAAAGTGATTAAGCTTATAAAACTAAATAATGCTGTGAAAGAGAAGATGTAGAAATAAAGGCATATGATTTAACAGTTGAGGCAAAATAGTTATAATAAAAAGACTGTTACATACACTTAAATTACGTAAAACTGATATCACAAATGAAATATTTAATAAATTTTATGACCTTTCAATTTATTGGATCCTGACATTTTTCCAAGTAATATTAGGTAGATTTATAGTTTTAAGATTAACATACCAATAAAATTAGGCTAAGTAATTAAATATGATATTCTAATAAATATCTTATGAATTAGTAGTACATGAATTTAATATGTAAAAATCAGAGTATTATAAAAACTAGAAACATTTTGGATATAATTTTTGGTAGTTTACCAGACATGTAGAGAAGATCCAGTATAATTAATTACATTTTGTGTGTGAAGAAAAATTCCCTACCTGTTTAGACTATATTACATAATAACTAACATTTTTATGAGGAATTTTTGGAAGGAGTTGATATAGTTTCTTATGTCAAATCATGACTCAAAAAGAGACATTATTTAGCTAGAGGCAGTCACATCAAAGAAAAGATCATAACACTCTAAACATCAAGAAGCAATTTAGAAGTTATTAGAATGATTTGATGAGTGATATGTACTGTAAGTTATCTATAAGTTACAGCATACATCACTTAATAAAGTTTCAGGCTGGGCACGGTGGCTGAGGCAAGCACTCTGGGAGACTGAGGCAAGCAGATAGCTTGAGCTCAGGAGTTTGAGACCAGACTGGCCAACATGATGAAACCCTGTCTCCACACAAAATACAAAAGTTAGTCGGGCGTGGTGGCACGGACCTATGGTCCCAGCTACTTGGGAGGCTGAGGTGGGAGGATTGTTTGAGCCTGGGATGTGCAGGTTGCAGTGAGCTGAGACCACGACACTGCACTCCAGCTCAGGTGACAAAGTAAGACTTTGTCTCAAAAAGGAAAGTTTCATTACATATATGTACACATATATGAGTAGTTTATTATATATTGGCTTATATGTACATATATAACATACTATACAAGTTGTTTCATACTCTTAATATCACTCAGCTTATTGGCCCCTGTACCTGGAGTCCAGAGACAGGAAGGGACTTGGGGCAGGCTCAAGCCGGCATTTCCACCTGTTTCTCTCTAACCCCTTTGGTTCCGCTCTTCTCCGTACGGACTTAGTTCTTTAGCAGAAGAGTTCCATATTGGTGGCAAAATGGTTGAAGCAATCCCAGGGGTCATCCTTATGTCATGACGAGCAAAGAAAGATTATCTCCTAGCAGCTTTCTGTCCAGAGCAGTTAAACTTCATCCCCATAACTTTGCAAGAAACCGTCGCATCTTGCATCTTGTTCCAGACTGAATCGTGTGCATGTTCTAAATCTTGTCTCTGTGGTCAAGGAATATCACACACAGTCTGGTATAGGCTGATTTCTTGAACAACTCCTTGCTCAGTCGATGGTATGCTCCCAGGCCTGACAGGTGCAGCCCTGAAGTCTAGGTGATGCAATGAAAGGGGAGTTGAGTCTGGCCTCTGGTCACATCCAGGGCAAACACCCTGAGTTAACATGCAATACCTACTGTGGCCCACTATCAGCCTGAACTTCTAGCTGCAACCCTTGCTGCTATATTGCCTGCACGTTAAACCCCGAATCACTCTGAACCAAGTATTGTTCACTGAATCAACACAGTAGAATAAAGCCTGTAAACCCCTTTTTCTTCATCACCTCAATCTGGAATGTTTTCTACTTCCAGTGCATCAAAATCCTATTGCCCCCTTTTGTCACAAAGTTGACTTTCTTTGTGATCTGAGACTGTATGACATAAAACAACAGATTGACCCTTTAGTTACAAAAAGTTAAGTAATTCATTATTCATTGTCTTGGAAAGAGTGAAGATCATTTGAATCTGCAAGGATGGTATGAAATTGCTTGGTTTATTAATGTAAATTGAATTGAGATTTAATTTTGGTTGTTTCCTTGAGAAAGCAGAAAAATGGTTTTCCTACTAAATGAGTATTTCCTACTAAGTGAGGGAAATTTAGATTGGATCACGTGTGCCTAACATGGGCTGTTAAATGAGGAACACCTAGAGCTTTGAGAAATATACGGTGAAATGTTAGGATTTTTTTTTTTTTTTTGAAATTTCACTTGACCGAGATATGGGGCCTGGGGAGAGTATAAGGAAAGGGCTGTGTCCTCTCCTAGAATGAATTAACTAGGAGTGGGTCACGGAGCTGTTTCTGGACATAGTGCAGTCCATGTTATTGTCTGATATTCAGATTATTCACAGTAATTTTTTTTAATTAATAACCTTCTTAACTATATATAATTTTTTATCCTTTCCTTCCTATACACACAACACCTAATATGGTGTTCCACTTTTCCTTTTCCCCATATAATTGGACAAAACCACGTTGCCTCTGATTCTTCAATATTGGGTGAAATTCAGTCCTCCAATTTTACTCCAGGTTTGGAAGGACGAGAGACAGGAATCCAGTTTCAAGGGACTAAATGCAGGGCCGACCAAAGCCTCGGAGGCCCTCCCTCTATTAAGTATCTTCTCTGTTACCCAGTTCTCCAGCAGTTAACTGGTTAACTTGTTAAGATGTAAATCTAAAAGAATCCCTGGGAAAATGGAACAGTGCGAATCTAGGGTTCTAAAATTTGTATTAGCAAAGGGTCTAAAACTCCTTTGTTTACATTGTCTTAATTATTAAAGAATCCAATAGCATTAAACAGCTTGAGAGAATGTTTGCCCAGGGGAAGTCTATATTTTTGGCAAGCAATAAAATGTTGAATATAAATGAAAGCTATCCTGAATCCTGGCATATGTGTCTCTACTATGTTATTTGCTTCCAGATTTTTTCCAAATGGATACTTTTAAACATATTTATCAGAATACTAAACTTATGCATCTCATTTTTTAAATATGTCTTAAAATTTTCCCCTTAGTTGCTAGGGTCTTCATAATTATTATTAAATATAATCAATTTTCCAAGAAACACTCTCCAGTTTTGTACTGCCTAAACAACCTTGCATTGTGATCTTTTCTCCTTTTGAATGTATTTTCTTGGACTACATTTCCAGAAATAGAATTACTGAATAAATGGTTTGGAAATATTTACAGCTCATAATATGAAATGCCAAAGTTTTTCAAAAAAGAGTTTAAAACAATTTCTATCTCATAATATAGTATGTATATCAGTTTTGGTTATACTCCACTATTATGCATTACATTTAATTATACTTTCTTTAGTCTTTGTATTTTACTGTCCCACTTCCAGACTCAAAGAAGATCATAGCCTCCTGGAGAACTAGGAGAGTGTATTTATTACTTTTGTATTTATTTACTTCTCTATAACATTAGAACAAGGACTAACACATACTAAGTAAACATTAAATGTTTGTTGCATTGATTTGAATTAATCACGGGAATTCTTTTTGCAGTTACAGTAACTGCCAAATTACTTCATGTTTTGGTGAATTACTTTATTATGATTTTAGCTTTTTTTCATTAACTGAGACTCGTGTTCCTCTTTTTAGTGCTTTTTTGTTTTTAATGAAATGCTTCATGATTTTCTGTGTCATCCTTAAAAGAGGACATGTTTATTTTCTCTGGATTGTGCCAATTTTAAGATATTTTCTGCCAAAGCATGCATCATTTAATTTAATTTTACTCTTTCAGTAAGCAATTATATGACTGAGTTTACAGTTAGTATTTGAGATACAATTGAGGTTAAACATTTTTAATGTGTGTTTATTAAAATGATATTCTTTATTTAGTGAGTTGTTTGCTCTTGAGTTTGCCCATTTGAATCTGGAGTTTTATTTGTAAAATAATTATAATTAAATTTTAAACTTTTCCTATTACATTTTGCTCTAGATGTTTTTTAGCTTTTTTCAATTTTTGTTTATGGCTAAAATTCAGAAATTTCAAAATTTTATAGTCTCATTTGTTTTGAGGGGAGCAGATACCTCTTTCTCTTAGATAGTTCAAAGGTTATTGACTACTACTTAGCACTGCCACAATAGGCTAAATGTCCAGTTTTATTCTATTTGAGGCATTCTGGATATTATTAATGCTTTGTATCATGATATATTGCACTTTTAGAGTGTATTTAGGGATGGGATATTATTAGTTTGAGTAGTCCGCTTAGATTTTTTTTAAACTGGGAAAACAATTATCTATTCATATATTAATTAAAAACATTTTATTTTGATGTATGGGTCAGTTTTTAGTTTTTTCTACTTTTCAATATGATGTAATATGTTGATTTTTGTACCATACTCTTTCACCTATTGATTGTTCAGCATATATTTTAATATTTGCTAAGCCTAGTTTCTCCCTTGTTTGAGACTATTCTGAAATATTTTTTATTAATTAATTATCCAAATAAAATTTGTCACCTGAAGGCTATAGTCCAAAAAAGAGCTTATAATTTTATTTGGGATTTTATTAAACGTTCATATTACTTTGGGAAGGTCCAAAATTATATATGACTGTTTTTCCATCCAGGAGCATGATTATGTGTTTCTACTTATTAGAGAATAAATTTCTTTCCAATAAAGCTTTATAATTTTTGTAAAGTATGTCCTATATCTCTCATCTATGTTTTCAAGTTAAGATTGCCACTTTAATTACTATTGTGATGAGATACTTTTTAAATTTTTTTTTATTTTTTTGAGACAGCATCTCACTCTGTCACCCAGGCTAGAGTTCAGTGGCAGATGTCTGCTCACTGCACCCCCACCTCCCCAGTTCAAGTGATTCTCATGCCTCAGCCTCCCGAGTAGCTGGAATTACAGTCACGTACCAACCCACCATGCCCACCTATTATTTATTTATTTATTTATTTTAGTAGACAGGGTTTTATCAGGTTGGCCAGGCTGGTCTCAAACTCCTGACCTCAAGTGATCCACCTGTCTCAGCCTCCCAATGTGTTGGGATTACAGATGTGAGCCACAGCACAAGGCCTAATTTTTTTATTTTTTTAAGGCAAGGTCTTACCCTGTCGCCCAGGTTGGAGTGAAGTGGTATGATCTCAGCTCACTGCAACCTCCGCCTCCTGGGCTCAAGCGATCCTCCCACCTCAGTCCCCCAAGTAGTTTGGACCACAGGCTCTCACCACCAGGCCCAGCTAATTTTTTTTTGTAGAAATGGGGTTTTGCCATGTTGCCCAGGATGGTCTCGAACTCCTGAGCTCAAGCGATCCTCCCACCTCAGTTTACCAAAGTCCTGGGATTATCCGCATGAGCCACTGAGCCCAGCCTGAGTGTTATTATTATTTTTTTAGTGTTATATTGTTATCCTGTCTCATTCATATATTTGATTACATGTAATAGCTCGATTTCTTGAAAATGATATGCATCTTCTTTTCCTGTAGGTATAAAATTTCCTTTCAGTATATGTTAACAGTTGCTTCAGGGTAGACACTATCATGACAAGTTATCATGAGAATGTCCTTCCATTGAACAATTGTGGGATTTTTGAGCTAAATTTGCTAGGTCATAATAGATTAGCCTATCATTCTATTCAATCTCATATACCATTTTTTAAAGATCTGCAATGAAGCAGAAGGCAAAGTAGCTACAATGAAGTTAGAGGTTTGCTCAAATATTTCATGGCCTTAAGCCAAAATGCTTATGGGAACTCTGTCTGCTGCGGCAATGCCTACTGACTTCTTGCATTTCCTGAAGGGTGGTTAGAAAGGGATGCCCATCATTTCTTGTGGGTTGGTCAGATTTCCCAACACTTCCTACCTGATGTAGGTGTCTGGGTATGGTTGGGGTTTGGAGGAATGTTCTCATGATCTAACAGTCAGACTTTCACTTATTTCCCTTTGTGCCATCCAGCTTCTTGTCTTTTTTTTATCAGCGGTTTCTCTATGCTATGGCACAGCTTATCTAGAACTCTCAAAGCTGAAAAAATTTTGTTGCACAGACTAAAACAGGAAGCTGGGGTTCGAATACTTTTGTTTCAGACTTTTTAAAGCAATCTTCCTGTTTTATGCCTTCACCTCCCCACATCCCTACTCCCTGTCCTCTGGAGATAGTGGTTACGTTCGATTCCTGAGCCTTTCTGGAGTTTTATGGCACAAATGGACTTATTTATCCTGGCTTCTTTCCAAGAATTCACTTACCTATCTGTTACTATTATTCTATCCATAAGTCAGCTTTCAAAATTTTATTGGTCTCATTAGAGTGCTTTTGTTTTCTCATCTTATTTGTCCTTGTGGGCTAATGATTTTATTTTTTTAAACTATCTGAGTGTCATTTTAGTCAGGTTTGGGGAGGGAGCAGAGGTGCACATGTCTGCCATGTTTTTTAGGAAGTCTCTGTCATGATATATTTTTATACTGTCTGCAGTGGACAGAGCCAATGAACTCCCTGGCATCAGTTTTTCTGTACTCATTGTTAACAAGACATCAGATTACCAACTATGTGATTTTGGAGGAGTAAGCTGTTATTAACCCAAACTAATCATCATCATTGTAGGCGAAGAAGGTGAAATGTTTTCCAGCTCTTGGCTTTATTTTTCCTTGTGGAGGGACCTCAGGTGGAATAATGCTCCCCACTTCTCACTCAGTCCTCCTTAAGGAAAAGGAATGACATCTGATTATGAGGTAGAAAAATAAAGTAAGTGTTCTCCAGTCAGTCCCATTTCTTCTTATTAGGTTTTCTCCCCTCTGCAAGGCAGCTTGGAATAAACTCAGTGGTACAGGCTTTGTCTCGATGAGGGTCTCCAGACATCTATAGTTGAAATGTGAGCAAATTCATTTGGCCATGAGCTAAACCATGTTTCCTATCCAGCCAGTCAGTAAAAAGGCTTACATCTCCATAGGTCCATCCCCTGTGTTTTATTTTTCACTTGTTTCTAAACTTGGGCAGGAAAGAAAAAGCTATTATATATCTACTTTCATCTCCACCCTTGAAACAAATAAACAAAACCCAGACCAGCAAGTTAATCCTATTCCTCATGCAGCAATATTTGGTTTAACAGTGGACATGGAGTCTGGGTCTAAGCCATTAGTGCTTAACATTCCTCTGACAATGGCGATCGGTTCAGGGTTGGGCAGCATCTATGTTGCTTCTGCAAAGTAAAGACCATGACTTTCCTTTGATTTTTTAAACATCAAAACATGTTTATTCTTTCTCTGGATGGTTTTGTGAGAAGCCATTATACTGGGAAAAACTGCAGCAATTTTGCACCCATGACAAACCCAGCAAGCACATGAAGGACAAATTCTCCTTGGAGGAAGAGCAGAGGATGGAGACAGAACCCGGATAGAATTCCATGTGAAGTCTACACTACTCCTAGACTTTTCATTTGTGTGGTGTATTAGTCTGTTCTATGCTGTTAATAAAGACACATCCAAGACTGGGCAGTTTATAACGGAAAGAGGTTTAATTAACTCACAGCTCTGCAGGGCTGGGGCAGCCTCAGGAAACTTACAATCATGGTGGAAAGGGAAGCAAACATGTCCTTCTTCACATGGTGGCAGCAAGGAGAAGAATGAGGGCCCAGCAAAGGGGGAAGCCCTGTATAAAACCATCATCTCTCATGAGAACTAATTCACTATCACAAGAACAAGACAGGGGAAACCACCCCCATGATTCAATTTTCTCTACCTGGTCCCTCCCGCAACATGTGGGGATTATGAGAACTACAATTCAAGATGAGATTTGGGTGGGGACACAGCCAAACAATATCATGTGGGTTAACACATTTCTTTCTATGTTTAAACTCACTTGAAGTGGGTTTCTTACCATTAAGAGCATCTAATCACTGCATTATTGAGTTTGCTTTTCTAGGATTTCTGTAAAATTGTCACATTTTAATTACAAATGAGTTTCCAAACAGTGTTTCTCAGAACATAAGCGTTATGCCTAGTCTGCTCAAGCAAAATCTCTGCTCTTGGGTTCAGATTTACTTTCACAAGTCAAAATTGGTTTCATCCTGGATTAAGTTTACCTAGCCTTAAGACAGGATACATGGTAGGCCACATGGCATGAATGGCAACAACGAATCAGAGGAATTAGGAGACTTACTTCATTGCTAAAATGGACATAGTCTCAGGAGATGAGACAAGATGAGCATGAGCCACCTCAGTTCATGGAAGCTGCATGCTCTGGTGGCCCTGTCAGCTTTTACACCTTGTAAGATTCATAACATTCTCCTCATATTCACATGACTGGCCCTCATTCTCCAGTACAGTAGAATTTCACTGATACTTGTTACTCAGTAAACAATTTCAGCAATGAGGATCAAATGTATGGTCTGGAATGTAGTAACAACAGATGAATTCTCTATAATCTAGGGTCTAGTCTGCTCCTGTGACTCCTTTAATTAATATGCAAGAAAGATTTTAAGAATACCAAATCCTATCAATGAAGTAAGTCTCTTAATTCCTCTGATTTGTTGTTGCCATTCATGCAATGTGGCCTATCATGTATCCTGTCTTAAAGCTAAGTAAACTTAGTCCAGGCTGAAACCTATTTTGACTTGTAAAAGTCAATCTGAACTCAAGAGCAGAGACTCTGTTTGAGCAGACTAGGCATGGCACTAATGTTCTGGGAAACACTGATCGGAAACTCAACTTGTAAGTAAAAATGTAACAAGTCTACAAAAATCCTAGAAAAGCTAACCCAAATCCTCAGCTATCTCTGAGGCTAACGGTTAAATTATGGACCTACTTTTAACTCTATTCTAAATTAGTATCCTGTGAATATGGACAACAAGAACAATAATATATGTCAGTTATTTAAGTGACACCAATTAAAGTGCTTTGCATATTATTGTGTAATAAATAATTTGGCTGGCCTTTTTTCCCAGTTCCCGGGAGTTATCTTTTAAAGCCTTAGAATTCCCTGAGTGACAGGAGAGTTTTTGCTATTCATAGTATGTTCTGATAGGTTATGCCAATGAGGCGACTCATGGTGAGCTCATAGATAGTTTATGCTAACAAGATGACTCAGGATGGTGTTGACCAATCCAGAGAGACTAGCCATGTTTTTAGAGGGTTGGAACTTCGAACCATGTGATATTAGCCTGACCTCCAGGGAGGGGAGTAGGAACTGGAGATCAAGTTCAATCACATGGCCAGTAATTCAATATATCATGCCCACAAAATAGAACTCCAATAAAAACTTAGACACTGAAGCTCATATGAGTTTCCTTGGGTAACAATGTGTATTGTTACACAACAATGATTGAAAGGTGATGTGTCCTGACTCTGCAGGGAGAGAGGACATCAGAAGCTACACATTTGGGACCTTCTCAGGCTTCACCCTATGCACCTCTTTTTGCTGATCCTGATTTGTATTATTTGTGCTATAATAACACTGTAATTATATGTATAGGACTTTCCTGAATTCTCTGTCACTGTCAGTCTATTAAATGATTGAGCATGAAGAGAGAGTAGGAACCCCTGAGTATTTAGCTTGTTGGTCAGAAGTGCTGGTGGCCTTGGAACTCATAAGCTTGTGGCTAGTTTCTGAGGTGAGTGAGAGGTCTTGTGAAGGACTGTGCCCTCAGCCTGTGAAGTCTGCCTAACTCTGGCTAGTCCATCGCAAGTCACTGCACACGTATTAATTCAATCAGCTCTATGGTGTGAGTATTTTATTACTCTCATCTTACATACATAGATTAATAAAGATTCATAAATAACATTGATAAATTGCTGAATAGTACATTTCATCTCTTCGTTTTATAGGTTATATAATAAATTTATTTTCATATTCTCTCAGAATTTTTACAACAAAAGAATTATCTGAATTTTTTCCTTATGTGTCTTTTAGAAATTTAAGTTGTATTGCTGAGTACATTTTACTTCCTTTGGTAGAAACATTTTTATCTTACTTTAAGTTCTGGGATATCACTTCCTTTTTTAATTTGCTGTGTAATTTTTTCTAAGTCCAAAATTGTTTGGAAGATTTCAAAGGAATACAGTGGAATACATTTAAAGGCTGCCAGACCTCAATTCAAAAGCTAATGATTATGTTAAACCAATTTACAATTCTTTGGAGCTTCAATTTCCTCATTTCTGAAAATAGAGATAATTATACATATATAGAATAATGCTATGAAGAGGTACGAGATAACATATGTAATAAATCCGGAAAATATATTAGGTCAATTTCCCCTTTAGATTCAAACAGCCTCAGGGTAAGGGCAAGCAATCTACATATTTTTATTAGTATAATTCTTTTAGGGATGATAAAGTTATAGAAAGACATTCACTCTTCTTTCTTCTCTTCCTTGGGGGTTAATTTTTCAGTGTTTGATATAATCTCAGAGCAGTGTATGTCAGCGTATGGGGATGGGGCAGGGGAGAGAGAGAGAGAGAACTCTTATTTTAAAATAATTTCCTAACAAGAGAGCTTTTGTAAATACCAGCCTAAATTGTTATTAATGAGACTTTCTTATTTCCAAAAGCCTTCTGAAGAATGTTGTGGTGGTCATGGATTCACAGGTCTCCATTTATAGAAAGCAGAGCTAACTAAGGCACGCAAAATGTGTTGCCATGTTTAGGATGAGGCCACACTTCCTATGTGTTGCTCCCAGCCAATGACTGAGCACAACAAGTCTACTAAGTCAGTCAGCTTCCCTGGAGAAAGGGGACTCTTTGATGGCCATTTTGCTTGAATTCTCCATTCTTAATCTGTGGTTGCTTTTTTCTCTTTTAGCTTACTATGGAAATGGAAAAGAACTGCTGCTTTGAAAGTTGATATTTAAGTAATTGGGAAAAATTTGAGAACATTTATCTTTGAAATCCTTTGAAACTATATTATCTAAGGATTTAGTGTTTTTATTTTTGTCAGTAAGTAAGGTCTATGTTTATGTTTTGGTGGGGAAATGCAGTAACAAGCAGACAGAAAATAACCCTTAATATTCCTCATTCTGAGTTACTGGCACAAGTAAATATTTCACATGCCATCCCTTTCATATAGATATATTAATTTGTGAGCTATATTAATTCTTGTTATGGTTAACATGACCCTATTTTCTCACCACTTCTGTCAAATTAATAAATATACCTGAAATTTAAATATTGTTCCCTCTATGTATTACAGGTTTTTCCCATGATAGTGGGGTTGGAGGGTAAAAATAACCTGTCCTTATCTTTTAGCTAACCCAGGCACAACAGGAATACAACCTTTTACTACAGATGTGGGATTGTTCATGTCATCTACTAATGCAAGGTACACAGCTTTTTGACGGCGTTGTTCTAAAAGCAGCTATTTCTATAGCTTTAAATTACATGCTTAAATTTATATTTTGCAACCTATTAATGTCAGAAGTAAGATAGTATTAATTTCCTCTACGGAATTCTAGATAATTAGCACACTTATATTTCCTCTTATCTTCCCCTCCTTCCTTCAATGTCATAAATTTTGTTAACATGCTTTAAAATTTGTGCCTCAGTTCGTCTAATTAAAATTATTATTTACCAACTGACTTTTATATAGCATATGTCATTCAGTTATGTGAATATTGGCATTTTATATTATAATCATTTTAAATTTTTACCTTTAAAAATTAATTCAATACCTGGTTGCCACTGTAAATATTTCTTTTTATCACATGGTGAGGCAGACATAAAACATAAGGCATAAGAAATAGGTCATAGCTATTGAGAAGTATCTGCAATAAGTAGTTGATAAGGGGAACAGAGCTATGGGACCAGGCATGGGGTATATTAGAATTCTCCAAAGAAACAAACAAATAGGAGATACATATATTGAGAGATTTATTATGGGAATTGGTTCCTGTGATTGCATAGTCCAAGAAATCTCCAAAACTGTTGTTTGCAAGCTGGAGACCAGGAAAGCAGTGGTATAATTCAATCTCACACCAAAAGGCCAAGAACCAGGGGAGCAGATGGTATAAATCCCAGTTACAGTATGAAGGCCTGACAACCAGGTGGAGAGAAGTGGATGCTGGTGTAAATCCTGGAGTCTGAATTCCCAAAAACCAGGAGATTCAATGTCGGAGTTTAGGAGAAGATATATGTCCTAGTTCAAGGAGTGACAGGGAGAGAAAGAAAGAAAAAATAGAGAGAGAATTCACCCATCTTCTGCCTTTTGTTCTAGTTAGGTCCTCAACAAATTGGATGATGTCTGGCTACATTGGAGAGAGTGGATTCTCTTTACTCGGTGCTAATGCTAAGCCCTTCCACAAACATCCTAACAGACTGACCCAAGA
Organism: Homo sapiens; assembly: GCF_000001405.40. Lineage (NCBI taxonomy): Eukaryota > Metazoa > Chordata > Mammalia > Primates > Hominidae > Homo > Homo sapiens. The sequence goes on from NC_000021.9 coordinate 16,044,060, forward strand.
ATAATGTCTTAGCAGTTACTTGAGCATCCCTCAGTGCAGTCTGAAAGATGTGTACCCCCTCCACACCTGCCAAACCCTTGGAAGGTTGGTGGGAAGGCTGGATGACTGTCTCTCCCAGGTCCTATGTAACATTCTTGTTTTATTCCTCCGAGTTTGTGAGGGGTATTAGCGGAATTTGATAAAATTATCTCCACTTATTTACCATAAAATTAAAGTACGTTCTTGCGAAAAGGAGTTGTGTTGCAGCTTATGTTTTGTCAGTTGGATTCAAATTGTGTTGTATCCGATAATTTTTTTTTAAGTTTGTGACATGTGGTTTTAATATTATACTTTCCTAAATCCAGGATTGAAGGAGTTTCCCTTTCTCTTCTAGCTTCTATTTGATCTTTTTGGTTCATTTTTAGCGTAGAGTTTGTAAGTCGGGTTCTTACATTTCTCTTATTCCCAGAATTTCATTTCATGAATTGCGTGGACAACTTTCTGAAACTTTTGTAGCATGACATGTCTGGATAATGACTTAACTTACCTCAAATATCTTATTGGTGTTCTTATTTTATAATGTCCTTTTTGTGACACAGTTTGTCTTGCCTTAATTGCTTATTACTACTTAATTGCCATTACTACTAATTGTCCAAATGAATAAGAATGAGAAATGAAAATGAAAAATAAATGAGAAAAAGACATGTGAAATCTCTTCATTCCCATACTCTTATCAGCAAAACAATGTTTCAGGTTATCTGTTCCCCAACATGGAATTCTTCCTAATTCCCTTTCTGTCAGGCTGAGATTATTTCTTGTGCACATAATTCCTCCTGTGGTCTCATTATTGCTGCAAAATATTTTAAAATATATGTTTCATAGCCTGAAGTATTAGGGAAGTGTCAACCAAACTGCTCCTGGGAAATAAAATGAAGTATATTTGATTTTAAATACTCTTTTTTAAAAACTCTTGCTTGTTCTCAAGCTCTAGTTAGTTGAAATCAGTGTATAGGCAAAACTAACTTTTTTTGGTCTGTTTTGAAAACCACTGTCTTTTTAGAATACAACATCATGTAATTCTGTAGGTTTAAGAAAGATTAAGTATAACATAGCATTTGTATCTTTATATAACTAAATTCTAATTATTAATACTAAAGAATGGGGTTGAGGAGATTTCATTAAGATGAGTCAAAACTTACTCCTATTTTTGTGTTGTTGTTATTGCTTTTGTTTTTGTTTTGTGTAACTTTATCAACCAACAGTATGCACCAACCTCCTTTTGGCAAAACAGTGAACATTATATCTCTCTTAAATGATAGTGCTTTATTATTTGAACTTTTTTCAAAAGACAACGTTATTTTAACATGACGTAACTTAATATTACTGGAGAGTTTTCATTTTTAGCAGTTTCAGAGCGCTTTATGTTAGGGTTTTATTAATTCCCATAACACATTTATAAAGAAAGCCTTGGAAACAGCCCTTCACCAAGAAACGGTTACCATTCAGGGCTTGCTTCTGTGAGAAAACACCTCACCGAGAGTCTGAAATGACCAGCATTTAGCACCAATAGCCTCACTCCCCTCTCCCACAGTAATTATTTATGGATGAGCACTTAATGTCAGTATGGCTCACAAATTTGGGGTGAGGTTCTAGAGTTGCTGTCTCACAAAATCTTACATTTTCTCATTCTTTGCAATAGTTTTGCTATATTTTCTGCAATTGTTCCTATAATTTCTGCAATTTTGTTCCTTGTATTCTTATATGTTTTTTAAAATTTAGTTTGTGTAGGATTTTTTTCTTTCCAAACCAAGTGGTTTCTGACAAAGACAACCTCAAACTCGGGTAAGAAATCATGTGTTGTATTCCCAGCCCTGTCATAAATTTGCAATAATCTTGCCATAAAGAACTAGGTTTTTCTTGTCTCTCCTCCCCAAGTATTATTCATAACTCTACAGCGTTATTTCATCTATATACTCTAATTTTTTGATCATCTGTCTTCCTTAGAAGAAGCGATTATTTTATTTTTATCACCTTGATATCTTCAGCATCTACTATTGTGGTTGGCTCAATAATGTGTGCTTGATAACTTTTTGTTGATCAAGAAACAAACCACTGACTATTTGGAGTACAAGTCACTTTATAATTCTTGGATGCAGTTTGCTTAGAAGGAATCAGAATAGAGAATTTCTAAAGTTTCAACTACTAAAATTTTACCGGCCAGGCGCGGTGGCTCACGCCTGTAATCCCAGCACTTTGGGAGGCCGAGGCGGGCGGATCACGAAGTCAGGAGATCGAGACCATCCTGACTAACACGGTGAAACCCCATCTCTACTTAAAATATAAAAAATTAGCTGGGTGTGGTGGCAAGCGCCTGTAGTCCCAGCTACTCGGGAGGGCTGAGGCAGGAGAATGGCGTGAACCCGGGAGGCGGAGCTTGCAGTGAGCGGAGATCGCGCCACTGCACTCCAGCCTGGGCGACAGAGCGAGACTCCGTCTAAAAAAAAAAAAAAATTACCATTGATCTCTAGTTTCCTGTGGTTGACATGGACATTTTTGGTTTTCCTTTTCTGTCTTGGATGTTGTTTTCTGCAGCTAGCCCTTTCTTGTCTTTTGCATGTATTAGGAAACAAAGTCTAGCTTTTTGGATATTCTTTTCTTTGTTTCTGTCTCTCCACATATATTTATTTTTAGAGGCAGTGTCTATGTTTGGGCTTCTATAACAAAATGCCATAAACTGGATGGCTCATAAACAACAGTTTTTATTACTCACTGTTCTGGAGACTGGACGTTTAAGATCGAGGCATTGACAGGGTTGGTGTTTGAAATGTTTCAGCATGCAGTGCTAAGGTTTAAGAATTCAGTGCTTCCTTTTAAAGAGTCACATTGGTTTGCAATTAAGTATTAGGAAATGAAGTTCTAATACTGCTTTGATGTAAGCTAGTGTGCTTGGCAATTTCTAAATACATTAAAATTGATTTCAGCAAGATGATAAAGATTTGTAGAAAAAGGCAATTATGTTTGCAGTGTCACAAATATCTTTTTATTATCCTTTTAGTCATTTCTCCTGAGTGACTAAACGCATTTCTCCTGAGTGACTCAACGCATTGGTTGAGTTGGTGTTTGGTGAGGGCCCTTTTCCTGGTTCGTAGGTGGGACCTCTGTGAAAGCTCTTATAGGAGCTTTCTGGGGCCCCTTTATTAGGGCACTAATCCCAGTCATGAGGGCTCCACCCTCAGAATATAATCACCTCCCTAAAGCCCTACCTCCTAATGCCCTCCCACTGGGGATTAGGTTTCAACATATGGACTTGAGGAGGACATGTTCTATCTACATAGCAGGTGATTTTTAAAAAATGCTATAGAGGTCCTACCTTTAAAAGAATTTAATAAGACCGTTATTTTATAGGTGATTAATACGTGAGATACAAAAATGTAAAAACACTCATGTACTCATCCCCCAGTTTCCACAATTATCAACACGTGGCTGATTGGACTTCATCTCTACTTTACTCAATCCCCCAGCCCTGCTGGGTAATTTAAAAGCAAGTATTAAACATCCTATCAATTAATCTGTAAATATTTTAGTGTGCAACTCTAAGGTTTAAGAATTCAGTGCTTCTCTTTAAAGAATAAAATTGGTTTGTAATAATTTAAGTATTAAAAATGAATTTCTGATATTGCTTTGTTGTAAACTAGCGTGCTTAGCAATTTCTAAATAGAAAAAAACTAAAATATAATTGAGTTTAGCAAAGTGACAAATATTTGTAGAAAAAGGCAATTATAGCTAAAGTGTAGCAAATATCTTTTTGTTATCCTTTTAGTCACTTCTCAGTTTCTAGTCTCTTTTTTCAGTGCTTGGCTAAGATCAGTAGAGAACTGCAACTCCTCTCAAATGCTATGCATTCCATCCTAGTGGTCTGAGATAATTCTCCAAAAGTTACATCAAACCTTAAACTTTATAGCAAATCTTACTCCTACATAATAACATGGATTCATGTTACACTGAGCATAGTCCCTAAGTATTACCCTGGGAAGTCTTCATCCAGCTGTTTCAAATTATTTTCATTTCATACGTCATGTTAATAGCAGGGAGGAGACTATTGCTAATGGTTTTTTCTTGGAAATTAATCTGTCAACCTGGTGAAAGTATAATGTTTCAGCAGATAAGAAGGGACCCTTCAGTTTAACATCCTAAGCATATTAATACACTTAGCAAAAGCATAGCAAGATTAAGTAATCGATTAGAATTTCCATTAAGAATGCGGAAAGAGCACATAGAGCGGGGGATTAACAGCCCTTCAATGTGATGTAGTCATAAAATGTTTAAAAAATACATTTAGATTTTAGGTAGTGATGGTTGAATTCTAATGATGTGCCTTGGGCCTGGGGGTAGATGTATATAGGCAGTGTAGTGGCCAGAATTTAATGTAATATTTTATGATGTAATATGCTATACTGAGCCCGCATTTGTGGTGTTGGAATGGGGGGAGATTTTTCCGGTGAGCCATGTATAAAATAAGCTTATGATTTCTCTGATGGTAGTCACTCAAAGGATTTTCAAAAGTTGTTTTATGACTTTGTAATTGAATAAGGGTGCCCAGGATTCACAATGTTTTTTATTAATGAGTTAGGAGAAATCTTCCATTGTGCGAAAACACAGATTTTAATCACAGGTACAGATTGTTATAGAATCAAAGACAAAGAATGTAATGGTGTATCAGTCCTGGAATGTATAACCTCAAACAGATTGCAATATTTCTCTGCCTTTGGCTGTTAATGTACTGCTTTCTCCAGCATTGAATATGCCAGATACTTGTTTTTCACTTCTCATCCAATAATTTATTTCATATCCTTTTTAATTCACTCGTCTTTTCACTCTTAATGCAACTCTCACACTGTAGCATAAACTTAAAGCTGCCATAAATTACTTTCAATTTTGCATATATATTTTTCATAATTTTAATAGCTTGTGAATAGACTCTAAGTCAGATACTTATAACATTAGAGTTCAGCAGAGGTGAGCTAATTTTTCTCTTGTGATATATGGATAGATCTCCAGTACAGATAATGGTTATATTTCTATCTTTTATCTCTATCTGTAGCAACAGATACTCCCTCCAGATATTTTTCACTGTATACCTCAAAAACTTATTATATTTTTGGATTATTAGGCCTCCTACTGTAAAGGAGTATAAAATAGAGAAATCTTATTGTACTGAGAAAGAGGCAGATCTTAAATGTCAGAAGGGAAGATGTCATTACTCTTTCCCATCCTTAGGTACCAAAAGCGGATGCTTATTAATAGATAAAAAGTAGAGTGTTCCTAATACATATTAAGAATTAGGCAAATAAAAATGAAAATTGTTTTCCCACTTACACAGTAATTCCACTTCAGAGAATCTAAGGAAAACAGATAAGGGAGAAAAATTGAAGCACAGGATAAGTTAATTACAGAATTTTTATGATAGCACAGAATGAAAATGTCCTAAATGTTTCATTAAAAGTATTAATAAATGGTTCAGTAATGACAAGTAAATTTTGGAACACATATTCAATTTGCTATAGAGGTATATATTAATTACTCATTTAAAATGACAAGAAAAGTTATGTAATTTTATGGAAATTGCTAAAGATGGGATAATTACTATTATAGAAAACATCCACAAGACCTTAGACAAGCAAAACAAAAATATGTTGATAAAGACTCAAATCTAAAACCTCAATCTATGAAACTACTACAAGAAAACATTGGGGAAAATCTCCAGGGCATTGGTCTGGGCAAAGATTTCTTGAGCAATACCCCACAAACACAGACAACCAAAGCAAAAATGGACAAACAGGATTACATCAAGTTTAAAAGCTTTTGCACAGCAAAGAAAACAATCAACAAACTGAAGAGACAACCTACAGAGTGGGATAAAATATTTGCAAGTTGCCCATCTAGCAAAGGACTAATGACCAGAACATATAAGGAGCTCAAACAACTCTATAGGAAAAAATCTAAAAATTCAATCAAAAAGTGGACAAAAAATTTGAACAGACATTTCTCAAAAGAAGACATACAAATGGCAAACAGGCGTATGAAAAGGTGCTCAACATCATTGATAATCAGAGAAATGCAAATCAGTACTACAATGAGACATTATCTCACCCCGTTAATATGGCTAATATCCAAAAGGCAACAACAAATGCTAATATCCAAAAGGCAATAACAAACGCTATTATCCAAAAGGTAATAACAAACGCTTATATCCAAAAGGCAATAACAAACGCTAATATCCAAAAGGCAATAACAAACGCTAATATCCAAAAGGTAATAACAAACGCTTATACCCAAAAGGCAATAACAAACGCTAATATCCAAAAGGCAATAACAAACGCTAATATCCAAAAGGTAATAACAAAAGCTTATATCCAAAAGGCAATTACAAACGCTAATATCCAAAAGGCAGTAACAAACGCTTATATCCAAAAGGCAATAACAAATGCTAATATCCAAAAGGCAATAACAAACGCTTATATCCAAAAGGCAGTAACAAACGCTTATATCCAAAAGGCAATAACAAATGCTAATATCCAAAAGGTAATAACAAACGCTTATATCCAAAAGGCAATAACAAACGCTAATATCCAAAAGGCAACAACAAACGCTTATATCCAAAAGGCAATAACAAACGCTAATATCCAAAAGGTAATAACAAACGCTTATATCCAAAAGGCAGTAACAAACGCTAATATCCAAAAGGCAATAACAAACGCTTATATCCAAAAGGCAATAACAAACGCTTATATCCAAAAGGCAGTAACAAATGCCTGTATCCAAAAGGTAATAACAAATGCTTATATTCAAAAGGCAATAACAAACGCTTATATCCAAAAGGCAATAACAAACGCTTGTATCCAAAAGGCAATAACAAATGCTTATATCCAAAAGACAATAACAAACGCTTATATCCAAAAGGCAATAACAAATGCCTGTATCCAAAAGGTAATAACAAACGCTTATATCCAAAAGGTAATAACAAATACTTGTGAGGATGTGGAGGAAAGAAAACCTTTGTACACTGTTGGTGAGAATGTAAATTAGTACAACCACTATTGAGAAGAGTTTGGAGGTTCCTCAACAAATCTAAAAATTGAGCTACCATATAATTCAGCAATCCCACTGCTGGGTATATATCCAAAAGAAAGGAAATCAGTATATCGAAGAGACACTGTACTCCTACATTTGTTGCAGCACTGTTTACAATAGCTAAGATTTGGAGGCAACCTAAGTGTCCATCAACCGATACATGGATAAAAAAAATGTGGTACATATACACAGTGGAGTACTATTTAGCCATAAAAAAGAATGAGATCCAGTCATTTGCAACAATAACATGGATGGAACTGGAGATCATTATGTTAAGTAAAAAAAGCCAGGCATAGAAAGACAAACATTGCATGTTCTCACTTATTTATGGGATCTAAAAAAGCAATTGAATTCATGGACATAGAGAGTAGAAGGATGGTTACCAAAGGGTGGCAAAGCTACTGGGGGTTGGTATAGTTAATAGCTACAGAAAAGAAGTACTTAGAAAGAATGAATAAGGCCTACTATTTGATAGCATAATAGGTTGACGATAGTCAATTACGACTTAATTTTACATTTTATAATAACTTAAAGACTAAAATTGGATTGTTCTTAACTCAAAGAATAAATGCTTGTGGGATGTATTATTACCCCAATGCTATTATTACCATTTTCCATGATGTGCTTATTTCACATTCCATACCTGTATCAAACATCTCATGTACCCTATAAACATATACATCTACTCTGTACCCACAAAAATTTAAAAAATATGTATTGAAAAAATTTTTTAAGCATTTATAGTGGTTGCATTTGGTGATAATACAATGGTGGTTTATTTCTCCTATTTGCTGTGTTTTCTCAGTTTTTGATTACACAGATGCAGCACCACTACTTAAACCATGTCTTGGGAAAGGTTAAACAACTTAATGTAAGTTAGTGACATCCTGTAAGCTTAATTCAATTTATGTGACCTAAAACAGCATTCTGCTATGAGAAAGAAATGTAATTAATTATTTTGAGATATATGTTGTAGCTATTATACAGTAATAAAATGTTAGTGAGAGAAGCTAGGTGTGGTGGGATACACTTATTTATTGTAAAATTCCTTCAACTTTATTGAAAGCTTGAAATATTTTATGATACAATGTTAGGGAGGAACAACAAAAATATGCTCTGAGTTTCTGACAACCACCTTACAGTTAAGCTTTCAGAGCATCATTTCTACGCAAGTCGGAGGCAGTCAGTATAAGGTCCATTATTCATTCGTAATTCTGTTTTTCCTGGTATAATCTAATTAGATGTGACATAGTCAAATATTGGGGGTTATACAAATTGATCTGTTAATATGTAATTTTTTTCTTGTGCTTATGGCCATTTTTACTCTAAGTTTGATTCTATGGGTTAACTATAATATTTTATTACTCATTCTCCTAAATATTATCTCTTCTATTATCTGCCCTTAAAATTTCTTAATATGTTGATGTAATATTTGAATAATTTATTTATAGGGAAACAAAAGTACATTTTTCATAAATAATATTACTATGTATATAGTAATAGAAGTCTATGTATTCACATGTATGTAATATATATTTTTTCCTTACCACAGTGCTGTTTTATATTTTTAAATAACCTAAAGTTTTTTTTTCTTTTTTTTTTCTTTATTATTATTATACTTTAAGTTTTAGGGTACATGTGCACAATGTGCAGGTTAGTTACATATGTATACATGTGCCATGCTGGTGCGCTGCACCCACTAACTCATCATCTAGCATATGTAATATATTATGTGTTATATAGTTATACAATTAAACATTATTAAGAAGATGGTAACCAGCTGTTCTCCTTCTTCAGTGATGCAACAGAGCTAGAATGAATGGGGCTGGGAAAAATATAAAGCAGAAAGAATTTCATTATGCACATGTATTTAATTTGGGAACAATACATGTTTCAGTGAAATGATTGTGTGTATGTATATGTATAATATAGGAATATAGAAATAATTGCCTTGAGAAGGTCTATTTGAAAATGCATATGTACTAAGTTAACCTAAAATATAAAAATTTTCTTTTTATGAGCTCATGAACTGTAAAAGGCTACAGGCAATATATATTTATTATCCTGCTATCAGGATATTAATAAGATAAAATATAGATCACTTCAGGTGTGTGTTTCCTTTGTAAATTTTTAAATTTTAGCATTTTTTAAAGCACATGGATTAAAAAGGTGAATTAAGCTAATTTCATCAAGGAGACAGAAGATCTATGCAAAGCCTCCTAGAGTAGTCTTTCTGAACTGACATTTTTCTTTGGTCAATATTTGCTGCTAACTTTTAGATCAATCCTTTGAAATTATACATTTGTTGGGATTTTTCTTTGGTCAACATAGTGACAGGAAATGAACCAATGATATAAATTTATGTTTAACTTTCCTAAATTCAACTTTATCTAGAGACTTCCTTTTGGTTCCTTGCTTATAAACATATCCCCTTGAAGTTATTTACAGTTTAACTATCATTATGATAAAAATCCTTCTACTTATCAAAAAATATTTTATATATACAGAGCTAATGAAATATATCGCCTCTGTGTGTACAAAATATGAAAGTTAATATGTAATGCAAAATATATTTCTGTTAACATTAAATCAGATTACAAGTAATAGAAAAATCCAAATAGTGGTGATTTAAACAAGACAGAATTGTATTTCTTCCTCAAATTTATGAAGCAGAGAGATAATTTCAGGCTCGTTTTGGTGTTCAAAAGACACTGAAATTCCTTTCATCTTGTTCTGTTATATATGGTTTCCACTGTAAAGGTTAACTCTTAATCCAAGATAACTGCTGAAGTTCCAGCCATTGCATCTGCATTTCAGCCATCAGGATGGAAGAAGGCAGAAGGGCATGCCCCTTTTATTTTAAGGCACACTTCCTGAAATTTTTACAGAACACCTCAGTTTATATTTTATTAGCCAGAAGTTAGTCACATAGTCACACGTAGCTATACAATAGACTGTCAAATGTAGTCTTTATTTCATCTGGCTATGCACCAACCTGAAAATCATGGTTACCTCACTGTGGTAGACAAAACAGTAGCCTCCCAAAGATGTCCATGTCTTAATAATTTTACAGAGCAAGAGAGACTTTGCTAATGTGATTATATTAAGAATCTTGAGACAAGAAGATTATCCTGGATTGCACAGAAGGCCCAGTATAATCACCAGGGTCTTTAAAAGAGTGAAGTTCAGAGGAGATGGGATGATGGAAGCAGAGATTGGAGTGAAGTGTGTGAAGATGGAGAAGGACGTAAAAACCTAAAGAATGCAGGTGACCTCTAGAAGCTGGAAAAGAAAAGGAAACAGATTCTTCCTGAAAGTCTTTGGAAGGAACCAGTCCTACAAACACTTTAATTTTAGTTCTTTAAGATGCATTTAGATTTTCAACTACCAGAACTGCAAGAGAATAAATGTGTATTACTTTTAGCCACCAAATTTGTACTAAATTTCTATAGGAACAGAAGAAAATAAATATACTTATGAAGGAAAAGGGGTTTATGGTTATTAGGCCCCTTAATAGTCTACCATACATTTTCTTTTCTTTTCTTTTCTTTTCTTTTTTTTTTCTTATTTTTTTTTTTGAGACGGAGTCTCACTCTGTCACCCTGGCTGGAGTGCAGTGGTGTGATCTCAGCTCACTGCAACCTCTGCCTCCCAGGTTCAAGCGATTCTCCTGCCTCAGCCTCCTGAGTAGCTGGGATTACAAGTGCCCACCACCACGCCAGGCTAATTTTTGTATTTTTAGTAGAGACGGGGTTTCACCACGTTGGTCAGGCTGGTCTTGAACTCCTGACTTTGTGATCCACCCGCCTCAGCCTCCAAAAGTGCTGGGATTACAGGCATGAGCCACTGTGCCCGGCCTACTCTACCATACATTTTCAGTGGCATATCCATAATTTTGGTCCTTGAATCTATCTATAGTTTTTTCATATTTGGATTCAGCAGTCAAGTGTCATTGGCAAGTGGGTAAGAACTCTAAACAGGCTGCCTAAGTACATAGGGCTCAGTTTAAGCACTTGGTAATTGAGAACATCTATTACACAGCCACCAGTACTGTGGGAGAAGGCCTCCCTCAAGTGCTTTGTCTAGTATTTGCATGCATATTCCCTCAATCCTAGCATACAACAATCAAGTAGTAAGGCCTGGAATTGAGGCCAGAGAGAAAGAGAGAACAAAAAACCTGGGTGTGTTGAGGAGGAGGTCCCAGAGAGTGGCCTGTCTCTATTTGATGTCCTGGTCCTTTCTCTTAGTGCCTGGTAGTCTGTCTCCTAGGTCTCCCCATCTGTCTGAGTTCACCCTCCATTGCCACTTCTCAGGTTGATGATTTCTGTCTGATTATCTCACCACTCATGCTGATCACTGCTTTCTAAAGGGGATTTTGGTGTTGTTCTTGACCCTAGATTATTCTTCAACTCAAGTTTTATACATTGGCTGAGTATTAATTTTCTTTTGTTAATTTGAGACTTGCCCTCTGTAGTAGATAGAATAACGTTCCCCCAAAGATGTCCATGTTCTAATCCCCAGAACCTGGAAGTATGTTGCATTATGTGGCAAAGGAGATTTAGAATTGCATATACAATTAAGGATGCTAATCAGCATATGCTGAGATTACCTTGGATTTTATCTGAGTGGGCCCATTGTAATCACAAAGCCTTAAAAATAGAAGAGGGAGGTGGAAGGTTTCAGCATATGAGGGAGATATAACTAGAGAAGAACGATCTGTGAGATGCAACACTCCTGGGTTTGAATCTGGAGGAAGAGGCCACCAGCCAGGGCATGTGGGTGCCCTCTAGAATGTGGAAAAGACAAGGAAACAAATTCTTCCTTAGAGCCTCCAGAAGAAACACAGCACTGCCAACACTTTGATATTAGCTCACAAAAACCCATTTTGAACTTCTCACTTCCAAAACTGTGAGATGATAAATTTGGCTTGTTTTAAGCCAATAAATTTGCAAACATTTGTTACAGCAGCAATGGGAAACTAATGATATATCCGCCAACCTGTTTAAAAAAAAAAGACTTGAGAGATTAGAGGTTAAAGCACTGAATAAGAGGAGACATTTATGGGAGAGAAAAAAAATCCCTCTAACGGAAGCAGAGGCAGCACAATTTATAACACTTGTGCAACAAATTTTGCTTCACATTTTCTGGCATCAAAGGCAAAAAGAGAAAGATCTTTGGTTACATAGTTTTCATTATCTGATGACAGCATATAAATGCACCTGAAAATGTAGCATTTTTCTTCCAAATGTACTAGAACTGAGATTCATTGAAGTGTCCTTGCTTAGAAGACACTGGCAAAACTGAGGGCCATTCTTTGAACCATGGTTTAGGAAAAGATAGAGTTTCCACTGGCTCCTAAGGGAGCAAAGACTGTGTTGTGATTTTGAGGTCATCTGAGAGAGGCTCCAGTTATGTATGCAGAGATTTTGCTTTTTGAAAGTCTTAATGTAGAGATATCTCCTGAAAGAAGTAGCTGAAAGAAAAGTTAATTTAGCTGATTAAACACCAATTTTCTGATTGCAAGGAGAGTAAAGCAGCTGTGTTCTCCTTTGGAGAAGAGGTCTTTTAGACAGAGACAGGCTTTAATGAACTTGAATAAGTCCTGTTTTAGGCAAATCTCAGTGAAGAAGAAAAGTAAGGGTTCAACAAAGAGGTAAGTTCAGGGCTGCCATTCCTCATCACAGCAGGCAAGGTAGCCTGGATCACTGCTGCCAGGAGGGGGATGCTGCCCACAACCGCGGCCCCTTTCCTATCTGCCAAGGGTAGGAACCCAAGTCCCAGCAGGTGAAGCAGAACTGAATTGAATAATTGTCATATATAACTGCTTTATATATAATGCTGCAAGCTTTATCCACTCCAGGCCAGAGTTGGATGGTATGAAAAAAGAAAGTGTAATTGCATAGTGGTGGCTTTCTATTGAGACACTTGGATGGATGCTAATATCAGCAACCTGTTACCAAGATAAACAGTTAAAAAAAAAATAAGTCCTGGAAGAGTTAACATTGCTCTCAAAATTCAGAGTTGTAAGATAACCTTTAGCCAAACTCTACCTTGTTGATTCAGTCGAGAATCACACGTTTTCCATAAGATTGGTGGGAGGCTGTCAATGCAAGAGCCAGATTTGCATCTGTTTCCCGAACTATATCTGCCTTAGAAGATTTCACAGCAGGGACCAGTTTATCTCATATGTATTTTTAATGCTAAAAGAATTTTAAAGTTTTCTCAGTTTTTTTTTAAATACTTCCCCACCACCAGGGTATATTGATCTTCAAAATTCTGCATCATATAAACAGCAAAAAACGATTTTTTTTTTTGAGATGGAGTCTCGCTCTGTCACCCAGGCTGGAGTGCAGCGGCGTGATCTCAGCTCCCTGCAACCTCCGCCTCCCAGGTTCAAGCGATTCTCCTGTCTCAGCCTCTCGAGTAGCTGGGACTACACAAAAAATGATTTTATTCTAAGTGCTATTTAGATTAGGATATTTTCAGGGAGACTGAGGAAGATGACATGCATCGAGTACATTTTTGGGGGCTATACACCAAGGAAGATGTTTTAACATGTTACTTTATTTCATCATTGTGACAACATTCTAAAATAGGTTTGATGATTGATCTCTGTTTTATAAATGAATAAATTTCATCTCAAAGCAGAAAAGCCAAGATTGAAACCTGTGCTTCCTCCCAAGCCTGTGCTTTTCTTACTACCTTACTTTGCTATTTAGTTTATTGAATTTTCACCTCAGAAATACACAGTTAATTTTTTAAGAAAGAAATGAATGTAATGTGGGGAAGTTCTTTAATCTCTGTAACTCCATATTGAAGGAAGACACCACAAATGTAAACACTCATTAAATATTAACTGAGGAAGTATCTACATGGTCTTCACCATCTGGAAGAATGTGGGAAAAACAAGTGAATAAGCCAAATGTTCCTGAATATCTGTACATTTGGCATCATGTTGCTAAATGATGCATATGCTTGGTGTCATTTCTTTTTAACATTTTATTTAGTTATATTTGTTATTAAAAATACAGTTAAAAGAAAAGGTCCCCATTTCCTTTCCCAACCCATTTAATAAGGAGTAGCAAATCTTAACACATTGGTTGGTATCTTCCCAGATATTTTAAATTCTGATTATAAATGTAGTATTCATGCATGTGCATGTGCACACTTGTACACAGAATTATGCTTATTGTTCTGTGCTCTGCTTTTTAAGGGAATTTTGTCAACATTTTTCTGTATAGATAACTATCTTATTTCCTTTGTGACATTGTTGGATTGCTAAGTGTCATTTACACAGAGCTCAAGATGGTATAATCTTGTAAATATTGTGAAGAAAACAATGTACTCAAAATCTCGTTCTATTTCACAGAAAACATTAAGATAAGTAAAAACAGAAAAGCATTATACATGATTTATTAAGTTTTATGTCAAAATGCACTTATGAATTGTAGTGTTGCTAAAGATGGTACTTCATTTAGTGTGTAGTTTTGGCAAGTTTTTTGACTAATATTAAGATTACATAAGTTAGGATTGTGTTTTATTACATGTAATATATGGCGACTTTAAAATATTGGAGATTATTTTGCTCATTTTGGGAAAAACTACTCACGGCCCAGCTACTGAACATCTGTTCAGGAATATGAACTAGGGGAGTGGGTACCATAATTTATTCGTAGCTCAGAAAGGCCTATTCCAGTTCTCAGGAGAACGTCAAGGCAGGACACTTGTGTGGAGTGAACTGAGGATGGTGATCAGGCAATAGTTCACAAAAAGGAAAGCAGGCTCTTCATCAACCCATAAAAAGACAAGGTTCAAGCTGACATTAATTCCTCAGTACAAGAAAACAGGACAATGGCAAGAGGGATCTCTGCCATGATCTTTATCTGTTGAGTCACACTATTGCCATCTGGACATGTTGCCTCTCCATGTCTAGAGTACAAATGTTGTTCTGGAATCTCCCTTTACCTTGGAAGGAAATCAAGATTTCTGTCACCTCTCTTCTATTTTGGGTTCCATGACACTGGCATCTCATATCTCCCTCTTTTGCATTTTTTTCTTTCATTTTGGTGAAGCTTAGCTTCCACTACATTTTTTTAAAGTTTATATTAGATTGTAACATATATACAGTAGACAAAATCTTAAATGTGCATCTTGATAAAAACTCACACATGTACACACTTGTGTAACTGCCACCCAGATTCAGATATAAAATCTGGGTTTCCTGAACCCAAAAGATTCTCTTGTGCTCCTTTTTAGTTAACATTCTTTTTCCCAACCAAGGAAACACTATTCTGACCTCTATCACTATACAGGAGTTATACTTGTTCTTAACTGTCATATAAATGGAATCATATGGTATATATAGTTTTGTGATTGACTCCTTCGGCTCAACATTTGTGTTGTTTAACATGGAAATAGTTCACCCATTTTTATTATGTGTGCAATTATTTTGCCCATTCTATCATTGATGCACTTTTGGGCTATTTCCCAAATATTCTTATGCATGTCTTTTGGTAGAAATACCGTTCTGTTTTGCTTGACTGTATACCTTGAGGTGGAATTATTGGATCACTGGGCGTATATATATTCAGATTTATTTGATCTTGGCAAAGAGTGGGTGTACCAATTTATAGCCAAATTAGCAAAGTACAAGAGGCTTGATTGATTCACTTTATTGAAAACACTTGATATTGTCACGGGCTTCCTGGGTTGTTGCTTTGCCAGCCAGACACCTCTGCGGCTGGTGGCACCTTTGCCCAAATTTTGCTTGAGCCCACTGGACTCATTCTGCCCACTTAGCCTGGTAGGCTGTGCTTGGCTTTCGCTATTGGCCGAGATTCCATGTCTGCCAAGGGCGAGCCAGGCACAGAGAAGTGAGTGAGTGAGTACATGAGTACATGAGTGAGTACATGAGTGAGTGAGTGAATGCAGGGTCCAGCCACTACATTCAGCTAGGCATGTGAGCTGCTGTGGGGTGGGCAGCACCAGGCGCTGGCATGGGCTCTGGTTCCCTGCTGCAGCTGGACCAGGTGTACTGCAAGAGGCTTCCACTGCAGGCACCAGGGAACATGGTAGCACCTGGAAGCTTGGAGACAGCAGGAACCACAGAGCCCCAAATAGGGTGATATAGCCCTGGCTCAGGGACCTCCTAAGTCTGGGATCCCTGAAAGGCCTCAACTCTTCCCTTTCCTCTCCTTCTCATCACCTGTAACATGGCAAGTGAGGGGCATGTTTCAGCCCTGCTTGTGTTACAGCCTTTTCAGTCCTGCCATTTGGTGGATCCTGAGTTCTTGTCCTACATCCTGGAAGAATGAGGTACACAGACAACTGGAGGGTGAACAAGGCAAAGATGTGCTTTATTCGAGCAACAGTACAGCTCTCAGGAGATCCAAAGTGGGTATCTCCTTTCCACAGGCAGGTTGGCCTGATGAGTGCAGCCCTCAATGGAGAGGAGACCCAGAATGGGTAGCTCCTATCTGCGCTCAGGTTATCCTGACATCTCTCCAGCCCTCAGTGGAGAGGAGACCTGGAGTGGGTGGCTCCTATCCCTAGGCAGGTTGTTCCAACGTCTCTGCAGCCCTCAACAGAGAGGAAACCTGGACTGGGTAGCTCCTATCTGCAGGCAGGCCATCCCATTGTTTGCCTGAGTCTGGCTGAGTCCAGAGTTTTTATGGGCTTCAGAGGGGAGGAAGTGCATGTTGATTGGTTCATGGGTGGCCATGGGCACACCTGGAGAAAGCACCGTAAGTTTCCACTCTGGTCTGTGGAACCGGCAGCTTAGCCCCCAGGCTTCAGGCCATCTCTGGCGTGAAGGTGGGGTTTTAATGGGGATCTTCCTGTTTCTGCCCAGGAACCTGTCTGCCTCCTGCTACCATTCATGATGCCCAGGCTGTTTGTGCCCTCGCCAAGTTGCCCTAAGCCCCACCTCGGCCTCCTTCCCATGCTCCTCAGTGCCCAAAGTTCAGAGGAGGCCTAGGGGGCTGGGTGCTGGCATGTCAGTACCGCCCTAAGCGTGTACACGCCTGGCTGGGTCATGACAGTGCCCAGGTTTGGCCACAA
Source organism: Homo sapiens (assembly GCF_000001405.40). Taxonomy (NCBI): domain Eukaryota; kingdom Metazoa; phylum Chordata; class Mammalia; order Primates; family Hominidae; genus Homo; species Homo sapiens. The sequence goes on from NC_000021.9 coordinate 16,061,229, forward strand.
CTTTGCTCTGAAATCAGAGTGGGTGCCAGGAGTGGGGAGATGCCAGGCAGTGGGAGCAGGCACTTCCAAGCCTGCAGGGGCAGGGGGGCTTCCTGGGCCCCAGAAGCACAGGATGCCTAGGTCTGAAGCCGTGGTTATGTGGCTGCAGCCGTGCCCAGGTGGGCGGGCTCTCACCACACCAACTTGGGGGAGAAACTCCCACCTGTTCCCAGCTCCCACCAGCTCTGCTCGAGCACGCGGCCCCAGCCGTGCCTTTCCCCGCTGCAGCCAGCATCTTTGCAGCAGCAGCTTCATATGGGCCACTGCTGCTATCAGTAATGTTAATCTTCTGAATTTTTGCAATTTTGTTAGCTATGTAGTCGTATCTAATTGTAGCTTAAATTTTTATATCCTTGGTGAATTGCTTATTTCTATTTCCCATTTTTAACTGGGTTGCCTACATTTTTTCTTTACTTATTTGTAGGAATTCTTTTTTTTTTTTTTTTTTTTTGAGACGGAGTCTTGCTCTGTTGCCCAGGCTGGAGTGCAGTGGTGCCATTTCGCCTCACTGCAAGCTCCGCCTCCCAGGTTCACGCCATTTTCCTGCCTCAGCCTCCCGAGCAGCTGGGACTACAGGTGCTTGCCACCACGCCCGGCTAATTTTTTGCATTTTTTAGTAGAGACGGGGTTTCACCATGTTAGCCAGATTGGTCTCGATTTCCTGACCTTGTGATCTGCTCACCTTGGCCTCCCAAAGTGCTGGCATTACAGGTGTGAGCTACTGCGCCCGGTCAGGAATTCTTTATATATTTTGAATGTGACCCCTTTATATATATTGCATGGACTGAACCTTCTTGCAATATATTTCTTGCTATATAAGTTATCTCTTTCCATAATATTGTCAAAAAACAGACAATAAAAAAATCCGGGAGTCACAGAGCAATAGCACTTATTTAACTTGAGATTCTCTAAGTTTCGGATGGTTTCATGCTCTCTCATGCATTTGTGGTCATCTGTGGGAAAACAAGCTGCTCTACCGTTATTAGCTGGACTCATTGACACGTCTGGGTTGGCTGCCTATTGACTGATCTAGCATGGCTGTATCTGGTGAAACTGAAGCAGTTTGACTCTGCTCCACATGCTTCATCTTCCAGAAAGCAAGTTTCAGTATTTTCTTATAATCATGGCAGACAAACAAGAGCTGAAACAGAAATGGTCAGCTCTTTCAGCTTCCTTTAGCTGTCTGTCATATCTGTTAACATCCCATTGGCCAAAGCAAATCAGAAAGCTGATACGAAATTAAGGGTTGGAGTAAAATCTCTACCTCTGTAGTAAGAGGAATTGAAAGTTTCATGAAAAAGCATGAAAAACTGGGGACATTAATGCAATCAATCTTTTGTACTTGCCTTTTTACTCTATTAAATGGTGACTTTTGATGAATATAACTTTCTTATTTTATACAATATAATTTATTATTCTTTTATTAACAATATGGCTAGTCACTTTTTGCTGTTTCTTAAATATATGTCTACCCCAAGCTTATAAAAAAAACTGTCCTAGGTTTTTTAAATAGAAACTTTCTTTTTTTTTCTTTTTTCCCATTTTGGGTCTATAAGTCACTATAAATTAATTGTTATACAGGGTGTTAAAAACCATATATATCTAATTGTTTAACACAATCACTGGAAAACTTCTCTTCTGAATAAAAAGAAAAAATAATATTTATAGTATATTATCAGATAATTGTTTATGAGTAGATCTGCTTTAGAATGCTATTCTGTTTTATGCTGTTTTTTTTGTCTGCCCTTGCACAAATACAATACAGTCTTAATTAGTTTAATTGCATAGTAATTCTTGATATCTGATATAGAAGTCTTGATATTATCTTGGCTATTCTAAGCCTTTTACTTTTATATATAAATTTTGGAATCAACATAATTTTCACCAAAACGTGGTGATTTTGATTTTGATTTGATAGAATTTATTGATCAATTGGACAGAACTGATGTGATTCTAATATTAAAAATCAGAATCCATAAACATGACATATATCTTGATTTATTTAGGTTCTTTAAAATTTCTTTCAGTAATATTTTAAAGTTGTCTGTCTAGTACTTTTTGTTGATTTATTGCTAAAGATTTATTTTTATGGTATTGTTAAAAGGGAATTTTAAAATTTTAAAATTTTAATTGGTTTCGGTATATAAACTACAATTGATTTTTGTAGTTTGACTTTATATTCTGATACATTTACTTATTAATTCTAATAGTTGATTTGTATGTTTTGGATTTCCATTATGCATCATCGAGTCATCTCCAAATATTGACAATTTTACATGAAACTTTGATGTATTTATACCATTTTTCTTGACTTTTCCTACATGTTAAGAACTGCACAATGCTGAGCATAAGTGACAATAGTGGAGATTATTATCTTGTTTCTGAAGTAAGGGGAAAAGCATTCAATATTTTACTTTTAAGAATCTATCCATCTATTACCTATCTATCTATCTATCTATCTATCTATATATCTATCTATTATAAGCTAAGAAAATATCTTCATTTTACTAGTTTGGTAAGAGTTTTTATCTTGAATAAATGTTAAAGTTGATCAAATAAATTTTCTGCATCTATTAGGATGGTTGCATGGTTTTGCTTCTTCATTATTTAATGCGATGAATTATATTGATGCTTTTAAAAAAGTGAAAACATTTCAGTCCTAGAATAAACTCTACTTGGTCAGGATGTTTTATCCTTTTATATATACATGACTTCAAGGCATGAATTTTTTGATTAGAAATTCTGCTTAGATATTTATGAAAATATTGTTCTGTAGTTTTCATTTTTTGTGTGTAAAATTTTTGTCAGGCTTTGTTATCAATGTTATGCCAGACTCACAAGACGTTTGCAATTGTTCCATCATTCTCTGGTTTCTGAATGATTTGGTATGGGATTAGTATTGTGACTATCTTAAATTTTTGAAAAATTTTACCAGTAAAGCCATTTGGTCTTGGAGTTTTCTTTCTAGGGAGGTGCTTAATTCAGGTTCAATATGTGATTATTCATGTTTTTTGTTTTCTTGTATGCCAATTTTGGTAAGTTGTGTTTTTTAAGGAATTAATCCATTTCATGTAAGTTTTCTAGTTACTGGTGCAATGCTATTTCTAATATCCTCTGTGCACCTTTTTAATGCCTTTAGTGTCTGTAGCCATGTTCTCTTTTTTCATTAATGATGTTGGCATTATCTTGCTCCTTTTTCATAATATATGTTTGTTAGGAATTTATTATTTTAAATTATTTTCAAAGGACCACTATTTTTCTGTACTGAGTTTCTCTATTTTATGACTGCTTTTTGTTTCATTGATTTCTGCAGTTAATATATATTTTTTCTTTTACTTTCATTGGGATTAACTTGTTTTTATTTTTCTAGCTTTTTTAAATAAAAGCTTAAATTTTAGTGTTTTAAAAAATATATATATTTACCTCTATAGTATTTTTTAAATCACTGTTACAGTTACATGCATTTCACAAATTTGGCAGGTTGTATTTTATTACTATGCAGTTAAAAACATTTTCTAATTTTCATTTTGTTTTCTTCTTTGACACATGGGTTAATTATAATATGTTACATAACTTTCAATTATGTAGACATTTTTGAGTTATTTTTATGTGTTGTTTTCAAATTATCTTTATAGTTCTACTTTTGAATTATCTTTATAACTGTTTATCTGTTTAATTCTACTTTGGTCCGATAAAATATATGGTATAATTACAATTCTTTGAAATTTGCTGGTACTTACGCTATGGTCCAACATCTTTTTCAATTAAGTATTTGTAAAGATAATATTCTGCATGTAATTATAAAAGGATGAAATATATATGCTGAAGTTTTTTATTGACATGTTCTCTATATATTGATAAAAGTCATTTTGGTTAATTTTGTACTTAAAATAATCCTTCTAGGAGATGACCAGTTTTTTCCTAAAATATTATAAAATTATGATAGTAGATTAATATAAATGTAAGCTGTTATATCTTCCTATTTAATTAACGTATTTGTTATTACAAAATGCCCTATTTGTTTTCTATAATTTTTTTCCTTCAATTCTTTGTCTCGTATCATTGTAATCTGTTTCTTTTTTTTTAATGTAGTGTTTGGGGATTTCTTTCTTCATCTTTTTTACTTTCAATTGGTCTCTATACTTATATTTAAAGTTTGTCTCTTATAAACAGCACACAGTTAATATGTTTTTATACTTAGTCTAAAAATCCTTGAGTTCAATATTTATGAACATATTTAATGTAGTTACTGAAAAACTGGCTTTAAATCAATACTCTTTTGATTGTCTTTTAGTTGTTCCACTTATTATTTCTTCTTTTGCCTTTCTTTGGATTAATCAGTTTTTAAATTTTATTCATCTTGTTAACAGCTTTGCAGTAATAAATTCCTATGTTATTATTTTAGAGATTATCCTACATATCATGATATCATCTCTGACTTTCTAGTCTTCCTGACTTTAGTACTTTCACCAGTTTCCCACCAAAGCAATAATTTTATCACAGTTTATCCATTTAGGTAATCTAGGAAAATCTCCCTATTTTAATGTCAACTGATTAGCAACCTTAATTCCATCAGGATCCTTAATTATCCTTTGCTACATAATGTAATATATGCAGTTTCTAGGGATCAGGATGTGGAAAATTTTGGAGGACCATCTATCTGTCACCTAAGAGGAAATAACTCAGAAGAGGCTGTTGAAACCAAAAAGCAATGAGATAAATTAATTGGCAAATTTAATTTCTTCTCCTTATCCGTAATTACACAGTGGGGTAGAGCATATAATGAAAATTAGATCACTTTTAGAAAATGAAGAAGCCATGTTTCCTTTGCGCATCTGTGGTATACAGTGAACAATTTTTTTTACTGCCCTACATGCAGATTGTGAGATACAATCTGACAACTTTCTTGTTAATCATTAATTTAATAACTACTGCTTAATATAATTCTGGACTTAGTCTATGGCTTGAGCTTGAGTAGAGCATGTCTTTCTTTTTCTTTTTTCTTTCTTTCTTTCTTTCTTTTTTTTTTTTTTTTTTTGACAGAGTTTTACTCTGCTGCCCAGGCTGGAGTATAATGGTGTGATCTTGGCTCACTGCAACCTCTGTCTACTCGGGTTTAAGAGATTCTCGTGCCTCAGCCTCCCTAGTAGCTGGGATTACAGGCGTGTACCGCCATGCCTGGCTAATTTTTGTATTTTTAGTAGAGACAGGGTTTCACCATGTTGGTCAGGCTGGTCTCGAACTCCTGACCTCATGTGATCCACCAGCCTTAGCCTCCCAAAGTGCTGGGAATACAGGTGTGAGCCACCGTGCCTGGCTACAGATAATATTTCTTTCTAATTCATCTGGATATTAAAAATAATTTTTATTTGCATGAAAATCATTACTCTGAGACAATGAGATAGTCCTAGATACTTGGTGGCAACTTCTCAGATGAAAGGTTTTCATTTTTCTTTCTAAATTTCTCTGCTGTTTCTTGTATGTAGGAAAAGAAATCATAGTAATTATAGACCATCAGATTCAAGTTAAAAGTTGCTGAAACCTGTGGCTGTTTTTTTCTAATAAAATATTTCTCATTAGCTGGTTAATCTGCTTGAAGATTTTCTTTTCCTTTGGGTATTTAGATGTCATGATTTATTATGTTATCTTTATGAAGTAATTGTATCTTTAGTAAATAATCCCATTAAAAGAGTTTGGGAACTTTGCAAGAGAAGAAGCCAGTTTTAAAAATTGAGGTGCCATGTTTTCCCACAGGGATACACTGTTCACCTTTTGGAGGTCAATATAAACAAGATCAACCATAACTGTGCACTGAGAAGTGTTTTTTGGTATCAGAATGTAGACTAATTGAACCATCAATGACACCTTTAAAATTCTTATGCCTTTCACATCCTATAAAGATGATCATTATTAAATAGTTCAAGGGTTGTGTATTTGAAATCCAAAGCATAAACACTGAATTTTTAATCTATAAGTTTGTGGGCAAAAAGCAGTCAGATATTTAGGGCCATTCTGATGATGAGCTGCATCTTGTTCTGTCATCTGAATGCTTGTCATTTTGTAGATGGGGGATAAACAGTGGTCTCTTCATGTTAATGAATATTTTCCATACTTATTAAAACTAAGTTTTTTTTAATAAGAATAAGTCAATGAGCAGACAGACAAGTTGCTTTTTATTATTTTTGTGTCTCTTTTCAAGTTCACTCTTCTTATAGAATGCATTGTATTATTCATAAAGTTAATGCGATTGGCTGCTATTTCACATTCTTACAGCCAATTTGTGCAGACTTCACTCTTTTGGTGAGATCATCATGATTGTATGTCTCAGGTTGAGCTTTTGATCTTTGTAAAGAAGTTTGCTTTCCTTCATCCTGGGAACATAGATGACGTTTATATTCTCCATACAGTTATGTTATAAATGCATGTCTTTGATCTTATGGGAGGAGGTCATAAATTCCTTATCTATAGTAAAACTCAACCAATTAAAAATATCCTGACAGCAGCCGATCAGAATCGTATTTTAATTAAGGATAGCAGCATGATAGGGTGGAAATACACTAACTAGTTACTAATTTTCTTTGGATGTCCTATATAAAAGGATGGTTTAAATTTCTAAGGTCTACTTTTTGATTAACTTACCTAGTAAAGTGGTTCCAAATAAAATTTTATTGCAAAATTATTTCAAATTTGAGTAGTATATTAAAATTTCATCATTGCAATTTGTGTTTGGGATCTGAGAGGGCTAGTAAAAACTGGATAGTAGAATACCATAAGAAATGCAATATTTTTTTCGAGTATGTCTAGCAACTCAATGGCAGAGTGTTTCTAAGTAGGAAGCCTAGCTTGTCTGGTTTAATGAATTGTAGTATTTAAGAAAGGCCTCCCATATTTTTAGTGTTTGTTTACAAATACTATTTTGTGAAATGAGTCAGATATGAATCATCCACTAATCTTGTTTATGAAATTAATATATTCAGTAAAATTCTTTGAATAACAGTAGTTTCCAAACACATTCTATGTGTTAGTGGGATCTAAATCTATGTGATATTATGACAGTTTGAACTCTGTTTTGATTTTTACTTAGCAAAATGGTGAACTCACAGTTAAGTATGACCTCTTTGATTTTCCTAAGCTTTTTTTGTTGTTGTTCAGTGTCAGTTCAAAGAATTGGGATGAGTGGGTAGAAAAGTCACACATTCTTATGAAATAAAAAGGACAGCCACAGTTTTATACATATGTGTATTTACATATATGACATATATGTATATGTGTATGTACATATGTATATATATATGTGTGTGTGAAAGTGAGGGGGAGAGAGGAATGAGGTCTACATAATTTAATTTTATTACTAGTACATTTTTATGGTTAATTCAAATATTTAGGCAAATTTGCCTTTAATAGGAAAATCATCAAAAAGGCAAGGCAAGTAGTTGCATAAGCTTTGCTTTTTTCTGAAATTACCTGCATTCACTTAGAGAAAAAAGGATTTTACATTATCTATCAAGCAACTAATTTACATATATGATTTCAGGTATTTCAATTTCAATGTGTGTAGCAGTTCAGGAATAAAAATGCAGTATTTTCTTATATTATTTGTGTTTTTTATGATTGAGCCGTACGATCTTTTGGTTTAGTTAGGAATTTGGCTTCCCCATCCCTCCTATTAAAACTTGATTTTTGGAAAGTATAGATAGAAGAGCTGTGCTTTTCTTTTAAAATGCTTATAAAATTCAAAAGCAACTGGAATACATTTTATGATACCAATTTTACATATATTTAAAAACCAGGACTACAAAATATAAATTTATAAAAAATTATAAAAAATGATTGGGATTCTTTCTCTTTGGAATGATTATATGTTATAAACATACAGCACCGTGAGTATAAATAGGTTACTGTTTCTCCTAATGTGCCTACTTTAATGATGAATTGCATTCCTGATTACAGAATCATGAGCTATCAAAATACACCAATAAATACAGGCAAACATTGGTAAAATTCCGACTTAGAAAATAATCAAAGCTTAAAGCTTAGCATTCTGATTTGGAGCAAGAAATATGTAAATTGTGAAATAATGAGCAGCTTCTGAGCACATCCCCTTTATTTTACCTGCAAGGACCTGAGTCAGAAGTCTGCATTTCAAAATGCTTCTTTTTTTTTACAGTGTGGATGAATGGCCACGAATAATACAAATTGGCTTTACTTTCCAAGTTTATTATACTTAAACATTTGTTGGCAGGTTAGCGACATCATTTATTATATAATGAGGTAAACCCCAAATGGAACCCCCAAACATCTTCTCTTCCTGGTCATCATAGGCTGCCATTCTTCCCCTAGAAATTAATACATCTGTATGCGGGATCGTGCCTTCTCATCCCCTGCTGCAGAATCCTCGGTCATAACAGCTTTTGTGTTCATGAATATGTAAATGTAACATGCATAAAATAAAATAAAAAAGCAGACAGTTTCTACCACAGACTGCCTAACTCTGTTGAACTAATACACAAAAAGCGAAGATTTAATTTTTCAAGCATTTTGAGTCAGTGTTTCAAGGCATGACATAATTATGTAATATAAAAATACATAAATTAGGCATATGCAGATGTGCATGACAGTTAGACTCAAAATAAATCGGCATGTAGTCATGGCTATAGTGATTCATGCAGATTCACTTACTCCTTCACTCTGATGCCTAGTAATACGGGGTAAATGCCTTAGGTATTTAATGACCTTGTATTTACTGACTAGATTCTACTCCTATACTTCACCCCAATAAATGACTAGGAAAATGTTTAATTAATATGTATTATTTGTATATGTATGTATATATATGTATTATACACACACATATGCTTTTTTCTTTTGAAGGGGAAAAGCGATGGCTATCTTCCACTGAAGTATTCTGGAGGAAGCTGTGGGAAGAAAATTGGTGGATTTTATTATTGAAATAAGCAGGCATGTTCATGCATATTTTTACGGCATGCATGGCTATGCGCCACTCTGTGCAAACAGTGCTATTGCAGCTTGTGCGCGGTAATTAGGTTGATGTAATTATGGTGAAATAAAGGCAGTCGCACTGATAATTTCACAGTGAATATTAAAGACATATGTGCCTTCCAGTGTACAATGAATGAACCTGAACTGCTGTCAGGGTCTAGGAGGACAGTGTGGCCAATGCACCTATTGTGTCCCTGCTGCAGAAAGGAGCCTGCCGATTGGCCACTGTCTGCAGCACATAGCACTGGCTGGTTATAAAGGACTTGTCTAGGGGAGAGCCTGTAGGTACTCCATTGTCTGGTAAAGTTCATATGACTGCATTCTTTTTGCAAGGGGGGTGGAGGGAGAGCGGGGAAGGAGGGGGTGTCAGCTCAACTGTAAAAGCTGCACAGATTTTTTTTCTTTCTCTCTCTCTGCCTCTCCATAGATTGTTTCTGTTTCATGCCCTGTCTCATTTCGCATAGCTAAAAAAGAATGCTAATTAAGATCCCTTGTCTTAACCTGAAAAATAATGACTCGGCTGTAATTAGAAATCTGGTGAGAGTTTAAAAATTCTGGTAGGGGACCAAAAACATCAGTTACGGTGCTTAGGAAGAAAATGAAGAATTATTTTTCTGAAATCAAGGTAAACATGGGAGAGGGGGGTTCCCCCCATCTTTTTAACCAATTTTAACCAATGGTGTTCTACTGCAGATGAGAAGATACTGTATTTCAAAAACTATTTTAACCATCAAATTGAAGGAACACAAATCAGTAGCAATAGAAGCCTTCTTAATCCTCCTTAGGATGCAATTCAGATGAAAGAACTGCTTTTTCTATTTTTCTTTTTGTGTGTGTGTGTTATAGATGGATCTGAGAACGCTGTCTGGGCTTGGTACCAAGAGCTGGTATTTCACAGCAGCGACCGCCTCACAGACGAGCTGTGGGAAGCAGGAGGGAGACTCTCTCTTAGGGTGCCACTACTATGGAGACACAGCTGGGCTGAACAAGATTTGCTTCAAACGACAACAAGAGAGACAGAAAGTATCTGGTTCAACCGCTGCCCGAGCAGGCAGGCACCAGAAGAGCTAGCAGCCAATCCGGCCATGCTCGAAGCCAGCTCTGCAGCTCAGCCAATCAGTGACATCATTGGTGAGAAACTCATTTACATCATGCAGTAATGAACTTTGTTTAACATAGACTTCCCCCTTTCCTGTCACCCCCCCCCCTTTCCATATTAGGTCCTTCCATTAATTATTCTGCTGGCATAATTTAAACCGCTATGCAAAAATGTGGCTACATTCTCTCTGATGGCTTTTACCTCCCCCCCCCCCCCCCCCATTGGTGTCTGCCGTCACTGAAAGTGATTCTGGGTACAATTCTATTTTGTTTTGAACTTGCAAAAATTATCTTCTCTTTCTTAAAAAAAATTCTTAACAACATTAAACCTCTGTTTATATTGTCTGATCCCTCTTCTTATGAATGAATACATGCTTCTCCAAGTTGGGGTTCAGAATTGTACAAGGCAACAGAGAATAAGGTGTGCATTGCCATGGAAGTTGCAGGTTTTTCAAACAATCTGTATCTTAGAACTTCCTTTAACGTTTCCAGATTTTATGCTGCAGTGGCCATTTTACATACAGTGCTTTATCCAAAAAGCACTTGTATGCATCTGTCACATGGAGGAAAGTTCACTCTTGTTATATTTCATTCTCCACTGCTCTCAGCCAACATTGTCATTTTATTAATGAATAGAACTGAGGTCATTTCTGGACAAATCTCCCCCTTCCCATCCCAGCACAATGCACCTGATTTGCATCCATTTACTAGAAAAAATGAATACAAGAACCAGCTTGAAAAGAAGTTAAGGGACCAGCTTACGTATTATTTCAGAATATATTGCAGTAATACAGTTTGTTTTTTTAAAATGTGTAATATTTAACATTTGCCTTAGTGTTTCTATAAAAATGCCTGCTATCCATTTGCAATGTAATACCTTTAGCAAATTTATAGGATTGTTACATAACCAAAGTAGATCAAATTAAATAACGTTCACAAATGAGTTCATTTATCTGCAGAAAACCTGTGGAAATACAATTTTGCCTTGCACATTTGTATTTAGTTGTCAGGGATAAAGTCATTTTTTCTATAGATAACTTAAAGAGGCTGGAACATGTGGCATGTGAAGATTTCAGGTTGCTTTATAAAATCCCAGAGAGCAAAACTGGGTCACACTTCAATGCAATTTCTATTAAGTCATATCTTTATTGCATATTTGCGTTAAAGGCGCACAGTTTTCTAGCAGAGAAGGTGAAGTTTCATTGTCTTTCTTTTAAAAGGATGTTTTGAATATAATTATTCAAAAACATGGAATTTTAAAAATATTGACAAGGGTTTCATAATAGTGCATGATTCATTTAAGAAGCTTAGAGAATGCAATGATAGGCATAGTCACTTTTTAAAGCATATGAAGGATTTAGATGGGAAACCATGGCCCTTTTAATTCATGAGGTATTCCATCATCCCATCATCAGTATTCAGGGGGCGACTGTCCTGAATCAGTCACGAGCTCCCCTGCTGCAGATCCTGTAATTTGAATCATGTGTAATAATATATTATCCTACTGGGGGCCTTCTTTCAGTAGGAGAATGGTTTATACATTCTGCTGTAAGAGAACTTTTGGCTTCTAGCCGACTCACAGCTATTACTCACATAGGCAATCACGATCGTCTTCCTTAAGGAATAACATCTGCACAACCTCCAGAGCCAAAAATCTGCAACCTCCCGCACAGTATGAATTATGATTTCTTGGAATTGGGAACACTTGACAAACTGAAGTAGAAAAATGGAAGGTTTAAAGGAATGGATCAACATTTTATTGAGTGTGCCATGTGGCGACAGCGCAAACTCCCATTCCTTTGAAATGATGGAGAATGGTGAGGAAAGGGGGCCAAAAATATACCTACATGTGTTCATTTGATTTTTAGACACAGCCGAAATGTAATGTGTTTTATGAAGACGTGGCTGCCTCTGTGTTTTTCTGTGGACATCCTAGCAAGGTCCTGTAAAGGGCGTAGCAACGTGGAGAAATAAATGGGGGGCGAAGGTGGTCGTGAAAGCAGAGAAATTGTCTCCCCTCGAGAAGGAAGCAATGTAATGTAGCAGGAACCATTTTGACCCCGGAGTTAAAAATTATAGTGTACCTCCGACTCTTTCTCTTGTTATCACCTTGATCAGATCACTTAATTTCTTTCCATTTTCTCCTGCATTCAAAAATTCAAGACAATGCCAGCATAGAGATTTTCTCTTTGTGTGAAATGCCTTCCCATTTTTTAAGAGTCTAGATCCTTTTTTGCTTCAAGGACCAAGTTAAATGTCTCCTCTTCTGTGAAATCTCTCCAAATCATCACGACCAGAATCTCTCACTTCTCCACCCCTTTTCATCTCCTTTATTGCCTGTGTGCCAGTCAGTATTGCTGTAGGGCCACATGTGTGTACGTCTTTGCCACTAGACTGAAAGCCCCTTGGGGACAGAGACCACATTGAATTCTTCCACCCCCAGCTCTAAGAATAATGAATGATGCTCCTAAGGTTCAAATCCATGTTTTAATTAATGAATTATAAGTACATTATAAATTGCAGAGGGAGGGTCATACAAATTCTGGGGATTACAATTATTGTTGTCAACTATTACCACTATGTACCAGTTGATGTCAGCTTTACCTCATCAATGTTAAGCCTTTTATTTCACTGGCCCTTCATAATAAATCTCAGATTAAATGGTCCTTGTATTATTTTTCTTAAATAGCCAGTCATAAGGAAATGCAAATCATTTTGTTTATTAAATATAAAATTGAGCCAACTTAGTTGGTGTTTAAAAACTTAAAAATAGGTGAAATTTATGTAGATTCAAGCAACCATGATAAGCAAATTACAGTATCCAGCTCTACTGTTCATGATATGAAAAATTACTTGGAAAAGGTAAGCAGTTAACATGGAATGTTGAAATGCTTTACAAAGCATAATAAATCAGGAAATATAGAATCCCATGTCAGCGTTATAATTAATGTATGTATTTTTAATCTGTAAACTAGTACAATAATCTTGAGTGATTTCTAGATGTTTTTGATATAATCTGATAACATAATGCCAAAGCATGATTGATTTTATGTTAGTTATCTATTTAAGTTTATACTTTTGGTTATTATACTACTGCTAAGAGGAAATTAATGTTTTGGCAAAAATGATATTTTTGTTAATGTTTGAAAATCGTCTTTAGATTTAAAAATATATTTTAAACTGTTTTTCACTACCTTTTATGAGAAGAGAATGAAATAATTAGAAAATATATATATCTTTACTTTTATATCTGGAAAAATAGAAATTTCAGAGCTTGAAATCAGCTTAAGTCTTTATTTTGTAAAAGTATTAGAGAGGAAAAGTATCTCGCCCAAAATACGTACTTTCAAGTTCCCGGGACAGCTAAGACTGGTGTCAAGAATTCGGAAAGACTGGGTCAATATTTTTTTACCCTACCAAATAATCTTCATGTTAAAAACCAGCAAGATAGGATTATACAATTTTATAGTACTAACATAAATTACATTTACTTATGTAATCCAATACTGTATGTAGAATTCACATATCATAGGGAAAAATGGGAGACTGGACCTTATTGAGCTGTATTTTTCCACTATCCTACAATAATGCAATTGGGTCCTAATAAATAATCATTTATATTAGTATTCTTTAAAAATAATTATGGTTATGATGAAGTAAAAATGGAAATGATATCTGGGTTCACTTTGCTAGCTCTGAATTCAGTTAACACAGATATTATATCTTAATGACAAGATTGGTTAAATAGATTTGGGTGGGTCAGTTTGAACTTTTTTTAACCAATGAATTATACTGTTATTCTTAATCTTTTTTATTCTGCTTAAGTCTCCAGTTATCCCAAAGATGAGATATTTGCATCTAGCCAATTATTTAAAAATATAATTCTGGACCTTGTAAATACTGAGAGATGAATTGTGCCCACTTAGAAACGAATGTTTCTCAAAGACAATAAAAATAGTAGGACTGTCCAGCATCTTCTGTTTAGAAAATTACAGTTAAGAGTTCAGAGAGTGACTGAGAAAATGTAAAGCATCTTAAAGAAAATGTTACTTTACTTCCTAATTTAAGACGTGGTAACTGACAGCCGTGTGCATTTGAATACTATTTTGTTTTTCTAAATTTATTAAAGTAATGATAAACAAGATAGAAATAATGTAACACCCCCCCATACTGGTACTTATTGATACCATAATTGTACGGTCCTTATTCCAAAATTAATTATTGAATTAGGAAAGTGGAGTAAATATTAGGGCATAGGCTTACACAGCAAAACTAGTAAGTTTGTGATTGAGAATTGCTTATTTGTAAGATGGCAAAGAAATAGATAAAACTGACCTAAAACATTTGCATATTCTGGCTTTTTTTCCTGCTTAACCCTTACGACATGATTTAAAAGCAGTATCAATATATTTCGGTGTTTACCGAGTATTTCCACGAACTGAAGATAACACATCTTGTTATTGATCAGTGAGGTTGCTCTGTAACTGGTTGCTGAACCAAGAGGAGGAACAAAAGGCTTTGAGTTAATGGCTAATATTTGCTGGGGCCTAATATTTCCACTATATGCCATATGCTACACTATGTGCTATGCACACATTCTTTCATTTAATTCTCAAATCAATCCTTTGGTATAATTACTATCCTTATTTTACAAAACTGAGAAAATTGAGTTTCAAAAAGGCTAAGCCACTCCTCAAAGTCACATGACTAACAAGCAGCAAAAGAGGGATTTGAACGAAGGATTCTGACTTGAGAGAATGCATTCCTAATCATTCCAAACTGAATAATCAGTACATGTGATTTTGCTGTTTGCTGTAGAAACAGATTTTTTATATATATTACATTCATTAATGGTGTATCTGGTTCAGTTTTTTAAATGTTCACATATATTTTTACCTTAGCATTTTATAGGTCAGTTTGAAAGCTATTGAGTTCGCAATAATATCTACATTAATATTTTCTTCATATTTTGGTATTTCTGCACCCAATCAGATCATTTAGGTAATACATACCAAAACAATTTCTAAACAGTGACATACCAGACAAATGTAAGGTCATGTTAGTAGTAAAATGTCTTTGTAAGTCTGAATTACTAAAAATAAGTATTAGACTAAATGTTTCCATTTCCTCTTTTTCCTAGATATTTTACTTATTAAATATAACACCTATTTTATGACAAAATTAATTCTCATTAATTTGGCAGTTGCAGAATGTCACTTTGGCTTATTTAGACCCTGACTATCCAGACATGTAAGGTAGTTCAGGTTCTCACTCCTGTTTACACATCTTGTGTCTACAACCCACTGCAATCCACAGGATGTTAAAAGAATCTTACAATTACTGAATATGTAGTAATATATTTTATGCCTAATGCTAGATTTTTTAGTTTTTATCTACAGTGGTCAAGACTAGAGGGCATAGCTGACAAGTTGTTGACTTTCAGGGAATCAGCTTAATTTGGGGAAGGGAAAGGAGAAAACAGAATTGTGTAGTTTCTTAGCTTCCTGATGAAATGTTGTCCAGTTTCTTTCTCAATTTTCTATTTCTTTCTAGAACAATGTTGTACACTTACCATATGTCAGAAACTGTGCAGGCAATAAAATGATCCTCTCATGAACTCCAACTTCAACATTGTTATTGATTTTCATAATGAAAACACTATATCAATATATGTTCATGTATAATTGAGGTGTTTAGTTTGGTTACATAATTTATGGTACCCTCTTTTAAAAAAATCTAGAAAAGCAGAAGTTTTGACCCCTATGATTCTCATTTGAATGAAACTCCACTCCACTGTGCTCTCCACTGTGCCTTTGCCTCTTCTATGATCCTGATACCTAGAACTCAATACACTGCTCCTTGGAAGGTTTGAGGAATGCAGGGTGAAGGAGGACTATCATCTCTGTGTTTGGGGGCCACTAGGCCCATGGATGTGGTGCAAAGACCTCAATAGCAGGTTTAAGGATCATATTCTGATTTTGCCCATGCCTTACGCTATTCTCGGTACAGTTAGAATTTGATATTATTTTTTCTCGCAAGATTCCTTGATGTTCGCATTACTAATAATTACCTTTGTGGGAAAGAATCAAGGTCAACATAGCAGTTCCTTTCATTGCTTCTGAACTTACTGAGAAAGCACTTAAAGTATAGGACTTAAGCACTAGTAAAGTACTTAAAACATTTATTTTCAGAATGTTAATTTTTACACAGTGAAAACTAGAGATAATAGTGTCAATGACTACTTAGTGATCACTTAACTCCATGAGGTACTGTGAGAAGTGGTTAGGAGCATAAAATCTCTGTACAGATGCCTGGTTCTGATTCTGAACTTCATGACTTAGTAGATACATAACCTTGGACAAGTTACATAACTTCCCCGGGCCCCAGTTTTCTCATCTGTGCAATAGTACATACCTTAAAAGACTGTGAGGATTCTAGTGCATTTTTGCAAAGGATGGCATTATAAAGATGTGCAAATTCATGTTCTTTACTCTTCGAAGTATGGAATGTAGAGAGTATGTGTTTGTATATATTTAAATAAATATTAATGCAGTGTAGTTAAGTGCTATACCAGAGATGTATTTATGCTTCATAAATACTTTTAAAGTTTAATTTTACTTCACCTCTTTAACCAAGTTTTGTTTTTATTTGAACAAGTTGTCAACCATTGTTATAATCATCAGTTTTATCCCATCAAATATTGGTTTCATTTAAAAAGTTGTTTAAAAAGACTCTATGTTATTTTAATAATATCTATATAAGTTTACAATTTCAGGCAACTAATAATATTCAATCCATTGATTCTACTT
Source organism: Homo sapiens (assembly GCF_000001405.40). Classification (NCBI taxonomy): domain Eukaryota; kingdom Metazoa; phylum Chordata; class Mammalia; order Primates; family Hominidae; genus Homo; species Homo sapiens. The sequence goes on from NC_000021.9 coordinate 16,078,175, forward strand.
TTTCCTCCATTGCTCAGTGTATATATCAGAAAATACAAATGTCCGAAGTCACATGTAAAAATACATGAAACCATTTATTCTGATTTTTGCAAAGCTCGATGGTAGAGCTAATATTTTAGACCATGATACCCTAGAATGACCAGAGGTTAGGTTCCTAGTTAGTGGCATTCTGTAAAGACAATTAATCCATAGTCCAAGTGTCTAATGTTCAAGAATCAGATACTTGATCACGTAGACTGTCCTTTAACAATCTCCATTGTACTCAGGAAGAAAATAATAGATTCTAATCCGAAGACCTGACCTAAAACCCTTTGTAAGTGCTCCAAGCCTCACTTTTCTTATTATGAAATGGGGATAGTAATGCCTAACTGGAAAGATAATTGTGTGGGCTAAATAAGAGGACCTGTGGAGTACTGTTAGGTTTTCTCTTCTGTAAGTTTTGCAAAGTCTGTTCAAGTGTGTGTTTCAATGTCAATGAGAGCAACAGGACTTCAAATAAAATGCAAGCTTCTGAGGAGGCAAACTCTAGTATGATGTATTCTATAGAATAGAGAATGACAAGATTCTTTAAAAATATTTCTCATTAAAACCCCCATTAGTTCAAATGATTTCAGGGGATTGTGAATGCAAGTTAATTAAATCAGAATTCTTTCTCATCTTATCCTGGGAATGACTGAAACTAAAAATGGTTTCATTTTAAAAAGAGGTTCATGAGCTCGCTCCCTCTCTCCACCTCCATCTCTATCTCTGTCTTTCCCTGCCTCTGAGAGAAACTGACGTATTTGGGTAGAGAAGAGCATCAGTAAGTGTTTCCAGTGATTGAGGCAGAGGGATGTTCAAAGGCATGAGTATTTTTAGATTAATAGTAACGATGCAACTAATTTTCAGGTGTCTCATTAAGGTGAAAAATAATATACTATAAATAGCATCATATTTGGACACCTATGTGCCAATTTTATGATGCTTTTACAATTTCATCTAATCTATTACAATTTGTTATTACTCCCTTCAAGTTTTATCCATGCTTTCATGGTACTAATAATGAAGATGACGATCAACTGAACTTTGCCATGATATTTTGTAGGTGTACCTGTTGTTTGAACTATGTATATAAATCATAAAGCAAAGAAATTACACATTCTGTTTGGGATATCTTATAGTAATATTGCCTTTTAATAATCCCCGTTTCTCCTTTTATTTAACAGCAATTACCCAACATCCTATTAAACATCAACAGAGATCGTCTTGCATGTCATTATAGTGCAATAAGATCTGTTTAGCTTTTCAGCTCTTACAAGATATTCATTTTGCAGTGGAGTTAAGCTTTTCTATTACCTTCCTAGGATGATGGTTTAGGAGTCTTTAAAAATTTTTATTAAACTCATTTTAGTTATTTTTTCCCTTTGTTAGTTAATTGATTTTTCTAGGACTGAGAAAGTGGGTTTTTAACATATCTCTTCTCTAGGGATAGGCTTCAGTATGGGGGCTGTTGGAGAGACCATATACCCCATTTCTCCGGGGATATGTCTAGTTTATGCCTATTGTACCAGGGTAATTATTGATGGTGCCCTCTTTCATTTTCAGTAGTGACCCATTTTTCATTAGAAATTATGTGGCCATTCTATAATATAAAGTTAATTTCTGAATGTTTTGGTAAAGATTATATTTTTGGATATGCAAATCTGTTGTCATCATGAAAGTATTTGTACTTTGCAGATTGTGTAACATGAGTTTAGGTTTTGCAAATGTGGTCACTACAGTAATAGATAATTTTGTTGATATGTGTTAGACATGCAATGAGTAATTGTTGATCTAAACTCACTCATTTGAGCATCAGATTTCATTAGTACTCTAGTCTAGACTAACAGCAGGAAGAAGTCCAGCATGTCAATTCATTTAACAAATATTGGTTGAGCACTATGTGCCAATCATTGCTATAAGCACTGAGGGACACAGCAGTAAAGCAAATAGACAAAGTCCGCTGTGCTCATAAAGCTTGTGTTCTGAGGTCCTTTATAGGGTAATAATATATATTTATTAAGTTATACCAATGACATTTTGCTCTCTTATACAAATTGCTTTGACAAAAGGAAGGTTTCATTTAAAATCCAGCCTGTTTTTATTCAGACTGCTCCATGATGTAGGCTAACTTTATACCATGAATTCCTACTGGGTACGTTTTTCTTTCTCTCACTCAGTAGCTTACCTGACATCTTAGGCCCTCCTGGAGTTGATGGTGCCAGCTGCCCATGATTTTTATGTTTTATTTAGTCAAGAAGCAGCTCAGAAATCCTAATAACTTGAGATCTTCTTATGTTCTAGCTAACACACAAAGGTACATGGAAAATGTACTACCTTATTTGTTTTTGGAAACTTTTCTTTTCTCCCTGAGAACAGGTTATTGTCATTTTTGCCTATATATATAAAATTCATGTTTTTAAATGTATCCTCGAGCTTTTCAAGTGATTTCTCTCCTGTGGAAGCACCTTCTCTTGTTATTTGGCTTTTTATAAAGCCCACGAATATTTTAAAATTTTAAATGACTTATGTGCATAAAAAAATAAGCAATTTATATATTAAGAATACATATTTAAGCAATTTATCTGTTAAGAGTACATATTTAAAATGAGAACAATTATATCATAAAACCAGAACTGTTTGGAGTTTGACATAGACTTGAGACAATTGTTTAATTCCTTTATTTTTTAAATGTGCCCAGAAAATGTGTAAAGAAATGGTATTCAACTTGCTCAGATTTACAGAGTAGTTTGTGATAGACTCAGAAAAAAAAGATTTTTTAAAATTTGAATTTTTAAAGTTTTGATTATAAAAATATTTTCTCTGCTCTAAATTTGAAAAATTTTAGAGTTATATGAAAGAAAATTGAAATATTTAGTTATTTTACTCTGTATAAATTACCATAGTTGCACAAATTCTAAAAATACATATGTCTTTTGAATAATATTGAAGTTTCACTATATAAATATTTATATCTTGTTTTTAAACATGAAGAGAGAAAATATTATGTGGTATGATATAAGGGATGCACATTTAGATGAAAAATAAAGGAAGAAAGAATTGATAAGACAGGCATTTAAAAACCTAGGTATTTTTGAATTACAACTTCACAAATTATATGAGGCTATATAGGATATATATAGAAGTGAATATGAATATGTCAATGTCATTTCATAAAAATGTTTTGTGGTACACTGAAGAGAGACATGTCAAAGTGACAATGCTGTCATAGATGTGGATGCCCTTTCTTGCTCCTGGGAAGTAGTATCTCTTCCCTCCACATATACTCTGGGTTATACCCTCTCTTAAATCCTCATGGAATTTTTCCATCGATGATCCTTCTCCTGTATCATCACCTTCCTCTCAACCAGTTCTTCCCTCCCAGAACTCAAAAATGACCAACTTTCACTCATCCTAAGTAAACAGATGAGGAAAACAATAATAGCCACCCCCCATAAACCTATTTCCTCTTGTATCTCTTACTTATCCATTCTGTTGCTGGACACGAAGTCAGGAGAGCTGAGAAAAGACTCTAACTCACTCGGGACAAGTAGTGTAACTTCTTTGCACTCCAGCAGAATTGATAGTTTTATATTTCATAAAATATAAAACGGTGTTAAAAAGCTATAGTTTTTTTTTTTCCAAAAGTACTTTGTCCACCTTGAACACCACATAAATGTAAAGGAGAAGAGAGGAAATATCCTCTACAAGCTACTTTTTAATTGTTATTTTTAGGGAGCTCTAAAGTAACTCTAAAGGTGTTTTTGACATAATATAATTACCATTTACAGCCATGATCTCATTTCCATTTATTTATTTTGAGATTCTGTTCCCACTCAGGGTTCTAATGGTGCAGGGGTGGTAGTAGGGTCAAGTTATTTTAAATAACGATCAAGGAAACAATCTATTTTTAAAGGAAATAAGCTCTTTGTGCTATTGAACAAAGATCGCTGCACTTGAAGTCTATTTGTTACTCCAAAATTATTTCAATGAGAGTAGGAATCAGATGATCTCATATCTATTGCTAGCTATGCCACTAGTCATTTGTGTGACATTGGAAAACTGGTGTTTATTGGTTTATCAGGATGGACAGGAGACCAGATCAGGACTTTCAACAACTTTTCTTAAAGTAGAATTCTTTCTTAAATAAAATCGACTCGGAATCTCAAAATATTTTTAGAAAGTGCAATGACCCTGTTTGGATTAGGGTTGGGAACCTCAGAGCTGTATTCTTTTACTCCTCATGCACTTTAGGTGGTGCCTAAGATGCCCTCATTACAGCCTCGTAACTCCATGAGAATAAAGCCACTAGAGTAGATAATTGTTGACATTGCTTAGAGTTTGAAAATTAGACTGTTTTTTTTTTGTTGTTGTTTTGTTTTGGTTTTGCTTCTTTTGGTCAGCCATTAATTAATATAAATTAAACTTCCACTAGATGGCAGTAGATCAAATCTTTGATCTTGACAATCTTCAGTCTAATATTTAAAAGCACATATTTGGACTTCTTACACAAATTTTAGAAGAATTTTATTGTCTTATATTTTAAACTTTAAAATTCTTTTTCAACCTCTGAATTTTCACTTGGTATTCTGTTTTCAAGACATTACGAACTATTGGTTAGTCCAGTCTTTATGATGTCTGGTAAAAAATATTACTTGCTCTGATTATAGAAATTTTTAAAAATTGCATAATGTTCAAGTGAACACATTTTCATGAGCATCTAAATTTATTATTCATACAGTCTTGATTTTACAGCTTCACTGGAAGGCTAATTTTTAACCCAAAATTTACAGTGACCTGGTCATTCATTTTGCTATCCCATAACGCCCACTCCCTTCCACAGCAATGCAATTCCAATGATAGTCTGCATTGTGTATACTCTTAACTTTGCAGAGAGGGGATGCTTTCAAATTATATTAGATGATGGGAATTTGTGATAAGGATAACTAGCGAAATGAGGTATCTCAGGAAGCTGCTTCATATCCCTAAGGTTAAAGGTATAGTAATTTCTTGGAGGTACAGAGCAACACCTTCCTTTGGGATTCAGCAGGTCCTCCTGGAACCCAACAGCTCTGGTACCCTCATGCCAACAATGAGCCTCCCAGAAGTTGCCTCTGCTCCTCTTTTTGGATACCACTTATTTATACTCCCCAGGAAAGAAGAACTGGTTGAGTCAGTTTGTTGTAGTTGTACACAGATCATCCCTTAAGTGCAGTCTCTTGCTAAGTAAGTCCCCTGAGTTGGTTAGACCCGACTGAGGACAGCTTATTCTTTAACTAGTGTATTAGTCTGTCTCATGCTGCTAAAAAGACATCCCTGAGACTGGGTAATTTATCAAGGAAAGAGGTTTAATAGACTCATAGTTCCACATGGCTGGGGAGGCCTCACAATCGTGGCAGAAGATGAAGGAAGCGCAAAGGGACGTCCTACATGGTGGCAGGCAAGGGAGCATGTGCAAGGGAACTCCTCTCTATAAAACCATCAGATCCCGTGAGACTTATTCGCTATCATGAGAATGGCACAGGAAAGACTCGCCCCCATGATACAATTACCTCCCATCGGGTCCCTCCCACAACACTCGGGAATTATGGAAGCCACAATTCAAGGTGAGATTTGGATGGGGACGCAGACAAACCATATCAAATAGCCAACATAAAAGGTCAAAGTTTATGCCTGTTTTCCAGGTGAAACTAGTGATAGCTCTAGCTCCCCATTTTACTCTCAAAGTGATCCCAATTCAAAAGCTCAATGATATGATCACCTGAACACACAGTTATCTTTACCTTGAGAACTAAGTCTGATCTTCAAGCCAGAGTCGTAGACACAAGACTTGTCTAATGAAAATAATTGTCTGTGGCAACTTTCTTAGGAAGGAGCTGTGGGACACAGGTATTTAGAGTTGTATGAACTGCCAATTATGTAGTCCTTAGAAGAAAAGAAAAGAGAAATTAAAGATGAAAGCTAACTTTAAACTCAAATTCCTACCTCACTGGTTCAATTTTATCCACTAGATACCATCTTTTTCTAATGCATTGTGGAAAAGAGTATTATTTTCATTGTTAAGGATAGTATAAAACTAGAAAAGAAATTAAGTGGCTTGCCTGTATCACATTGTAAATATCAGAGAGAATTCCAAAATTAGAACTTTAGAGATGGTTAGTCACAATCTATTAGGCATAAGTAGTAGACTGAGTCTTTTAATTATCACTCTGTATAATAATTCACATGCCACCAAATGTATTGGAAATAGTTATCTTTCCATCAAAACTATTACCCCCAATTTTTTAAGTAATCATATTTTTAGATTTTAAATACATTTTCTCCCACATTAGTCCTCTATCACTTTAATGAGTATAGTTAATATGGTGAATCGTAGATTCTAAAGCCCTTTCTCTTTTTTTTTGCCCTCAGAACAGATTTATAATGAAAAAAAAACTTAAGTGACTGAAATGTTCAACCTGAGGAAGAGAAGCCAGACTCACTGGTCCCATTCCTCAGAATGTAGTTTCTTTCAGAGAGGGCTGTGATGAAATTTTGGCCTATCTCAATGTACAACACCAGAAAGAGAGATGATATTATAATTTGAGACATTTTGTTTAGAACGATTTCATGCATTCTTCTAATCAGAATGGGCTATTGAAAACATTTGTGCTAAGCCTGTCCTCTGGAAATCATTTATTTCATTTGTGGTATTTCAAACATCATCGTGCTGAGTTGGAGGGCAGTGGCCATTATAGTCATACAAATAATACTGTATCACTTTGTTTAAAGTATAGAAAGACCCGCTTGTTGGTTGAAAACCTCCTATGTCTTTCTGAAAGATTAGCTTCTGTTCACCAAATTCCATGTTATTTTCCTTCTCCTGAATACAAAGAAAGAGTAGATTTCTTAGCCGCTAAACGGTTAGGTGGCAGCATGTGACTAATTCTGGCTCATGAAATTTGATCAGAAGGCATCAGAGTCACTTCACCGACTCTGGCCTGTGTCCTGAGATGGCCAAGCTCCAGCATGGAAACAGCCTGGATTTCTAAGACTCTGCTTGGAAAGGAGCCGCACCAAAGTGAAGGATGAAGTGAAATACACTGAGTACTAAGTGAAGATGAAAGATTTTTATGACATAAGTTACTGAAATTTCAAGATTCATTTGTTACCATTGTATAGCCTGGATTTTCCTGACTACCATAGGAAATATATGAAGTTTAGCTTTATAATTTAATTTTATTTTTCTGACTTAGCTTAGTCTTTGCCGTAGCTGAGATTCTTTCAAGCAAGTAGTGAGTGAGATGGATCATTACTTAAGTGTTCATTACTTAAATGTTCATTCCAATATTACACCGAATTGGATGATATCTTGTATCATATGTTTATGTGGCCAGACTGATCAGTGACAGTTTGGAAGACATGTATCTGGTGCAGCTAAATTTTGTGAGCCAGAATTAGTCACATTTCATGAGCCAGAATTAGTCACATGGTGCCACCTAACTGTTTAGGGGCTAAGAAATCTACTCTTTCCTTGTACGCCGGAGAAAGAAAATAACGTGAGATTTGGTGAACAGTACAAAAGACATGAATTGAGATTATCATCCAAATCATTTTTAACCTGCCTAAAATATGAGAAATCATTTAGAACATATAGAATCTGTAGGCAAATGTAAGCTGTAAATCCGTATAGTAAGAGAAGGAAAAAGGCAGTAATATTTTGTAGTTTGTGATTTTAAAAAATCAACGTATAATCTTAGAGTTCTCAGATTTTATTTGTAAAGTAATAGTGTTGTGGAACTAGCAAATAATCATTAAGTTTCTGTGATACATTAACTCTTTCAGCATAAGAACATGTGAATATTTGCCTTGTAGATACGGCGATGAGAGGTTCTGGTTTATTTGGGGGCAGTCTCAGTTTATATCTTTTGTTTCATTACAATTCTTAATAGTGTCGCTTTTCATTCAAATATTACACTGAATTAGATGATATCTTGTATCATGTGTCTATGAGGCTAGACTGATCAGTGACAGTTTGGAAAACACGTATCTGGTGCAGCTAAATTTCTTTTTTTTTCCTCAGTTCTGTGGAACATAATACGGCATGAAAATATCATTATATGAGGATGTTACCACATCCCCATGTAATGGGATCAGCCCACAAAATATTTTTGAATCCATAACTTAGTGAAAGCATTGTGATGAGTACATCTAAAATAAACATTTCTAGGTTTCTGTGGATGGACTCAGGAACCTAATCATCAGGTATATAAAACATTAAATCAAATGAAAAGTGCAGTCTAGTTTTCAATAACTAACTTGCCAAAGAGCTTTAGGACGTAACTGTTTGTCATTTCAGCATAAGCAGTGGTTTTTAAATGCAGCTTTCAGTTGTATTAATTGTGTAGGTATTTTATTTTTTATTATGGAGAATTTTGAAAAATACCAAAATTACATAATAGTATATCAAACTACCTTGCAGCTATTAACCAGTCCAAATAGACATCAACCAATTGTGAGTTCTGTCCTATCCATACCCCCATCTAAATTTCCCCCTATATTATTTTGAAGTAAATCCAGACATCATATCATCTTATTTTTACATATTTTAGCATTTGTCCCCAACAAGATGTACACTTTGGTAAACATAGTTTTATGTGGTTTCTGTATAATAGCATAGATTGAACAAATATTTGTCAAAACAAATTTGGGTTGAAGTTTAACATGTCAGCATTTACCCACATTAAATAGTCATTATCTCTTGGACTAACAGTTTCCCAATATCACCTTAATCAGAACAAATTACCTTTAAATATTCCAAAAGTAAACTCTAAATTTCCCTTTAGACAATTTAGAGGGGTATGTATACGCTCCAATCCAGAGATCAAGGAGCTCTGAAATGGATTCTGCAGCTGTCTCCCTTTGAAATTCTTTGCTCTGACACTCCAGATAACAGTACGACTTAGCTTTCCTGGGAAGCAAATAGGCTGCTCTTCAAAGGGTGAATACCTTAGACTGACAGGTTAACTTCAAGAATGTAATTCTAATAAATGGAATTTATGGGGCAAATGTTAAAAACACTAAAAAATACCTTTTATTGGCCTGTTTATTGAGACTAGGAAGGAACATCATGTTACAAACAAATTCTGTTTTCTTTGTGCTAAAACATTCCTATGTCATCTTTTAATAAACTTAACTGGATTTATAGGAAAGGAAAAGTATTCCCTTTGTTTTATACTTCAGAAAATAATTAAAACACATTTCTGATTTGTATGAAAAGAGAAAGCCAGACAAAATTTTTAAAATTTATCAAATGTAAAATTGAAAGGAAAAGAGGAAATCTTGGTACAGGTTATATTTGTAGCAAAATTAGAGAAATTTGGAAGGTTGCAACATATTGTTTATGTATTGTACCAGTTTCCTGGAACTTACTATCTATATACATAATATGTTTTTTATTTGTATGTAAATGATGTAAAATGATTAAGATGGTAGAGCTAATACGGTTTCTTGAAGAAGGAGGACATTAGGGTTAGAGCTTATATTAATTGAATCACAGGTCTTTTTTTGGCTCCTTATATCAGTGGATATAGATGGCATTAACTTAATTTAGGCATTTGATTTAGATTACAGTGCAGGAGTAAGAAGCATATTTAAGGGAATAGCTCTGTTTTCACCACTTAGCAGCCATATAACCAAGGTTAAACCTTGCTTCTCTAATTATGTAATGATAGTAATTTAACCTATAAAGGGACTGCAAGGATTAAATAGAACTGTCTTGGTAAATATTTTTAAAATGAGCTCTATTTTCATGTTTATGCATAATAAAAATACTCACATTTTAAGTGTACAATTTGTGTCCTTGGCAAATACATATAGTCATGTAGCCAACATCATAATCATGATGGAAAACATTTCCATCACCTTGGAAAATTCCCTTGAGTCCCTTTGTGGTCAATCGGCTCCACCTACCCTCAGCTTCTGCAACTACTGATTTGCATTCTGTCATTACAATTTTGCATTTTCTGGAATTTCATGTAAATGGAATAACACAGTATACAGACTTTTGTGTCTGGCTTTTTCTACTTAGCATAATGCTTTGGAGATTTATTCAGATCCTTGAGGGTATCAGTAGCTCATCTGATTTATTGCTGAGCAGTCTCCTGTATTGACTGCATATATGACAAGTGGATGGACACTGAGATTGTTTCCAGTTAGGGAATGTTATGAATAATGTTCTGTGAACATTAAAGTATAAGGCTTTTGTGGATAAAGCTCTGATTTATCATAGCTAATTGTGTAGAAATGGGATTACTGGGTTGCGTGTTAAGTTCCTGCTTAACTTTTTAAGTAACTTACAAGGTATTTTTTTTTTTAATTGGCTAAACCATTTGCAGTTCCCTCAACCACATACCACTTGCTCCACAACCTCACCAACCATTGGTATTGGTCATTAAAAAAAATTATCCCTTCTAAAATGTGTATGTAATGGTATCTCATTGTAGCTTTAACTTGAATTTGTTTGGTTTTCAAATCAGGTAATTTGGACTGATAAAGTAAGTTGAGAAGTATTTTATTTTCTATTTTTCAGAAGCATGTGTGCAAAATTGATATTATTTTTCCTTAAATGTTTAGTAGAATTCACCAGTGTCATCTAGGCTAATACTTTGTAGACTAATACTTTCAGCCTGTTTCCTTGTGCTTATTGTCCATTCGAGTATCTTCTTCAGGATGCTCATTTTTACTGCATCTTTTTTCTTTCTGTTGGGTTTTAAGAATTCTTTAAATATATATGACGTAAATCTTTTGTCATATATATGTCTGCAGATGTTGTTCCTAGTCTGTGGCATGACTTTTTATTACCTTAACAGTGTTTTTTGATAAATGAAAACCTTTAATATTAATGATGTCCAATTTAACAATTGATATTTCATAATTTGCACTTTTTGTGTCCTGGCCAAAGATTGTTTGCCTAAGCCAACATCACCAAGACCTTCTCTTATATTTCCTTTTACATGTTGTATAATCTATTATGTTTAATTCTATGAACGATTTCAGGTTAATTTATGTATATGATTTGAAGTCAGGGTCGATGTTCATTTTATTTGTGCATAAATACTCATTAGAGTATTCTTTGTTGAAACGACTATGCGTCCTTTGTTGCATAACCTAGGCACGTTTTTCAAAAAATAAATTGATGAGAGGCCAAGGCAGGAAGATCATTTGAGGTCAGGAGCTCAAGACCAGCCTGGCCAACATGGTGAAACCCCGTCTCTACTAAAAATACAAAAATTAGCCAGGCCTGGTGGCACACGCCTGTAATCCCAGCTACTTAGAAGGCTGAGGCACAAGAATCACTTGAAGCAACCCAGGAGGGAAAGGCTGCAGCGAGCCAAGATGGCACCTCTGCACTCCAGCCTGGGTGACAGAGTGAGACTCTGTCTTAAAAAATAAAAAATCAAATCAAAATAAATAAATAAATGGATAATATCTGTGGACTACCTATTCTGTTGTATTGATCTTATGTCAATTGTTAAACCACATTGCTTCGATAATTCTAGCTTTATAATACATCTTAGAATCAAGTGGTGTAAATTTTCCAACATCGTTCTTTTAAAAAATTAAGGCTATTTTGGATCTATGCCTTGCCATTTGATTTTATAATCACCTTGTTAATTTCTGCATAAATGCTTGCTGAACTTTTCATTGGGATTTCATAAAGCTATAGATATATATGGAGAAAATTAAAACCTTTTCTAGTGTTGTATCTTGTAATTCGTGAACATGATATCCCTCTCACTTTTTAAAATTTTTTTAGCTCTCCTTAATTCCACCAAGCCATATTTTGGAGATTTTAATATACAGGCCTAGCATGAAGTTTAGTAAGTATACTATCCCTATATGCTTCACGTTTGTTCATTCTATTTTAAAAGACATTTTAATTTAAATATTTAGTTGAGCCTTACTAGTATATAGAAACATAACTGATTTTTGTGTTTTCATCTTGGATTCCATGGCTTTACTACGCTCAGTTCCAGTAACACTTTTTATGGGTGTCTTTGCGTTTTCAACATAAATGATCATCTCATCTGTAAATAATGTCAGTTTCATTTTTTCCTTTCCAACATGTATTACATTTTATTTATTTATCATACTTTTAATCATATTATTTTTGCCCTATTGCACTAATTGGGACTCCCAATATAATTTTGAAAAAACACTGGTAAGAACAAATATCTTCACATTGCCCCTGATCTTAGAGGAAATCATTCAGTCTTTCACAAAAATGATGTTAGCCAATTTTGCTGGATGTTTTTATCAGGTTGAGGAAGTTGCTTTCCATTCATAGTTTGGAGGTAAATTTTATTATGACTGAATTGTGAATTTATCAAATGCTCTATTCTTTATCTGTTGAGATGAGCATATGCTTTTTCTTTTTTATGTAATAATATGCTGGATTATACTGATTACTGGATATTAAATCAACCTCCATAGGGCTGAGATAATGTACTATTGTTTTGTCTTTTTTTGCATTTTTGGATATTGTTTACTAAAATTTTGTTTGGGATTTTTGCAACTATGTTTAGGTGACTTATAGGTCTGTTTCATGTAAATATGTATACATGTATTTATTCATTTATTCAAATATTGCCTTTGTTTGGTTTTCAAATCAGGTAATTTGGACTGATAAAGTAAGTTGAGAAGTATTTTATTTTCTATTTTTTGGAAGCATGCATGCAAAATTGATATTATTTTTCCTTAAATGTTTAGTAGAATTCACCAGTGTCATCTAGGCATGGAGCTTTTTTTGTAAGAAGAATATCAATTATGAATTCAATTTGTTTAGTAGTTTTAAGGCTATCTATCTAGTTCTCTGTGACTTGTTGAGGAATCTTTTGTCAGTTTATGTATTTCAAGGAGTTAGGCCACTACATCCAAGATGTTGATAAGCCTATAGTTTGCTCATAATATTACCTTTTAATCATTTTAATGTCTGTAAAATCTGTATTTATGTCCATTTTCTTCATTATTGATGTTGGGTATTTATGTGTTTTATTTCCTGATTAGTCCAATTAATGCTTTAGCATTTTTTCCCTCTGTTCAAGGAACCAGATTTTAGTTTCATTGATGTACTTTATTTTTTTCTCTTTTTCTTGATTTTTTTCACTCAACTTTATTGTCTTCCTTCTAATTACGTTGGGTTTAATTTGTTTTTCTATTTTTGTTTCTTACAGAGAAATCTTAGCTCACTGGTTTTTAGATCTTTATTCATGCTGTATAGTTCCCTTGAAACACTTATTCAGCTGCATCCTACAAATTTCATATAGTATGTTTTCATTTAGCTTACATTTTATCTCATTTATTCTTACTTATGGTTTATTTACAGATGTGTTATTTAATTTTTGGACCTGATGATTTCCCAAATATTATTGATTTTTAAATTAAATCTCATTTATTTATTTATTTATTTTTTTGAGACGGAGTCTCCCTCTGTCCCCCTGGCTGGTGTGCAGTGGTGCGATCTCGGCTCACTGCAAGCTCCGCCTCCTGGGTTCACGCCATTCTCCTGCCTCAGCCTCCGGAGTAGCTGGGACTACAGGCGCCCACCACCACGCCTGGCTAATTTTTTATATTTTTAATACAGACGGGGTTTCACCGTGTTAGCCAGGATGGCCTCGATCTTCTGACCTCGTGATCCGCCCGCCTCGGCCTCCCAAAGTGCTGGGATTACAGGCGTGAGCCATCGTAAATTGATTCTTTAGTGACCACAGAACTTCATATGATTTCAATTTTCTTAAATTTATTGAGACTGGTCAATCTTTTGTTCAGGCACTTTATACCCTTGCTAATTTTCTGCCTTCTCTTTCTATCAACTACTGAAAGTGTTCATATCTTCAATTATAATATTGGATATGTGTAGTTCTTTTTCAATCTTTATCAGTTTTAAACCTCTGGTATTAGTGTATCCACATTTAGGTTTTTTATGTATACTGATGAATTGATCCCTTCAAAATTACGAATATCATTCTCTGTAAAAAATATTTAATTGACCAAGATTGTAAATAAAGTGTACAGCACAATTATCATATATGTATACCTTATATAATGATTACCACAATGAAATTAGTTAACACATCTATTACCATCCAAGCCGTATATTAGATTTGCTGGAATTGTTCATCTTATAAAGTTTGTATTTTTATAACATTTCTTGTTATAAACTCTACTTTGTCTTATATAAATATGAACACTCTAGCTTCTTTTTAAAAGTGTTTGCTTTGTGTGTTTATTTTAATCCTTTTGCTTTTAACCTATATGTCTTCATATTTAAAATAGGTTTCTTCTAGATAATGTCTTAGGTATTGGTTTTTGATTCAATCTGACAAGCACTGCTTTTTCATTGTTTTTAATTGAGATGTTCAGACAATTTAAATGTATCATTATTTTCAGTATAGTTGTGTTTACATTTATGGTATTGCAGTTTTTTTCTACTTGTCTCGTCCATTCTTGTTCCTTTTTCTCTTTTCCCTTCTTTATTTTTGATTAATTAAGATTTTAAAATTTATTTTATTTTTACCATTAGTTTTACTTTTGTGTTTTTTATTGGATACGCTAAGGTTTCTAATATACATCTTTACCTTGCAATAGTACTTTTCCAAATAATATTATACCAGTTCATGTATACAGTAAGAATCTTATAACAATATACTTCTATTTTCAAACTTTCCATCGTTTCTACTATTTTTGGTGAAAATTTTATTTCTCTGTATACTACAAACACCACAATATATTTTTAAAGCACACAATTAATTTTATAGATTAAAAAGTGTTTACATTTACTCACTTTATTTCCATTTCCAGTGCTCTTCATTCACTTGTACAGATACAGATTTTTGTCTGATTTTATTTTCCTTCTGTCTAAAGAATGTCCTTTGACATTTTTTGTAGTGCAGTTCTATTGAGGGTTAATTCCCTCAGTGGTTATTTTTATGGAAAAAAAAAAGTATTAATTTCACCTCAGTTTTGAAAAAATTTTCACTGGGTAAGACTTGTAGGTTGGCAGTTTCTTTTTCTTATGCAGTATTTTAAAGGTTGTGTTAGTTTTAAGTACTTTCTAAGGAGTTTGCCGTAATTCTTATCTTTGTTCCTCAGTATGTAATGTGTCTTTTTTTCTTCTGACTGCTTTTAAGAGGTTAACTTTAGTAGTAATTTTCAGCAATTTAATTTTGTAATGTCTCAATGTGCTTTTCTTTAGTTTCATTCTGCTTGGGACTTGTCGGGCTGCTTGGATCTGTAGTTTGATAATTTCTCAGCCTTTATTTCTTCAAAAATCTGTTTTTTATTCCTTCTAACTCTTCTCCTTTTGGTACTCCAATTATATGTAAGATAGACTATGCAATATTGTCTTACAGGTCACTTATTTTCTGTTCATTTTGGTTCCCAGACTTTTTCCTCTCTGTGCTTGCTTTATTTTGAATAATTTCTGTATAATGTCTTCAATTTCACTGACCTTCTTTTTCTGCAATGTATAATCAGCTATTAATCTTATCCCTAATCTCAGCTCACTGCAACCTCCGCTTCCAGATTCAAGTGACTCTTTGCCTCAGCCTCTTGAGTAGTTTGGATGACAGGTGCACACCACCATGTCCAGCTAATTTTTGCAGTTTTAGTAGAGACTGCTTGGCTGTACCAAAGCCAGGCTATTTCCAACTCCTGGCCTCAAATGATCCACCCACCTTGGTCTCCCAAAGTGATGAGATTACAGGCATGTAATCTCATTCCTTGGCCTAAATATCTTTATTTTTATTTATTTATTTATTTATTTGAGACAGAGTTTCACTCTGTCACCCAGGCTGGAGTGCAGTGGCGCGATCTCAGCTCACTGCAACCTCCCCCTCTTCGGTTCAAGGGATTCTCGTGCCTCAGCCTCCCAAGTAGCTGGGACTGCAGGTACGTGCCACCATGTCTGGCTAATTTTTGTAATTTTTAGTAGAGACAGGGTTTCGCTATGTTGGCCAGGCTGGTCTCAAACTCCTGGCCACACATGATCTGCCTGCTTTGGCCTCCCACAGTGCTGAGATTACAGGCATGAGTCACCACACCAGGCCTACGTATCTTTAAATAATGGATATGTGACTGCACGACTGCAGCATTTGTATCCAGATAGATAATCAATTCATCTATAAACCAGCTATCAAGTAACTGTCTAAATATTTAAAATACAGTTCTTGTTTAGCTCATTCTTAGTTTTGATCACCTTTTTTTGTTGGGTGGTGGGGAGCCCTGCTGGTCACTTTGAAAATATACTACGGTCAAATCTTCTGATATCCTGAAGGTTTCTTTCAGCTGGACTAAGCTCCCAACTCCAGGCAAGCCCAAGTTTGTGGCCTCCCGCATTAGTGCTCTTTCTATCTACCAGAGTCGACAGTATTTGTTCGGCTCAGTATCTGAGTGTAGCTCACTCCAGTTAACTAGAGTTGTTGACTTTTGCAGAAATAGAAGCAGTGGGATCCAACCGATATTTAGCTACAATGCGAAAATGAGTGCAGTTGGTACCTGATGTCCAAGTACAATGCACTGAAGTGTCAAGATTTTCACATACTTTCTGATAAATTGATTCTCCATATTCTGTCCCATCATTGACATTAATGTGTAGTTGAAAGTCTCCAGTCCTGTATAGCCCAGCGAGAAGTTATTCCTTGTCAGCTTTGATTTGACACTGTCAAAGGTCATCTGGTACCCAGCAAGCCAGCCTCATCACCAAAGACAGCCAAACCATGGATTTGAAGTCCTGAAAAATAAAAGTCAACATCACAACCAAAGTGTATATATTCTCCTTGTAACAGGACTTGATCTTATCACTTTTCTCTCCTGTGTTTGGTGAGAAGGTAGTATCTAATGTCAGTTTCAAACCTTGAAAAACCTGGTCTTTAACTGTGATTTCTGTTCCCAGAGTGTTCTGTTCCCAGAGTGTTCTACTTTTCTGTGAAAGTCAGATCATAATCACACCATTTATATTTGGTCTCCAACGTCCCAGTAATTTTACCAGTGTCTGTATGAGATGAACCAGATGTTGAGAATTCCATGCCACTGCGTGACTTTTTTTTTTTCACATCCAGTTTCACCAACCCTGAACCAAATCCTTTGTGGAAAGTATCTCTGACAGCTATGCCAAGGTCAGCATACGATGGAGGAATACATTGGCCACACTGAGGTCTGTTTGTAGGTCACCATGGTGAAGACTTGGGAAGAGATAATCTGGTGGTCTCCAGATGGGGGGTGCTCCCACTGCTGTGCTCACAGCTGAGGCCACTGGGTTTGCCTGCTGTTGGGTCACAGCTGCCTCGACTGGAGGACAAAGTGGAGGCACATTTCCACTTGCAGCCTGAATGTTTTCCAAATGTAAAAATATTTTTGAGCTGTATTAGTCAGTGTTCTGCTTAGAAACAGAATCAGTAAGATAGATAGCAGTAAGATAGGTAGGTAGATAGATAGATAGATAGATAGATAGATAGATAGATAGATAGATAGAAGACAAAATGAGCCAGCCGTGGTGGCTCACACCTGTAATCCCAGCACTTTGGGAGGCCAAGATGGAAGGGTCATGAGGTCAGGAGTTAGAGACCAGCCTGACCAACATGGTGAAACTTCGTCTCTACTAAAAATACAAAAATTAGGTGGGTGTGGTGGCGGGCACCTGTAATCCCAGCTACTCAGGAGGCTGAGGCAGGAGAATCGCTTGAACCTGGGAGGTGGAGGTTGCAGTGAGCCGAGATCATGCCATTGCATTCCAGCCGGGGTGACAGAGCGAGACTCCGTCTCAAAAAAAAAAAAAATGAAATGTATTATGGAAATTGACTCACACAGTTATGGAGGTCAAGAAGTCCCACGATCTTTCATCTGCAACCTGGACAACTAGGAAAGTCATTGTTGTAATTCAGCTTGAGTTGGAGGGACTGATTGTGTAAATCTTAGTCCAAGGCCAAATGGCTGAGAACCAGGGGCCTCCTTGGTATAAGTTCCATGCCCAAAGGCCTGAGAATCAGAAGCTCCGATGCCCTAGGGCAGCATAACCTGGATGTTCCACCTTAAGGAAAGAGAGCTAAATTCTTCCCTTCCTCTGCTTATTTTGTTCTATCTGGGCCCACAAAGTATTGGATGGTGCACATCCATATTGGTAGGGGCGGATATTCTCTACTTAGTCTACTGATTCAAATGAGAAGCTCTTCAAGAAACACCCTCACAGACACACCAGAAATAATATTTTACCAGCTATCTGGGTATCCCTTAACCCAGTCAAGTTGACTTATAAAATTAACCATCACGTTAGCCTTATTTCTAGTCGTAAATTCTTGGTAAATATTTGTTGAATGAACAAATGTCATATTCTTTTCCAACAACAATAGCTATGTTTCTAATAATAATTGTTACCGAGTGTTTAGTAAGTACCAAACTCTAGACTACGTTTTTATGATTGAACCTCATTTAGTTCTCACAACTAATTGTGATGGAAAAAATGATAAGGAAACTGAGGCTTAGAAACATGAAGTAACTTGCCTGAAGTTAGACAACTGATCAGAAGATTGACCCAGAGAGCTTGTCTCCAGAATCCAGTCTGAATCACAATCTACTGTGCCTTTATTTTAGCCACTTATGAACAAATAAATTTAGTAACCCTCTTGCTAAATATCTGGCACACATGGTTTGGTTGTATAGGATTGAAAATTTTTTTTGTACAGATATCACTTTTCATTAGAATTGTTGTAGTGATTAGCATGCTTATATTTTCCCAAATGTGCCATCTCTCATCTCAAATTCTAAAGTCAATGAGTTGTCTTTAGGAGAAAGAACTGGTTTATATCTTTTAGGCTCAATTCTTGGAGTGATCAATCCTGCTAATGCTCATCTTCTTTCCAGTTAGTAAGGTCTGGGTCCTTGCACTTTTTTGGATTCTCTTTTTAAATGTAATAGAAAAGAAGTAGCTCTGGGCTTCGTCCAGTATGTTCCTGAATTGTGATGCAGTTGTCTGTAGTAAGGATATCAATAACTGTGGAAGTGGCGTTTCCCTCTAACCTCCTGGGAACAACATTTTTCACTGTGTGGGTTTGTCTGTGATGGAGAGAGCTGCAACAAAAACTGTGGTTGCCACCATTTTTACATAGGATGGAGGGATAGATACTTTTCATTGCGATTCAAAATAAGTAATTTCTGGCAGAAATAAAAAGGATTCTCTTGCTGTACTTATTCCATAGCTAGTGATTAATATTAATATTACACCTCCATAACCAGAGGCCTTTACTGTGCATGACATTGGCAATGATACATCCTAAAAAAATTTGGGAAGTATGAGGATGCTTGAGATATGCCATGTTTTCCTTTTTTCCTTTCTAATTTTCTGCTTTCCTCTCTCCTTTTCTTTGTGGGCTGTGTGTGTGTGTGTTTGTGTGTGTGTGTGTGTGTGTGTACACTTTGGTGTGTCTCTTAACAAAGTCTTTTCATCTCAAGCTCCCTGATATATGTGGAATTTGTCCACCCCTCTCTGCCTCTGTTTTCTCTCGTAGCTTCTATCATTCCCAGCGTGAACTATAACCTCCTAACTGGTGTCTTCACTTGTGTTCTGTTTCCCTATTGTTGATTCACCGCATATCATTTAAAAGATGTTTTACAAATGAAAATCTGAGCATTCCTGTTGCTTAAAAATATTTGGTGGCTACCTCAAATCCTTAATATTTCTAATCTTCATGATTATGTTCCTGAAAATACTCTCTAGCTGCATTCATTTACTAGATCATTAGATTTTGTGTGTTTTTGGCTGTCATCATAGTAAGATATTTGTGTCATCAGTACATATACACACACATACACACACGTGCCTAAAACAAAAGTTTCACAAAAATACCTACCTTTTCTACACACACATATCCACGTACCTATGTGACATAGATGTATAATATATGTGTGAATATTTAGTATATATTACTCCCCATTACATGGGACCAGGAAATATGTTTGTCCTATTTGGGTACTTATGGCCAACATTTTGAATTTTGCCCAGTACAGAATAGGTACTCAGGATATATTTGTTTTTAAGAACCCATAAGCTAAAATAAACTTTACAAAAGAATGCTATGTTAAGAAGCCATAAGCTAAAATAATCTTCATAAAAGAATGCTATATAAGTGTTTCACCCTCAGGAGTTTCCAATAAAATAATTTTTTGTAGGAAAAGCAAAGCTAAGAAAATATTCTCTATTTCTATTTATTGATGTGATTTTATGTGTTAACTAAATGTCACACTTATAATAATTTTCCTTTGAAATCAATAATAGTAGTTATTTCAGTGATAGAGTTTCACATATTGCAGATTTTAATATATACTATACAAATGTAGGAAAACAAACCACATTAAAAAATGTATGTGTTGCTTTGTTTAAGGTAGAACATTACATTCATTTTGTTCTGATATGTTTGGCTTTAGGCAGAGATATATTTTCATTTACTAGACAAGATTCATCATTGTAGAATCCATTAACTAGGCACTGAGTACCTAAAAGCTTTAGGTGTTTAGAGGATGTTTGGAAAACTGATGAAATGGGAATCTGAGCTGCACAGGTAGGATCCATTTAATTTGGGGCATGCAGGAGTCAGCCTTAAGGGAGATTCATTATGATGGTTAATAAAACCATCTAGCATATGTAATTGGTGTGGGATTGTATTGATAAACTTCCTTTCTAGAGTATTTGAGCTGGCTATTGAGCCTTTCAGCTTTCAATGTTGGATAAAATTTATATTAGCCTCAAGCATTAAAACCAAGTAGCTTCATGTGTTTACTATTTGTTGGTCTTTATACAGTCCAACTTTATACCAGGATTTGAATAAGGCAAAAGTGCATTATTTAATCTTCAGAGATATCAACATATATCCAGTATGGTGATTGATAGATTTCCTAAAGTCATCTATTATTTGCTTTTCTTAATATCAACTGTGGCTATTGTCTCTTCTAAAATTATTTAAAAGAAGAATAGGATTATTTCTTAGTGCTTTTTTATAATTAAAAAAACAAAAGGAAAATAGACTCAAAAATTGATAGTAGTTGGGGTCCAATCTTTGCATTTTTCTATTAAACTCTTGAACTCATATGGATAACATGTTCTTCTTACAATTACTTACTAGTTAGGAATCGACTAAGTTGCAATGAAGAGATTTTTAAATTATGGAAATTTGAAAGAATTCTTGAAAACAGTTATTTTAACAATTATCCCAGTAAATTGAAATAATTTATAGCATGCTTTTCTATTTCCTGCCCAGCCTTTAAACTTTTATTTTGCAGTAATGGTATTATTTTTCTTTCTCAGCAAGATATGGAGATGATAATTGTTTATTCCAGCCATGATCTTCATATTTGTGATCCTTCCCTGACCAGCTGTGCTAGAGTATGTTGTTAGTGCTATTCTGGGAATCATGTAAAAGACTTGGTCACTTAATGTCAGGAGGTGATCTTGGATAAAGTCACTTAGAAAAAGGACAAGGCAACTCCTAATCTTAAGAAAAAACAGATGAATAAGAGTATAATATATACTCAGTATATAACAGCTGCCTTTTCTCTCAATCTTGCCAGCATTTGATATTTTTTTTTTGGTCTTTTTGCTAGCCATTCTATTTGTAGTTCTCTGATGATTAGAAACATTGAGCATTTTTTTCATATACCTCTTGGTCATCTTTATGTCCTCTTTTGAGAAATGTGCACTCAGATCCTTTGCCCACTTTGTAGTAGGATTATTTGTTTATTTTTTGCTGTTGAATTATTTGAGTTCCTTGTATATTCTTGATATTAGTCCCTTGATGGACACATAGTTTGCAAATATTTTCTCCCACCCTACAGATAGTGCAATGCCTCCAGCTATATTCTTCTTGCTTAGGATTGCTTTGGCTGTTCAGGGTATTTTGTAGTTATGTACACATTTTAGGATTGTTTTTTCCATTTCTGTGAAGAGCATTATTGGTATTTTAATAGGAATTGAATTGAACCTGCAGATTGCTTTGGGTAGTATTGTCATTTTCATGGTATTAATTATTGTGGTCCATAATCATGGGCTATCTTTCCATTTGTTTGTGTCCTCTTCGATCACTTTAATCAGTGTTTTCTACTTTTTTTGATAGCGGTCTCTCACCTCGTTGGATAAATGTATTCCTAGGTATTTTTTTTGGTAGCTATTATAAATGAGATTGCTTTCCAGATTCTTTTTCAGCTGGTTTATTATTGGTTTTAAGGAATCCTATTGATTTTTATATTTTGATTTTGTATCCTACAATTGTACTGATTTTGTTATCAGTTTTAAGGGGTTTTGGTGCAGTCTTCAGGTTTTTCTAGATATAAGATCATGTTGCCTGCAAAGAGGGACACTTTGACTTCCTCTTTTCCAGTTTGGATTCTTTTTATTTTTCTCTTGCTTGATTGCTCTGTCTAGGACTTTCAGTACTATGCTAAATAGGAGTGGTTAAAGTGTGCATTCTTATCTTGTTTCCAGTTCTTGAGGAAAGGCTTTCAGCTTTTTCCTATTCAGTGTAATGTTAGCTATGGGTTTTATCATATATGGCCTTTATTGTGTTGAGATATTTTCCTTCTGTGCTTAATTTGTTGAAGGTTTTTATTAGGAAGGTATGTTTGATTTTATCAAATGCTTTTTCCTGCATCTATTGAGATGATCAGATAGTTCTTGTCCTTTATTCTATTGATTTGATGTATCAGATTTGTCAACGTGCCTATGTTGAACCATCCTTGCATCTGTGGGATAAATTCCATTAGATTTTGGCACATTATCTTTTTAACATGTTGTAAGATTTAGTTTGCTAGTATTTTGTTGAGGATTTTTGCATCAATATTCATCAGGGATATTGGCCTGTGATTTTCTTTTGTTGTTGTTGTTGTGTCTTTGTCTGGTTTTGTTTTCAGGCTAATACTGGCCTTATAGAGTGAGTTAGAAAGAATTCCCTCTTTTTAATTTTTTGGAATAGTTTTAGAAGAATTGGAGTTAGTTTTTCTTCAAATGTTTGGAAGAATTCAGCAATAAAGCCATCAGTCCTGGGCTTTTCTTTGTTAGGAGACTCTTTATTACTTATTCAATCTTGTTACTAATTAATGGTTTGTTCAGGTTTTCTATTTCTTCCTGGTTCAATATTGGTAGGTTGTATGTGTTCAGGAACATATCCATTTCCTCTAGGTTTTCCAATCTGTTGCCATGTAGTTGTTCATAATAATCTCGAATAATCTTTCTTATTTCTGTGGTATCAGTTGTAATGTATTTTTTGTTTCTGATCTTATTTTATTTTCTTTCTCTTTTCTTAATCTAGCTAGCAGTTTATCAATTTTATCTTTTTTAAAAAAACAACTCTTCACTTTATCTTTGTATTTTTTTAGTCTATACTTTGTTTAGTTCTGCTCTGATCTTTATTATTTATTTTCGTCTAATTTTGAGATTAGTTTTTTCTTGCTGTTCTAGCTTCTTGAGGTGCATAATTAGGCTGTTTATTTGAAATCTGTCTACTTTATTGATGTAGGTGTTTATTGCTACAAGCTTCCCTCTTAGCATTGCTTTTGTTGCATCTCATAGGTTTTGGGATGTTGTGTTTCCATTTTCATATGTTTTAAGAAATTTTAAAATTCCTTCTTAATTTCTTCATTGATCAATGGTTGTTCAGGATTATGTTGCTTAATTTACACACATTTGTAAATTTCAAACGTGTTTCAAATTTCCTCTTGTCATTACTTTCTATTTTTTTCCATTGTCATTTGATAAGATGTTTGATATGACTTAGATTTTTAAAAATTTTTTGAGACTTTGTCTTGTGGCTTAATATGAGATCTATCCTGGACAAAAGCTCTAGTTTCTTATAGGTGGACTGGAGACAGAAAAATCAGTCTTTGGCAAAGACAAACAGAGCAGATAAGTAGAAAGAAGTGAGCAATATTACAAATTCAGAAAGACAGAATGAGTTGCTGGTTTCATTGTTCCCCATGACTATGTTAATTCCTCTTGAAAGGTATGTGTATAATCTAGAAAACATGAGATATTTCTGAATCCAGAAATAGTAGGAGTAGCTTCCTGTTGCTAATGGCGCTGTGCTGTCAGCTTACTAATCTTGGTTGCTAACAAATTATGTCAGTGATGTTGTGATCCTGGAGCAAGCTGTTATACTGAAACTTTCCAATTTTCCAGACAGCTTTCTGTCATAGAAGAGGCTGTAGTTTCCTCCATGGTGCACTTCTGAATTGTGACGTTAGGAGTTCTTCCTGAAGGCTCTGCCTAGAATATTTTTGTTCATTTCTCCCAGTGATTCTGTAAGTCATTTAACACCCTGTGATACACAAGTTGGGTCTGAAAATACCAAGTGTGGATTATTTTCTCTGAAACTGAACTTTAACAAATACAATAATTATAGCATTTAGAAAACTATAAGGTGATACTATGTATTTATTCATTCATATGTGCTTGAGAGTCATTGGTAAACAGACAATACCCTCATGGAATTTACATGCTAGAGGAATAAGACAGACAATAAGCAATAAACAGAAAAGAATAAGTACATAATATATCATGTGAAAAGGTAGTAAGAGCTAAGAAAGAAGAAGTGGAAAGTGTATCTGTAGTTTTAAATAAGGTAGGCAGGGTAGGTGACATCTGAGCAAAGACTCAATTGAAGGAGATTTTGTATTGTTATTTCAATATTGTTTCATTATACAAGCTTCAAGATGAAACTTCAGTTTCTCTTTAATATTTTATCTATAATAACACTATATAACCTTTTAAAAATTTCATATTTGTCTCATATTTGTCAAGTGTCTTCATTCATCTTCTTCAGATAACGGATATGCAGGCTTTAATACAAGTATTTGCGCAGATTATCAGGTGGTTAGATTTTCCTTTCTTATATCTCATTTACAGCCAGAGCAATTTAAGAGTAGGTTGAAACTGATAAGGAATTAAGTAAAGACCATTAGGTAACAGTTATAGAAGTAATACTTTAAATTTTGGCGATCATAACAATAACAAAAGAGAATTTTGCATAGGGTGAAAGTTTCAGATGATTATGAGTAGCAAGAAAGCTCAGAAATCATAAATGTTGACAATTCTTAGAACGTATGAATCTCTTACATAACAGCAAAGATCATTCCAATTTGTCAAAACCTCTCCAAATGGAACAGATATTTTATTTGTGATTTACTAAGGCCAATGAACATGAAGTTTTTACTTTCTTTGTTGTGGCCACTCCACCTTTATTTGCATGGCTTAAAGTTTTCACTAGATATTTTCGCCCTTTTATCACACGTCACATTATTGACCAATAATGAACTTCAAATTTACTAAAAACCCTGTCATTGGTACTTACTCAACGGTGCCTTTCTACATATTTGAAATTTTAATTTTGCAAATTCTAATAGCTGAATTTTACTTTTTTCATTAAATTTTATCTTGTTAGATTGGAGTCATTTTTATGACTATTGAATCTAAGTAATCCCTGACTCTTTTGTCAGATAAGCAATTTTTGGGTTCCCTTGTTGTCTTCTTTACATTCTTCTCTACTCTCATTCATGAGACTAATGAGTCTTCTTAAATGTATCAAAATGGAAGACTAAATCTGGCAGCAGACACCAGAAATGTTTCACTGACTGCCCATCAAAATCCCACACTCATAGGAATGATACTCTAGACATTTATACATCGCCCAGCCATTTGTACGTAAGAATGACCATTCTGCCATTTATACATTTACTGGTGTAAAGTAGTGTTCCCACTGAGTGAATGAACTTCTGTGTGATTCACTTGTGTATATTTGCTACAGCATTTTTTCTCTTTTTAAAGTGGAGTCATACCATAACCTTGAAATGCTATTAGGATTAAATAAAATAAGTTAGTAAAATAATCCCTAATATATATTAAATGTCTTATGAATTTAAGTTCTCATTTCTCACTTTCCCTTCTTTTTTGTTATATAAATGTCTTCTTTGAAGAAACGTTTATTCAGGTCGTTTGCCCATTTTTTTATTGAGTTGTGTGAGTTCTTTATAAATTTTGGATATTAACCCCTTAACAGATATTTTCTCCCAATCTGTAGGCTACCTTTTCATTTCGTTGATTATTTACTTTGCTGTGCAGAAGAGCTTTTCAGTTTGATGCCATCCTACCTGTTTTCTCTTGTGCGTGTGTTTTTTTTGTTTTGTTTTGTTTTGTTTTTTGAGACAGAGTCTCGCTCTGTCGCCCAGGCTGGAGTGCAGTGGCACAATCTCGGCTCACTGCAAGCTCCGCCTCCCGGGTTCACGCCATTCTCCTGCGTCAGCCTCCCGAGTAGCTGGGACTACAGGCGCCCGCCACCACGCCCGGCTAATTTTTTTTGTATTTTTAGTAGAGACGGGGTTTCACCATGTTAGCCAGGATGGTCTCGATCTCATGACCTCGTGATCCGCCCGCCTCGGCCTCCCAAAGTGCTGGGATTACAGGCGTGAGCCACTGTGCCCGGCCATTTTGTCTTGTTTTGTTTGCTTTTGTTGCCTAAGCTTTTGGTATAATATCCAAAACGTCATTGCCAAGGCCAACCCCAAGGAGCTTTTTCCTAATTTTCTTCTTGTAGTTTTATAATTTCAGGTTTTACATTTAGGTCTGTTATTTATTTTGATTTGATTTTTTGTATATGGTATAATATAAGGGTCCAATTTTAGTGTTTTGCATGTGGATATCCAGTTTTTTCATCACTATTTATTGAAGAAACTATCCTTTTCCTATAGTGTCTTCTTGGTGACCTGTCAAAAATTAGTTAATCATATATGCCTGGGTTTATTTTTGCACTCTCTATGCTGTTCCATTGATCTGTGTGCCTGCTTTTATGCCAGCACCATACTGGGGTTTTTTTTGGTTTTGTTTTTGTTTTTTTTGTTTTTTTTTTGATGGAGTCTTGCTCTGTCACCCAGGCTGGAGTGCAGTGGTGCGATCTTGGCTCACTGCAACCTCTGCCTCCCGGGCTCAAGAGATTCTCCTGCCTCAGCCTCCTGAGTAGCTGGGACTACAGGCATGTGCTACTATGGCCAGCTAATTTTTGTATTTTTAGTAGAGACAGGGTTTCACCATGTTGGCCAGGCTTGTCTTGAACTCCTGACCTCAGGCAATCCGCCCACCTTGGCCTCCCAGAGTGTTGGGATTACAGGCGTGAGCTACTGTGCCCAGTCCATACTGTTTTACATACTATAGCTTTGTAATATAATTTAAAATTAGGCAGTTTAATGCCTCCAACTTTGTTTTTATTTCTCAAGTTTGCTTTGGCTATTCAGTGTCTTTTGCAGTTCTATATAATATTAGCATTTTTTTCCATTTCTGTGAAAAATATGGAAATTTTGATAGAGATCGTATTGAACCTATAGATAGCTTTAGGTAGTACAAATATTTTGGCAATACTTACTTTTCCAATCTTGTCCAAAGTGAAAAGGAAGAAGCAAAATTATCCCTTTTAGCAGATGACATAGCCCTGTATATAGAAATCTTTGATGAATCCACAAAAAACTGTTAGAACTAATAAATGAATTCAGTAAATTTTCAGAATTCAAAATCAACATAGGAAAATCAGGTGCATTTCTTTACACCAACATGAAACAAAAATATTGAAAATGTATTTTTTCTTTCAAAACTTTTACTCACTTTCTCATCTTACAGCAATTGATTATTAACTGAAAATCCCAAGGCACCTAACCTCATAGCCTTATTTATTTTCTAATTATTTTATTATTGAAAAATTAATACATGAACAATCAGACATACAATGAAAATAAATCTCACTCTTTGCTATAGAACCTCCATCCCTCTCCTCCTAGCAAAATAAAATAAGATTTTATTATGCTAGACCAGAACTATCTAGTGGTCTTGGAAGTCACTAAACTGTAAAAGGAGGGGAAAACGACATAAAGATAAAGAAGATAATCTGCTAACTTTGTTGCTTTCCTAAACTGAGACTTTAATTAAAACAATTAGACCTTGGGAATTTAGCCTATCAGTCTCTTATATATTGACCGAACAATGTCAGATATAGACATTGGTTTGCAGATTAAGTTCCTACAAACATATGATTAAGAACCCCTTTAAATATGCTCTTTTGTATGAAGCACTTTTCAGCATAGGTACACTATTTTTTTGTTTTAAATTTATAAAATAGAACCTCATTTTGTTTGTTTTCAAATAGAGCTCAAGCAAAGAGGTTGCCATGATTCTTACAGGATCAGAAATAGAGAAAGCAGAATCAGATTGAAGAGAGTGGTTGGCTGAGATACATTTATCAATTTGATTGAAGAGACACTACAGTTGTATTGTTTAACATGATGGTTTTTGGAAGTACAATATCAGGATAAACCATAATAGGTATCTCATTCTAGAAACCATCTTTGCAAAATAGTTTTTCCAAAGTCTAGGGAATTAATTCATTATGGATTTGTGTTTTGATTAGTTAAAAATAGTATTGTATTTATCAGTTATAGGTACAAACTGGGAGATTCTTCGTTTGATTTACTGGTTTTAAAACAAAGATCTTTGGAAAGATTTATCTTTCTAAAACAACAGAAAAGAAAGGGAAGATGGGGGAATACGTGGTGTCTTAGCCTGTTTTGTGTTGCTATAACAGAATATCAAAGATTGGGTAACATATAAAGGAAAGACATCTATTTTTTACAATCTGGAGGGTGGGAGTCCAATAGCCGGGTGCTGGCATTGAGGAGGGCCTTTTTGCTGTGTCATCTCATGGCAGAAGGCAGAACAGCAAAAGAGCACAAGTGCTCATGAGAGAGAGGAAGGAGGCCAAACTCATCCTTTTATCAGGAACTCACTCCTGTGATAATGGACCCAATCCGATGATAAGGGCATTAATCTATTCATGAGGGCAAAACGCTCATGACCTAATTACCAATTAAAAGTCTCACCTCCTAACACTGTTGCATTGGGGATTAAGTTTACAGCACATGAACTTTGGGGGACACATTCAACCCATAGTGTATAGTATTCAAGTAAAATCTGAATTCATTCTTATTTAGTTAGAAAGTCAAACCAAAACATTTCCACCAATTCATTAAATATTTTTTTGGCCATTTTTTCTGACTTTTCAATTTTATATCTTAACCAGAAAGGGATTGATCTAAACAAACCTTAAAACACAAAGTGAATTTTGACAAAGTTTATGAGTGTTTGCATATTTTCTACAAGGTTGTATTTCTTCTTCCATCCACTTTTAAATTAATTAAATACATCTCTTTCTTTCAATAATTTATTCAACAAATATTTACTGAGATTTCACAATATTCTAGGCACTGTGAATACAAATAAGAAAAAGCTGTTTGCCCTCATGAAGCAAACAGGAGGAAGAACGATGATCACCATACATACCAGTAAAACATATAAGGAGACAGATGCTGATAAGTACAATGGAGAAAAATGGAGCAAGAAAGAGAGAAAAGGGATTGGAATGACGGGCTATTTCAAACAGGTTGGTTTGGAAAGACTTGAGTGGAGACTTAACAGAGGTGAGAGAGTGATGCAGTGCTGAGGAGGAAGGCTTTGCATGAAAGAGAATAGCAAGGGCAGGCCCTGACACCAAAGAGGGCTTGGCAAGTTTAAGTAACAGCAAGATGGCCAACGTGGTTGTAAGGAAGAGCTGCCAAGGTGGACTCAAAGAAATAGCCAGGGTCAAACTGCGGAGGGTCCTGTAGGCCACTGTCAGCACATTGACTTTTATTCTGAGGATCTGAAGAAGTGACATTATCTCACATATTTTAGAAGAGTCAACCTGGCTGTTGCATTGAGTGTAGAGCACAGAAGCAGACATGAGGGTAAAACTAGAGAGACACACACACAATTGATCATCAATATTTGCAGGTTTCATATTTGTGAATTTCCCTACTTGGTAATAACCCCCAAATCTATACTTCATACATGCATTACAACACATGCATGTACAATGTGTTGAAAAATTTGAGATGCACAATGCACATGTTCGAACAAGGTGATTCTCTGCCCTGCTTTCTGGTTTTAGCTCTCATGCAGTAAACAAGTGTCCTTATTGCAGTCTATCTGGGGCCACATTTATTTTTGCATTTTCATGGGATTTTGTTGTTTAAAATTGCCCTGATGCAAAGTGCTGAAGTGCTGTCTAGTGTTGCTAAGTGCAAGAAGCTGTGATGTGCCTTACAGAGAAAGTATGTGTGTTAGGTCAATTTCATTCAGACATAAGTGATAGAACTGTTGATTATGAATTTAATGTTAATGAATCAACAATGCAGTATGCCCCCAAAATAGAGGAAATTCACTAATATGCACATCAGGCCACAAAAATGATAAATTAACACTTATGTATTGAAGCTATGGAAAAAAACTCAATTTGTGAATTCATAAGATGATGACCAATAGAAAAAGCATACGGAACAACATTGTTGCGTGGCTAAATGAAGGCCATAGAAAATTTATCATCACATTACACAGGGTCAGGAGAATGTTAAATTCTTCTGGGCTAGTGCTGGCTAACTCACAGATTTCAGAAAATGTTAAACTTGCATGAGATTCAGGTTCTGCAGATAAGGAGGCTCAAGAATTGAAAAATACCTGCTGTGTCTTACGCAGTAAAAGGGTCATGTGAAAGAATAGGTTCACAATGCTGATAAGACTGCTTGTTTTATGATGACATCAGCAAACAAACCTATGTAATGCAAATGCCCTCTAAAGCCCAGGCTTTAAATCATTCAAAGGCCATGCAATGAATTATTTGTGAGAAATATGTATTAAATAAAGTGTCTTTAAACAGAAGCACACATAAAACAAGGTTATGAATTGATTGTTTGACAAAAACATGACCAGCTACTGAAACCTAACCCTGTATTTTCCATAGAAGCAATGGTTCTATATTTGTTCATTCAGCATCTGCAATAACTTTTTAGTACATGACTACTACAACTAATGAGAATCAACTGTATATAAACATATATATTTTTGTATATGTGTGTTTTGGACTCAATTGTTTTGCCAGCCCCCAACCAAATTCCTGTGTTGAAACCCTAATCCCCAGTAGGTCAGAATGAGACTGTATTTAGAGATATGAATTTAAAGACACAATTAAGTTAAAATGAGGCCCTTAGGATTGGCCCTAATCCAGTCTGACTGGTGTCCTTGTAAGAAGAGATTCTGACACACAAAAGAGACATCAGAGGGGCACACACATACAGAAATGACCATGTGAGGGTTGACCATCTGCAAGCCAGAGAGAGAGGCCTGAGAAGAACCCAACTCTGCCAGCACCTTGATCTTGAACTTCCAGCTTCAATGACTGTGAGAAAATAGATTGATTTTATTCACCTCGTCTGTGGTATTTTATTATGGCAGCCCTAGCAAACTAAGTCAACATCAGGCACATCATGTTGGTGTCATTGAACAGCCATATGTTTTATGGTGGTGGTGTGAAATTTATGAGACACGATTAAATTTGTGTATATTTTGAAAAAGGAGCTAAGGGGATTTTCTGAAGAATTGGATATAGCTTATTAGATAAAAATGGAAGTTTGCATTCAGGAGAAAATGTATTCCTATTTTGTTCTTTCTTACTATTCACATGTTGCACCATTTTTTTCCCAAAGAAAAACAACTAAGAAAGGAAAAAATCTTATGATGTGAGGATAAAAAGACTGACCACCCTAGTCCTATCACTGAAACATTTCCAGTGGAATCAGTAAAGGCATGATGTGTTTTAGGAAATACGATAGGGTTGTTTGTGACAATGTAAATGTAGTTGTTCAGGGTTCAATTTTAAAAAATTTAATTTTAAAACACTTAGTTTTGAAGAGTTAGAAATATTTGCAAGGAAAAATGGTTTCTTATTTTTGATTAATATTATTTTTCATGGTTCTCTAATAAGAAGAAATCAAACTTAACTGCATAAACTATAATTAAATTCAAGAGTAAATGAGTAATGAATAAGTTTTAAGATCTAATGATATATTTACTCTACCCATGACACAATTATCTGAAAGCAAATTGATTATTGGATATAAGGACTGTTTTAGGGAACAAAAGCGTTGAAAATAAATATGCAAACACTTTCTTTGTGTTGTGGATTAAACCTTACTGTTTTTAAAGTATTATAAAAGTTCAATAATAATTACATACTTAGAAAAATGTACTTTGAAAAGTAATTTCTGTGCATTTTATTTCTACCATTAGTGTTCAATTTCATTATTTGGATTAACATTTTAATGTAATAAAGATATATTTTTGCGAGATAGTATCTTGGGACAACTTTTAAGAGAAAGACATTTTCATACATTCAGTTTATACTTTTTTGTATTGAAATGCAATCTACATGTTTCACTTTAATAAGGAACCAAATAGAGTCTTAACTTTGCTTTTGTTTCCTTATCTCCAATTTTCATTGTGGTTCTTATTTATATTAAGGGGATTATGTGGCTACTGTAAAATATTCTTTTCATAATAATTGTCCACATTCTAAGGCTGTATTCTTCTCTTCATGTTCATATATTTTGTATTTGTTTCATAGTATTCCATTTCTTTTATAGTGAGGAAAAAATCTGTTTGAAGTATCTAAGTCTCTAACCCTATGATTACCTTGGCAAATTAACATTTTTAGCTGCAGAATAGTTGTTTTCTAACAAATTCTTCTTCCTTAATTCTTTTCATAAGTTACCAAGTATCTCTTACAGCTCCCAACAAGCCCTACATCTTGAAAATATTTAAATATTTTCAAGATCTTAAAATATTTAATTGATATTCAATGATATCAATTAGAATTTCTGATCAATGTTATTTTGAGAAATAAGAGCTGCTTGATTTCATGTAGCTAAATGTTACTTTTATAATTTTTATTTTTTGTTTTTAATCTTTTATCTGAATTCAGACATCTACTTTTCACTCTTACAGCTAGCTTTATTTACTCCTTGTTTTTGCTCTTTTTCTGCCACAGATTAAGTTTTATTTCTGTTCTAGAAGGAGCTTGTTCTTGAAAGGCTTACTGTCTATTGAGTTATTATTCACTTCTGATATTTACATGTTTAATTAGCAACACTTTATAAATTACCTTCATAAATATTATTTTATTTGAACCTGATTGATTTCATCCTGTGAAATGAATGGGAGATTATTATCTTCAATATGTAGATAAGGTGACTGAGGTTCAAAGAGATTCTATGACTTACTTTGGGCACACAGCTGATGGAAGTGGCACGGGTAGACTTAGGAATCACCCAGTGCTTCTCCCTTACAAGTCTTGGGCTCTTTCCACTACCATCCTATTACCTTTGCAGGCAATTGAAGCTTAGGTATTCTGCAATAAGCAATACTTGCAAGATTATCAATCTTTAGTATAACCATGAATATAATTCTTAATAAATAATGCTATGTAAATTAATGTAGGCATATGTGAAAGTGTTTTGTGAATTATGTCTATGCATACACAGCATATTAATATTTCGTCTGGCAAAATAGCACTAATGTAATTAGATATAATTAAGAAATACCTGATGCCTTCAAAATTATTTCGGGCCAGCATTTCTTTATTTTCTTATAAAATATAATTTTGGTTTATATCAATAAATCACACATACCTTAAAAAGATGTATTTCTACAAAGCTTATATATTAAGTAGAATATAGGCTTACATTATTTTAACAAAGAATAAAGGGATGATGGATTAAACAAATCTCATGTCTCTCTCATGTAAAAGTGCAAGATGAGAACCTGTTGTGGTTGCATGGGACCGGGGAGGGAAGGGATAGATAGGGAAGCTCTGCCCCTTGAGGTCATCCAAGATCCCAAATTTCTTCTACATTGTTGCTTCACCAAGCGTTTCCCTTGTCCGCCTAGTCAAAACTCGTCACTACAACCACAGTCCAACACAAGGGAAGGGAGGAAGAAGTCAAAGTTACCCGCAGTGGCACAAACCTCTTCTGCTCCACATCCAGGAGGCTGTTTCTTATTTGCATAGCTTTTCCTAGCTGCCATGCATTCAATTAAATATTTAGGGATTCTGTTACTAAAAGAGTAGGATGAGAGAATGGGTATTGGTTGATGAATACCGTTATTTCCTAGCCTGATCACTCAGATACAAATGAGTCATTTATTTATTTTTTGATACATTTAAAACATACTTTTGGACATACAGTAATCCAAAGTATTTTTATATTACTTGACATAGCTCAAGGAATGTATAATTCTCTCTTTTGGGCCAGTTAAATCTAATTGTTATCTGGCAACGTATACACTAAAAGGTGAGTTATTAATCACTCCTCCCCTGACTTACACACAATCACTTGTATAGTGGGACAGGATACCACAAAGATACTTCTTTTCAGAAAAGCCAAGAATATTATACAAACTAAAGTCATTGGTTCATTAGAGTTATCAAATCCTGCTGAGCAGTCAGTGCTAGCTCTTCCTAAACTAACCATCATTATTCTGCCTTTGGGGAGTAACTATTTTGTTCTAGTTTTCTCCGTGGCTCCTGGATTTTCCATTTGGGAAGTTTTTGTTTGTTTGTTTGTTTTTTTCTATTATTCTCTATGGATTCCTGTTAGGTGAGTGTTAGAGTTGTCTTTTCCTTCTTCGGAAAAGACAAATTTCACAGTCCATTTCCTGCTAGTACAGATTTGGAGACCTAGAGATTGCTTTGAAAGTTTAAAAGACACAGGCTTTTTGAAAATTTCCCTTGTGGTTTCTTTGAAAAGACAATTTCCATCAAAATGTAATCGTTTCAGTCAGTTCCATGTGCAGGTAAGCACAAGCAGAGATTTTATTTAACCATAGATATTAATTCTGAAATCTCGTGTTTATTTACTAGTCCTGTCCAGCTACCAACCCACAGCTGACATTACAGCTACCAGGAAAAGAATGACAAATTACAAAAATAACATTTGTAAAGGTATAATACAACAGTAAGGACTCAATATCAGAGAGGGCAGAACCATTCTGAAGTGATCTGAAGATCACCAGCTGCTTAAAACTTCCTAGAGGCATTGGCCAATTCTGAATCAGGGCAGAGAACAAGCTCAATGCAAGCCGAGGCTATGATTAAGGAAAAAAAAAATCAACAAAGCTGTTAGTTGTCATGGAAAGCTGACTGACAAGTTATAAACTTGAGAGGATTCTAACACATGGCTGAGTTCTGGGACTACTCAAGAGGTCAAGGAGCCAGATCAAAAGGGAAAACAAAATTTTCTACAGATCTGTGAATATTAAGGAAAAAAAAATATCACCAAAGAGCGAGAGTGGCTTACTCAAGCACACAGCTAATCTCCCTCTGAATAGAAGTGCCAGGATTGAAGGTCAAGTGGCTAAGAGCTGACCTTGGAACCTGTGACAGTAGAGCTTGATCTTAAAATCTTTCAGGGTTGAAGAGAAGAGTACTTGGTAAAAACCATTTGTCAAAAGCCCAGGACACCATGACTGAGGAGTAGGAATTAATCAGATGTAAACAGAGGCTTAGCAAAACTATTACCAAATCCCAAAACTGTTCAGTCTCTAATTAGTTGTGATCATCAGTTCCTTCTTACATTTGTCTAACAAAGGAAATGGGCAACCCTCTCTAATGGAAGATAACATCATATGGAACCTCTGTGGTTCTTTCATGACAATTTCCAACATATAATAACCATTACTAGATATGTACAAAGGTAGGAAAATATGACTGACAATAAAGAGAAAGAAAAATGATCCAAGCACACCCATGGATGATCTAGATATTGGAGGTAACAAACAAGAACTTGAAATTAATTAAGAATGTATAATTATTTTAATTATACTTAAAATGCTTTCCAGGCATGGAAGCTTATGCCTGTAATCTTTTGGAGGCTGTATTAGTCCATTTTCATGCTGCCGATAAAGACATATCCAAGACTGAGCAAATTACAAAAGAAGGAGATTTAATTGGATTCACAGTTCCACATGGCTGGAGAGGCCTCACAATCATGGCAGAAGATGAAAGGCACATCTCACATGGCAGCAGGCAAGAGAAGAGAGCTTGTGCAGGGAAACTCCCCATTTTTTTTTTTTTTTTGACTGGAGTCTTGCTCTGTCGCCCAGGCTGGAGTGCAGTGGCATGATCTTGGCTCACTGCAAGCTCCGCCTCCCGGTTTCATGCCATTCTCCTGCCTCAGCCTCCCAAGTAGCTGGGACTACAGGTGCCCACCGCCACGTGTGGCTAATTTTTTATATTTTTAGAAGTGGGGTTTCACTGTGTTAGCCAGGATGGTCTCGATCTCCTGACCTCATGATCCACCCACCTCGGCCTCCCAAAGAAACTCTCCTTTCTAAAACCATCAGATCTCATGAGACTTATTCACTATCATGAGAAAAGCATGGGAAAAACCTGCCCCCATGATTCAATTACCTCCCACCAAGTCCCTCACACAATGTGAGAATTCAAGATGAGAT
Source organism: Homo sapiens (assembly GCF_000001405.40). Taxonomy (NCBI): domain Eukaryota; kingdom Metazoa; phylum Chordata; class Mammalia; order Primates; family Hominidae; genus Homo; species Homo sapiens. The sequence continues at coordinate 16,114,626 of NC_000021.9, forward strand.
TTGAGTGAGGACACAGCCAAACCATATCAGAGGCCAAGGCAGGAGGATGGCTTCAGCCCAGGAATTTGAGACCAGCCTGGGCAACACATGGAGACCCAATTTCTACAAAAATGTTTTTAAAAAATTAGCCAGGCATGGTGGCGCATGCCTGTAGTCCCAGCTACTCAGGAGGCTGAGGAGGGAGGGTCACTTAAGCCTTGGAGTTCCAGACAAGCCTGGGCAACAGAGCAATACCCCATCTCAAAATAAATAAATACATACATAAAATGTTAATAAAAATTGAGGAAAAGTTGGAAAATAAATGAAGGATGTAGACTTTTAATATAGAAATGCTATATATGATGGTGAAACCTCATCTCTACTAAAAACACAAAAAATTAGCCAGGCATGGTGGTGCACACCTGTAATCCCAGGTACGTGGGAGGCTGAGGCATGAGAATTGCTTGAACCCGGAAGGCAGAGGTTGCAGTGAGCCAAGATTGTGCCACTGCACTCCAGCCTGGGTGACAGGGTGAGACTCCACCTCAAAAAAAGAAAAGAAAAGAAAAAAATTCTATCTACGAAAAGATTCAGACGAACATTCAAGAGCTGAAAAAATGCAATACTAAAATTAAAAATCAATAAATAGTCTTAATAGCAAACGGAGAAAATCATAAAATAGAAGATATTTCAATAGAAAACATCAAAACAAAAGCATCTAGAGAGAAAAAGCTAAAAATGAAATAAAAATGACAAAAGAGATGTGTGTAACACACTCAAAAGATCAACTTAATGAAAGCTACACTCTGAAACCATCTGAAACAGAGAACAGTCTTTTTAACTGATCTTTCCTCATGAGAACAAATTGCAATGTGACTGAGAGAGGCTTGGGAGTCCCATCTCATCTTTTGCTGTTTGAGATACAGGAGCTGGCTAGTTTTCTAAACTAAGTGAGGCCCCAAGTGAAGTTGTCTTCAGCCAATATAAATTGAAGGTAATGGGATGAAAGACATACATTTTAGCAAAGTTGTATTCTCTTTTGTCTCTCCTTTCAAATGAAGTAAGTCTTGCGAAATTTATTTCTTTGCGACCTCTTTTAAAGTGGCAACAAGCAGCCAAGAAGCACCACCATTTTGACTTTTTCCAATGTCCTTGACTAGAGCTGTGCTGTCTAATACGGTAAGCAGTAACTATTTGTGGTTACTTAGATGTAAATTATGAAAATTAAATGAAGTTTGATATTCAGTACCTCAGTTGCAGTAGTCACAGTTCAACTGCTCAATAGTATCAAACAGCACAGATGTAAAAAAATTTCCACCATTTCCTATATTGATATAAGGTTCTATTAGATAGCAGTAACCTAAAGTTATACACTCAATAATCATACAATTTTCCTTTTAACTTTTACTGGATGCTTACCATGGCATAGTTACCAGTTTTTTCCAGCTTTTCAGCTGGAAATACTAAGTTAAGAGCTTTACTTTAGAATAACTGGCCAGGGGTGCATTGGTTTTGCTGGAATTTAACTATCAGAAACTACATATCATTCCTTGAAGGTCCATGTTGGAAGAGATGATTCTTTCATTTTTTTTCCTGGTATAATAAGGATGGCTGCCACTTTTCTCAGAGCCTAGTAACAAGTGAGTTTGGTGGTGTGGAGGTCCACCAATCAGCATAAGGTGGTATTTAATTTCTCTATTTTCAGATGCCACCCAAGCCTTCCCTTCTGTACACTGTTTCTGAGTTTAGTGTCCTTTTAGTTCAGCCCTGCCATAGAGCAGTCCTCCATTTTTGAAAAAGAAGAGACTAGTGAGAGCTGATCACCAAAAAATCTAGTTGCTTTTCGCGCAGATTTTCAACTAGTTTCCCTATTTTCTATTTCACTTATTCTCTGTTTTCAGGGTTCACCCTGTCTCATTTTTGAGCCTTTTTTTGGCATGTAGTGTATGATGATTTCCTTTGGCTTTCTTTATGCTTTTGGATATTTAGATTTGAGGTTTCTTCTATATGTTGCCTTTCACCACTTGGCCACCTTCTTTTCAGCTTCATTATTTTATTAAAATTTCCTATTCGTTGCCTTCTTCTCTGGTATTTTCTTGTCCTCAAGGGGACCCTCAGTCTTTTTTTTTTTAACCCTTTCACAGACATTTTAGAATTTTTAAAGGGAAAGGAGGTAAAAAAAAAATGTTTACTACTCCAGGTTGAACCAGGAATACTGCATTGTTTTATAACTGAGCTGTGAATAATAGGCATGTGAAAAATTTGTGTTGGTAGGAACTGATATGTACTATATAGTCAATATATTCTGGGAACTCACATTCTTTGAAATATAAATAATTCTATGCCATACTTGGTATTTTTCACATGAAAAAAACTGAAATTCCAATAGATTAAATCATATCCTGGAGGTGCAAGAGCTTAATAAGTAACAATCTGTTTATACTTGATTTTGTCATGCTTCCTTATATCATAATACAGTGTTTAAAGGCTCAAGAATTTGTGCCTGGGTTTGAATTCCAGTTGTACAACGCAATAGCTGCACTTAATTTCACATTCTACTTAATTTGTCTGTGTCTAACTTTTGTTTGTCTCTGTGTGTAGAATATTGATAATATAACAGCAGTATCTACCTCATAGGATTATTGGAAGGATTAAATACATTAATATATGTAAAAGATTTTGAATAGTGCTTGACATACAGTAAGTTCTATAGATGTGTTAGTAATTTCTAATTGTATTACTTTGTGCTCCATCTATCCCAAGGAAGAAAAGATATTGCTTCTGCTTATAGATGGTCTTTTAAAGCTAGGAAATACGACATTAAAGGTGTGACGTCTACTTGCACTTTAAAAACTCTCGCCTTTCTAGAACTTTCTGTTACTAAAGCTTGAAAATGAAAGAACTGTTACTGAGTGAGCTAATGAAAGAAAAACATGCTGATTTCTTCTACTTTTAAAGGGGAAATGGATGATGTAAGTTCTGAAGATAGATCTCTACGATTTTTTTTACATCCTCTAGATTACTTTTAGTGGTTTTTCCATACTATTTTCATTCTACTCATTCTAATTTCAAAAGTCCTTCTAATTTGTATATTTGAATTAGTATCCCTAGAAAACATTTTCTCCATAACCAAATTGATGTAGAACCATAGTTTTCAAAATGTTATTGCATGGGTCATAAAAAGTAGTTGTGGGGACTTTAAAACTATCTTGAAACAATCTTCTTGTTTCATATAAAAGCCAATCTTCTTGGCTTTTATATTTCAGATTAAATCCAAACCACTCATAGCTTGAGTACCATCAGCTGTTGGCAAAACTTAGCTTCTTGGTTCTATGTAAAAGTGAATCATTTTGTAAACACTCTGACAACCAAGATATAAATCCTTTGGTTTACACAGGTGACCTCATGAATATTCTTTTCCACCCTTTGTGTGTGTTAGAGGGAGAAAATACCGCAGGCATTGAATATTGAAATTTTTTCTAATCATTGTAACTGGAAGGAGACGCTGACAGATCCATTCTCTGGACATGTGTTTTAAAGTTAAGGAGGAAAAGACATGAAAAAATACCGTATAGGCTTTGCTGAAACCAAAGCATTTGGAGCACAGTTTAATACGTTTGCCAAATTTTAAATACAGCTGGGTTCTCCCACAGTTTCTTTAATTGGAAGCAGATTTCTGTGCTAATTCTGTAACGTGAAGAGAGCTCTAACAGTATTTCTTTCCTAAAAGTAGGGCATATATTTGCAGTGACCACTTCTAACATCAACAACTCCTTAAAAATATCCGACTTAGCAATTTTCAATGCGACTTAGAAATTTTCAAGAGTTTTCAGTAGATTTATTACCTCATGTGGTTTTATATACTTAATAGTTAAGTGTATAAATAATTAAAATTATTTAATAACTGATAATTAAGTTCACTGGGTATTTTGTTTTTAGAAAAAAGTGGATCGTATCTAAAGAATTAAAAATATGGAAATGTTCATATTGTAAAGTAAAAGTCCACATTCTGCTTGAATGTGAAAGACAAAATGTTTGTTTCTTTCATAAGTTTAAAAAATTTACCAAGTTCTTAACATTTTAATATGATAAAATTTAGTGGAAAAGGCTAAATTGAAACAAAAATGTATTTATATTATATACTACATATATTCCATTCAAAACTACAATACTAGTTTCTGAGTCACCAAATGTGGAAATTAATGTCAATATGATGAAAATACAATTTTGGAAAATTTATCTGTTTTTAATACCTATATATTCACTTTAACACTCAATATATTACATTTTTAATAAGCACTAATGATATTAATAGTAATTTGAAAGAAACATATTACAAAGTTTTATAAAGAAAGCATTAAAATAGGTTTTTGGAAGATTAACCTTGAGGCATTATTTCAGTCTGCTTTCCAATTACATATTGGAAAGAGGGGTACAGCATCTACTTTTTAATGCTGCTCTTACTTTGGTAAGAATCTAGGTAGTGGGTAAAAAATAAAATCATTTGAAATAGTTTTTTATTTATTGAACATTTTTTAGGCTGTACCTATAAAATATCTTTATAGCAATAAATACTTTTATAGCAATAATCTACACCAGATGTGTTCATCATGACTTTTTAAACTTTCTACCCTTTCAAAATTACATATCTGGTTTTTGTTGACAGTACTATTATAACTTAGAGAATTTACCTGATTTTAATAGCACAGCAAAAGAGCTGTTTTAGGAGAATGAGCATAATTGAAATATAGGCATTTGCTAAGGAGAGTCTATAAAGACCATTTTCATTAAGACACAAAAAGATTCCCCAAATATTAGTGTAAGCTCTAAAAATTGTGCCAGCAGTGTACCCTGAGAAGGCAGTTATTTCCTTATTATTATGCAGGCACCTAAATAAAAGGTCGATGTATGTATCAGTTTTTTCCACAAGATCTTTATTGCTTTCTCTTGGTCTTTGTACTGTTCCCTTTGCTAATACTGCGGTATCTTAATATTAATCTATTTTATTGTAAGCTTTGATATCAGTTGAGCTAGCCCTCCCATTTTTATTTGCATGCAAGCGTACTTAGCTATTCATGGCTCTTTCAATTTCATTTCCATTTTAGAATCAGCTGTATAGTCAAAAATTCTGTTGTGATGTTGGTTGGTATTGCACTGAGTCTGTAGATCAATTTGTGAAGGACTGACATATCTATATTGCCATTCATGAACATGATATATATCTCCACTTGCATCATTAATTTCTCTCCATAAACTTTTAGAATTGGTGCATATCTTTTCTTTGATTTTTTCCTTGTTGCCTAATTTTTGTACACTATGATAAGTTGTACCTTATATTTTGTTACTGATGTTTAAAAATAAAATTGATTATGGTATACTGGTTTTATAAAAAATGGCCTTGCTAAACTCTTATTAATTCCATCAATTTGTAGATTATTTCTATTTTCTATTTCAAAAAGCTACATCATCTGCAAATATTGACAGCTATCAATACTGACATGTTGAATAAAAATGGTGGCATGAATATCTTTGTCTTGTGCTTAATGTCTTACCATTGCAGATTTAGCATTAAGTAATTGCAGAAAATTCCTTTTGTAGCTACCCTTTGTTATATGGAAGAATGTGCCCATTTGTTTCTAGTTTGTTGAGTTTTTAAAAAATCATAAATGGATGTCGAATTTCAGTAATAGCTCTTCCCTTTAAAATGTTTACGTGGCAAATTTTATTGATTGATTTTTCAACATAAGCCAAATGTATTGGTGAATGTAGTAACTCATTGCTTTTTTTAACTAGAATTTTCCCCATTATGAGTGAGGTTGAGTATCTTTCTTTTAGTGTGCTTATTGGCTATTTGGATATCCAGTTTGTAAAATGCCTGTTCAAGTCCCCTCTCCCTTTTTACAAAATCAGGTTGCCTGACCTTCTCGTATTGATTTATAGATGCTCATTATATATTCCTGATATAAGCCCTTGTTAGTTATTCGAGTTACAAATATCTTCTCCCTCACAGCAGGCTTGACTTTTCACTTTGTTAAGGATGCCTTCTGGAAAATGTTACTTAATTTTAATGTGATGAAGTTGCTCAATTTTTAAATTAATGGTTTTTCTGGTAATGTTTAAGAAGTTTTTTCTTTCTTTCTTTCTTTTTTTTTTTTAGACGAGTCTCACTCTGTCGCCCCCAGGCTGGAGTGCAGTGGCCTGATCCTGGCTCACTGCAACCCTCTGCCTCCCAGGTTCAGGTGATTCTCCTGCCTCAGCCTCCAAAGTAGCTGGGATTACAGGCGCCCGCTACCACTCCTGGCTAATTTTTGTATTTTTTGTAGAGGCGAGTTTTCACCATCTGGCCAGGCTGATCTTGAACTCCTGACCTCAAGTGATCCACCTGCCTCGGCCTCCCAAAATGCTGGGATTACAGGCGTGAGCCACCTCGCCCGGCTGAGGTCTTTTCTTACTCTGAGGTCCTATTGATTCTCTTCTATATCTTTTAGAACATTTACTGTTCTTCCTTTTAAATTTACATATATAATCAGTCTGGAATTCATCTATATGGTATGAAATGGAAATATTTAATTTCATACATATGTATATTATATATGTATATAAATTATAAATATACATATATATGTAAATTATATATAAAGCATAATTTCCATTTTATTTTTTTCCAGAGGATTGTTTTTCTTTAATCCTTAAGGATTCAGCTCCTTACAAGGGTTTTGTTGGAGGTCATGGGGCAGCACCAGGAGGTCTAAATCATGGTGGGTGCATTCAGTACTTCATGAGATCCATTCTCAACTAACATGCTGTGAATGGCACAACTCAGGCATTAACGTAGCTTCACATATACCTTGGGAAGCACGCAGGAGTCGAAGACACTCCCTTTGGAAATGTCTGATAGCTGCAGCCTCTTCTGTTTTGAATGACGAACTTCTTAGTAGCCTTGTCCTTGGGCATACATTGGGCACAGTGTCTGCAGCAAATAGGCTGCATGTGGCTGTGCCTCTTTTTGGCATGACATGGTTCCTTCTTTTCTTTGTCATCTTGAAAGCAAGAACCTGAGACTAATTTCATATTTTTTTTTGTAAATTACATAAAACACCTTTATTATTGTTTTACAAGGTCAGTGTTTAATTACATTTATCCACATTTCCATCCCCCTTTCTTTTCTTTTCTTTTTTTCCTTTTGAACTTTTATTTTAGATTCAGGGAGTGCCTGTGCAGATTAGTCACATGGGTAGATTCTGTGTCTCTGGGGTTTGGTGGACAGATTACTTCCTCACCCAGGTAAGGAACATAGTCCTGATGGGCAGTTTTTTTTTTTTTAATTCTCACCTTCATCCCTTTTCTTGTGCTCCCTTTCCCTTTGCCTCTCTTGAGCTTCCGTTTGGGCTTCAGGATTACATTCATCCTTGCTACTGGTGGGGCACTGGTTCCAGGAACACCACTCCCCTCTCTCCCACGTGGATACCCAAATCCCAGCATAATCAAATCGTGTAGTTGAGGAACCCTGGAATATCGATAAGAGGAACAACTGTGTTTATTGCAAAAAAATCTGCCTATAAGTGGACCGCACAGTTCAAACTTCTGCTGTTGAAGAGTCGGCTGTATTTTTCTTATGCTTGAAGTCTATCATTCAGAATTTCCTTTAATAGAGGCTTGATGGTTGTAAAGTCTCTTGCTTTTTGTTTCTTTGAAAATGTCTCTTGCACCTTCATTCTTGAAAGCCTTTTTCATTAGATATAAAATTGTCAATTGAAATTTATTTTATTTTAGTACATTGAAAAAACATATCATATAAATAGATATATCTTTAAGATTTCCTCTTTGTAGTTTTCTGAATTTCACTATGATTTGTCAGCTTTTTATCTGCTTGGGTTTCATTAGGTTTTTGAATTTGTGGATTGATATATGTTTTAATTCTGGAGAATTCTCAGCCATTATCTACTTAAATATTGCTTATACATTGTTCTTTTTCTCTCTTTCTGAAAACTCCAATAAAATATATGTTAGATTTTATTATTGTATCCTTAATGTATCATCAAATCCTTTCCCCAACAGTTTTATATTTTTGTCTTTCTGAGCTTTATTCTTGATGTTCTTGATATTTTTTTTCTTAACTATTTTGCATTTCACAAAGTTTCTTCAATTGGATCCAATTTGTTCTCAAATCCATCCAGTTTCTTATTTTGGTTACCATGCTTTTCAGTTCTATACATTCTATTTGGTTCCTTTTCAAATACGCTGTGTCATTTGAAAATACTCTGTTACATTTTTCCAGCTTGGCTTTTATTTTCTTTTAAATTCTAAGTACGATTATTTTATAATTATTATATGATAATTCCAATATGTGAAGTGTCTTGAGTATGTTTCTGTTGGGTTTTATAAACGGTGCCTTTCTCTTGAGTACCTAGTTATCTTTGACTGTGGGCTAGACATTGTATTAGAGAAAACATTTTAGAAAAGTATTGAGGCCCAGTATAACATTATGTTTCTACACAGAGGATTTTGGTTTGCTTTTGCTACATGTCTAGAGGTGCTAGAAAACCTAGATGCCTGTGATTCCATTTCAAGGCTTCACATTTTCTAGGCCTTTATAATGCAAACTTGAGCTGTAAAGTACGCACATTGGGTAGTTTATTTCTGGTTCATTTGTCCTCTTAGGAAGCAATCCTTTGGAGTTGTAACCCTGGTATGCTTTAGAAGGAGTGCTTCTAAGCCCAATATAGCCAATCTTTGAGGATCATGGACACCACAGTTTGTATTTTGACCCCTGCAAGGCATTTTCACTACTCGTTTCTCAGCTTTTTCTTTATATTGGTAAGTAGCCTCAATGCAAAAGTAGCCTTAAGTACTGGGTGTGGTTTTATGAGTTCTCATCCTTTCCTGAATCTCATCCCATATTTCATCTTGAATTTATAAGTTATTTGATAAATTAAAAAAGAATTCTTTTTAATAGTTTATCAAGCTATTTTTAGTTGTTCTTAGCAGGAGGACTGATCTGAATAGCCTACCATCAGCAGAAGCTCCTGATACTCTCTTTTCAGTGTAATTTCACTTCAACAGAAGTTGTTGGAGTAACGAGGATATGGCACATCATCATTTTCCTTAGTCCCCATACACACCGGGAGATAGGCCTAATCTCACCAATGACAGTGAATTCAGAAAACACATTAACTTTGAAATCTATTCATTTAAGATCAAATGAAGGCTGTTAATAAGTAAGTATTCTGCTTACACCCAAAAAAGCACATTTTATGAGTTTTATGCGTAGTCTTTCTAGTGAACTATTTGGAGATTTTTTTCTTCTGTTTTTTCTTGTTCAATGCATACCACAAGGCCAGATAACTTATTATGGACAAATGCAGTTGAGTTTGAGCACATAATTAGAGTGACTGTTTAGCAATTTTAAATTGATATAAGACATTAGCAATTGGAAAGTAACTAGTGAAAATCTGTCTGACCATAAGGTGCATACAATGGCATTTAGCCTAAAGGCCATATTCTAAGTTACCCAAAATTAATTACGAACTTAATAGTATAACTATTAGTGCATTATACTAGTATAAAGAAAGTGATAAAATGTGTTATTAAATTATTTAGATTGTCATCAGTTTAAAATTATAAATAAAAGTAACAGTGGCATAGTATGTCCTCAGTTAACCAGAAAGCTTGGGTAAGCATATCAAATTACTGGTAATAAACTTTACTATATGTCTCAATCATATTTCTTTGTTCCTTCCTTGTCAAAAATGTAGATTATCTGTCTAACTGCTTGAAAGGAAAATTTTCTTAATATTTTCCCTTAGGACATTCCTGTTTTATTTTGTGTCTATTTTTTTTTTTAACACTCCATAATTTTTAAAGTAACCTGGCAGGAGCCCAAGTGCATGGAATGAAAAGTCATTCTTGGACCTATTCCATATTGCAACACCAGTCTCTTAAATCACTTTTATATGTAACATTTGTATTCTATTCAGCAAATGGTCATATTACTTACTATTCTGTTGAAACATTGCATAGGTATTTGCTTAAGACATGCATTACTCAGAGGATAATAAATTTCTTCTTGCTTAACATGTAGCACAATGCATCTAAATACTTGTATTTTTATTTCTCAAAGCTAAAGTCACTGTTTCTCTATCAGTTCTTTGCCTTCAAATACAAAAGAGGAAAATGTAATTAATGAACCAGTAATTTCGGAGTGATCATCTTTTCTCTTCCTTAGCTCACAGATATTTGCTGCTATCTGTTTTACGCTTTCACAATAACTTCCATTTGCATCACTCTTTACATGACTACATCTGAGAGAAGTGTACGGTAAGAGTTAGAAATATTACTCTTGTTTAGTAGTAGCAAAACTCAAGTGCAAGAAGCTGAGAGTCACATGGCCCTGTTCAGCTTCTGGTCCGGTACTCCCTCCAATAACCCTAGTTTGTCTTTTTCTCTTCATTTTTACTGATTTCTATCCCACCCGTGCATTTGTTTTGAGATTTCAGCTCTTGTGACATCATCTCTGCAAATTATGCATTGAGATTTTTGAGAGATTTCTTGAAATTTCTGTTTAATGAGTGGTGTTAATGTAACATATAGATTTTAATATCTGGAAAACTTCATTTTTTATCATCCACTACTTTCTCTTAATTAATTTAACATCATTTGCCTTTCTTACTGGTCATAGTATAATTCTGAGGTAATAAGGTGGCATTTTTAATTTAACTATTCATAGAACTTCTGGGAGAAATTTTATGTCTAGTTCAGAAGGCATGGCAGCATTTTAAATTTGATTGTGGAGTATTCTAACCAAATCTTCAAGAGCCGTAACTCGAGGTGAAACCTGCCAACAGTAAGTTCTTCTCGTAGCCCAAGGCTTGTTTGGTTTTGATTAGTTTTACTAGACTTCATTTGGTTTCAATTAAACCTTGAGACAGGCTAGTGACTTTCATGAAACGTGGGTTTCTCAAGTTAGAAAATAATTCTTTTGTGTGGACGAGTGTAACGTTTTCTTCACTGAAAGAAAATATCTACTCAAAGATAATTTTGGAAGATTTTATAATCACATTGCAAAGAGATTTTTATACATTGAACTGTCTCATATTATGTTTCTTAAAAATTATTATATTGTATTCTTAAATGGCAAAATGAAAATCACTCCATATGCTTCCAAAGCAATAATAAGAAATATTTAACTATATAAGTATAACAACATTTTATATTTAACTGCATATTGTTAATTTGATTTTAAAATAAGCAGCTATTCTGGGGAGTTCCAGAAATTTTTAAATTCATTTATTTTTCTAAAAGGCTTTCTTTTAGTATTACATTATCTTAGGTCGTGTTCAAATGAAATGATTTTCCTGAGTCGCAAGTCCTTTATTACTTAAAAACTGTAACAACATAACATCACTGGATATGAGTTGAAAATCGTGCATAGTATTTTTATGCAAAGGTAGAAGGAGAAGCATAAAGTTATAAACATATTGTATACCCTAAACAAAGAAAACTGTGGTCTGTAGTCCTCAGAGAAAAATCTCAGGTGTAAGTTCCTTTTGTATTCCAAATTTTTTTTGATCCTAAACAAAATCCTTTATTAATCCTTATTAAAAAAATTCCATGTTGGGTAATAAAGATAAATAGAAAACAAACTCAAAAGTAGTGTTTGAAGTGATAGAAGATGTACATTTCTCTTTCTGTGAATTCATAAACCCTGGCTTCAGATACTATTGATTTTTACCCAGAGGCATCATTAAATACCCCACCATCTGTTTAAGATTATGCCAAAAATATTGCAGTTATAAATATAGGGCACGTGTATAAAAATTAGATGTATCAAGTTAAGGATATTATCATAATGCTCTTCTATATTCTCAGCATGAAACAAAAATATTAATAAATATGTGAATATTCTGCTTGTAAATATGTCTGTAGAATTTAAAACTGATAAATAAATTTGTTCAGAAATGTAGAATTTAACATTTACCACTCGGAAAACAAGAGCAGATCACCTCTTGAATAAGTGTCTTCCAATTTTGTTTCTAACACAGCAAATATTTTATATTTACAATTTAAAAAATTGAATTCTCCAAGTATTATGTTCCAAGATTTAAATAAGATTAACGACCCCTTCAAATATTTTTGTTGAGAGCTGTTTATTAATACCTTATGTGGTCACATCAATTAAAATTAATGACATCTGGTATACAAGTGAATAATTTCTTTACATATTTTATCATATTTGAATAAATAGAATGAAGAACAAAGCACTGACTTTTTATTCATACTACCAGGTTTGGATTTGGATTCTGCTATGAATTCATCATGTGCCTTTGGGATCTTTTCCTTTCTGGGCTTACCTTTCATCAAATGGAAAGAACTAGAAGCTCTCAATGGTTCTTTCTACCTTTAACATTTTATTGGTTATTTACAAATTATAAACATTTAGTTTGGTTAGCATAGGCTGTATGTTTATATATAGGCTATATAATTATGTGCTTTATATCTCTAGTAATTAAAAATTATTTTTTTTACCTTGTAAATTTAAATTTATCATGAAGGAAGCAGAACTAGTTACATTGGTAAATATGTTCATTCACTATTACACTATTACTTCTGAATGAACACACATTATTTTCTCTATAGACCAAGAACTGTCTATTAATCTATTAAAATATATTTTCTCAAAACTGATCCCAGGGTGCTAGGGACACAAAATTCAAAGATAAATAAGAAATTAAATTTGGCTGTGTGATGTTGAAATGTAAGTAAGCAAATAAAATAAAATGTGATCAAACTTTATCAGTTCGAGTTTTTATTACCAGCAAATTCCAATTTTATTGACACAGAATTATCTCAGATTAGCAAAAATAAGTGGTGGTACTTTTTTTCTTTTTATTTTTTTTATTATACTTTAAGTTCTGGGGTACAGGTGCAGAATCTGCAGGTTTGTTGCATAGATATACATGGACCATGGTGGTTTGCTGCACTCATCAACCCGTCATCTACATTAGGTATTTCTCCTAATGTTATCCCTCCCCTTGCACCCCATGCCCCGACAGACCCTGGTGTGTGATCTTCCCCTTTCTGTGCCCATATGTTCTCAGTGTTCAGCTCCCAATTATGAGTGAGAGCATGTGGTGTTTGGTTTTCTGTTCCTGTGTTAGTTTGCTGAGAATGATGGTTTCCAGCTTCATCCATGTCCCAGCGAAGGACATGAATTCATTCTTTTTATGGCTGCATAGTATTCCATGGTATATATGTGCCACATTTGCTTTATACAGTCTATCGTGGATGGGCATTTGGGTTGGTTCCAAGCGTTGCTTTGTGAATAGTGCTGCAATAAATGTACGTGTGCATGTGTCTTTATAGTAGAATGACTTATAATCCTTTGGGTATATACCCAGTAATGGGATTGATGGGTCAAATGGTATTTCTAGTTCTAGATCCTTGAGGAATCACCACACTGTCTTCCACAAAAGTTGAACTAATTTACACTTCCACCAACAGTGTAAACAAGTTCCTATTTCTCTACATCCTCTCCAGCATCTATTGTTCCCTGCCTTTTTAATGATCACCATTCTAACTGGCATGAGATGGTATCTCATTGTGGTTTTGGTTTGTGTTACTCTAATGACCAGTGATGATGAGATTTTTTTCTTATGTTTGTTGGCCGCATAAATGTCTTCTTTTGAAAAGTGTCTGTTCATACCCTTAACCCACTTTTTAATGGGGTTGTTTATTTTTTTCTTGTAAATTTGTTGAAGTTCCTTGTAGATTCTGGATATTAGCCCTTTGTCAGATGGATAGATTGCAAAAATTTTCTCCCATTCTGTACGTTGTCTGTTCACTCTGATGATAGTTTATTTTGCTGTGCAGCAGCTCTTTAGTTTAATTAGATCCCATTTGTCAATTTTGGCTTTTGTTGCAGCTGCTTTTGGTGTTTTAGTCACAAAGCCTTTGCCCATGCCTATGTCCTGAATGGTATTGCCTAGGTTTTCTTCTAGGGTTTTTATGGTTTTAGGTCTTACATTTACATCTTTAGCCTCCAACTTTGTTCTTTTTGCTTAGGATTGTCTTGGCTATATGGGCTCTTTATTGGCTCCATATGAAATTTAAAGTAGTTTTTTCTAATTCTGTGAAGAAAGCCAATGGTAGCTTGATGGGAATAGCATTGAATCTATGAATTACTTTGGGCAGTATGGCCATTTTTGAGATATTGGTTCTTCCTATCCATGAGCATGGAATGTTTTTCCATTTGTTTGTGTCCTCTCTTATTTCCTTGAGCAGTGGTTTGCAGTTCTCCATGAAGAGGTCCTTCACATCCCTTGTAAGTTGGATTCCTAGGTATTTTATTATCTTTGTAGCAATTGTGAATGGGAATTCACTCATGATTTGGCTCTCTCTTTGTCTATCATTGGTGTATAGGAATGCTTGTGATTTTTGCACATTGATTTTGTATTCTGAGACTTTGCTGAAGTTGCTTATCAGTTTAAGGAGTTTTGGGGCTGAGACGATGGAGTTTTCTAAATATACAATCATGTCATCTGCAAACAGAGATACTTTGACTTCCCCTCCTCCTATCTGAATATCCTTCATTTCCTTATCCTGCCTGATTTCTCTGGCCAGAACTTCCAATACTATGTTGAATAGTAGTGGTGAGAGAGGGCATCCTTGTCTTGTGCTGGTTTTCAAAGGGAATTCTTCCAGCTTTTGCCCATTCAGTATGATTTTTGGCTATGAGTTTGTCATAAATAGCTCTTATTATTTTGAAATATGTTCCATAAATACCTAGTTTATTGAGAGTTTTTAGCATGAAGGAGTGTTGAATTTTATTGAAGACCCTTTCTGCATCTATTGAGATAATTATGTGTTTTTTGTCATTAGTTCAGTTTATGTGATGGATTATGTTTATTGATTTGCATATGTTTAACCAGCCTTGCATCCCAGGAATGAAGCCAACTTGATTGTGGTGGATAAGCTTTTTGATGTGCTGCTGGATTCAGGTTGCCAGTATTTTATTGAGGATTTTTGCATTGATGCTCCTCAGGGATATTGGCCTGAAATTTTCTTTCTTTATTGTGTCTCTGCTAGATTTTGGTATCAGGATGATGCTGGCCTCATAAAATGAGTTAGGGAGGATTCCCTCTTTTTCTATGGTTTGGAATAATTTCAGAAGGAATGGTACAAGCTCCTCTTTGTACCTCTGGTAGAATTCGGCTGTGAATCCATCTGGTCCTGGGCTTTTTTGGTTGGTAGGCTGTTAATTACTGCCTCAATTTCAGAACTTGTAATTGGTCTATTCAGGTATTTGACTACTTCCTTGTTTAGTCTGGGGAGGGTATATGTGTCCAAGAATTTATTCATTTCTTCTAGATTTTTTAGTTTATTTGCATAGAGGCATTTATCGTATTGTTTGATGGCAGATTGTATTTCTGTGGGATCAGTGATGATCTCCCCTTTATCACCTTTTATTGTGTCTGTTTGATTTTTCACTCTTTTCTTCTTTATTAGTCTAGTTAGCGGTCTATTTTGTTAATCTTGTAAAAAAGTCAGCTTCTGGATTCATTGATTTTTTTGAAGGGTTTTTCATGTCTCTATCTCCTTCAGTTCTGCTCCGATCTTAGTTATTTCTTGTCTTCTGCCAGCTTTTGAATTTGTTTGCTCTTGCTTCTCTAGTTCTTATAATTGTGATGTTAGGGTGTTGATTTTAGATCTTTCCTGCTTTCTCCTGTGGGCATTTAGTGCTATGAATTTCCCTCTAAACACTGCTTTAGTTGTGTCCCAGAGATTTTGATACAGTGTGTCTTTTTTCTCATTGGTTTCAAAGAACTTATTTATTTCTGCCTTAATTTCGTTATTTATCCAGTAGTCATTCAGGAGCAGGTTGTCCAGTTTTCATGTAGTTGTGCAGTTTTGAGTGAGTTTCTTAATCCTGAGTTCTAATTAAATTGCACTGTGGTCTGAGGGACTGTTTGTTACGATTTCCATTCTTTTGCAATTGCTGAGGAGTGTTTCACTTCCAATTATGTGGTTGATTTTAGAATAAGTGCTATGTGGTGCTGAGAAGATTGTATATTCCGTTGATTTGGGGTGGAGAGTTCTGTAGATGTCTATTAGATCTGCTTGGCCCAGAGCTGAGTTCAAGTCCTGAATATCTTTGTTAATTTTCTCCCTTGATCTGTCTAATATTGACAGTGGGGTGTTAAAGTCTCCCACTATTATTGTGTGGGAGTCTAAGTCTCTTTGCCGGTCCCTAAGAACTTGCTTTATGAATCTGGATGTTCCCGTATTGGGTGCATATATATTTAGGATAGTTAGCTCTTCTCATTGCATTAATTCCTTTACCATTATGTAATGCCCTTCTTTGTCTTTTTGATCTCGGTTAGTTTAAAGTCTGTTTTATTAGAGACTGAGATCGCAACCCCTGCTTTTTTTGTTTTGTTTTGTTTTTCATTTGCTTGGTAAATCTTCTTCCATCCCTTTATTTTGAACCTATGTGTGCCTTTGCACATGAGATGGGTCTCCTGAATACAGGACACTGATTACTCTATTTAATTTGTCAGTCTGTGCCTTTTAATAGGGGCATTTAGCCCATTTACATTTAAGGTTAATATTGTTATGTGTGAATTTTATTCTGTCATTATGATGCTAGCTGTTTATTTTGCCCCATTAGTTGATGCAGTTTCCTCATAGTGTCGATGGTATTTACATTTTGGTTTGTTTTTGCAGTGGCTGGCACCGGTTTTTCCTTTCCATATTTAGTGCTTCCTTCAGGAGCTCTTCTAAGGCAGGCCTGGTGGTGACAAAATCTCTCAGCATTTGCTTGTCTGTAAAGAATTTTATTTCTGCTTCGCTTATGAAGCTTAGTTTGGCTGCATATGAAATTCTGGGTTGAAAATTCTTTTCTTTAAGAAGGTCAGATATTGGCACCCACTCTCTTCTGGCTTGTGGGATTTCTGCAGAGAAACCCACTGTTAGTCTGATGGGCTTCCCTTTGTGGGTAACCTGACCTTTTTCTCTGACTGCCCTGAACATTCTTCCTTCATTTCAACCTTGGTGGATCTGATGATTATGTGTCTTGGGGTTTCTCTTTTCGAGGAGTATCTTTGTGGTGTTTTCTGTATTTCCTCAATTTGAATGTTGGCCTGTCTTGCTAGGTTGGGAAAGTTCTCCTGGATAATATCCCGAAGTGTGTTTTCCAACTTGGTTCCATTCTGCCTGTCACTTTCAAGGACACCAATAAAATGTAGGTTTGGTCTTTCCACATAGTCCCATATTTCTTGGAGGTTTTGTTCATTCCTTTTTATTCTTTTTTCTCTAATCTTGTCTTCACGCTTTATTTCATTAGTCAATCTTCAATCTCTGATATCCTTTCTTTCACTTGATCGATTCGGCTAGTGATACTTGTGTATGGTTCATGATGTTCTCGTGCTGTGTTTTTCAGCTCCATCAGGTCATCTTGGTTCTTCTCTAAACTGGTTGTTCTAGTTATCAATTCCTCTAACTTTTTATCAGGTTCTTAGCTTCCTTCCATTGGGTAGGAACATGCTTCTTTAGCTTGGAGGAGTTCGTTATTACCCACCTTCTAAAGCCTACTTCTGTCAGTTCATCAAACTCATTCTCCATCCTATTTTGTCCCCTCACTAGCAAGGAGTTGTGATCCTTTGGAGGAGAAGAGGCATTCTGGTTTTGGATTTTTCAGACTTTTTGTGCTGGTTTTTCCTCATCTTCGTGGATTTATCTACCTTTGGTCTTTCCTGTTGGTGACCTTTGGTTGGAGTTTTGAGTGGTCATCCTTTCTGTTGATGTTGATGCTATTGCTTTCTGTTTGTTAGTTTTTCTTTTAATAATCAGGGCCCTCTTCTGCAGGTCTGTTGGAGTTTGCTGGAGGTCCACTCCAGACCCTGTTTGCCTGCGTATCACCAGCAGAGGCTGCCGAACAGCAAAGATTGCTGCCTGCTCCTTCCTCTGGAAGCTTTATCCCAAAGGGGCACCCACCAGATGCCAGCCGGTGCTCTCCTATATGAGGTGTCTGTCGACCCCTGCTGGGAGATTTCTCCCAGTCAGGAGGCATGGGGGTCAGGGACCCGCTTGAGGACACAGTCTGTCCCTTAGCCGAGCTTGAGCACCGTGCTGGGAGATCCTGCTGGGAGCCAGCAGGCAGGAACGTTTAAGTCTGCTGAAGCTTCACCCACAGCTGCCCCTTCCCCCAGGTGCTCTGCCCCAGGGAGATGGGAGTTTTATCTATAAGCCCCTGATTGGGGCTGCTGCCTTTCTTTCAGAGATGCCCTGCCTAGAGAGGAGGAATCTAGAAAGGCAGTCTGGCTACAGCGGCTTTCCCAAGCTGCCATGGGCTCTGCCCAGTTCGAACTTCCCTGAGGCTTTGTATCCACGGTGAGGGGAAAACCGCCTACTCAAGCCTCAGTAATGGCAGACACCCATCCCTCCACTAAACTCTAGTGTCCCAGGTTGACTTCAGACTGCTATGCTGGCAGTGAGAATTTCAAGCCAGTGAATCTTAGCTTGCTGGGCTCCGTGGGGTTGGGATTTGTTGAGCTAGACTTGGCTCCCTGGTGTCAGCCCCCTTTCTAGGGAAGTGAATGGTTCTGTCTTGCTGGTGTTCCAGGCTCGACTGGGGAATGAAAAAAGCCTCCTGCAGCTAGCTTGGTGTTTGCCCAAAGGCCGCCCAGTTTTGTGCTTGAAACCCAGGGCCCTCGTGGTGTAGGCACCCGAGGGAATCTCCTGATCTGTGGATTGCGAAGTCTGCGGGAAAAGCATAGTATCTGGGCTGGATAGCACCATTCCTCCTGGCACGGTCCCTCAAGGCTTCTTTTGGCTAGGGGAGGGTGTTCCCCAACCCCTTGTGCTTCTCGTGTGAGAGGACACCCCACCCTGCTTCTGCTCACCCACCATGGGCTACACCTACCGTCTAACCAGTCCCAGTGAAATGAACCTGGTACCTCAGTTGGAAATGCAGAAATCACCGGCCTTCTGTGTCGGTCTCACTGGGAGCTGCAGACCGGAGCTGTTCCTGTTTGGCCATCTTGCCCAGGAGCCCCCAGTGGTACTTTTTTCAATGCTTAAAAGAATGGAAACAATCTATTTAGAAAGTGAACATGTATTATAGATTTCAGCATGTCCATTAGAAGATGGTTTACTAGAACTATTTCTTTTTGCATATAGAGGAACAAACTTGAACAGAAAACTCTCAGTCTTTGTACTGAATTTCCTTGTCTTGAAAGAAATGAGGAGGTAGTGACCAGCATTTTTATTAGAATGTCAGAGGTGCCTCTCATAAACTACTTGAACGCTGACTTCAAGAGTTGCAATGATCAAAAAAAAATGCAGAAAATGAACTAGTAGATAACTGTGGGAGATGGAAGGTGTTGATGGCATTCACCACAGGTATGCACTTGTCCACTTATTTTCTTGGCTGGATTAATGAAAGGATGAGGAACCTGTTTTTATTTTTTATTTTTTTAAGGCAGAAAGATCTTCGCAACTATCAATATGGTGAAATGAAAAACAACTACCCATTTTCTTGTCCTCTTTTATCCTTGATTGTAGTTATGTAAAAAGCTTTACTCGTTAAAAAAAATTAAATGTTTGGCCAAGTCATGGGATCAACTCAGGATTTTATTATAACCCAGATCTTGGCTAACCACATTTTCTTAAAATGTCCAGTAGACTGAATTGCACCCGTGGCTTCTAACATGAACGGCTGGAGCCAAGAATGCTTGCGTGAAAGCAGCCAGCCACCAAAACACAATGGGATTTATTCCTTCATTCTGGGTTTAAAGAAAGGATCTTAAAGATCCAACCTTTTAGCCTAGAAAGCTTTGTAAACCTTTTCAAATACCTCTGAGGAATCTGCATACTTTGTAGCTCAACTTATTAGTCTATTTCATTCACACGAGGAGATTCTCCACTCTAAACACTCTGACTTGCAGAGGATGGAATACCAAGTAGGTGTACTCTGGATTGGGGCTTTGATAAAAACCTTTCAAAGAAGAACCATAGTACAACAGTTTTTGGGATACAGTTTCTGGAATAATGTAAAATGGTGAAATGTAGGCAGATTTTTGTAACCCTGCTAGTAAGCTAATTAAGAGTATGTATTTCTGTATTGGTTGAAGAAGTTTTATTTTTTCCTTTAAGAAATTTCTATGAAATGCAAGCTATTATAATGAGAAAGAATTGTTCCTTTGCCAATTTTAAAGCCTTTGGAGACATTAGTGTATTAACCCCACATGGTATCTGAAGGGAGCATTGAACTGGCAGCCAGAATTCCTGAGTTCTGGCCTTGAAACTGGTATGTGCTACTGATATTATCTTGAGCATATTCATTCATCTGTCCTGGAAGAGATCATGAATGCTAATCAAATATTCCATGTGTTCATCAATATTTGCAAGCATCCCCTGTGGCTATGTTGGGGTCATGTGACAAGTGCAGGACATAAGTCCAAGGGATGTTTGTCTTCCAGTTTGAAGGAGTTAAGTGAACCAGGATAAATTTTCAATAATCTTTGTCATCTGCAAAGCAGCAAACAAAGGTTTTAAAATGGCCAAGTTGCAAGATGGGAGCAAGGAGATCTCTGAGTTGTAAAAAGAAGAGGAAAGCCATTTGTTCATTGCGACATGAAAAGGAAATAAATATTTGCTGTATCAAGCTACGTGAATCTGGGGGTTGTTTTGTGCCACAGCATAGCAAATCCTATGTTGACTAGCGTCTCTCCAGGAGTCATCATAAGCTGAGGGGTTTGGAGACTTCTTAATTCTGTTCCAGTTTGTATTCCTGAAATTGTCTTTGGGCATATGACCTTCATTTTACAAAAGAAAGAACAGAGAAGTTTGGAGATAACTGACTAAAGTCACAAAGTAAGTTTGTGGCCATGCTGCACGATGTATTTCTCTGGGACCCTGTAGATTCATATTCCCCAGGTATATTTCTCCACAACCTATGAGATTAACTGTGGGATCATTCAAATTGACCATTAACAAAATGCTAGATTGATTCTCTTCCTGTCTACTAGGTTTTGTTCACTTAGACATGATGTAATTCTGTGATGCAATGGATAATACGGCATTCAACATCCTGACCTTAATACCAGAGACTTATCTATCAGATTATGGAGTCTGATAGTATACATATTATGTCTATTTTCAACTGGGGAAAAATTCTACCTCTGTGTTTAGTTTTGAGGTGGTTATTGAACAAGAACCTATGATAGACCCCAAAGCTATTTTCACAAAACTTGAATTTAGAAATTTAATGCAGGGGTCCCCAACCCTCGGGCCATGGACTGGTACCAGTCCTTGGTCTGTTAGGAACTGGCCACATAGCAGGAGGTGAGTGGCAAGCAAGCAAAGGAAGGTTCATCTGTATTTACAGCTGCTCCTTATCACTGGCAATACCACCTGAGCTCTGCCTCCTGTCAGATCAGAGGCAGCATTAGATCCTCATAGGAGCGTGAACCCTATTGTGAACTGCACGTATGAGGGATCTAGGTTGCACACTCCTTATGAGAATCTAATGCCTGATGATTGTCACTGTCTCCCATCACCTCTGGATGGGACCATCTAGTTGTAGAAAAATAAGCTCAGGGCTCCCACTGATTCTGCATGAAGGTGAGTTGTATTATTCTTTCTTTATATATTACAATGTAATAATAATAAAGTTCACAATAAATGTAATGCTCTTGAATCATCCCGAAACCATCACCTTAGTCCCAGTCCATGGAAAAGTTGTCTTCCAGGAAATTGATCCCAGGTGCCAATAAGGTTGGGGACTGCTGAATTAATGCATTTGTAACTACCTGGTAGTTTCTTGTCTTTGGCATCCGGGATGGATATAATTGTCCTCCCAATTGTCAAGTGTCAAAATGTAAAATATAGTACACATAAACAAATATTGATGAGGATAAAATGAGTTAATATCTGTAAAGTCCCTAGGACAGAGCCTGGCATAGAATTAACAATATACAGGTGTTTATTAAGTAACACAAAGGTGATTATGATGGATCATGAGACACTGTGAGCTAGGATCTAGTTGACATCTCCTTTAATTTTCCTCTTATAGAACCCCAGATACATGTCATCCGATTTCTATTTAACCATATTTTTGTGCTAGGAAATATGATTTTGTAGTACATGGTAAAATATTTTTACTTAGGACCCATCATTATCTCAATTAAAAATAAGAAAACAGGCTAAGAGGAGTTAAGAGGTTTACCCAAGTTTACAAAGCTGTCAATGTCCTTCACTATCTGCCTAGGAAGTTCATAATCTTTCCTAGGCAGTCTTCTATATCACTGTCTCCATTATTAGTAGGAGTAGCAGTGCCATGTGATTTGAGCATGGCAGCCCACAAGTTCCACTATTAACTTTCTGCAGGGTAGGAATCACTTCAGCCAAGATCTGGAGCTCAAGCAATTTCCCTCTGGGTGAGCAGCATTTATTATTCAAATACACTTATTTAATAAACTTAATTATTACATATTCAACTATTTAATAATCTGTGCTAGCATTTTATCATGGTTTCACATTTGTTTTTTCTCTGACCTTTTTGAAGCTTTTTTCCTAGCAGCTAAGGTGTGTCACACCAACCATCTTAAAGACAAGGCCAGGCACATGGTGAATATTTGTTGATTGTACAGTTGCTAAAAGGAGACAAGTTCAAATGAGTCACTTATAGAAGCATTTGGACTTCAACAGATCGTCAAGTGTTTGAAAACTCTTATCACTACCATGTCTTGTTTCTGGGACATTTTGGTTTTCTGCATTAGGAAAACATCAGATACCTCAGTTTGAACACTGTGGAGCTTGCAATTTACTCACACTATTATGTCACTTATGTTCTTGTGATCATTTACTGGAAATTATGTCATTCTACTTCTCTCTGCTTCATAGGGGAATCTTAATTCCAATCCATCCTTCTACATTACTTCTAATAAATCTAATTTTTGCTTTGTTTTTGTTAAGGAGTATCCTGCCACCATTGTACTCTAGACATAATCTCATTCATAGCATCAGAGATACTCTGCAGATTGTGTATTTGCCTTATTTTAAAAATTGAAGTTTTTTAAAAGACTCTATTTAAAGACTCTAAAGACTATTGTATGCATTGCTATTGTTAACAACTGAAACCATATCATTCTTGCCATTATTTTAAGATAAGACAAATCATTTGTTCCCTGGGATGGAAATGAGCTCCTTTTCTTGTAGGTTTGTGTATTTTTCCAACCCATATATGATTATAAGTTTCTTCCAGTAACCTTCAAAATTCTTTATCTCCTTAGGGTTAATATAGTGAAATAATTACTTGGGAAAATGGGAGGCATAGCTTTGCTTTTGAAGTCTAGCTTTACTACTTGGTACCCACGTAATACTGAACAACATATTTAATCTCCCTGATCCTCATTTTCCTTTTGGGTAAAAGGAGAATAATGTGCATATAGAATAGGGATTAAAGGCATGGACTCTCAAGCTATTTTGCCTAGTTTGAAGCTTCACTGTGCCCTATTTTGCCTATGATATCATTGGCAATTACTTAACTCTTCGTGGTGCAGTTTTCACGGTAAAAAATTAGGGAAGCAATTGGATCTTCTTCGTATGGTGATAGAAATATTTTTATATGTGCTTTTTCTTTCAGATTGTAATGGAGGTTCGAAATAAAGCTTGCTCAAGTCCCTCCTATCAAGTGGCATAGTATTTGTATATAACCTATGCACATCCTCCCATATACCATAAATCATCTCTGGATTACTTATAATAACTGATACAATGTAAATACTGTGTAAATACAGTCAGGTGCTACATAAAAACTTTTCACTCAATAATGCTCCACATATATGATGGTGGTCCCATAAGATAATAATATAGCTAAAAAATTTCTATTCTCTAGTGACCTTGTAGCCATATGCATTATTCACATGTTGGTGGTGATGCTGGTATAAACAAACCTACACATACGATTACACACGGTACATAATACTTAGTAATGATAGTAAACGACTACGTTACCGGTTTATGTGTTTAGAGTACTAAACATTTTATGGTTATTTTGAGTGTACTCTTTTTACTTAAAAAAAAAAAGTTAATTGTAAAACAGCCTCAGGCAGGTCCATCAGGAGGTATTCCAGAAGAAGGCATTGTTACCATAGGGGATGACAGTTTCATTGGTGTTATTGTCCCTGAAAACCTTCCAGTGAGAAAAGATGTGGAGCTGGAAGAGAGTGACATTGATGGTCCTGACCTTGTGCAGGGCTAGTCTAATGCATTTGTTGATGTCTTAGTTTTTAAGAAAAACATTTAAAACATAAAAAATTAAAATCATAAAACAAGTAAACGAAGAAGGAAAATATTTTTTGTGTGGCTGTAAAATGTGTTTGTGCTTTAAGCTAAGTGTTGATTCAAGAGTAAAAAAGCTTAAAAATTAAAAAGTTTGTAACATAAAAAAGTTACAGTAAACTAAGTTTAATTTATTATTGAAGAAAAACATGAATTTAGTGTAGCCTAGGTTCACAGTGTTTACAAAGTCTACAGTACATACAGAAATGTCCTAGGCCTTCACATTCACTCACCGCTCACTCACTGACGCACACAGAGTAACTTCTAGGCTTGCATGCTCCATTCATGGTAAATGCCTGTATTAGGCTGTTCTTGCATTGCTATAAGGAAATATCTGAGACTGAGTAACTTATAAAGAAAAGAGGTTTAAATGGCTCCAATTCTGCAGGCTTCACAGGAATCATGGTGCTCGCATCTGCTCACCTTTGGGTGAAACCTCAGGGAGCTTTCAAGCATGGTGAAAGGTGAAGGGAGAATAGGCATGTCACTTGGCAGAAGCAGGAGCAAGAGACAGCAAGAGGGAGAGAGAGACGCAGACAGAGAGACAAAGAGACAGAGTGAGTGAGAGGAGGTGCACATACTTTTAAACAACCAGATATCACAAGAACTCACTCACTATGGCAAAGACAGCACCAAGCCATGAGGGACCTGCCCCCATGACCCAAACTCTTCCCACCAGGCCTCACTTCCAGCACTGGGGATTACAAGGCAACATGAGATTTAGATGGGGACAAATATCCAAACTGTATCAGTGCTCTAGAGAGGTGTACCGTTTTTATCTTTTATGCCTTATTTTTAGTGTTCCTTTTCTATGTTTAGATACACAAATCCTTACCATGTGTTGTAATTGCTTATCGTATTCAGTACAGTAACATACTGCACAGGTGTGTGGCCTATGAGTAACAGGCTATTCCATATGGCCTAGATATGTAGTGGCTACTATCTAAGCTTGTGTTAATACACTCTATGATAATTTCACTGACAGAATCACCTGAGCACACATTTCTTAGAACGTATCTTTGTCTTTAAGCTGTGCATGATTGTAGTTGTTGTACTGCATTGTTTTTAAAATTTGTATCATTTTTACAGCTATATTGTTATTTTTTATGGCTTCATTTTTTTCCAAGTGTTTTTGATCCAGAGTTGGTTGAATTTGTGGATACATAACCTTCTGATAAGGAGGGCTGACGGTATGTCTTAGTGCTTTGATTATACTTCAGAGGTCTGTAAACTTTCTATAACAGGTCAGATAGTAAATTTTTAAGACTTTTGGGACACCTATACAAGTCTGCCATTGTATAGCAAAAGTCATTATAGATAATGTATAAACAAATTGGCGTGATTTTGGTCAATAAAACTGTATTCACAAAAACAGCCTTAGGCTGGCTTTGGCCCATCAGTCATACTTTGCTGACCCCTGATCTGACTGTTGGTTAACACAAATTTGATCCCATCAGGCAATTTTGCCTTTTCTTCCCCAGATTACAGATACTCCGTCTCTGTAGCTCTGAATTTGTACTTTATTTCTCTTGCTCATCTAAAAGCATTCAATTTTCAATTGTTTAACTAACAAGCTTTTTGAGCTGCGTGCCAGAGCAGAGATCAATTTTAGTGTTAATTCGTAGTCGTTAAATAGAATTAGGAATAAATTTTTAGAATCAAATATACTCAGAATAGAGGAAATTTTCTACTTTCATCTATCTCTCTTGATGGACTAAGGTGAGAATATACATCCTCAACTTCTCCCCATAGGTCCCTAATAGATACCCAAACTTGCAGTATACAAAATCAAACTCCTTATTTTCACCCTCTAATCCATTCCCCCTGCAATCTTCTTCTTCCTTGCAGTTCTTCAGTTCAAAATTTTTAGGTCATCCTTGACCGTTTGCTCTTTGACATTCCACATGGAATTCAACAGAAACTTTCTCTGGGACTGTCTTCAGCATATACCCAGCTCTGGCTACTTTGCACAACCATTGACACCACCACTGAGTGATGGGGAAGAAACAAAATATTTCCACAAGTAACCTTTTTACTCAGTAACTCAGGATGTTTTTCAATTTGAGAGACGATGAAGTATAAGGCTAAAATTTAAACCATATCAAGATCATTTATTATTAAGATTATTCTATATATAGTATGTTTATTGTCCTTTTGAGTAAGTTTTGTTTTGTATTTTCCAATTGGGTTGTGTTGTCTCATGAAATGGCTATTTACTTTGCTGTGTCATGTATTTAGGCCATTTTACTCAACATTGAAAATAATTTTCTTAGTGTCTTTGGCATTTTTGGAGCATAAGTCTTTCTTCAAGATGAAATTTTCTTTTCCCCTCCAATATAGGCATTTCTTGTTTTATTACACTTTGCTCTATTGCTTAGCAGATATTGTGGATTATTTTTTTCAAATTGAAAGTTTGTGGTGACCTTCTGTCAAGCAAGTGTAGTGTCATTACTTGTCTTCTTTTTTAAATGTATCTTTTAAGTTCAGGAGTACATGTGCAAGTTTGCTAAGTCAACTTGCGTCATGGGGGTTTGTTGTGCAGATTATTTCATCACCCAGGAATTAAGCCTAGTATCCATTTATTATTTTTGCCGATCCACTCCCTCCTTCCAGCCTACACCCTCCAAAGGACCCAATGTGTGTTGTTCCCCTCTATGTGTCCATGTGTTCTCACCATTTAGCTCCCACTTATAAGTGAGAACATGTGGTATTTGGTATTCTGTTCCTGTGTTATTTGCTAAGGAGAATGGCCTCCAGCTCTATCCATGTTCCTGTGGAGGACATGGTCTCATTCTGTTTTATGGTGTAAATGAACTACATTTTCTTTATCCAGTCTACCATTGATGGGCATTTAGGTCGATTCCACGTCTTTGCTATTGTGAATAGTGCTGCAGTGAACATACATGTTCACGTGTCTTTATAAGAGAATGACTTATATTCCTTTGGGTATATACCCAGTAACGGGATTGCGGGGTTGAATAATATTTCTGTTTTTAAGTCTTAAAGGAATCATCACACTGTCTTCCATCTGGCTGAACTAATTTACACTTTAATCAATAGTAGTTTTGATTTGCATTTCTTTTTTTTTTTTTTCTTTGAGATGGAGTCTTGCTCTGTCGCCAGGCTGGAGTGCAGTGGCACGATATCCGCTCACTGCAATCTCTGCCTCCCAGGTTCAAATGATTCTCCTACCTCAGCTTCCCGAGTAGCTGGGATTACAGGTGCACACCACCACACCCAGCTAATTTTTGTATTTTTAGTAGAGACGGGGCTTCACTATGTTGGACAGGATGGTCTCGATCTCCTGAGCTCATGATCCACCCACCTCTGCCTCCCAAAGTTGAGTTTTTTTCATGATTGCTGACTGCATGTTATATTGTCCTTTGAGAATTGTCTGTTCATGTGCTTTGCCCACTTTTTACTGAGATTTCTTGTTTTGTTTTCTTGTAAATTTGTTTAAGTTCCTTATAGATGCTGGGTGTTAAAAACTATGTTTTGTCAGATGCATAGTTTGTGAAATTTTCTCCCATTCTGTAGGTTTTCTGTTCACCCTGTTGATAGTTTCCTTTGCTGTGCAGAAGCTCTTTAGATTAATTAGGCATCATCTATCAATTTTTGCTTTTGTTGCAATTATTTTGGCATGTTCATCATGAAATCTTTGCACATTCCTATGTCCAGTAAGGTATTGCCTAGGTTGGCTTCCAGGATTTTTATAGTTTTGGGTTTAACATTTAAGTCTTTAATCCATCTTCAATTAATTTTTGCATATGATTTAAGGACAGGATCCTGTTTCAGTCTTCTGCATATTGCTAGCCAGTTACTCCAACATCATTTATTGAATAGGAAATTTTTTCCCAATGGCTTTTTTTTGTCAGGGTTGTTGAAGATGAGATAGTTGTAGGTTTGTGGCCTTATTTCTGTGCCCTCTATTCTGTCACATTGGTCTAAATGTGTGTTTTTATACTGTACCATGATGCTTTGGTTACCATAGCCCTGTAGTATAGTTTGAAGTCAGATAACGTTATGCTTCTAGCTTTATTCTTTTTGCTTAGGATTGCTCTGGCTATTTGAGCTCTTTTTTGGTTCCATATAAATGTTAAAAGAGTTTTTTTCTGGTTCTTTTAAGAACATCAATGGTAGTTTAATAGAAATAGGATTGTATCTATAAATTGCTTTGGGCAGTATGGCCATTTAAACAATACTGATTCTTCCTGTCCGTGAGCATGGAAGGTTATTTCATTTGTTTGTGTCATCTCTGATTTCTTTCAACAGTGTTTTGTAGTTCTCATAGAGATCCTTCACTTCCCTGTTTAGCTGTATTCCTAGATATTTTATTCTTTTTGTGGCAGATGTGAATGGGATTATGTTTCTGATTTGGCTCTCTGCTTGACTGTTGTTGGTGTATAGAAATGTTAATGCTTTTTGCACATTGATTTTGTATCCTGAGACTTTGCTAAAGTTGTTTATCAGCTTAAGGAGTATTTGTGCTGAGACTAGGGGGCTTTTTAGATGTAGGAGTATGTCATCTGAAAACAGGGATAGTTTGATTTCCTCTCTTCCTATTTAGATGCACTTATTTCTTTGTTCTGCGTGATTACCCTGGCTGGACTTCTAATATTATGTTGGATAGGAATGATGAGAGAGGACATCCTTGCCTTGTGCCAGTTTTCAAGGGGAATGCTTCCAGCTTTTGCCTATTCAGTATGATGTTTACTATGGGTTTGTCATAGATGTTTCTTATTATTTTGAAGTATATTACTTTAATACGTAGTTTATTGAGAGTTTTTAACACGAAGGGGTGTTAAATTTTATCGAAAGCCTTTTCTGCATCTATTGGGATAATCATGTGGTTTCTGTCTTTAGTTCTATTTATGTGATGAATCATATATATTGATCTATTTATGTTGAAAAACCTTGCATCCTAAGGATAAAGCTTACTGGATCATGGAGGATGAGCTTTTTGATGTGCTGCTATATTTGGTTTGCCGGTATTTTATAGAGGATTTTTGCATTGATGTTCATCAAGGTTATTGGCCTGAAGTTCATCAAGGTTATTAGCCTGAAGTTTTCTTTTTTGTTTCCGTCTGTCAGGTTTTGGTATCAGGATGGTGCTGGCCTCATAGAATGAGTTAGGGAGGAGTTCCTCCTCCTCATTTTTTTGGAATAGTTTCAGCAGGAATGGTACCAGCTCTTCTTTGTACATCTAGTAGAATTCAGCTGTGAATCTGTCTGGTTCTGAGCTTCTTTTGGTTGGTAGGTTATTTATTACTGATTCAATTTCAGAGCTCATTATCGGTCTGTTCAGAGATTCAGTTTCTTGCTGGTTCAGTGTTGGGAGGATGTATGCATCCAGGAGTTTATCTGTTTCTTCTAGGTTTTCTAGTTTATTTCCATAGAGGTGTTCATAATGTTCTCTGATGGTTGTTTGTATTTCTGTGAGGTCAGTGATAATATCCCCTTGTTGTTTCTGATTGTGTTTATTTGAATCTTCTCTCTTTTCTTTATTAGTCTAGTTAGCAGTCTATTTTATTGATTTTTTTAAGCCCCTGGATTAATTGATCTTTCAAATGGTTTTTCAGGTGTCTATGTCCTTCAGTTCAGCTCTGATTTTGGTTATTTCTTGTCTTCTGCCAGCTTTGGGGTTTGTTTGCTCTTGTTCCTCTAGTTGTTTTATTTGTGATATTAGGTTGTTAAAGTCTTTCTTACTTTTTGATGTGGGCATTTAGTGCTATAAAATTCCCTCTTAACACTGCCTTAGCTGTGTCCCAGAGATTCTGATATGTTCTATCTTTGTTCTCAATGGTTTCAAAAATTTCTTGATTTATGCCTTAATTTCATTATTTACCCCAAAGTCATTCAGAAGCAGGCTATTCAATTTCCATGTAATTGTATGGTTTTGAGTGAATTTCTTAGTCTTGTTTTCTAATTTGATTGCACTGTGGTTCAAGAGATTGTTATAATTTCAGTTCTTTTGTATTATTTAAGGAGTATTTTCTTTCCAATTATGTGATCATTAGAGGATGTGCCATGTGGCAAGGAGAAGAATGTATATTTTGTTGTTTTAGATGGAGAGTTCTGTAGATGTTTATCAGGTCCATCTCATCCAGTGCTGAAGTCAGGTCTGAATATCTTTGTGAATTTTCAGTCTTGGTGATCTGTCTAATATCGTCAGTGGGGTGTTAAAGTCTCCCACTATTATTGTGTGGGAGTCTAATTCTCTTTGAAGGTGTCTAAGAACTTGCTTTATCAATCTGGGTGCTGCTGTGTTGGGTGCATGATGTTCCCTCAGTCTTTGAAATTGCTGACCTTTGGATTATTTTCTTTTTCTTTTATTATATTTTATGACCTTGAGGGTTTGATTGTGGTGTAGGGTGGATTCTGCCAACTTGCTTCATTTCCGGAAGATCCTAGGGGGCCAGTGGTCAGCTCCCAACCACTGGACTGTATGCTATCTTTGGGGGACTTGTATTGGGCCCTGACTTTGTTCTCCGGCTCCTTGAGGTTAGGAATCCACTGCGCGGGAGGGGCTGAGGGGTCCCAAGATCAGTGGTCACTACACTTCAATGAGTGGTGTCAGCCAAAGCATTTCAAAGTGTGGGGACAGCGGGATTCATCCTCCTTTGCGAATGCCCACAGCAGCAGTAGCAACAGCTGTGGCAGAGTACTAGCGGGTATTGTGGTGCCTGCCTCCCTGTGGATGTTTACCACGGTGGCAAAGGCAGTGCAGCTGGGGAGGGGGTGGGGCCCCTGCTGGTGACTGTGTGCAGGGTCCTGCTGGAGGTGGTATTGGCTCGGGGACAGGGTGCCTGCAGGCACAGGTCTAGGTGCCTTTTCTGTGCCCCGCAAGCAGGAGCGATCCCTCAGGGCAGGGGAGAATTCTGCTGTTCTTTGTTCAGTGTTAGTGCAAGGTCAGGGAGCTGGCAGGGGCAGGGATGGCTGGCTCTGTGCCTGCAAATGTTCCATCTGCAATGGTGGTCCGTCGGGGGAGGTGGGGTGGTCTGTACTCCCATGTGCTGGCAGGGCAAGGAAAGCAAAATCTGCTCTCACAGATGTGAGCCAGCAAAGTAATGTGAGGAGTTGCCTTGGGCCTGGGAGAATCTACAGTATGTGGGTGGGAGAGTTTGTGGGCTGGTGTGTGTCTGTAGGGGCCACCCCATTGGAACTCTCCACCAGTCAGACATGGCCCACCAGCACAGAAGCTATGCTGTGAGTCCCCAGGGCAATCGAGACTGCTCTGCCAGGAGGCATGGCCAGGCTGGGGCCCTGAAAGAGGGCAGCAAGCCAAGGGGTGCTCAAGTCGTACTTGTTATGTCTGATGTTCAAGGCTGCCTTGCAGAGTTCAGGTCTGACAGTTCCTCTAGGGCTAAAGTCTCCTAAAGGAGCAAGTCAAGTCTAGGGGGTGACTGTCCTTGGCTGTGCTATGTTATAGATGCTCTCGCATCAAACTCTCTGGGTTCCACATCAGCTGTCTTGTTGCCCCTACCACTTCTCTAAGCAGCTCTCCCTGCCAACTCAAATGCCCTTGATGGTCGAGGGATTTCCTCCTGCTGGAGTCCCAGAGCCCTGCGGTGAGGGTGGGTTGCTCCTTGCCAGTTCAACTCATCCATTTCCCTGGAGCCATTGTGAGCCAAGAATGAGTCCTGCTGCATGGGAGCTCCGTGCCAAGGTTCCCAGTTTTCTTCCCCTTCAGCTTAGCTTCTGTGTCTTCCCTCCACTCTTGGTGCCTTCGCTCTGCAGATCTGTTAGGAACAGATCTGTCTCCGTCCCTAGGTGGGAGCTGTTTCACCTGGCTGCGTCTAGTCAGCCATCCTACCCTCCCTCCTTTCTTGGCATTATTTTTCTAACAACATGTGCTTACTTTGTGTCTCTGTGCCACATTGTGGTGATTTCCTCAATATTTCAAACCTTTTTATTGTTATTATATCTGCTATGGTGGTCTTTGATAAGTGATCTTTGATATTACTATTGGAATTGTTTTGGGGCACCATGAACCTCCTGCATGTAAGAGGGCAAACTTAATTGATAAATGTTCTGATTGCTTCATAGCCTAGTCGTTCCCTTATCTCTTTCCCTTTCTTTGCTCTTCTCTATTCCCTGAGACACAACAATATTGAAATTAGGGCAATTGATAACCCTATAATCACTTCCAGGTGTTTGAGTGAAAGGAAGAGTCACACATCTCTCACTTAAAGAGCTAGATTAAGCTAGATTAATCTTAACAAGGAAGGCATGTCAAAAGCCATGACAGACTGAAAGCTAGGTCTCTTGCACCAAACAGTGTGCCAAGTTGTGAGTGCAAAGGAAAAGTTCTTAAAGGAAGTTAAAAGTGATACTCCAGTGACCCCAGTAATGATAAAGTGAAACAGATTTATTGCTGATATGGAAGAACTTTAGTAGTCTGGATAGATCAAAGCAGGCACAACATTCCCTTAAACCAAAGTCTAATCCAGAGCAAGGCCCCAACTCTTCAACTTTTTGAAGAACGAGAGAAATGAGAAATCTTCAGAAAAAAAGTTG
The DNA here is from genome assembly GCF_000001405.40 of Homo sapiens. Classification (NCBI taxonomy): domain Eukaryota; kingdom Metazoa; phylum Chordata; class Mammalia; order Primates; family Hominidae; genus Homo; species Homo sapiens. Next base: position 16,147,464 of record NC_000021.9, read on the forward strand.
AAAGCTGGCAGACAGTGATTCCTGAGGTTTAAGGAAAGAAACCACCTTTATAAGATAAAAGTGCAAGGTGAAGCAGCAAGTGCTAATAGAGAAGCTGCAGTAACTTATCCAAAAGATCTAGCTAAGAGCATTGACGAAGGTGGCTACATTAAACAACAGATTTTGAATGTAGATGAAACAGTCTTCTATTGGAAGAAGATGACATCTAGGATGTTTATATCTAGAGAGGAGAAGTCAATACCCAGCTTCAAAGTTTCAAAGGACAGGCTGACCCTCTTGGTAAGGACTAATGCAGTTGGTAACTTTAAGTTGAAGCCAATGCTCATTGACCATTCTGAAAAGTCTTAGTGACATTAAGAATTATGTTAAATCCACTCTGCCTGTGCTCTATAAATGAAACAACAAAACCTGGATGACAGCGCATCTGTTTACAGCATGGTTTACTGAATGTTAAGCCCACTGTTGAGACCCACTGCTCATGCACAGAGAAAAGATTCCATTTAAAATATTTCTACTCATTGACAATACACCTGGTCACCCAAGAGCTCTGATGGAGATGTATGAGGAAATTAATGGTATTTTCATGGCTGCTAACACAACATCCGTTCTGTAGCCCATGGATCAAAGAGTAATTTCAACTTTCAAATTTTGTTACATAAGAAATATATTTTACAATGCTATAGTTGGCATATATCATGATTCCTCTGATGAATCTGGGCAAAGTAAATTGAAAACCTTCTGGAAAGGATTCACTCTTCTAGATGTCACTAAAAACATTCATAATTCATGGTAGGAAGTCAAAATATCAACATAGCAGGAGTTTGGGAGAAGTTGATTCCAATCCTCATGGATGACTTGAAGGGGTTCAAAACTTTGGTGGAGGAAATAACTGCAGATATGGTAGAAATAGCAAGAAAACTGGAATTAGAAGTGGAACATGAAGCTGTGGCAGAATTGCACAATTTCATGATAAATTTGAATGAATAAGGTGTTGCTTCTTGTGGATGCAAAGAAAGTCATTTTTGAGATGAAATCTACTCCTGGTAAAGATGCTGTTAACATTACTGAAATGACATCAAAAGATTTAAAATATGACATAAACTTAGTTGATAAAGCAGCAGCAGAGTTTAAGAGGATTGATTCTCATTTTGGAAGAAGTTTTACTGTGGGTATAATGTTATCAAACAACATTGAATGTTACAGAGAAATCTGTCATGAAGAGAAGAGTCAATCTAAGTGGCAAACTTCACGGTCTTATTTTAGGAATTTGCCACAGACACCTCAACCTTTGGCAACCACCAGCCTGTTCAGTGAGCAGCCATCGACGTTGAGGCCCCCTGAGGAGGTCCCAGGCTGTGGCAGGGGTTCAGGCTGGTGGAAAAGTGGGAGAGAAGAGTCAGGGGACAATTGGGAAGTGTGATGATATGGGGAAAGAGGGATGGAGTGGAAGCCAGAACCCATTGCTTCCAGTATCAATCTTTTTCACTAGCAAAAAGGTTATAACTTGTTAAAGCCTCATGTGATTGTTAGAATATGTTAGCAATAAAATATTTTTAATTAAGGCATGAGCATTTTTTTAAGATATAATGCTATTGCACACTTAATAGACTACAGCATACTGTAAACATAACTTTTTTGTGCACTGGGAAACCAAAACATTCATGGAACTTGCTTTATTGTGATATTTGCTTTATTGCAATCGTCTGATACCAAATTGACAATATCTCTGAGGTATGCCTGTATTTTATCTTTATTTGTGATAAGTTCTTACACATTTGATAAAACAAGTTATTTATATTGAAATGCATTTGATCGTATCTCTTATTTAAGAAGAAAATTTGGAATTTTCCGTGAAAAAGCCTGCTGAAGTAATCACCCTCTGCAATTTATAAATATTAGAAACATTGGTCAAGTTTTAGAATATTTTATTGCCTATTAAATGTTATGTGACTGTGTTAAATTATTATATATTATTTGCATAGTGTGAAAGCTTACTTTTGCTTCACGAATTATTTTAAATGGAAAAAATTCTCAGTTATACTTGGAAGAGAAAAATCACATGTCCATTTTGGAGTGCATTTTAAATTGTGCTACAAAGAATGACAAAACACTGCAGTAAATGTGACGTTTGAAATTTTATAAGGAGTATGATATAAATACCACTTTTTAATAGTATTTATAAAAGTGGAGCCATGATACATTCTGGCTATAACAACCATAACAATATTCCATATTTTTAATAATATGAATGTTTTTAAAAATATTTTTCCATAGTTCTTAGAACAACTTTAGAATTCCTCAAGTACTTGTTTACATTTAGGTGTTCTGGTATTTCCTGTTTACATTTACCCTTTGCGAAAGGACAAAATCAAGACTATGATACCCTTTTCTCAGCACACCTGTCTCGTGTTGGATCTGTCTTCCCCTGGAAATGCTTCTTTTTTTTTTTTTTTTTTTTTTTTTTTTTTTTTTTTTTGAGACGGAGTCTCGCTCTGTCGCCCAGGCTGGAGTGCAGTGGCGCAATCTCGGCTCACTGCAAGCTCCGCCTCCCGGGTTCACGCCATTCTCCTGCCTCAGCCTCCCAAGTAGCTGGGACTACAGGCGCCCGCCACTACGCCCGGCTAATTTTTTGTATTTTTAGTAGAGACGGGGTTTCACCGTTTTAGCCGGGATGGTCTCGATCTCCTGACCTCGTGATCCGCCCGCCTCGGCCTCCCAAAGTGCTGGGATTACAGGCGTGAGCCACCGCGCCCGGCCGAAATGCTTCTTATTTGTTAGTGTGGCAGCGATGATAACAGCACCCCCAGACACCCTGGTAAATCGCTTCTCTCGAGCGCTTTGTTGTGGTCTTCGTTGAGTTCTGAGTGAGGTGTGAAATCTGAGAAGACAGAATTTGTTTTCATTCTTCAGTAAGTAAGTTAGCATGTGGTTGTGCCTAGCAGAGTATCTGGCACTTAGCGGGCCAGTTAAATAAACCTGGATTTAAAACCAGACTTCACAAAATTTGCTGGGAATCTTTTTTTTTTTTTATACTTTAAGTTTTAGGGTACATGTGCACAATGTGCAGGTTAGTTACATATGTATACATGTGCCATGCTGGTGTGCTGCACCCATTAACTAGTCATTTAGCATTAGGTATATCTCCCAATGCTATCCCTCCCCCGTCCCCTCACCCCACAACAGTCCCCAGAGTGTGATGTTCCCCTTCCTGTGTCCATGTGTTCTCATTGTTCAATTCCCATCTATGAGTGAGAACATGCAGTGTTTGGTTTTTTGTCCTTGTGATAGTTTACTGAGAATGATGATTTCCAATTTCATCCATGTCCCTACAAAGGACATGAACTTCTCATTTTTTATGGCTGCATAGTATTCCATGGTGTATATGTGCCACATTTTCTTAATCCAGTCTATCATTGTTGGACATTTGGGTTGGTTCCAAGTCTTTGCTATTGTGAATAATGCCGCAATAAACATATGTGTGCATGTGTCTTTATAGCAGCATGATTTATAGTCCTTTGGGTATATACCCAGTAATGGGATGGCTGGGTCAAATGGTATTTCTAGTTCTAGATCCCTGAGGAATCGCCACACTGACTTCCACAAGGGTTGAACTAGTTTACAGACCCACCAACAGTGTAAAAGTGTTCCTATTTCTCCACATCCTGTCCAGCACCTGTTGTTTCCTGACTTTTTAATGATTGCCATTCTAACTGGTGTGAGATGGTATCTCATTGTGGTTTTGATTTTCATTTCTCTGATGGCCAGTGATGATGAGCATTTTTTCATGTGTGTTTTGGCTGCATAAATGTCTTCTTTTGAGAAGTCTCTGTTCATATCCTTTGCCCACTTTTTGATGGGGTTGTTTGTTTTCTTCTTGTAAATTTTGTTTGAGTTCATTGTAGATTCTGGATATTAGCCCTTTGTCAGATGAGTGGGTTGCGAAAATATTCTCCCATTTTGTAGGTTGCCTGTTCACTCTGATGGTAGTTTCTTTTGCTGTGCAGAAGCTCTTGAGTTTAATTAGATCCCATTTGTCAATTTTGGCTTTTGTTGCCATTGCTTTTGGTGTTTTAGACATGAAGTCCTTGCCCATGCCTATGTCCTGAATGGTAATGCCTAGGTTTTCTTCTAGGGTTTTTATGGTTTTAGGTCTAACGTTTAAGTCTTTAATCCATCTTGAATTGATTTTTGTATAAGGTGTCAGGAAGGGATCCAGTTTCAGCTTTCTACATATGGCTAGCCAGTTTTCCCAGCACCATTTATTAAATAGGGAATCCTTTCTCCATTGCTTGTTTTTCTCAGGTTTGTCAAAGATCAGATAGTTGTATATATGCGGCATTATTTCTGAGGGCTCTGTTCTGTTCCATTGATCTATATCTCTGTTTTGGTACCAGTACCATGCTGTTTTGGTTACTGTAGCCTTGTAGTATAGTTTGAAGTCAGGTAGTGTGATGCCTCCAGCTTTGTTCTTTTGGCTCAGGATTGACTTGGCAATGCGGGCTCTTTTTTGGTTCCATATGAACTTGAAAGTAGTTTTTTCCAATTCTGTGAAGAAAGTCATTGGTAGCTTGATGGGGATGGCATTGAATCTATAAATTACCTTGGGCAGTATGGCCATTTTCACGATATTGATTCTTCCTACCCATGAGCATGGAATGTTCTTCCATTTGTTTGTATCCTCTTTTATTTCATTGAGCAGTGGTTTGTAGTTCTCCTTGAAGAGGTCCTTCATGTCCCTTGTAAGTTGGATTTCTAGGTATTTTATTCTCTTTGAAGCAATTGTGAATGGGAGTTCACTCATGATTTGGCTCTCTGTTTGTCTGTTGTTGGTATATAAGAATGCTTGTGATTTTTGTACATTGATTTTGTATCCTGAGACTTTGCTGAAGTTGCTTATCAGCTTAAGGAGATTTTGGGCTGAGACAGTGGGGTTTTCTAGATATACAATCATGTCATCTGCAAACAGGGACAATTTGACTTCCTCTTTTCCTAATTGAATACCCTTTATTTCCTTCTGCCTAATTGCCCTGGCCAGAACTTCCAACACTATGTTGAATAGGAGTGGTGAGAGAGGGCATCCCTGTCTTGTGCCAGTTTTCAAAGGGAATGCTTCCAGTTTTTGCCCATTCAGTATGATATTGGCTGTGGGTTTGTCATAGATAGCTCTTATTATTTTGAGATACGTCCCATCGATACCTAATTTATTGAGAGTTTTTAGCATGAAGGGTTGTTGAACTTTGTCAAAGGCCTTTTCTGCATCTATTGAGATAATCATGTGGTTTTTGTCTTTGGCTCTGTTTATACGCTGGATTACATTTATTGATTTGCATATATTGAACCAGCCTTGCATCCCAGGGATGAAGCCCACTTGATCATGGTGAATAAGCTTTTTGATGTGCTGCTGCATTCGGTTTGCCAGTATTTTATTGAGGATTTTTGCATCAATGTTCATCAAGGATATTGGTCTAAAATTCTCTTTTTTGGTTGTGTCTCTGCCTGGCTTTGGTATCAGGATGATGCTGGCCTCATAAAATGAGTTAGGGAGGATTTCCTCTTTTTCTATTGATTGGAATAGTTTCAGAAGGAATGGTACCAGTTCCTCCTTGTACCTCTGGTAGAATTCGGCTGTGAATCTATCTGGTCCTGGACTCTTTTTAGTTGGTAAGCTATTGATTATTGCCACAATTTCAGATCCCGTTATTGGTCTATTCAGAGATTCAACTTCTTCCTGGTTTAGTCTTGGGAGAGTGTATGTGTCGTGGAATTTATCCATTTCTTCTAGATTTTCTAGTTTATTTGCATAGAGGTGTTTGTAGTATTCTCTGATGGTAGTTTGTATTTCTGTGGGATCGGTGGTGATATCCCCTTTATCATTTTTTATTACATCTATTTGATTCTTCTCTCTTTTTTTCTTTATTAGTCTTGCTAGCAGTCTATGAATTTTGTTGATCTTATGCTCTCAGTTTTCTTGTGCATAAAATGGGAATAATAACTGCCTTCTGGAATTGTAGCGGGAAATAAATACAATTGTAGCTCTCGGGTGCTAAGCACAGGGCTGGGACCTAGTAAATGCTCAGTAACTGCTCATTACTCTTTTTTCTTATTTTGCTTCCTTTTTTTTTTCTTCACTGTTGTCTTTTTATTTTCTATTTTAAGGATATTGGCTTAGTAAAAGAAACTAAAATACATCTGCATATAAATTAAATAAATGCCTCATTTTTAAACATTCTGTGAGTGTCTATGTATAGCTGGTACCTTAATTGTAGTTGTTCAATAAATGATTTATCTTACTTTGGGAACTTTCTTAAAAAGCTTAAATCCCTCAATGTTAATAATAGTGAAAATCTTATGTTTGAAAAAATGCTTTTGAAAAACATATATTGGGTTACCCTTTTAAAGAAATATACTTAATATTGATATGAGTAATTTTTTAAAAGTAATCAAAGCTTTAGAGAGTAAGAGAAGAAATAAAAAAAAACAAAAACATTATGACAGTGTTTATATCCCTACTTATTAAATTCAACATGGAAAACAAGGAAGTAGAAAGTACTTTGTAAAATACCTAAAATGCCTGAATATAAGAAGTATTTGGATATTATAGATAACATTTTCTATACTACAATGTCACCTCAAATAGTGTACACACACAGTTATGAGGATATGATAGTCACTTAGAGGATTCATGCTGGGATTGAATAGTAGGACCACACATTTTAGGAAATTTTAAGCAGAAATGCTTTAGAAGAAATAGTCTTTATTTATTTATTTTTTTAAAAGAGCTTTTAAATTACTGAGTTCAAATACAGAAGAAGGCCTAAGTTTGAATTCATGGCGTATTGCTATAATGCACTATTAGACTAATCCTTCATTTTCTTGTCAATTAAAGACTTACCTTTATTCACTGATTCACTTATCAGTAATTCGCTCGGTATTTTAAAGCTGGCTGTTAAAAATCCCTTTGTTTATGGCAATAAGGCACCATTCATTTTGTGAACTTTATAAAACCAACCTCTGCCAATTTTGCTCTTTGAGAATAGCTCTAAAGATGTGTTCCCACAGTAATTACTGATTCCAGAGATGTTCATTAAAGAATGAAGTCAGAGGCAAGTGTTTGAAACAATTGTATCCCACCAAAGCCAGCTTTACTGCGCACCTTCCCAGAATCTACAGTTTCTCCACGTTTAAGAAAATCACTGAACAACTTCATACAAAATTTGTACTTTTGAGTGCTTTTACCTGCAGTAGCATTAAAGATGAGTATTATTTTTTACATATTTGTATTGAAATCAGATGCAGGGAAAGATGGAGGGAAAGCTAGGATGCTTTGAATGTGGGCCCAGTTGTCCGTCATATAGCTTCTGTGAATAGTATGGGTCAATCTTGTGTTCCTGCTCTATGTTGCCCACTTACCCAGAGTGACCAGGGTGAGAAAAGAAAAGGAGGGGAGAAACTTCAGTGAAGCCAGCCAAATCTTAGCAGAGAAAAATAAATAAATAAATAATAAATAAATAAATAAATAAATAAAATGGTTGTGGAGTTGAATATTTCTTTTAAAATGGATTTGTTATTGCAGAAGAGTAGGAAGAAAAGTTTAATTCTTTTATTAGCTTATTATCAGAACCTGAAATGCTGGAGTGTGTTTTAGGTACTGCATAGCTATCCTGCAGTTACAGCCCAACCTCCCACTGAGCCATAATGGGCAAAGGAAGAGAGAAAATTCACAGTGAGAGAGCAGGGAGAGAGAGATTTTGCTATCAGCCTGTCAGTGACAGATCTGAATGATAAACGCCTTACAGAAATGAAGTTACATTTATTTTTATTGCATGAAAATATATAACAGACAAAGGAAGGAAGTCAGAAAACGGGATTAGGTATATTTTCTAAATCTTTAGGTGTTAAACAGACTAGAGACCAGTCACTTGTAAATGAACACATTCCTTGTTTGGATGCAAACAACCCAGCCAAATTAGTTTCCTAAGTGCTTGGAAACAGCTTTCTGTTTTTGGCTTCCAGACCTGAGTTCTTTCATTCATACTATTTTTTTTTTCTTTTTGTTCAATCCTTATTAATCACCAATATTTCAAATACTTTGTAAATATAGATTGGTTTCATTAGAGTTAATGTATTTGGGGGCCAACAGGTTGAATGAATGATTTTATTTTAAAATTCCAAGATCCTGCCTGATACCTGGAGTATAATACTGAGCATCCTGAGGAGAAATGTTGCAATAGCAGGCTTTTGTGAACCATATCCCAAGAACTGCAGATCCTTGCACTGTGGTGACTGGGAACATTTACTCAGGATTCAGCCTGCTAGCATTTGAACACTGAGAGATTGTGGAATCTCTGTAGGCCTCAGCTTCTTCATCTGTAAAATGGAAAAGCTAATAATACCTACTTCAACATTTTTGTTTATTTTTTGACAGAGTCTGGCTGTGTTGCCCAGGCTGGAGTGCAGTGGCATAATCTCGACTCACTGCAACCTCCACCCCTCAGGTTCAAGCAATTCTCCTGCCTCAGCCTCCCTGAGTAGCTGCGACTGCAGGGGTGAGCCACCACAACTAGCTAATTTTTGTCTTTTTAGTAGAGATGGGGTTTTATCATGTTGGCCAGGCTGGTCTCGAACTTCTGACCTCAAGTGATCTGCCTGCCTCGGCCTCCCAAAGTGTTGGGATTACAGGAGTGAGCCACTGCACCGGGCCAACATTTTTGTTTTCATAAAGGTAGATTAAATGAGATTTCCTATAAACAACTGTGAGATCATTGCCTGGTGCATAGTAAGTGCTCAATAAATGTTAGCAATTAATATTACATACTGATGACTGGAGCACCTTTTTAAAAAAGTTATGCTTATTCCTAAATAAAAAATAATTCACATACCTATTACCAAAAATTCAGAAAAATAGAACTATAGATATAAACCGTATTTAGAAAATAAGAATCCAGTGTTATCTTACTACCTGACTGTATCTATCCACTATCAGTACAGCTATCAGATGCCTTTATTAACATGATCCCATTCAGGCTGGGTGTGGTGGCTCACACCTGTAATGCCTCTCTTTGGGGTGCTGAGGCAGAGCAGATTGCTTGAGCTCAGGAGTTCAACAACAGCCTGGCCAACATAGAGAAACCTCATCTCTACAAAAAAATACAAAAATGAGCCAGGCGTGGTGGCATGTGCCTGTAGTCCCAGCTACTTGCGGGCAAGAGGATCGCTTGAACCCGGGAGGTGGAGGTTGCAGTGAGCCGAGATCACACCACTGCACCACTGCACTCCAGCATGGATGACAGAGCAAGACCCTGTCTCAAAAAAATAAATAAATACATAAATAAAATGAAATAAAGAAAAAAGAAAGAAAATTCCTGTTAAAAAACACTTACTGTGTTTATTACAAGTTAATTATTTACTGCCAGTTCATAGCCATCTTTCCATCAATAAATATAGATGTACCAACTGATTGATGTTAGTGTCTTCATCATGCTCCATGCTCCATAGTGGTCCATAATTTAAGTAGTCACCCCTGGCATCTTAAATATTTTTTGTAAATATAGATAATAAAAATGCCTTCAGTCAGCACATTCTTGTTTGCTGTCCCTGGAGTGTTTGGATGACCATTAAAAATGGCAGAAGGCTGACTTGGTTTTTAGGCCTGAATTACAGCCCTGCCATCTACAAGCTGTGTGACTGTGAGCAAGTTACATAACCTTACTGTATCACAAGTATTTTTTTTCTCATTTATAAAATGATGATAATAAGAGTATCTAGCTGACATGATTGCTGAGCAGAGAAAGATGTTAAGACACATAAAGCTTTGGAGACTGGTTTCTGGTCTATGATTTTTACTCAGGAAGTATTAGCTTGAGGCTATGTAAAATCTTGGCATTTCTCCCAAATCATCAAAGGTAAATTATGTTATTCCTTTGAATTAGCTAAATTGTATTGCTATAAAAATTTACTTGCAATCTTAACATTTCACTGCAATATGTATGCATACTTTGGGATGTTTACATGTGAAAATGCACATTATCCTACACACTTCAATTCTCAAACCATGTTGGTTAGAGAAGAGATTAATAGTTATTTCTAGACACACTATACACAGAACAATTTGGAGAAAAATCACCATTGGACAGTAGCAACTAGTTTAATATTTGGCGTCTTTTATTTTCTCTTTTAACATTTCCAAGGAATAGGGGACGCTCTTGTCAATGACTTTTTTTTTTTTTTTTTGAGACTGTGTATCATTCTGTCACCCAGGCTAGAGTGCAATGGTGCTATCTTAGCTTACTGCAACCTCCGCCTCCTGGGTTCCAGCGATTCTCCTGCCTCAGCCTCCTGAGTAGCTGGGATTACAGGCATGCACCACCATACCCTGGTAATTTTTGTGTTTTTAGTAGAGAAGGGGTTTCACCATGTTGGTCTGGCTGGTCTCGAACTCATGACCTCATAATCCACCTGTCTTGCCCTCCCAAAGTGCTGCGATTACAGGCATGAGCCACGGCACCTGGCCAGTGACTAAGGTTTATTACACCACCTGGATAGATGCAGGGCTAGGGGCATGAAGACAGGAAGGTACTCCCACTTTTCAAGGACAGAATGTGGGGCGGGTGGTAAAATCTGAAGAGATCCTGAAAAATTGTCCTCCTTTAGGTGTTGTGATGTATTGCTTCTGCAATGGCCATCCAATCTTAAATACCTAAGTCTAGATATGGCATCCTTATTATGTAATTCTGGAACAAAAGTTACCCTAATAAAGAGCTTCAAACCCGCTAGGACCCACTCAAAATAGGGTAATAATACTCCAAGACATTCAGAAATTTCCTCTGTTCCCAGTGGGCTAGTCAGGACAGGGCAGTGAGAGCCCTCAGGCTAGCTCCCCTGGCCTCAGCAACTCCATTCACTTCCCCCAAAAGGGTCCTAAATAAATTTAAATTTCTCTATGTACCTCGACATGAAATAGTTGGAAAGCACACTCTTAAATGCCACTTTACTGACTGTACTGGCTAAAACAATGAGCTGTGTACGTATGAAAAAGAATGTTCATGTGTTTTCTTTGTCAATTACATTAATTTATACCCTTGCTAGTGTTTCTGAAAGAGACTAATAGTTCCCTCAAATACATTTAATGACCCAGTTTGAGAAATACTGTTCTAGAAATTAACACTAGTAATAATTTTGTGCTCATATGATTACACATACAAATATAAATTCTTGCAACTTAAACTCCATAGAAAAACTTGGATGTAACCTGGCTATGTGGATGAAAAACTGCTAATGTTAATATGTCTTTTAGCAGATGATCAAAATAAAAACAATACAATCTAATAATTCCCATAAACATCTGAAATCCTCTAAAAACATGTCTATGTAGACCATAAGGTAATATTATTCTAAAGCAATGATTCCCAGAATGTGCTCCCAGGGCAGTAGATCTGTATCATCTAGAAACTTATGGAAAGCTAATTCTTGTGACCCACTCCAGATTTACTGAAACAGAAGATGTGGAGGATGGGACCCAGTCAACTGTAGTTTAAGAAGCTCTTCAGGTGATTCTGATGTGCTCCAGTTTGCAAACCACATAATGAGGCTGAGTCCTTTTCAGTCATTCCACACCAAATGAGCACTGTCGTATGTTTACCTTAGGAAACATACCCTCAATTGAGTGGGGCTGCTGATATTTCAATTCCTTTTAAAGAGTTTGTCTCAGAGCCAATCTGTAACAAAAGAGAAATTCAGTTTCATTATTTTATAGTCAAATCTCATTAAGTAGTTGCTGAGATGTTTGTATGAAACTCAGATTTGACTTTGCCCTGCACTGTGAACAAAGACGATGAAACATTTTCACATTTGGAATGATTAGTCATCAGGAGATGCAGTCACAAAATTTTATTGAAAGCCTAATATTTATTCAAAAGCCTTTGATAGACTGCTTTTGGAACTTCTGCGACATTCTCCACCATAATATTGTTTAGCCTCTAACTCTCCCTAAATTGCCTTTGGTCAGAAAAGTTAACGTGGTTACTGCTTTGTTTATTTGACTTTCCTACCTCCTGATTCAGAGTAGAGTTAGCTTTGGAAGGAGACTAAGAGTCAAGCGCTTGCCTGAGTAAAACCTATTTTTGGCCAAGAGAACTCAAAACCAAAACCTTATATATATCCACCTTATTGCCCAGCTAACTTGGCTACTAATTTCTCTGCTACTATGAAATTCTCTTTCAAATTCCTAATTCATAGTCAAGTCTCATCTTGTTCCAGAGCAATTATGGTGGTTGGGAAGCCCAAGATGAGAAGGGTAACACAGGAACAAGGAAGCTGAATCCTAACAGTCAATCCTGCTTGTTCCTACTATCTCATACCTTACCAGCATTCCATCCTGAGGACTTAACTACCAACTTCAAGCTAGCCCATGTCTCATCTTGTGGTTCATCATGTCTCGTCATTTTGTGGCAAACTGTCCAGGATGACCCCCATTTTTTGCAAAAAAAGAAGACACAGAGGGGGAATAATCTTGGTTTTTCTCCAAACCCTAGATGTAGCTCATATCTGTGTTTCCTGAAGTTTTCTCTCTAGTACTCTTGCAGCCTGAGGCTTTTTCCAGAATCCAAGGGAGTGGGAAGAAAAAATGAGGGAAAGTCATGGTCCCTGAAGAAAGAGGGACGCTCAGTAAAGTCCAGCAGACAGAGCACCAGCCAGGGATGTGGTGGGCGGAGCCAAGGACATTAAGCTAAAAGAATATGAAACTTAAATCTATTGCCATGTCCCAGGGAAAAGTGGTGATGAAATTTCAATGAACAAAGCTTACTGTTATTTATCACTTTGTATGTACCTTTACTTTTTTACACAAATGAGATCATATCACATATTTCTTTTGAAACTGCTTTTTTTTATTTAAAAATTTATGACAGGCTGGGCCCGGTGGGTCATGCCTGTAATCCCAGCACTGTGGGAGCCTTAGGTGGGCGGGTCATCTGACGTTGAGAGTTCAAGACCAGCCCGGCCAGTATGGTATAACTGCGTCTCTATTAAAAATACAGAAATTAGCCAGACATGGTGGTGCATGCCTGTAGTCCCAGCTACTTGGGAGGCTGATGCAGGAGAATCCCTTGAACCCGAGAGGTGGAGGTATCAGTGAGCCAAGATCACGGGACTGCACTACAGCCTGGGAGACAGAGGGAGACTCTGTCAAACAAACAAACAAAAAAAGGAGACAAATATTTTTTAGGTCATAAACTTCTTCTTCTTCCTCCTCTTCTTCTTCTTCTTCTTCTTCTTCTTCTTCTTCTTCTTCTTCTTTTCTTCTTTCTTCTTCTTCCTCCTCCTCTCCTCCTCCTCCTCTTCCTCTTCCTCTTCTTCTTCTTTTCCTTATTCTTCCTTCTTTCCTCCTCCTCCTCCTCCTTCTTCTCCTTCTTCTCCTTTCTTAGTATATCTTTTTCTAAGCCTTCACAGTATAGGTTGAGCATTCGTTATCCAAGATACTAGGGACCAGCAGTGTTTTGGATTTTCGATTTTGGAATATTTGCCTATGCACAATGAGCTATCTTCCAGATGGAACCCAAGTATAAGCACAAATTTCATTTATGTTTCATATGCACCTTATATACATAGCCTAAGGTTAATTTTATCCAATATTTTAAATAATTTTGTTCATTAAACAAAGTTTGTGTCAAGTACTTACATGCGGAATTTTCTTTTTTTTTTCAGATCTTTCTTTTTTTTAATTTTATTATTATTTTACTTCAAGTTTTAGGGTACATGTGCACAATATGCAGGTTTGTTACATATGTATACATGTGCCATGTCAGTGTGTTGCACCCATTAACTCGTCATTTAGCATTAGGTATATCTCCTAATGCTGTCCCTCCCCCCTCCCTCCACCCCACGACAGGCCCCGGTGTGTGATGTTCCCCTTCCTGTGTCCATGTGTTCTCATTGTTCAATTCCCACCCGTGAGTGAGAACGGAATTTTCTACCTGTGGCATTGTGTCAGTGCTCAAAATTTCAAATTTTGGAGCATTTCAGATTTGGAATTTTTAGATTAGGAATGTTCAATCTGTATTCTCTTGTTGTATAAGATACCTATAAAAACCATCTTCTATACTTATTGCTTTCATTTTTTTTGACCAGACTCTTTTTAATGTTTTCCCATGAGTACTTAGAATAAAACCCTAAAATACCAGCATGAGCATTTGCACTGTTTTATTTGTTAATTTTAATATTTATTTATAACAATGATACTTTAAAATTTTTCAAAACCAAGACTATATACAAATATATACTGAGATGTTCCCTTTCCACCATTTTTATTTATTTATTTATTGAGACAGAGTCTCACTCTGTCTCCCAGGCTTGAGTGCAATGGCGCGATCTCTCTGCCTCTCGGGTTCAAGTGATTCTCCTGCCTCAGCCTCTGGAGTAGCTGGGATTACAGGTATGCACCACCGTGCCCAGCTAATTTTTGTATTTTTAGTAGAGATGGGGTTTCACATGTTGGCCAGGCTAGTCTCGAACTTCTGACCTCAGATGATCCACCCACCTTGGCCTCCCAGAATGCTTGGATTACAGGTGCCCAGCCAATTCATTTTTTTTCTGTAAAATTAATGCTACTCTGATGGCCCCTAATTCTGACTAAACTCCTTTCAGAATCTAGGATTATTAATCATCTTAATTTTTTTCTGAATTATAATAAAGTAGATAATAATCTGGGCATCTCAAATGCCATTTCTCATCCTATAATTCTGAAAAATATTGTTTAGTTGATGCCACACAATTCCTGGTAATTCTTTGGAAAAAGTTAATATGTGGGACAATATAATTGTCAAAAATAAACCTGGGATTTTTCTTCCATGATCTTCCATAGGTAGCAAAGGAGAATTAGTACAATTTAAATGTAGGCATGTTTCTGAAATTTAGGTTGTTCACCCATGGATACATAGTCTTACTAAATATCTTATTTCATATTATAACATTAAAGGGATTTATAAAGATTGAATATTATATTCTTACTTGAACCGATATTTTACTGCTTTTTTCTTATTTTAATTAGCATGTCAGTAACTGTAGAATGGTATCAGATAACCTTTAGTCTTGTTTATTTCCAACAAAACTTTTCTAATTCTTGAAAGATTAACATAATCTTGCACTAATTTGCATTCTAGTACGATGCTTTTCAACCTTGACTGCACATTAGAGTCACCTGGGGAGAGTTAAAAAATTCCAATGCCAAGGGCACCACAGACCAATTAAATATAAATATTTGATGGTAGGACCTAGGCCACAGTATGTTTTAAAGCTCCCCAGGTAACTCCAATGTGCCGCCAAGCTTGAGAAACACTGCTCCTGGGAAAGAAATAATTATCTAGTTTTTGTTCATTTTTTTCCAATTAGAATTTATTTCAGCATGCTTTCCTGGAAGTATCCGTTTTGTTAAATTTGGCATTGAAAACCAAAAACTAAAATAACAATTCTTTGTTTTTAGATTTGATGTGAAAAGAATAAATTCTCAGTAAGAGAAATCATATTGTGTGTAGAGTTTCAGTCTACATTTTGGAGTGTTGGGGAGAGAAGTTCATAGCTTTCTTCAGATTCTCAGTGTGATGTTTCTGTGGTAGGTAGGGAATTGACTGCAGGAAGAAACATGTTTTGTTACTGGTTTGTACCTGACCCTTGTCCATGTAAACACAGAATGCCCCTCTCTGAAGTGGTTATAATGTAATCTGAGTCGAGCATTGAATTCTGTGAGTGATGATTCTCCGCTCACACTATAGCAAACTATAAAACTTCCATGCACACTTTTAATGAAACAAACTAGCCACATGCAAAAGAGGGCAAATGAGTTGTGATTCAAAAGACAATCTCAGAATGTGGGTAGAGCTGGCATTATTTCTTCCTTATGATTGAATAGCTCATTATTATTCATGGGTGAACTAAAAAGTAAAATCTAGTAGTTTGGAGAAGTTTTTATCCAGCTGTGGAAAGTAGCTCAGTGGGCAAAAACTCTCCTCTGTCCTGTTAAAGAAGAAATGGGGGCTTTCTAGCATAGGGAAAAGATGGTTGTCATCAGAAGTTGGGGCTACTTTGTCTTTAAATATAATTTTTCATGTGTATACTTCTGAGAGAAGTTATGTAGTAGAAAATTCATAGAATTTTAATTTGAAAAGACATGATCCAGTGGCTAGTGAGAAGAAGGAGATCATTATATAAAAATTTTGGGGTGGGGCTTGAGGGGAGAACAGAGTTGGATTTCTGATTCTCAATTTTATTTCCTGCTATTGAATAAGATACTAGATAATATTCATTGGATTACTTTAATATTTATGGGTTTTTTATATAATAGAAAGTGTTTTTTTCCCCTCAGACTTTTCTTGTAAATCCTATAGGCCATTGATTTTTCCATTCTTTGTGAATTGGATATTTTACTAGGAATATCCTGGTAAAAGTCTAAAGATTTATGTGGTAGTCTACCACTATCGTATGGCTTCACTCACTGAGGTTTCAGCTACTCACCGCCGACCAGAGTTTGAAAATAAATTATTACAGTAAAATAAGGTATTTTGAAATAGAGACTACATTTGCATACCTTATATTACAGTATATTGTTTTAATTCTTCTATTTTATGATTAGTTATAGTGTATATAGGGATTGATACTATTTTATTAGTAGTCATCGCATATATAGGGTTTGATACTATTAGCGGTTTAGGTATTCGCTGAGGATCTGGAACATTTCCTCCACAGATAAGGGGGGGCTATTGTAGCATTCTTCCTTAAGCTACTGCTTTCTCATACACTCTCCCAGAGTACATGTATATTTTCTCTTCTTTTCTTTTCTTTTCTTTTTTTTTTTTTTTCTGGGAGGGAGTCTTGCTCTGTCGCCCAGGTTGGAGTGCAGTGGCGTGATCTCGGCTCACCACAACCTCTGCCTCCCGGGTTCAAGCGATTCCCCTGCCTCGGCCTCCCGAGTAGCTGGGACTACAGACGCCCACCACCATGCCCGGCTAATTTTTTGTATTTTTAGTAGATACGGGGTTTCACCATGTTGGCTAGGATGATCTTGATCTCTTGACCTCGTGATCCACCCACCTCAGCCTCCCAAAGTGCTGGGAGTAGATGTATATTTTCATTACAAAAGCAATTATATTGGCAAGGTGATGTATTGAATCCCATGATAGTTATTCTTTAATTTAGAGGACATAATGTTACTGATTTTTGTCTGGAGCCTCAAACATACCCAATTACAGGACAACCTGCATTGTTACTTTTAATGAATTACATTTGATACCAGGATTTTCTTCCTTCAGACTTCTTAAAGCATGCTTTCAAATATACTGGCCTGCCAGTAATTTCACCCAATTTGTTCCCTTAGATAGGGTAATTTCATCAAAGTTTTCCCGCATGGCCAGAATCTGTATTAGCTATTTGGTGTGCTATAAATTTAAAAGCTAGTAGTATTCTTCCCACTGCTTATATACAAACAAAAAAACAGATGTTGTGATTACACTGTAATGTTCCTGCCTAAAGTAAATTTAGATGTAAGAATATCGTCTTTATAGGTATTGTAGCAAAGTATGTCATTCTTTCTCATTTAGCTTAAATGGAGGTTTAATAAAATTGCTACTTATCAAAAGAGAAACTCCAGGGGAAGACTAAATAAATGAGGTGATATTTTAAAAGTTAATGAATGAGGTGCCTTGATCTGTGGTTCCATTATACTCTTTTCATTGCTTCACAGAGCTCTTAAAACATAAGATGTGATGAAAAGAGTAGGTAAGCTAATTTGAACATTGCCTTAAAACGTAGGCAGTGAAACACTCTTATTATGCCTACCAAGGGGCTGAGAGTAGAAAGTCCATTATTCTAGAAAACATTAGGAGGCAAAATGTAAAATGCAAATTAATCTTCTTTATAATATAATGAAAATTAAAAGTGAACTGTGTTTAAAGTGAGTAAAGCTGTAAAAATTTGGTGAAACAAACTATAATAAAACATATTTTTAAAATTTACTTTAACCATTACTTTGATGATATTACTGATAATTCTACTTTACAAGACTCATTTGTGTTATATATTATGAGCATAGTTTTATAATCAGTATAGATCACACTACTAATGCCAACTTATTTCACATTGGTGATTCTGAAACTTCTTTATTTTGGATGTCTATATGGCTGGTTTTAACAAAACTACTAAAACATCCTGTACTTAATTAGGACTCTTTTTTCACAAGCAACCAATTCCAATTTGAGCAAATTTAAACCAAAAATATATGTATTAAACAGCTGCTGGATTATCTCATGTCATCTAATAGTAAAAAAAAAAAAAAAAAAAAAAAAAAAAAAAAAAAAAAAAAAGGCTTGTTCTTTAGGAGAGACAGAAACTGGATCCTTAATGTCTGCTGAAATATTTTCTCTGTGCTCGGTCTCTGCTTCTTTCTGTGTGTCTATCTCATCTCTGTTTCTATGCCAGCTGTTGATTCCAATCCTCAGAGAAGCTGGACTAGGGTTCCTCCACATTTATGAATTTACGTCTATTTCCAAAGACTTGGATTAAGCTGAAAAAGAGTTTCTCAATTTTAATTCTACATTCCTTGGAGAAAGAGTGTGATTGATCCAGCTACATCAAGTCAGCTGGGATTAGAGGAAAGAGTTTCACTTGCTCGTGGGCACCCATCCCTGTGGATGGAGAAAGTAGTTATGACAGAAGAGGAACTGACATGAAATCCCAGGAAATGTTCATTACCACCCCGTTAGATAACTAAGAAGTGTCAGTTTAATGTTTTCATTATTTTAAGTGAATTAGCCACCAGAGAAAATCTTAGTTTTTAAGATATAAGATAAATTAATATAGTGTTTTTTTCATTGAATAACCTTTTCTTGTACTAAATAAACTAGTTCATACTATCAGAAAATCCTTAAATTCTTATATCAGTATTCTGTAACTTGAATAGTTGCTCTTTAATTTTTTTATATTCTTGAGTATGCTTATGGACCATTGGAGAAGTGGAAAAGTAAATTTTGGATTTGGATTACCAGGTAAAACTTATCCTCGTTCTGATATGAATTAGGTAATTTTAAAGTGGCATTAAGTAAACTACAAAGTGTATAGTACATAAATGCCATTTAGAGGTAAAATATTATTCAGAATATGAATACTTAGAAGGAGAATTAGAAATTATCACATCCCAAACAATTTAATAGGTATGAATAAGTAAGTAATGCTCAGAAGGGTACAGAGTCTTTTATTCAAAGTTACAAAAACTGTTTAGAGAAAACTTTTAACGAAGAGCCCTATCTTCAGATTCTCAACTTTACGTTAGTTGCTTAGCCATATATGAAAACCAAATGAACCAATCTGAACTGCTCCTGTCAAGGAGATGCACTCTCTTTCCATAAAAGAGAAACTCTAGGACCTTAGGAGATAGTAATGCAATGTTTATCCTCATATGAAATTTAAATAATCGTCTGTTTTACTGATTCGGAAGTTTCTGGTCAGTATTGCAACTGAGAAAGATACACAAAGGCATATTAGGGATATACCTATTAGAGTATCAGGTAGTCTTCTCATAGAGTCCATGTTTTCAACTCATTCACATCTCTATATTACTTAAGAAGATGACTTAAGAAGATTGTGCGAAGTGAGTTCACAGAATAAATAGCTGTCAATAAGGCTCACCCAGACGACTGGGTGTGTGTGTGTGTGTGTGTGTGTGTGTGTGTGTGTGTGTGTGTAAAACTGTTATGGTAAGGAATATGCAAAACTTTATTTTTTCTGATAAAATCTTAAGATAAATCCATTTCTTTTCAGGACTGGTAATTATATTTCTAGTAGGATTTACTTATTCATAATTGCCTTTAATTTAGATTTTGAAGTCTTCCATTACAGTGAGTTAATAAAGAGAATGAGAGTTGCAATATCTTCATGTTAGTAAAGAGTTTTTCTGTTTATGCTCTTTATTTTAGGCATAAATGATTTGTAATAGTGGCCATGGTTTCAGTAATTCATTGGCACTTAAGGGGCAGTATTAAGATGTTATGGTGATTAGTAAACTTTTCTCTGTAACTTCAGTGCTGCTTAGAAAAGTGATCGTGTTAATGAAGGACTTGTATAGGATTAGTTCATCTGTATATTTATTTTTAACAACTCAAATTATCTGCGTAAGAACATTTAAGTACCCTTATATACAGGTGAGAGCCTGCTTGTTGGGAAAAAATAACGTGAGATTAGGTATATTTAGCTCTTTCTCTACTACTATTTTGCTGTGTACCATTGAAATAAATGACTTTATCTTCCTAGGCATTACCTGTTAAATGTAGAGTTTAACATTAAATATCCAGGGTATTTTCTAGCTCTGTTTATGTTTCTATAATAAATGTTAATTGTACATATAAACATAAATCCAAATTTCATAGATGATGATATAAACTTAGGTCTCATTGTTTTGAAAATTTAAAATAAATAACTATGTAGCAATCAATTGCCTCCTATTATTAACTATCTTTATTCTCTCCTTAGTATCATCCCACTTTTGGTAATTCCAAGAACTCATGAAAAGATTTCACAAACCAATAATCAGCATTGATTTTTAACACACTAGAAGCTATAGTTACCCAATGTTATTTTCAATTCCTTTCCATATTTCATACTCATATTAGTATTCTGAACTTCAAGTAATAAGTATGGAAGAGTCAAAATTAAAAAGAAGAGAAAAGGGGAACATAAAACATTATTTTTAACTGTGGGGAAGGCCATTGTTTCCAAGGAGAAAATAAAATGCTGACTCCCAACATTCTGGGGCATAGATGATCTCCTCCCTTCCTCCACATCCATTTAGATTTGTTTTTTATGAATGGGTGCATGAAAAAGGAACTAATACCATATGGCATTTTCAGGTTCAGCAATGAAAAGTAAGGAAGGCAAAAATGAAATATTGGAATAAACACTCAGAGCTTAGGAAATGGGAGTTCCAGATCTGGTGCCTTGTACCAAATTTCTGGTGATGTTTATTAAATCTCTTTATTTCCCTACCCTTTCTTTCAATATCTGTAAATTGAGGAGTTTCAGCTACACTTACTCTAAGCTCACTTTAAACTGTAAACATATTTATTTTAGGATGTATTTTCTTTATGTGTTTATAAACAAATACTTTTCTTCATGTAGTTGTTAGCTTTTTAATCCATAAACATTTTTCAATACCTTTACCCATATCATTTGGAATATGTTCAGGGGATACAAATAATTTAAATATTTTTAAGCAAATATTTCAAATGTAAATATTTCAAATATTTGTTTAAGCAAACTATAGAGAGAAATGTAAAGTTTTGATGGCACTTTCTTTTTCCTGTGTTATCTTCTATCCTTACTAATGCATTATAAGCAAGGTTTGTTTTTTAGATAGTCCCTCAAGTCAGTTTCTACCAATGGATTAAGGCCTAACAGAAGACCATTGCTCCTTAAGACAAAACAAATACAAATCATAAAACTAACAAACACAACGCAAGAAAATTCTGCATTAAAAATTAGTTGGAGTAATAAATCACAATAAATGAAAAGGCAAACATGGGAATTATTTTCACAAGATGATAAATAAGCCAAGATTTTGCTCTTTTACAATCTCATTTAAGCTGTAACATACACTCTTGCAAAAAAAATCGTCACGAATAGCCTACAGGCAATAAAGAGGGTGGGCCTACTTAGTTAATTTTAAATTGTCAGCTCTTTTTTTCCTATTCTTTCAGTAAAATAAACTGTTTTGCTGAATAAGAGGGTTAAGAAAAGGCCTGAGTGAGTCACTCCAATTTGTTTCCACATTCTGAACAGTCAATAAAGAAATTTATTGCCTCATTAGGCATTTTGAGTAGATTTCTGGAAACCTGGGTGACGTAAGACAGAAAAGTAACCTCGTAAGATGTTTTAAAAGTGATTGCAGCTGAATTTGTTTTTGAAATTGCAAGTTGCCTGTTAGACTGGAATGGCATCATGATTTGTTTCAAGAAATGGTGCCAGGCAGTGGGCTGGTTTCAAGGAGAGGAGGAGGAAACTTGTGTTTTCAGCAAGAACTGAAAAATACTGTAAATACTGGTTCTGAAAAATACTGTAAGATGAGAGAAGTGAGATGATTAGAAGAGGGCAAGGTCTCAGTAATCAGATCAAGAGTAAGCTTCTTATGAGGAAAAAAAATGAAAGCAATGAAAATTGGAACATTAAACTGAATGGGAAGCAAAAGCCAGCAATGTACCCACTGCATGTTGCATCCTAACTTCTGCTTAGCTGATAGTTAGCTCTCTGTTCAAATGTGGACACTTAAAATCCTATGTGTCCCTCAGATCAAGTCATCTCTAATCACTTTGTATCTAGTTTTGGGCTTCAAAGACTTATTAGTAGCCGAATGAAGGTAGCTACTTTCCCCACACTCTATGCTTGTAATAATCTTGAGGCAACCTGTCTTAACTTCTTTTAAAATGACTGAAGGTTATACTGGGGGTTGGTTGATAAAGTATTATTATTTTTTGAATGAAGGAATGTTGACTTTGCTCCAAAATGTAAACAACCCAGGAGGCAAAATTCATAGAACAAATGACTTATTAACAAGTAGAACACAATGGGTTGCTTGCCTAAACTAACTTTCTTTTTATTCTTTTGGCAGGTAAACACATTAATCATAATCAGTCTGATCTGTATTAAAAAATAACTTAATAAATTAATCACAATCAGCCATAGAACAAGTAACTTTCAGGGAATTTTTCAGATACAAGGAGGTAAAATATTGGTTTCCCAAAATGAATATATATATTCATGTGTGTGTGTGTGTGTATGCATGTGTATACACATGAATGTGACATTCTATTTAAGAGATTTGTTTTCATAAAGGAAAAGGAAAAAAAAAGGAATAAAAAGGGAAAATAAAGTTTTAATCAGAATTCTCTTCCTGTTAGTCAAAGACAGATTTATCAGCACTGTTTCATTCTCTTATTATAAAATATTCTAACTTTAGGAGAGATCTTGAAATGTAAAAAGAAGGAAATATTTTCTCCATCATCCATTCTTTCAAACCTCTCAACTGATACCTTGCTACTGTTGTTCCATTGAATATCCGGAGAATAAAATTTAAGAGAGAAAAAAATGTGGTGACAGGATACAAAGGGAGAGGCATTGGGAGAAGAAACCTAGTACTCATCTCATCTTTGCAAATCTCTCTAGAAAGTGTCTTCATCTGCAAAATGTGGGGTTTGAACTGGATGACTTTAGATTGCCCTTGAATTTTAAGGGCAATGATGAGTCTAACTTGGTAGCCTGGAGGAGATTAAAATCTACTTAAAACGTTAGAGAAAAAGTTAAGAGCGGCAAAATGGTGCTGTGTTTCATTACTCCCTTTTTAATTAACATTATAAAAGTTCCAGATCTGAGATCCTGCCAAATTTAAAGTTCTACTTTTTGACCTATCCAGACATAGCTCAGAGATATTGTGGGTTTGGTTCCAGACCACTGCAATTAAACAAGTCACATAAATGCTATGTTTACACTATACTGTAGTCTATTGGGTGTGCAACAGCATTATGTCTAAACAAAATATATATTTTAATTTTAAAATACTTTATTGTTAAAAAATGCTAATGATCAACTCAGCCTGCAATGAGTTGTAATTTTTTGTTAGTGTAAGGTCTTGCCTCCCTGTTGATGGCTGCTGACTGATCAGGGTGGTGGTTGCTGGAGGATGGGGTGGCTGTGGCAATTTCCTAATATAAGACAGCAACAAACTTTGCAGCATCAACCAACTCTTCCTTTCACAGATTTCTCTATGGCACGCAGTGCTGTTCGGTAGTGTTTTACTCACTGCAGAATTTCTTTCAAAAATGGAGTGAGTTCTCTGAAACACTGCCACTGCTTTACCCACTACGTCTATGGAATGTTCTAAATCCTCTGTTGTCATTTCAACCATGTTCACAGTATCTTCACCACGGATAGATTCCATCTCAAGAAACATTTTCCTTTGCTCATTCATAAGATGCAACTCCGTAGGTGTTCTTATACTATCATGAGATTGCAGCAATTCTGTCACCGCTTCAGGCTTCACTTCCAATTCCAATTTTCTTGCTCTTTCTACCACTTCTGCAGTTATTTCCTCCCTGAAGCCTTTTTTTTTTTTTTTTTTTTTTTGAGATGGAGTCTCACTCTGTTGCCCAGGCTGGAGTGCAGTGGTGTGATCTTGGCTCACTGCCAGCTCCACCTCCCAGGTTCACGCCATTCTCCTGCCTCAGCCTCCCGAGTAGCTGGGACCACAGGTACCCGCCACCGCGCCTGGCTAATTTTTTGTATTTTTAGTAGAGGCGGGGTTTCACCATGTTAGCCAGGATGGTCTCGATCTCCTGACCTTGTGATCCACCAGCCTCGGCCTCCCAAAATGCTGGGATTACAGGCGTGAGCCACTGCGCCCGGCCTCCTCCCTGAAGTCTTGAACGCCTCCAAGTCATCCATGAGGGTTGGAATCAACTTCTTCCAAACTCTTGTTAATGTTGATATTTTGATCTTCTCCCATGAGTCGTATATGCTTTAATAGCATCTAGAATGGTGAATCTTTCCCAGAAGATTTTTAATTTACTTTGCCCAGATACATCAGAGGAATCACTATATATGGCAACTACAGCATTATAAAATATATTTCTTAAATACTGGGCTGCAGAATGGATGTTGTGTTAGCAGACATGAAAATAACATTAATTTCCTCATACATCTCCATCAGAGCTCTTGGGTGACCAGTACATTATCAATGAGCAGTAATATTTTGAAAGGAATATTTTGTGTGTGTGTGAGCAGTAGGTCTCAACAGTGGGCTTAACATATTCAGTAAACCGTGCTCTAAACAGATGTGCTGTCATTCAGATTTTGTTGTTCCATGTATAGAGCATAGGGAGGATAGATTTAGCATGGTTCTTAATGACCCCAAGACTTTTCGGAACGGTCAATGAGCATTAGCTTCAACTTAAAATCACCAGCTGCAATAGCCCCTACCAAGTAAGTCAGCCTGTCCTCTGAGGCTTTGAAGCCAGGCATTGACTTCTCTCTAGCTATGAAATTCCTAGATGACATCTTCTCCCAGTAGAAGGCTATTTCATTTATACTGAAAATCTATTGTTTAAGAAAACCGCATTCACCAATGATCTTTTGAATAACTTACTTCAGCTTCTCCATCAGCACTTGCTGCTTCATATTGCATTTCTATCTTACAACGATGGCTTCTTTCCTTAAACCTTATGAACCAGCCTCAGCTAGCTTTAAACTTTTTTTCCTGCAGCTTCCTCGCCTCTCTCAGCCTTAATGAAATTGAAGAGTTAGGGCCTTGCTCTAGATTAGACTTTGGGTTAAGGGAATGTTGTGTTGTTCCTGGTTTGAACGTCTATCCAGACTACTAAAATTTTCTCTATATCAGCAATAAGGCTGTTTCTTTTTTTCGCCCTGCCCCGCCCCGCCCCCACCCTTTTTTTTTTTTTTTTTTTTTTTTTTTTTTTTTTTTTTTTGGCGGAGTCTCGCTCTGTCGCCCAGGCTGGAGTGCAGTGGCTCGATCTCGGCTCACTGCAAGCTCCACCTCCCGGGTTCACGCCATTCTCCTGCCTCAGCCTCCCGAGTAGCTGGGACTACAGGCGCCCGCCACCACGCCCGGCTAATTTTTTGTATTTTTAGTAGAGAAGGGGTTTCACCATGTTAGCCAGGATGGTCTCAATCTCCTGACCTCATGATCCTCCCGCCTAGGCCTCCCAAAGTGCTGGGATTACAGGCGTGAACCACCGCGCTGGGCCCAAGGCTGTTTCTTAGCATTTGTATATTCACTGGAATAGCACTTTTAATTTCCTTGAAGAACTTTTCTTTGCATTCAAAACTTTCCTCTTTGGCACAAGAGGCCTAGCTTTTAGCCTGTTTTGGCTTTTGACATGCTTTCCTTGCTAAGCTTAGTCACGTCTAGCTCTTGATTTAAAGTGAGAGACGTGTTAACTCTTTCTTTCACTTAAACACTCAGAGGCCATTGTAGGGTATTCATTTATTTTTGAGATGGAGTTTCACTCTTTCGCCCAGCCTGGAGTGAAGTGTTGCCATCTCGGCTCACTGCAACCTCTGCCCCCCGGGTTCAAGCAATTCTCCTGCCTCAGCCTCTTGAGTAGCTGGGATTACAGGCACGTGCCACTATACCCAGCTATTTTATTTTATTTTATTTTTTTGTATTTTTAGTAGAGACAGGGTTTCACCATGCTGGCCAAGCTGGTGTCGAACTTCCGATCTCAGGCAACCCACCCTCCTTGGCCTCCCAAAGTGCTAGGATTACAGGCGTGAGCCACCACACCTGGACCATTGTAGGGTTTTTAATTGGCATCATTGTAATATTATTATGTCTCAGGGAATAGAACAGCCTGAGGAGTGGGCAAAATTTGGAGAAACCATCGGTCAGCATAAAAGTCAGAACACACACAACATTTATTAAGTTATCTGTTTTATATGAGTGGTTTGCGGTGCCCCCAAACAATTACAATAGTAACGTCAAAGACCACTGATCACAGATCAGCACAACCGATATAATGAAGAAAGTTTGAAATATTGAGAAAAATACCAAAATGTGTCGCGGAGACACAAAGTGAGCACATGCTGTTGGAAAAACAGTGCTGATGATAGGCTTGCTTGACACAGGGTTGCTACGGACTTTCAATCTGTAAACAATTTAATACCTGTGAAGGTCAGTAAGTGAAGTTCACTAAAATGAGTTATGCCTGTGTATTTTTCCACACGTTAATTATTGCTTTTTGAGAAAGCATAAGGTGTTATCTTTTAATGATTATTTATTGATTATGATGTTTACTGAGGCTCTTGTGGATGGTTCGGTTCAACAAGTATTTGATTCATGGCTACTATGTGTTGAGAAGTGAGCATGGGAATAGAAAGTAACTCTCCCGCCCCAAATCAAAATGACAAATAGTCCTAGGTTTAGGGAGTTTAGAATATGCCTGGTATATAATAGGTACTCAGCATACATTGTTCAATGATTGAATAAATGCACTAAGGGAAACAATTAGAGTATAATATCTGTGCTTAAGTATATATATATATTATCTATATATCTCTCTATATAAACATTTATATCCAGATATTAAAATGCCAATACTTTCTAAATATTTCCATGACCCCCCCAAGCAAATCTTTGCCTACTCCTCTATCTATCTGTATAGAGATCTCTATCTATATAGAGAGATATGTAGATAATATATATACTTATTTGTTACATCTATCTATATATAATATAGATAATAAATCTATATATAATATAATCTATATATGATATATAATATATCATATATAGATATATAATAAATATATTATCTACATATCTCTCTATATAAATACATAGTTATGAAGAGAAGTAGGCAAAGATTTGCTTGGGGAGTCATGGAAATATTTAGAAAATATTGGCCTTTTAATATCCAGAAGTTAGAATACATATATTTACAGTAAAGATGGCAAGGAAGCATATTAGTTGATGTATTTTAAGAATGGGACAGATCTGCCAGAAAAAATTAGAAAGAACAAAAGTTAATTGAGGAATATAATCAATAAACTGGATTTTTTGGGTATGTATATATGTAACACATGTGTAATAATTTTACACATATGTAGAGAAAACTTCATACTCTCCAAATACTGCATATTCATCTTTTCTCTGTGTTCATAAAATATACATATTTATTGAAGAACAAAAAAATAAAAAAACAAAGAAAGTATTAACATTTGAGTTGGCATTCCAACAACAAATCAGATTTTAAACATTCATTTTAATCAGAGAAAGCATTCTAGTTTACAGCATGTTTGGGAACAATTAACATGTATATAATGAGGAGTGGTCACAGATCACAGGAAGTGAGGCTGGAAAGGTGGCTGGGGCAAAATTGCCAAGACTTTTTAATTCCAGGTGAAGTGGTTTAAACTTCATGCTATGAATAGTTAAAACTCCATACTATAAATAATGGCATTTTGTGTGTCAAGAACAGAGTGAAATGACCCAGGTTTGTTTTTGTGACTCCTGATCCTTTTAGTGTGCCCAGCCTGTCCGGATTAAACTTTTAAAGAACTCATTGACCTATGCTCTAGCAATCTAATGGAGCCAGTCTTTAACTTCTAAAGTAATGTACTTTCTGTTAGTAATTTATGATATTTAAACTATGGAACTGAACATATTGAGTAGGGCTTTTCAAATGGTACATCATCCTTCAAATTTCTGAAAATTCTGTTGTCTTCCTTCTCTCCCTAGTCCCTCCCATCCCCTCATGCCTTTCTACCTCTGCATTTTTTAGGCTTGGAACATATTAAATGGACGCAGGTGTTGTTCCCACTTTAACACAAACCTTAGAGGCACAAAATAATAACCAATTTTATAAACAAAAATAAAGAAAATAATAATACCAAGAGCCAGGAAACAATAACAATGCAATGTAAGCTCTCGATCCAGATGGCTGAGGTTCAAATCTTGGTTTTGCCACTGATTGGCTATGACCTTGACCAATTTACTTAAACTCCCTGCAGCTAGATTTTGAGGAATAATGTTACCTTCTCTCCTAGCAATGTTGGAGGAATAAAAGAGTTAATAGAGATTATGGCCTGATGTATAGTAGGTGGTGCATAAATATTGTAGACGTCATTGTTGTTATCGTATAGCAGGGGAAGTTGGTATAATTTTTGTTTGTCCCTTATGTTGTTTTCTGACCTGGAAAGGAGTAACGCTGCTCCTTTTAGGAACAACCTTAGTCCTCACTTCATACATAAATCACATGTTCTTCTCTTTGCCAACACCTATATTTTGATAAGACTCAATATCTGAAGCTAAAAACACATTCAAATCTCCTTATGTTACTACTTCTTGTTCTAACCAAACACCAACATTAGTACTTATTCTATTTTCTTGTCCTGTCTATTCATACAATAGTGGCTTTTCTCTGTATCTGCTTTCTGCTTGTATATTGAGTCAAGGACTTTTTCCTCGAAGGCCTGTTTTGTGTGTAGCAGTTCAAGGACTATCAAGTCAGTCCTTTATCTCAACATACTCCACAATTTGAAAAAATAAATCTCATTTTTATTAGTGTGATTTTATAATTTTTTTATAAGACTTTGTTAAACTTTATGAATCTTCTCTAGATTTCTTTATGGTTTACATTTCCTTGTAACTTGTGAAGACCAGATGGAGGTTCAGTTAAGTTAGGGGGATTGGAGCATTGCTTAGAACATCAAGTCCCAGACTGGGCCAAGAGTTCTGAAAACAAGCTGGCTTTCTGCTTATCCAAATGAGTCATTTGGGAAGCCATTGCCTCCTTTGCTAAAGACACTTTCTTCATCATCAACTTTGATTGTGGTTTCTTTTCAGACCTATTTTGACTATAAAATAAATCTGAAAAATGCTTTAGACAGAATATCACTGCAAAATGTAAGCTATTCTTCACATTAGGCTAAATTTAACAATGATCCTGAATTTAAAAACCAGAGTTAAAAATGACAAAAAAAACTGTGATGGATTTATTATTGACATTACTGAATTGACATGGTCAGTTAGGATTAAAATATTATGAGTAATATGAATGTTACGTTATTTAAAATAAAGAGATATTAAGAGACTATTTGTTTTTATCATTTTATGAGAATAGCTAGTAGCTTCCCCTCTACCCCTTCTTCAATAAAACTAAGCAGTTCAGGACATCTTGTATTAATGCAAGAAAGTTAGATTAATATTAATGATAATATAGTGTTTTCATGTTGTAGTTGTTCATCTGAACTGAGCCTTCAGTATTCTTTAATTTTACTCAGTGAAAATAAACTTTGTTTATCTCAGCTCTTTAAAAATAAATGGCATTGCAGGATTGGGTAGAACCCTGGGCACTTTGTTTGGTCTTATATTACTCTGAATACCAAAATTATTTTTTTTCAAGCTAGTTAAATCATCATTTGAAACAGAGCTGCAAGACTAACATATGGACTACAGGAGAGTAATAGATGTGTCATATACCAAAAACAGAAAGATCCATTACCCTAAATGTGAAATTGTGAGAGGGAAGGAGAATACACAAAGTAGGATGTCTGGAAGCCTTTTTTAGACTGTATTACCATCCATCTAGAAAAATGTTATAGGTAAATAAAATATGTTCTTACTGAATAATAAGTATAATATGCGCAATTTATCCTCATTACAAAGAGATTTTATTGTGTGTGAAGAATTCCACAGAGAGCCATTACAGATCCATTATAGTGTTTTTAGTGATCTGCTCTACTTCCCAAACCGTGGTTGTTTTATGCAGTATCAGATGTATAATGTGCATTTCTATTTTTTTCCTGCTCCAAACTCGCTATGCTTACAAATAATTAGGCAGGAGGGGTTTTGTTGCCTTGTTGGCCACTTCTTAAAAGCATAGTATAATTTATTGGAACAAAATATAGTAATGCACTTTAAGGAAAGTTCTCTTATGTAAAAGCTCAATCTCAAATTGAATGAAGGGTAAATTTTTATTCGCAAGAATTGACACATTTCCAATAGGAAAGGCTTCATAGTTGCAGTATTTTATTATGATAATTGAATTTTATAAGAATAGCACCATTTACTTCTATGAAAATTTATTCTCCTTGTTCTGCTCCAGAGCTTTATTAGCTTCCCAGTATTTCCCCACTCTTCCACCTGGAATTCATGGGCCAGGCCCCAACTTACATTGTTACTTCTTTTATATATAATTACTTTTGCACATAAGCATTTTCTTCCACTCAGCCTCCATCTTTTCAAGAATATGTGTGTTCCTTCACTTCTTGGATTCACGCTTTTACTTTCTCTACTTTTCCTACTGCTCCAATTTTTTTTCTTGTTCTAAAGGTCTTTAAAATTTTTCCCATCTCTATAACGCTATTTGTGGATGTGTGGGTCTTTTTCTTTCAAATAAGGTACACATCTGCTGTGCTGAACTGCTCATCTATCTGTAGAGCAGAAAGGGAGGGTACACCTGTTGAATGTCCAGAGTTCTCCATGGATTTTTCTAGGTCTTCTACGTTATGTACCTCATTTAATTCTCTTAACAACCAGGCAATGAAGAACTAGCATGCCTGTTTCATGGGCGAAAAAACTGAGGCTTAATGAGTCCAAGCAGCTTCTCTCAAGTTTCTTTGGTAGAAAGCAAAAGAGGATAGATTCAAATCCGTCTTTTTCACCAAACCTGTGTTTGTTTGTTTTTTAGCTTTCCCTATGTGTGTGTCTATTTCATTTTCCCATCTCCTGATGGCAAGGACTCTATCATGGGCAATTTTATCTTTTAGGTAGCCGTCACATATCTCAATTCTGCATTTACCTCCTTGTGTAGCTCAGGTGCCACATTTTCCTTCACAGTGTTTTTCCGATTTTTACTTATTAAAATGATTTGCATATTCATAAGTAGAAATGGTATATTTTTCCTTGTTAGCAAAAAAAAAAAGAAAAGAAAAGAAAATAGTCATGTGACTAATGAAAACTCTTTCAAGTTGGTCTATAGTTTCAAGTTGGTCAAGAACATAAAAGAACATAAAAGAGTTTTTTATGTTTTCCAAGTTTGATTTCTATCAACTTTATATTCTGTGTGTGGTTGATAATATTTCTCAGTTTATACAGCTTTGTGTTCTCTTAAAGAATAATACCCACTTTTCATAGACTATTTAAATCTTCATTGGGAAAAAATATCAAAATTTATAAATTATATGAATATATTTAATTAGCACATGTGCCCCAAAACTATGTACATCTATTATACAGCAATTTTAAAATTTTAAATAAAAGGTAAATGTAAAAAAAGTACATGAACTTTGAACCAAATTTAGACATGCTTAATAAAGCCTATGTTTATCACTTTGAATTTGGTATTATTTATTTATTATTATTATTTATTACTTTGAATTTGGTATTATTTAAAAAGGAATCCAGTTTTTAAAACTTTAAATGAAATAACATGTCTGAAGAGAGTTTCTAGATGCAGCTTACTCATCTATATAGGGAGCAAATTACAAATAAAGTCTTTAAAGAACCCATAAATGTTGAGATAACGTGGAATTACTGATAAGCAACTCAAAAGCTGCTCCTTAATATTGTTCACCTATTTATCACCTTATTCTAAGCCAAACTCCTAAACAACTGAAAAAGAAAGCTTAGATAATTGGATAATATTTCTTCACAAAGTCAGCTTAAATTTCTGTCTAAATGCATTATAATACATGAAGAAGGCTTTTAATATTACTTATGCTAAAGGAAAAAATATGCTGGTTCTTTTGTCAACCTTCTTTTGTACTAATTGTGTAAGTTTGAAGCGAGGGCTGTAGGAAATTAAAACAGAAAATAGAAGTCCTGATTGTGGGGCCTGTTGAATTTGCAGTGTAACACAGGAGATAAGGCATCAGTTTAAACAAACATAGACACACACATATAACATCTCAAGATCGCATAATACAGCCGCCAAGATGGGGTCACAGATGAGTTCAGTAAATAAAGAATGTCATGGACTAGTATGGTCAGAGAAATTGTTACCAAGGAGGTGCAATTTGAAAGGACACTTCAAAGAGGGGCAGGATTTTGTTAGTTGGAAAGCAGGTGACACAGCAATTTGGGCAGGAAGGAAATCAAGTTGCAGAAGTTGCTTAGGGAAAGTAGGTTTGAAGGAAACATCAGAACAACTAAAATAGAAGCTTTGCTCAAATAACAAAGTCTCGTTTTATTTTTATCTGTTTTTTTTACTTTACCTCTATCAGTTTGTCACTCTTTTCAGGCTAGTACAAACTGTCATGTTTTAAAATCTCTGTACTTTTATTAGTTGTAGGATGTAAGCTTTGAAATAAGCTTTGCAACTGTGGAGATTAGTGTCCCATTCCTTTAAGGGTCTGGCCAACCTAGGGGATCCACAGATATTAGCTGCTAGGTGGTCGATCACCTTGAAACACCATCCTGTTATGCTGTGTCCTAATAGCTTGAGAAGCTGAACCAGAAGTATGCAGTTCACTTCTACACATTCTGCAGCTCTTCCTGAACAACTTCATTTTTCATCTATTTCACGATGAACAGAAATATTCTCAGAAATTCTTTTTTTCTTTTAGCTACCAAGATTTGGGCCTGCTTTTTTATTGGTTATTTCGTGAGGGTAATGGGGCATTTGACCATTCTAATCCGCTTTTCTGAGAACCAGCACATTCTGAAAATTGTCTGAGCCCTCTCTCCTTTGACTATCAATAAGGATCACTTTTAGATAAGTCGAAGAAGAGGCCAGACTGAAACAGGAACCTGTGAGGCTCCCTGTTGCATGTTTTTAATTCACACACCCACATGGCTACATCCAACAGAGGTGACCTGAATTTTACTCCTTTGATGTTGCATACCATAAATTCCCATAGCAGGTTTGCAACAAAGGGGGTATTTTAAAGCTTTTTTCTAACATCGCCTTAGCAGATACTGACTGATCCTTTCCCAGGAACTGAGAGGGTCCCACCCATGCTCCTGATTTTAGAATCATAAACATCAGTAGGACCAAGATGCTTTTAGAGGGATAAAGTGACTTTAATTTATCTTGGGTGGTCAAAACACAGCATGTGCAATATTTTTACAAACTATGATTCAGAAAGCACATAGTTCTAGAGCGTTTTGTTTTTTGTTATGTTGGTGTCACTGGAAACAGTTGTGCTTCCTGATGTCTTACTGAGATGGCCTTTTTGGTCATTTTGGGCCACTTTCCCAAGGATACTGCATGTTGCCTGACCTGTATTCCTGAGGAAATAAGGAGGACTTAGATTGATCTGTTTTGGACAGCGTACTTTCTCTAAGAATGGCGAAAGGAAAAACATCAGACTAGGATGCTCTCCAGAAATAATAACTGAGAATCTCATCCTGTTGTGTAAACTCTCCTTGTACTTTGCTCTGTGTGTGTTTGGTGGAAATATTATTTTTAAACAGCCATTTACTCTGAAAAAATATGATTTTGCATTAAATTAGTTTTAAAGTTAAGGGATATATATAAGACCTTTTTATTAACAAGTTGATGAGATGAGCATTAGTATACCTATAGGAAGTTTTTGAATGAGTGCCAATTCTGAATTTACAAATCAACATTTCTTCTCTCCAGCTTTCTTTAGCTTGCCCATGGTGATGTGAAGATGAGAAGAAATAGCAAGGCCCAACCAGTTCTTCATCTGGAGACAGTTCAACGTTCTGCAAACCAGGTAAAAATAATACAGACGATTTTAGGAATGCATAGTCACTTTATAAAATAAACTATTTTCTTTCTCAAGTTTGATCTACAGATTTTTGCAGAAGCTATATTTATCATCTAATGTATAACTTGTTAATAAACATGACATTGTATCAATTTCGATTATCTGTGAAGAGCAGAGTGACTAAAGCATGCATTTGTGCATTGACTCATTAATAAAGTTATAGTTGTAGTATAACTTACTTTTATAAAAATATTTTAAAGAAAAAAGAGGACATGTGGCTATTTGATTTGCTTGTTACAATTCTAAACAAAGTAAAGAGAGGTATGGGCTAAATAAATTTAATATTTCTTTAAAAAGTAACTTTTACCAAATGAATACATGTGCATATATTTAAAATTCAGGTAAATTTAAAGGCTAGTAACTAAAGAAATAAACCTTTTGGCACAACTGCAGGAAAGGAACCACTTTCAAACTCTTTAATTTTTATTTTACTTTTGTGGTTTTAAATAACATCTATAAATCTATCTCAGGATTTTTAGAGTTAGTGCTCTAACAATTGATTTCTTGTTGCTATAGATGTGGATTTAAACTTCCTTAAGACCTCAAAATTCTTGATTCTCCCAATATAGCTATATCACTATTTTTATTGTTTTAATTTAAATCTGTATCTGAATTTATAGTTAGTAAGACTATACAAATAATGTTTACTGCTGAGACTGGTGATGTGATATGATTGCATTCTCTTTACTGTAGTAGAATTTTCATTTTCTCTTGAAGTCAGTGCCCTTCCTTCCTTCCTTCCTTCCTTCCTCCCTCCCTCCGTCCCTCCGTCCCTCCCTCCCCTCCCTCCCTCCCTCCCTGCCTCCCTCCATCCCTCCTTCCTCCTTCTCTCTCTCTCTCTCTTTCTTTCTTTTTTTTGATGGAGTCTCTCTCTGTCACCCAGGCTGGAGTGCAGTGGTGGGATCTCGGCTCACTGCAGCCTCTGCTTCCTGGGTTCAAGCGATTCTCCTGCCTCAGCCTCCCGAGTAGCTGGGATTACAGGCATGTGCCACAAAGTCTGGCTAATGTTTTTGGTATTTTTATTAGAAACAGGGTTTCACCATGTTGGCCAGGCTGGTCTCGAACTCCTGATCTCAAGTGATCTGCCCGCCTTGGCCTCCCAATGTGCTGGGATTACAGGCGTGAGCCACCTTTATTCTTCTTTTGCTCAGTTTCTCCCTCACCATCTCCCTATCTCCCTTCTCCCCTCCTTCCTTTTTCCCTCCCTTCCTCCTATTCTTCTTCTTTTTATTTTTTTTCTAGGTCTTCCCGAACCCTCCATTATCTTTATAAAATGCCTTTCTATTCAATTTTCTACAATGACAAGCTGGTCAAATAATCTAGAAAGGTCCCCTTCCCACTACCCTTGGAGAAATCTCTCCTGCTACCCTGGCTCCTTCCAGATAAAAGTAGAAAGAGACAGGAGACTTTTATCTCCTTCCACTTTTACCTTCCACTTTTATCTCTAGTTGCGCTCGAAGGCTTCTTATAAAGAGATGTCATTTAGGGTTTTGTTTTTGTTTTTATTTTGGCTGTCGCCCTAGTTTATTCTTCCATTTTATGATGTGGTAGGTGTTTTTTTTGTTGTTAGTTTTTGTTTTTGTTGTTGTTTTTTGTTTTTTTTCTAGAAATCATGTCCTCTTTTTACTTGGCTCTGCCAAAAAGCTTGATTTTACCCCAGTAAAACTGATGTTAAGTTTCTGGCCTCCAGAACTGTAACGGAAGAAATCTCAGTTGTTTTTAAGTCAGCAAGTTTGTGGGAATTTGTTATACAAGAAAGAAACACAATTTGCATTAGAGTTTCTTTTTCTTCCTCATTCTTTGCAATGATTTTTGGAAGTAGAAAGTTATGGAAAGATTATTTATTTTACCTTCTTGAAATTGGAATCCTTTAGTTATCTGATTTAAGATAGTTTTCTTTTTCTTTGCTATAAAGGTTATATCCACCTTCAGAACAATGATGCATTCTCAGTTGTGGAATTTTAATAGAGTCTTCATTCCTCTCCTCGTCTTAGTACGTTATCTCCTGTCATATCATTCTCTCCTCTTCTCCCCTCCCCTCCCCTCCTGTACTCTCCCTGCCCTCCCTTCCTCTCCCTTTCCCTCCCCTCCACCCCCTGCCCTCCTCTCCCCTCTCCTCCCCTCGTCTCCCTTCCTCTCCCTTCCTCTTTTCTCCTTTTCCTTTCCCAGTAATCCAGCAGTTGCCTACTGAGTGCTAGATGTTGTGACAGGCTTTGGAAATACTGAAACCAATAAAGCAGTTTGATGCCTCCATGAGGTCACCATCTATTGGTATAGAGGAGGGACAAAAGTAACATTTGTTTCGTGCAAGACATAAAGCCAAAAGCAGAAATAAAATCAACAACTAAAATACTGTACTAAATACAAAATCAGGCCAGGAGCAGTGGCTCATGCCTGTAACCCCAGCACTTTGGGAGGCCGAGGCAGGCGGATCACGACGACAGGAGTTTAAGACCAGCCTTGCCAAGATGGCGAAATGCTGTCTCTACTAAAAATAGAAAAATTAGCCGGGCATGGTGGTGGGTGCCTGTAATCCCAGCTACTCGGGAGGCTGAGGCTGGAGAATCGCTTGAACCCAGGCGGTAGAGGTTTCAGTGAGCCGAGATCGCACCACTGCACTCCAGCCTGGGTGACAGAATGAGACTCTGTCTCAAAAAAAAAAAAAAAAAAAAAAAAAAAAAAAAAAAAAAAAAAAAAAAAAAGAAAGGAAGAAAAGAAAAGAAAAGAAAGAGAAAAAGAAAAACAATAAAAAACCCAAAAAACTAAATTAGATACATGAACAAAATATTGTGACCTCACATAACATTTAGCAAATCGCTCTGCTTGGCAGAGACTGGGATAATTTATTGAAGAGTGCTTGTGCAGCATCTTAGGAGATGAATTAGCATTTTAGAAAGAACTAAATGGGAGAAAGGCATTTTATGGCAAGGAACTGGCTCTGTGGAAGGCACACACATATTAAGGAGCACACGTTTCTTGAGCATGGCCAGATATTTAATGTGCCCAGAACATAGATTAAGAGTGGTAGGAGTGTGGGCTAATGAGACTATAAAGGTCAAATTATGATGAATATTATTATTATTATTATTATTATTTTTGCTGTGTTAAAAGTTTAGGTTTTTATTATTTTGGAAATGAGGGAAACTAAAGGTGTTGAGCAGAAAAATGGCATGTATTTTAGGAAGAAAATTCTGGCAATATTTTGATTATTGAGCTGCTGGAGAGAGGCTGGAAAACCAGGGAAGGGGCTTTGTAAGAAACCAGGTGAGCAGTAGATGACAATTACCTGAGTCAAAACAGTAGAGGCACTGGGACAAGATCAGAGAATGGAATCAAGAGATATTTCTGAAACCAAATTGGCAGAGGGATGAAATTTCTACCTTTTAGTGAAAGACAGTAAGTGCAATGCTAGCAGTCACAGAGAGCAACTGGATGCCAGGGGAGAGGGACTCAACTGGGTCTGGGCAGAAGCAGAGGAGGTGACATCTAAGATAAGTCTTAAAAGAGAGAAGAAACAAGCTACATGAAAAAGAAGAGAAGCCAGAAAAAGGAGAGAAAGCAGATTGTGGCTGCAGGGCTCTCCAAACACCAAAGACTCTCTAGTAAAAGGCATGGCCATGACAAACAGAGTGGCTGCTGGCTTTGCTTTAATTAGCATATAATTATTGGTGGAGAAAGTCTGGTGGGAGGTAAGGTGGGAAGGAACCAGTCACTGGAGGCTTCTGGTTAATGTCCCCATCCTTTCTTTCCCTAAACATCACTCTTACCCTGTGTAGCTGGGACTACAGGTGTGCACTATCACACCTTTGTAACTTTATTTTTTTGTAGAGATAGGATGTCACTATTGCCCAGGCTAGTCTTGAACTCCTGGGCTCAGGCAATCCTCTCTCCTCAGTGTCCCAAATTGCTGGTATTTCAGGTGTGAGCCACGTGCCCAGCCCCTTCTTAAATGTATACCAGTCTTTAGGCCTAAAACAATCTTTTATCAACTGCTAAGACTTCCTTCTTTTAAAGATATGATCAGAGCTTTTGTCTTTCACAGCAGGCATCCTAGTTTCATGTTTTCTTGGGAAATTTGTATAGATTCACACTCACTACAAATGTTATTTTCAGCTGTTTTATAGATGTATAATGCACCATTTATTCATTCAGTACATATTTAGCAAGTAAAAGGGAACAACCAAGATTCATTCTATGCCTTCTTTTGTTGGAATTCAAGCACACTAACAATGTGCTCTCTTGTTGGACAAGCATGAAAGAAAAAGATACCCTCCTTGTCAGGTCTTCATAGTTCTCTGTGCTTACAAGAATCCTGCAACATTTGACGATTTCTTCTCAAGCTTTCCTTCCTGAAAGGAAAAAGGGCAAGAAAAGAATAAACTTTGTAACATGTAATCTGTATAATATATTCCAAAATGCTTTAGCTCAGATATTTTGGATACCTTTCTGATCACATGCTATAGTTAGAATCAATTTTCTTTCTTAAAAGCTTGAAAGTTAATTAATTGAGCTATGACTTGGGGACAAAATGAAAACAATTCCCCCATCCAATTCAACAGAAAGTGGGATCTGTAAAAATAGCTCTTCTTGAAAATTTTAGAACTAGAATCATAGAACTTTATTTGCTTTTATATTCATTATCCCATAATATCCTCTTATAAATGGAAGTTTAGTTCTGATCATTTGGATATTAGCTCAGGGAGCTCAGGAAAGTAGTATGCTGCCGTTGATTAACTCTTCAGGATGCTCTAACTCAACAGGCAAAGTTTCAGTAACAGCATAGGCACCCACAGTTTTAGGTACTAGTGATTTAGGGCCAGTTGTTTAAGAGTATTAACTCAAATTCGGCAGCCCTGCTCCTGAGAGGCTTGCCTTCTTTGCCAACATCCTCTGATTCAGAATATCCTAATCTAAAGCCTGAAGACAGTCATAAGGAGGTGAATACGATCTTTACATGTACTATATTTTATTTTTGTAGAAGTTCCAGAGATAGTATTTTACCCATATACAAATTAGTGTCTTGGTATGGTAAGGATTTTTGGCACCAAAATCTCTAAGGGGATTTTTAGAACTAAGGAGGGCTAAAGGGAAAGATAATTTGAATAGGTTGGCCTTTCCACACTCCTTGAGTTGTGGCATGTGACATGCTTTTCACTATCTGCTGAAGGAAGCCCTGGTTTATCTCAGAAACATTCTTGTATAAGTGCCAAATACAGTCTTGTTTCTTGTTCTTGACTCTGCCACTCCATGTGGCTGTAATATGCTGGAGCACATTTGCCTAATGCCTCCGGTATCTTTTCCTTGGTTAAAATTGTTATTAATTCCACACTATCTTCCTAGGTCTGTCTCTGGGGCCCAAGCAGATTTGGTCACCCAACAGCTAGAGCAACCACTTGACTGGGTGAACTCTATTGGCAATGAGGCATATGGGGGCCAGGCAGTATCATCCACGATAGATGAAAGACAATCTGGGTATCAGGACCCCAGTTAAGCCCAGGCCTCACACACAAACGATCCTCCCTTGAGGAGCTCAATAGTTGCCCCTCAAATAGTTTCCCATAGGATTAGACTTCAGCTTTGACCTGTCACTATTGTAGACATGCTACCTGTGCTTACTTACTTACATTAATGTAGCAACACCAGTGAACACAAGAATCAATTATACATGTGCATTTCATAACACCCCTCCAGGAGCCATTCTTCCTCTTCCTTCCCAGCTCCCATTCTAATCATTTATTCATTTTTTAAAATTATGGGAGATCATCTAATATTCTCTCTCTCTCTCACCTTCATATTTACTTTCTTTATTTGTTTTAGTGGGTTTTTTTGTTGTTGTTGTTGTTTTAACAAGAGCTTTGAAAGGCAACACCCAGGCAGTATGCTTTATAGATTTATCAAAACAAAACTTGTTGAACTGGGTGCTCTTGACCACCCTGCTCTCTGATTCTCAACATGAGATTTCACCTGCACATTCTGATACCTTGCTGAGCTTTCACTTTTCATTAATGACCTAATTGTATAGTTTTCTCTGTGTTGGCATGCTTGTTCTCTTCCCTTTCCCTTTCTCCTTCCTTCCTCCTTTCCTTCTTTCCTTTCTTTCTTTCTTGCTTCCTTCCTTCCCTCCTTCCTTCTCTTTCTGCCTTTCTCTCTCCCTTTCTTTCTTTCTTCTTTTTCTTTCTTTCTTTTCTCTCTCTTTTTTTTTTAAAGCAACCTCACTCAACTCCCAGTTGCTCACCCATTTGGCTACATGTATCCTCGGCTGCAGTAAGATACTTTCTTGCTTCCCAATCCTTTGGGATCTGTACAGATAGGGAGAGTCTCAGACATGAGTTATTTTAGATTGTCTGAGAAGATCTAATTAAGGGTCAAAGTAGTAGATGTTGTGGGAGGGCATTTGTCACTGGATGAGATGACTGTCACCATATGCTCTCGAAGGAGAAAACAAAGGCTATAGACAGAGATGAACATGATTTTATAGATTTATTTTTAAAATCTTCCTGTGAATCTAAGCAACAGAGCAGAAGCAGTGAAATTGAAGGGAAGGGGGAAATTTCCATTCCTTAAAAAAGAAGAATCATTTCAAATTCTAACTAGATTTGGGAAAGTAAAATATTTGAAAAAATTAAGGGCTTTAAGATGTGTGATAAAGAGAATGCTGAAATTAATGATACAGCAAAGTTGGAATGTCTGCCTCTCCTTTGTTTAATGTTTTTCTTTTATTAAAAAAGATACTTATATGTTTTTTTAATTTAGAAAATATCAGAAAGTAAATCCAATATTCTACTATACAGAGATGATAGTTACTGTCAACATTTTGATACCTGATCTTTTAACTATATTGAAAAATACTCGTCTTACAAAATTGGAATCATACATTATCTGCAGTTTGTTTCTTTCCCCCTGCTTTTGCTTACCTAAAGTTTACATCTCATGACTCTTGAAAATACCATTTTTAACCAATATCTAATATATCATAAGAATTGATATACTCTATTTTCAGTTTTCCTGGC
Source organism: Homo sapiens (assembly GCF_000001405.40). Lineage (NCBI taxonomy): Eukaryota > Metazoa > Chordata > Mammalia > Primates > Hominidae > Homo > Homo sapiens. The sequence continues at coordinate 16,188,752 of NC_000021.9, forward strand.
AGTTATAAACAATTTTGTACAAAAATGGTGCACACATTACACATACCCCTATCTCACTAATGAATTTCTTACAAAAGGGCCCTCAAAGTATCACTGAGAATCGTGCCCCATCTTAGAGCCTTTCACTGGTACGTCCCTCTCCACAAGTGCTTTTCTCCCATATATTACGTTAGACTCCCATATTACACTCAGATTATTGCTGAAATGTTACCACACCAGAAAGACATTTCCCTGAACCCGTATGTAAAATGTCGTATCTGCTGCCTCCGAAGTTATTTGTCTTATCCTGCGTTATTTTTGTCTTAACGTTCAGTAGTACTTAATATGTAATGTTTATTTGTCTACTTGTTATCTCTACCTCATAGAATCGAAGATAAACGAGGCAGAAATTTTGTTTTGTTAAATGCTTTATTCCTAGCATCTGAAACAGTGCCTGAGACATAGTACGTGATCAATAAATACTTATTTGTTCAACAAATAAATACATAAAAACAAAAAGTACAAAACTTTTGGTACATATAAATAAGTTGCCTTCCAGAAAGCCTGTTTTAATTTGTATACTCATATGTAATGTATGACGATACTCATTTTACAACAGAATAACCCACTTTGAATATTAGTTTTTAAATGATAAAAAAATAAAAATGTACACTATATATCAATGTTGCTTCAGGTTTTTTTGTTTTGTTTTGTTTTTTGTTTTTTTTTTGAGATGCAGTCTTGCACTGTCGCCTGGGCTGGAGTGCAGTGGGGCGATCTCGGCTCACTGCTACCTCTGCCTCTCGGGTTTAAGCAGTTCTCCTGCCCACAGCCTCTCGAGTAGCTGGGATTACAGGTGCCTGCCACCACGCCCAGCTAATTTTTTTGTATTTTTAGTAGAGACGGGTTTCACTATGTTGGCCAGGCTGGTCTCGATCTCCTGACCTTGTGATCTGCCCGCCTCGGCCTCCCAAAGTGCTGGGATTACAGGCATGAGCCACCGCTCATCTCTTCCTCTTCTTTATCCATTCTTTTTAAATTAAAGTGTTTGCTCCTTTTTTTCCTTTAAAATAATGTGCAAGAGCTGTTATGCATTAATAATGTTGAAGTTATTCACATTTTTATAGACATGTTTCTCTCTTTCATAATATCATTTTTAAGTGATATCGTAATATCATTTTTATTTTAGATTCGGGGAGTACACGTGCAGGTTTATTACATGGGTATAGTGTAGCATGCTGAGTTTTGTGTATGAATGATCCTGTCACCCAGGTAGTGAGTATAGTACCCAATACGTTTAGCCCTTTCCTCCCTCCCTCTCTTCCCCCGTCTAGTGACCCCCCGGGTCTATTGTTTCCATCTTTATGTCCATGGGTACCTGGTCTTTAGCTCCCACTTATAAATGAGGATATACAGAATTTGGTTTTCTGTTCCTGCACTAATTCGCTGAGGATAGTGGCCTCCAGCTGCATCTATGTTGCTGCAAAGGACATGATTTTATTATTTTTCATGACTGTGTAGTATTCCACGGTATGTATGTACCATATTTTCTTAATCCAGTCCACCACTGATGGGTATCTAGGTTGATTCCATGTCTTTGTTATTATGAATAGTGCTGTGATGAACACACAAGTGCCTGTGTCTTTTTGGGTAGAACACAGAATATACTTTTAAGTTTTCCTTATGTTTTGTGACATTTTAGATTTAAAAACATGTGAAATCAAATATTAGAAGATTTCTTCCAGCAAGCTTACCTATATTGTTGCTACAGATTTCAAACACATCTCTTATTTTTTAAAGTTTGTCATTGATTTCACTGTTGTAATTTTCCAGTGTCATTTATCATCCTTACTTCATTTTTTTTTAAATCCATTATGGTTTCTTTCTTTTCTTTTTTTTATTTTTAAGTGTATACCTCCGTTTCATTTTCTTCCTTTTATTTTAAGCCATTTCCTCCTTCTTGTCCTGTATGATAGGGAACATGGCTTTGTGAATTTTATTTAAAATCCCTGTTTTCACCTGTTTTAATAGTAGTATATTTACTTATTGCTCTCCTTTTAAAAATGTTCTTATCCCATTTTCTCTGTAGTATTTGTGTATAGGCTCCACCTTTATATTTGTTTTTTTATTGGCTCAACACTCTGGATTAGCTTAGATCTATCCAATGTCATGTTTACAACCAGATAACTCCTGTTGTTTTCTTACTATTCACTTCTTGCTGGTTAAATCCCATTCATGCTGATTAAATCCACTTCATGTTGCTCCAGCTGGGTGACACGTTGGTGTGTGGACCTCCCAGCAGCTAGAGACCAGGACACATCTATGCAATCTGACTTTGCTCTCAATAGTAAGTAGGTCTCTTATGTCCCAAACCTTGTTATATCACAAGGATGAAAAGCTACTATTCCTAGTACAGTAAGTTCATTTCTTCACCATCTTCCTCTCTCTCCTACTGTATAACTCATTTTAACTAATTTTGGGGGGATGTAATGTGTTACATGCCAGCCCTCCCTGCCCCGTCCTCCCCCAACTCCACCTCGCTGCAACTTTCTGTTTTTGGGTACTAATGCCAAAATAGGAAGAGATAGTGATATAAGGACACCGCACTATGTACCCTAAGAACCAGCACCTTCTATTGATACCTGATGTAATTATGGCAGTCCAAGTTTTGGTGGAACAGGCCATAAATATGACTGCAGTTAATCAAGAATTGTTAAAAATACCTTCTTAATTTTCAGATGGATAGGACTAATCTTTCTACAATGCAGACCACCTGTTTTTCTTAGCCCAACATCATTAGCTTTAGAAGAATGGTAAAGATATTACCGCTATTAATCTTAGTTTTTAGAATTGTTGAGAGATGTACTTTTCAGTTTAAGTATTTTAACAAAAAGTTAGCTGAGACCACCTTGTGATGGTGGACTGCTATCCAGATGTCATGGAAAACTAAAATTTTTATGGCAATATTTTTCAGGTCTTTGATTTTAGTTCAACTCTTCCTTCATCCCAAAATGACTATCTTCCAAGACATTCCAAATGATTGGACAAATGCATAGATGCATAATAGGATTAGAGTAGAAAATATCAACATGACATAATAAGTAGCAAGTATTTTCTTTTATTATGTGATGTTTTGAAATTATGTCTTTGTAACTTCATATATTATTATTATGTCATACCATTTTGAATGGCCTTTTATTTAATTAAAATATAATTTTAATTATTTTCATATTTATTCTAACTTAGCATCTCTAAATACACATCATAGGGTTTTAGTGGTAGAATTATCTAAGCTATTGAGATGTTTTTCAAGTTAGATGAACTTAGTGAAAAATGTTCTGCAATGTTTGATAAAATCACCACGGCATCTAGAGCAGTGGACAATATCCCCGTGAAATGATGGTGGAAACCGACCAACTTTTTTCAATAGCATCCTGGTAGTGATCTTTTCAGTCACTTTTAAAATGGGATTTTTTTCTGTAACCCGTATGTAATTCAGAATGTCTGTGGTTGTTTTAGTCAACTGGCCATTAAAAAAAAATACATTATGGACTGTGAACTCACCAAGGCCCTTTCAAGTGCTGATGTATGTTTTATGTTTTATGTAGGTTATTAGTGACCTTTTTTGCACTTTTATCAGAAAGTCCTTTGTTTTGTGCATGTAGCTCTGTCAGAATAGAGGCCAGATCTTCAGGTGTTTAATTGCAGACTTCTAATGCATAAGACCTGCTGGCCTTGTTGACTTTTAGAAGTTATTTGTTAGTCTCAAATGAAAGAAACAAGAAAAAAAAAAGCTTGCTCTTTTTATAACAGAGTAAGATGAAACATGCAATGATAGGGTGGTGCTGAGTTGTAGAAATTTCTAAAAACTAGGTATTCCTCAAACAGTAATTAGAATTTTTGATTTTCTACATATCTATTGGCTAAAGAGCCAAAAATGGTTTTCAATAATGCCTGTTTTCAATATATAAAACGTCCATAACAGAATCACTAAAAGACATCAAATTATTATTATTTAAAATTTATTGAGAGGCAATGTCAATCTGTTTTTTCAAACCTATCAGTGACTCTCTATTGTATATTGGAGAAAGTAGAAACTCTTAATTTCTGCCCTAACCCCCACCCATAACTGATTTTAACACTCCTATTACCACATTATTTGTTACTGCAGTTTTTAAAATTGACTCTATCCATCAGACAGTATTATTTGGCCGCTGTTTTTTTACACCTGTCTTATTTATTCTTGATTTTTTTTTTTTGGTTTGTCTGTTTTATTTATGTCACTGTCCACTTTGCAGACAATTTAGTTGGCCAGGTATCCATGAGGAATATTGCCATTCCTGCACTGTGCTGAGTCAGACATGCCTTGTGGCATCATCAAGTAACAAGGTTGAGAAAACGTGGGTGTGGCAAATCCATTTCTGAGTAACAGCCTTTTTGGAGGGAAGAGATTGGCTAATCCAATCAGTATCAAAGCCTGTGCTTCTTAATTGGGTTGTATTATTCAAAAGCATGGATTTAATTTGAAATAAAATTGCCTGATGTTTCTGTATCATTGATTTATTGATGGTGGCGGCTACTATTTTTTAGTGTTTTCAAGGAATATGAAAACTTACAGTATGAAATTTACACAAATCTGTAGTTTTAAAATATTACCTTTTCCTTTAGTGTTTCTCCTATTTTCCGTTAGTTTGAGTTCTCATTTTAAAAAAATGTTAAAGAGAAAAAACATTTGTCTGACATAGAGCTCAAAAGGAAATTCTCATTAAAACAACTATGAGAATGAGAGAAATCATGATACTAAGATAGTATGTAATCTTTAGAGTTTAAAATAGTTGTTCCTAGCCCCTAAAGTGATATTATTTTGACTTCCTTAAGCATAGAGAACTTTGTTTACAGTAGTTCTACTCTGCAGTTAGGTGTAATAAACCAGCATTCTTTACAAAACTCAAATGAGACCTTGGAACCTGAGCTATATGAGTAACACATATATGATCCTGTGATCTATATGATATATTATTTGTCATTTCTCTATTCCCAGCTTGAAATTTAATATAAAAAAAAGTTTCACTGCTTCATTCTAAATCCTGTTTGATCCAACATGGAAAACATTGTTTTAGATTTCTTAATGTAAAAAAAAAAAAAATATATTTGACTGGATTAGATAGTAGTTACTGCAAAAAGTTACTGCAAAAAAAAAAAAAAAAACTCGGAGTTTACCTTTAGTCACATCTTCAGTACATTTTCTATTAAAGTATTTCTAGATTTTAGTGTCTGCTTGGTTTTGGTTATCTAAGCTGTAATAAGTAGCCTTGGGACCCCTGAAGGCACGCCCCACACACTTATGCTGTGTGACCTAAGGTCACAAGTAATGGCTGCAAGCTAATTGATTGAGAAAGGGTTGTCTGGCGGGGCCTCTTTGCGTCCTCCCTTTACATTCCTAAGTTCTGTGAAAGAGGCACTAGTAGCTCAGGCTAGCAAGGAAGGAAAAAAGAGGAAGTTTCTCTCTGCGTTCTGATTACACTCTGAATTCCCTTGTAGTGAGCTTACTTCTCTCCACCCACTTCTTACCAAGAACTCCTTAACTTGAGGGTGAACAACTTAAAGCTTGATCCTACAGTTACCTGAAAAGTGATTTGAGTATTCATTGAACTGAAAGAACAAATCGCCTACTTCAGGCGGTGGCAAGCGTATGGAAATTATATTAGAACTTCAGCAAAGTGCACAGCTGCATAATAGAGAAGCCGGCACTCAGATTGACAGGCAAATAAGCCAGCTTGTGGAAGGGGCCTCTGGGTGGCAGCTCTGGGCTTTTGGGTGTTGGACAACCATAGGCAAAACTGAAATGGAACAGGGGCAGAAAATAGCACACTTTTACTCTACGCAACTGTTGCTTTTTCATGGTGAGTGCAGATTTAAGATATTATATTTAAAATATACTTTCTATGTTGTAAAACAAGTTAAGAAATCTGTTGTGCTTTGAGGGAAATTATAGCAAAAGCATTTCTTAGAAGTTCTTAGACGATGTGGTTTTGTTTCTGCTTGATTTCACACTAACCTTGGTGATGCAAACAGAAAAATACAATATTTGTATTGTCTCGTGTGTCCTTTTTCTGAAAATTGTCCTTTGGTTTAAATCATGCTTCTCTTCAACTTGAATCAGCATTGTTTTAGGCAAATCATGTGTGGGATAGATGATGAAGGAACAACGGTGTGACAGAATATATGTAAACATTTCATTTAGTTCGACTTTGTGTCACTTCTCCACGGCTTCATGTTTTGCCGCCTTATCTTAGGAATATATAGCGCAGTCTGCATGAAAAGAGCTTTGTGTGAGAATTCCTGGCCAGTTGAAGGGTCAGGGCCTGTGCGTTATCTGACTGCCAGCAAGATCACTGGTGTGTCCTCTTATTTTTAACTTAAAATAGGAAAAAAAAAAGTGCATCTTTACATATTAAAAAGTAAGTGTGTTTGATTTCAACAGTTCCCTTCTTGTAGTATGTGGATGTTATTCCTGGCAAAGAATTGTTTAAATTTCTTTTAGGAAGCGGCATGCAAACTTCTTTTGTTTCTTTTTGTCTTGTTTGCTCATATTTCATTGAAACTTTACACACTTTAAAAAAATTTGAAATGGTACCAAGTAGTTTTTATTTTGGTGCAAATATTTTGAAAGTTGCTAGGCTTATGTTTTCTGGAGAACAATGTCTCAGAGTGTAAATTTTGTTTAACTCCCCGTGTAGTCATACTTATAACTCTACTTTAAATGTGCTTCTTATTTTAAAAATATCAGAGCCTATAGAGACTATTCCTAGAAATGTTAATAGAAATGTTTTTCTTTGGCAAAAATTGCAGATTCAGTTTTACAATTTATTAAGTGCCAAGATATCATTGCTGTTGTTGACTTTGCTAAAAAAGCAATTTTATTAACAAGGTGACTGCATTAGATGTTACCAACTGAGACGAAGTGAAACATGTGCTTTCACCCTGTTGATCTGATGAAATATAGAGGTCTGTGTGGTTACTTCGTGCGTCACATTCATTTAAACTTTTTAAAGAGCAGCTGCGTAATACAAATTTTGTATACTCACTTAAAAAATAAAATTTACTAGAGTAGGCTCTTGTTTTTGGAGACTTATACATTCTGTTTGCTAAAGTAAACTAAGAAACTGAAAAAATATATTGGAGTTAGAAGCTCCAAAACTCTTCAAAGGGAAGAAAGCTTTTAAGAAAAAAATGAATGTGCTTTCAGTTATAAGGCAATTTTGAAGCATTACTTAGCTCTCTTTTGCAAAGATTTAAGGAAAAATCAACTGTTGTGGAACTAAGTAATAGGCTTGCCTTTATACAAAAATTATGTATAAAAAGAATAATTATTTTCCGAACTGTTTCTATGATTTGATACAAGCTTCCTTCAACAATTGCAAAATGTGACTGACAAATCCTTTTCTAAGAGAACAAGTTCATTATGCTCTCGTCACCTGTTACATTCATTCTCCCTTGCCCACATACACAGTTCCTAGCTGTTTATTAGTGCTGCAGGAAAGTGAAAATATTTTTTTTGAAAGAAAATGTCAAAGATTTTATTTGCATGAATCTTTTGAGCTTTAAAAAATTGTGGTCTTATCATAATTGCCCAAAGTGTTTTGTTAATAAGGTCTTTTGTTATTATCTTAATATGAATAGTCAGGAAAGGACATATAAATCATTTTGGATTTTCTTTCACTATATCTCAAGTAAAGTTAAGGTGTGGCTGAGGGTTTTTAAAAGGCCAAGAGATTAGACCTTTGAAAGTTTATCCTTTTTGTATAAAGATGTTTTAAAAAATGTTTACCACTTACCTATTCCCTCCAAATGAATGTAAAGACCAAAAATTAAAGGGAACTTTATTATTTTACTTGGTTATAAAGTCTAACCACAAGGCAGGAAGTTACTAGGCTTTGGAGAGACGCTACAAAAGAATGAGCTTCCCTCTAATGAAAGTACATAAATCGTGAAAAACTAAAGACCTACTTCTTAGTTCTCCTAACATTTAATCTTAAACTAGTAACGCCTGTCTTTTCTTTGTATATTTACTTATTGATTTGCTGCTGAGACAGAGGCATCTTTTAAAAACTGAAGTCAACCACATAATTTTAATACCATGATTTTAAGAAGGTGTATATTTTCTTATGTAAAGCTAGTCTTCCATAGATGTTTAGATTACGTATTTGATTACTAGGAAACAGTGGCTATATGGTCACAGATTAATATATGCTGATCTCTCTTATCTATATATAAAACATATATTCACATACAAACATAAACACATATCTTGTGCTTAGGCCTCTAACATCTTAAGGCAATGTCTTTTCCTCCTAGTTATGCACTTAGTTTTGAAGACATGTGTAGATGAAATAAAACGAAAGAGTCTTCTGACAAGTGTTCTGAATAAAACAAGAAAAAAAAATGCTTCACCAATGGTGTGAAGCGTAACACCAAGCGCTTGTTACAGAATATATCACTAGTGGGTTTGTTGCTTTTCTTATGTATTTATTACCATATTGATGATTACTTCTCCTTTGCCTATAGACCAGGTTGGTGGTGTGTGTGTGTGTGTGTGTGTGTGTGTGTGTGCACTTATGAGCTCACATAGGGATGAGAGAGTAGCCTGGACATGTGCCAGGGTTATGACACTCTTTGATTTACTTCTTCAGTTCTCTTGGTCACTAAATTTCAGGCTCTTCTGTACCCTTGTAGCAGTTGACAGCTGATACAGTGAAATCGTGCCTTCTCTTTAAGAGTACATATTATATCAGCTGCATTCTTTCAAATGGATTGAACAATTTATGTTAAAGATGATTTATTCCATCAAAATATAGAAAATAATCTATAGGACTAGATCCTATCATCCCAGACAAATTATGGGTCCTTAAAGACTTTCCTAGAGAGTAGCAGTATAGTTTTATTCTTCTTCTTACTGGGTAGAGAGCATAGAGTTTGTTCATCTTTCTAGACACTTTGATCTTCCTGAAATTATTTCCACAATTTTGATCCCACAAAGCACAAATATTGCTTTTTTTTTTTTTTTTTTTTTTTTTGACAGAGTCTTGCTCTGTTGCCAAGGCTGGAGTGCAGTGGCGGGATCTCGGCTCACTGCAACCTCCCCCTCCCGGGTTCAAATGATTCTTCTGCTTCAGCCTCCTAAGTAGCTGGGACTGCAGGCACCCACCACCATGCCCGGCTAATTTTTTTTTATTATTATTTTTAGTAGAGACGGGGTTTCACCATGTTAGCCAGGATGGTCTTGATCTCATGACCTTGTGATCCGCCTACCTTGGCCTCTCAAAGTGCTGGGATTACAGGCATGAGCCACAGTGCCTGGCACTGCTTCTTTTAACATTAGCTCTAATCTCTTTTTCTGGAACTCCATAATAGATATATGTTAAAGTTTCATAATATACATATTTCTTAAATTCTCTTTCACACTATTTTATATATCTATCTGTGCTGCACTTTTGGTGAATTACTGAGACATCTTCCCATTTACTAATTCTTTTTTTGACTATGTCCACTCCAGAATTTATTTTTTTGACAATGTTTTTCTTTTCTGGAAATTTTAATTGATTCTCATCGCCACTTCAAATGTTTTATTTCTACTTACTTTGTTACACATTGTATTGATGTTATTTCTTGTCTCTTCCAAAATCCTAGCATGCTTATTTTGAAGTTATTCTGAAACCGCTCTATTATTTTCATGTCTTCTGGAATAACTTCACTGAATGTTGTTTTTAAAATTTTGCTGGTGCCTTTTTATATCATTCTCTCATGGCTTAGAATTTTGGTTTTCAGGCTTAACTGGAATGAGAAGGATTTAAAAATTCTCTCTCTCTCTCTCATTGCTAGCCCTTCTGCACCATTCCTATTGTCTTAGTGTTGGCTCTGTACCCTCTCGTTTCCCAGTCTATAATCTCTGCTAATGGGGATATCAAAAACCTAGTCACTAAATCAAAGAGCAGTCTGTCCCAGGATGTGACTGTGAGATTATGGCTGCTTGCTTTGGCCTCCCCAAGAAAGCAGCTCTATGCAAGCCGTGGCTCCAGGAAAAGGGAGGTGTTAGTCAGTTGTTCGGCTTCCTCTTGTCTTACCTTCAGGTTTTAATCAGTAAGCTTGGCACTGATTATTACTCCCTGTGGGACACATGTGGCATCCAGTTACTTTGCAGATACAAGGATTGGCTTGCTTCTCATTCTAGACACCATCTGGTGCAGTGTACCTCACTTTGTGTTTATAGTTTATTTCTGGTATGTTTATCTTGTTTTTGACTATTACTTTTCTTTTATATCACCTCTTTTAAAACTTATCTATTATTGTTACATGTTGGAAGCAAAGGCACGGGGCTCAAACCATATTATTGCAATGCCATCTTGACAAGAGTTTTCAAAGCCGTGGGCTTTGGAATCAGAAAACTTGGTTTCAAATTCTGACTCACTTATGATCTATGTGTTACCATAAGCAAAGTCTTTAATCTATTATAAACCTCCTTTTCCCTTGCAAATATTGATAGTAATGCCTACTTCGTATGACTGTTGTAAGCATTGAATGTGAAAAGATGTGGAAAGTAGTTAGGCCTGTGCTTAAACATTCTGTGCGTGCAAATTCTGGAGGTGGAGAAAAAGCAATTAAAACCAAAACAAAACTAGATGTTACTGATTATGTAATTAACAAATGGTAATTGGAGTATCAAATAGACTTGCTTCTTGTATTCTGAGTGAAAGTAACACTATCATTTTTGATATCTAAAGCACATTTCTAAAGATGACTGCTGACTGCATGAGTTTCCACAGGTGGATCAAAGCTCTGTTACACTATCCACCTACACCATTCACCTAATTCAGAGAATCTTAATAAAATGAAAAGCATTCTTCAGAATGACCCTTTAGGTATGGTTCTCTAAATCCATGTCACTTAAGACAGATGGAAAAGAAGAGAGAAGTGGCATGAGAACATGCTTGTGGCTTGATGAATAGTAATATATATACCACCCAGGTTGGGTTTCTGTAATAGTGAAAATGGGGAGGAGGGTGGTGATCTTTTGTAAGTGTTTCAGACAGTCTTGTTTTGTTGCTTTGTAGCTACTTTGTAATATTGTCTCTTTTAAAAACATATATTTTGATGACCTAGCATTCAAATTTATAGCATCAGCAAAGGGTCGGTTTAGTTGAGTGGGAAATGAAATTCTGAAAACAAAAAGTTTTAAAAATAAGAAAGATGGGGATGAAGATAAAGAAGCAGTAGTAGCAACTTGGAATTTGTCTTAGAATTTGAAAATAGAAACAGGTTTCTAAGAATCAGTCTTAGTCCATTTTCTGTTGCTATAACATGATACCACAGGCTGGGATAAATTATAAACCATAGATATTTATATGGCTCATGGTTCTGGAGGCTGGGAATTCCAAGAGAATGGCATTGGTGGAAGCAAGAATGTGAGACAGATGACAGCAGAGAGCCCGAGGGGTAGAGTCCCTTTTTTAAAAAACTTTTTTCTATTTTAAGTTCTGGGATACATATGCAGGAAGTGTAGGTTTTTTAACATAGGTAAACATGTAACATGGTGGTTTGCTGCACCTGTCGACCCATAACCTAGGTATTAAGCCTAACATTCATTAGCTATTTTGCCTAATGCTCTCTCTCCCCACACCCCATCCCCCAGCAGGCCCTGGTGTGTGTTGTTCCCTTCCCTGTGTCCATGTATTCTCATTGTTCAGCTCCCATTTGTAAGTGAGAACATGTGGTGTTTGGTTCTCTGTTCCTGCCTTAGTTTGCTGAGGATAATGGCTTCCAGTCTCTGCAAAGGACATGATCTCATTCCTTTTTATGGCTGCATAGTATTCCATGGTGTATATGTACCACATTTTCTTTATCCAGTCTATCATTGATGGGCATTTGGGTTGATTCCATGTCTTTGCTATTGTGAATAGTGCTGCAGTGTACATATGCATGCATGTGTCTTTGCAATAGAATGATTTATATTCCTTTGGGTATATACCCAGTACTGGGATTGCTGGGTCAGGTGGTATTTCTGGTTCTAGATCTTTGAGGATTCACCACACTGTCTTCCACAGAGCTTGAACTAATTTACATTCCAACCAACAAAGAATATTTAAAGAATAAGCAGAAGATGCTCCTACAAATGGAAATGAAAGGAAGAAGCTAACCTGGTGGAAGGAAAGCCAGTGGTTTGGCCATACTGCCCGAAGTATGGCCTTACTGCCCAAGGATTCCCTTTTACAACAACCCGTTCTTACAATAACTAACCCAGCCCAGCAATAACAATCCATTTATGGAGGACTCCACCCTCATGACCCAATCACTTCTTACTAAGCCCCACCTCTTAATACTGTTTCAATGGCAATTTAGTTTCCAATGTATAAACTTTGGGGGACATATTTAAACCATAACAGAAGCTATTGTCAATATGTCCTCAGGTAGGACATTTATGAAATAAGCATTTTATTTTTCTTTCTTACCACTGGGTTTCCTTCCACCAGATTAGCTTATTTCTTTCATTTCCATTTGAAGGCACATCTTCTGCTCATTCTTTAAATATTCATGAACTTCACTGCTTTTTCCTGGGTTGCCCTCTCTTACTTTTCTTTCTCCTTTGTTCATCTCATCCATCTCCGTAACTTCAGATACCATTATAAGCCCATCTCTAGCCTGTTTCTTGCTCTCAAACTTTAAGCCAGTATATTCAGTTAGCCACAGGCACTTCATCCTCAAGACGTCTGAATTCAAATAATCATCTTTTTGCCAGAATCTTTTACCATGTCAATCCATCATCCACCTGGTTGCACAAAACAGAAACAAGATACGAACTTTGTCTTCTCTCTTTCTGTCTCTACAACATTTAAGGCTTTTGAAATATTGATTTCTAACCATTTCTATTTTTAATCATTTTTTTAAATCACAGCTACACATTTCTTACTATATGATTAATGGTGGACCACTTCAGAGTTGTATCACTTGAGGACAAGGAAGCTGGGGTGTGTATCTGAAACTCCTTTCTGTCATTGGTTGAAGGTTACTCCTGTGACCATGAATTCTAGAATCCCAGCCCATCTCAAGGCAACCCTAGCATGTTCTTGGCTAGAGAACACCCTCAGGCAGAGAGTGGCAGGTGCTTGCAGTAAAACATCCTCAATGTGTAAGGAAAATATAAGTGCCAAGGTTATATGAGAACACCGAAAACATCTGCATTGCACATTTCAGAGGCATTTAAGTTGTTTCTATGTGTTTGCTATTTCAAACAGCATTGCAAAGAACACAATTATATATGCACCCTTGTGAACATGTATCAAATTTTTCTTAGGATAATACCCAAAGTGGAATTTATATGTTGTGAGATATATGTGGTCTCAATTTTACCACTTTTCCAATCACTCTCTAAAATACTGAAATTTCTCTCCAAGGGTAGTGGACAAATTTCTATTTCCATCAGCAGTTGCTAGCATTCCCATTTGCCTCAGTCCTTTCCAATTCTTTTTTTTTTTTTTTTTTTGAGACGGAATTTTGCTCTTGTTGCCCAGGCTGGAGTGCAATGGCATGATCTCAGCTCACTGCAACCTCCACTTCCCAGGTTCAAGCAATTCTCCTGCCTCAGCCTCCCAAGTAGCTGGGATTACAGGCATGCGCCACCATGCCGGGCTAATTTTTTTTTGTAGTTTTAGTAGAGACGGGGTTTCTCCATGTTGGTCAGGCTGGTCTTGAACTCCTGACCTCAGATGATCCGCCCACCTCGGCCTCCCAAAGTGCTGGGATTACAGGCGTGAGCTACCACGCCCGGCCTCCAATTCTTAATATTGTCCAATGTTTTAACTTTTATTTGTTGGGTAAATGATATTTTAAGGCTTTTAAAATTTTCATATTTTTGATTCTAAATGAAAACAGAAAGATATCTAGTAAATCTCTGAAATGAAGTGAGCGATGGAGACCTTATATACAAAATGCAATACATTCATCATTTTTATTATAAATGTATCTTTATTTATTCAAGTGTTCTCTTCAGTGAAGTGCTTCCTTATAACTTTGACAATCTTTATTAAATTGTTTATCTTTTTTTATTGACTTTTTGGCATTTGCTATATACATTCTGAGTGCTGATACTTTGTCTTATATGTTTCAAATAATGTCTCCAAGGCTATCCCTTGATTTTAAACTTTTGTTATGTTTTTCTTATAAAGAAGGTGTTAGAAATTTTAATTATTTTTAAGATAAACATATTCATGTTGAAATCACAAAAGTAGACAATATATAGAGTGAAAAGTCTCCCCACCATCCTTGTTTCTCATCCACTCCGCTCCCACTGGCCCCTTGTGGGGTTCTTGACTATAAACCAAATAAAAGCATACAATTTACACCTCCTTCAATTACATACAGTGTTTTAAACCCTGCTTTTGTCATGCAATGTACTGTGGAGATATTTCAAGATATGTAAGGAACTGTGCTTCATTCTATGAGGGATGAAAATATGAACACAATACACAGCCTATCCACTGAAAGATTAGTCTGTCATACCATGTTGAGAGAGTCATAAAACACTGGGAATTCCAAGGGGAGATATTTCTTTCCAACTGAAAGAATATTCTTCAGAACAGTTGAGAATCATGCATCAAGGAGATACAGTTTACTTCAACACCAGAATTTTTTTTAATCCAACATCTTTCCTTTATTTTTTTCTCTTGAGACAGTGTCTCTCTCTGTCACCCAAACTGGAGTGCAATGGCACAATCTCAGCTCACTGCAACCTCCGCCTCCCAGGTTCAAGCAATTCTCCTGCCTCAACCTCCTGAGTAGCTGGGATTACAGGCACGCACCACCATGCCTGGCTAATTTTTTTTGTATTTTTAGTAGAGACAGGGTTTCACCATGTTAGTCAGGCTGGTCTTGAACTCCTGACCTCAGGTGATCTGCCCGTCTCTGCCTCCTACAATGCTGGGATTACAGGCATGAGCCACCGTGTCTGGTCTCCAGCATCTTAAACATTAAGCTTTCTATAGCTGAGAAAAGTGTAGCAAATTTATAACTGAAGAAAATATATATTAAGAACCTAGTACATATCAAACACTGTGAGAGGTATGAGGGATGTAAAAGTGAACAAGGCAGATAGTCCTTGATTTTGTGGGAGGTAAAGGCTGAGAGTTGAACTGCAATGAAGATATGGTGGATAAAGTGTGTTAATAAAAAGGTATTGGGGGTGTAGCATGTGGACAGGGTGCATGGGTTTCAGATGGAGTCTTGTTGAAAGAGTAGAGAGATATGTAAGTGAGAGTAAGCAATGTTCCAGGCAGAGGAAAGAGATATGAAATATTATAAAATTGAGAGTCTGGTGAGCTTGAGAAACTGCAAAAAGTTTAAATTGTATGGAGCACCGAGTGCTGGGAGTGGCAAAGGGCTGAGAAGGAGGTTTGGAGATAAATACTGGCTCCCTCCTGAAAGGTCTAGTTTGGATTATCCTAAGGGCACTAGAGACAAATCTAAAGGGTTTAATAAGGTTGGCAAATGGTTGTATATTTTCTTTATTTAGATAGGAAAATATCCTGGAACATGAGTGGTAGTTAAACCAAGATAATATGTGCCATTTCTCAAGAATTTTTTTTAATGCTGTTACTGTAGTTACTTAGAGGATTCGAAGATAGGCTTCAGAGTTATTAAAAACTACCAGCGTTTATATGCTGTATAAGCACTAGTATAAAGAAGAATATATGTACATATCCTTTATTAAATTCTCAAACATTTCATTGATTGAAACATTGAAAAATCACTAGATTAAATTAAGAACAGTGGTTGACCAGAAAAGTACCCTTAAGAACCTTTAAGAAAAGAACCTTTAAGAAAATCTTTAAGTTCAGAGAAATAACAGAGAGAATCATGGAAGCCAAGTGCATGAAAGAAGAAAAAGATTCCAAAATTAAGTCCTTTACATAAAACAGTTAAATTCCCTCATGGTACAAGCCAGCCTTTCTGTGCTAATGGGGCCGTTCTGCTCCTCAAGGTAATTCAGGAGCCCAGGTTTCTTTCACCTTGTTGCTCTCTCATCCCACAATATGTTGCCTTTTAGGTTGCAGACATCACTGAGTTCACATATGAAGAGAAAAAGAGCCAAGTTTCGGAGACCACAGCCTGTCTTTAACTTGAAGACAGCCTAGAAATTAAACACAGTATTTCTATTCTACTCATCTAATTGTAGTTACACAGTCACAACTGCATATGAGAAAAGTTGGGAAATGTGGTTTCTAGCTGGAAAGTCATGTCTTTAAGAAGAGGGACAATGAATTTTAGGTGAATAACAAGCAGTTGTCACACCAACCTTTTAAGTTTCAAAAACTATTGAGTGATTAAATAAGTTTACATACTCATTAAACAAGTATTTATCAAGTGATTGCTGTATTTGGTTGATTATTCTATGTGATAGCAATATAGACTTTTTTTTTTTAAGAAAATCATTACCAAGTGGTACATATTTTAGAAAGGAGAGATAGGTGTTAACCAAATTACCAAATAAATATGTGGATAAATTAAGAAGTAATAAGTATTAAGAAAAAAATAAATTTAAAGAATAGAGGGGCTGTTTTCAGATAGAATAGTTAGAGAAGGGCTTTAGGTTAAAAATTGCAAAACGTTCTTTAAAGGATACAAAATTGAGATCTCCCTCCTTGGTCGAGATTTTGCAGTTGAGTTGCAAGCTTAGAACAGTAGTTGAAATAGGGCAGGGAGCGTAGCTCATTGGAAGGAGATTCAGAGTTAAAGTCCAAGGAGTGTTATCTTTTTAATGAGTTTGGGGGCCGTGATTACAGCTTAATGAACAAATGCATGCAGAAATGAGATTGTTGAGATACTTGTGCTGACAGGAAGGAGGGAATGATGGGTAAATAAGAAGTTAGCAAAGCTACTGAGAGTGAGGGTTGTGTGGACTGATTCCAGTTCTTGATGTAGTCACATAAAGGCACGGAGTTGTTATGGAAACCCTCCAGGAAGTTGAGAAGTCCGAGTCTAGTAGGGGAGGTGTGTCATGAGACTGAACCTGTGCTAGGGCTTCTCTAGCTGTGTGCACTGGAAGGGTACCTATACTAGGTAAAGAGGAGGTGGCAATGAGAGAGGTTTAAGTGAGGAATGTAATGTCTATTCTACATAGCAAAAGAAATAGTCTTTCAGAAGAGAACTGACTGGGAGGCGGGCATGTGGCTCATGACTGTAATCCCAGCATTTTGAGAAGCCGAGGTGGGTGGATCACTTGAGCTCAAGAGTTTGAGACCAGCCTGGCAAACATGGTGAAACCCCATCTCTACTAAAAATACAAAAATTAGCTGGGCCTGGTGGCGCATGCCTGTAATCCCAGCTACTGGGGAGGTTGAGGCAGGAAAATCACTTGAACCCCGAAGCCGGAGGTTGCAGTGAGTGGAGGTGGTGCTGTTGCAGTGAGCTGAGAATGTGCCACTGTACTCCAGCCTGGGCAACAGAGAAAGACTCTGTCTCAGAAAAAAAAAAAAAAAATGTGGCAGAAGAGAACTGACTGGAACCACATGCTCCAGTTCTAGATGATGCCTGAATTTGTAAAGAGACTAAAAATGTGTTCCAGATTATATTTTTCGTGACAGGTTTTTTTCTTTTTAATTTAATATTTAAAATTCTAAACTTTTAATTTAGTTGACTCTCTTGATTTTGTTGTGTGGGGATTGTTGTGTAGAGCTGTAAATTCATGGTCACAGTTATAAAGTTAGGTAGATAAGTCATAAAAAATATTAAGAAATTAAAACCCTCAGTGAATCTCTATTATATTCTGCATTTTTTTTTGTTAACATCAGCCGGTTCCTAGTGGATTTATTGATTTTATTTCATGTAATAACTAGGGAAACATGTATTCCTGAAAAAAATTAAATAATGTTTAAAAGCTATTTATTGATATAGTTCATTTAGCATCATATGCATGATCTTTTATAGTCCATTCCTCCGTAGATACTACATCATAGAGCAACCAGCCTTCTTGGCTAGTATATTTTTCTTGATAACTTGGTTTCAATTTTTTTTTCGTCCTTTATGTGTGGATATTTGCATATTCCTATTTCTACTTCCATCTTTGTATTAGAAATGACTTCAGATATAAAGAAACTATGGCCAGAGCTATAAGGATTTTTGCCTTTTGAAGGTAATACCTTGATATCATGACATTTTCTATGATTTTAAGCTTTTTAGTTTTTATCATTTTATATAAAGTATTAATCATTTCTGTTTATTTGCTGGTTCTTGGATTACTCCAAAAATATCTAATATAGACCTTTTGAGGCATTGCTATTGTTGTTTACTTGTTTCTAAGCAAGCCCATTTTCTCTAGTATTTATTTTTTATTAGTTATTTGTTAAATAACTAATAAAACTGTTATTTATTATTTATTAGTTTGTCTTTCCTCCAAGGACATGAACATGTCTTTAATATTTTCTCCTGTTCTTTTTTCAGTTGCATTAACTTGTCTTATTTGACTTCTCTTACCTTTCTTTCTGCAAAGTGTAGCTGATTTCTGCATTCACGTCTCATAATTTGTTACTTTGGAGTGAAAGTCCTGTTTGCCTTCAGCTCTTAGCAAAATCTGTCTTTCATTACCCTATTTGTATTGCCACTTCTTGGTGCTTTAAAATTCTTCTACACTGTTCCCCATTGCTGACACAGTTCCTCTCCTCAGCAGAAATTTTACTCCACTCTCTGTAAAATATCTGTCTCAACAAAGAAGAGGTAAACGTTTTAAATCTTGAAGCTCAATATGGTATTCTTTGACATCAGTCTCTTCTATGTTAAGTTTTGATATCTTATAGCAACATTTAAATGACTTTCTTATTGTTCTCATCTTCTCAATCAATATTTTCTTGTCAGTCAGATTTAAATTAGCAAGATTAGATTTCATATATTCTTGAAGGCAGGATATCACAAAACAATTTAGCAAGCTGTTTGCAATCAATATTATTTATATATTCACACACTAGAGATTACATAGGGACAAATATAACAGGAATATGGCCCAAATCATCTAGATTTAGAGCCCTTTAATCAACATTTAGAATTATTTACTTCTGTGGGTAGAAGAAATTATCGATATTTACTAAATGTTATTAACTTTTTAATCACTGTTACGCCTTTAGCAAATAAATTTATTTATGTATTGGGTGATTAGAAATGACTAGCTACAAACAGATATGTAGAAAAGGGACATTAATACTATACACATACACACACACACACACACACATGCAAAGACTAATAGTGACAGATACATGTACATAGAGAGATATACACATATCATACTTTATGGAATGCTATATTCCATATTTCATCTGCATAAGTCACTGATATACTTTAAGTTAAATCATGACAAAATGAATTGTATGGTTTGAAAGTTCCAGAATGCACCATTAAAAAGGAGGAATCAGAGTGTGTATTCATTGGAATTCTTATTTTAAAGATTAATTATTAATGAATCAAGTAATTTCAAAGTAATATTAATCCTTTTTAGGAAAATTTGAGTGGGCTGACTTTCTTTAATATCTTTGAAGCCAGGGAATTCAGTTTTTTAACATAGGGAAAATTTTGTATTCATCATCAATTTTGGAGCTTCCAATCTTTCCCTGGTACTTGCTAGTTATAGGGGCTCACAGATAACTAAGATGGTTGTATCTTTTTAGTCCATTTCATTTTGAAGAATGTGTGACTATTGCTTTTCATGACACTGTGTCTCATTTATTTTTAATTTTTTCAAATAATGACAATCTAGATGAACTTTTTGGGATTAGTGGGTGTTTAAATTTGTTTTAAGAGGGGCAATGCTACATGTTGCCTATCAGCAATCCAGAATTTTTTACATGTCTAATCACTTTACAGCCACTATGGAAGGTGCTTTGGGATCTAGAGCCAACTATCTGAGCTATAATTCCTATTCACACATTGCTGAGTTGCAGTAGGGAGGGTTAACTAAGAGAGCTTCCTTAATGCTTTATAGAAAAAAGCAGAATATAAATAGGTTTATTCAGAGGATAAAAGATTACCAAATGAATGTTAGAGATGTAGGAAGCAAGGCAAGAACATTCTGGATTGACTGATAATAAACAATGTATGTGAGAGCAAATAATGTAAGAGCAAAACATTTGTTTGACTTTGAGTGATGGCAAAGATTGGAATATATGGCTAGGAGTTTAAAAGTTTAGTCAAATGGATTTAGTGGTCAGTGAGAAGGTCTGAAGAACCAATTCCATACAGAGGTAGCAAATCCCAGAAGAGTAACAGTGTCCAAATGGAGAAATTGTTAAATCTAAGCAGCAGCAAAAGGCTGGGTTCAGCATTGGAGGAAAGACGAGATGGCCATGCCAGCCAAGGTAAAGTCGTTCCAGCCAAGTTATCCCAGACTAAAACCAGGAGAAAACAGAAGTAAGATTTAGTTCTAAGGGACAGGATTGTAGGGAACAGTTATGACCCCTGTTATATATAAAGTATGGACTGGGGACCTTCTAGTTCACAGACATTTTTGCCAAATTGGTAAAAGTTCTCTTATAAAATCTTTAACTCTAGGAAAATATAATTCTCAAACACATGAGGGTAAATTCTTCTGTTCTATAAGATGATGGACATAGAAATTATGGGAAGCCAAGGCCAGGTATGGTGGCTCATGCCTGTAATCCCAGCACTTTGGGAGGCCGAGATAGGCAGATCACTTGAGGTCAGAGCTCGAGATCAGCCTGGGCAACATGGTGAAACCCCGTCTCTACTAAAAATACAAAAATCAGCCACGCAAGTTGGCGAATGCCTGTAATCCCAGCTCTTGGGAGGCTGAGGCAGGAGAATAACTTGAACCCAGGAGGCGGAGGTTGCAGTGAGCCGAGATCGCGCCACTGCACTCCAGCCTGGGCGACAGACTAAGACTCTGTCTCAAAAAATGAAATAAAATAAAATAAAATAAATTCTGGGAACCCAAAAGAGATGGGTAGAATAGGAAGATTCACCTTTTAAAAGTGCATTCTGAGGGAAAGGAACGTGATAACTTGACAGAGATGTTTGACTGCTCCTCCTTCTGAATCCCCTGCTAAAAACTTCAGCTGACAGTTTCAGTCTCACCCAGTTCAAGGGCAAAGGCTACTGGGCCAGTGGCTCATCGACTTATTGTTTCCAGGGGAGACGTAAGACAGTCTGGAGGATGAGGAGTTAGTCTGGAAAAGTGAAGAGGGCCTGCTATAGATACAGAAACTGATGGGTAGCATCCATAGTTGGAGCACAGGTGCAGAGGGTGTGTTCCTCTGACACAGGGCAACTTGTGGTGGAGTTTGACTTAGAAGTGAGATTGTTTGGGGGATGAAAAGGGAAAGATAGATATGAAAAGAAAATTTCCAAATAGCAAATATATTGGTCTTCTGCTGAAAATGGCTAGAACGGACATATAAACTCTGAGAAACAGGAAATTCAGGAAAGGAGCTAATGGTAGAGAGACTAGAGGAGCTTAGTTTGGGAAATAATAAGTTTGTGAGGGGTGATAAGAAAGCCGAGAGGCAAGTCCTTTTGGCAGTTGCAAGCAATGAAGGAGAGAAGTCAAACCTGGAGATGCGTATTTTAAGAGCCTATCTCAAATGTGCAGATCATACTGGTTTTCATATATGATTTTAAAAAAAGTTAAGAAAACATACGTTCTTTAAAATGCAATAAGGTTGTATAATATTCTCTCTGGACCAGTAATTCACACAGCCATCACAACACAAGTAAAACATGCTAATATCTTCTGGTAAACTACCTTTCACAATTCAATTAGATAGGTATTGTACCAGCTCCATTTCTTAATGTGTTCGTTTATCTCAAATGCAACAGTGTGGTAGGATTGTATGTGCCTGGAGACCCTGAGCATAGAAACAGGGGAGAAGAGAAATGCATTAATAAGTACAAGGCTTAAACTAAATATAAAGAATTTCAATATCACGAACATATAATAGCTTTAATCATGCTTGTTCTCAAACATTATTTATGGCAGTGGTTTATGTGATTTTACTTAATTAAAAATTAGGTAAACTGATTTTTAAAAATGTATATATAAAGAAAGCAAGCTATTATTTCTTTGAAAACTGAGCTTTTGCTTTGGCAAGTCTTGATAAAAGTAAGTCTCTAAGAAGTATTTCCATTGCATAAAGTATGGACAATACAAATGTAAAAGACTACACAAATTATAAAAATTCAGATGTCTGTACTGAAATTTTTTTCTCTAGTGACTAAATTCTCCATTCATTTAAAAATATATTAAATTCAAAATTATTGATGGGGCAGTTTATACACAAAAAGCAATAGCAATAAAATTATGCTTGATGGGCACACAGGTAAAGAAAACTTTAACTATATAAATATACACATATATACATATGTCTACATTAATAACATTATTTATTATAGTCTCCATTGTAATAATTGGCTGACCAATCAGCAGACTTGCTGTGTTATAAGGATATATCAGCTGATGTAATAGATAAAACCCCAGCTTCTTAGAGGTTCAGAGCTTGTTCAGATTACAATCCACGCAGTATGCCTTGGACAGTTTTTTACTCCCTGATTCAAAGACTGAAGTTCTTTCCATCTTGTAGCTCCACCAATAGCAACTTCCACAGTTGCTATTGAAGTATTAGTTCACACATGGGGAAATTTTATGGTCTGGACCTGGAGCAGACCCATATATACTCCACTCTTCAGTGCCCAGCCACATGGCCATACCTTGCTCAGGTGAATCTGGGCAATGTCATCTCTCTGTGTCCCTCATGAGAGCCAGATAACACACGTAGGATAACTTTGGTTGTATGTACAAACTCTGAGCCAGGCACTGTGGAGAGCACTTCTACAACCAGTATACATTTTCTACCCTCTAGATTCTTAGTAGTTACGGAACAGAACTTTCCGTAAGTCAGTGTTAATGCAAGGCTGGATTTATTAGCTTATACAGTAGAGGGATAAAGACTTTCTCATAAGGAGAAACTTTTTGCAAGGGGCAGTATTGGAACAGAGCTTGAAGCATAGGCAGGGACTCGTCATCAGCAGAGATAGAGGCTACAGCATGAAAAGTGACATGACAACAGGAAACTATAAAATGGCCAGAGATGAGATTCTATGATAGGGGCAGAGATAAAGATATCTGAAAGATATTTGTGGACTATCACATGACAGGCCTTAAGCACCCTATTTATAGTTCAGGAGTCACTTCAAAATCTTCAGCAAATGCTTGAGAAAGAAAGCAGTGTTCAGAACAAGTAGAATGGAAAGAAATTAGGAATGGGAGTAGTGCAGAGCAGCTTGAACTAATGCACTGGGAATGGAAATGAGAGAACAGGCAAAACATTTGAGAAAGTCGATTTGAAAAGGCAGATTGTTTATGTTGGTGAGTAATCCAGAGATTTTGTATTTCACTGACAGAGTGTTCTCAATCGTTAATCCTTGGGAATTATTTGATGAGTTCCAAAGGGCACTAACAGCTAACAGTCGATCTCATTAACTAAGGATCTGTTAAAACCTGCCAAGGCAAGAATTTTTTCTGGGTTTGACAATGACGTCTCTGAAAGCCTTGAACTTGAAGAGAAGCACAGTAAAAATATCTTCTGTTATAGCCACAAGTTACCACATTTTGCAAAACAAAACTGAATAATAAATTATATAGGATAGACCATGCCCCCACCTTTTTAAAAACTCATTAAAAAGTCTTTTTTATCTTTGTTTTTCCTTAACCAAAATTATATGGCTCTAATCTTCATTCTACATTCTCTTCTAGAGTTATGGTCAGGGTATAGATATTTTTTGAAATGATACTGAAAGGTAACATTTCAGAGAGTTTGAAGGCATTATGAGTCTTGATTCTGCTAGACTTCAGTGAAGGAAAAGGTAATATTGGAGTTCTTCTTCAATGGCACCTGTAAGTCTCATCTGCATAATCAAGAATACTGTATTCACACCATAAAGGGCACTCTTGAAATAGGGTTTTGAGGGCCATTCTTTTCTCATTTTTATGATGCAGGGGAAGTATTTAAACGTTTGAGGAGTAAAATAGCCTCTTCTATTCCCATTAGACGTAGCTGCAATTTACCACAATGTAAAACATCAAATAGTGTTGATGTAGAATATGTGAAGTCTCATTTTCAGGTATTTGACTTAAGAATATTTTTCACTGGCAACTGAGACTGTTAGTCCTCCAAGAAGATAGCCTAAGTCTTGCCAAGTTCAAAATGAAAGATCCTCCTCAACTCCGTCAGAGAAGGGGTAACAAAGTTTAGATGACAGCCATAGAGTCATAATTAACATGTAACTTTTAGATTGATAATTTAAATTATTCCAACTTTCAGAAAAATTGTCTTACTACCCTCAAACATATTATGTGCTATGTATAATTGTTAAGCTTAGAATGGCAATTGGAAATATAGTGTGGTAGCAGAATTCAAGTGGAAGTGCATTAATTGTAATAAAAAATTGTATCTAATCATGTGGTTTCCTGTTATAATGGGTAGTAGTATTTATGTGCTCTTTAAACACTTTGATCTAAGGTGTAGGTTTCCTTTCAATAATGGATACATTCCAAAAATATTTAAAAGGGAAGAAAAAGACATATTAAACGTGTTTGAAATTTACTTTTATTATTTCCTACTCGTTGATGGTATTGAGAGAGTGAAGAAAATTTTGATTAAGCAAGAGGAAAAAGGACTAAGTTACCAGAAAATATGGGTTTTAGCTTAGTTTCCCTCCTTATTGGCCATGAAACTTGTCTGAGTTTTTAGTTTTTATCCACATAACCATTCTATCCACTTCACAGAGTTATTTTGAGGGCCAAATTATTACATGTTTTACATACACAAACAGTGTATAAAATCATTTCCCTTCTGAGGTCACTCTAGTATTTTTATAACATCATGGCTTAACTCCACTGACATAAATCCCATGGCCTATTGTTGCGACTTTCTGATCACTCATGAGTCTGTAGAGGAGTCTTGGTCCTCAGCCTACCGATGAGTCTGTAGAGGTGTCTTGGTCCTCAGCCTACCAGTCTCGGCTTTTAACACCTGGGAGAATGATACAATTCCAGCAATTCAGTAAGGTAAAATATTAGGGCAATGACTGAGATAAAAAAAAAAAGAAAGAATATAAGTTTTACCCTATAATTGGTTGCTGCCAAAGGATTATTTTTCTACATTGCAATTCTTATTACATCACACCACTCTACTTAAAATTATCTGTTAATGTTTTTTCAAGTCTCTTGGTTTTTGATTTTGGCATTTCTTCAAATCTATCTCATGTACTAGAATCTGTGATTTGAGAATTTAGGCTGAAAATGTGTAAGAATCAGGTGCTCTTGTTAAATTTTGTTGAGTTGGAATAAAACCACAACAGAATACTTTTGAGTTTTTAAAAAATAAACTCCCACTGATTTTTAAATAGTATGCACTTGGAGGGAAAATTTTTATTTTGTTTTGCTATGCCTCATCACCATTTCTTTTGCTCTGCAGGACAGTACTACAGAAGGACTAAGTATATAGGAAACTTGACTTATTTAAATAAGGCAGTGAAAAAAATAGAATATGGGGAGTAAAACAACCTCTGAAGCTAAGTCTGCATATATAATAACTGGGTAAGTCTTTCAGTGAGTTTATTGATTAGTAACAGGGGTTTGATACGTAAAACAGAGCAAATTGCATATAGGTATGATTTGAATGGGCTAACATACTTACAATTAATATAAAATATTTCCAGATTAAGAATTATAAGCACACATTAAAATAAGAATAAAGAAACTTTTTCAGGTGTCTTGAAGACCCTGAAGGATTTAGTGAGTCATCAGTGAGACATATTAATAAGGATGAGTATATGTATG
Organism: Homo sapiens; assembly: GCF_000001405.40. Taxonomy (NCBI): domain Eukaryota; kingdom Metazoa; phylum Chordata; class Mammalia; order Primates; family Hominidae; genus Homo; species Homo sapiens. The sequence continues at coordinate 16,214,622 of NC_000021.9, forward strand.
AGTACCTGTTGGGTTTGTTTTCCTATCGTTTTTTCACTCTAAGTAGTAGCATGTATTTTCTTTTTTCTTTTTGAAATGGAGGTTTGCTCTTGTTGCCCAGGCTGGAGTGCAATGGCATGATCTCAGCTCACCGCAACCTCCGCCTCCCACGTTCAAGTGACTCTCTTACCTCAGCTTCCCAAGTAGCTGGGATTACGGCCATGCGGCATTACGCCGAGCTGATTTTGTATTTTTTTTAGTAGAGACAGGTTTTCTCCATGTTGGCCAGGCTGGTCTCAAACTTCCGACCTCAGGTGATCCACCTGCCTCGGTCTCCCAAAGTGCTGGAATTACAGGCTGAGCCACCGCACCTGGCAGGTAGGATGTATTCTCTAGTTCTTTTACAAAAGGAGGATTTTCATTTACCTGCACTTTTTGTTCCCCAAAGAGGGAGTCCTGGAGTCTCTTGGTGTGTATAGAAAGGCTTAAATATTTTAGCCAGTCCTTTGTAACTTTTTCCTTGCTTGTCAAAAGCAATAATATTGCCATCATTGAGAAATGGTTTCAATGATGGCGACACTTCACAGATAAGAACAAGCTTATTAATCTTGGGAAACTCACAAATGATTATTGAGTCTCCTAGATTGCTAAAAACAAAGAAGAATTAATTTTTTGTCCTGAAGATTTAAGGTAATTGTCCACAGCTTAATAATCATCAGGAAGAGGATAAACTCAATCACAGGAAATACAACGTAGTAGTGAAATTTGTTCAATTACAGAGGAAAGTTCCATCGGAAATGGTGGAAATCCTGGCACTTGGAATAAGCAAAACCAAACAGGACAAAGTACTAAACTACAATTAGTAAGGTTCTAATACAGCTCTAAAAAGGAATGCTTCCTATATTGATGATAATTAGTTGATGATAGATTACTGAGCTGAAAACTTGACATTTGATTGCTACTTTTAAGTGTTAGGCAAATTAAGAGGTATGGAAAATTGGACATATCATAGTGTAAATGAATTTATTTTCTCCATGGCAGGATTTGGTTGCTTGTGAACATATAGCAGATTCTCTAATACTCATAAGGCTCCCTCTTTCCTTTAATACGAAGGATGTAGGAGAAGTTCAGCAAGCACTTATTTGTTAGGTTGAATTCTAAATATGGACACAGTGCAGTCTTAAATTATGTTAGAAAAAGGACATTTGGCTTAGTGAGACACATTAATCATAGTGCAGTCTTAAATAGATCTGAGGACTTACAACAGTGCATAGATATGTCTTTAAATCAGCAGAAATTCAGAAGAACATGGCAGGTTAGAAATGATAGGATGATAACTTGGATTTGATTATGGCAAGATTAACTAAGCAGCTGTTGAGATTGGATAATGATATGTGAGGTTCTCATCACCCTGTAACTTGTTTCCACTAATACAGATTAAGAATGTCTGGAGGAACTATAATTATCTCTGTGGCTCGTGCATAACATAATTATGTTTTGCCAGTGCAAAGCATTTTATTAAGTGGAAAATGATTTTTAAAAAGTTATACAAGTGGCTACAAGAACAAATCAACTAAGAACAGAAACATTGGCACTTCATAATAGTAATGTGAAAAATACTTATCTCTTTTTGTTATATGGAGTTTTCAGAATTTAAAGCCTTGTTTATATGACAGATACATGAGGGATTATTTCAGTGATGTTGACCCTCTTACTGAAGTTTGTGCCCCAGGTGTCCAGACCACAAAATAGAAAATGCAATCTTTGTCTGCCTTACATAAATACAGTACTGAGATCAGCTTGTCTTTTAAATGTCTGATTGCTATTTAATTACAAAAAATTTGTCTTTAAACAGAGCACCCAAAACAACAAAAAAACAGTAAAGAACTCATTTCGGAGCCTTGTAATCCACCCTACCACATAAAAAGAGGGTGATATGTCTGACAACTCTCTGTATAATCAGGTTTATTAAGTGATAGTCATTATGCATTTTATAAACACTACCCTAAAATATGTAATGTGAATGTATCTGTTAATCAGAAAAAGCTAACTAAAACTGAATGCAATGTACTCATTTCCATTCTGGTGGCATTCTTACATAATGATTTTAAAGCAACTGTGATGAGATAGAAAGAGTGTTAAAGCTGTAGTGAACAAATGGGAATTCAAATTCCAGCTCTGAAGTGTTCCGGCTGGCTGAGTTTCTTATACTTTCTGAGCCTCCGTTTATCCAGTAGTAAAATGCAGCTATGAATTTCTACCCCAGTGGGCTGCTGAGAGAATTAAATGAGATAATTTATGTGAACAATCTTCTTAGAATATGTTTATTTAATCTGACCTTGAAAAATAATTCACAAAAAATGTGTCAGAGTAAGTTTTCTCTCGTCTCAAAGGAGAGAATATGAAGTAGATTAAGTGACATTTTTGAAAAAAGTTCCACATTTGAAACTTTTATTTATAAAATTGTGAATTTATCTTTAGTTATAGAATAACTTTCCTCTTCCTTTGATCTTTTTAAGCGTAATATTTAGCCCTCTCTTTATTACTCTGAGAGAAGATGAATATTTTAAAACTATTTATATCACATGTCTAAAAGTATTTCTCATTTTTTTCTTAAGCTCTTTTTTGAATATTTATAATTTCTTTCCCTTTTATTCTCATATTTCACACCTAGTATTTCTGCTTTCATTTCATTAATCTTTTTTTAATAACTTGGCACCTGGGCCTGTTTTGCAGCTATGTGCAGCAATCTTAAGTACTATGTATAGTTTAGTTTTCAATCAGTTCCTTGCTGTTACTTTCTGCAAATAAAAACTAGCTTAGCTATGCATGTGATTAACATGGCCCAGGTATTCCTATTACTAGGTCTTTCTATTACTAGGTCTTTCTTTCCTTCTGTGTTATTTAATATAAGGCAAAATAGGACCCTGCCGCTTACCAAGCTTTCAGGATCCTCCATCTTCCATCTTCCACTAATCCCTTCCTATGTCTCTATGAAAAATATATCTCTAAGATGGTGGTTGACAAGAGTGTGAGAGTCAAATGGTAAGGAATATTGCTTGGAAATAAGGCTGAATTAATAATTCCAGAGAAACATTGTGAAATAACTTATAGGTACATAAATTCACTATATTTAGATCTGCCTCATACTTTTAAACCAGCAGCATGATAATTCATAGCATGGACTTATCATCATACCATATATTGAAACATTCCTCTATTGTTGGATGGTTATTTCATTTCCTCTGCTTCATTGTTTTGAACATCCCTATAATAATCACCACTGTATATGCCATTTTTTGCAGAAGTGGAATTCCTAGTTAAAAGTTGAATTTCAAAATTGTTCTTGACAGTTTATACTTCTAGCAACAAAGTCTCTAAGTCTTACTATTAAGAGAAAATGCAAGACTTAGAACAATACATTTTATAAATGACATGTATATTAAAAAAGATCTATTATGTGAATGTATCATATAACTTGAATGATATACACTAAACACTTAACCTCTGGGGAGGAAAATAAAATTAAGAAAAGGTGGGGAAGGAAAATTTACTTCAAATACATTTGTATTGTTCAGATTTTTTACAGGAAAGATGAGTTTATATACTGCTATGTGTGTATATATATATATAACATATATATATCTATATATATATATAGATATATATAGATAAATTTTTTTTTTTTTTTTTTTTTTTTTTTTTTTTTTTTTTTTTTTTTTTTTTTTGGAGACGGAGTCTCACTCTGTCGCCCAGACTGGAGTGCAGTGGCGCAATCTCGGCTCACTGCAAGCTCCTCCTCTCAGGTTCATGCCATTCTCCTGCCTCAGCCTCCCGAGTAGCCGGGACTACAGGCGCCCGCCACCACGCCTGGCTAATTTTTTTTTGTATTTTTAGTAGAGATGGGGTTTCACTGTGTTAGCCAGGGTGGTCTCGATCTCCAGACCTCATGATCCACCCGCCTTGGCCTCCCAAAGTGCTGGGATTACAGATGTGAGCCACCGTGCCCAGCCTACTGCTATGTATTTTTAAAATAAAATTAAAATAGAGACACAAAGGTATTACTATAGTGGTATCAAAGTAAACAGTGTGAAAGCATCCAACCTGAATTTCATAGCTGCAGTGTGATGGCATTTTTATTCAGCTATTTCTAGGCATATTTTAAGGTCTGAGACTCACCATATGCACTATCATGTAAATTTATTTTTATAGGTAAAAACTGTAAAGTAATAAAACAGTCTCAGTTTCCAGAGCAAATCATATCCATCTGTACTGCTGGGTAAATGTAGTTCTGATTCAACCACATGAATAAGATTACACGTGTTTTTGAAAATCACTATTTGCTGAAGATCATAAGCAATTCACATGCTTTGTCTATGGTTAATTTTGGTAATAAGATGCAAGACAGCTCACAGATCTTTAAGCTATATCTAGAAATAGTGCTGATTGAATTTAAGCTGATTATGCAGCTTATTTTGGTCGTTTGCCCTCTTCCTAAATTCTAAAGTTCAAAGTTTAACGTGAAATAGTTTTCTCAAGTTTAGCTCTAGCCAAAGTCCATGAAATGGCTTATGTCTGTCAATAGTTGACCTAATAGATTTGTCCTATGTTGACACTTTGTTCTTTTCATACTAGACTGTGCGTATCATGTAGGTATGTTATTTTCAGTGTGCTGTGCTTTAAAATGGGATTAGAAAGTCATGGAGAATTTTTTGAAAATGTTTTGATGTGTTAGTGTTTTTTGGTAGGGTTTTGGGATACATCATTTATTTATTAATTAATTCATTATTCTGTATTTATTCTAGAATGTCATCAGTAATGTATTGAACTACCAATCATGTTAGTGGAGATAACAAGGCAAGACCAGTATAGTGACATTAGAGGCATAAAATCAATGGGTTCTATAAAATATTTGAGTTGCTTTATAAGAACTGTGTATCAACAGGAGTAAAGTCATCAAGAAGAACCTCTTCTACCAGTGCCATCAAGAAAGGGTTCATTTATATGGGGAAGCTCCAACAGAATCTGGATAGACAGAAATAGGATTCTTTTTCACAGGCAGGGATGGAGATATGTTTTAGACATGGAACATTTGAGAGGATAAAAGAAGCATGAAACCACATGTCTGGTACCTGTGACTACTAAGGCATGTAAATAAGGCATGCTGAGAGATGAGAATGAAGGTAAGGTGGTAAAGCAGGGGTAAGATTTTGGAAACCATTAAAAACCATGCCAAAGTTCATGAACATTTTCCTTTAGGCAGTGAAGATCTTTTAAGGGGTTTTCAGCAGGAGAGCAACAGAGCTGTACATTTTAGAAAGAGCCCTCTGGCAGAAATGCAGGGGATGAATGGGGAATGCACAATAAGAGGCGTTAAATGATTCCTTCTGGTAATATTGGGACATAAAATAAAGCCTGAATGGTGGGGATAGAGAGGAAAGGATTTGATGCAGTATATGTTAAGGAAGTAGTAGGGTGTGTGTGTGTGTGTGTGTGTGTGTGTGTGTTTTCTTTCTTTCTTTCTTTTTTTTTTTTTTTTTGACAGTTTCACTGTGTTACCCAAGCTGGAGTGCAATGGCACAATCTCAGCTCACTACAAGCTCCACCTCCCAGGTTCAAGCAATTCTCCTGCCTCAGCCTCCAGAGTAGCTGGGATTACAGGTACATGCCACCATGCCTGGCTAATTTTTGTATTTTTAGTAGAGACGGGGTTTCACCATGTTGGTCAGGCTGGTCTCGAACTCCCGGCCTCAGGTGATCCACCTGCCTGAGCCTTCCAATGTGTCGGGATTACAGGCGTGAGCCACCACCCCTGGCCAGAAGTAGTATTAACAAGTCAAAGTCAATGATAAAATTTGGATGATGTGGAAGAGGCAGTAGATTCCCAAGCATCTGTCTTGGGTTAATGGGTAGATGGTGATGCTGTTCACCAATAGGAATAGGAAAAGAGGTTTGGGAGGCAAGAGTGAGAAGTGGTTAGTGTTCAGTGTTTAGCTATGTTTTGTTTGGAGTGTTTATGTGGCAGCCAGGTGGAGATTCCAAGTATGCAGTTCAATATGTGGGCCCAAAGGTTAGAACACAGGGACGAATTAGAGATGTAGATTTGTTGGTCATTGACGTTTCATAAATGTAGTGTTAATATCGCACAAAGCAAAATGTTTAGAGGAGGAAGAATAACATTAGGAATAGCAACCTGCCATATATATATATATATATATATATATATATATATATATGACTTACCAACATAATCCATAGGGTGTCACAATTAGGAGTTTATTAGGGACGTTTGTGAGACCAGTCTCAGTAACATAGTGGAAGTATAAGTGGAGCACCCACTCAGTGCATAGTAGAATAAAATACAAATGAAAGAGTTAAAATGAACAGGTTCATGTTCTTTTTTGAGGAGCTTAGCTATGTAGGGGAGGGGAGGACATTAACTGGAGGAATTCACAGGGTAGAGGGATGCATTAATTAATTAGACAAGAGACACAAAGGCATTACTAATAGTCTATGGGAAAATAACTGGTGGAGTGAGAGACTGAAAATGTAGAAGAGATAGGAATTACTCACAAGGCACAGATACAGCAACTCTCAACACAATGCAGCAGAAAAAGGGCAAACTGGCTATTCTTATTATTGAGAAAATTGTGGATGATAAAATAGAAATTATGGTATATGAAAGGACAGCCTATTAACCACTTATATAGCAATGTTTTAAACCTGCATAGGTAAAACGGCCGAAATGGTAGTCTTTCTTCCAAATCTCTTTCCCTCCACCATATGCTAGACACACCCTTTTAATAAACAGCACCACAGTCTACCTTGTTGCTTCAGCTGAAGACCTGAGTTGTCCTTGATTCTCTTTTCCACAGTTTATTCTCCAGACATCTCAACTTCCTATGTTCCTGTCAATTTCTACTACTGCATTCTAATTGAAAGTATAGTTACGTTATCCCCAGACTACAAGAGTAGCCTAACTTTTCTCTCTGCTTATCTAGAGCCACTCCAGCCCCACTCTTCCATCTGTTCTCCACTTACCAGCCACAATAATATCATAAAAAAGTAAACCAAGTCATGTCACTCTCTGGTTCAAACTCTTCAATAATGCATAGTGGGCATGTGGTAAATTATGACTATTATAATCATAATTAGAATTTTCCTTTCTCTTTCTCTTTCTCTTTTGGTTTTCTCTTTACCTTCATTTAACTCTATAATAGCAAAGACATTTAAAAATTGGCCAATCTATTCTAAACATATGATTACTGGTAGATTTATAGAAAACATATTCAGCACTAATGTGACTTATTTCTGTCATAAACATTTGACTCCTTGCTGTTGCCTTATTTGAAAATGACAAATGACAAATAAGTAAAACGGTGTTTCTGTTACTTGTGTTTTATTTGACCCCTCAATTCCCAGTAATAAGTAAGATAATACTTTAAACAATCTTTGACATTTTTTTCTAATTAGATGACAAGCAATCTCAATGCATGCACCACGTGTTTCAAGGATATAAATTAGAGTGAATACTTTAAAAAAATAGAATAAAAGCGGGACACACTGATATTTGACATTTTTGAAAATCTCGAATCTCACATCCCTGATTTTTATAATGACAGTGATTAGGAAAAAAAAGCTTAATGTAAGACAATAAGCTCTGAGATTTTTCTTAGAAATGTACTAAATTTGATTCTAGGAGGAGAAGGCACTTGAGAAGAGCCTGTTGAAGTCTCATCTGCTGGAGAAAATTTACTCCAAGAAAATAGGATGAAAGTGTCAAAGACAATAGTTACAAGCCTTGGTGGTGCAATTGATTATGATCTTGTAATGGTATAATTCTGAAACGATGACACAGATAGTGTCTTTATATGATGGAGCTGGTCCCTAGAAGCAGAAGGCACAGTTTTCAAGTTCAGAAATTTCTAATTAATATCATGTATATGGTGAATTACATATATATGTAATAATATGTAATATAAGGTTCTGTAATATATGTAAGGAGTTTTATTTTATGATATATACCATAAAATGTTCCTTATGTCCTAAGTGTATGACAAAGAATAAAACACTTCATATCATAGCTATGACGTTGTGGAAAAGACACAGAACTAGTAGTAAAGGAGCATGAACCAGATTCCATTCTATCAATCACCGACTATGTGCCTGGGTTTGTCTCCTCTTTAAAACATAGAGAATGCTTCTCCTCAGGCGTTCTCTGATGGGTCCATTCTATGAGCTGATTCTTTTTGGTGAAATCAGTCACTAATTCAGTATCCTGAATGCCATATTAAGGAGGTTTAGAGAAAATCTGAAAGGTAACTATGCTAAAACAGAGGCATTTCTAAGTGAATCAAGTTGGTAGTCACATTCAGAGGCTTTGGACTCGGTCACAAGGAAGCCTAACCAATAATCACTTCACACTGAGTAACCATTCTACATATCTTTCTGTTGTTATAATTTTAGGAACAACTGTAATTTTAGGCAAAACTTGGCAACTTGGCCTTATGTTTAGTAAATTATTTTGGGCTCTTTGTTTTCCAGATTTCAACTGATGTTTTTATAGTGACAAAACCATCCCAATTTGCCTCATGTGAAAGTCATTCTAAAATAATTGATATCCAAAGTCATTAAGATAATGCAACTAAACAGGAATGTAGTTACTTATATCTTATTGGTAGGGAGCATAAAAATGTAGGCACGAGAAAGGTGTTTTAGTGATCTAAAGATCCAATCTGTTATTTTTAAACGATGCCATTCTATTTTGCAAATGCCTACTATAAGCAGAACAGCTGAACTCACTGCCAAATATGAAAGAGTAGTTAAGAAATGATTTGCAGAATGGATCTCAAGGTCTTTATTTTGCTCTTGCGTGTGGAATCTATTTGCTCATTTGCACGTGTGGAAATTTTAATCTCTACAGCATGTTTTTAAGCGTCACACTGAGCCTGGAAGTTAACACAGAATCAGATCAGTAAGTAAATAAAGCATATCTTTGAAAACATGAAATGGAAAAAAAATACTTGTTTTTTGAAAGTTTTATCTTTGCACAAAATGTCTATCTACATGTCAAAGATATTCAGATGTTCAGCTAAGCACTTTGTAGGTCAAAAAATATATTTTTTGCATTCTGAACTCTTGGCATCTTGGTTAAACTTTCATTCTATATTAATTATACGGATGGAAGAGTTTATTCAATACTTTAATGAACCAAGATTATTAGAATTAAGCTTCATGAAATCAGGTTCTTTGTCTATCATGTTCATTACTGATTCCCCAGTGCTCAGTTAGATGCTTGGAATATATTACAGCTTTAATAAATATATTTCAAAATAATGCCATGGAAAGAGGCATAAAATAAAGCTTTGAGACTTAGCCTGGCCATAGCACTGCTTCTAAGCTTAGATCTTAGCCAAGCCATTTCTCTTTCCTTGAGTTTCATTTTCCTCATCTTCTAAAAATAAGGATTTTTTTAAATTGATGAGAGTTCTCTGGTCTTATAAAAGTACTTGACAATTATTATACCATGTCTGAAATAACGTGCTAATCACAATCTTAAAATAAATATATTTCCAGAGGTGATATAATTGCCAAACATACAAATTAGCTCACCTAGTATATAGACTCAAAAAGTTCAGAATGTAGATTTCCTCTGATCACACTTGAAGATTATAGTGCAATTTTCTCCTACAGAAAGTTTGTGAAGTACCATTAAAAATTATGAGTGTAGGTTGTGGGGAAGATAGCCAAATAGGAACACCTCTGGTTTGCAGCTCCCAGCTAGATCAACACAGAAGGCGGGTGTTTTCTTCATTTCCAACTGACATACCTGGCTCATCTCATTGGGACTGATTAGAGAGTGGGTGCAGCCTATGGAGGGCGAAACAAAGCAGAGTGGGGCGTTGTCTTACCAAGGAAGCACAAAAGGTCGGGAACTCCCTCCCCTAGCCAAGGGAAGCCGTGAGGGACTGTGCCGTGAGGAATGATGCATTCTGGCCCACATACCCACAGACCAGGAGACTCCTTCAGGTGCCTATACCACCAGGGCCTTGTGCTTCAAACATGAAACTGGGCGGCTGGTTGGGCAGACACTGAGCTAGCTGCAGGAGTTTTTTTTCATGCCCCAGTGGTGTCTGAAATGCTAGCAAAGAGAACTGTTCACTCCCCTGGAAAGGGGGCTGAAGCCAGGGAACCAAGTTGCCTTGCTCAGCAGATCCCACTCCACAAAGCCCAGCAAGCTAAGATCTACTGGCTTGAAATTCTCGCTGCCAGCACAGCAGTCTGAAGTCGACCTGGGACACTCAAGCTTGGTGGAAGGAGGGGCATCTGCTCCTACTGAGGCTTGAGTAGGCAGTTTTCTCCTCACAGTGTAAACAAAGCCACAGGGAAGCTTGAACTGGGCGGAACCTACTGCAGCTGGGTAAAGCCACTGTAGCCAGACTGCCTCTCTACATTCTTCCTCTCTGGGCAGGGCATCTTTGAAAGAAAGGCAGCAGCCACAGTCAGGGGCTTATAGATAAAATTCCCATCTCCCTGGGACAGAGCACCTGGGGGAAGGGGCGGCTGTGGGCGCAGCTTCAAAAGACTTAAACGTTCCTTCCTGCCAGCTCTGAAGAGAGGAGAGGATCTCTTAACACAGCACTCAAGCTCTGCTAAGGGACAGACTTCCTCCTCAAGTGGGTCCCTGATCTCCATGCCTCTTGACTGGGAGACACCTCCCACCAGGGGTCGACAGATACCTCATACAGGAGAGCTCCAGCTGGCATCTGGCAGGTGACCCTCTGGGACGAAACTTCCAGAGGAAGGAGCAGACAGTAATCTTTGCTGTTCTGCAGCCTCCACTGGTGATACCAAGGCAAATAGGGTCTGGGGTGGACCTCTAGCAAACTCCAGCAGACCTACAGCAGAGGGGCCTGACTGTTGGAAGGAAAACTAACATACAGAAAGGAATAGCATCAAAATCAACAAAAAGGACGTCCACACCCAAACACCATTTAAAGATCACCAACATCAAAGACCAAAGGTAGATAAATCCACGAAGGTGAGGAAAATCCAGCACGAAAAGGCTGAAAATGCTAAAAACCAGAACGCCTCTTCTCCTCCAAAGGATCATAACTTCTCATCAGCAAGGGAACAAAACTGCACAAAACTGGATGAGTTTGATGAATTGACAGAGGTAGGCTTCAGAAGGTGGCTGATAACAAACTGCTCCGAAATAAAGGAGCATGTTCTAACCCAACGCAAGGAAGCTAAGAACCTTGAAAAAAGGTTAAATGAATTGCTAACTAGAATAACCAGTTTAGAGAAGAACATAAGTGACCTCATGGAGCTGAAAAACAGCACAAGAACTTCGTGAAGCATACACAAGTATCAATAGCTGAATCGACTGAGTGGAAAAAAGAATATCAGAGATTGAAGATCGACTTAATGAAATAAAGCAGGAAGACAAGATTAGAGTAAAAAGAATGAAAAGGAATGAACAAAGCCTCCAAGAAATATGGAACTATGTGAAAAGACCAAACCTACGTTTGATTGACGTACCTGAAAGTGACAGGGAGAATGGAACCAAGTTGGAAAAAACTCTTCAGTATATTATCCAGGAGAACTTTCCCCACCTAGCAAGACAGGCCAACATTCAAACTGAGGAAATACAGAAAACACCACTAAGATACTCCTCGAAAAGAGCAACCCCAAGACACATAATCATCCGATTCACAAAGGTTGAAATGAAGGAGAAAATGTTAAGGGCAGCCAGAGAAAAAGGTCAAGTTACCCACAAAGGGAAGCACGTCAGACTAACAGCGGGTCTCTCTGCAGAAACCCTACAAGCCAGAAGAGAGTGGGTGCCGATATCTGACCTTCTTAAAGAAAGGAATTTTCAACCCAGAGTTTCATATCCAGCCAAACGAAGCTTCATAAGCGAAGGAGAAATAAAATTCTTTAAAGACAAGCAAATGCTGAGAGATTTTGTCATCACCAGGCCTGCCTTGGAAGAGCTCCTGAAGGAAGCACTAAATATGGAAAGGAAAAACTGGTACCAGCAACTGCAAAAACATACCAAATTGTAAAGACAATTGATACTATGAAGAAACTGCATCAACTAATGGGCATAAAAACCAGCCAGCATCATAATGACAGGATCAAAATCACACATAACAATATTAACCTTAAATGTAAATGGGCTAAATGCCCCAATTAAAAGACACAGACTGGCAAATTGGATAAAAAGTAAAGACCCATTGGTGTGCTGTATTGAGGAGACACATCTCACGTGCAAAGACACACAGGGGCTCAAAATAAATGGATGGAGGAATATTTACCAAACAAATGGAAAGCAAAAAAAAAAAAAAAAAAAAAGGGTTGCAATCCTAGTCTCTGATAAAACAGACTTTAAACCAACAAAGACAAAAAAAGACAAAGAAGGACATTACATAATGGTAAAGGGATCAATGCAACAAGACAAGCTAACTATCCTAAATATATAAGCACCCAATACAGGAGCACCCAGATTCATAAAGGAAGTTTTTAGAGACCCACAAGGAGACTTTTACTCCAACACAATAATAGTGGGAGACTTTAACACCCACTGTCAATATTAGACAGATCAACGAGACAGAAAATTAACAAGGACATTCAAGCCTTGAACTCAGCTCTGGACCAAGCAAACCTAATAGACATTTACAGAAGTCTCTACTCCAAATCAGTAGAATATACATTTTCTCAGCACATTGCACTTATTCTAAAATTGACCACATAATTGGAAGTAAAACACTCCTCAGCAAATGCAAAAGAATGAAAATCAAAACAAACAGTCTCTCAGTCCACAACACAATCAAATTAGAACTCAGGATTAAGAAACTCACTCAAAACTGCACAACTACATGGAAACTGAGCAACCTTCTCAATGACTACTGTGTAAATAATGAAATTAAGGCAGAAATACATAAGCTTTTTGAAACCAATGAGAACAAAGACACAATGTACCAGAATCTCTGGGACACAGCTAAAGCAGTGTTTACAGGGAAATTTATAGCACTAAATGCCCACAGGGGAAAGCAGGAAAGATCTAAAATCAACACCCTAACATCACAATTAAAAGAACTAGAGAAGCAAGAGCAAACAAATTCAAAAGCTAGAAGAAGACAAGAAATAACTAAGATCAGAGCAGAACTGAAGAAGATAGAGACACGAAAAAGCCTTAAAAAATCAATAAACACACGAGCTGGTGTTTTGAAAAGATTAATAAAATAGTAGACCCCTAGCCAGAGTAATAAAGAAGAAAAGAGAGAAGAATCAGATAGACACAATAAAAAATGATAAAGGAGATATCATCATTGACCCCACAGGAATACAAACTACCATCAGAGAATACTATAAACACCTTTACGTAAATAAACTAGAAAATCTAGAAAAAATGGATAAATTCCTGGACACATACACCCTCTCAAGACTAAACCAGGAAGAAGTCAAATCACTGAATAGACCAATAACAAGCTCTGAAAGTGAGGCAGTAATTAATACCCTACCAACCAAAAGAGCCCAGGACCAGAAGGATTCACAGCCAAATTCTACCAGAGGTACAAAGAGGAGCTGGTTCCATCCCTTCTGAAACTATTTCAAACAATAGAAAAAGAGGGACTCTTCCCTAACTCATTTTATGAGGTCAGCATCATCCTGATAACAAAACCTGGCAGAGACACAACAAAAAGAAAAGAAAATTTCAGGCCAATATCCCTGATGAACATCGATGCAAAAATCCTTAATAAAATACTGCCAAACCGAATCCAGCAGCACATCAAAAAGCTCATCCACCACAATCAAGTTGGCTTCATCCTTGGCATACAAGGCTGGTTCAACATATGCAAATCAATGATGAAAAACACATGATTATGTCAACAGATGCAGAAAAGGCCTTTGATAAAATTCAACACCCCTTCATGCTAAAAACTCTCAATAAACTAGGTAGTGATGGAACATATCTCAAAAAAATAAGAGCTATTTGTGACAAACCCACAGCTAATATACTGAATGGGTCAAAGCTGGAAGCATTCCCTTTGAAAACTGGCACAAGACAAGGATGCCCTCGTGCTCAAAATAATATTGGAAGTTCTGGGCAGAGCAATCAGGCCAGAGAAAGAAATGAAGGATATTCAAATAGGAAGAGAGGAAGTCAAATTGTCCCTGTTTGCAGATGACATGATTGTATATTTAGAATAACTCATCGTCTCAGTACAAAGTCTCCTTAAGCAAATAAACAACTTCAGCAAAGTGTCAGGATACAAAATCCATGTGCAAAAATTACAAGCATTCCTATACACCAATAATAGACAAACACAGAGCCAAATTATGCATGAACTCCCATTCACAATTGCTACAAAAGGAATAAAATACCTAGGAGTCCAACTTACAAGGGATGTGAAGGACCTCTTCAAGGAGAACTACAAACCACTGTTCAAGGAAGTAAGAGAGGACACAAACAAATGGAAAAACATTCCATGCTCATGGATAGGAAGACCCAATATCATGGAAATGGCCATACAGCCCAAAGTAATTTATAGATTCGATGCTATTCCTATCAAGCTACCATTGACTTTCTTCGCAGAATTAGAAAAAAAACTACTTTAAATTTCATATGGAACCCAAAAGGAGCCTGCATAGCCCAGCCAATCCTAAGCAAAAAGAACAAAGCTGGAGGCATCACCCTACCTGGCTTCAAAATATACTACAAGGCTACAATAACCAAAACAGCATGGTACTGGTACCAAATAGACCAATGGAACAGGACAGAGGCCTCAGAAATAATGCCACCCATCTACAACCATCTGATCTTTGACAAACCTGACAAAAACGAGCAGTGGGGAAAGGATTCCCTATTTAATAAATGGTGTTGGGAAAACCAGCTAGCCCTATGCAGAAAACTGAAACTGGACCCCTTCCTTACACCTTGTACAAAAATTAACTCAAGATGGATTAAGGACTTAAACATAAGACCTAAAACCATAAAAACCTTAGAAGAAAACCTAGGCAATACCATTCAGGACATAGGCATGGGTAAAGACTTCATGACTAAAACACCAAATGTAATAGCAATAAAAGCCTAAATTGACAATTGGGATCTCATTAAACTAAAGAGCTTCTGCACAGCAAAAGAAACTATCTTCAGAGTGAACAGGCAACGTACAAAATGGGAGAAAATTTTTGCAATCTATCCATCTGACAGAGGGCTAATATCCAGAATCTACAAAGAATTTAAACAAATTTGCAAGAAAAAAAAACAACCCCATTAAAAAGTGGGTGAAGAATATGAACAGACACTTCTCAAAAGAAGACATTTATGCAGCCAACAAACATATGGAAAAAACCTCATCATCACTGGTCATTAGAGAAATGCAAATTAAAACCACAATGAGATACCATCTCATGCCAGTTAGAATGGTGATCATTGAAATGTCAGGAAACAGCAGATGCTGGAAAGGATGTGGAGAAATAGGAATGCTTTTACACTGTTGGTGAGAGTGTAAATTAGGTCAACCATTGTGGAAGACAGTGTGGCGATTCCTGAAGGATCTAGAACCAGAAATACCATTTCACCCAGCAATCCCATTACTGGGTATATTCCTGAAGGATTATAAAACATTCTACTATAAAGACACATCCACAAGTATGTTTATTGCAGCACTGTTCACAATAGCAAAGTCATGGAACCAACCCAAATGCCCATCAATGATAGACTGGATAAAGTAAATGTGGCGCATATACACCATGGAATACTATGCAGCCATAAAAAAGGATGAGTTCATGTCCTTTGCAGGGACATGGATGAATCTAGAAACCATCATTCTCAGCAGACTAACACAGGAATAGAAAACCAAACACCACATGTTCTCACTCGTAAGTGGGAGTGGAACAATGAGAACACATGGACACAGGGAAGGGGACATCACACACCGGGGCCTGTTGGGGCGTGGGGGGGCTAGGGGAGGGATAGCATTAGGAGAAATAAATGTACATAGGTTTCACAAACCACTATGGCACATGTACACCTGTGTAATAAACCTGCACGTTCTGCACATGTATCCCAGAACTTAAAATATAATAAAAAAAATTATGAGCATAATGGTACAGTCTCTCTATTTTGTTTAAGGGGAGTATCAAGTCAGAGTTTAGAGTGAATTATTTCTTTTAACTGCACAGTGTGATTCGTGAAGGTCAGAGTTGAGGTTCAGTGCAGTCAGGCTGGAAAGGTAGCTCCTGGCAATAAGAAGAGTGTGTGAATAAATAAAAGACGTGAGCTGTTTCCTAAGTTTACTTAATATTCAGATTAAATGAAAATTATGAGCCTGAATGTAGGAGTCTGGAATGAATATGAGTCAAAGATCACATGGAATTAATGTATTATAAAATGATATACAAGATAGGTTTAATTAATCTTCCTCAATCATTCTTATTTTTCAGATCTTCAGGAATTTTACTGGGATAATTATCCAAATAAATTGCAAGCATTCTATCCAAATGGTAAGCAGAACATCTTATTATGTAATCATATTTGTTTATCCATAATTAATATAACTTTCTGAGTATTGAAATGAGAAACTTGATTTACTCTTCTTCACTCATGTTTTAATTTTTTTATAAGAAAAACTAGAATCACTAAAGAATTTCTTTTTATTTTATTTAAAAATTATAATCCTGAGATGCAAATATATGCCATGTAAGCCTGGGAACTATTTAATCACTTTACTCTAAAATCTGGTAAAAGGTAAAATTTCTGAAAATAGGTGACTGGCAAACATTTTGTAAACAATATATAAGAAGAATTGTATATCAAAATATACACATAAAACTATCTTTTCAGATAATTATGTATCATTTATTTTCTTATAGCGAAATTATAAAAATACAACCTATAGCCTTCCATAGATACATAATTAACTATGTTTTGAAATGATATCCAATTCAGTACCCTCATACATTTGAAACTTTGATAAGCTGGTCTATCTTCACTTTGGGGATCTTCTTCATTAAGAGTTTGTTTTCTCAAGTTTTGAGGTAGGATACATGAAGTCATTCTTCTTCTTTATAATTATGTGGCAGGAACTATCTCCCTGAAAACTTTATGCTTAAGTTTTTGACAATCACACTGTCAGTCAGATGGTGCAAAGTCTTTTAATACTTTTTAATATAAGAGAGTTGTCTAAAATACAGATAGTTCTCCATCTGAGCTCATGACCCAAGCAATGTGCTTCAAAATTGCATTTATTGTATTTTTCTTATTACAAATGATACTATGTTCATAATGGATAGATAAATTAGATACACATAAATACAATTAAAAAGCATATTCTCACCACCTAATGTAACCTGTTAACCTTTTGTATAAATTGGTGAATGGTTTCAGTATATGAACACACAACCTACTGTAAAAATTCAAGAAATGAGTGTGATGATGATGTAAAATGCAGGTTCACCTTCTCTGTCCCCACTTCCTCTGCAGCTTGGGTATAAATGCCTGCTCCACCACCTGTTCTCTGTGTGAACTTTGGCAAATCCTTTACACTCTCTGGGCTGTCCTTTCTCATCTGCAAAATGGAGCTAATAATACATACCTAGCTGAAGGGGTTGTCTTGAGGATGAAATATGTTAATACAAGTTAGGTGTATAGAACAGTGCCTAGCTCATAAGTGTTAGATATTACAAAATTACCTATTGTATTTGAATTATTTTTTAGAATTCTTAAGATGTGCCTATTTTGTATACTTATATCTCATTTAGCTCTTTATTAATGGCAATTATTCTTCAGTTAGTTATTTTGTGGTTCCAGATAGAATATCATATTTTCTAAAAACAATAACAATTTTAGATACTTTTATTTTTTTCCTTTTTAGCATCATACTTTTTTCTATTTTGAGTTCACTACTTATTGCCTTGGCTATGTCTTTCGGTGCAACATGAAATAACTGAATAATTCTTTGTTCTTTCTGATTTTATTAGGAATTACTTTCATGATTATAATTTGAGTACTGTGTTGACTATTTGTATAAGTTTTATTCTTTTTCTTAAGAAGTAATTATATTCTTAATTAACTATATTTGATGATCAGAAGTTCCTGTTGATATTCTATAAATCTCAATTAAATATAAATTAATGTTTTAAAATCTGTTGAGAAGATGACTTGGTTCTCCTCTCTAGGTCAGCAGATTTGCTAATATTATGTTACTCTTGCATAGCTGGAAGCTTACTTTTATTACATACCTTAGCTCAATTCCTTTTTGTTTACTTGAGAATTCTAAAGAATATTCCAAAGTAAGAATGATATATACTATTTTTTATTGCTTGATATCTATGTGGTACTATTAAGGACGTTATATCCACATTGAACTTCACAATATTTTCTGTGGAGTTACATATATGTAAAAATTACAAATAAAATAAAAACCTTACTGGTAGAATATTCAGACCACAGAATCTATTTTGGAGGTGAAATTTAGAAAAAATGTTTTATTAATTGTTCTTTGAATTTTGTAGGAATTCTACCTTCATTGAGTTAATTTCTAGTCTGACATTTAAAAAGTATTGCTCATTTTGTTAAGTTTTTCATTTTACTGCCACATATTTATAAACTATAGTCTTTTGGTTTGCAAAGTTATTGTTGAATAGGTTTGATAGACTCCTCATCATTTCTAATTTTTATGTGTTTTTCTTCATTTTTCACTGATATTTGTGTCAGAAGTTTCCCTGTTTTATAGCTTCTCTCAAAAAGCCAAAAGTGGAATTATGTACTTGTTTGATATATTTATCTTCCTGATTTATTAATTCTGCTTAATACCTAGTGTGTGTGTATATATATATATATATATGTATGTATGTATATACACACACACACACACACATATATATATATTTATTTATTTATTATTTTTTTTGAGACGAGGTCTTGCTCTGTCGCCCAGATTGGAGTGCAGTGGCGCAATCTCAGCTCACTACAACCTTCGCCTCCCAGGTTCAAGCAATTCTCATGGTGCCTCAGCTTCCTTGGTAGCTGAGACTGCAGATGTGTACCACCATGCCTGGCTAATTTTTGTATTTTTAGTAGAGATGGGGTCTTGCCATGTTGGCCAGGCTAGTCTCAAACTCCTGACCTCATGTGATCTGCTCAGGTTGGTGGATCAAAGTGCTGAGATTACAGACATGAGCCATCATGGCTGTCCAAAACCTAGTCTATTTCTAATGCCATTTTTTAAATTCTGAGATTTATTTCTATGAAAATATTTCTAAGTGTATCAGGTTGTATACACCAGGGTTTGAATATGATTGATTTTTTAAATGTTTTGGAAATATTTGAAAACAGTATGTAATCCTTGTCATAGACTTATTTGGATATAGTTCTATCAGTTCAGCACAATTCATCATAATATTCAAATTTCATGTTCTTATATTCTATTTGCTGGACAGAGATGAGGCTAGTTTGTGCAAATTCTTAAAATGCCCAAGTGATCCATTTGGATTTATACAGTAGGCATAAAACTATTGAATATAAGCTGGTGAGTTATATGAGTAGACCCTATATAGGAAGATGAATCTTTGGGGGTATGAAAGATCAACTACAGTGGCGTACAACTAAGGCCAAATATAAGATTTAAGGATCTGTTTATTTCAGCATTTCTACTTTTAGGAATCTGACCTTAGAAATATCTTCCAGTCTTTGAAGGAAGGGTTTAGTGTTCTTAATCTTTCCCAAGCCAATTCCCGCCATCTTCTACTTTTCCTTCATCCAGTCCATTTCCTCCATCAGCTTTCCTTCTCAGTCCTTTTGTGACCTTCTGTGACATCAACTTCTTAAATGTAAAATATAATGACTTTCTTGTCTCATGAATTTTATCCCCCACTTTTATTTTTAGAAACTTTGATATAGCTTGTAAAAGCCAAGACAAATTTCTACCAGAATTAGAGATATGGCATTCATCCAGCCAGCCATCAAACATTTTTGAAAACCAACTATCTGCTAGGCACCATGCTAAGAGGTAGAAAAAGCTGCCTCCCTACAAGAGATAGAACCTTTAACCTCCATACGAAAGAGCTCTTAATCTTTTGCTTGAATTCTCCAAAGTTCAGCATCTCCAACTGACATTAATATATTTTTGATTCGATGACCTGAAGACAACCAAAACTTTAATGAGCTCAGTCTTTATCCCTAACCTACCTCTCCTACTATTTCCTCTCCTGGTTGATGGCTGATATTAATCTGTGCTAGAAACTTAATAGGCTGTCAATATATAATCTTTATTTAATTAATATTTTATGCTGTATCTTTACTCTGTCCTATCCTTAACCAAACTTCATAAAAGTCCTATTGATCACATCTTTACATGTATCCCAAACTTCTCTTTACCTCTGTATTTATTACCTCAGTTTTAGGACCACAACATATGCTTTTTGATTTTTTATAAACCACTAATTATTTTTATATCCCTACCTCTTTTGTCCGTCAGCTACACTCCTACCAGAATTTGCATATTATCATGACAGTCACCCATTGAAAAGTTTTTATGATTTTCGTTTGCTTAGAGGAAAAAACCAAAATCCTCAGGATGCATTCAGTTTTCTTCACAACCCAGTACCAAGTTTATCTCTTCTCAATTTATTCCCTTTCTCCATCTCCATCATCCTCATTCCCCTGAATTTCATCACATCTAATTAATGTGCATCATGGCTTCTTCATACTTAGACCATGTTCTCACACATAGTGGGTATTCAACCAATGTTTGCTGGTCATTATTTTGAAAAGGCAAAGGGCTAGATTAAGCAGGAGCATATGATCAATCACCTGAGTGGGTCAGACTGAGAAGACAGTTTAGTTGTTTAGTTGATAACTTATTGGAACTCTTGAAGTTTTATATTAGAATACCATGGAAATGGAATTCATAAATACAACTTAGAAATGACCTAGTCTAAGCTATGTTTCCTGAATGTTGAGACCTGAAGTATCAGGGACTTGTTCAGAATGATAGTTGCAGCTGTTTAATACTATGAGATTTACTGCTCCCGAATCTGCGGCAACTGAGGTAAACAATGGTTTGAGTCCTGAGTAGGAATTTAAGAGACATGATGAACTGTAACTATTATTGATAGAAGTAGATTATTCTGACTTGATTCCAAACTGATTGCATACATGTAATTTACCTCCAAGGGTGTATAATTATGATTTTGCCTGAGGTATCTATATGGAAGTATTTATGAGGATGCAATTTTCAGGGTTTTTTTTAAAAGCATGTAATTGGATATTTGATTTGTAACCTCTAAAATTAAGGTTAGAAATAGAGTCATGAGTGCTTCATGGAAGACTTCAAATGGAGAGAGAGTGAATTAATTTAGTAGCTGCTTCATACAACTTGGCTCAAATAGAGATTGTAGTCTTTCTCCTAGTCTTTATCATATGAAAAGCAGCCAGGATAGATTTTCCTTGTTATATTTTTGTATAGTTGAAAGTTTTGAATCAAATTTTAAGTCTTTACAATTGCCTTTTTAAAATTTTAACTGTTTGTTCTTCGTTACTTCTTTCTAAATGTCAAGGTATATTTATTTACTCTTAATAATGTGATATGTAGTATTCCACAAACATTGTCAGTGACAAATCTTTTGAACTAAAGAATAGATTGTTTGACCATTCCAGTAATTAAGGAAACTAGATTAAATATACAATGGTTGCACTGGTTTTTCAAACATTGATGAAGTAAACATTATTCTCAATTGACTTAGTAGCCAGACATTCTTCTCCCAAGTCTTGAAAAATAAAATATTCAACTTTCTGTTCAATTGAGTGGGGAGAGCTATAAATTTTGTTTCATAGCTTTGTTTATATTGTCTGCATTTCTCTAGATTTTATAGTTTTAGAACATTATAAGCCTTAGAAATTCAAATGCCGTTTTGCATTTAAACTTATGAAAAATAATTTAGGCCCACACTGAAGATCTGTGAACACTTTTCTTCCAAAGAGGGGTCGTACTGTTTAAGTTTGAGAAACACTGTATGAAACTAGTAGCTTAAAATATCCCTTTTCTAAATGTTAAGATGGTTCCTATTGTACAAGGGCAAGTTTCTGAATATATAGTTATAAAGCCTATTGATATATTGGGTAGTGTTTTTTTTTGTTTTTTTGAGTGCATCTAACCCAATGTCCACATTGTATAAAGTGCCAGAGAGATTGAATGAATTATCAAGTTCGTGGACTAGTCAGTGACTGACAGGACACAACTATAGTGATAAATATATACAAATAAACATGACAAAGTCATTCATAATAACTTTAATTATAACGAGAGAGTCGGGTCTAATCAAATTACATACAGGAAGAGTTAAAATAACTATCTGAATATTAAAAGTAAGATAAAATTTTGCTTGATGTAGGCTTTCTGGAATATTTAAATAAACAAAATTCTGAAATACCCTCTAATAAGTATTTCTCTATAGAGAGGTAATTATATTTAACAGCAAAATTAACATTGATCTATATTCACTGTGATATATTTTAAATATTGTTTTGAAATACTATTGTATTTATACAATGCAAAGGAAAGATCGCTATTTTTATTAAAAGAATGTTTTCAAAAAATATTTTAAATTTTTATTTCAAAGTGACAGTTATTCAAATGTTGAATATGATAAGTGTTTTGTCATATAACAATGTTGTAAAATATAAATGATTTTTATATATAAATAGAAATATGTCATTCATCAAGTTATATGTAATTGGCCACAGCTAACTCTAAGTGGGAAGATTTTTTTCTCATCCTATTACTTTTTTCCTGAGTATCTCAAGACATAATGCTTGTTTCTGTATTTAGACTTTTTTAGTTTCCCTTGTATTTTAGTTAGAATTATCTAATTGCTGCTCTCACACAAATGATGTTATGTGACTAGAGAGAGGAATCACGACTTACCTCTTTATCTCCCTGTAGCCCCCTGTTTCTCAACTTTGGCTGCATGTTAGAAACACTGCAGAAGATTAACAAATAATCATGTATGGGTGATAAATCTTGATTTTACTGATAGCTTTACATGTATCCACAACTTCTCAAATTATACACTTTAAATATGTGCAGTCTTAAAAAAAAAAAAGGAAAACATACACTTATCATATGACCCACTAATCCCCCTACTTGGGGGTGGGAAGGGGAAAAGTGGGAGGGTTCAAATACTCAGGTCCCATTTGCAGATATTCTAATGTAATTGGTCTTAAGTGAGGCTCAGGCTCTGATATTTATTAGAAACTTCCCATGAGATCCTAATGTGAATTCAGCATTGAGAGCTTCTAGTGAGTACTTTGCATATAAGTTCTCAAAAATAATTGTTCTCATGTTTTTATATATATAATGTGTATATATATGTGTGTGTCTATATATATATATACACATATATATGAGAATATATATCTATATCTATATATATATATGTGTGTGTGTGTGTGTGTGTGTGTGTGTGTGTGTATATATATATACATACATTTTTTTTTAGACACAGGTTCTCACTCTGTCACCCAGGCTGGAGTGCAGTAGTCAGACCATGGCTCACTCCAGCCTCAACCTTCTGGTCCCAAGCCATCCTCCTGCCTCAGCTTCCCAAGTAGCTGGGATTATAGGTGTGATATGATATCACATCTGGCTAATTTTTATTTTTTGTATAGACAGGGTCTTGCTATATTTCCCAGGCTGGTCTTGAACTCCTGTCCTCAAGCAATCCTCCTGCCTTAGCCTCCCAAAGTGCTGGGGTTACAGGTGTGAGCCACCATACCTGGCCTGTCCTCATATTTTAATTGAATATGTTTTTTCTTTAATTACAAGTAATGTAACTTGGGCAACATGGCAAAACCCCATCTCTACAAAAAATACAATATAATTAGCCAACCGTGGTGGTGCGCTCCTGTAGTCCCAGATACTTGAGAGGCTGAGGTGGGAGGATCACTTGAGCCTGGGATGTCTAGGCTACAGTGAGCCATAATCATGCCACTGCACTCCAGCCTGGGCAACAGAGTGAGATTCTGTCTCAAGAAAAAAAAAATTACAATAAAGCCTTGAATACATACATTGAAAAGCCTTGAGATGTATAAATTATGCCAGAGGAAGTCCAGTAAAAGAAGTACTCCCAAATAGCTTTTTGCAAATATAGACATGCCACAGCCTTATAGGCATACATCTTTACTAAGACACATCATAAAAACACATCTGTGTGGTACTTTTGGTGCATTTTGAATAAGGACTGAAAAAAGTTCACAAAGATTGGTCAGTTTGAAGTATGGAATTTAAATCACAGTTGTCATCTTATTAATGGCTACTATTTTTCTTGAAATTTCCATTTTATATGATATAGTAGTTTGCAAATCACTTTCATTTACATAGTATACGGTCATTTGAGTCATATTTATTTGTTTTGAACATGGACTTTGATGGAGACATTCCCAGTTTTTTTTAATATAAAATTCATTTCTTTAAACATCAGTTTATAATTGAAAATTTCAGTTTTATTGAAGTTTGGTTCCAGACAGTTAAGGTTTAGTAGTGTTTGCATTTTTGTCTTTGTAAAAATATTTGCACATTTAATTTATGATTCAATTTAATTTTTCTGTTATGAACATGAGTGGGTAGCAGAAAAAAATTAGAGTGTAGACATTGGTAGTTAGAATTGTGGGTCTCAAAAATGGGGTATAATTGAGTTGACAATCTCATACTTTGTATCTAGAAGAGAAACTGTGGCAAGAAACATTTTATATTTATTTTTTGTTCTTTGGGTATAACCTTTATAATGTTAACCTTTTGGAATGTATATATTTTGTGAGTCAGAATACTATAGACTATGCTGTAGTAATAAACCATCCCCATATTTCACTGATTTATCTCAACAAGGGTTTACTTTTCCTTTCTTTCTTTCTTTCTTTTTCTTTCTTTTTTTTTTTTTTTTCTGACAGTCTTGCTCTGTTGCCCAGGCTGGAGTGCAGTGGCATGATCTTGGCCCACTGCAGCCTGTGCCTCCCAGGTTCAAGTGATTCTCGTGCCTCAGCCTCCTGAGTAGCTGGTATTATAGGCGCCTACCACCATGCCCAGCCAATTTTTATATTTTTAGTAGAGGCAGGGTTTCACCATGTTGGCCAGGCTGGTTTCGAATTCCTGACCTCGAGTGATCTGTCCACCTCGGCCTCCCAAGGTGCTAGATTTACAGGCGTGAGTCACCACCCCCAGCAGGTTTACTTTTCATTTATAGAGCAAGGGGTACTCAGCATGTTATAGTTACTTGGAGCCCAGACTCAGGGAGGCACCGTATTGACTCATGTGACAGGGAAAGGGACACTGATGAACAGCAGTTCACTGTTAACACATGTCACATGGGTACTTCTCATTCAAAAGGGGTGAGAAAGTACATTCCTACTATGTGCCTGGGAGGAGAGGAGAATTGGAGTGTTTGTAAACGAGTCCTAGAGAGACCCACAAACGTCTTCTGATGGATGAGATACCGGATGACAGCGTATCTTTTTCTTCTCAACATAAGCCTGTATTGTAAGGAAGGTAGAATCTTATCATTGCACCTTCTCAGATAGGAAGTTGAGAATCAGAATGCCTGGACAGCGTCACTATACACCCACAGCTAGTGAGTAGAGGGATCAGGTTTATTATGTCTTTACAGCATAATTATGTCTCCATATATTTCATTGATATGAAACCTGTACTGTGTTCTGCTACTTTACATTCTATGATCCTTTTATATAATTGCTACTTTATTTTATAATCAAACAAAGAGCCAGTTTATGATAAGCATAGATTCTTAGGTTTAAGTGTGTAAATTTATAACTATTACCATCGGTTTGTCTTTTATACTTTCCTTTAAATAATATTTTTTAGTGTTAAAAATTATTCCTACCTTCAGTCCACCTTTACATTTTCGCTAAAAAATATTCTGTTAAGTTGAAAAACGAAGCAAATCATTGCCACTGGACACCATATTTATATCACTGGGAATGATGTTGTTTCTCAATAGGATTTGATTTTATCTGAAATTCCAATGTTTCCACCGACAATATAAAGAAAAAACAAAAACAAGAACAATCTGCTAATGAACAGTTTCTGAAGGGACAGAAGGGAAGTTTTCCAAATGCAAAGCTCAGCCAAAAGGGAGAATTTATTGTTGTTGTTGTTTATTTGTTTCCTGAGACAGAGTCTCACTATGTTGCCCAGGCTGGACTTGAACTGCTGGGTTCAAATGATCCTCCTGCCTCAGCCTCCCAAGTAGCTAGGATTCTAGGCAGGTGCCACCAGACCAGCTCAATGGGGAGGTTTACTAATGCAATTTTGCTACACCAAAATGGTGGCATCTATTTATTTACTTATTTTAAATAGGAAGAAGTCAGAAGACTTAATGAATCAAGCATTACTTATAATTATATTTTTTAATACAACGCTTTGAGCATGGACTTAAAAATGCAGAGATGAAATATAAGAGCTTCTTGGAAGCAAACATTGTTGGACAGACTTATAATGTGTCAGGATTTTCAAACTCATTTTCTATAACTTTCCAAAGATGCTGTCAAATGAAGGATGAGTCAGGTTTTCCATAAAAACATCATTCTAATTTTGTAAAACGGTGTGGCTCAAAACTATAAATTGGGCTGCCAAACTATTTCTCTCAAATGTTTGATGGTTTGGGAACATGTAGAATCCATTATATTTTCTTCATTAAAGGACTCCATATAATAAAGTGATTTATTGTGACAATTTAATTTATTGTGATAATTTAATGTTTGTGATTCAATGGAAAAACATCATTCTTTTCATAAATGTGATGTAATAACATAATATTCATCACTGGGTGCACAAAAGAAGTTTATGGATATATGACTCTGCTGCTAAGCTATCAGAAGGATTCGTGCCCCTGTCACTCCACACACGCTTTAGAAAGATAACAGCCATGATTTTTGATATGTAAAGTCCCAACCATTGTGTGTTCAGGAATCTGTCTGCATCATGACACAACGGTGGAACTAAGCCATAATGAATGATTTAGCTCTGTTTCCTCTTTCTTCACAATGTGCCCATGATTCTCATACCAATATGCCTTTCTTGGACTTATCTCTGAAGTCTGTAGGAGATAACTTCCTCCCCATTACTAGCCAGCAGGGTGGCCTGAGTTTCCTTGTCTGGAGCTGCAGGATATTTGTTCTATCCTGTTTACAGCCAATGGGGGGCCCTTTTTCTTCCCTACAGTGAGCCTTTTCATCTGCACAGAGGGAGATACAAAATCGGAAATGATCTTAATTAAATGTTTTCCGTCCAGAAACAACTAGTCCACTACCTTGATCTGGCGGACCTTCTTGGAGGTGCCCCTTCCCACCTCCCTCTGTGGTGAGATTGCAGGTAATAGACCTTATGACAAAAGACAAGGATAAATATTTATCAGGGCACCGAAGAATTTTTGAGTATCTACAATTATTTACATTCATTCCTGTGAACACATTTAACCATGTGAGGTGTTATTAGTACTCCCCGCTGACATTTTTTCCTTTATAATATTTTCAAATAAAATTGTATCCCCTGAACAAATTACAAAAGTGCCTTTAAATATCCAGAATAAATATTTTGAGAATATTCATTTTAAGGTTCAAGTTTCTAAAGTACCCTATTCGATGCTAAGTTATTGCAATATCTGTCGTTTAGAGGAACTTGTAGGTTTATTAGCTCTATAATGTCAACATTCGCAGATATGAAGCATTTTATATTTCTTAGTGATGTATAAATGTATGAGGAATACATGAAAATGCAACAAGATTTTGGTTGGCTTAATAATGAGTTTCTTTCTTAAAGATCAAGATAAAAATTCTGAATTTCTATTGTTCTGTTTTTAAAATTATAAACTTAAATGTATCTAGCTCCAATGTAAACTCTACATTGCCAACTTTTTGGAATATGAATATAATGAAAGTTTATATCTGGTTAGTTGTGAAAAAAATTATTATTCTATCATGTAAAGAACATAGAATTTATTAAGGAGATATTACTTAATTGGTAGATTATTCACAAGTTTTAGCTGAATTGATTTTTTTAAGGAAAAAATTATGTGAGGAATTTAACATATTTGTTTTGGTAGAAACATGTTTTGACAGAGGAATTTTATACTTAGATAAAATATCAGTTTCATATAAACAAATCATAACTTTTAAATTATAAGTACATCTTATAATTTTTATGTTTTCACGTCCATAGATTATTTATTGATAGATAAATAGATGGATAGAAAAATTTGCAAAGTTCAGATTTTTTTAGTGATAATCTAATTTTTTAAATAAAATGATTTAATATTTGCACAGTAAATGTGATGAAAACTTTGTGTACAGATATAAGGTCCTGTGGTTTGGGGTTTCCTTTTTGTCCAAAAGGCATTGTTCTATGTGAATTAGACATACCGATTTAATATTCTAATTCAATGCCTATAAAACCAACCTTTATTTAATTCTCTGCTTTCTGCAATTCCTCAAGGAGTGAAAAAATAGACTGTGACTTCTTTAAAAGAGGCATTTTGTTAAAAGAATAAAATGTCTTTTGAAATATTAGTGAAGTACTAGTATTTTAATACCCTTTTTTAAAAAAAACAATTAAAGAATCCTATGATTATTTCTTTTCCCTATCTCAAAACCAAGCATATTTTCAAGTAAAATTAAATATATTTGAATCTACACTTTATAATATTACAATAAAGGAAAGAAATAGTTATCATTACTACATTTGGAGATTTTTTTAAATGTAGTTTCTCGTTGAAAGAATTTACTTTCAACCACAAGAAGTTGATTATTCTGTGTGTTTTTATCAGATAGGCTTTATATAATTTCTTGTATCTCATAAGGAAGTCCATGCATAATAGACAAAGCATCCAAGAACACAAACTTAATGAAAAACCAGCTTTTGTTGAGATGGTTTCACTCCAGTAACCTTGGAAGTGTTGGCGAGTAATTTGAGTTTTAGTGACAAGATTCTGTTGCTGCTAGGGATGGTTTTGGCCATTTGATAGGCTGAGTTTTTACAAGAATAATTTACTGTGTTTACAGACAGCTTAGGTCTTATTAGGGAATATTAACCCTTCCCCCAAGTTTAGGTTCTATGTGTGCGTAAATTAAGAGATCTATTTCTGTTTTGGAAAGCACACAGTATATTTTAAATATAATTTTTAAATGTAATTTTTAAAAGAAAGGCTCTATTTTAGCCTTCTAAATTATATCTTCTATATACACTTGGTATTGCTGAATAACCAAAATTAGCTTTCGCTTTTCTTGCTGGAAATTTGTAATTTTCTTAACATATTCTTTCTGTTCTGAGTAAAAGTAAATAAAGGTAATTAAAATACAGTATTTTTTTAAAAACTTTTGAAAAGGTTCATCTTTTAAATTCTTCAATGATATGTAAAAGTTTCTACCTATGAATTTATTTTTTGTTACTGATAAATTTGTATTAAATAATTGATGCCTAAAATATATATTTAGTAGAATAAAGAAATTAGCTATAAAACAAAATTAGAAGAGCCACAAACTAGACAGGGCACTGTGGCTCATGTGTGTAATTCCAGCACTTTGAGAAGCCGAGGCAGGTGGATCACCTGAGGTCAGGAGTTCGAGGCCAGCCTGGCCAACATGGCGAAACCCTTTTTCTACTGAAAATACAAAAATTACCCAGGCATGGTGGCAGGCATCTGTAATTCCAGCTACTTGGGAGGCTGAGGCAGGAGAATCACTAGAACCCGAGAGGTGGAGGTTGCAGTGAGCTGAGATTGTGCCACTGCACTCCAACCTGGTGACAGAGGGAGACTCTGCCTAAAATAAAATAAAAATAATTAAAAAAAAAAAAAGAGCCACAAACTAAAGTCTGGTTGGGTTGGGTTCCATTGCCTTTGCTCAGAATGTAAGCTGCTACTATCTAGGTACATCAGCTGTACATATGTCTTGTAGCCCTTTAGGGTCTCAGATTTTGTCTCTGAAAATAAGAGGATTGGATAAAAAAAAAAAAAAGCTCAGTACTATTTTATAATTCCAGATGACAAGCTGAAGGATCAAGTCTTTAGCTTCTTAAAATTGTTATAGAGGATATTGAAAATGTTATTACTAAATTTGGAGTGAACATACATGAAAACATTGATTCTTTTTATTTTTGTTTTGAAAATAGTTAAAAATAAAAACAAGGGGAATTTATTATGTCAATCTCACAATTTATAAAGCTTGATATTTTGAGTTGCAAGTAAAATTAAATATAAAAATCTTTATTAATTCTGTCACATTAGTAGAGGTCTCAATGCTGTGAAAGTCCATGTCTAAATTATGACAAAATTATTTTCAACCATATCAGCATTGTTTCAGAAGAAAAGATCACAACTAAATTTACTTACAGCAATCTTACAGGTTTAAGTTTTATTGCGATTTCAAAAACAAAATAATTTCACTATCAAATTAAAAACAATTCATTCTTTTATCCAGAAAGATAGACATTAATTTGAATTAATAACATATTTCTGTTTTTTATGTTGCAATTTCTTTCCTAAAGATATAAAATCTTGTGCCAACTGTCAGAAAAAGGAAGGATGAGATTATTAATATGTGCAATGTGAATCAAAAATGATTCAAGAGAAATTATATGTATATCAGGAAACTTCTTGTTCTTTCTTATTGATGCTAAAGCAGGGTGGTGATGACTTGAGGTATAATTTAGTTAACACTATTTAGATATATATTGTCAAATTTAGAAACACATTTGTAGTAATATAATATATCATATATGACATGCTTTTCTGAGGGATTTGTGATAATAGTAGGTTTCATGAAAATCTCTCAAGAAGACATTGATTTTTTTACCAAAAGGTAAGGCTTTATATCTATAGTATGGGGATGTAAACATAATTATCAAATGAATATTTGATTCGAATGATTTATTTGATATTCACATAAATCAAATGATTTATTTGATATTTATGAATGTGATATTCATATTCATCAAATAAATTTGATATTGATGAATATCAAATAAATGGCAAAGAAAATATTTATGATGAGATGAACTTTTTTTTATTCACATCAGATGTTCTATACCTAGTATTATTACCTTTTGTCACTCATCAACAAAAGGTAGTATTGAGTTGTTTTCTTACTGGCACTTTAAAATATTATGCACTATTAATTTTCTTCAGTAAAATTTAATCTACTTAATCTGCTCTTATAATTATATTCTGTGATGTTTTCCAATACAAATAGTTATTCCAACCACTTTTAGAACTTGTTTCCTTTCCAATGTCCTTTCATAGCATCTTTTAGTATAAAACAACCTTTGGGATAAATATTAATAACATCAAGTCAACACACAGAGTGCCTATTCATCTTTGTTCATTATATCACTTGCTCTATTTAGATGAAAATCATATAATCAAAAATGCCAATATATTGTCTGTGTGACAAAGTGTCTCCAATGACACATTTAGTATAAAAGCCATGTTGTACTAATCTGAGAATAGAATAGATCTATATCTCATTCTAATAATAATTCTCAATGAATAGTGTGGCTCTTTCAACTGATGCATTAAACAGATAAAGATATTTCTTGGAGAGTTCAGTCAGTTGGCTATGCCGCCAGTTATAACAGAAACCAATTTTCAAGCCGTGAGTTCTTGTTTTTTGTTTTTTACCAAAGGTACTGTTTCCGTACACTGGTATTAAAAAAATGGATTATTCTTTTTGATATAACTAAGATGAAACATTTTTTCATTTTTTCCTGTGATTTTCAGTTTGTCATTTATTATTATATTTACCAGTTTTCGTTTCTATGTGCCTTACACACAACTCTCACAAACTTTGTTTCTCCATTTGCTTTACTCTTTTTTTAATCAATCTGTCTAGTTTGTCCTGATGAAACCAAGTACCATAGACAGGGTGGCTTATAAACAACATAAAGTTATTTCTCACAGTTCTGGAATCAGGGAAGTGCAAGATCAGGGTACCAGCATGGTTGGATTCTGGTGAGGGTCCTCTTCCAGGTTGCAGACTGCCATCTGCTCATTGTATTCTCACATGGCAGAAAGAGGACTGGAGGGCTCTCTGGGGTATCTTTCATAAGAGCACTAATCCCACTGACGAGAGCTCCACTTTCATGATCTAATTACCCCCCAAAGGCCCCAACTCCTCATATCAGCACATTGGAGGTTAGGATTTCAACATATACATTTCTGGGCAATGTATACAATTCCATTGGACAGTCTTACAATCTTTTCAGTGTTTACATGCATAATTTACTGCAAGACTTGGAATGAAACTTCTTAGCTTTGCTTGGTCTATATAATATGCTTCATCTTAAGCAAGCTCTACATTACTAGTGATGTTAAATTTCAGTAAATGGAAAAATTCCTTGAGAATACTATATTCTCTTTCATTATCCAAATACCTCTAATTTTACAATTTGATCAGTGTTCCTGCCCGTGTACAACCCAATTGAATTACATTGGATGTAATTGCCAGTTTTTAAAATATATCTTTGGATTAAAAGATAAATATTATGAAGGACCCTGTCTCATTGTGCCATCAGTATATCATGGCTGAGACTATCTCAGATAAGATAATGTATTAGTCGTCTGCTTCCTAGGAAAATGAACACTAAAATGAAATATGGAAGAAATGGATTCTGAGTGTTAAATGTGAGAAACAAGGTTTATACTGAACATTCTAAGCCATTGCCAAATGTCAACTTTAAACTTCAGATCAAGAGATTCAGAATTCTACAGTGTCAGGTATGGTAGATGTTCTCACACCAAGGTGAACACAAGAATCAACCGAGTGATTTATTTAAAAGAGAGTCCTGAGTGCCACCCCCAGAAATTCAGATTTTTAAATTTTTAAATAAATCTGAGTGTGTCTTTTAAACTTACATTTTGTACCAGCAACTCCAAGTTATTCTAATATAGGTAATCCACAGATAAAAAATATTTGTTAGAACGTATTTTTTAAAAATATTGTTTAGACCATAAATATTTTAGCCTTTTCTTTTTTTTAACAAAATATAAATTTATACTTTTTAGACAGCAAAAAAAAAAAAAAATTGTTTAAAGAAACTCTGGCCGGGCGCGGTGGCACACGCTTGTACCCAGCACTTTGGAAGGCCAAGGCGGGTGGATCACCTGAGGTCAAGAGTTTGAGACCAGCCTGGCCAACATGGTGAAACCCCATCTCTACTAAAAACACAAAAATCAGCCGGCCATGGTGGTGTCCGCGTGTAATCCCAGCTACTCAGGAAGCGGAGGCAGAAGAATTGCTTGAACCTGGGAGACGGAGGTTGTGGTGAGTCGAGATCGCACCACTGCACTCCATCCTGGGCAACGGAGAGAAACTCAGTCTCAAACAAAACAAAGCAAAAACATAAACTCTAAATTCCATTATGTATGTATGTATGTATGTATGTATGTATGTATGTATGTATTTTTTGAGGCACAGTCTTGCTCTGTGTTGCCCAGGCTGGAGTGCAGTGGTACAATCTCAGCTCACTGCAGCCTCCACCTCCCAGATTCAAGCGATTCTCATGAGTAGAATGCCTCAGCCTCCTGAGTACCTGCGATTACAGGTGTGCACCACCATGCCCAGCTAATTTTTGTATTTTTAGTAGAGACGGGGTTTCACCATGTTGACCAGGCTGGTCTCGAACTCCTGACCTCAGATGATCCACCCACCTTGGCCTCCCAAAGTGCTGGGATTACAGGCGTGAGCCACCTCACCCAGCCTAAATTCCTTTAAAACTATATTTATTTCTTAAGAACCTGATCACTAGTCTTTCTGTCAGCTCTTTCTCTTTTTATTTTTTATTTTTGGTCATTTCTGGTTTATATTTTAGAATGTGCTACTATAGATTTGCTGGGATGATTCTGATTTTAATCAATTTTTTTTCCTTCTTGTACCATAAAAAATTGAAATGTCCCAGAAATTTTGAATACATCTAGAATCTAGACTGTATCTCCCAGATTCCTATTCATATAAAAATTTTCAGGCAAATTGTCCCTCTTTGGGGTTCACAAATCATGATTGCAAGAGCTAGAAGTAAACCACTGTAGAATATTTTAGAGGCTAATAGTTTAGAGGCTAAAGATGTCTCAGAGAATATTGGTCTACCCCTGTCCTATGGATGAATTCACTGTTTAGCAAAGCACTGGACGTGTATTATGTCCTAGAGTATCCCAAAAGGGTATACTGAATCATTTCTAAAAACAGTCAGTGTATTAGGAATCCATGTGCAAGTAACAGAAGTCCTTAGTACAGGAGCATAAATAGAAGCATATTTACTTGTCTCATACTACAAGGAGCCTGAGATTAGGCCACAGGCTAATATAGACACTCAAGAGTGCCTTCAAGATTTCGGGCTCTTTTTTTTTTTTCTGCTCTGTATTGCGCTGACTACTATTACCCTCATGCTAACTCCTTCTTAGGTAGATGATTGCTACACTTCTAGGTCCCATATCCTCAGGATAACTACCTGGGAAAGAAGGAAAGAACAAATTAGCGAAAAGCAATGCTCTGTTTTTCAATTTGGAAAGAGATGGCCCTTTCAACTTCATGTTATTACCCAAAACTGTGTCACTTTATCTGCTCTGGCTTTATGAGAAGCTAAAAAATTGAGTAATTTTACCTGGGTACATTGATGTCCCAAACTAAATCAGGGTTCTGACAGGAAAAAAGTAGGAATACATACTGTATCAGAAACTGGAATTGTTTGCTACAGATAGTATATCTATAAAGAAAAATGTGTAAGAAAGACTCAGAACAATTAATGTAGACATAAAGATGTAGATTATTATTTGCCTGTTACATGTATTAACCGTTTGGTAGACTATTTTTTGGGAGACATCGTTGTGAGTCTTCATAATGCTCATCTCACTCACCCATGACAGCAAAATGGGGGTTGGTCGCTAATTATTAGGTAAAACATTCTAAACTAACAGGAAAAAGGAATCCTTGAGTTAATCTTGGGAGGATAACAGTGGGTGAAAGACGATGATAAATGCGCAAAACTGCTAAAGTTTAAATGATTGGCACTTTCAGGATGGTAGCAGTCAATAAGAATATGACTGCTGTGTAGTTAACCTCTGCACTTTTTTTCTTTTTTCTTTTTTTTTTTCTTTTCTTTTTTTTTTTTTTGAGATAGAGTTTCCCTGTTTTCACCCAGGAGTGATCTCGGCTCGCTGCAACCTCTGCCTCCCAGGTTCAAGTGATTCTCCTACCTCAGCCTCCTGAGTAGCTAGGATTACAAGCGCCCACCACCACACCCAGCTAATTTTTGTGTTTTTAGTAGAGATGAGGTTTTGCCATGTTGGCCAGGCTGGTGTTGAACTCCTGACCTCAGGTGATCTGCCCCCTCAGCCTCTCAAAGTACTGAGATTACAGGCATGAGCCACCATGCCCAGCCTCTGCCCTGTTTTTATCAGTTTACCTTTATGACTGACTGAGGAAGTCCTGAAGTTGCAGCTGCTCCACTTCTGAGTGATCCTGGTTTTTTTATTTCTTGTTGTCCCACAGCAGACAGTTATTAAAATATTGAAATAATGAGAATCCTCAACAACTCTAGTCACCTTTGGCACCTGCAAAATAGAAGTTTTGCTATAGTGGTCTAGGGTGAGAGGTACCCCAAAGAGGTATATTGAATCAGTTTTAAAAGCAGTCAGCTTGTTAGGATTTCATGTACAAATAACAGAAATCTCTGCTACAGTGGCTTCAGTAGAAGCATACTCACTTGTCTTATACTATAAGAAGCCTGATATTAGGCCACAGAGCTAATACAGAGGCTCAAGGATGTCCTCAAAATGAAAGGTTTCAGTGTTCACTGGCAGAGTTTCCTCTGGCAAGCCTGGAGGGGATGGGCAGAGGCTGGAGTGGAATTCAGATTACTCAGAATTAATCAGGTCAGAATTAATCCTGGTTATTACTTTATACCATGGTTCAGTTACTTTTATAGGTGAAGATGTATTTTGTGCCTAATCCTACAAAAACATCCACCCCATAATATGTCAAGAGCCTGCATTTATTCTGGGAAGAATAACCATAAAACCTCTCAAGAGAAATTTTCCACTATAAAATACAAAAGTAATTTTATGCGATACACAGATCAATATTACTTGATAAATATATTACACAATGGTCTTGAACATTGAAATATATGTTAATAATACTTTGGTGTACATAATACCTGTATTTCCCATATGTATTAACATCATTTTATAGAAAAGATCATAATTTTAAAAAAAGGGTTTGCAGGAAGGTACAGTTGGGACCTGTGCACACATTGCATACATACAGGGTCTTAATGGAAAGATAATTCAATACCTGCTGAAACCATAACAGATCATTAAGAACTTTTAAAAAGACCCGTGTCTGTATTGAAATAGAGAACCTAGCTCCTACTTCAAATTTACACCAGAAAATGGAACAATTGATATTATTTTTCCATTCTTTAATTTCTTTTTGCTTAATTGATTTTTGTTTTGTCTTAGTTATCAGTTTGTCAGATAGCATGTGGTTTGTTATTTTTAGAGAGCTCAGATTTTCCAAAATAAGAGTAAGCTTCTTTGTCATTATTTTATATTACCATATATATATATATGCATATGCACATAGATATATATGTGTGTGTCTTTACACATATGTTTACTATAAAATAAAGAAAGCAATATTTTACATAATAGTTTTAAATATTCTGTAAGTACCATTTGGACTAGAATTGGTAAGATTTTTTTGTTTTTGTTTTGTTTTGTTTTGTTTTTTTGTTTTTAATTTGAGACAGAGTCTTGCTCTGTCGCCCAGGCTGGAGTGCAGTAGTGCGATCTCGGCTCACTGCAGCCTTCACCTCCCGGGTTCAAGTGATTCTCCCGCCTCAGCCTCCTGAGTAGCTGGGTTACAGGAGTCCACCACCATGCCTGGCTAATTTTTGTATTTTTAGTAGAGATGGGTGATAAGCATTTTAAACATATTTTTAAAAAATTATATAAATTTAGGGGTACAAATGGAGTTTTGTTACATGGATATACCGCATAGTGGTGAAATCTGGGCTTTTAATACAACCCTGTAATATCAGTTTTGTCAAACTCTTATCAGTCCCACAGTTTATGAAGAGTTTTGAAGTTTTGTTATGGTGTGGATTACAGAATTGTAATATTGTCGTTAACACCTATGGGTCTTTTCAATGACCATAAAAAAGTTTGGAACCTGTATTCATTAAGGAAGAATTTCACTAACCTCAGAAGGAATGAGATATGGTTCTGAGACAGAGAGACCCTGATGAACTCTAATACACAATGGTAGTTCCAGCATAAGCATAATCATATATGGACAAGCTAATTTCATTCCACCCTTATGGAAATCTGCCAAACTCCACTATACTTTCAATTGCAATAAAATAGCTTCAGGCAAATCTGACTTTTTATCTACTTCTTTGTGTACTGTAAAAATAAAACTAAAACAAGTTTTTACTCTGAAAAGCTTGTCGTTTCAAAATGTATAGTATTAATAACTATGAAGCCATACAGTTATCACTACCATTACTTGGTGTTTATTTTCATTTATTTTTTCCTGGGTATTGATTTTGCATAGTTGGAATCATAGCACAAAATAATTTTGTCCATTTTTATATAAAAGGGCTATTAACCTTTGTTAATTTCATTCCAGTTTGGTAATTGGCTTCCACTTCATTACTGTTATATGGATGTTTATATAACTGTGATAATTGCTTGCGTGCAAGACAGAGTAAAGAAATGAGAAGTTTTACAAATTTGTAAAATTTGTGTCAGTGATTGAGCCTAAAATGGAATCTTTACTTCAGCATATTTGACCCTTAGACTTTTTAATGTTTATGAAAACAATTACTAAAATTATCCCCATTTTCTACTTGATCCAGTGTACCTCATGGAAAGTTAAATATGTTTGAAGGTAGTGAAAGTCTCAGCAAGACAAATGCCATAAAATGATTCTAATATTGCATTCAAATGTTTCTATCATGTATATAGATATGTATGTGGGTGGTCTGAATGTATGTGTATGTATATGGAAAGAGAGAAATGATTCATAATAGATTTTACATTGAAATGTACTAAGCAAAATAATAGAAAAGCATGCTGCAGAATATAAAAGCAATAGAGACAAGCAATAAAAAAAAAAGAAAATGTACATATCAGAAATAAAACCCACTACATGCTTCTGTATATTTGTGAATAACCAGTACTCACTGTCATGTACCAATTAAAAATAATAGGAAATTTTATAAACCCTATAAATATTGTGTTTAACTTTTTATAATATAGGACTTCAATAGAAAATAGACTGCATAAATTACCTTTTATAGAAGTTTAGTTGTTAATGATCATTTTTAGGGTCTCATCCAGAGAGGTTCAACACATTGTTATGGCTGATTTAAATTATGATTACAATTATGAAATATTGTGTCTGTGAAGTTCAAAAATTTACATACCACAGTCAGCAGTGAAATCTATTAGAAGCTCTAGTGCGTTTGTAGGTCTAATGTGAATTGATATACTGGTTCAATTTTAAAACATGTTAATTCAGTCCCCTGTGCCATGCCACTGGGATTAATATTATTATAATATGTCATATCACTTAAAATTAAATTATGGTATACTCTTTTGTGATAAAAATTAACTAAAGTGCATGAAATTGTTTCTGAGTCTCTAACAAAATTACACATTCCTTCGTTTTACGTAATTTAAAATAATATGAAAAATGTCAATATTTGGAGCTAACCTCACATCATTCAAATTATAGCTAAAAACATAGAATTGCTACATTATTTCTTAGATTAAACATACTTTTCCTTAATGTGAAATTGATATTGAAATGTCATCTAGACAATGCTATGGATATCTACAGCTTTTTAAGTTTGCATCCGTTCTAATAGATTATTTGAAATGAATAATCATCAGCTTCTTTGAGACAGTAGGGGAAATCAGAAACTTCACAGATGTTTAGTGATCTTCCAAGGACAAAATAATAGAAGTAATTTAAATTGCTAACGTATTGGTCTGTTTTCGTGTTACCATAAAGATACTACCTGAGACTGGGTAATTTATAAAGGAAAGAGGTTTAATTGACTCACAGTTTCTCATGGCCGGAGAGGCCTCAGGAAACTTACAATCATGGTGGAAGGGGAAGGGGAAGCAGGTCACACCTTACATGGTGGCAGGAGAGAGAGAGAAAAAGACGGCAGGGAAACCTGCCATTTTTAAAACCATCAGATCTCATGAGAACTCCCTCATTATAAGGAGAACAGTATGGGGGAAACTGCCCCCATGATGCAATTACCTTCTGCCAGGTTGCTCCCTTGACTTATGGGGATGACAATTCGAGGTGAGATTTGCTTGGGGACACAGAGCCAAATCATATCAACTAGTTTGTCATTTGGATTATAGCACTCATTGGGAGGCACAGTATATTATGTAACTTTGAAGTATAACTTTCAGTTAATTTTTTTTTTTATCATTGCATTTGTACACATTTTTGCCAGGGAGGCTAAAACATAGGTTAGGTACCAATATTTAAATCTATGGACTGCTTTCCACTGGGGGATACGTATTTTCAACGGTAAATAAAAGAAAATAATTTTCATTTCATAGTCCCTTAAATTTTACTTGGAGAATAGATTGCCTGGTAATCACTCTATCACTCCTGTCTCTTTTCTTAGAAGCAGGCAAAGTTGCCCAGCTACCATAGTGTGGACCTTATGGGACAGCTCTGGATATGTATGTCACTGATACCCTTGTTCACTGTCAGGTTGACAGACCTGATGGAGGTACTCTGTACCACCTGTATCACAGGATTTTCCTGCAAATTGATATCAATCTATCAATTGAATAGAATTGAATATTGAATATCCAATTCCCCTCCCTAACATAATAAAATACACTAGTAACGGAATTTCAGTCCCCCTGGAAGAGAGAAGACATTTTGGGGCTGGTATTATACTTAGGACCTTCCACCAATGAGTCCCTCCACGTTAAAAATTGTCAGTAAGAGTATCAAATAGATCACTTATATTAGCATTTCTTCTTCCTTCTACTGTGTAAAGTCATCAAAGATCATTTTGAAGACTGATTCATATATTATTAAATGTAGTATTATTTTACTATTTTTTACTAAATTTGGGAAATGACTCAGAACTCTTTAATAATTTTGAGAGGTATGAAAAATAAAAGTTTTTTTCCCCATATTTTTGTGTTGGTAGCCCTCTTTAAAATAGAAAGTATGAATTTATTTAAGCCAGATCAACCCAGCAAAAAACAACAAAAAAAGACTTTTGACTTTATCTTGTGTTATTTTTGTTACTGCTGGTGGAGAATTTGTTTCTCAATTCTTCCACTTATTTTTATAAACATGAATAAATTCCTCATTGAAAAAAGTTCCTGTATTTCTATTTTTTAGTGCTACCACGTAACTTATTTTGAGTGTGACATTTGCCAAAATAAATAGTTCCAATAAAGTTCCAATGAATACTTGTTCACAAGTATGTCCAGCATGTCATCTATGCTAAATAGTTTCTTTAAATGTCATTTCTTCTCCAATCATACTAGGTACTAAATCATCTCTATTTTCTACTGCCACTGGAATAAGTTACATGTACTTCAGTTTACATCTATCTGGTATATTATTAATGGCAATTGATGGCTTAGGAATGAAAAGTTTTGTGATTAAAACTTAGGTTTAGCCCGATATGAGAGGCACCAACATGAGTGTTAATACAATAGATAGGTTATCATAAATTATTGCTCTTAAAATGTCAAATTTGTTAATTCCATCGAAAGAAATAGCTTGAAAAAAAGAAAGCTAGCCAATTGCCTTTCACTGAAATGTAATGGTTTATCTGTAGAATAAACAGAATTAGTTTCCCTTCGTTTGAAGATTTTGTGGGAAATACATTTCATTCATTGTGTCCCATCCTGAAGTATGCTAGTCTATGATTTTTATTATGCCACCTTACAGAAATTATAGAATACAAAACAGATATAATCTCCTTTTTGTGCAGAGAATAAATAGAAATGCATATAGAAATATAAATATTAAATAATCCAGAACTACATAAAAAGCAAGTCCAATTCATTCAACATACTTGTGTATTACTCACTGATAATATCCATGAATTGGACTATTTTTCTCCAACTCACCTGTCTCATGCTACACAGGAGCCTATTTTGAATGTTTCCCGTGGGAAAGAAACCTCATGCATTCATTTCAATTAAGGCAGTGATTCTCAACTGGGGGATTGGTTGTATAGTTTATAATAGTAATGGTACAGAGAATTTCTACTATACAGAAATGTTAGTGATAGAATCCTTAATGATGTTAAACTGTTGATGGAAGTATGTCATGTCTGTCAGGATTCTGAGATGGAAAAAGATTGGCAAATACTGAACTATAATATTGGTCACTGGTAGTAGCTTGGAAAATTCTCTTCTAGGAATTTTGCATTTGATAGGGAATCATTGAATATCCAATTCCCCTCTCTAACATAATAAAATACACTAGTAAGGGAATTTCAGTCCCCCTGGAAGAGAGAAGACATTTTGGGGCTGGTATTATACTTAGGATCTTGCCACCCATGAGTTCCTACATCAGGTACATGTTTACTTGACATTCAGTCATGAGATTCCTGGGCCAATCTCCACACTAACATGCACAGTTGTGTGTATAGACGAGACACATACATAGTAGGCTTAAGAGCAAATGTCTACCTTTTCCTCTGTTTTCAACTCAAAGTGTTGGTCCTGGGTAAACAAAAGTTTTGATTATACAGTTTTTATCAGTAGATACCCCCAATTTTTTTTCCATCTCATCTCAAATGATTCATTGCCTACCAATAAAAATAGACTGTCCACTGGCAGTAACTTCAGATCTAATATTTATCAATTGTTTAACAGTGTTGTGGGATAATTCCGCCGTATTGTTTACTATTTCTCTTTTCCCCAAGATCAGATATGTTTGTCTCTAGTTGCATATATTTAAAACTTTCTAGTTTATATTTTCAATACGAAGACATATTTAAATACATTAATTTCCATAGCCTGAATTAGAGTAGCATTTGTAATAGCATTTTCATCTCAGTTGATATTGATTTTCTAAAATACATTTGCCTCAGAAACATTCTTTTTTTCATTTGGCATTTTCTTTACATTGAAAATTGAAGAAATGCAGTCATTAAATTATCATTTTCATTTAACTGGATCTTGTTCAAATTTCAATCAGGTGTTCTACAAAAAGTTAATAGTTTACCAGACATTTTCACATTTCTACTGTATGCAATGGGCTATTAGTTTTTTTTTAAAAAAGAGAAAGCTTACACTTTTTCTCTCTATGATTTGGCTTCATTTATTGCAAAAGATTGCAAAGTAATTGAAGGAAAATGAAAACTAAATGAAATAATTAAATAAGCAATCTAATTTCTAGGTGTTAATTCAATTCTTTTTCTAAGCAATTTTCTGTATTTTAAACTTCATTTGCTTTCTATCTACTTTTTGCCTGCAGGCTTAGATGTCTCAAATTATGGGATGGATACATCCCTTAGTACTTAGCATGATGACACAGGGGAAAATGCCACTCAGAGGACTAGACTAACACATTTAACAGTTATTTCATTATTTGGTGGCCTCAAACTCCAGATGGCCATATCTAGTTGATTTTATTGTCTTTGTCGATTAAATACCTGTATTGTAAAATTGTATGACTATAAAAGGATAAATTTTGATTTACTAAAGGTGATCTTCTGAGATATTTTGAGGGAAAGAGGTAGTATACCAAAATGGAAATACTACGCAAGGTAAGTGAAAACCTTTTTAATGTATCTTGGTCAGTAAATTAAACCAAGTTTATATTGATGCCGTTGCCAAATTTCCATGTCTTTTACCAACACAGGTTCAAATCTGGAAAAAACATTTACTGAAGAATTCACTGATTTGGCTTGTAAAAGCCTTTTCTATAAACCATAGGATCAATTGTCAGTCCTGTCTTGAATGATTACTTA
Source organism: Homo sapiens (assembly GCF_000001405.40). Taxonomy (NCBI): domain Eukaryota; kingdom Metazoa; phylum Chordata; class Mammalia; order Primates; family Hominidae; genus Homo; species Homo sapiens. The sequence goes on from NC_000021.9 coordinate 16,257,659, forward strand.
TCTCTAAAGCTAACAGAGTTGCTATTTAAGCTGAATACCTTCCTTAAAAGCAAGAAAGATAAGTAGGAGTACACAGGACACTGTTTGTTAGCATTATAACAAATATCCTCCAGCATAAGTGATCAGGATGTTAAATTTATGGTAATTGAATTCAAGAATTTTTGTCAGAAAAGTATTTTCAGATATGAATAGGTAAATTCTTAGCAAGCTAGTCTTCTTTGGAAGGTGCTTATATTTGAATAAAAAGGATTTCTTTAAAAAAATTGCTTTTAGGATGCCATTTAAAAGAAATAGGCAAACTTCAGAAGCCTTAATGGATTTCTTACAGAAAACAAACCCTCCATAAAATTCCACCTTAGCTTCTTGCAGCCCTGAATTCATGAGATGTTAACTAAATTAACCTTGACTGTCTTTTATTGGTCTGTTTAAAAAATTAGAAATAATTAATTTAAATTGTCATTGCTTGGTTCTAAATATCTTTGCTGGCCATGTCTATAGAGAGTAGGGGAGCATTTTTGAAGATAATCATTAGCAAATTTCCTAGATTCTTCCTTACTACTGATTGCTTTATTATAAAGCTAATATTCATAGTTTGATTATATTAATGCGATCTTGTTTTCTTAATCTAACTGCATGAAAACATACATGGAATGACAGATCTACCTGTCATTTACAACATACTTAGGAGATTGACCAATTTCTAAATAGTGGCCTAATTAAGAAATAATGGACATTAAATCAAACTGTGTGTATATGTATCTTCACATGTTTGTAAATTATCACTGTGGCAAGTTCTTTATAGCACATCAAAGATCTAGTTCTTTATCACTCCTCTGCCCTTGGAGTTTTTATGCATACCTTTGCTTCTCTGTGGCTAAGCACATACCCTTAAATTATATGATTGCATGTGGCAGCAGTCTCTCTTATCGACATCTTGAAGACGGATGAAGTGAAGCTGGATTTGTGGATTTTGCCTTCATTTGTGTCAGAAACCAATGCCCTCTCTCCTTTGGGAGCCAATGCCAGTTATGAACAAAAAGCCGTAAGCAGTTGTGTTTCCCCACTCCCATATTCTAAGTGATCAGAATGTGGGATTTCAATGATTTATCGTCTTCCAAGGATAGGTACATTTCAGGTTTTTTAATCATGTTGAAAACTTCCAAAACCCATTACTGCTGTATGATATTTACACGGTTCTTTACTCTGATAGGGCCTGTTTTATAAGGCTACCGTGTCTAATAGTAAGCTTGCTTTTAATTGTGACAGTCTGAAAGCTTACTTTGAAAGCTGCTTCTAGAGAAACCTAATTATTCCTGGTTGGGAATGTTCTTCTGGTGATACCACTAGCCTCCTGGGTACTAAGCATGTCTGATGATAGGTGATTCATAAGCTCAATGTGACATTTCCCAATGAGTTGTTTTGTCACGGGTTATCCATTTTGTCAGACATGTTATTTCATCCTGAGCTTTAATGTGACTATCATGTTGCTGGGCAAGTAGCTGAGAGTGTCATATAGCTTGTCAAAACCGTAACACCATTTGAACCAGAATATGTAATTTTAAAATCAGAGCTGTGAAATTTAAACGAGGATCTTGCTAAGTCACAGCTAATTCCTTTCTTACTTGGTAACCTGGGGTCTAATGTAAGAGTATTAGGTTGCCGTCATCAGCCTTTGTAAATAAGTTAAATCAACTGAAGGACATAGTTTCTGGCTAGGGCAGGGTCTGTCACCTGTTCTGGGTTAAGTTACTGTGGGGTGCATTTGAAGATTTGAAGAAAGCAGTCTGTTGAGATGACGAACTTCTTGAATCAACTGTGACAAATGCAAAAACCCATCTGTGTTTTTTTGAGTATCATTCTAGTAGTCATGCCTCTAGTGTTGCTTTACTTACTCTCCAAACATGAAAGTTAGCACATCTATTAAAAAGCAAATCTGTAATATTAGTAGAAATCATTCTGATATAGTAACTTTGCATGTTCTATAAATTCAGAGGAGTAGAAGATTACAAAATTCCAACACCAATACAGCATAGCTATCAAAGCTGTTCTTAAAAATAGTTTGTTAATATGACTACATTTTAAAATAAAATTAGAAGTTCTTTGTCCACATAGAATTCCCTTTAGTTAAATTATTTTGAAATTAGCTAGTAAAAAGGCATTTACAGAATTTGAATTAGTTGACAGCACAATTTTAATACATTCCTTTGTGTTGGTATTTGGAGTTTGTTTCCTTTTAAAATGTTTATAAATATATAGATATACACACACATATATATACACACACACATATATTTACACACACATAGATAATACATTATATTTACTATATATATGTATATTTGTGACAGTTACAAACTTTTCTGAAACATGTATATATATATAGTAGTGGTGCCTGAGTGTTTCTAAAATCATTGTAACAATACATTAAGCCAATTAGTAGTTGAATCAAAATAAAAAAGGCAGAAAAAGAAAGACTTCATAAAAAAATAGTAAGCTTTGCAAATATTTAAATATAAAATTAATACTTAGCAATCAAGGGTAATATTGTAACAGAGGTGTACAAATGTTTAAACCTAAAGAAGATAAGTATAAGAATATTCATTTTAAAATTAGAAAGTACAAAGAGATGACGTAGGGACATGTGAACTGCTGATGTCTTCATATTTTACAGAATCCTACAGAATTATACCCTGTATTATAGAGTTTTAAGATGGAAAATGACATCACTTCTTAATATTTTAAATAATTTCTTAAGCAAAAAGGAAATTTAAAGAAATCATATCTTTGTTGGTAAAGAAATATTAGAAATTCACCACTATCTTTAGTGTTACTTCAGATTTATTTTGTTATAATCTATAAAAATTAAGTTTAAGACTTAAAAAAGTGTTTATAATGATTAAATATTCATAAATGTATCATTTACCATCCATCCATCCATCCATTCATCCATCCATCCATATCTACGCACAGAAAAATGCCTGAAATGAATTTCCCCTCATATCAATTCCAGTTATTTCTTTGTTAGGATTTTGTGTGTTTAAAAATATTTTGCTGTACTTAAATAATTTTTTGAGGTTTTTTTTTTTTTTTTTTTTTTTTTTTTGCAGTGAACATGACTCCTAGTAGGAAAAGCAAGGAAGAACACTAATAAAAATATGCTAAGATATTATTGATGGTTAACTCTAGATGGTAAGAATATGTATGATATGGGTGCCCTTGTTTACTTCTTTAAACATTTTTAGTATCTTTTCAATTTTAGGAAATATAACTTTTAAAATTAAGAGAGACAAACCATGGTAGAACCTATTATTAGCAAAGTATGGTATTTAGAAGAAAAAATAATTGAATAAATTGTTTTCATAATGTGGAGTTATGTGCTGCCTGTTAAGACAGCAATCCCAATAATGTTTCCATTCCTTTAGGAAACACATTATGAACCTTATAAAATCGGGTGGGATTTTCCATAGGGATGAAATTCATTAGAGCAATGTCTGCATTCTATGAAAACATCTGGTGGTTTTGGTCATTCTGTCTTGTGTTTTGGCCTAATTTTCTACCACGTTGTAAGGCACAGTTTTAAGAATAATTCACACATTTTTCCATCTAGAGATTTTTGACCAAAAAAAGTATATTTATACTGATGGACTAAACAAGTTGCATTATAATTGTGACAGTTACAAACTTTTCTGAAACATGTGTATAGTTTTTTTTTTTTTTAATTTTAAAAGTAGATGTCACACCTAAAATGGGTAGGTCCATTTCATTTTATAAGGAAAGCACCCAGAAGGGTCCATATGTATTTGTGCTCGAAAAGGAAGTAATTGTGTGTGTCATTTCCGCCCCCTTTTTATCAATATTGCCTAATATCAAGGAGAATCAGTAATAATAGAATTATTAATAGCAGTAATAGAATCAGTAGAATAAGAGTGGTAGAGTTAGTACTCATCAGTGAAAAACTAATCAACCTTATTACTTTGAAGGGAAATCTGGGAAGAAAGAGAATAGAATGAGGTACATGTTAGAAATGGAAATGGCGAAGTAAGTAATTTTTCTGATTTTCATAATTCTGTTTCACTAGTTAAATCTATTTTCCACTTTTCTTTCCTTCCTTTATCTGGCTCGGTTCTCACTTTAGAAGGCAAAATTTTGATTATTTGCAAGAGTGCTCCCAACTCAAGTCTCTTAGTCAACATTTCCTTCCCTCAGGCTTCAGTCTATGATATTTCATGTAATAATTTGTAAAATATAGTTCTCATTGCGGGACTCCTCACTTCTATTTTAAGATATTTTTCTTAAATTATTTTATTTCTATTGCTGCATGCATTCATTGATTTGAGATAAAATTTTATAAGTTTGTGGAAATCATTGAATAGGAACTTCTCAGTCAGCGCTGAAAGAAATTTTATGAATGAATAATACAATTCCCTCCTCCTAATGAAAGTATTGTACATCTCACATTTAGTTTATATTGATTGCTTTCTGACATGGAAATAAAACAATCTTTATATTATGCAGAGTTCCTGTTAGTGGTACTATCAAGAATATAAATCTGCCCTTGTGACTTCTATTTCTATGCTTTTCTCCAACCTGAAGTAACCCCAACCAGGTTTTTAATTAAAGTAATGTGAGTCACTGAGTGTATCACCCCTTTTATGCATGATCAAGTTACCATAGCATAAATATATTCCAACTCTTTTGTAAACTTGAATTTTATGGATAGGTAATACAATTCTTCTTTCCAAAGTTTGCAGTTTTACTTCCACCTTTAAAAAATGTTGTAGTCTCTTGGCAGTGCTTATATAAAAATATGTGAAGTGTGGGTAATACTAGATATAGTATATAGATGTACTAGATATGGTTTGCAAAGGTGGACTTGGAAGCCATTTTCATTTTTGGCCTATTTAGAAAATTAAATGATACTACTTTTTCCTATACAACTTATATTTGGTGGGATATTTTTATTTACTTAATTTGAAATTTTAGACTGAATAGTCTTAAATTTCCAGCATAAATATTCTATATTTTAATCAATGTTTCCTTGTATGTAGCATTTGTACAGTTAGTTTTTTGAAGTTTTTAATTTTTTTTTTGTTTGAGACAGTGTTTCACTCTTGTTGCCCAGACTGGAGTGCAATGGGCGACCTCGGCTCACTGCAACTTCCATCTCCCAGGTTCAAGCGATTCTACTGCCTCAGCCTCCCAAGTAGCTGGGATTACAGGCATGTGCCACCACGCCCAGCTAATTTTGTATTTATAGTAGAGATGGGATTTCACCCTGTTGGTCAGGCTGGTCTCAAACTCCTGACCTCAGGTGATCCGCTCACCTCAGCCTCCCAAAGTGCTGGGATTACAGGCGTGAGCCACCATTCTCAGCCTGAAGAAGGTCTTTAAGAATATCAATGAACATTAATACCAGTAATATCAAATGTTAGCCACACATCATGAATATTACCATATATAAGCACAGATGGTAATATCGGGTAGGGCTTAAGAGTGTGGTGTTTGGAGGCAGACCAACTTCCAACACTTACTGGCGTTAGGACCTTTAACAAGCCTTCCCAAACCTCAGTTTATTCATCTGTAAAGGTGAGAATAATTATATTACTGCCTCTTGGGTTTGAGGAGATTAGAGATAATGCAATTGCTGCAGGGCCTGACTCAAAGAAACCACTCTAAAATGTTAACTAGTCTCATTAGTTATTCATTCATCAAATGACAAAATCTGTTTTGCTCAGTTCTAAATAGGAGGCCTCAAAACTTTTAGAGGATGGTTTAGGAACTTGAGTATAGTACACTAACCAAAGTTCTTGGCTATGGTCTTATACCAATTGAGGATTCTTCAGAAGGGCTTCAAAAATAGGCAGGTGTCTATGACAGGTCTGTCCATAGCTCAAATTATTTCAAAAAAATTCCTTGCGTTTTCCTTTTGTTCTGCCATAGAAGATGATTATTTTTTTTCTCCATGATGTTGTCTTGTTTTTCTGTTAGAGGGCTGTCATGTGGTGTGCTAAACTTTTAGATAGCCAGAGATTAGCTATCTAAAAGTTTCAGAATGACTGAAATAGTTATTTTTTCTTTCTTTCTGTTTTTATTATGTGTCTTTGCAAAGGTTTGTTGAGGGAAAATTACCAAATAAAGTTTGAAATAGTATTAGTACCTTTAAATGTTTTCTTTAAAATATCTTAACGATAGATAGATAGATGATAGATAGATAGATAGACAGATAGACATAGAGATATATGGAATGCTTCATTACGCATACTAGACACTTGTTGATTTTTTAAAAGGAAATGAATTTAGAAAGCAATTTTCCTCGAAACCAGTTTTTTTCTTCTTTGGTAAAGGATAAGTCATTCTTACAACTCTCAATGATGCAAGGTGAAATTTATCCAATTTTAAGTAGGGATGCTAAATAATGTAGAGAAGACACAAGCACTTGTTTTGGAGACAGAATATTTGCCCTCTGGGCCCAGATGTGCCATTTAAAATTGAGTGTTCTTTCATTCATTTATTCATTCTTGCCCTTGTTTGGTAAAGGGTATTGGGAAAGATCTGTAATTAAAGATAAAAGTGTAAAAAGAAAGAAAAATTGCCTTGAAAACAAAACAAAAGTGCCAGCAACGGGGCTAAAAAGATAACATAATGTTATATGCCCTTGCTATAAATAGGTCATAATTTTTGTTTCAAGATTTCTAGCAGCCAATGCAAAAAAGGAAATCCTGGTGAAATTACACAAGTTTAGGATATCTTCCAGACCACGAATCAACCAGTCACAAAGAATATGAATACTTATTTTCTTAATATTAGGAACAGAAATCTCCCATGGGTCCTAGTAAGGAGAACATGGAAAGTAAGTGATTACGTCAATTGTAGTATCTTTTAAAAGCAGTATTGAGTTTTATAAGGAAGTCACTTCTTCTTCAGCCTATACACTTCCATAATTTGGAGATGTTTGGGCTTCCTTTAAGGTTCCTTTCAGTTTCAACATACGTGACTCTAAGCTGGAACCCGATGAGATCAGTGAGTTGTTAAATGTGAACATGATCAAACTGAATTAAAAAGCTGTTAAGAAATTAGATATCTCATCTTCAGTTTTTGGACTTTATGATTTTTCTTTCCATTCCTAATGTTTTTTCTATCACAGAAAAAAAGTCTCATGGTAACTGCTTTTAATTTTGACTATTTTCTATTCTTCCAAGAAAATCATTTATTTTAAACATACAACTTATCTTTTTTAGCATATTCTGATTGATGCAAATACTCTTGTATAACTTTCAATAGTCAATGAAATATTGGATAAAATGTATTTCTAAGAAGATAGCCATATATGTGTACTTTTTCAAAATTGCTGCTTTTTGCCTATTATTGTTTGCTCGTTTGTCTTTTGGTTTTGCCTTACTATAATAGAAGACTTATTAGTTATATTTAACTTTCCTCCTTTGAGGAACTAATCATTATCCAACTTAATTCATAAACTTCACAGATGGCATTTCTTCTTAACTTAGAACTATTTTTGTCTTACTATTCTGATTCTTTCTTCTATAAGACAGCCTCATGAAACCTAAACACCCAACATGGAAATATTAGATGGCAAATATGTTTTCCATTTTGTTTGGCCTTAATTTTATTCAGGTAAATAATTGGGTTGTGCTTAACTTACATGGAATACTGCAGTTTATATGATGTGTCATAACATCAAAGCTAAATTAAGGAACAAGGGAGAGAGTTGTGCTTTTTTCCAAACTAGTACAACTTATAATGTTATGCTGTTTTTTAAAATTATTGTCAGTCTTGTTTCTCTTATAGCACAAGGTCTCTCTTAATTATGTAATTTAAAAAATGTATCCTTCTCTTCAAGACCAGCCTGACTAACATGGTGAAACGCTGTCTCTACTAAAAATACAAAAATTAGCCTGGTGTGGTGGCACACACCTGTAATCCGAGCTACTCGGGAGGCTGGGGCAGGAGAATCACTTGAACCCAGGAGGCAGAGGTTGCAGTGTGCCAAGATCACACCACTGCACTCCAGCCTGGGTGACAGGGTGAGACTCCGTCTTAAAAAAAAAAAAAAAAAAGGTATCCTTCTCAACATTTCTGAGACTATATCTCTTAAATTTGTTTTGCAGCTCTCCAAGGACCAGTTGTTTCTCAAATAACTGGTCCTTGGGGAGCTCAGTGGATTGCCTGAAAAACTCTGATTGAGTTGGGGAAGATTTCTAACAGGATGGAATATTTGAGATTTACATAGGAATTTTCCAGGTGAAGAAGGGGAATATGCCATTAGATCTACAAAGACTGTAATCCAGTAGTTGGGTACTAGAAGTAGAGATGAAAATTTCATTGGCTGTTAAGTTTTCAGCATCAATAATTAGAAGCACACTGATACAGCCTGAAACAGGTAACAAGGACACTCACATAGAGTGGATCAAACAAGATAGAAATTTACTTCTCTTTCCTATCATGTCTGGAGGAAGATAGGCCAACGAGAGCAGGCATGTGGCTCATCACCTTAAAGATATCTACCGCCTCAGATTCTTTCTATCTTATTATCAACCGTTTTTACATGAATGCGTGAAGCTTCCTGAACTGTCTGTATATTATGGCAGTAATAGACTATAAGCAGAAATTAATGATCATCTCTCTTTTTTTGTTCACACAAATCAGATTTTGAAACTTTAAGGTTTCTTAGGGAATTTATAGTTCTACAAAACACTTAGAAATGCTGCCTTCGGTTACGGTATCTCCATTAGGTTCCAATTCTTTGGTGTCAGGACAATTTCTTACGTGTTTTGGAGCCCCTCTGCTATATAGCAGACTCTCAAAAATATGTAATAATAAGGGGAGAAAGAAAAGTAAGGAATATGACTTTCATGTAGATTTGAAGTTGTAATTTCATTGATCTCGAAGAGTTGGAAGGATTTAGGTAATCTTATGCAGATAATGGTAATTTTAAAGAAAAGGTCTCATTATGTCATAGTCACTATGTGGACTAAATAAAAGGAAATAAATGAAAAGGTTGTGTTACAGTTATCATTCAAAAACATCCAAATGAAAAAAGTATTTTTTAAATCAGATATGCATTTATTTTGGGGTGGATTTTGGCATTATGCACAAGTGTTCTCTTGAAAAGCAATTCATAGGACCCTAACTGAACTTTTGGATTATAACAGAGGTAATGTCATTCTGCCAAAACACACTGAAATTAGCAAAAGCCAGTACCCTTACTAATTTGATTCTTATTAAGGGAATCCAAGTGATTGAAAACCTGAGATGAGATTTAACTATTTCCGTCATCAAATTCATAACATAAAGGGGAAGCATAACATTGCCAGTTAGGAGAGGGTAAATTCAATTTGGAATTTTCCAGTAGTAGGACAAAAAATAATAAACTCATTATTCTCTTCAGATTATTACCATTATTGCTGCTGTTGTTTTGAGTACAATGACTGCTTACTTGTGCTCTCTGACAGTATATAACCAATTAGGGGATTTGAAATATAGGGAGTCATTTTTGAACAAGGAAAAGGCAGCATAGAATCTATCTATTTGCATATCTTCAAAAGGATTTATTTTTATAGCTAGTTTACCCATTGCCTATTTACATACATGAGTTTGGACCAAATAATGTTCTAAAATCTATCCAAGTTTTTAAAAAATTCTGTTTGGAAATCAAATTTTGTACTAATTTTGTCAATTATTGTTGTAAAAATCTGAAATGCCAGACCTTTTATTTAAAATATCAACATGGGTATGAAAAATAATAACATGGGAAGATGGTATCTATCATTTGACGGGCTTTCATCAACCCTGTATGATACACTCCAATCCTATCATGAGCTCTTTGAAAAGGATTTAGTCTCTTTTTGTCAGATGAGGATAACCCCAGACATTTAAGGAGCTGATGTTTTCTCAATTCCAGAAAAAGAATTGGAACTCAAATCTGTGAGGCACGAAAGTCCCGAAGCCCTCATTCTCCACTGTTACAAATTTGCAGAAATCTGAGTGATATGAAAAATATTTATTTTTATTGATGCTTTATACACATATCCATATTACTTTACATACAATGAATACTTGTGTAAAATTATTTAAAATAAGGTGCTTCATATGTTCAGTGTTTTGTTTTTGACTAAATAAAATATTTATTGAATGCCATTTAAGAGCCCTGCTACATGTTGGGAATACAGTTGTAGGCACAAAAAGGCATGATTCTTACTTTTGGGGAGTAAATGGTCTTTAGGGATCATTTGGTTTTTGCACCATAGGTGAGCAGAACACCCAAAGCAATGAGTCAAAGTGGATGATATAATTTTTCTTATTCCCAAATGCAAATAAAATGTATCTTCAATAAAGTAGATCTGTAGTATTTCCAAGGAAAGTGTTATTTTCATTGAAAAACACATACCATGCTTTCTGTAGACTCTTAAATATCAATCTTCAAATTAAAAAAAAGGTTTTACTTCCACTGCCCTCCCCAACCAGCCCATGAACATGTGGCGCACACACCAGCAGAACACATACATACATAGAATCTGAAATAAACCTACATGTGAAATGACCAAATGGTGCATCTGGATTAGAGTTTTAGACAGATCTGTGCTATTATTTAATTTGTTAGCATAATTATATTTTATGTTTTATTTTCTTACACTTAGGAATTTTTAAACTGTAAAAACCTTATATTATATCATTACATTATTACCGACATACCTCATTACATTTATCAACTGGTTTTTTTTTTTCAGAATTTTCAAGAGTTGTAGCACATTCATAAGATTTTGTGCCTGTTATTCTGTCTTGAATATTGGTGCAAATTTTGTATTTTCATTGCAAAATGCCAGCCTCTTAAGTAACTGTAACTCATCATATGACAGGTGGAATAAAATGGCTACCAGTAATGCAGAGTTAAGCTAGGAAATAGTTTAGCTTTTAGTGTTAATTTTACTTCAAGGAAATTAGAGCATTTTATACATTTATAACCATCAGTCTTGGCTGAAATACTTAATGGAGGCATGATAACATATCTTGTACCTTTATAGATGTTGTAGCTCAAAATTATGTTTAAAAGTTGCTTTTCCAATTAGGAGATCCTAACTTCGTTGGCAAAGAAATAATACACGGTAAAACAAACAAACCACCAATATAGGCATTATGAAAGAGGAAAAACTTAATAATTGGCATTGCAAATGGGTAATTATCTAATTATCTACAGAAGAAAATGTTAAATGACATAATAAACAGAATTAGAAAAACTGGGCAAGATACAAATATTAGCTTTTCAGGTCAGACCATAGCACAAAAGGAGATAGCAAAGTAAGATTTCAGTTTGGGATTAAAACCTCTTAAAAAGGATTTTAAAAAGATCAATTAAATTTGGGCTTCAATTTCTCCATGAAATGCTACAATGTATGGGATTAAATATATACATTATTGATATGACTAGTTTAAAACTGTTCATGACATCTTACCTGAAGTTGTATCCCTCCTGGAAGACAAGAATGTAACAAATATTCTGAAAAAACTTCAGAAAGTATATTATTATTGGAATTATAATTATTTGATGAAATTCAATTAGTGTTTATTAATAATGAGCTTGACATAGAATGCATTATATAGACGGTCACCCAAGTGTCTAATCTTACACACTAAAATATACATGCTGGGAAATGAAGATAGGGAAAATATAATGATGGCAGAACATAACATTACCAAAATATAAATTGTCTCTAGAGATTATTGTATCTTCCACTGTTCCACAGAAAGAATAATTTTGATATTCTATTGCACATTGATAGTCATGGGATCTCTTCAGGAATTTTTTTTTCTTATGATAATGCTTGTGTTCTCGTCTTACAAAATTTTAAGAAAATTTCTTGTGAAAATGTGCTACTCTCTAAGACAGGCTACTGTCTAATTGTTGCCAAGCACAAGCTATAACTATGATAATGAGATTGGCTTATTTCCTTTGTGTTTGTCATTCAGACCTGTTTTAAAATCTTGCAGTTTTAGATGTCAAATAGTCTGTGATGTAAAATCACCTAGATGACATGTTTCCACACTTGTCATCAACATGAAATAATCATATTTCAGCACAGCTCCTCTGTCATATGAGAATTATGTGCCACAGAATCCAGATCCTGGAAAACTACAGGACCCTAATGTGTGTGTTATCAGATTAAAACACCTGAAAATTTAGAATTTATGCATAATTAGCCATTTCAAAGACTTCACAGAATGAAAATAATCTACTGGGCAAAACATAATATATATATATATGAAATCAAACATTGAATGAACACATGCTTTGTGTCAGGCATTGCTCTAAATACTTTAAATATATTCTCATTTAACCTTTCAAATTCTTTATGGGTTGAGTACTATTATCATTTCTATGTTATAGTTTGTAAATAGCTTCCAGAAGGTAAGGTCTAAAGTCACATTGCTAGTTTTTGGTTGAAAGGGACTCTGAACCCAGGCAAGCCAACTCCAGGGTTTGCACACTAATGTATAGCTATACTTTTAAGAAAACTATGATTACTAGATATTTCAATTATATTTCAAAGGTCTTAGGTAAGTTAATTGTAGAATTGGGATAATGTCTTGGGTTCTTGGAGTACACTGCAATCACCATGTTCAGCTCTTTAGGATAATATGACAAATTCTAGCCTGTGCACAACTGTTTCTCTGCCGGGTACATTTTCAGCTGTTTCTCTCCTTAACCTCTGCAATAGTAATCCAATCACCCTGAGATTCCTCATAGGTATTATAGCACAGCATTAAACACTAGCCAGTTTCACCAGGGCTTTACAATTCTTGTTATGCTCTATCTAGGAGAAAACAGAACCAGTTTTTTTTTCTTTTAACTTTTCATCACTGATAGAGGCCTGGTCTGAAAGTTTTTTATCATTTGAACCTACAGAACTGGATTCTAGAATTTATAGTGCCTGCCAAGTTGTGTGTAACCCTCGTGCTGGTTCTTGGGTTCTAATTGCTGCTGCATTCAACCCAACCTCCTGGCACCCCATTTGGACATTCTACATGGAACAATCAATTTCCCACCTTAGAATCTAAATTCTGATTATTTTAATCCGTGTTGGCTCTCCTTGTCCAGGCTCCCCCTGCCCATGGTTCTGATGTCCCAAAAGGCTTTCATACAGAATGCTGCTACGTAGCAAAATAACTTTTATAATAGTTCTTGACTTGGATCTGCTATTTGGCTGTAGGTCTGTGAACCCTAACATTACCTGCAACATTATATGCATGTTCATAAGCACATTTTTTTTTTTCTGAGCAGGGCCTAGAGTTTTAATTTTTTTCTTTCAAAGGTGTCTGTAATCCAATAATACTTAAAACCACTGCTACTAACAGATACAAAGCAAAAGAGAAGGGTGGTTTCTTGTTTTGACACCTGTGTTAGTCCATTTTGTGTGGCCATAACAAAATAGCACAAAGTGAGTAATTTATGAAGAACAGAAATTTACTCTCTCAAAATTCTGGAGGCTGTAAGTCCAAGATCAAGACTCCAGCAGGTTCAGTGTCTCTGACGGCTGCTGTCCATTTCCAAGATGGTACATCCTTGCTGCATCCTCCAGAGGGGAGGAACACTGGGTCTTCATGTGGCAGGAGGCTGAAGGGCAAGAAATCCTAATGCTACATGAAGCGTTAATCCCCTTAATCCCATTTACAAGGGGAGGAGCCCTCATGGCCTAACCAGTTTTTAAAGTCCCTACCTCTTAATACATCACATTAAACATTAAGTTTCAACATTTAAATTTGGAATTTTGGGTAGTATATATTCAAACCATAGCAACCCCTGAATTAAATTATTTAAACATAAAGCAATATGTTCCTGAAATTACTATTTCACATGTTTAATATGTGCATGTGACTAGTGGCTAACGTATTGAACAGCACAGCTTATAGCAATAAGTGATGTTGTGCAAGTTTAAAATATGGTGGCAGAGAGTAATATTGCAACTGGGCTTTTGATTGTTTGTGAGAACCCAGTATTAACAGTCATATGAACAGTAGAGTATGCCTACTAAGAAGGTATAGTTAAACATTATTGTACATGTTTGAGTCTAAGAAATGCTAGCTGCATTTGATCTATATCAATGCCATATGGGTTTTTAAAAATCATGTATTGAATGTGATTTTCAAGTGGTTCAATGATGTAACAGTGTTGGTAGGGTGATACTTTATAGAAATAAAGTAAATTGTGTAATTGAATTCAGTAGGAATTCATAAGTTCTGAAAATGTGGTAATAGTCTACAAACCTTGAAATAAAGTGTAAAATATCACAGCTTTAAACAATGCTGGAATTGGTAAATATTGTTATGAAGACAGTAACAAAACATACTAAATAATTGATAAAGCTATAAAAACAAATATGAATATAGTATGTTATAAGTAGTGGTTACTAGAGAGCAGATGATAATATACATTATATTTAAACATATCTCTATAGAGTCAACAAAATAAAATAAACATTTTGGTAAAAATTACGTAAGCAACAAAATGAATTAGAGTGTATCTCTGCCTCATTACAAGTATAACAATAAATATTTTACAAACAACTGTTAGAAATCATGTGATAAAATAATAGACGTTAAGGAACTGCAATATTTTCATCCATATTAGTAAATCAGGAGCATCAGGAAAAAAGAGAATAAGTGTTAATCAAACTGATAGATCATTGGATATCCTTATGAAGGTTGTATTTGCAGCATCAGGTAGAGTTCAGCTCTTCCTGTGACGGGTAAAGTCTTTATCTCTATTTTTCTCCCAAGTGTTGACCTTCCAAGATATTATTCTGCAAATCTCTTAGCAAGCACATTTCTGACTTGTACAGCATTGAGCTTAAATCTGTATTGGAACAACATTTCAACCGTATTTGAGTCATAGATTATGTTAGTAAAATGTTTATGTTTAAAATTTTTAGGGAAAAGCACCATTCTACTTCTAATTCACAGTGTAGGTGATGACTTATATTTGTAGGAAAAGTAAAGCTACAGCGCGGTGTTTTCTCTAGTATTGCTCTACCGTCAGAGAGTATTACCCTATTATTGTTCTCTTTAAATACAGGGTAATATTTGGCTGTGTTCTATAATGCCAACAAATACTTCACCTTAAAGGGCATTTTGGAAAAGTTCTTGTCAAGATTGGTTGACATTATTATAATCAAATTAAAGTTTTCCTTGAATAAAAACATCATATACTGAGAGAAAAGAAAAGGATATTTGACGGATAAATGTTGCTTCCATCTTGTTAAAGAGTCTTTACCATTCCTTTTATAAAAATCTCAGTATTAAGAGTCATGGTCTCTTTAGAACATTGCCTTAAAGTTATCTGTAACAATAAGCATTCCTATGAACTATTAGTTTTAAATAGAGTGAAAAGATGTTTCTTTCAAATAATTTTTCTTTGTTGCCAAATTCCCAAACTTTCTTTCAGTCAAAAAAAAAAAAAAAAAAAAAACCACAGGGCAACACACACACAGAGACAGAGAGGGAGAAGAGAGACAGAGACAGAGAGAGAGAGCGAGAATTCACAGAGGGACTGAATGAATGTCCAAGATCTTGATATAACGCAAGGGAAATTGAACTGATAATCTTCACCTGTTTGTCCTGTCAGTTTACAAAAATATAGGCTTTGAGCTCAGGCACCATGGATTGGGATCCCATCTCTACCTTTTACTTACTGTCATTTAACCACTATAGGTCTCAGTTTTCACACCTTTTAAATGCAGAGAAAGTAGTAATTCCATCATAAAGGCAAAGATCTTATGCCTTATTTATCTTTTCCTAGAGGTAAGTACTCTATCTAGCATATAATATGCATGAAATAAACAGCAGTTAAATAACTGAATAAAGGGCCGGGCGTGGTGGCTCACGCCTGTAATCTCAGCACTTTGGGAAGCTGAGGTGAGTGGATCACCTGAGGTCAGGAGTTCGAGACCAGCCTGGCCAACATGGCGAAACTCTGTCTCTACTAAAAATACAAAAATTAGTTGGGTGTGGTAGCGCATGCCTGTAATCCTAGCTACTCAGAAGGCTGAGACAGGAGAATCACCTGAACCCAGGAGGAGGAAGTTGCAGTGAGCCAAGATCTCACCACTGCACTCCAGCCTGGGCAACAGAACAAGACTCTGTCTCAAAAAAAAAAAAAAAAAGTTGAAGAAAATATTATGGATATTTATGAATATAAATATTCATAATAAAATAAAATGTTTATGAATGCAATTGAATAACATAACCAACAGATGCTAGGACAACAGCCAACAGGTGACTATTTGGTAATAATGATAGTTAATTATGCTTCCACTTACTAAGTTATTCTTGTTAATTTAAGCATCGTTTAAACTACATTTTGTATGAAATGGGTGTATTATTTTATTTCTTACATTCTACTTCAACTGGTTATCTTATATTTATATTGTTGTGTTTCAGCTAGATATGCTGTTGTGTTAGAACATACACTGTTATACACGATATATCTAGAACCTGTATTTTAGCAAACTTTTTGTTTCAGAAAGATAATAGAACTTTTTTCATTATTATACATAAAGTATGCTTTTTTTCTCCTGTGCTAAAACCTAAAGATTCTGCTTTAATTTTGGCTAAATTATTTTTTTCCCATCACTATCTATATTTAGAGCTTACTTCTGAGTTGTAGTTGGAAGAATTAAATGTGGGAGAGTATGTTTTGCCAAACCCAATCAGAAGGACTGCCTGGACTCTGTACATGAGCCTGTTGTGACCTGATTCTCATGTATTCTCGACACAATGCTGAAGGTCCAAAGCCCTGGCACTTCTAGGGAGCAAATACCTCCAGAGTTGAGTAAACCTGAATCAGGAACACTTTCTCTGACTGAATTCTACCTCAACAATATGCATATTCAAAAAAGAAAAGGTAACATCCTTGGAAAATATGTGCTGGGAACTGCCATATTCAAAATACTTCTAAAATAAATGGAGAGTTTTTTTTTTTTTTTAAACCAGGAAAAAAACTCTTGTGAAGAATTAGTTTCTAAGTTTTTGGTTTCTAAGTAGTTTCTAAGTTTTCTTTGTATTTTATTGATCTCAAATGTTGTTGGGTTTTATACATCACGTAACTTTTGATGTTACTTACAGAATACTCTAATTCTATCATTAGATGTGTTTATTTCTGAAAAGTGAGTGATTGTTGAATAGAATCCCATTAGCAACATTAATGTTACAATTTAAAGACAATAATTTCTTGTAGAACTATGACGAGGATACAAGTTTTGCAATGTTAAACATTTTTGGAGGTGTACTTCCCTTGAGTGGGCACAGTTTTAGTCATTTTGATCTATTTTTAAGCTTCAGTTTGAAAAAGTCATACCTCATTTGTCCTTATAAATATTTATGTCATCTTATAACCAAATTAACTCCTAGATTTTCATTTGAAATAACTCACTTTGGCTGAGTGCAGTGGCTCACGCCTGTAATCCCAGCACTCTGGGAGGCCTAGGTGGGCAGATAGCTTGAGCTCAGGAGTTCAAGACTAGCTTGGCCAACATGGTGAAACACCATCTCTCTTGAAAATATAAAAACTATCCAGGCATGGTGGTGCATGCCTGTAATCCCAGCTACTGGGGAGGCTGAGGCACGAGAATCACTTGAACCCTGGAGGTGGAGGTTGCAGCAAGCCAAGATTGTGCCACTGCACTCCAGCCTGGGCAACAGAGCGAGACTCTGGCTCACAAAACAAACAAAAAAACCTCACTTCAATAGTATACACTGCAAAAGCATAACTATAAAATGGAATAAGACTTTATATGTTTTGCTTGACATTTTATATGCCTTATATATAACTTTTTTTACTTAAATGAGAATAGAATACAATATTTAAACCAATAGCAAGGATGGACTATATGTACAAATCTTCACTATGAGCTTCAAAGGAATGTGTACTAATTGGAAAAACAGAAATAAGGCTAGACATAGAGGATTCTGTTATGTCTCCTCCGAGTGACTAAATGGCTTCACAATATTACATATAGAACCTGCAGATGTAGCCCATTATTGACAAATATTATGGTTATTTTGATATAAATATTTTGATATTATTTTGGTTATTATCATTTTGGTATCATCTTTATGGCTCAAATAAGTTTTCCAATTTTCCTTGAAACATCTTTAACCCTCCTTAAACATCCATTTATAAGCAAAGAAGCATATCGTCTCCCATTACCATGTTGGTCCACCTTCAGAACATTAAAAATAACTCATTAATGTAGTCTTCCACCTAAAGAGTTCTTCTCTAATTTTCTTTAAAAAGTTCTTTAATAAGTTGAATTACTTCACCAGTTAAATTTTAATGTATTTGAGGGCGAACCCCATATTCTTCTTTTTTTTAGTATCTATTATGATCAATGAAATGTTTCTGTTTCATTGATTATATTAGACTTTTTGTTCGTATGGTGCCTATTTAAACACTGTATTAATAGCAGTTAATATATATTGAATGGTTAACATTTCCCAATAACGTTCTGGCATCTGTAGTAACTGACTTAATTCTCACCCTAATCCTTTGAGATCACACCTATTTTACAGACAAGAAAACCAATAAGAAGGATTATTAATTTGCCCAAAACCAATCAGCTATTAAGTGGCCATACTTTTTTTGACCCCCTAGAGTCTGGTTCCAGGGCCCCATGCTTTTCACTGCCTTAGTGTTTCTAAATTCATCTTCCTAAATATAGGACAAAACCTGAACCCTCCTGAAAGAGCAGTATAAAGTACAAAGGAGAGAGAAAAGATTGAGCAAAGGGAATAAAACTGCGAGTATGCCAGTTGAGCAAGCCACACGGTAATTTAACATAAGCCACCTGAAGCCAGGGTGAAAATCAAGGGTGGAAGCACACACACTTCTTGTGATGTGACAGGATGATTCATACCAGTCACTTTTAAAGCACTGTGTAATGAGCAGAGTCCTTAGAAACATCTTAGCATCAGATCAAGATACTGCTATTCCTCATACTGATTGATCTTTACTGATGTTTTAGACATTATATTTTAAAAATTCTGTGAAAGTGATTCCACGAGGGCATTAAGATTGTGCAAATCCAAATATATAGACTTCTGCTGCCTTTATTAAACTGAAAGAATTTTAGGAAGCCTAGAGAAATGTGATGAAAATGATGATGTTGGTCATGGTCATGATGAAGAATCTTGCCAGTTTACTAGCATCAAGTATAAATTACAATCTTTTGATGTCAGTGATGTTATTTTAGAGCTCAGGAAACTGGATCTTGGACAGGCCAAGGGGCACATAAGGTCAAAGAGCAAGTAGGTCCCTGAAGCTCAATCAGCATCTAGACCCTTACTCAAAAATCTATACTCTTCATCCTTACACTATAGATTTTTTCTCAAATCGGAATTTTGAAGGAAAATAACTACATGAGAAATTAACCATTATACTCTCTAGTTTAGGTATGTAATTGATAATTTTGATTAAAGACAGATCTACAAGCTATCCAGCAGGTGGGTGGTAAGGTTAACATTTTATAACAGAAGCAGGGACAAATATTGAAGTACTTACCTACTTCACCTGGCTCTACTGGAAGGGAGAAGATACCAAGCAAAACAAAATTATCCTTAGAATGAAGTTCTGGTTTATTTCAACTTGCTATTGTTGTTATTGCTGGTTTTAACATGTGATAACATTAGTTTGTTTGGGCTGCTATAATTGAATACCATAGATTAGGCAGCTTAAACAATAGAAATTTGTTTTCACACGGTTGTAGAGGTTAGAAGTCATGATCAAGGGCTTTGGTTTCTGGCAAGGGCTCTCTTTCTGGCTTGTAGATGTCCGTCTTCCTATGGCCTCATATGGCTTTTCCTCCATATGTGTGTGCACAGAAAGAAAAAGAGTGAATTCTCTCTTGTCTGTTCTTATAAGGACGCTAATACTGTTGGATCAGAGTCCCATCATTATGACCTCGTTTAACCTTCATTACTTCTTTAGAGGTTCCATCCCTGCGTATAGTCACACTGCGGGTTAGGGCTTCAACATGTAAATTTTAAGAGGATACAAACATTCAGTCCATAACAATATGAAAACCTCAACTTGTCTCTAGGTTTATCAGAGGCTCTCTAAAAGCTTTGTTAAACCTCGTAGCATGGAGTCACATTGCTATCTATATTCTCGTTGTAAATACACACATCCAGATTCAAGTTGTCAATTGCTTCCACCCTTTACCACCTCCAAGCTATTCTTGGGGCCACATTCTCTCGCTTTGGCTCCCAGAGTTTCAGGCAGAAAAGAGAGTGCTATTGGTTGCCACTTCTCAAGCCCTCCAGTAACATCTACATTCAACTTTGCCTCCTCCTCCACCTTGTTATGAATTGCAAGACCCCATGAAAATCAATGGAACACATCCCTTAGAAAAAGAATGGGGAGCCCTACTCTAGAACTTCACTAATATTTTGAAGAGCAAATTCTTCAAGGGAATGGTCAAACCAATAATTTCTGCTTCTCAGAAAATACTTGTCACAATAGAAATTGAGGTTTGATAATACAGATTCTGTCCTAAAATATTATGATTCCTTTGGTGATTAATGAAAGTAAACTATCACATTAACATTTTGATGTGATATAACTCATTAACATATAGTCTTATGAAAAAAATTATTGATTTTTACATAGCCATACTAAATATTAAACTCACTACTATAAAATTAGCTTATTGTTTAATTATTCCACAAAAGAGGAATATATATTTCAGATCATTTTCCATTTTCTAAAATAGCCCTTTTCACATATTTGCATAACTGCAAGTATGTCTTCAGCATCCATTGATTTACTGATTTTATATATTTAAAGGCAAATTTTTTAGGTATATTTGAAGAGCCATTGGACTTTCTATGCTTTCAGAAACAGTAGAATGCATATTAATTATAATAATAATTTATATCAATGCTGAATAATAATATTGAACTTTATATTACAATTATGGTTCCAATATGTATTTCATAAATTTCTAAATCTTAATACCTAAATAGAATGCTATGAGGCACTGGAATGTTTAATACACAACTAAATTTTCTTTCTTTTGAAAATTTGTCAAATTTCTGTGACTCAAATTTGATAGAAGAGAATTCTTTGACCTACTGGTTCCTATGATTCACATACGAAGGGTGATACCTATGGGTATAGAGCAAATGCGTGTTTTATTTATAATAGCAACTTTGTTTTAGATAAATTCAGTGAAATAATAAATGTATATGACTTTTTTATGTGAATGGTTAAGGAATGATTTTATGTTTCTTTTATTTTACCTCTTTAAAAAAGAAATCATGTGTTTGAGAGTTTGTGCATTTCTATCTTCTTAAATATTAACAACATTTCTGGATATATGGTTATAGAGGTTTGCATAATATTTAGTCAAATCAGATTTATTTATATGTACTTTAGAAGTATTCTTTTTAAACAGTATTCAACTTTCTCTGACATATGCAGCTGCAGCAAAAAACGTTTACTGAAAGATACCTTGGAATCATTTGTGTACAGAGTTTAAAAGTTAATGTTGTCTTATTTACCAAAATAAAATAAGAAAATAAAGATTTGATAGGGCCAGAATGTTAATTAGACTAGAAAATGCAACTTTTTATTCTGTAAATAGATCAGAGTGTGTTAAAGCAATCTGAAAATCTGAAGCATAAATGTAGAAAAAATTTTAAACTTCTTTACTCTTTGTTAACTCATCAAGTTGAAATGAAAGTTAAGTGCATTTAAAGGCATTTTCAGTAGAAAACAGCTTTTCTTTGGGAGCTGCTGGGCAAACATCCTTTTTTTAATGAAATAGATATTGTATATATGATAAAGGTAAATAAATACAGATAAAGCACTTAGATGAAAAAAATAGACTGCAAACACTGTTATACATTCACTTGTAGGTTCTTAAGTCATTTTTTTTGTTCTTTTGTTCTGTAATTGATTGCTAGCACCCCCTTTAACCCACCTTAAAGGGCAAGCAGGAAATTCATGTTTTCGTTCATCAGCCCATCCCTCTGAAAAGCGTTCGATATTAAAACAGTTTTCAAGGAGCAAAAGCAGAGGAAAGAAGAGGCCCAGCTAGACTGTAGCAAGGTTAGAAGATACACGCAAGATTGCCTGCCACACACATCGGGTCTTGTTCCTGTCCAGTATTTGCATGGAGATATCAAGTTAATTAGGGTAGGACTCTGTTCTTCGCTTTCTATGTGACCTTTTATTATATCTGTGGCTCTCTAGTTCATATGGTGTCATAAAGCTATGGGAAAGTCTTTCTAGTGTTTGACACAAACTGCAAAAGAAATAAGCATTGATATTTCCCTTTGCCTGAAGGTTTTTACAGCAGCAAAATACTGCAGAGGCAAAGTTGATATTGTGGTAGATTTGCTGTGGGTGTAAGAATGTTTCTTTTGTCTTTCGGCTCCCCGCTTCCCCCGATGATGATCAGGTGCGACCTAGAGAGTTGTGGAGAGGAATGGGGTATTGGTTGGGGAGGGGGTGCGGGTTAGTTCAGGAGGAGGTTACATGGCGGAATTCCCACGAATGCTGGCGAAGGATGAAAAAGATGAAGAAATCTTGTTTTTCTGAACGAGAGGATTCTCTGCATGACTTCCCCACTGTTGGGGTGATGAGCTTTCAGGCTGAGATTTTATTAACAATTCATATGGAGATTGAGGGCAGTGGAGGAGCAGATTCTCACATAAACTTGATCTGTCCATGAATGCAGTTCTCTGTTTGCCCTGACCCTGCATGGCTTAAGACACTGCCTGTGAGGCCAGTGTGCCAGACACAAAGAAAGAAATGAAAAGCAAGCACATTCCAGGAGTCTGCACAAAGGAGCCCGGCCGTTTCTAGTCGTCTCCCCAGAGAGGATCTTATCTCTGCACAGCCAAAAACCTCTAAAATGTTTATTTGTGTACTTAAAGTTTTAAAATCCATGTGGCTGTTCATTAAGCAACAGTCAATAGAGAGGTTTTGTGAGGTTTTAAAATGTTGTTTTCTGAACTTGTTGAAACTGGAAAAATATTTGCAAGGGTACATTTTCTGAAGTTTAGCTTTAGAAGTCACTGGCCTTGAGTTGTTTTTACTTTGTCAATTGGTAGGTAGCCTGCAAAATGAGTCCTTTCCAGCTTTGGGAGAGGCCAGAACAACATCTTAAATCTTGATTTGACTTCGTAATACATCCTGACACTGCAAGCTCTGAAACTTGTGGCAGAGAGTTAATGCATGAGACAAAACTGACCTGGGATCACAAGTGGACATCCTCACGCTCATGATCACAGACCACAGTGTTACATTAGAAAAACTATGGGAGAAGCAAGTGCAGAGAAAAGTTTGAGTGAGAAGAAAGAGTGAGAGAAACTAGGAACTTTTATTATAATGTTTTTACAATTATTGGCAGTTCACTATCTCTAGAAGCATTATAACAGGATAATGACAAGCTCTCACAAGACATTTCTCTGTAACTTAATATAATAGGTTTTATTGTTTGACAAATGCATTGTCTGAAAGTATGACATCTTTAGGTTCAGGGGATAAAAACTCGATATACATAATTCTGCTGCTCAAATACATGTTTCCACAGATACTTAAAATTCAGAAAATCCAGATACACAGGCTTTTTAATTTTGCATATGTGTTTAGCTGTTCAAATTACTTCAAACTTTTATGGTTCATTAATTAAATAACCAGTAGAGGAATGCAGACAAATGCCATTAATTATGATAGGTTTTGTTCCTTTCATTTTATAGTGGTTTTATTTCCATGAAATTAACTGTTGTACTTAGGCTAATTGTCAGTAATTGGTGACAAAATCACTTCATTGTTTTTCTATAGCATGATACTAATGAGGATATTTGCAATATTGGCCCAACCATGTGTGTATTTTACCTTCTGTGTTTAGTCAGTGGTAGATAATATCAAATGCAACTTTTTAAGAGAACCATGAGATAAAACATTTCTATTAATAATTAAACAAGTCTTTTAAACAGCCTGTCATAAATTAATTTTAAAACATCGAGATTGAAGGAAGCTTTTATTTTAGGTTTAGTTGGTTTCATGAAATATCAACTAATTTTCCTGATTTGAATTGAATTGTTTTGGAATCATCTATGCAATATCGCAATTACAAATCTCAACTGCTTAGCCACATGTATTTTTATTATTCTATTTGTGTAGGCAATGCTAAAATTAGCATTGCTAAACATGCTTTTGTGAGGTATCACAGAGCTGAGTGGGATTGCCTTTCTTTTCACACCTGATGGTTAAATTCTCATAATATATAGCAATATTACTTATTCTTGTTTTCTAACAGTATTTTCCTGTTTCATTTTGCCACATGAAAATGTTTTTCAAAACATTGTATTTCAAATGAATATATATGAAACAGTTGAGATCATGAAAGCTTGGTTTTATGTATTTTTTTCAACATTAAAAAAATATACTTCCATGTAAGTAATGGGTTATAAAGAGAAAAAGCAGTGGGAGAGTATTCCATTTTGTGAAGTGAGATTTAATGCCAATGGCAGAAAATATTGCAACACTACTTATCCCATTAAAACAATCACAGCCAATACTGCTTTGCTCACTTCGTTCCTTAAAAGAATTCTTCTCAATAGATTCCCCTATGATTTTTATGAATTCGTAAGTTACAAAAGTTTTCTAGTACTTTGAAGTACAGTCTTTTTGCTTCTTTTTCTTATTCTAAGATGCTTTTACCAATCAAGTGCCATTTTACAGTTTATAGCCCACTCTGTTTGTTTTAAATGCAACCATAATGTATACCTTAGAGCTGAGTGTCTCCCAATCATCCTGAAAAAAGTTTTTACAAAGCAATTAGAAAAATAATTGCCTATTAAAAGGTGAAGATTGGTTTGAGTAGGGAGAGCAGAAACTGAACTCTGAAATTGAAAGCATTCATTGTTAGAGGAAACATATGCACCAAATCCAAAATTAAAGAAAACTCACAAAATACGTATCTTGGCAAGGGGAATTGTTTGAATTTTCTAAAGCTGTCAGTCCATTTTCTCTACTTTTTTTCCGGTAAAGAAAAACTTCAAATGGAAAGCTTCACCTTTTGTACAAAGTTGAAATGTTTTATTATTGCAGAATTGTTCTACACTGTACAAAACCAGAACAATTCAATAGCTTCCGGGGGGCCAGGGGATGGGGAAACAAATGAGAATCTTTCCATCATTCTAGAATACCCATAGCAGAGCAAAAATAAGTATAAAAATCTATGGTCATTTCCTTGAAAAAAAGAATCTTTTGATTACAGCAGTTATTTGAATACCCATTCAGGCTCTTTTGTGACATGTAATAAGTGCTCTTCTCCCAAATGAAAAATACTCTTAGGGAACAAAAATCAAACATAAACTACGTTCAGATGCTGCATTTCAATAGGTGACCCCATAGGATTAAGCAAAGGTTATTTTTCTTTTTTGCATGTGCTCTAAAAAATAAATTCCCCAGAGTTAAATTTTGTTTGTTTGTTTTTCATCTTACTGGTGTATTTCCAATATGTTTTCTTGCTTTTTGTCAGTTTCAAATATATAGAATGTGAAAAATAAACAAGGCGGGAACTGACTTCAAGTTTTAAGAGTGATAAAGTATTGTGAAAGTTACTTAGAGAAGATGATTTTTCTCTGATTTATCCTGCCATATTATAGACTCTGGAGAATACAATAATATGGAGGTTTTTTTCTCTTTCTTGAGTATTCTAACTGTTCAAGGAAAATACTAGAAAGAAGTAGGACTCTGGTAATACTATGAGCCATATCCATGGGCATCTAAATCCTGTAGAAAAAAATAATAAATACAGTTTGCTTCTCACTTAATCATACTTGACAACCATATAGACACTGCTGGGGCCATCATGAGTAGCAGGCGGTATGTTTGACTGTTTTGGCCCCAGAAGTCTTTATAATTGTAATCAGTTTCTTCATCAGTCCATGCTGTGCCAATACCCCTAACTAGCCATAGTGTCATTTTAAAAATTAAAAATAACCCACATTCAATAACATCAACAACAACAACCACCCCTCAGCATAAACTATGTTCTCTGTGTGAACTCACAGTACGGAGCAGTTGCATCCAACCCCTGGGCTCTGATTTACTTGGCACACTTGGGGTTAATCAAATTCCCCCACTGTGAGGTGCACACACATTTAGAGGACTATAACACACTCTAATGCTACCTAACTCTGCTGTCATTTTTAATATTTTCATGAGTTTTTTTTAAGTGATGTGCATAGCAGAAATAGCCTGACTTTTTCTTACTGCTAAATAGAGTGCCCACCAACTAAAGCAAACAACAATAAATTAAATAAAAAATGATCAGATGTAGAACATATTTATTCCAAGATAGTTTTAGTTTCTGTTGCCCAAATAAGTTTCACATTCTATGAAACTTGCCTTTTCCCAGGGGTTAAGCTCCTGCAGCACTTGAGATAGTGAGCAATGGCTTCATTAAAAAACATAAAGCATAACAAAACGATGTGGTAAACCTTGGGGTGCTTTTGTTTTTACTTATTTTAGAATGTACTAACAATTTTGTATGCCTCACAATAGAGGCATCCATGTATAAAGACTTGTAACTACTCTTATTATATTCACATTTTCTGGGGCCTTAATTTCATGGTGAACAATATCAATCTGTAACTGGGGCAAATTTACATGACATCACATACAAGGCCCAGCAGGTCAAAGGTGGATGAAACAGGTTCACTGCTGCATGCCATGTGTCTTACCTGGACAGGCAGCCATCAGCTCCTGCTTCAGGTGACCACTGTCTGCAGGTAAAACCAAACTCTGTACATTTTGCTCTTAGTGCCTTATGACCAGTTGTTTTCACTCATAAATAATGTTTGAATTGTAAGCTCTTTTGCTCTGGAATCCAGAAGCAACCAGTCACTAATGATCATTTTGCAAACTACCTAGTCATCTACCAGCTAAGAAAATAATGGCCTCTCACTCTCTTTTGTGTGTGTGTGTGTGTGTGTGTGTGTGTGTGTGTGTGTGTGTGTGTTAGAGCTGTTAGCATTCATCAACAACCTTAGTTGTCCCTACCAACATAGGCTTCATCAGAAACTTTTCTTTTTTTTTTTTTAGTAGCAAAGATAGGCTACTTAAGATTTTATCTCCAAGTATGAACATAGAAAATATAAAATATTCAAGCTCTAAATCATACTTTGGATATACCTTCTAATTCTCACTTTGAACTACCTGTGATAAGACGTGACATTTATGTTTTGTCATATTATTCAACATATAATTTAAAAATAATTTAAAATCACATCTAAAATTTTAAAAGAACTTAGGCACTAATATGTTTTGTAGTCTTACATTATTATTTAAAATAATAAAAGAGTAAAATTTTATAGAGTATATTTGTAGGTACATATTTTTCCTTGAAGGGTTACATGCAATGGAAAGAAGATAGATTAAGAAAGAACAGTCACCTATATGTAATTAAATTTCAAAATGATATAGAAAAAATTTACTGGAATGAAGAAAAAAATCTGCCTTTTAGACAACTACATGGAAGGTTTATTTTTATTTTGTAATACGGACTTTTGTTCCCGGATAACTTGTAACAAGCTCAAGATGTGGAGTATTAAATGAATTATTACAACATATAGCCTAGAAGTAGGACCGCATTGTAAACCATCAAAGGTATAACACACTAAAACAGGCCATGTGATTGTGGTTAACGCACTCATAGCGAGTGCAAGCAAACCTTAACCTTCTGGATTTTTACATGTTATGTTTTACTCTTTGGTTTACTTCTTCCTGTGATCAATACCCGGGCAAAGCCAGAGCTCTTCAGGAGAAGGTTGAGATTATAACAATGTCAGCTTTTGCTTTTAGCGGAGTGATGAGGTTATCAATAATGCATTGGAGATCTTGGGAACCTTTGACATACACATATCACAGCTGCCCCACGTTTATCGTAGGACTTGCAGGTCTGAGCTGAGTTGTCACCTCATCTGTGTTTGAGCCAGCCATTGATGCAGTCAGTCTCAAGTAATCTTGGGCACCTAGGGAAAGCTGTTGAGATTATTTAACTGAAACATTGCATTTGAGGAAGTTATTTAGGAGTGAGAATACATCTATGAAATGGCTTTTATTAAGAAGCTTGTTCAATATTCCTTTAATAACTTTTTGTCTCCCTAGCTCCCTTCTAATGTTTATAAGTCTTGTTGTTTCTGTGACAAGTTTATTCATATCCTAACAGCTTGTCTGGCAGCAGGGTTCGTGTTTTTTACTTGAGCTTTCTGGTCACGGTGGTGGCTGAGAGTAATGGAGGGGGAATAAGTGGGTGTGGAAATGCAAAGCTGTCTCTTGTTACATTTTATCGATCTCATTCTGGTGTCATTCAATTAAGACAGAAATGTGATGGATAGTCTCTGCCCAGATTCCTGGGTTGCTCTCCATCCCTTGCAGATACAGCTTTTGTGTTTTATTTTGGGGGAAGGGATGGGGAAAGGGCACGGGCAAGTGAGAGAAATCAAATATGCTATGTGATCTGAATTACAAATCAGTGTCTCTCTAAGGATGCTCCAAAATGTCAAACATGCCATGTTTATATTTTCACATACACAGAGTACTTCTGTTGATGTATGAGATGGGTTACTAGAATTTAAGTTGGGGTTAATTATTGTTGATTTATTTTCAAAGACCTGTGAGCTAACATCACTCTTCTACCAGCTCAAGATAATTAAAAATGAGCCACATAGAAAAATACTTGAGTCCAACTCATGCCATTTTTGAAGTTTGCAAATGAGAAATTATTTTCTCATTTTTTTTTTATGAGACTGTGATTCTAAGTTGACCTTTCTGCAAATAGACTTTCAGGCTGATAAAATGAAAATAGTAGGTATTTTTTTTTTTAGTTTATAAACAATTCATTCTAATTGTTGCCTATGTTATCAAGAAGTGTACTATTGTGAGTAAATTTCAGAATTTAGGACTGTGTGAATTCTGATCCTTACCCTTGATGATGTATTTTCCCTTAGCTATATCACTACCTTTGTTTGCTACCAGTGTTATAATGAGGGTTGTAGGAATTCATGGATGTGAGAGGCTCTAAAAGTAACAGTTCATGTATGCAAAGTTTTTTTTAAAAAGACATTAAAATCGCTACTGCAAGCACATATAATAAAAGCAGGATATGTTCAACAAACTCCCTTGCCCTTCTCAAAACAATGCCAGATTCAAATTGAGCATTCAGAATTTTCTAATCGAGGTTATGGCTTCTGATAATTAATCCATACTAAAAGGGAGTATGGAATAAAAATATAAGCAGGAGTTTTAACATTAGATCAATATGTTAATGTCCAGGCTCCCCTATATACTCAGTATATGACCTTGGGAAACATGCATACAGCCTGTAGTTTAACCTTAATTTCATTATCTGAAAAATAAATAGCATTGCTTTGAGAATTAGGAGACTCAGAATATGAAAATGATTGCTCCATGCTTATCCTGTGTACTTGGCCCACGGGAGACATCCAACACGTTTAGTTTTATTCTGAATCCCCCTTTATGGTTTTGACACTGAGTAATTTGGTCCTATAATAAGCTTGCTCAGTCATTTGGGAAAGGAATGTAAGCAAAGAAAAATAATACACTTGGGTCCTACCACTGTGAGTCAAAAATATTCCAGATCCTAATTCACAGAAGCTAATTTACCAATCTGTGTGATTTTTTTTAGTGATTTTATTAAAAAAACTAATTGTCATTAAAAAGTTATCCTAAAATTTTGTTTATGGAAGGCACTCCGTGTGTTTTGTCTTAATCCAAATTTATCAGTGATTTTAAACTATCATGCTTTCATCCTAAAATTAAAGAGAAGCTGCTGGTTAAAGCAGTTGTTTACTAATTTTACAAAAATTATAGGGCACTTGGAAATGATTTAGGTGGGAATTTAACTGATAACCCACATTGTAACCCACTCAATAGTGTAGAAAAACACAAAATCTTATGCTGCTGGTATATGTCTTGTAGGTATTGTTAAAAACTATACATATATATGTGAGGTGGGACCTGGCTATCTTTATTTTTACTGTTTCCTTCTGAGGTTGTAAATTTTTAAATTGGATGTTTAAAAAAATCATCTTCATGAGACAAGGCTTACCAGATATACATCAAAGTATAATTGATATCTATTTAAGGAAAATACATCCATAAGACGTAGGTAGTAAGTAAAAAGTTTTTCTACATGATCCAAACATAAGACATAATTAGAGCATGTCTGGGAAAAAAAAGGATGTATCCTAAATATTGCACATGACTTTTTTCAATATATACTTGGTGTGTGCTAAGACTGCTTAATGCATGCTTTATGAAAACACTACCAACACTTTGGTTGAAGATGTAATGAGAACAAATTTCTACACTCACATAATCATTGTACACTCAGTAAGCATTACTGCATAATGAACATATTTGTGTGCTTGTGTTGGGAATTAATGCAAACCATTTTATTCATTTCACAAAGGGTATGAATAGTTCTCCTTGATGTGCTAGGATAATGTTATAACTTTTCCCAGATAGGGTAGGAATTGCAGTGGTATGTTTGGTCATTCTCTTATCCTTTGAGATAGTTCAGGTCTAAATCTGGGTGTGGGGTGCTTCTTCACTCTCTTGGATCCAAGAAGGTGCTACTGAAAAGCAACTTTCCAAGTTGTACTACATTCCACAGCTAACTGATGGAATTTTAAATATTTCATAAGGTAGACTTAAAAAAATCACAAGTAACTATGATTTACAGAATTTATAGAAACAGAGGCTCTAGTTTGGGGTCATACCTAATACACTAAGTTTCAGTGTTCAATTCCAGGAGAATACATAACCAAATCATGGTGACAATATTGCCTCCCCTTAAACTCTTAAAGAACTCTTTTCGTGGCAATTTACAAGATAGTTAAGCACCAGTTGTCAATGATATATGTTTTTCTTTTTAAAAATTCTTTGCTGCCTGTAGTTAATATTAAAAACTTTGTTGTTGTTTGCGTTCTATTTCTTTATAGGCTTTCTTTCCAATTAGAATGTAAGCTTTGTAAAGTAAAAGGCAATTGGAGATGATAAATGAAGGTTGAAGTAATCATGCTGACCATACTTAGTGCGCTGGAGAAACAGAAGGTTCCTATATTCGCCATTTTTATTTTCTGTTCATCAAAGAGGATTTAAAGGAAGATGCCATCCCTTAGACCCTGGCAGTTCCTTCTCTTCAACGTTTAAACCTCCACTTTACATTATTGAACTAACAAGATGTTCTAGGCATTCTATTGCAGGCAAGGTATGAACAATTTCAAATTTATCAACAATCAAAATCATCAACAAGATGATGTTAAGTTTCATAATCACTCTGCGCCTATCTTTGTGTTTGCAAGATTCTGACTGGTATCTACCTCCATTGGTTTCTCTGTCTTTGTCTTAATATCTTTCCTGCATGGCTTTCTGGCTATAGCAGCATGGTTTGAAATACTCCCTCAGTAGTCCACTACCATTTATCTCAAATAGATTGTTCTTTTGAAACGTCAAAGTATTTTTTAATACCTTTTTTGTTACAGTTACAACCTAAGACAACTTCAAGTTGATATTCTCCAAATGAGACTCTGATTCAATGAAATCTGTTCTCTCTATTAGCTCATTTTCTCTCAATCTCTATCTCTCTTGCTTTTCACACTTTACTCATCTCTTCCTCTCTAATTGTATTGGAAACTCTTTAGAATCCTAACATTGGAGTTTTGGATATGGCGGGAATCTTAGTGGTCACAGACTTCATCTCTGTGCTTTCACAGATGAAGGTCCCAAGGCTCAGAAAACCTATGGGAGCTCAAATCTAAGAGGAAGTCTAGGAAAGGTCTTTGCCCTGTGGAGGCCTCTAGGTGTCTTACTGAGGGTCAACCCTATCATCTGGTCTTAGAGTTTGCTGGGCAGAGTTCCTTGTCTTATTTATCTTTCTGCCCACAGTGCCTGGCACCCTGGAGGAGGCTAACGTATGCTTGTTAAAATAGTCAGAAAACTTTATGCCATATCTGAAGATGTTTTTAACATATGATGAGTTAAATTTCATCTTCCCAAATGCAGATGCTAATTATGCGTTCTGAGCATGAGAAGGAATTTGAATGTTTTATAACTATATGTTGATAATTTTCTCTTTATAGAGATCTGTTACTCCAGAGGAAGAATTTGGGGTCCTGTTTTTCTGTTTCTCCTCAGATCATTTCTAGAAATTAGTATTAGCATTAATATTCTCATAATTTTTATATTAGAAGAAGGTACCTCCAAGCTTGTTTTCTGAGTAAGATCCTTTTTGAGAATAACTGGGTGTCTGCTACATAAATTTGACAAGCTATTTTGGTGGTGAAAGTTTAAACAATACTCTGCTAAGAATAGAAGATATACCCTCAAATCACACATTGAAAAAGGTAGTCCAGATGAAACCTAGAAATTCTTCATGTTGATCAACCT
The DNA here is from genome assembly GCF_000001405.40 of Homo sapiens. Lineage (NCBI taxonomy): Eukaryota > Metazoa > Chordata > Mammalia > Primates > Hominidae > Homo > Homo sapiens. The sequence continues at coordinate 16,290,159 of NC_000021.9, forward strand.
TCTCACTATATTCCCACCGTAGCATTTTATCTTTCCTCTCATCAAAATCTGATTAATCTCTTATGGGCTTTTTGTTTTGTTGTGTTTTGTTTTCAGTCATTAATGAGTATAATGTCAGCCTTTTGGCTATCACTTGAATTACTTAGTTGAATATTTTTTTTTTTTTGAGACGGAGTCTCGCTCTGTCGCCCAGGCCGGACTGCGGACTGCAGTGGCGCAATCTCGGCTCACTGCAAGCTCCGCCTCCCGGGTTCACGCCATTCTCCTGCCTCAGCCTCCCGAGTAGCTGGGACTACAGGCGCCCGCCACCGCGCCCGGCTAATTTTTTGTATTTTTAGTAGAGACGGGGTTTCACCTTGTTAGCCAGGATGGTCTCGATCTCCTGACCTCATGATCCACCCGCCTCGGCCTCCCAAAGTGCGTGGGATAACAGGCGTAGAGCCACCGCGCCCGTGCCATTATATTAAATATGGACCCAAATTTGTCTCTGGCCCCCAAGCACAGCAAGTTTTCTAAAAGATTGCTTTGTCCCAGATTGAATTACGAGCGTGGGACAGGGCATTGGAATAATCTGGGCAAGTGGGCCATTGAGAATAGGGGTAAAGCAACACAGCCATGCTACTTTCACCTGTCACTTGGGAACAATAATTTTGGAGTGTTTACCCATAACTAAAGATGTCTGGAAAATATAGACATGCACTTCTTTGCTTGTTTCCTGTCATGTTATATTGTAAAGCTCACTGTTTTGAGCTAAGCCATAAAAATCCTCAGCTGGGTCCAAGTGTTCCACGACTGTTGAATTTGGTCAGGAAGCTTATTTGGTCATTGTACTCAAGGGTGATAAAAGTCCTTGAGGATTAACTCTCACATAATCAAGTTTACAGGAAAATCAACAATAGAAAAAAGAAAACAACCATGGATAAATGAAGGATGTATATATTTGTTAGCTGATCAAAACATTTTCTTTCCAGTAGAATAGTGAATTCAGGAAATCATATTAGTGCTTATATGACCATTACAGATTATAAAATCAAAATAAATTGTATACATTAATCCTAATGATTATCACCAGATAACTATCACCTGAATTTCCAGTCAAGTGAGGAGGAATCAGGAGTCTCCAACATGGTTGGCGGGAAACTCCTTTCAAATGGACTCTGCCGTCTTGTCCCTTTTTTATCCTCATGCGAATTATCATTGCTTATGAGTAAAATAAGTCAACGGAATGCTTGGTATCGTTCAAAACAGATAAAGGTAACTAAGCAAAATATCATCACAAAAGAACAAGCTAGTTAGCAAAAGAAAGCATGCCGCTTATCAGCATAGATGTCTGTTCTTGTCCTCTTTGTTTATCGATCTGTCTGGTTTTATTTTAGCAAGTAACAGTTTATCTAGCAAAGTTTCAAATGCAAGTAAAAAAAAACTGTGGGATTAGAGTACCTGTAATTTTGCTTCCAGACTTCACAAATATAAGAAAAAGTCCCCAAACAACTCTACGATTTTGCAAACTTTCTATATTTTGGAAGATAGGTTTTCTGATTTTCTTTTATCAGCAAAAACTAATCAAAGTTGTCTTAGGTGAGCACTATGCTCAGTAGAGAGTGACGTGAGTGTACAAAAGACCACTTTTTACCTTAAGCAGTTTGCAATACAGCTAGGTAGAAAGCATCTTGAAATGGAGGGAAGACTAAGAATTTTAAGTCAGTTCTGAATGCTAAAAAAGTGATACAAATCAATCCTCTTCAGAACTTCAAAATAGAATTGGGCATTTTTTTTTCTACGTAGCCCAGAGCAATGAGAGAAAGATATTTGGAGGAAATGTGATTTGAGAATTGTTCTAAAAGAAAGTTAGAGACAGACAAACCAACAGAGAAAAAAACATCCCAGAGAACTTTGTATCTCTGCTCCCAATCTCAGGACCGTGGAGACGTACTCATGGATGGAGAAAATGGACCCACAGAAGATTGCCTCAGGACATCACAGGGGTTATCTAGAGCAAAAAAAAAAGGACTAACATTCATTGCATGTTCTCTGGTTGACTTTAATCAGTGGTTTCATGATCCAAATGAAATTACATGTCTCAATGAATAAATATGTAGCTATAATACAAAACAATAGGGGCACTTTTGTATTTTGGGCAGGTGGGTGAGTGAAAGTATGTAGGGAAACATTATTTTCACATCTTGTATACATTCTTGGGAGGTACCTATCTGCCAACACCCTTTAGATCTTTTTTGATGTAGACTAAAACATTATACATTCAAAATGGGAGAGAGATGTATAAATTGTCATAAGAAGTAATGACATGTGTGAAACAGGCCTCATATTTTCCCACTCATCTACTCCTGAAATCCTGCTCCTTTCCAATTTCCTGTCTCAGTAAATGGTACCAACATTCACCCACCCAGTAACTCCAGTGTAAAGGCAAGGTGTGATAGATTTCTCTTTTTTTCTGACACTCACATTCTTTCTATCCTCAAGTCTTGCCAACTTTACTTTCAACTCTGTTCCAGTACAGTCAATTCCCCATACCCCCAGAACTACCGCTTTTTCTGAAGCCACTGTCATCTGCTACAATAGCCCTCTAACTGATATTTCTGTTTTCATTCTTCTCCCCCTAGAGTTAATTTTGCTCACACCAGTTAAGGTGATTTTTCAAAACTGTAAATTAGATAAAGCTTTTCTATAGTCTCTCATTAGAAGAAATTTTAACTGCTTACCCTCGACTGCTTGAGCCTACATTTTGAAGCTGCTGCGTATGTGTCTGGCTTCATTTCCTACCACTCTCCCTTGCATATCATGTCCTAAAGACACTGGCCTTGAAGATGTTCCTCTAACGTGCCTTAATCCTTCTAACCTCAGAGACTTTACACTTACTCTATCTGCCTGGGACACTCAGCCTTCATATGGGTTTCTCTTTGTTACATTCAGGCTACCACTAAAGCATCTCTTCCTCAGAAAGACGTTATCCAGCCTCCCAACCATTACTTCCAACTCATTACTCTCATCTCATTATCCTCATTTGTTTAGCATCATGGTACTTGTCAATACCTGGACTCACATTATATATTTCTGTATTTGTTTGTTGTCCTTTTCCTAACATAAGTCCAATAATAGCAAAGGCATTGTCTCTTTTACTTAACCCCAGGATCTAGAAGAATTCAGGGCACAAAAGAAGTATTTGATAAGTATTTGTTGAATGAATTTATTAAGGAAAGTGGGACATAGTTTGCAAGACTTTATCTGAAGGAGTGAAAAGTTATTTTGTAGCCAGGAGGACCTGGATTATAATCTCATTTTAGACACATGCTTTCCTTCTGGACTTGGAGAAATCACTAAACACCCCAGTTTTATCCTATAAAAAATGGAAATTACCTATAAGGCTGGTTTGCAGAGGGAATTAGAGATAATAAACATTATCAACACAATAGTTGGCCAATAGGAGATGTTTACTGATAGAATAATAATACAATAGTGAATATAAGTGTAATAACCCCAGGAGGCTGAGACATGAGAATCTCTTGAACCTGGGAAGTGGAGGTTGCAGTGAGTCAAGATCGCGCCACTGCACTTCAGCTTAGGTGACAGATCGAGACTCCATCACACACACACAAAAAGAGTAATAACTCAGTGCCCCGAATTGTAGCCAGGATACTTCACCAAAGAAACATAAAATATAAACACCCACCCCCCAACTCTTCAACTCATTATCAGTGACTTCTATCAGACTCTTGAATATGCACCCTTGGGAAATGGAGTAAGAACCATAGCTTAAATCGTTTAAACTCATATGGGACAAAACGATGAAAATATGCAAGAGGGAACAATCTTACATTGGAAAAGAAATCAAGCCAATGACCCAATATATCTTTTTATTATTTCTTGGGAGAACCTGTATGTTTAATTCATGGAATTCTTCACTGTTTCTATGTTGAAATACACTTATGTGAAAATTGCACTCCTATTAATAAAATAGGACTTTAAAAAGCCCAAGGATTTTAGTATCGAAATGTTTCTGTGCAATATATTAACATTCATTGACTATGTGAATCCCCACCTGTACTTCGTGTAAATTACCAAAGGTGCCCTTTCCTCTGTGCACATGACACGTGTGCCCTTGCCGGTGTAATTGGACTCATGCTTAGGGCTTAGTGAGAAGAGCCTGGGCTATATTTCAATCTCACTCACCACCCTGGCCAATCTCCCTTTCACAGGGCTCAGTCCAAACAACCATATGCAACATCCTGTAAATGTTAGATAATGAATACAAAGACAGAATAAGATTCCAAATAGAGTGAACTGAAGATAGACAAACCTCAGCTATGCCTTTCTTCCATCGGAAATTTTGAACAGCATGTAGAATAAAAGAGACATGTAGTTTCTCTGACAGAAAAAGCAATTACAAGCATGTCACATTTAAATGTGGATCACTGATTATTATTGACCCAAACTCTAAAAAAGCACTATTGTCCAAGTAGCATGCTTGTCAATATTTTAAGCCTAAAAACTAATTTGACAAAGTTGTAGTAAGCTTAGGGTAGGAAAGGGAGGAGTTCATCAGGAACTGAGTAATCCCTGCTTTTTAGAGAATACCTTTGGTTTTAAACTTAATTCTAATGATTTTACTGAGTATCCTCTCCTCTGTTGGACATTTCGAGTTGTAGAAAAATGTATGCAAGCAGTTTTGGACCTTATGGAAGCAACACTTAGGAGCACCATATCAGTGTATGAGTCACTGTAAAACAGAACACAGAAATACAGAAGCCATGACAACAAAGAAAGCAGGTCCAAGGAGGAAAAACCTACATATCGGCAGGTGGATCAGAAAAGTTGCATGGGAAAAGTGGACTATTGCATTGGAAGCCTGTAAAGGGCAGGACCACTCTGTCATCTTAACTAGCTTGGTAAGCAGATCCTGGGTTTCTGTATTAAAGCTGGTCCTTTGAATGAATGAGAGCACTAATATTTTCAGCTGGAGGAAAACAACATGAATAAAAGTAAAAATGGAAGAGTGTAGGGCCTTTTTAGGGAAAGTAGACAATCCACTTTGGCAGGAGTGCAGGGTGTATACATGGAAAGATGGGGTGTGAGTTGAGATTGGAAAGATACGAAAGTGTTCACCTGTAGACTAGGTTCTAGGGGAGTGTGTTGTTTTTCTATTTTCCTATTGTTTTCCAGATAATATATTTCTTTTGAAGTCTTTTGACCATAATCAAGCCTATAATCTATGAAGAATGAATTGCCATATGTATGTAGAAGGTATCATTTGAGTCAAGGAGTGTGAGAATGATATGTAAGAGGATGTTCTTATGTAATATGTAAGAGAAGCAATAAGGACTTAATGTGAGACAAAAGTGAATATAATGAAGATGAAGTTTTGGCATGACTTAGGAAGTGTTTGGGTGAAACAACAACAAAAAAGGAAGCAGAAGGGTTAAAGACAACTGACATTTTGTGCCTGAGTAAATGGAAAAATGGTGTCGAGTTAACAGATTAGGTAAAGCTAAGAGGTTTTCCTAGAACTCTGGAAATTTATTAAATATTTTTTCTTAACGAAAAGTGTAAACTGGCCCATAATGTAAGCAAATTTTGACTGAGATTCATGGTAGATTCTTAGCTCTTTTATAATTATTTAAGTAACATTAACTCTTGTTTATTCATTAAGCTCCAAGTCATCTTATGTAGTCATATATTTGTGTATATATTCCTGTCTTATCTTATGTAATGCAATCAGATTTGATTTGCAAATGTAAATGAACTCATGTATTTAATCAAGAATAAAGACATAACACTGAATAACAGCCCTTAATGCTGGTATTTGAATATCTTTCTCTTTCAGAGATTTTGTATACATATACCCCTTTTAAATGACCTCACATTGCTGATTTTTAAAATTTTTTTTTTTTTTTTTTTTTTTTTGAGACGGAGTCTCGCTCTGTCGCCCAGGCTGGAGTGCAGTGGCGCGATCTCGGCTCACTGCAAGCTCCGCCTCCCGGGTTCACGCCATTCTCCTGCCTCAGCCTCCCGAGTAGCTGGGACTACAGGCGCCCGCCACCACGCCCGGCTAATTTTTTTTGTATTTTTAGTAGAGACGGGGTTTCACCGTGTTAGCCAGGATGGTCTCGATCTCCTGACCTCGTGATCCGCCCGCCTCGGCCTCCCAAAGTGCTGGGATTACAGGCGTGAGCCACCGCGCCCGGCCAAAATTTTTTATTTTGAGATAATTTTAGGCTTACAGAAAAGTTACAAGATAGTGTACACAGTTTTTATATACACTTCACCTTGCTTTCCTAATGTTAACATATGATGTAACTGCAATCCAGTGAACAAAACTAAGAAATTAATGTTGGTTCTGCTAATTGACTTTAATCCTGTTTCTCAATCACTTTTATAAAAATGAAACATATATAAAAATACAAAACTAGCTGGTGTGGTGGTGCTTGCCTGTGATCCCAGCTATTTGGGAGGCTGAGGCAGGAGAATCGCTTGAACCCGGGAGGCAGAGGTTGCAGTGAGCTGAGATAGCACCATTGCACTCCAGCCTGGGCAACAAGAGCAAAACACCATCTCAAACAAACAAACAAACAAAAAACATAAATACAGAGAAAAATAATATAGTCTACTATTTATGGGCTTGGAATGCTATTTTAAACTTTCAGACAATGAGAACTAACATGACGGATTGTACTCTAAATTGTTAGCTAATTACTATTAACACAACCTACCTCAAATGATCTTAGCACTCTGTAACAGTCTCCTTTTGTGCTATTTATTTTAAATTCCAACAACTTTGACCATTATAGCTGATGTAAATGTTTTAAGTAATAGATTGCAAAACAAACAAAAAGAAAGCTAAAAAATCTGAGAAAATGTATTGCTGGATGTAGAACAGCAAGTGTAGTAGAGGCTGGGGATACTATCAAGAAAATGGTAATGAAGATAGTAAAAACAGATCATTGGCAATTAGGAATTGATGCAAATTCTTTGACATTATTAAGGGAAATAGTCATGTCCCTGGAGGCTGGAAAGAGTGGCCAACAATTCTGCAAGGAATAGGAAAGGAAATTTAGGTTTGGGGAGGACTCGTACGTTCCTCGAATAGAAAATTCTGGAGATGCTGAGTTTCCGGCCTGGCATCAACCCACTCTTGTTGGATTTCCAGCCTTATTTTACTATCCACCCTTGTTAAATTCCCTCATCCACCCAATTGCTCAGGCCAGAAACCCAGATGTCATACTTGACCTCTCTTTCTGTAATTACCCCAATCTCATTGATCAACAAGTGCTGTTACTTTTACCTCACAAATATATTTTTAAACCATCCCATTCTGTTTATCTCCATTGCTACCACCCTAGAATGCGACACTCTTCTCTCACAGCAGAACTATTGCAATAACACCCCAAATGTTCTTCTTCAGTTTTTAATCCTTCTCTTTCTCTATCCTCTTTCCCATAGGGCAATCAGATTGATATTTTTAACTCATAGATCTGATAATGTCATTCTTTTCTTAAAACCTTCCGAAGTCTTTTCATTGCACACAAATTGAACTTTTAAAAGAGGTGCAAATGTCCTGTATTAACTGGCTGTTGGTCATCCCTCTTGATACGGTTTGTCTGTGTCCCCACCCAACTCGCACCTTGAATTGTAGTTTCCATGATCCCCACGTGTTGTGGAGGGGACCAGGTGAAGATAATTGAATCATGGGGCCAGTTCCCCCCATCCTGTTCTCCTAATAGTGAGTTGGTTTTCACGGGATCTGATGGTTTTATAAGGGGCTTCCCCTTTGGCGGGGCTCTCATTCTTCTCTCTCCTGAGCCATGTGAAGAAGAACGTGTTTGCTTCCCCTTCCGCCACGATTGTAAGTTTTCTGAGACTTCCCAGCCCTGCAGAACTGTGAGTCAATTAAACCTCTTTCCTTTATAAATTACCCATTCTTGGGTATATCTTTATTGGCAGTGTGAGAGCAGACTAATATACCTCTCAACTCATCACTCCTTTTGCCTAGATGGGATCTGCTGCAGGCAAGATATTCCCGGCCTCAGAAGCTGAGGGGAGAACCTTCTGTTCTTCCCCACCTTCGGCTTGCATTCCTCCTTCAGCATCTTCTTAAGGACAGTTTCTACTGCACAGTGATCAAAGTTGCAGAGGGGTGAAGTGTGGATATCCAGGAACCCCCATTTTACTGTTACTGTCTTTACTGCACTTTCCACTATCCAGGGAGGGTAGTTTATGCCCTTTGGGTGCTTTTGGGTGCGTATCAGAGGAACCCACTGGGAACATTCGACTGTACTTCCTATGTGTTGGGTAATAGAGTTTCCTCTCATTGTGTGTCATCCTCAGCTCACCTTTTTAGGGATCTATTCCACACAACTTTCTCCCTTATGATGTCCAGTATCCTTCCAGGTGTTCTGTTAGAGAGCTTCTTTTCATGCTTGGGAACACAAATATGGCTCACAGGCTATATTCATCTATTTTTGCACTGACGAATTCTGGGAATTTAAGCAGATTATCAACATTGTAGGAAGCTCTTCTTGAATCGAAGGCTGAAGCAGTTAGCTAATCCAAGTGTGACATTTACATTGTCCAACAGGATTCAAAGTCAATTCCACTCTGTCTTCAAACTTCAGCTCCCCAAGTGGTCCTACTGAAATCTCTTTCATTAAAATTGAGTGGAAAGGCAGGCCCAATGCTCCCCAAAGAAATCTTCCTCAGAAAACCCTCTCACGTCTCTTCATTTCAGGCCTTATATAGTTTCAATGTGTTCACAGCCACCTACTTTGAAATTCCTACTTTGCCACTTAATACCTCCTATATAATGGTACTCCAATTAAACACTTTTAATGTAATGCACTGATATATACCCAAAATAAATAAAATCTTATATAAAGTGACAACTTTAACTCTGATTTTAAATTAGACTTATCAAATTGAACACCAAAAGAGCATTTCAGTATGTAATTATTGGTACAGATGACCCATGTCAAAAAACTTTTAAATTAAAGCCAAAGTATCTAATGCACTTAGAAAAGTGGACCATCGCGGGGCGCGGTGACTCACGCCCGTAATCCCAGCACTTTGGGAGGCCGAGGCAGGTAGATCACGAGGTCACGAGTTTGAGACCCACCTGGCCAACATGCTGAAACCCTGTCTCTACTAAAAATACAAAAATTAGCCGGGCGTGGTAACTCACGCCTGTAATCCCAGCACTTTGGGAGGCTGAGGCGGGTGGATCACGAGGTCAGGAGTTTGAGACCTGCCTGGCCAACATGCTGAAACCCTGTCTCTACTAAAAATACAAAAATTAGCCGGGCGGGGTGGCATGCGCCTGTAATCCTAGCTACTCAGGAGGCTGAGGCAGGAGAATTGCTTGAATCCAGGAGGCAGAGGTTGCAGTGAGCTGAGATTGCACCACGGCACTCCAGCCTGGACGACAGAGCAAGACTCTGTCTCAAAAAAAAAAAAAAAAAAGAAAAGAAAAGTGGGCCATCAATATTAAGTACAAAATTCTACCCTTAAGTGTATTAAGCATTCTTTGTAGCTTTATTTTCATCTTCTACATGATTAAACATAAATTTCCAAGAAGGGGTACATCTGTAAATTAGACTTTGTAAAGGAGCAAGATACTTGTTTCGGGAGAAGTTCAGTAAAGGGAAGCCACCGTTAAAAATGTCAACTATTGTATATCCATGGTAAGTTTGAAACATGTTGCTTTTAATCTTGTGTTCTAATAGCCAGAATTTACAGTGCTGCAACAATTTGTTTTTAAGTGGCTGGAAAAATGTAGTGAAACTTGTTATTAAGTATCTTATTTAGCAGAAACACCTTGTAATTTGTCTTAATAGTTGTGTTATTAATTTCTTATCCTGCTTGGGCCACAGCCTATTCAGAATGATCTGAACTGCCTATCCAATCTTTAGAGCATTTAATGAATACATTTTATCTTCCCAAAAGAGATCTAAACAGTTAACTTAAAAATTTTTCTTAAAAACATAAATTATATTATAATTGAATATTCTTGGTTGTTAAGTAGAAAATAGTATCATGTCTAATCGTAACATAAAGAAGCAGCATACATGTATGCTACTCAATTCGTTTAGTTGCTAGTATACTGAAACTACTTGAGTCAATCCTTTTCATGTATAATATGATGCCCTTAAATTTTGTGGTTGAATACTTAGACAAAACATAGAATTAAAGGAAATAATATCATTGGTGAATTATTTTGCCGTATAAGTAGGTAAACTCAGAGGACACACCTGTTCTTGACTGAGAATGTTAGGTATATATTTGCTACCAGAATCACATACCTCAACCAATAGCCAAATTGACCTGTTAGCATTAACCTATAGGAAGGAAATGGTTTCATTTGCTCTTGAGAAAAAAATCATAAACCAGTGTCCGAAGTATGCAAATTTTTCAGTTAAGCAAAATGAGAAGACCAGATTATTCACCAAGTAATGCCACAAGGATTGTTTATGATATTGTTAATAATTATTGCCTAATATATTGGGTTGCAATTGATGGTCCTCAAATCTAAGGAGATTTTAAAAAATGTTATATCCCACATCTCATTTCTGAGAGATGGTGGTACCTCGGGTGTCTAATGCCTTGGGAATAAGATCCTAGCCTCTCCTAATATGCTGAGTGCCTTTCTGCCTTTGGTCCCTCACACAAGCTGTTCCATCTAGTGCAGAAACCTGGTGTGTTCTGATTCCCATAACGGGGTCATTCTCATTTTAAAAACTCATTTCACGCATTGCCTTCTGTTGCCTTCTGAAGACCTTTTCTCCTGGCCTTTCCTGACCATTCTGTCTATGCAAGAACTCTTTCTCTTCTTCATTCTCATTATTCTCTATCATAGCATATAATCCTCTGATCATTTAAAATAATCCATATTGCGTTTTTAGAAGCTTGAACATTGCTAAATAGATATATAGAAAATATATGTTGAATGAACAAATTTCCTTCAAACCCAGGATAGCATAAAGGCAATTAAAAAATGTTAGTTCGGCCGGGAGCAGAGGTTCCTGCCTGTAATCCCAGAACTTTGGAAGGCCAAGGTGGGTGGATCACTCGAGGCCGGGAGTTCGAGACCAGCCTGGCCAACATGGCGAAACCCTGTCTCTACAAATGTACAAAAATTAACCTGGTGCGGTGGTGGGCACCTGTAATCCCAGCTACTCGGGAGACTGAGGCATGAGAATTGCTTGGACCTGAGAGGTGGAGGTTGCCGCTAGCTGAGATTTGGCACTGGGCAACAGAGTGAGACTCTGTCTAAAAATAACAATAATATGTTACTTGAATGAATGATTGGATTTTAGACCAAAGGACTATTTGATGTAAAATGTTGTCAATGTCTATACTAGTTTATGAGTTACTTCAGAAATGTCTTTTGAGAGCAAGGCCTCTAATAAAACATCATATCCCCCAAAGAACAGTTGCCAATTTATTGCAAGTTTTTATAGCTTATTATATTTATCTTTCAAACCATATATATATAAACATATGGTTGTTATCTGACTGTCTGGAAGAAATAATGCTCTCTAGAAATATTGTCATGTTCCAACTTTCATTCAATGTTTTTTAAAGTAAAATATGCTTAGAGGGCAATAGTTTTCCATTTCTAGAACAAGTTTCACAATTATATGTATAAATTGAAGTGTATTGGCTTTTGATAGCAAAAGCTATAATACTACAAATGTCTAAATTGTATTTTGACATTATTAAATATAAATTGAGAAGTGTGAGGCAGTGCACTGGGCTCAAGATTTGAACTTGAGGCTTTGCTTTAAAGAACAATATAAACTAAGATAGATTTTTTTTCCTAAAATCACAGTGACATGTATTTTCTTGGATTAGTGAACAGTGTGGCTCATAGATGGGGTTTTACTTTTAGTCCAAAGCAACAATGAAAGCATATAAAGTTTTCATTGCCTATTTAGGATATATTATAAGCATATTCAGCATGGGGCTATAATTTTGTGACATAAAATATTATTTATAAAGTCTTGACATTTAAAAATAGTTTTAAACACTTTCTTTAAAAAAAACATTAACTCAAGCTCATTACTTTTACCAAAATGTAGTATAGCTAATGGAAAAGTAATACAAAATTATGTTAATTAGATTGTTTTAAAAATCCCTTCAACATGGAAAAGTATCATGTTTTATGATTTGATATATGAAACTGAGCATCTGTGAACAAATTTAATTTTAAAAAGAAAAGTAAATCATATTTAGCCCTCTTTTTTTCAAATGTTAGAGAAAAATAAAAAAGCTGAGGAAATACAGCTAGTGATTTCTGATCTTCCTTTAGGAAATCCTGACATTCCAGAGAAACTTGGATAGACTCTGAAGGATTAACCCATTTCTGACTTTTCAGGAAGTTTATCTTTCATTTAAAAGGATATCTGATGGGGTGGGATACAAAACTTAAAATAAAGAATATGTTAAATGCCATCTCAGGGATGCAAGTTTAACAGCGGTGGTATTGGGCTTTAGAAACATATAAAAACATGACATTAACATAAAAAAATTACAAAAAAATATTAAAATGAGCATATAAGTGTTTTTTGTTTGTTTGTTTGCTTGCCTGTGTATAAACACGAAAGTGGTACATCTCTCATTTAAGTTATGGCCCATGTACTTGAAACAATTTTTTTGCTTTCTAAGTGATTGTATAATGAATGGCCTAAGCTAACATTTACTTTAGCATTCACTCTGTCCTAGTCTATCCGTGTGTCAGCTGAGTTACTGTCAGAGGCTTGCTTGGCTTGTCTATCTCTGACCTCTGCATTCTGAATTTGCTCTGATGAAGTTTTGTGGCCTAGAGCATGATTTCTGCAAGTCATCTGTGAGTGTGGCGCCTGCTCAGTCTAAGGACTAGAGTCTGATAGATCAGAGAGAGGCAAGAATAGACTCAGATGCCGTCAGTTTTGGAGGCCAATGAAAAGAAGGAAACAAAACTGAACAGCAGCTGTGTTGAAGGCTGTGCAAGGCCATCAGAAATTGGGTTCTTGAGGTGGATTGGAGGAGAACAGCCTCTGGATGTCTGCTGGGCAGTGACGATGTGTCTGGAGGCTTTGACATTGGATTCATTAGGCATTGCTAATGTACACAAAAAATGTAGCAAAAATGATGCCTGTTTCTGGGTGAGAACATCTGGAGCACCATAGAAGATGTGGGAGTACCTTCACGTCTCAGGCATTATCCATAGGCTTCGCTTGAAAAAAGTTCAGTTTACTTCTTATCACTAGAAAGAGAGTTTCACTAATAATAGTTATTATAATAAACAGATTATTAAAAGATGACAGAGAAATGTGACATTATAAGGTTTTGCAGAAAGAATAAAATATTAAAGCAAAATTTGAAATTGTTTTTCTAAGTGGATAAAACTTTTCCAAACTCCAAAATTTCAGGATCATATGATTTGCATTAAATGACATAGATTTTTTTAATAAAACCACCAAATTATTTAATTTAAATTTGAATTATTCCTCATCTATGGAAGGAGCATACTGCATTTTAAATAAGGAATATATTTCAATATTATAACTCAGAGAGCTATAAATTGTGATTTTCTTGAAGACATTCATTACATGTTGGAGAAAATCATGAGACTGTAAATTGAAATGTTTAAAACTGATGTGAAAAAGGAAAAAATCCTTATTTCTAAAATAAAGTGAGGGAGGAATGGGAGACGGTGAAAGTATATAAAGCGTAAGAATGAATATGTTCCGGAGATCTATTTTACAGCATGGCAACTAGTTAATAATAACGTATTGTATTTTGTACTCAAAAAATTTTACAAGAATAGATCTTAAAAGTTCTCACCACAAAAATAAGTATGTGAGGTGATTTAATCATTGTACAATGCATTTGTATATATCAAAACATGAGACTGTATACTATAAATGTATACCATTTTTAAATTTGTCATTCTATCTTAATAAAGCTGGGAAAAAATAAAATAAAGGGAAAATAAATCATTGAACCACCATTAGTGTTGGTATACAGTGGATTATCTGTGCTTTCTAATAATTTACATATATGAAGATTATCTTACGTTTAGTGCTTAAAAAGAATTTAAAATAGTGATTCTATTATGTGTAAATGGAGTATACAGTGGGCATATTTCTTTTGTTTACTGGGATATGCTTTGTGCAAGAAAAAATCTAGAAGCAGTAATCTTGGTCATTTTGATGTAAAGTAAGAGTAATCCAAATAAAGTCATTTTGCTGAGAGATGAGAGGAAGCTGGTATTTTAAATAAAGGATTTCTTATGCTAATTTCAAGGTAGAAGTTTTGGTGTGTGCTAATTTTGCTTGAAATATCAAAATGGCTATGTCATATTAGATTAAAAATAGAATTCTTTCTCCTATGGTTTTTATTGTTTAAAAAGGATTTTTTAAAATGCAGCTTAAATGAAGAGAGTACTCTCCATTTTTGGTTGGATCCTACATTGCAATACTCATTTAGGCATATTTGCTTTAAATGACCAGGTACACTAATTAAAAAGAAAACAATTTACCAGGAGCTGTATCAAGTACAGCCCTGCAAACGGTATAAGCTTTTTCCGAGAATCCATATTGTCCTTGGACTTGGCTGTTGTATTATACTTTAAACGGAATTGATTGTATGGTTGTAATGAAAGTAGCAGATTGATTTTTATCCAGTGTTACAAAGAGTAAATAGAAAAATGTTCCTGTCTTGACCTGCATTCGTAACCAATGGGATTTGCTGGCTTTAGACCCAATCTTTAATAAGAGATAACATGCAAATGTAATAAAACTGGCTTCGAAGTTTAAGGATCTTTTCAATGCTCATCAAAGATGTTTGTTGAGGCATTTAAATGTGTTGTATTGATTAGATCACAATCACCTAGGAAATGTTACTTTCTTTAAATGTTATTCATAATTTATTATGTAATTAGCATTCATAGAGTTGTGCCTTTATACACATATTAAGATTATTGAAGTGCGGGTTATGACACAATGGTATACCTTTTAATTGTCCTTAAAATTGAATTGTCTTTTATTGTTATTTAAGCAAATGATGATGGTTTAATGACTGATTATTTGTGAGTAAATTTTTACATTGCAAAATATTAGAGAAAGGTGTAATTGGCTTACTATAGCAGGATATTGTAGCAGTGTTTCTTGAAGGGTCTATTCCTGCTGAATTCAGAGTTATTGCATTATTTATTAAAAACTGAAATACTTGTTTCCAATAGTGAACTCAGTCTTTTTTCTCCACCTTTTCTTGGTAATTTAGAAGTTAACCAAATATGCGTGTTATAGTTACATTTTAGATTCTAATTTTTAGGACTTCATGAGCCTCTATTCCTGTTCATCATTTTGTAAACAGAACTCAAGCCCACAAAACAAGGAATTTAAACTATAAAGTGCAGTTGATAAATTTGCTTTGCTATAAATGAAGGGATGCAAAAAAAAAAAGTAACAATTCATTTGTAAGCAACAGTTTCTTCACACATTATGTGACTTTTTTTGGATTTGTTTTATGTTTTGGGTAAAACAGTTTAGTATAATGATGCCTAAATGAGACAAAACAAAATAAATTAAAAAACAAAACAAAAACAAAAACTAACACATTTGACTGCCGATGTTTCTCAGTTGTAGCTTCCAAGAGCTCTCTATTCTTCCCAGCCCACTTGATACCCTGCAGGTTGTGGCAGACAATTCACAGGAAAAGCTTAGACATCGAGCTTGCACGCTTCTTGACTCCATTTTAAACCTTTTGTTCACACCAGGGTGGCATTTTTTCACACCGCATGTGGCAGTTTTGACTCCTATCCAACTTGTCTTATAAAATCAAAGTCTGTGATTTTTACATTCACGGGGCTGCTTCCTGAACCGCTACTACTGTTTGTGTCTTTCCTAGTGATTGGTGCAGAAGTTTATAGCAAAATGTGTTTTAGGGAGAGGGAGGAAGAAGAATGCAATATGAAAAATGTTCTGGGCCTGAAACACAGGAAATAAATTTTGAATAAAACAGAGGTTGACTCTGAAAAGATCATACCCGAAATAAAATACACTGGCCTCTATTTCTATTATTTTTTGCAGCACTATGCTGGGTGTTCAGGTAAATTCTTTATGGAAACAATACAATGACATCATTTTCAGGTTGCATGATGTTATTTTTAAAAAGCTGTCATGTAATTGCAAAACAAAGTCTTATCCTCAGAGCCGTACAGTTATTTTCTTATATAATATTTTATAATATTCAGTGAGTGCAAATGAATTTTACTTTTAGATAAAACCATTTGGTATGCTCCACTTAACTATGAACAAAACAAAACCTATTATTTTAAAAATCTATACTATAAACCACACATTTAAACAATTTCAATAACAACATCATCATTCGGAAACTTTTCTTCTTTCCCCTATGTTTAATTAAAAATATCACTTCAGTCATTTATACTTTCTAAATATAAGTTGTACAGCTATTTCAAATAAATTACATGAAGAGGATAGTCATAAAATAACAACAGAAGTGAAAAATTTTACCAAATACCAAAGTAGGTAAATTGGCTTTCTTCTGTAATTATTAGGAAGACATAAAACTATAGATAGGAAATCTCTGCAGACAATCTGACAGTAATCGCTATATAAATCTTTATATTTTTCCTTTGAAATTCTTATTTTGTTAAAATATCATCTTTTAGTTGTGTTAGCAAAAACATAACGAAAGAATATTCTAAAATATTTGCAAGGCATATGTTTAATTCAGTTATTTTTTTGTGTAGGGAGGACAGAGGAGGATTTCTGCTTTCATCAACAAATAGAAAATCATAATTATATTATTTTTTATATTTTTGCAAGTTATAGAATAAGCACTCTTATTTTTAAATTACTACTTTTTAAACATTAACAATTCATTCACCAAGAAATCAGTCAATAGAAGTAAATCTTTATGAAGTAATAAGTATTTGTGAACAGTGGTAAACTTCAAGATAAATATTATGACGTATTTAATTTAGCTTTTAGCTACAAAACCAACTTAATGAAATCATTTCAGCTAATTCAAATTGTATAATTGGTATATCAAAATAACCAAATTATTGTATTTAAGAAAAAAATAACAAATAGTTGTAGATTATAGTCTTATTCCTCCTTCCAGGGAATACCTAATTAAATTAAGTGCATTTGAATTATTCATTACAATATTTGAAATATGAAATGGATCCAATAAATTGAGAAAGACTTCAATTTAGAATTTAGATTTTTTTTTTAAACTTTCTGGACAAGAACATAGGGAAATAGCATTTTGTTGTAAGTCTTGTAACAGTAGGCATACTAGCAGACAGAACAACTGTACACTTTCCCTTTCACAGATAGAAAACTATTTCAACTACAATTTCTATAAAGTATTAGGGAAGAAAATACAAACAATTTTCAAGAATAACTAAATCCAAATGGTTAATGTAAGTAAAAATCTATTTAAAACAAATGAATTGCAATAAATGTTATAGTCTGGGATTTCTTTTTATTATGCACAGATATTTATCAAGTACAAGTTTTTGCCCCTCTTTTAGTTAATTTAAAAATTTGACCTCATAAGAAATAGAAAGGAAAATATTTTTTGTATTTGCATATACAAATTTTATAAAGATCAAATAAAATCCTTGTCATTAAAAGCAAAACAAACAATTGAAAGCAAGTGAAATATTCAAATAAACATATACGTATTTAACCCAAGTTTAATATTAAGCCCTCTTATAAAACTAAACGGCATCTAGAGATCTCACAAAGCATTTGAAACTAAAAATATGAAAAACAAAGAAAATCATCTAAAGAAAGGTAAGTTTATGAAATAAAATTTACCTACTTTTGCAGCTGTTGTATTTGTTGAAAAAAAGTATGACTTTATTTCATGTGCATGCCAAAGAATGTAGAAATACTGTATATTTAGTTCATCATTTCTCATTATCTAGTATAGAAAACCCACAACTTTTATTACTTTAAATTTCTTATTTTCTACCCTCCCCGCCTATGCCCTCGATGTCTTCAGAGTCTCTTCTGGCCAGCATATCTTCTGCTTGAGGTGGATCAAAATAAAGCCCCCAAACAGACACACACAAAATAACCACCATCCAGCTGAGGAGAAATAGTTTTTCTGCCTTTGCCCTATCCTTATGTGTTAATAAAATCAGCTCATACATTCTGCCACAAAATTCAGCTTGGAAGTAATCCTCTGCTACTTAGAGCTGGATGAAAAGAGTACTCATTGTGAATTATGTTTCATCTGTCACAATAACCTTCTTTATTCTGTCAGGGACCTCCCCTTTGCCTGTGGCAATTAGAGAAAATAGGTATGCGTTGAAGTATGAAATAGTGGGTTCTTAAAATGAAACAAAACAAAACAGAAACTGATGACACATACAGACAGTACTTGCTAAGCAATATACTGCAGATTAGTAGAGGAGGCATTTTAAAGTCATTCTGATTTTACAAGAACACAGTAAAAGAATGCTTTTTAGAATGAGCAGGTGTTATAGTTGCTATTAGTTATTGTCAACATTAGTTATTGATGACAAGCTGTGAATTGTAATTGTACTAAAAATGAAATGTGAAAATCTTTTTATATTGTGTACTTTCTAATTAAATCATGCCATAAGATATATATCATAAATATATAGTATTTATTTAACATATGAAATCGCCATGATTTTATATGCCTTTCACAGATCATAATGAATTTATGTGCTTTTGAGTCTATTTTAATGCTCCAGAATAACATTTTTGCAAATTTTTTAATGGGCAAAAACAAAGAAAAACTTTCCCTTGAAACAGAGCTTATCAGACAATTTTGTTTAATTTAAAATCAATGTGATTATTTGATTTACTTACTCTTACAAATCACTGAAATTACCTGGAGGCAGTTCAAGTTCACCTTTCTGGAATAAACCTGTTAAATGATAGACACCATCTCATTATCTCCTTGAAAGAACACCTCAACTTTTTGGCTTCATAGGTTACAGTCAAAGTTATACTATCTCTAGTTACAAATGAATTAATCTAGAAGATCTTAAAAAGCTTAAAAGGAAAACAAACATAGTTGACAGAAAAGAAAATGCTCCTTCTAATACCAAAAGAAAGTCACTGCTGACGAAGTAACTGAAACGGTCATCGTAACAGTTGGATAAAGACATATAAATAATTTAAGCTAACACGAAATTCATAAAGTCTGAAGAAAAAATTCTTGAGGCTAAAAGGAAAACCTTTTGGCCCACTGCACAGGTTGGGCACAAAAGTGCTTGCTAAGCTATCTATTTCACACATGCAACGACAGAAGGTTCGATATTCATTCGATCGATGAGTGAAAAGGCACAATGGCAAAATCAGACAGACTTCTTTTCAAATACAGATCTCCAATGTCCCCCTCCAGTCTGCAGATGCACGGCTGGTGGTGTGGCTCAGACGGAGCAAGGGTTACATCAAGGCTATTCTCTGGACCGTGCAAACAGTCTAGACCAATGACCTGCAGCATCATGTCCTTTGAAGAAGAGGCAAGTTCGGTCATGATGAAGAAAAATCAAGGCGTACCCCTTTTAACAATAGGGAGCAGCTCGAGGCTGCAAAGAGGTAAGCAGGGTGAGAAGAAAACGGCATCTGCTTCCATGGTTACAGGCCAACTATGAGAACCTTGCTTTTCAAAGGAGTCTGTTCTCAGGCTCCCTCACAGGGTATGTCATGCATTATAAGCAAAGGCAGGTTGAGCTGAAATCCGCATAGTTATTTCAGAGTAAAATGATACGGAGCACATGGCTGGCAGAAAAAACAGTCACATGACTGTTAAGAACCAGACTTGGGCTATTTCAGAAAAGATTTTTTTTTTTTCTTATATCAGTTAAAGAAAGACAGTAAATTTGTATAAAACAAACAACCATGATAAACATGATTTTCATTTCTCAGGCTTTTATGTGAGCAGAGGTCAAGGGTCAAGACACCCCTCCACTCCAATGGCAGGACCATACAGCTTATTGTTAATATAGCTTTATTATGGATATCATTTTAAAATATTTTCCTCTTTTGGGCGGACCATAACATAGAATTTGTGTTCTTGTGAAATTTCTCTCTCTGACCTGATTCTCTTTGATGTGCTCCCCAGGATTTTCTGTGTTTTAGATCTCATGTTCATTTCCGTTGTTAGATCTCATGCGGAGAGGTAGAAGGTTTGGTGAGAAACTTCCTTGTTGTGTGGTTACTCCTCTAAGATAGCGCGAGCTTGCCTCTGCCTCGTGAAATCTGCTTATGGATAATTCAAATCTGCAGCAAAATCATTCGCCTCTGACAATCGTCCTGTTTCTAATTCATGCCTTTGTAGTTTATTCGATGTGTAATACATCAATGAGTCTATAGATTCTAATATCAATGTTTTTTTCTTTTCTGCAAGATAAAGTTGAATTTCATAATATGATACACTAGCAGCTAATGTTATCTGAATAAAAATTTGACAAGCATGAAATGTAACATATTCTGTATTATTAAGGAAAGACCATAGTATATAGTAACCACACAAAATGCACACATATATAAAATTAACATGGATAAGACATTCCTCTGACAATGTACCACAACTCAATATTAGAAGAATTAATATTGGGTTATGTTCTAACTATGCACAATTAACTACAGATGTTCCATGCAGTGTATCCTTTGAGCAATTTTTGTTTGCAAGTATATTGTTAAAATTAGGGAGTGAAAAAGGAAAGAATCTTTCAAAGGACAAGGCATGAAAACAACTTTCATTAAATTTATTTTTCAGAATTTATGTATTTTAATATAAATGGGTACCATATAGTTTTGTGTGTAGATATTCATTTCAAATACTGACCTTGTAGGAAAATATCCTTATAGCTTCGCAAAAGCAATGAAGTGTTGGTGATCATGGTAGAAACAATTTTACGCTTTCAATTAAGAAACCAGAGAAATATTTGCTGGTATGTTTCTCATATAGATGCCTTGATTTGAGTTGGGTTCATGGGCAAACATATGCTTATTGTTTGGTTTCTTTGAATGTGTTGAGGTACATTAGTTTCTATTCTTGCATGGTGAGAATAACTTAAGGTCTAAAAAAAGTGAGCTATTGGAATGTCACTATTATAGTATAATAATCTATACACTAGTATAAGCACTGAATGTATTATCTTAAAGTAGCCATGTTCTATTTGCTTTAAATAATTTACATACTACCAAAACAATTCAACATCAGAGTTTCTTTGATGTAACAACGGATCACACTTTCTCCCAAAGGTCAAGTGGCAAATATTTCTCCAATGAAAAATCTACCTGTCAGTTCTCCAAAGGAAAACAAAACAAAACAAAAACAAATACACGAAGGTTTATACATTGCATGATAATTTGTGAGTTGTGATTAAACGGAATTGTGTCTATTACCTGAAATCTGTTGCAAAATAGATAGTTGGATTCTTGTTATTTTTTCAGTTAGCATTTAGCCTACTCCTGCTTTTTTGTTTTTCAAAAACATGTTCAGTGTTAGGAATATTTACATGTGACCATAAATTAGATGAACTTGCTAAGTGTGGACATGTTTAAACACTTAGAAACATTCTAATAGAGTCAAATTGGTGGTTCATAAAATGCTATTATTTAAACATTTAACAACCAGGTAAAAATATTTAATATTGAGTATTTAGTGGGAAATGACAGCTTCTTGCCTTTAAAAAATTCTCTATATCTGAGTTATCAAATAGCTGTGTATTATGTACATCCTGCATATAGTTTGCAAAACCTCCACTCCTAACATGTGTTAGATTTAAATATTCCTTTAAATTACATTTTAGATTAATTATTGAGTTTTGCCCTCCTCACTTCAAAATTTGTTTAAAAAAGGAAAACTAAACTTGGCCTTGCCTAATGGAGCATTTATCCTTAAACGTGAAAAAAGAGTCTGAAATGTTTCAGTGACTTAGTGTCCCGATAGTGCTCTGAATATAGTATATGCTCAATAAATACCTCTCTAATAAATGAATACAACTATGGTTGCACCAATGAAACAATTTTCAGAATAATCCAGTCTCATGAAAATCAGGAAATAGTCCCTTCTATTTATTCATATATCGTTTCTAACCTTTTTCGTATGACCGTTCTATATGCATGAATCCTTCTTGTCAGTAATTTGCTATTAGTAAATGACTACTTTGTGTCCAGTATGACTAGAAGTGTGTGCCTACAGCCACATTTCCCAAACAAGGTCCTGTGAAGCATTATTATTCTGAAACATGTTGGAAGGTATTCTGAGGGAAAAAAATCAAAGAGTCAAATAAATGTGAGAAAGATGCTATGTTAAACAATGGAAATTAGGTTTCTTATGTACAATAGATTTTAGGACATTTAAAAGACTAATGTATATAGTGCATACCTAAGAAGGGTGTATAGTTGACATCATTTCACAGAACTATTTAATCAACTTTTTTCAGAAAATACTTAGTAATGTAATATGACCTAATTTCACAGATGTGCTCAAGCTGGCTTAAGCCAGATTGAATAAACCAATTTTAACTATCTCTTCTTATATTCCATTTTCAGTGACATCATTTTCTTAGCTTGAAATCAGTTGTGGCAGGAGTATTTGCACCATGGAAATCAGCAAATGCTATAAATCAGGGCTTTTTTTCTTTTTCCTTTTTTGAGACTGGTTGTTGAGCATTTACCAGCACAGCATTGCCTCATTTTGTCTCTGAATCCATTTTTGTAGGTAAGCTGTGCACTAAAAGGTCAGTAAGTTCAGAGGCTTTCTATTCATCAGACTGTCTAAAATACAAAACAATTTAAAGCAAATTGTGAACATTAGACATAAAAGAAAGGGATAGCATTAAAAAATATTGGACACTCAATTTTTCTTTTAAGATTTAGCGGTTATATCAGGATTTCAAAGAGTTTATGTTTCTGATTTCTTTAAATTACCTGGATAAACATCTATGTTTATTCATTTATCCCTTTTCTATCAAAACATTTACATACACTGGTATGTAATTGTCTAATCATATTTAAGTGAGTTCTCAACATGAAAGCTCTGAAAATCTCCAGACATCCTTTAAAAGTGTCTCTAACTCAGACCCACTTCATACGAACTTTGAGTTCGTATAATGCTGAGATGAAGCATCTTTAATCAGGATATACACTTTATTGCATATCATGTAATTTACGGCATTTTATCAGACATGTTTACCTGCCTGACATCTTGGGTGAGATTTTTAGGAGAAAAACAAAAATGGAAAATCTATGAATAGAGAATTTGAAAAACACATTTTAAGTGATAAATCAATTAATTCCCAACTAATCTTTTACCTACTAAATTTCTGTGAATAGGTTAACAAGTAAAATCTGTAAATATAGGTAGCGTATAAGTATAGATATTGGCTAAATAAAAGATGTAAAATCATGAATGGATTCTTCCTTGGCCTTATTGCTTGAAGCCATGAGTTCTATGGTGACATGTTTTGAAGGGCCTCTGGAATCTACTTTGTGACAGTATATGAGATGATTTATATGAGGGTTCTAATTTACCTTCCCAAACCCAGGAACCCAAAGCACTAGGCACTTCAGTTTACAGAGCCCTCAAATTAATTAATCCGAGTGTCTATTTTGAGCCAAGTTTTGTGTTATTTATCAGAAACTAAAACATGACTAATACATGGTTTCTGTCGTTGTGGAGCCCACAGTCAAATGTGAGAAGAAAGCAGCTGAAATGTGTTATCACAAGAGAAAATTTTCTGAATATAACAGAATATATATATATTTGATCTAAAGTGATATATCTATCAAATTTAAAGTGATAAATATATGTGTGTGTGTGTGTGTGTGTGTATATATATATATATATATATATATATATATTTAACTCCCAGAATTCTTCTGGTTTAATCCCAGAATCTCATATACTTTTTGGATTCTACTCTCATCACATAATAGGTATTGGTACATCACAGAGAGCTCCATATTCACAAAACATTAATGAATAGTACAACCAAGATGGCAATGATATGATCCTTAATATAGTCTTGAGTGAGGAGTAAGTACAGGTTGCGTTACAGAATCTTGCTGTCCATCCTGTTTGTAAACATAGGGAAGAATTTCACATAACGTCAAGATTCTCAAAGGATACTTCACTATTAAAGATAAATACAAGCAATTCTAAACCCAGTGAAAATTCTCACAGACATTCAGCTTAGATAATACTGTATGCCTGTGTGTTTATGTATGAAATACATATTTGAATACTCATTGGATAAGATGTTCTTTGTATTTGGAAAAAAATCTTTTGGACATACTAACATTATACTTCTGAAAACTCTGAAGCCAATATAAAGTTGTAAAAGGCTTTACTTTTCATTATATCAACCACGCTGGAAATTCATACACAATTTTATCACTGGAAAATTTTCTTCTCTGTGCCATAAAACCTGGAACTCTTCTTTCAAACAGCACCTCCCAAATTTGAAAACGTATTACTGTAAAATATTTATATATGAAAGGTTTTTAAATGAATTATTGAATGTCAGATATTTAATAAAAATACTTTTGCTATTTGATAGATAAATTTATAAGCACTATTATCTTTCAATTTTAGATAAAATAATTTTATATATTTTTAAAGAACATATCTCACATATCTCTGCTCTTGATAACAAATAGTGTTTTTTTTTTAAGAATTTCTATCTAGAAAATTTAATTCATTTTTCTGGGCCTAGTTCAACTATTCTCTCTTTTGTATGTCTCTTCTCACTGGACTATCTTCTCTTTCTATCTTTCCCCCTTATATATACTCATCTGCTCTTCACTTCTGTTCCGCTTATATTTTTGCTAAGGTAGGAACAAATAATGGTAATAAATAGGTGGCAAAGGGAAAATTTTAAAATATATACAGAAGATCTTTACATTGGAATGCTGTAGTAATTGAGTCTAAAACTCAGCTCTGAACTTTGAACCACTTTTTTAAAAATGCTGTGTTTGAACCTTAAAAAATGTAAAATAAAAACAATCTCCCTCCCTTCTGAAAGGGGAAATGACCTTCTTACTCCTGTCCATTCTTTTATCTGAGCAATGAGGGGTGAATGTGTTTATAAAAAGCCATGTTTAGGCTCTATATTGCCCTGCTTTCCAAAAATTATTGTTTGTTTTTACTAACATAAGATCACCCAAAGCAATTTCCTTTAATTAGCATGTCATAACCTTCCTATTTTTGTTGAGTATCAAATCCATTTGACTTAGCCATGGTGTGTCTCTGTGTATGTGCAGACCCCCTAATGTTAACATGTGTTAAAGTAAGCATCGCTCAATACTTTGTTTTTACAGATGGATGTCAACTATTGTGCTTGCTACATTACTTTGTGGCCTCTTTTGTATTCTTTTTTTCTCAAATGATTGACTCCATCTTCATTTACTTCCACCAGGCTGTTCAATTTTGCTTCCATTAAAAAGAGGCTCAATCCTTTAAATTTCTTTTTTTCTTTGAGGGCCACATCCATGGACCTAAAATATGTTTTTTTAAATTCATATTCATTATCATATATTTTATATAAATCATATTATCAGTTAATAATATATATTGAGTATTCTTTATAGGATATTATTTATTGCTTTGTTAATTATACTTATTTAATATAGAAATAGTTATATTAATACTCAGTATTAAGTAAGAATAATTCTATGTGATAGTGTTACTACTTTATATATATATATACACATATATCAATATGTATGGTGTGATGGTTCTTCTATTGCTATATACTATACATACTGCTATACATATGTATACATGATGAAATATACAGTTTTCTATATATACTGTCAAATATTGTCAAATATATTTAGTCAAATACATAT
Source organism: Homo sapiens (assembly GCF_000001405.40). Lineage (NCBI taxonomy): Eukaryota > Metazoa > Chordata > Mammalia > Primates > Hominidae > Homo > Homo sapiens. The sequence goes on from NC_000021.9 coordinate 16,316,033, forward strand.
AGTTTGACTATATATAGTTATATTCATATATAGGATATATGAATATATAAATATAGAATATATTTATTCATATATATCCTATATATAAGAATATATATAACTATATGTAAGCCAAATATATATAAAAGTAACAAATATATTTTACTATATATTTGAATATATAAATGTATTTGAATATATATGTATTTGAATATATAAATTTATGCAAAATAAAAACATAAATAAAATATATATAGTCAAATATGTATATATATAAGAATAACATTTCTATGTGATGGATCTTCTATTGCTGTCTGTCTATCTAGTCAAATATATATCATCATGATATATATATTTGAAGGCAGATAGGTTCTCTAGTTTTATACCAGTTAAGCAGTTAACTTTAGTAACTCTAAGTGAGAGTAACTCTTCAAGTGAAACTTTGAAAGAGTAACAGCTCACAGGAGTGTAAGTGTTTCTCCTTGAATTTTACAGTGCTCCTCCCTCTTCTTTGGGATAAAGGATTGGAGAGGGTGATTCTTTCTGCCTCTTTTCGTCCTCCTTTAAATGAATTATTATCTTTTTACTCCAGCATTCCAGGACTCAGGGTGTACTTTTTAACAACACACCTAAAAGTTGTTTTGTTTTACCAATTCTTTTTTAAAAACCCCAAATCATCCAGAAAGCAGTTGCTCCTCTTTCATCCTGTAATGAACCTGCAGAGTAACCTGGGGATATTGTTAATACTCAATTAAGATTCAGGCATCTGGGGTGGAGTCTGAGAATCTGCATTTCCAATAAGACCCCAGGAGGTGATGATGATGCTGGCCTATTGGTTGAGGTTAGAATGTGAGAGTTAGAAGACTTTGCTTCAAGTTTTCGCTTTGTCCCAATTCTGATCTTAACCTAGAGACTTAACCTCCCTGATCCTGTTCCTTATCTATAAAATGGGTGGAATCATGTTTCTTCTGCCTGCCTACCCATAGAATTGTTCTGTACTTCAAATTAAATTAAGGAGGAAAGCACTTTATAACAAAAGAACAGAAGAGAAGGTAATGCAGCAGGATATTTCGCCTTATTTCTTGAAGAGTATATTTTATACCAGTAACCTAATTTCCTTTAGAGTTTGCCCAGTTAGCCTAAAATGATGACCCCTGTTTTAAAGTTATCTTCAGTAGTTCTTTATCCTCTTTTACTCTCCTCTTTTTGTTCATTTATTCATTCATCAGACACTTATTGTGTAGCTACTATGCACAATACATTGTGCCAGCTGCTGTGGTTGCAATTGACTCTTTCCATTTACTTCTACTTTTTTCTCATTCTTTCAAATACTTTGATTTATTGATTTCACTCTGTGCTCCATGTCTCCCATATCTTTTACTTCTGCCTTCAGTGGGATGTTGAAATCACTAATTTGAAGGTTGCATTCGTCTCTTTGAATCAATTGTATTTAATTTCACAAATATTTACTGATTCCCCATTATATGGCAGAATCTCTACAAAAAGAATACAGAATTGAAGAACAGTACTTTTTTTTAGGAAAAAAAAGTTTATATCCTATTTGGGAAATAAGATTTTTAATAATTTTTCAATGAACTATAGTACCAGGCAGGAGATTTTTGGTGTCATAAGAAACACTTTAAAGGAGGAAGTCACAGCTGACTTGAAGGGTTTGAAAAAGACTTCTTAAAAGATGGCTAAATTGTGACAGAAATAGATGAGAGGAAGAAGAGGATAGATATTACAGGTGGAACAAATTATACCTTCCCCTCTCTTTGCTTTCATTCATGGTGAGTGACTTGGGAAAATGGTCTGGTGTAGGCAAAAAGGTCTTAAAAGTATATGAGGGAAAGCTGGAAGCTCTTATTGGAGTCACACTGTGATAGCCTTGGATGGAAGCTATGGGAGTCTGTACTTAATTTGGGGGGCATTAAGAAGTCTTTGAAAGTTAATGTTACTGTTGACCTTCCTGCCATGCATTCAAAGTCAACCTTTAATTCAATTCTGTGGAATTTAAATGTAAGTCAACTGTCGGGCTCTGGGTTTGTACAGAGCAGATTGGCAACCTCCAGGTAGTCTTTTGCCAGTTTTCATCAAGGCAGCATATCATAATGGACACAATATAGTGGACTGCATGAGGACGCCCGGCTGCTAATCCTGGTTCACTAACTTGCTAGCCTTTTGACCTTAGAGAAGGCATTCATCTGTCTGAGTCTTCAGTTCTTTCTTATAATGATGGGAATAACAAAATGCCTGTTTTCAAAGTTTATGATGAGAGATAAATATGAAAGAAAAATAAATTTTGAAAATGTAAACTTTGAAAGAGCAACAGCTCACTGGAGTATACCGGTTTCTCCTTGAATTTTGTAGTGCGCCTCCCTATTCTTTGGGATAAACGATTGGAGAGGGTGATTATTTCTGCCTCTTTTCCTCCTCCTTTAAATGAATTATTATCTTTTCACTCCATCATTCCAGGACTCAGGGCGTACTTTTTGAGAACACACATAAAAGTTGTTTTGTTTTACCAGCTCTCCTTCAAAACCCCCAAATCATCCAGAAAGCTGTTGCTCCTCTTTCATCCTGTCATGAATTTTTGTTCATGGGAGGTTATATTAACTACATTGTCATTCTGACCTTAGCTTAAATATCACCACTTAAGATATCCACCACCCCTGGGCACAGCCACAGTGTCCCTCATGGAACCTCTCACCATCTTTTTATTTTCCTTATGGAATTGCCTTCCTCATTTATTTGCTTGTATATTGCATGTCTCTTTAGCCAATAAGATTTTATTAGTTCATTATGTGGCAGACACTGTCACAGGAACTGGGAAAATGTGAGTGGGTGTGTCCTTAAAGAAACAGACACATAAATATTGATACTAATAATGATCTATTTACCTATGTGTATAAATGCCAGTAAGTAAAAAGTGCTATAAAGAAAAATAAAGCAAGCTGAAGGATTAGAGACTGAAGGTTATTATGCCTTTTTTTTTTTTTTTTTTTTTGGTCAGAGGTTCAGGGCATGGTTCCTTGATTAGGTGCTATTTACTCAAAGACCAAGAGGAAGTAAGAGAGTGTGCCAAGCCTGTACCTAGAGAGAAAGTGGTCCAAGCACAGGGAATTGTGAGTGCAAAAGCTTTAAGGTGGAGTCATGTGTGGTATGTTGAAAGACAAGGTAGGAGGCCAGGGTGGCTAGAGTGCAGTGAGCCAGCAGACAGCAGTAGACACTGAGGCCAGAGGGTTAGAGGACAGGGCCTGGGCACCATCAAATAAGCTTTGGAGTTCCTGTTAGGGTCGGAGATCTCACTCAGTGTGACATGGGGAGCCTCTCCGGAGGCTTTGGGCAGAAGAGTGGTATCATCCCACTCAAGTCACGTCGGCTGCCATGTGGTGATGAGGCTATTAGGTGGCTAGTGTCAAAGAAGGGAGAAGCAGCGTTATATCGGAATGGGCTCCTACCAACTCAGCAGAAGCCATGTGTGCATCTCTTCCTGAACCATGCCCTCATGTCACTTGAAATTAGCCACGGCGAAGGTAAGTCCATGTGGAAATCTGCAAATACTATAGAGGATTTCTTCTCCCTCCCTTGTCCCTTCCCCTTCTCGTCTTTCCTGCATTTCTTCCTTTCTTCTTCTTCTTCTTCCTCCTCCTCCAGTTCCTTCTTTTCTCTTTTTTTTTACAACATTATATATACTTATTTATTGTTTATAAGCAAAGTTGTTGATAAACACTTACCAGCACATCTCAGAAGAGACTTTTAGAAGTGTATTGCAACCATTTATGTAAAAGATGGTGGTGGCTTAGACTAGCATGGTAACAAAGGAGGTGATAGGAAGTGGTGAGATTCTGCAAGGAATCTTCAAAGGAAGCACGGACAGGTTTTACTGAATGACTAAGAAAACGGTGGAGAAAACATTCCTCGACAAAATAGTAGAGAAAATAATGAGTGAAGCCTGGCTTCCAGGTTTTCATCTTAGTATCTAAAAGAATAGTTATCGTGGATTAAGATGGAAATGGCTTCAATAAATGAGCAGTTTGTGAAATGAGTGTTAAAAACCTGATTTCAGACATATAAAGATTGACATCTTAAGGTGTAGCCAAGTGGAGATATTGAGTAGAAAGTTGGATATATGAGCTTCGTACTCAGGAAAGGAGTCTGGATTGGAGATATCAATTTGGGAAGTATCTGCAAGGAGAATAGTATGATTCTGTTCTCCCTAATTTAAATGGGGGCTGATTGCATATCAGAACAGAGAGGCAATGCCACCATACTTCCACTGCATCTTTTGCAGACTGCTGAGTCAGGTGTTTTTTTGATGCTTTTTATAATTTTAATATAATTTGAGCAACCAAATGAAAGTTGCTATGGATTGATTGAACCCTTACTTTTTCTGCAATTCATTTTCATAGTTATGCTTCTTGCTTCCTGGAACCAATCAGCTACAGCATCACTTCTCAAAATGTGGTCTCAGTACTGCCTACATCAGATTAAATAGGTGCATTGTAAAATGTAGATTTCTGCATTCCAGTGTCAGACCTATTTAATCTTAATATTAGTCCAGGGACCCGAAAATATCCATTTTACAAAACAAATACGCATTGTCTTTATTATGCAAATAACAATTTGGCCCCTCCTGATGTAATGTTTAAATATAAAGTTTAATATCTATCGTTTTGTAAGGATTCCCATGGCAAAAAAAAAAAATTGTTTATATCATTTATATATTTAAACCTGCCTGTACATATTCTAGGTTGTTCAGATTAAAATAGATTTAATTTCAGTCATATAGATTTCAATCTTAGTTAAATAGGAAAACCAAATTTAATCATCTTTTTTTTTTTTTTTTGAGGAAAAGTGTAATTTTAGGGCATACTGTAGATATACTGTTCAAAACAGGAAACCTGAGTTTTCAACTGTAGGTATTGGATTGCTATGGTAATTTAAATAGCAAATATTTCTGATTTTCTCATGTTTTGGGTGACAGAATCGTGTTGCATTTCCCAGCTCTCGTGATTTAGATGGTATAGAAAAGTAATTGTGACCAAGTGTGCCTGGGGCCAGAGTATTTAATTTCCAGTGTTCCTTCATCTTACTTGTGTCTTTCTCCACATTTGAGGTGGAAGCTGCCCTGTTATCCTGCTTAGCTAAGATGCTACAGTCAGCAAAGCTTCCCTGCTAACCTGTAATGAACGTTTAATGTGAGGGAGAAATACTTTGTGATTTTAAACTGGTTGGTACTCCAGCATAATCTAAAGCATCCTGACTGATTGTGACTTTCTCTAGCAAAAATGAACTGCTCTAACCTGAGTTATCTCCTATTTAACATGCTGACAGCGGGAATTGATCTAAGGTAATTCATTGCCCCAACAAATTAGGGATTTTTTTGTCAATATTTTGACCTTTGACAAATGAGAGATAGGTAGGAGGTAAAGGTCTCTTCTTTTACAAATTTGCTACTAATTAGGTTGTTTCAAAAACAAAAACAAACCAAGAAACAAATGTTACCGATCGATTTCTGCAAAGGTAGAGACTTTTATTAACAATCAGGTATGAAACCAAATAGCTTGTTCTGAATAATCTGGAGGGTGTCTCTGTTCCTTGTCTTTTTAGGTATGCCATCCAGCACTTTGTAGAAAAGGTTCACTGCAGAGCAAATGCAACTGTATTCTAGTAGCAGGAGCAATGAGCCTTCTAGTAGTACCAGGTGAAGGACCCTCCTTATATGTCCAGGAGTGGGTAGCAATTCAAATAGATTTTAGATCAAAGGTACCACTTCAAAGATGTTAGACTCACAACCTTTTCCTGGGGTTATTTTACTTTGTTCCCACAGTGGGGAGATTACCCAGTGTTTCTTGCCAATCACATATCTTCATCATCATTTTTCTCATCAATGAAAAATTATTTGTAACTGTCTTGTAAATTACCAAGCTCCCATGGGTAGTTTCACAGTGCAATATTTGGAGACTTGAAGCATTTGCCACAGGTGCCCCTAGAGTATAAACTACTGATTAGGAAATGGTAGATCTTAACCAATGTAAAGAGTGGATCTCTAATTAGATTTCTTTAAATCTTAGCTAACTTCTTCTAGTGTGTACATTAAAGAAAAACCAAGGTACTGTGAAATCTCTCTACTGGAGCATTTTAAAGTAAAGTATAGGCACTAACAGAATTAATTACAGATTTTTGTTTATTTTCCCCTATGTTCTACTAGGACTACAAAAACCATAAAACTCACCAGAATCTTACATTATTTTATTCAACAAATGTAGAAGTATTGCTTGATCAAGTAATGTGGTGCTTGATTTTTAACAATTTACTGTAGACTTTGTTATCAATATTTAACTAGTTTACTTCAATATTAAACAGATCAATAACCATTTGTTATTTAAACAAATGTTTAACCACAAACATACCTATATGTATATGGATGTGTGTGTTTGTGTATGTATGTATAATTGAGCTGCTTATATATCATGTAGTTTTTTAAACAAAAAAATAGATAATAGCATCTTAAAATTAAATCTTGAGACATTGGGTTATAAGTTTCAATTTTGCTTTTCTTTCTGCGTATTCATGGTCTGTAGAGGAGACTAGACTTCCCTAATGTTTTAGTTTCCAAATATTTTGCCAAGTATGAATGAACTAGGTCAACGAAGGAAAACATTCTTTCTGAAGCCTACATTAATATTCTACTGTTTGAAAAACTGGGCTAACCCTTCAATCATTTTGTTAATATTTGTAGCTTCTCACAGAGTTGTAAAACCTCATAAGTAAACATAGGTTTTTCAAATCTTTACCTCATTTTAAATTCTTTTAGTTACTGTTGTGAATAAAGAATTTCTGGATGGCTAATATCAGCTAATAAGATTAGTAAGGAATGAATTGTAAATAGAGCATATAAAATTACTTATTTTCAAATACTTCTTAAAAACTTGAAATAGTGTCTCTAGTATTATAATTTTATACATTTGACTTTTTATGATATATTTAATGGTAACATTTAAAATAAAACTGTTTTTTAAAAGTAGCATTTTACTAGCCCAATGACTGAAAAAAAGTTTGTAAATTTATAGATTTTAAACAAATTGAATGGTGCTAGTTTTTCTATTCACTTTTGTCTCTAAAATATTTTTGGTATTTTGTAAACAGCAATAAAAATAGCAAGAGTAAAATTTGACTTCATGGAAACTTAACTGTGACTGGACCTCTTTTAATAATTTTTATTAATTTTGACTCCTGTGAATTTTGATGTTTGGAGGTTATATATTTCCAAACTTAAAAAACAGACCTACAATAAATTAGATTGATTATTCCTAGTGAAGTACTTTACTAATATTATTGATATTATTGTGTAGTAGTTATTAGGGAGTCTAAGAGGAAGACTATTTTTATTATAGGGAGGATGGTTTCAACTGACAGGTTTTAAACTAAAATGTTTAAGCATTTTAGACATTCTATTTTAATAAGTATGTTTTAGTTTTAATTTTTTTAAGAATAAATGTGAAATGAATGATTTGGATATAGGTTAGTTTATGGAAATTTTTGATGATGACTATGTATTGATTACTTTTCATTTCAGGTTATTGATTATTAAAATGGCATTATAAAGAGATAGCTCCAAAATAACAGTGTCTTAATTACTTGAAAGACATGTTGTTTTAATATTGCACTGTAACATACCATACCATATTTGGTGATTTTTTTTCTCTATTCCAGTTTTGTATGCTACTGTAGGGCATAGAATGTGAGTAGCACCCCTAGAACTCAAAGTATATTTTTATGTGAAGCTGAAATGTTTTTAACTTGACTCAGCCAGTTAATAATTTTTGGATTTGGCAAGCTTCAGTACGGTCCTATTTTTGAGAAAAGCCAACAAAAGTATTTATCTTCTAATTCAATGTCCTTTTTTCCCTTAAAGAGATTTTTGTGTGCAAATGCTTATAAATGTATTGTTATTACAGTAACACTAACATATTCTATTTCTTTCTACGGTGCTAAAAATAATTAACATTTATGGTACATTTAAACTTTTGTCAGTCAGAAGATCTAGTTATTAAACCAAATGAAATAGGTATAACAATACCTTCTGTATTGGAGTTAGATTATCTCTGAAAGTAATACACACATCAGATGTTATATGGTACCACCGCTACCTCAAAACCATGCATCCTAATATGTTTATTTATAATAAAAATTTTAAATCAGTCATACATTTTCTTCTGAAATGCATACATAGCATATGCAATGGACTGGTGGAAATACTGTACCATTTCTCATTACTTATTAGAATGACTTAAAATATTGGTTTTGGCTAAACAACTAATCAGTATTTTAGTGGAACAGATTTACAACCTTTCCTGACAGTAAAATACACTTTTTGTATATAACATTTCTTACCCAAAGACAGTTGGCACAGTAGTAAACTTAATAATCACCTCCAGAAATAAAACATGGAAAAACAATGTTAAATTAAAAACAATTGGCAACTTTAGATATACGTATATGCTTGTGTGTATGTTAATGTGTGTATATTATACACACAGAGTTTATACAGGCATATAATAATATACCATTATGTATTATATATATATATAACATAGACATATAATATATATTTAAATAAATTATATAAGTATATATAAGTAAATTATATAAATACATATAAATATGTAAACATAATTATATAGATATATAATTATAAAGGCAATAGATTCTAAAACTCAAAACAGACACATATAAAGAGAAAGTTACTAATCATTTCCTCCTGTCATCCTGAGGCAGCCAATGTCAGAGTGTGGTGTGTGTTTCTTTACCTCACTCATGAGCTTCTCCAAGCTCAGAAAGCACAGATGCACGTTTGTACATCTCTTTTGTTAGAAAGAGAGATGTGGTTTTGTTTCTGTGGTTTGTTTTTATACAGAAACTATCAAACACATTGCTCTTCATTTTGTTTTTTATAGATACCCCTTCAAATTAATATACAGAATATTCATATTAAGGCATGCTATTTTTAATTTAAGGAAATAAAAATCTGGATATTCATTGTCTTTCTTTTATCATAGCCATAGTAAAAAGTACCAATATTGTCATGGACTGCAAATCTCAGGGATATTTTAACTCCAGATCTGGTAATCGCATGAAAATGACTCTGATGTCTATGGGAAAGCAGGAAACCAAGATTTACAAAGTGAATTGCAATTTGGTAGACAATGTTCTTTTACTGATCTACTTGTTATCTAGTGCTATCTATCTCCAAAAATACCTGATCCTCATGGTAGAATACATGCTTCACTATGATATAATGGTTGTAGTTTTCAGACACCGTATTTGGTGAAAAAAATCACATTATAAAACCATACGTCAGTAGAAAGGAATGAGTTAGGGAATAGATTTGCTAAGCTTCTACCAATGGTATAAAGGCGGATGCAGGATTTTCTTTAGATTAAGACTAGGTATAATGAAGAGAGCAAAAATAAGTTAAGCCATGGATTAATCCAAGTGAATACAGTTCAAGGAAAATAAACATGATACAATCATATGTAAGAGTAAATAATATTCCTCAATGAAAACATTATAACAATTTTGTTTAGAATGCCATAGGCCATCAGAAAGCTGTATATATATATATGTATTATATATTGTATACACTCATCTATTACATATTTAACATGTATTACATACATATTAATGTTTATTATATATTCATATTTCACGTAGTATACTGATATAGTATACCTACCATACTGTTAGGTGCATCTGACTTTTTCCATCTTAAATTTTGCATGCACAAAGTATATTTCTTGTACAAAATTTAAATCCTAACAATAATATAGCAAAGGTAGATCATGCTTTTGAGAAGCTTTTTAAATTAACAAGTGTTTAAAAGTCTTTGTATATATGTCTGTTACATGTGTGTGCTATGTGTGTGTGTGTGTGTGTGTGTGTGTGTGTGTGTGTGTGTTTAGCATTGAGCCTAAGTTCCAAGCAACCAGTGTGGGTCAGGCAGATTTAGTTCAGCTGGAACGTAAGGAGAAAATTGACAAGAATGATTCAATTCAATCTATCAACATTGATTAAATGCTTACTATACACTAGGTACTCTTCTAAACGTTCAGGTCATAGTAGTGATCACAAAAAGTCCCAAGCAAACATGGTTCTTATATTCTACAGGTGGTGCTGGGGGCACATAGAGAGGAGGAAGACATTAAGCCAAAAACCAAACAAATAAAAAGCATCATACTGTTTTTGACAGTGTCAAATAGTGTGAAGAAAAATAAAGTTGGTTGGGTGTCTATGGGGAGTGTTTCTTCTATTTTTGGTTGCAGATGATTTTTTGCAGTTGGTAGCATCTGAGAAGAGACCTGCAAGAAGTGAAGAAGTATGCTACCAGGCATAGCCCGGGAAAGGGCAGCCCGAGGCAGGGAAAAGAGCCAGTGAGGTTTTCAAGGAGAGCAGAGTGTGGCATATTTGAGTTATACCAAAGACAATAAAATGGTGAAATAAGGCCATGAAAGGCCTTGTTGGCCATATCAACAATATTGGATTGTTTTTCCTAAGTCAGTTGGGAAGCCCTTGGAGGCGTTTGATCAGTGACGTCTCAGTTCATATCATAGATAAGTGAATATGCATATTTTAAGAGTTCACTCTGCGGCCGGGCGTGATGGCTCACGCCTGTTATCCCAGTACTTTGCGAGGCCAGGTGGGCAGATCACGAGGTCAAGAGATTGAGACCATCCTGGCCAACATGGCAAAACCCCATCTCTACTAAAAATACAAAAATTAGCCAGGCGTGGTGACCCACGCCTGTTATCTCAGTTACTCGGGAGACTGAGGCAGGAGAATCGCTTAAACCTGGGAGGCGGACTTTGCAGTGAGCCGAGATCACACCACTGCACTCCCGCCTGGTGACAGAGTGAGACTGTGTCACAAAAAAAAAAAAAAAGAGAGAGAGTTCTCTCTGCTACATAAAAACTAGCCTGAGAGGAAACTGGGAAATTGGTTCAACGCTTATGGCAGTACTTTGGAAGAGTGAACTTGTAGACACTAGGTGCTTCAAAACAGAATGATATTAATAACATAATATTTGATTTATAATTTATCTACTTCTCACAACAGAATAGAATAATATGTGTAGAGCTTTAAAGCAATACTAGCATACAGTAAGTTCCATGGAAATTCTAACTATTAACTTTATCCTCTGTATCATCATAATCACCATCATCATTATCCAAATCCTTAATAGATGCTCTTGGGAAAAAGGTCATTTTAAATGATATTACAAATATGACCCTCTTTTCCTCACTAAAGTCAAGCATAAGTTAAAGGATTTGAGGATGTGCCCTATTACAGAGTTGTTTAAGAATTTTACGTGTAACATCCAATGTTTTTTTCATCCTTAAGTTGTTGCATGAGTTATAATTAAACCTAATTTAAAAAAACAGCTAAACTAAATTGGCATTGTTTCTATTTACATTTTAAAAATTAAATCCTAATCAAACTTTTCCTCTTCATTTATATGAAAATTTTGTCTCCAAATGTGTACATTTATTTTCAGCTGACTTTTCCCAGCCTGTTCCTCTTAGATAGAAATGTCTTCTCTGTACTATTGTTTTTATATGATTTTTTTCAATGCTCAACCCTACTTGATATACATACATATACACAACCATGTACAACATTCACTGTACTCTTTGAAATTCATGGCTTAGCACATGAAAAGTAGCATATTAAACTTTAAAATAATACAAATATATTTGGTTATCCTTGAAAAATATAAACATTCGCAAAAAATATCACCAGCCGCACATACATATATTCATATAAAATAATGTATATTAATAAAAAACTTATATAGGCAATGATACAATCATTAAGTGTTAGCTTGGAAGTAGATGGTATCAGAAAATTAGAAAATAGTTCTTGTGTAAGTTATTCTTCTACTAATTGGTTCTTAGTTTCCTGAGGACTGCTTTCTTAAAAACAGATTTACATGGTATGCAGATCAGTTTTGTGTAGTGTTTTTGTTTTGTGGTTACTATTATTTTGTTTGTTTTATGTGTGTATTTTTTAAAGTCTGACAGAGTGATAAATGGTGCTAGTTTTAACTTGAGCTTCAAATACTGATTGATATTTTTTAAACATACACCTTTGATACAATAACAAAACAAATAAAAACAGAGCGTTAAGTCAAATGGAGAAACTAGCACAGATAAAATGTTCTAGTTTTCTGATCTATGCCTGGCAAATAAATGTATGTACTTAGGGAAATTTGGTGTGTTTTCCTATGTGATACATAAACTGGATAATTTTAATATATTCCCCATTTTGGACATTATATTAGAGTGAGAAAAACAGAAAATATATTTAAAATCATAAAAAGTATTAGTAAAGTTCTGAAATTAAAATAACTCCATGAGTATTTTTTTAAGAAAATATTTTCAATTTAGTGATAAATGAGTTTGTATATATACGGCCAAATCCAAAATAGTCTAAAGCTAAGATTGAGGCCTGTCTCAGCTAAATTACATAAAATCAAATGATAAAAGTTGACACTTAACTCATCTTGGACTTTGGATGTAAAACATATGTTGCTGATGTTAGTTTGACATGTGTCAAACACCTTCAAAATGTATGTATGAATATTTATATTCTTCATACATACCTGTTTATGGGATAATATTGAAATTAAATAACATTCTTAGAAAATTAATGTGACAATATCCAAACAGAATTGAGATCTCAGACACAAAACATCTGAGTTTAGGCCTATTTGCCATTGACCTATTACTAAAGTGCTTCTGAAAAATGTCCTCACAGAAGGTTGTTTGGCCTTTCATCCTGCTCCAAAGTGGGTGAGCATAGCTCAGCTGATGTCTACAAACTGTCAGATTCTATGAGCAGAGATCGTGTTTTTCCTTCTAACAGTATAAGTTGCCGTTGTTTAATCTTTTGATGTGGCTCTGGAAGAGAATATGGTCATTGGTACTCACTCTAGGGAAGAAAAAGAGCAGTTGGGGGTGGAGGGAGGAGGATGCAGATTGAAAGACGTAAAATAGTGGCAAAAGACAGTGTTCCTTCTCCAGAGGTGAAGACCTGAGTCCCAGCTGGGAGACATGTATCAGTTTCTGTGCCTGGGAACTTCACATCTTTGGCACCTATCTTGTGCTCAGTGTAAGTCCAGCATTAAGATATATGTATTTTTCCTACTGCATAGCATCTAAATGGAAACCAGTCATATCATTAACTGGTTAATTAACAGATAACAAAGAAGCCAAATTAAAAAACAAAAATAAAAATTCTGCCTTTATTAGACTAATTGAGAGGCCCCAGGTTTTCACCATGCATGGTTGCTTTAGAACCTAACTCCCCAGGAAGATGTGGCTCCATTCTGCTAGGAAGCAGTCTAGAGCAGCACTATGCAAAGTGGGGTCCATGGGCCAGGCCCTTCTGAGAACAGTTTGATACCCATTAGAAAACATGGAAGTACAAAAATAGAGAGTAAGCCTTTAGAAAATTTCATAGAAAATCAACCCAACATTTGTCTGTTGATTCAAGTAATAAAATATGAATGTTTTAATGTCAGTTTTTACATTTAGTTTCTCTAGTTATCCACTTTTACTGTAAATTGGAAAACATTACTTCATGATTTAGGAAAAAAATAGTCTGGCTTAGACCACAGTTAGTTTGAGAAGCACTGGGGTAGCACTTTTAGAGTTTCAACACAGATCAATATAAGACAAGTGTGATCAATGGCAAAAGTATTTTCAATCCCTTGAAACATCAAGGCAACAATGAGGTTGCATAATTATATCCCTAAAGAAATTTACATCTTTATTAATAAGCTTTGTCCTCTCTCTTTTCTTAAGTATTCATGTAAAAACATTCTGAATGCAAAAAATCATATTTAAACACTAAATAGAATGTCAGTAGAATTGCATTTGTATGTGTTAAAATCCTATTGTCATTTTACTATAAACTTCTTCTCTCCTTGCTGTTATTGCCTAACTTCTACAGGGCATTTGTATGTGGCCTTCTTAAAACATTTACTGGAAAGAAACTTAATAAAAATAAATTTATCAATCCAAGATGTGATTTCTCATGAGAATCTTGAATATCTGCATTTAGAAATTATATATATGGTCATTTATAGAAAAAAGGAAAGATCTCCTTAAAAACTGGAATAAGAAAATGATTTATATAGTCATGCTAACAAAATATCTTATTTTAGCAACCACCTGTCTATCACTCTTACCAGTGAAAATTATTCATAAAATAGCTGCTCCTTATAACTAGGGGTAAGAGATATGCAAACAAGACTGCTTTTAATCTTGAAAAGCATGCAAAACAAAATTTAAACATAGACATCAAAAGAGAAAAACTGTTCTCCAATTTGTCACCAAGTCATTGCTCCCTATATTAAGTCCAGCAATTCACGAAACCCTCACTCATTGTTTGCAGTGCCCTGTAGCAAGCTGGAAGTGTCTTTATATGTATTATTAAATTGCCGTTACTGCCATCTAGTGGGAAGAAATACTCCCTGTCACTATGTCAGGGATTGTACATAAAGCCCTAAAGTTCTAAGTGTAAAGGGAAAGCCACAGTTTGTGTGAATCGCAGAGAGCAAAATGGCAAACTGAAGACACAATCTCATGACAATAGAGACATAATAGACATCTATTCACCGAATAAGTTAAAGAGGTATGTAGGACGAAAAGAAAGGGTGTGGGGAATGCATGCATTCACGAGAATTCATTTTGTGTACACCCAAAATTACATCTAAAGTATTATTTCTTATTGAACACAGGTTACCTGAACCAGGACATTTTATTACATGTAGACTTATTTTGTCTTTACCTTTTGAATGTAGATGGATTGTTTTGCATGTGCTTATTAAGTCTTAAAAATGAAGACAGCTTAGATCTGTTCTTAAAAGGTAAGGTTCATACGAAACACTGTAACGAGGGAATCTTGTTACAATGCAGATTCAGACTCCCCGGGGGTCTGCATTTCTAGCAGCTCTTAGGTGATACCATGCTCCTGTTTATAGTCAGATCATACTTTAGGCAGTTACAGGCTTCGAGTGGGTTACCAAAGGGAAGGAGTCCAGAAATGAAGCAAACTCCCCCACAGAGTATATTTCACCGCTTGTTATCTTGTTGTTATAATGTAATAGACTAGTTCATTCAATGGCCTATACAGTCAAATTGCCAAATTCATTTCTTGAGTTTGTTACTTAACTATGTAGGTAAACTTGGACAAGATATTTCACATCTCTATGACTTAGTTTCATCATCTGTAAAATAAAATAAATCATAACTAAATATATCTAAATAGACATACATAAATAACTATCTCATGGTTCTTATGGGAAATAAATGAGCTAAAATCTCAGGATGAGCCATATGAAATTGTCCTCTTTATAGATGAAAAATAAACATCCACAATTTTATATAGTTAAAACTAAGTATGTAAATTATTTAGTATAATATGTAGCACCTAGTGAACAATAAATGTTAGTATCAGCAACAATTGTCACTGGGTAAATTCATAGACACATGAATGTACTAACACCCTAAAAAGTTTCTTTCAATGAAGAAAATTTTGACATCAAATACACATTATGCAGTAGCACATATAAACCACGAGGACATAAAAAAAAAACAAAGACTCTGGATAAAATTAATAATATGATAAACCTGTTCTGGGGAAAATAGGCCATGAAAGTATCTATTGTTTTCTAAATTATTAGAGCAAGCATACTTCATGTTTTTGAATTCTTTGTCGTTCTTACGCTGTAAACATTTTTACATGATTTCAAGCTATGTTACATTCCTTAGTTGTATGGTGAATCATAAAATGTGTGATAAATTATTTATATTTATAAAGTTTTGCCTCAAATAATAGCATTTAGCACTGTGCTTTGATGAAGGGACATTCATTTGTATGAAAAGCAGTTCTGCTTCTTTTGAGTACATTTAGTCACTTTGCTTAAATGAATAGATATTTCCTAATTTTGACCCTCAGGTTTTAAACTTTGCTTGAAGTGTACTGATTTTTGCTCTTGTGAAGTATTGTTGGTGAACTACAGAGAAGCATGTAACATACTATAAAACTATAAACTTTAAAATTATGAGTTAGAATCTGGTTGGTATTAACTTAAATTGATGTTAATGGTTACATATACAGGCTATCAACTGAGATATATTGTAATTCTTTCTAAGGAGTCCTTCTTTTTCTAAAATTTGAAATCTTTTCAACCTTTTGATGTATATAAAATATTTGTTATAAACCTGTTTTATAATGAAAGTAATTTTTATTACCACGTAGTTTAGAGACTAAACTTGTAAGTTTCAAGGTTAGTGGAAGAAAGAATTTAAGCCACTATAATCTATTCCACATGGGCAACAAAGTACATTTAAGGAATAAAACTATTAGACTATATTTATTGAATGATGAAACTCAAGCTGGTGTTATATAAAGTGATGAAGGAATTACTGAATTCTCTTTTTTTCGTTTTTTGAGATGGAGTCTCGCTCTGTGGCCCAGGCTGGAGTGCAGTGGCACTATCTTGGCTCACTGCAACCCCTGCCTCCTGGGTTCAAGTGATTCTCCTGCCTCAGCCTCCCGTGTAGCTGGTATTACAGGTGCCCACCACCATGCCTGGCTAATTTTTGTTAAATTCTCTTTTCCAAAGATGCGATACTATTATTCTGTTGCAGCAACAAAAACTGGGTATACACACAAAATAATTGAAAACATGATATTTATACATCTAGGCTCATGTCAGCATTATTCACAACAGGCAAAAGATGGAAGCAATCCAGATGTTCATTGGAAAAATAAAATATGGTGTGTACAGACACTGGAATGTTATTCAGCTGTAAAAAGGCATGATATTCTGATACATGCTATGGCATCAAAGATCATTGAGAACATTATGCTAAGTAATATAAGTCAGACACGGGAAAACACATGTTTTGTGATTTTAATTATATAAGGAATCTAGGATAATTAAATACATAAAAGCACAAAGTAGATCAGTGGCTACCAGGAACTGAGAAGAGGAGGAAATGAGGAGTTAATATTTAATAGGTACAGAGTCTCAGTGTGAGATGATGAAAAAGTTCTATAGTTGGACTGGTGATGGCTGCGCTTTACACTTAAAATGACTAAAATGATACATTCTATACTGTTTTGTATATTCATTTCAGTACAATAAGAATAATTTATAAAAGACGCTAATGAGCTCCTAGTCATCATATGACACAAAGGTGTCTTTTAGGAACCATGAAATTAATTTAAAAAAAAAGTCTACTCTCATACCTACACAGCTATTTTCCGTCTGTTATGGTAAGAAACAGAAGTTAAGGTTGTTAACAAAAATAATTTGGAAAGCAAGACAGGAGATCAACTGTTTGCATCACTTTAGGCGAAGTTAATTGACACTCAATGTCTGTCTTTGTCTTTTCAGGCTGCTAAAACAAAACATCGTAAATTGTCTGGTGAGGGCCTACATTCTGGTTCATAGATGGCATCTTTTCACTGTGTTCTCACATTGGTGGAAAGGAAGAACTCTGGTTTCTTCACTTCCTTATAAGGGCACCAATCTTATTCACGAGGGCTTCACCCTCGAAATAATCACGTCCTCAAAACCCCCACCTTCTAATATTCTAATACCATCACGTGAGGGCTTAGGTTTCAACATAAGAATTCGGTGGTGGTGGGGTTGGGGGGAGAGGGAAACAAACATTCAGACCATATCAATGCTTTATTTTTCTCTTTTTAAATCTGGCCATTGTGAGAATTACAGGAGAATTAAAGGCATCTGTCATCATCCCAGACACATAGTAAGTTCTTAATATGGGTGGTTATTGTTATTTTTTCTGATGTTGTTATTGCTTGAACTTTCAAGATGTAGGGACAAAAGTTTTATATAAATAACAAGAAGTTCAACTAAACACTGTATTGTACATCCTGTAAATATGTAGAATATGGAGGCACAAAAATGAGCTTTAGGACCAAAATACAAATATGTTAAAATAGTTTAGACTCAAGTGTTAATGCTAGATGGTCAGTCCTGAACTTTGCCACCCTACTATTATCAGAGAAGTGAAAAATAATAATTTTTTTTTCTTTTTTCTTTTTTTTTTTTTTTTTTGAGACGGACTTTTGCTTTTGTTGCCCAGGCTGGAGGGCAACGGTGCAATCTCGACTCACCACAACCTCCATCTCCGAGGTTCAAGCGATTCTCCTGCCTTAGCCTCCCAAGTAGCTGGGATTACAGGCACCTACCACCGGGCCCGGCTAATTTTGTATTTTGAGTATAGACGGGGTTTCTCCATGTTGGTCAGGCTGGTCTCAAACTCCCGACCTCAAGTGACCCACCCGCCTCAGTCTCCCAAAGTGCTGGGACTGCAGACGTGAGCCACCATGCCTGGCCTCTAAGAATAAATAATAATCTTACCAACTATTCTATATAAGCATTTTTGGCCCACTGAACACTGTGATATGTAACTTCATTGCACCTTCACATCAACCCCACCAAAATATACGTAACAATAGGCTAACTTTAAAATTCCCAACTAAAACAAAAATTGTGACCAGTAAATTACAAAGTTAATAAGAGACACAGTCAAGGTTGAACACCAGGTCTTCTGACTCTAAGTCAAACTCTCTCTTTATTCCCTGTTGTGTATCATAGGTTGCTGTAGACCAAGTATTGAAAATCTTGTGTTTTCTTCATTTTGCATTCTTAGTTTATGGGATTATTCAGAAAAAATTAGGAGAGAATACAGTAATTCAAAATCTACAGATTTTTTAAGACACAGATTTTTGGACATCAGTGTTCAAATCAATAGAAAGTCATGCTTCCCTTCAGCAGCCTTTATTTTGACAATTTTAAGGGGCAGGTACACTAAATTTCTGCTGATTAGATGGAATGAATCCTATCCTTAAATCATAAAGAGTGTTAATGAATCTGGTAGCAAAAGTTGATTGCAGACTTCTTACAATGACACCATGGGATGACAACTGTGTTAACACAATTTTGAATATCTCATTAAACATTTTTTCTCTGCATGTATATTTTTCCTTTTTTTTTTTTTTTAGACGAGTCTTGCTCTGTCGCCCAGGCTGAGTGCAGTGGCACAATCTCAGCTCACTGCAAGCTCCGCCTCCCGCATTCACGCCATTCTCCAGCCTCAGCCTCTCGAGTAGCTGGGACTATAGGCGCCCGTCACCACACCCGGCTAATTTTTTGTATTTTTTAGTAGAAATGGGGTTTCACCGTGTTAGCCAGGATGGTCTCGATTTCCTGACCTCGTGATCCACCCCCCTCGGCCTCCCAAAGTGCTGGGATTACAGGCGTGAGTCACCGCGCCCGGCCTTCTTCATACAAATTTGTTCATGTAATATATTAATTGCCTGCCTACCTTCCTATTACAGGTTTCTTAAACTTTGGTAGATTCTCTTTTGTTTCTGTTCACCAAGGTCCTTCTTCATACGAATTTGTTCATGTAATATATTAATTGCCTGCCTACCTTCCTATTACAGGTTTCTTAAACTTTGGTAGATTCTCTTTTGTTTCTGTTCACCAAGGTTTTGCCAGACCAAGCTACAGGCAGATTTTTACCATTAACAGCTCCTTCTAAAGTTATTCACGTTTGGTCAGTACTCTGGGCTGAAATTCCAACCATCAGTACTCTTTCACTTTGAAAAATAAGCTTGTTTGACTTTATTTGGAAACATATAACTGGATTGCTGTGCTGGATGCTAGTGAGCAATGGTTTAAGGACCCCGTTTATTGTAGGAAAGTTTATTACATTTTGTTTTCATACTGCTTTACAGGGTTGGAATTTTTTGCAGCATTGGTATATAGACAACATGTCATTTGTTTTAGTTGCTACATGACACCTTAAAGTTTATTTTTTCTCCAAAGGAAATGGCAACTGTATTCTTTAAAAACACCTATGTAAAAATGAAATAACTAAACTTGTTTTTAGAGTATTCTATATTCTAGATGGATAATGCCGGAAAAAAAAAGATGCATGTGTACAGCAAAACTTGTTTTATGAAACAACTCCATGGGCCAGGAAAAATTAGTTGCCTAAGAAAGATGTATAGTTAACTGAAAATTAAACACATATTGTCTTTGAAATTTATAAGACATTTAAAGCATCCATTTAACTTATCGGTGGTCTCCATATCTGTATAGTTGATGCCAGAAAGAGAGAATAAAAGATTACCTAGAGAAATGGACTTTAGGTAAGATTTTAAGATATGAAACATATGAACAAAATTTAGTTTTCCAGATGATTTGTATAAAATACTGCCAGATAATTTGCTAATTATATGGCACTGGGGACAATAACAAGGATTAATGAAAATGTTCTAACTCAACAGATTTTTAAATAATATTTTTCTTATACAAATAATAAAGATTTATTGTAAAAAATAGAAAATATAGATAAGAAAGAGGGAAATTATTCATAATTTCTGCTTTTTAATATAAACTATGCACATTTCAGTATATCAACATCCATACATTTTTCTATGCATATATACACTATTGCATACTTGAATTAGTCCATATTGTACACAGTCTTTTAAAATTCACACCTTTAACATAAATATTGAAAATACCTTTTTCATGTCATAATAGTTTTTGAGAAATTGAGTATCATTTTAAAATAAAAGCAATGTCCTTATTGTGGAAAAGCCTAGCTCCTCCCTGTTGATTTTCACAAAAAATCTATGTTTGGAAATGATAGAAAACAACATTGTATCATAGTGTTGTTTTTCTAGCAATACCACATAAGCTCCTGGTGTACAATCTAGGCACTTGTGGGTGTAACCTTTGAGCATGGCTTCATGTGTTTAAGCCTTAGGGCCTCGAGCACGTCCTAGAACAAGTATGGAGAAATGACATTGGGTATGCTAAGGGGCTGAGACCATGGTGAGGTGTAGAATATAGAAGGGCTCAGGAGTAGGTCTGGCTCAGAAGTCAGTGTATGGGGTCTAGGAAGCAGCTCAATGTAGGAAGGATGTCCTTGAACAAAAAGGTCAAAAATTGGATAAACACGAATTCTCTGAATGAGCACGCATCCATAAACTTTAGGATAACAAAAGGCCAGGCTGCAAGAGACTGTGAAATGGATATGGATCACAATAATCAATTAAAAAATCTTTGACATACATTAATTCCACTAATATTTATTAAGCATAGGATAGTTTTATACACCATTCCCAGCTTAAGACAGCTTATAACATACACAATATGGTGAGATGATTGTTAAGTAATAAAAGGCAATATGTAATTCATATGGTCCAAGAATAAGTGCTATAGGGATTTGTTTATTGGAAGGTTTGCTTCTGACTTTTGCAAAGTAGAAATTTATAATGATAATAGCGGCCGATATTGGCAAGTATTTTATAGGCCTTATTTTTATGTTCACAACAACATGTGCATAAATTATTATTTTCAGGAACACAGTGCCTATGGTGGTTACAGTCTTGGAGCCAGACTGTCTGAGTTTGAATCTCAGCCACTTACTTTGTGGCTTTTGGCAATTTATTTAACTCTCTATTTTTCAGTTTTCTCATCTATAGAAAAGAAATAATGGTAGTATCTATTTGATTTAGTGATTGTAAATACTAAATGTGTTTATATATAATACTTATAAATAGCTCTACAAATGTTAGTTATTGTTATTAATTTTATTTTCGTGGTATAGAAATGAAGGTTTGGATAATTAAGGTGATATACCTAAGTTATGCAGGTAGTAAATGTTGGAGCCAAGGGTGAATACAGCTCTCTCTTACCTGAACCTGAGTTCTTAATGTAGCCACTTTGATGTCTCAAACTTTAAGCATGACAAGAGTGAGTCAAAGATAGTTTGGATTTTGATTATGGATGACTGGAATCATTCGTGAAATAGGGAAGTGACTAGGAGAGGTTGTTTTTATTGCTATTGTTGGATAAAGGAAAGGTCAGATTTAAGATGTCTTGAATTGGAACTGGTGAGGAGGCATTCAGGGTGAAATATGTAGCTGTGAGATAGAAATCCTGGACCAGAACTCTGTGGAGAGTTGGAGTGGAAGCTGAGATTAGGGTAGTATCTATGTTAAGTTAATAATAAGATTGGCAGGGAGATAATATTTTAAGAAGCAACATATATAAAAAGAAGGACTACGTCGAGAAGTCATAGCATTATTAACCATGGGGAAGAGAAGCTATTAAAGAACTCAGAAGCAGAATTGATAGGGTCCAACCAGAGTCAGTGATAGCCTGTCAGCATGCAAGATGAAGTCCAAGAACTCCACTAACAACAGGGTGGAACTCTCAACTATGTGAGTAGAGAGGAAAGATTTTTCTATTTTTTTGATCATGAAATTGCTTATGAGGTACAGGCCCCAGGTGTTATGAAGAATATGACTTGGTTCGTTTGGGGCACTGAAGGTACTGGGGGAGGCGCTACTTTTAGAGCGCTCAAATATGCCACGATTTCATTTCATTTTGCTTTCTCCAGGCCTGTGACATACTAAGGCAGTTTTTACTTAGGCATCGATATCATTTTCAATTTGGATCATTTCAAAAGAAAGAGAAGGACTTCTATGTGTGTGTGTTATATGTTTTTTGGCTTTTCTTAGTCAAGTATTTCCGAGGATATTCTACCATTCCTTCTTTTTAATTTCCTGTTTTTGTTTGTTTATCAAATGCACCAGACAATTTATCTTTCCCAGAAGTTTTAATTTTTGTTCCTATCTACATAGGAAAGAGCTGGGAAACAGAGTTTTTTTTTTCATATTTAGATTGACATTAAAGGTATGGCAGGTTCTGTTTGGGGAGCAATTTTATGATAAATAAAACTAAATTGTGCTCCTAGAAGTTCATAGTGCTGATCAAATGACACTTATATGTTGGTCTTTCTTTAAAAATTTGTTACAGAAAATAATAAAAATTCTAATAAAATTAATTCTACTTCTAATTAAAGTCTAGAAATAAATCCACTATGATTATTTTGTCAGCTTTAGCTGAGGAATAACAAAATGAAATAGGATAATTAGCTGGAGCATGGATTTTCTGAAATAGAGGACAGTAAACTACAGTTTTGGAGAGAAATATCTAAATCTGAAGCACAAAAAGAAGCAACAAAGTTGTTGGAAGTTCTGTTCTAAGCAACTATGAATTTTTTTGTAGTTGCTCTGCTGATTTCTAGGGTATTTCTCTATAGCTAATACTTGGAAAGATACTTCCTCATTGATATGTGTTTCCTAAAGGCATCATTGGAAGTTGCTTCCTATTTGTCTGATGGGTTCAGGTTGGTATGTTGAATCCAGTGATGCTGGAATTCAGGGGCCTAAAGTTCAAGGCAGACTTTAGGTCCCCAAGATTAGAAATGGATTATCTGTTTGTGTAGTCTGGAATTTCATATTTC
The DNA here is from genome assembly GCF_000001405.40 of Homo sapiens. Lineage (NCBI taxonomy): Eukaryota > Metazoa > Chordata > Mammalia > Primates > Hominidae > Homo > Homo sapiens. Next base: position 16,339,450 of record NC_000021.9, read on the forward strand.
AAGTTGTATTTGAAAATTCATTCCTCTGTTGCATTATATGACTTTTGGCTCTTGGATCATTCAAAACTCTGTCATCGTCTTGGTCCTTTGTGTCAATTTGTTTGGTTATAGGTTTTCACAAAACATGGAGTAGCTATGCTGCACAATTGAGATTTTTCATTTATTCTACATCTTTCCTCAGCCAGCACATGATTATGTGATTGGTTCAATAGTAGGTCCTCACCAAGACTCTTCACATTTTATGTTGCCTCCACTAGTGTCATATCAGTGTGGCTTTAGTATCAGCCAAATTCAGATCCAGGATTTTGTTGCTGAAAACTTAAATTTAGAATCACATGGTGTATATTTAAAGGAACTCTTAGATTCTCCTTTTAAGGAAAGATGTCTGAAAATTTTAAACATAGGTGTCTGTCATTGTTATGGTTTGGAATTTATACTATGGCTGAAAATATCATTAAATATTGGATGGGTATGATAGCAGTATTGTCACATCTTTAGCTCTTTTTTGGTTATATATATATTTATATAGGTTATATATATATATTTATATAGGTTATATATATGTGTGTGTATTTTTGGGGACATCTTGAGTTCTGGGACAGCCTGCTTTGGTGAAAAGAGCCCCAATTTTGGTGTCAGACTGAGTGTGAGTGTAGGCTACATTCAGTTCTATCCCTGCTATTTTCCAACGGTAGACACTTTAGTTAAACTTATTTTCTCTGAGCTTCAGTTTCTCAACTAAAAATGGGGGTGCTACATTGTCAGGCTGCTAAAAGTTTCCAATGAGGAAATGCTAGGAAAACCATCATAGTATTTAGTAGAGTGGAATCGTAATAAATACCAGCTGCCTCTCTTCTCTCTGCCTTATTCCAAATTATGTACACCAGGATGATTTTTAATGCAAATGAATACCAAATTTTAGCTATCATCCAATTCTTCCACGATCATTCAATCCCTGTTTAGTTCATAGAATCATAACAGCTTGGACTTGAAAGTGACTTAAATAGCATCTAGTGTAATCTTTCACCTAAAAGGCATGGAGTCTTCCAGATTATGGTTGAATATTTCCCATACTGAGAACTCTACTTCACAAAGCAACCCACTATAATTTTTAAACTTGATCTTCAATAATAGCTTAAAATCAATTCCTGTAATTATCAAAACCTTTTGCATATCTAAAACCATCTATATTACCATGCTTTAAATATTCACATGTGAAGACTTCCCACTATCTTCTGTTGTGTCTCATGTGATAAATTTTTCAGATCCTTCACCACTCTACTAATTTTCACTTTTAAAGTAGTGTGTTTTAAAATAAGTTGGACATTTTTCCCTGTAAAATACGATTGTTTCTTGCTTTCCTAATTCTAATAAAGGCATTCACCTTCTCCTGGCCACACAAGAAAGTACAGTTAGAATGTACCCATGCCAATGTTTCTTCTATACATCTTTTGAAATAAAAGTCCCTAACTTGGATATAATATTATACTTTATATCAATAAGGTGAACAGAAAAGAACTTGGAAAGCACCCCCATTCATGCTTTCACAAGTGGATATTATGTACTAGCATTTTAGAAGGCACATTAAAATAGTCAAGAATTTATTTCAGCATTCAGCAGTTCGTGAATCCAGCAGCTCCAGACCACAAACTGCTCAGGGCTCTGACAAAGGGGTTGGGGAAGACTTTTACAGGGTGAATGTAGAAGCAAGGCAAATAAAATATTTGATTTGTTAAAGTACAGCAGTAGCCTTATTTGGATCATTCCAGTGGGAATCCCTAGTCAGAGGTATGATTGACTTAAAATATGACCATTTACACTGAGTGGGGTTTTGACTTGCTTACATAGGAATCAAGGGCGCTGGAGCCACCTCACCCCGCTGGCCTCCCAGTTAATTTTTTAACAAGAGAAAACAAAATGAAAAGATATTACTTTTGCTAAAGAACAAAATGTCTATTTGGGAAACCAAGAAAAATAACACAGTATTATCTTCTCTAATATAGTGCTTCTCAAACTACTTGTGGTGAAGGAAAGTTTAAAAAGAAATTTTAATATCTGTACAGACTAATACTTTTGGGAAATACAAAAAAAAACGAATTACTAGAAAAAGTTATGTTTAAGATACAAATCTCTATTTGTTGTTTTAATCCACAAATTATTACTTTTTTATTATTTTAAGTTTAGAATCTTGAAAAAGCTTCTAAATTCTTAATTTGTATACTTACTTTGTCCCAGATAGGTAATGAATAGTTTGCTGAGAGGCACCACTCTCAGTCCACACTCAGGGTAACACTGTATTAGTGCACATAAAAATAAGGTACAACTGAATCAAAAAAAAGGATCTTGTAGATGCTAGAGATACAACAGTGAACAGACCAAAGGTCCCAGAGTAGAGAATGACAGATACTAAACAAAGTAAAATACATAGCTATAGAATTTATAACCATGCAATGGTTATAAATTCCATAGAAGAAAAAATAAAGCAGGCAAAAAGGATAGGAATAACATATCGAGGGTTGCAAGAAAAATTTAAGGCTATTTCTTTTGATTCATGGTATAAGTTTTTTTTTTTTTCTACAAGCGAACGTCTAATCACTTATCTGTGATGGTGATTACATGAGGTTAGCTCTTGTAATCAACTATTTTGTAAATGATAAAATTAGGTTTTCTGAGGAGAAAATAGCCTTTTATTCACAAGGGTAATTTTTATTTTTAATATGTTAATTTTAATATTTTAAAATAGATTAATATGTTTCTGATTTTGGCTACTATTTGTTTTAAGATATTTTACCTATGGTCATAAATGAAATTGGGCTATAAATTTTTTATTGTGTTCTTCTTATTGGTTTTACTATAAAAGCTGTATTACCCTTGTAAAGAAAATTGGATGGCATTCCATCTTTTTAAAAAAATCTGTGAGGCGGTTTATGAAAAATAGAGTTTGTATGTATTCTTTGAAGAGAATGATGAAATCTACCTATAAAGTTGGGTAAATTGATGAGTGTTATCATTCAGTTCGCTATTTCTCTCTTTAATTGGTATCAAATCTATAATACTTTCTATCTACTGAGGCTTCTATTTTAATGTCTGTATTATTAGTTTCCAATATGTCTAATTTTAAAAATCAGCCTATTTTTATTCATATCTGCTATTATAAGCTCTTTTAAAAATGGATATTATTAAGCATACTTATTTTTAGTCTTTGTTAGGTTGTTACATCAAATAAATTCAAAGTAAATTAAAGTGACAATTTTGGGGCTGTTGCTTGTCTTTTCTATCTATACTAGGTCACTTGTTTAGGTACTTAGGTTTACAAGCTTATTCTGAGTGAAAAGGCAAGTTAGAAGACTTTCCTCCCCTCCTTACTCACTGTCGGCATTTTTGCAGTTGCCTAGCCCAGACCCTCCCCACATTTGAGTTGAAGCCACTTCATCCCAATTGCAGAAGCTGTTGGGTTGCCTGGTTCAATTTCTGACTAAAATTTATCTGTATTTAAGCCCCTGTCCTTTTATAAAGCTAACTCCCCAAATAGCTTCAGCTGTGAGTATTTTGTTTTGCTTATTTCTCTTGTTCAACCTCTCACTCAACAAGGGAGCTCTACCTCAACCTCTGGTTTCAAGCAAACAGCATGAATGTCTCTGGTCCCCCAACTCATGTGGAAGATACTTTGTTTCCTCCTTTTACCACAGGAGGCTGAAGTTTTGGCCACCTGTGTTCACTGTGGGCTTAGCCCTGCAGCTCCACTTGCCGATTTGCATTTCTCTGCTGATTTTCAGTCATTGAGTTTTCATTCTGTTCTTAAGCCTGGATTTGTCTTTTGGATTTTTTTATTCTTATACTTTATTTACATTGCCATGTGTTTGAAGTGGAAATAATATTTTAAATTATGAATGCTGTACCATCTTGACTGGAATTCTCCTTTTGTACAAATGAAATCTATAAATGTTTTCTTAAAAAGGACTGTTTAATTGGGATCTCCTAAAGTATAGCTTCTTTAAGTAAAAAAATTGTATATTTAACCGGATGGTAAGTGGGACTTTGCCTGGTGAACCAGAATTTTTAGTAAGCCTCCAAATCTGAAACAATGTTATGGGTGCCCACACATTCTAAAGACATTACTAGATCCTCAGATTGGACACCAGAGAAAGAAACCTGGCTGTTTCATCTTGTTTGTTTTAGAGTTAAAAATATATAATTTATTTTCAAAGTAATTATAAGAAAAACAATGATCACTTCTCAACTATTACAAAAAATTATGACAGGGTTTCAGAAAAGGTGTTTTTTTTTTTTAATTGAGATAGTGTGTGACATTTTAGAGTTAGATTTTAAATGGATACGAACAGAATGTAGGAATCAACAGGAAAATGTAAGCAGCTGCACCAAACATAATCTCTATTTCTTTTGAAGTCATTGCCCACAAGAACTCACAAAAACTACCCCATGAGAAGTGGCACCAACACGGGTTACAACTGCACTAATTAAATAAGATTCTCTCTATGCCTTAAGTTCTCCATCTCTCTGCTGTAACCATGACCCAGCATAATGAGTAGGGAGAAGGAACTCAAGCTGTGAATTGTGGGAAGATGTGACTATGCACACCTTTCCCTCTTTCTCTGTTACTGCAGTTCCTAAGCCCGTCAAGCCCAGCAGAAGAGATAAAGGTATTAGACTGGTCTGTAAATTTCAATGCCTAAAAATATCCACCAAGCTGTAGATCTTCCCAAGATATTTTTCAGGAACGAAGCATGTAAACTTACATGAGTGAAAGACAGTGGTAAAAAAAAAAAAAAACAGTCTATTTTGGGCTTTGGCTCCTACCTAAATCTAGCTTGTTCAATAAACCTGTTCATTAAGTTTTATGTTAAACCATATTCGTGCATTTTTCCTTGCCATTATACTTAATAATGCAACTTTAAAAATCTTAAAATAAATGAATACTTGATTTGAAATGTTCATGTGTGTACAGACTTTTTGATTGAAGCAAAAAATATTTAATGAAATCAAACCTTCCAGACTTTAAATTGCAACCCAATTCACATGAATACAAATGAGCTTAAAAATAATATTGCATATGTATAAAAAATCAAATAAGGGAAATATAAATCAACAGCTATGCTTGTATCGGTTTAATTTTAAGGCATGATACAAGAATTACTCTGCTGCGGCTCATTAACACACTACTAAAAAGCAAATCATATCTTTTCTCCATTTTATGTAACATTTTATTTTGCCTGATTATGTGTTCTCATAAAATAGGCCTTCATGACTTATATAAATGTGGAAAGAAGTTATTTCTGAGAAATGTTATTGGCAATAAGGAATTGGCTTAGGTAAACTATTTTAGAATTGGTAAGAGCCTATATGGAGATCAAATGTATTACCATGTAAATTCATATACCATATACATTTCATTTCATAGCTTTGCTGTTATTGTTGTTTCTTATGTATATAGCCCAATACATATTTTACTCACATTCTCCAGTTGTCTGATATCTTCGTCAGATTTTTTTCTCGGGTCTGTCTTTAAGATTTAGATAAATTGAATGTTATTAGCGGTACTCGTTCAATTAGAATGTTTTTATGAAACCCATAAAACATTACACTGCTAGAGTAAATGATTCAGCATATGATTCAAACCAAACTAAATTTCCCTTCAACCCAAAATAATCTCTAAGTCATAGTGGTCTATACAGAATTTAGTCATATTTTGATATTTATAAATATTAATCATAAATATAATATTTAGAGTTAGTACTGAAATCATATTTAGTAATGATAAGAATCTACTTGCTTATTTTGAGATTAATCACTGTAGCTCCTATTGTCAAATATCTACCGACATAAATAAAAATAAACATGAGTTTGAACATGTTAAATGCACAAAGATCATCTGAAAGTACCAGGTTGAGTAAGAAATGATTAAAGACATGAATGAATATTTATATTTTATAGAACTTTAATTTCATAATAAGAAGAAAGAACTAGGTATAGTTGTATTATTTGGCCTTTATAATGAATAGTTTTTCTTAATATCATTTACATGTAATATGAAGATATTCTGGGATGTTGAACAGTCTTCCAGATAGGTAAAAGGAAGGGATTCAAAAGAAAATTTGAATACATATTTCATATTTATCTTTTTGTGAGCTTCGTAATAAACCACACAAAGCTTTCATCTGGAATACTTATTACTAAAACTTGCACTGTAGCTGTAGATTGACATTAACAGGGAAAAATAAATATAACCCATTTCCCAAGACACTAAAATATGCTAAATGAAGTAAAAAATGTAAAGTAATTTTGAAAACTTAAATTGATATTGAAATGTGAGTTAGTTTTATCTTAGTCAACATCATTGTTATTGAAGAAAGGCAGATTTTATTCACCGGAATTATTTATTTTAGTTTAGATTAAAAGCTGCTTTCTGACATATGAGTTGACTCCTGTATCTACTTTTCTGAGATACTATTGGCTGAAACATGTTGATTAAATTTTGTAGTAACTTAATTACAAGATTCAGAGATAGTAAAGCTTTTAATGTAGGTTATAATTTTATAATATGAACTGACATTTCTCTAGTGCTCTGCAGTTTTCAAAATGCTTTCATAAGCATTATCTCTTTCCATTTCTACAACAATTTTGCAGTAGGAAATAATAGTATCCCTCTTTTAGAGATGGAAAAGTTAAAGTTTCAGAGAGAATAAATCACTTAGCTACTAGATGGCTGAATCAGAACTCAAGCATGTGAAGAGAGGTAGTATATAGCATATCTTAAGAATCTTCGTATCAAGATTAACAGCCTTGGAGACAAAAGGTCTTTGTTTAAATTCATACTTTACCCTTTGGTTGTTGCGCGCTCTTGGGCAACTGAGAAATCTGATTGGGTCTCAGTTTTTTAATCTGTTTAATGGGATAGCAAAGTTCATTATTGGGTATTGTGATAAGTAAATGAGTTGACACCTAGAACGTACTTAGACTGTACCTTGTATATTTTTAGTGGATGCCCAGTAAAAATCCATTGATTGTTGTTGATTAGTACCAATTCAAACGTGAAGTTGCAGATTGCAGTTATTTGATGTTTTGGTCTGAATTGTTGTCTTTAGTGAGAGACATCTAACTTAAAATAGCTTAAGAAAAAAAAAAGGGTGACTTATTAGACCACTGAGTTGGGAAAAGTTGCTATACTTTCATACATTCAAAGGAAAACCTGAATCTTGGATTAAATGGCACTGAAGACTCAGTTCTTCCCCAATCTATATCTCTGTTCATTTCTTCTTTCTGCTGTCTCTGCTTCTTCATGGCCTAGCCTCGTTATCTTCTACCATAGATAGGCTTTGTCCAGAGTGTTCATTTTTCCATCCCAGGGAAGGGCTCTGATTGGCTATGCTTAAAATTTGCACTGGCTCTTTATTTCCAAAAGTATTGTTAGAGAAAATGGGGATATGGATGTCATATGGATATCTCTGTGTCTAAGGGATTGGTATGTTACCAGAAGCAATTGAAACAACATGGCTTTTGGAGAAAAACTGAAAAACCAGAAACAAGATGATAATGAAAAAGATACAAAGTAGTATATTCTATCTGACTTTCTGCAAATCAGAAAGAAAAACTGTTAAAAACTAAGAAAACTTGGTTTTGAACTGAGTTTTGAGATCAGTTTTAAGAATTAAGTCTTAAAACTAAGAACACTTAGTTTGGAAAACCTTTGAATATAAAGCTGCCCTATAAGGTTTTCAGAGGATTAGTGTTCCCTCATGCCACCATCAGGCTAGCACCAGGCAGAGGTATCTAGTGTTGCCTGACAGTGATGTGCAGGGGAGAATATTGCTACAACAACAGACAGAAAGGATGGTGATGGTCTGATTTCAAAAACAGATCAGTGTAACTATGTAGCTACTTAGTCAATAGCAAATTTCCTAGACATTCTTATGTTTTGCTAAGATGGCAGTAGAAGCTTGACTCTGACAGTTGCTCCAAATGAAGTAATAAACCTAACATTCTAGTTACCTTGTCATTCATCTGTCTTCAAGGTGGAATACATATATCACCTTTGAGTGAGCATTCATATTGTTAAAATATTGAAATGTCATCCAATGCCATAATTTTCAAAGCATGAAATTTAAATAAAATCCTTTGCCCAACCTCTCAAATACCTCTGTGGTCTCTGGATGACACTGTGCAAACCACAAACCTATAGAAATTTCAGGGGAGGTTGAATTAAAGAACTATCGAATTAAAGGGTTGATTTGCAGTAATTAACATTTCACTTTCTGAAAACCCCATATATTTAACAACACTATTATAATAAGTTAACATGTGCTTCAGCTTCTTTCTCACTCTACAACTGGTTTAATGCTTAAACATTTCTTCTCTATACTTGGTATGATTTCCTCCTTTTCTTGCATTATATAAGTTCTGCACTTGTTTTCAATGTCCAAACTTGAACTCATCACCTGTCCCCAAAACCTGTCTTCCTTTTATTATGTCTAGCTCAGTAGTTGCGCAAATTTGAAGCCTGGATAACACCCTTGAACTTTTTCTCAACCCATGAATTCATCTTTAGTCAGTCAGTTGACTCTAATTCTTAAATAGCTCTTAATTCTATCTATTTATGTCTAACATGATGCCTCCATTGCACTTTTAGCATTAAGTTTAATTTCTTGACTTGAACTTCTAGGTCTTTTGTAATTGGTTCTTGTTCTGAATCTGAAGTCCTTCAAGATGCAATTCAAATAGTGTTAAAATATTGCATAGGTTGTTTACATAATTTCACAGAAACTTCTGACAAAGAATATCCTCAACATCATGCAGGTAGAAGCATCATAAAATACCACTATATGATTAATCTATAAGGGTTCATGAAACAATTTAGTTAAAATATGCCTATTTTCACATACTTAGATAAATTCATTAATTAATTTTTATGTCACTATCTTGCCTGGTATAAAGTAGGAATTTGGTTTCCCCCCAAAAGAATAAGATAATGAATATAATATATAGCTGTAAAATGAATATACAATTGGGACCTGGTTAGTGTTACTTCTTTTTATGGTCATCCCCACTTACTATAGCTGACAAACACTGGCACTTGCTTCTGTTTCTTTTCACAGTTAATATTCATTACTGCTTTGTAATATAGGACTTTCCAATAAAACGTTTTCAAATAGAAACTATCCTGGAATGCTCATATGTTTTTTGTTTTCTTTTCATATATACAAGAGCCAACAAGTGCAGTCATTGTAGATACTTTTGATCATTGCAGATGGTCAAAATGATTTTTCAATAATTTAGAATAATCTATTCATTTCCTGAATTAGGGAGGCTAGTAATATCAGCTATGTTTATTAAGCGCTGGAGTCAGTTCTATTTTCTTGTAAAGTTTAGGTATAATGATCATTAAGAATCACCATATTCTCCTGAATTTCCCCCAGTCTTTATATAGACTTTTATTTTATTATTATATGTATTTATTTTGAGACAGTGTCTTGCTCTGTCATCCAGACTGGAGTGCAGTGATGCAATCACAATCCACAGCAGCCTTGACCTCCATGGCTCAAGTGATCCCCCTACTTTAGCCTGCTGAGTAGCTGGGAATACAGGTGCACACCACCATATCCAGCTAATTTTTAATTATTTTGTAGAGATAGGGTCTCACTATCTTGCTCAGGCTGATCTCAAATTCCTGGGCTCAAGTGATCTTCCTGCCTAGGCCTCCTAAAGTGCTGGGATTACAGGTGTTGGCCACCATGCCTGGCTGAATGAATTTTTAACGTAAATGTATAAAACATGAATCTCCTCTGAACTTTCAACTGTTGATTCCCTGGAAAATGAAGGTTGTTGATTAAATGCGGTAGTAACATATGTATGAATAAAACATACTGTATCTGTTGGTGCTATATAGGACCTTGAGAGCACAAGATTTTTCCTAACTATTCATTCTTCACTTTTTTAGCTTTGTTGCTTAATATCTATTAGTACTTATTTGATATTTTAAAGCTTAAGGGGACTGAGAAATGTATTGTTAAAAATAATTTAAATTAAATGTAACAAAAGATATTTTATTATTTCTGATCTTATGCAACAGATTTTATTGGAGGTGGAATGAAGTTTGTTGGTAACCAATAAGATCTATTTCAAAATGTATAGTATGAAATATTTTAAAGAAAAAAGAAGGAAAACCAGAAAAGAAAAATTAAAAAAAAAAAACAATGTCTTGGATATATTATTTTTTATTTTTTGAGATGGAGTTTCACTCTTGTCACTGAGGCTGGAGTGCAATGGCGGGATCTCAGCCCAGTCCAACCTCCGCCTCCCAGGTTCAAGCCATTCTCCTGCCTCAGCCTCCCAAGTAGCTGGGATTACAGGCATGCGCCACCATGTCCAGCTAGTTTTTATTTTCTTTTGTTTTCAGTAGAGACAGGATTTTGCCAAGTTGGTCAGGCTGGTCTCTAACTCCTGACTTCAGGTGATCCACCCACCTCACCTCCCAAAGTGCTGGGATTACAAGCATGACCCACCACGCCTGGCCTATCGTGGGTATTGTTATTAGTGGAACTTTCCTTTCTTCAAAGTATATTGCAATAACTACTAATTTTCTCCATGTATCTAGCAAAGATAACCCCAATAAAAGGTATTAAATTATAAAGTAAAACCTAGCTATTGGAAAGAATTTAAAAATAGAAAATTAAAGCTACCCATAATTGTATTACCTAGGAATAAACAAGATTGGATTCCATTCATTCTAGCCCTTTAAAAGTAAATATGTGCATGTTGTCTTAGTTTGGGCTGCTATAAAAAATTAACATACACTGGATGGATTATACAACAGAGTTGTATTTCTCAAAGTTCTTGAGCCTGGGACATCTGATATCAAGGTGTCAGCGTGGCTAGGTTCTGGTGAGGGCCATCTCCTTGCTGTATACTCATGGCAGAGAACAGAGAAAGAAAAAGCAAGCTCTCTCTTGTCTTTTCATAAAAGCACTAATCCCACTCGTGAAGGTTTCACGGTCATGATGAAATTACCTTTAAAGGTCTCAAATCCTAATATTACATTGGGAATTAGCATTTCAAAATATGAATTTTTGTGGGACACAAGCCTTCAGTCCATAGCATTTTTTCATTGCCCACACCCCAAATTTATGTTCTCACATGCCAAAGGCATTCCTTCAATCTTTACAGCCCTGACGTGCCAGTGTTACCTCTAAAATTTAAAGTTCAGAGTATTTAAAAATCATCTAAATCAGATATGGCTGAGACTCAAGATACTATTCATCTAGAAGCAAGGAGGAAAAATTGGGGTATATATTAGCCTTTTGATCTTAACATAGTTACATGAATGTTGATCATTGTCCAATATTCTATTATAATGGCTATATAATTGAATATTTATTGCTCTATCATTCTTTATTTTATAATTCTCCAATTGCTGAATATATTAAGTTTATTTAAGTTTTTACTATTATAAATAACACTTTGATGAACACATATGCATGTAAAGTCTATATTTATACTTCCTTAACATGGATTATTAATACCTGGAAGGAAAATTACTATTTCAGAGGTAAAGTTTTATCAATATCTTCACTTCTGGAAAACACCAGTGTATGTGGTGAGAAGGGATCAAATTGCTACCCTGGTATAATTAATATGATATATTTAGGTTTTCATTTTCATTTATATTTCTTATGTCACAAAAAACAGACCTTAATTATTATGTAGGTACTATACGAGTGAAATGCATGTGTTGTTGGTATAAAGAGATCTTGGAGCTAAGATAATTGGCTAGAAGTATTGTCTTCTTGATTGGAGCTTGCATGATTCATTTCAGATGGTTAAAGTGTTTATAACTGCTTTGAAAGTTTACATAAGAGATTAGCTTCATTTAATTTGTTCTAGAGTTTCTCAGAGTATCTTCACTACTTTCTTTTCTTTTCTTTTCTTTTTTTTTTTTTTTTACAAGTTTCTGTTGTATCTCTATTGATATGGTTTGGATCTGTGTCCCCAACCAAATCTCATCTTGAATTCTAATCCCCATATGTCCAGGCAGGGACCTGTAATCCCCATGTGTCGAGGGAGGGAAGTGATTGGATTATGGAGGCAGTTCCCCCCATGCTGTTCTCATGACAGTGAGTGAGTTTCATGAGATCTGATGGATTTAAAGGTGGCAGTTTTTCCTGTGCTTACACTTCACTTCTTTCGCCTGCTGCCATGTAAGACATGCCTGCTTCGCCTTCCGCCATGATTGTAAGTTTCCTGAGGCTTCCCCAGCCATGTGGAACTGTGAGTCAATTAAACCTCTTTTCTTTATAAATTACCACGTCTGAGGCATTTCTTTATAGCAGTGCAAAAACGGACTAATACATCTACTAAATAGAACACTTATATAAATAAGTTCAATTAAAAATATAGTAATAGTGTTATAGGTAGATAGATAGGCTTGAATGGGGAAGGGGAGGGTTCTCCCCCCACCTTCACCCACTAGAAATGTCAAGGGATGGTTCGGCAGTTATTACATTGCCTGTCTAAAAGTGATACATTGACAGCCAGTGCCAGGGATAGGCCATTTTCTGAGGGTCCACACCTGTTAACATTAAAGTGTCAGTTAAAGACAGGCCTCGGGGGAAACAACTTGCTGGGCATGCATATTAAGAGACAGAAATGACGAAGTATGATCTTCCAGGTACCCTCCACTGGAAAAAGGAAGAAAGCCTTAGATGGGCATGCTAACAACTCCCTAAACACACTGCATGTGCTCAATTCCCAAGGGTAAGGAAGGCACTGTGCATGCGGGAAGCCCACCCTAAGGGAAGAATCATGGGAAAGAGGTGAGCCTATAAAGTCCCAGGATCAAGGTTAAAGCTTCTCCTTTGTTCTCCCTTTTACCTTCAGGCACCCACTTGCATCTCTTCTGGGGGTTCTTTCCTTTCTTTCCTGTTCTAAGGCTTTTTAAATAAACTTCCATTTCTTCTCTGAAAGTTGCCTCTGTCTCTTTTCCTGCTTTATGCCCCTCAGTTGAATTATTTCTTCTGAGGAGGCAAGAATTGAAGTTGCTGCAGACACATATGGATTCAACGTGGTAACCTTGGAGTAACTTGGATCTCTTCCACTGATAAAAATAACATGGCTGGTAGCACATTTGTTTTTAAGGTTTAGAAGAGTTTTGATGATGTCACTTAATAAGAGGATAGAACTGATCAATTTTGTACATAACAAGTCATAATGTTGAATAACTGTATTTGGAAAGAAGGCAAAAATCCAGAATTTCCACTTCCTGAATTGGTACTATTTGTCTTTCCATTTAAGGGTTGATTTGATCACAGATCAGGGATTCTTAATTGTTGGTCAAGAATGGTTAAACTCATCTGTTTTTTCTAGTGGGTGTCATGATTATTTAACAAATAAATTAACTTGCCAATGATGTACATTTAAAAAAAAAAAATACCTGGGTTCTGGGATTGGAAGAGTGATCCTGGTATGTTTGTGAAGACACAGGAGAGTGGTTATGGGTAGAGCAGAGGAAGCAAAAGGAGTACTAATAGAAGAGAAAATAAGAAAGGTAACAGGAGGAAGTTTTGTCAAGCCTACTGGCTTTAAGGAATGGACTTTTATTCTGAATGAACTAGTACACCATTAGAAGTTTTGAGCAGAGAAGTGGCATGTAATTTCCATCTTTTTTTTTTTTTTTTTTTTTTTTTTAATTTTTAAGACAGAGTCTCGCTCTGTCGCCCAGGCTGGAGTGTGGTGGCGCGATCTCGGCTCACTGCAAGCTCCGCCTCCCGGGTTCACGCCATTCTCCTGCCTCAGCCTCCCGAGTAGCTGGGACTACAGGCGCCCACCACCGCGCCCGGCTAATTTTTTGTATTTTTTAGTAGAGACGGGGTTTCACCGTGTTAGCCAGGATGGTCTCTGTCTCCTGACCTCGTGATCTGCCTGCCTCGGCCCCCGAAAGTGCTGAGATTACAGGCGTGAGCCACCGCGCCCGGCCGTAATTTCCATCTTAAAAGCATTAGCTTAGCTGCTAAGTTGAGAATATGCGGTCGGAAAGCAGGGCAGTTTTAGTAAGACATGTTGGAAATCTGCTTTTCAACATGTAAGATGGTGATGTATTGACCCAGGTTGTTAGCAGTGCAGGTGTTGAAAAGCAAGAAATAAATTTTGGAGATAGAGCCAAAGTTTTTACTAGTGGATGAGGTGGGGTTAGGTATGACTGCAAACTTTTTAGCCTGAGTAACTGGGAATATAGAGTTGCAGTTATCTAAGTTGAGGATTGATATGGTTTGGCTGTGCCCCACCCACATCTCAACTTGAATTTTATGTCCCAGAATTGCTATGTGTTGTGGGAGTGACCCAGTGTGAGGTAATTGAATCGTGGGGGCCGGTCTTTCCCGTGCTATTCTCCTGGTAGTGACTAAGTCTCACGAGATCTGATGGGTTTATCAGAGTTTGCTGCTTTTGCTTCTTCCTCATTTTTCTCTTGCCCCTGCCATGTAAGAAGTGTCCTTTGCCTTCTGCCATGATTTTGAGGCCTCCCCAGCCACGTGGAACTGTGAGTCTAGTTAAACCTCTTTTTCTTCCCCATCTCAGGTCTTTATCAGCAGAATGAAAAGAGATTAATACAAGGGTGAACGCAGTAATGCAGGCTTAAGGGCTGTGGAGAATCACAAACCATATCTGGGCATGTTAGGGTATCTGGCAATTTTTAGTAGGCATTTACTTGGAGTGTGGAATTTAGGAGAGGAGTCCCTGCTGGAGATATATACTTGGATTTTGTCAGCTTGTAGAGTGCATTGAAAGCTACAAACTGAAGCTATTAATATTACCATCATTAGATTCAAGAAATAGTAAATACATGGACTCATAAAAAATATTTTTTGTATAGTAATACTGTCTCAGCAAGTAGACAGTTGGAGAAAACAAGTTTAGATTTTGTGTCATCATTATAGAGTCCCATAATCTGACATGGATTTATAGTTAAATATTTATGTGAAGCACCTATTAAAAACAATGGTAAGATTTATTAGAATGATATAATTTAGGTCATTCAAGGTTGCCTTGTTCCCCTGTACCATCTGTTTTCATTTTAAGGTGTATATAAACTCTAATGATATAATTTTCAAACTTTATTTATTTTAGTTTTGCTTTCTTGTCTTTCCAATGTGCAACACATTCCTATTTGTGATATCCCTCAGTCCAGGTGAAAGTGTGTGGATAAAGATCTTCCCAACTCACATGCCCAACCTCCTTCCCCACTTCCACCCTAACCCTCACCTCTTTAATAGCCCTTTCTCTACTGAAAATATCACTGATAAAGTGACTAGCTATTTTACTATTGCAGTTCTCAAACAAAAAGCACAGTATGGTGGAGAGAACCTTTAGCTTCATGGTGTTTTGATCCGTAAATTTAATCTACATTTTTGTATGTGCATTTACGAGTGCTTCATGAATGTCTCCTTTTTCATTATTAGGTGCTATAGGTTGAACATAGAATATTAGGACTAGCATATAAGCCTTGTATTATTTAGTTAGTTTGCAGTTGTGACCTTATTTCTCGAGTGCTTTCAGATATACTTCTTCATTAGATGCTCATAAAAGCCATGTGAGGTAGGCAGGATGTGGGAACCCCATATATACCTTAAAAAACTGAGGCTCCAAGTGTTTTGGTCCCGCTGAAGGTACAGAGTTTCATGACAAAATGAGAACCCAGGTCTTTTGTATCTAATAAATATATATGTAGGTGTGTGTATAGTGGAAATATACACATGCACATTTGTGAATGTATATATATTTCAATATATGCCTATGTGAGTGTGTCTCCTCATAACAAGACAGATGGTAATATATATAGTGAAATGTGCCAGAGGAAAAAAAATATATTGTTATCTGTTTATGTAAGAATGCTAAAATGTTTGCAACTGTCTACAAAGAAAGAAATTGTTAATGTTTTTAATTAACATTCAAACAATTTAAATTTTCATTGTGTGATTAGTTTTAATAGCTTATTTTATATTACTTGAGAATCTAATACATATACCTATTAAGTCATTAAATTCAAAATGACTATTCAGAAGATGCATATTTAATAAAATAAAATAACCAAGTTTGACAGGTTATTTTAAAACACTTACAGACCAAGATTTCCAAAGGTGTGTTTAAAAAGTAATAGATGGCATCAACTTTAACTGTCAGCAAAGTCAGTCCTTATGGAGTTGCCTAAGAAATGTGATTCATTTGAAAGTCATATTTGATAATTCTAGGGTAATATTCAATCTAAATTTAAATTTCATTTACATTAAGTGAAAGCTCAAATTTTTATTTTTGTTTTTAATTCTGTGGTATAACTCTCTCCTTTTTGGAAACTACCACTTGGCTTAAGAGTTAATCATGATTTTGAGAGCACTCTTAGTTCTGAGATGGAAAGTAATATAGTAGTACCTTCTTCTAAAGAGTTTTTTTTATGAGTGAATTGAATGTCATTGAAGGACAGCAGTGGACATAGTTGAGAAAAGGAATAAAGACAAAGATTGGTTCACAAATTTAATCTAATGCTAATGAGACTTCTTATTTAGTTTGTGTAAATAAAATAATACATGTAATTAGTGCTGAGCAGCATATGGAACCCATTGGGAATGTGTATTTCTATGTGTATTTCAAGGGCACCAGAGTCATTTTGTTTACAAGTACATAAACTGTAATGTAACTTTCCACTACAGGCGGCAACATCTTAAAATATTTCACACATATCTGTTTCCTGATGTATTTTAATAATCTTCTTCCCCAAATATTAAATTTGAATTCTACTCAACTTTCAGTTGGACTCTACTCTTAAGTAATATTAAAATGTTTCATGCCCTTTTTTTTTGAGATGGAGTCTTGCTCTGTTGCCCAGGCTGGAGTGCAGTGGTATGATCTTGGCTCCTTGCAAATTCTGCTTAATGGGTTCAAGTGAGTCTCCGGCCTCAGCCTCCCGTGTAGCTAGGATTACAGACTCACGCTACCACACCTGGCTAGTTTTTGTATTTTTAGTAGAGACAGGGTTTCGCCATGTTGGCCATGCTGGTCTAGAACTCCTGACCTCAGGCGATCCACCCATCTTGGCCTCCCAAAGTGCTAAGGGATTACAGGTGTGAGCCACCGCTCCCGGCCTGTTTCATACCATTTTATTTATTATATCTGTAAATGAACTTATGCTAGTTTCATGCCTGACCCTCCATATGCATTCAACAGAAGCTTGCATACATGATGAGAGAATGAATTCCTATAAACATTGAACATTCTTCTGTAAAAACTTCTTGATCTTGCAGGTTATTATAACACTGGTATTTCAAAAGACACTGGCTCTAGTTAGTTTTGGACGTCAGGTTTTTAGCTCCTAGGGCACCATATTCCTCTCATTCCTAATTTTTTCTGTTTCATTGATATTTTACTGTACTATGTTTATCCATTTGTGAAATATGAATTAAACATTAACTTTTGATATGATTTGATCAACATACTTACTAATAGATGTCAATTGGAAGTGAAGATAACACACTTTTGATTGTAGAGGAATGTGATAGTCATTGGTTGACTGAGTGGAGGATTTGAGTTATAATAAAAAAAAGATTACTATCTTTTATTTAGAAGACAGATTCCTTGGGAAGCAGAGGCAGGTGGATCACGAGATCAGGAGATCAAGACCATCCTGGCTAACACAGCGAAACCCCTTCTCTACTAAAAATACAAAAAATTAGCCGGGCGTGGTGGCGGGCGCCTGTAGTCCCAGCTACGCGGGAGGCTGAGGCAGGAGAATGGCGTGAACCCTGGAGGCGGAGCTTGCAGTGAGCCGAGATGGCGCCACTGCACTCCGGCCTGGGCAGCAGAGCGAGACTCTGTTTCAAAAAAATAAAAAAGAATCAGTGCTTCCACATTTCTCACTGTGTCATGTAAAGGTAATCCCCACTAAGAGTCGTGTAAGTAGCTAACTCACTAAAGTGCATGCAATCTGTTGTTGAACCTCAAATTTTAAGGAAGCAAGAGATAGTCCTTTGACTCCTCAGCCGTGTGGGGTGTGTGTGTGTGTGTGTGTGTGTGTGTGTGTGTGTGTGTGTGTTTAAGCACATATAGGTGATGAGTATTAGAAGGGGGAAATCTTGCAAAGCCACACCACATCACAATAAAAAATGTGCTATTCTTCTGAGTTGACTCTAATGGTAGGGTATAGATCCCGGGGAGTCTTGGAAGAACATCTTTATGATTTAAGATGTCAGAGGTTTTCTGAGTAAAGGAAATGTTCCAGATCATCATTCTCTTCCTTTTTCTATTGAGCTCATCATTCTCTTCCTTTTTCTATTGAGCTCATCATTCTCCTTTCTCTATTGAGCTCGTTAAAAGAGTAGTTCCCCGCCTTTCTATAAGATCACGTTAATATAATCAGAGACTCCACTTCCAACAGGATGATGAAAATATATGTTTATTTGTTTTAAGCTGGATTTCTAATGTTTGCATAAATGAGTAACCTTGAGGAAAATAGCATTACTATTCATTCTCCTTTTTCTTCTTATTATTTTTTTCTGTTTTGAAAGCTGGAAATAAGCCTCAGACATAGCCTTCCCTTCTAGGTTTTCTTAAATGGCTGTATGTTAGCACATCTTTATCTACAAAAGTAGATTTAGGAAATTAATAACCCAATTAACATTGTAAATTAAAGGTGGTAACACACTTGTTCAAATCTGGATTGATTCTAAGTCTCAGACACTTAAATTTAGAGATTTTGGCAAGAACCACCAAGTGGCTGAAATAAATGAAGAAAACAGGAACAGTGCCAATTAGAACACTGGAAGAAACCCAGAATTCAGTCATTTAATGAAGTGTTTAATATTGCAGAGCATGTTATTGTGATATATTTTATGTCAAAGTGCTAAATATATTTGATCATTTCAAATGATCTCTGCCACCATTTTATAAAGTGTTCATGTTTGGAACACTCATTTCACCATACATATTTGTAGGTTCTGTAAAATTTGAAGCCATTAATTAAGATTGCTAATTTTAAATGAAGTATTTTTCCCAGCTTATTATACTTTCTAATCTAAACCTCATATAAACTAAGAAATAGACCCAACTCCAAAATAATATATTTAGAAAGCCAGTATATTTAGAATCCAAATATATGTTTATTGAACTAAATTTGACATTAATTTATGAACAAATTTGTGAATATGTGAAATATCCAGTTTTTTAAAGTTTTATTTTATTTAGAATTTTCACATAATTGTACATATTTATGAGGTACAGTGTGATATTTCAATGCATGTATACATTGTATAAGGATCAAATCAAAGTAATTAGCATATCCATTACTTTAAACATTTGTTGTTTCTTTGTAGTGATAACATTAAAATCCTTTCTTGAAATATACAATACATTACTACTAGCTATAGTCACTCAACTGTGTGATAGAACACCCGAAATTATTGTTCCTAAGTGTAACTTTGTACCCTTTGACCAATCTCTTCCTATCTCCCCATGCTTTCCCCTCCCTAGCCTCTGGTAACCATTATGCCACTTTCTGCTTTTATGAGATCAACTATTTTAGATTCCTCATATGAGCGAGGTCATGTGGTGCTTGTCTTTCTGTACCTGTGTAATTTCATTTGTTATAATATCCTCCAGATTCATCCATGTTGCCACAAATGACAGGATTTTATTCTGCTTTATGGATGAATAGTATTGCATTATGTATATTTACATATTTTTTTCTTCATTCATTCATAATTGGTCACTTAGGTTGATTTTATATCTTGGCTTTTGTGAATAGTGCTGCAATAAAAATGGAAGTGCAGAATCTCCTTGACATATTGATTTCCTTTCCTTTGACTATATATACCCAGTAATGAGATCGCTGAATCATTTGATAGTTTTCTTTTTAAGTTTTTGAGGAATCTCCATGTTGTTTTCCATAGTGGCTGTACTCAGTTACATTCTTACCAACAGTGTGTAACAGTTTCCCCTTCTCCACATTCTCATCAAATTTGTTAATTTTTATCTTATTGATTACAGCCATTCGAAGTGGGTTGAGGTAAATACTTTATTGTGGTTTTGATTTGCATTTTCCTGATGATTAGTGATGTTGAGCTATATATATATATAATGTTTATATATTATATATATTTATGTATATTATATATAATATTTATATATTATATATATTTATGTATATTATATATAATATTTATATATTATATATATTTATGTATATTATATATAATATTTATATATTATATATATTTATGTATATTATATATAATATTTATATATTATATGTATTTATGTATATTATATATAATATTTATATATTATATGTATTTATGTATATTATATATAATACTTATATATTACATATAATATTTATGTATATTATATATAATATTTATATATTATATATATTTATGTATATTATAGATAACCTAGAAAGATATATATTATATATATTTATATATTATATAATATTTATATGAATATTATTATATAATATATATAATCTTATATAAAATATATTATATATAATATTTACATATAATATATATTATATGTAAATATTATATATTATATATAATATAATACATTTATTATATATTATATATATAATATAATTATATATTATATATAATATATAATATAATTATATATTATATATAATATATAATTATTATATATGATATATAATATATAATATAATATAATATATAATATAATATATAAATTGTATATAATAATTTATATATAATATATAATATATATTAATATATTATATATAATATATAAATATAAATTATTTATATATTTTCCGATTGTATGTCTTCTTTTGGGAAATGTCTAGTCAGGTCTTTTGCCTATTTTTAATAGGGTTTTGTTGTTGTTGTTGTCGTTTTTCCTTTTTTTTTCTGTTGAGTTGTTCGAGTTGCTCATATTTTGGAAATTAGCACTTGTCAGATACGTAGTTTGCAAATACTTTCTCCCATTCTGTAGGTTGTTTCTTCACTCTATTGTTTCCTTAGCTGTGCAGAAGTTTTTAGTTTGATGTAATAGAATTTGTCTATTTGTGCTTTTATTTGTGCATTTGAGGTCTTATTCAAAAAATTATTGTCCAGACCAATGTCATGGGAGCTTTTCCTTAGTTTTCACCTGGTAGTTTAATAGTTGGGATCTTACATTTGCCTTCAATCCATTTTCATTTGATTTTTCTAAATGGTGAAAGATGAGGTCTAGTTTCACCCCACTGTCTGCATGTGGATATTTAGTTTTCCAGAGCCATTTATTGAAGAGACTGTCCTTTCCCTGATGTGTATTTTTTGGTGCCATTGTAGAAAATCAGTTGGCTGTAAATGTATGGATTTATTTCTGGGTTTTCTGTTTTGTTCCATTGTTGTATGTATCTATTTCTATGCCAGTACCATACTGTTTTGGTTACCATAACTTTGTAGTGCTTTTTGAAGTCAGGTAGTGTGATGAAATATCCAGGTTTAGAAGGAAGTAAAAAGTAGAACACAGGATATTATGGACTGGGAAGGTTAGGAGAAAGGGAATGATAGAAAATTTTTAAAGACTATAAAAATACAACTAGACAGCAGGAATAAGTCCTAGGGTTCTATACCACAATAAGATGACTATAGTTATCAATAATATATTATATAATTTTAAATAGCAAAAAGGAGGAATGTTCCCAACAAAATGATAAATGCTTGAGATGTTGTATATGCTAATTACCCTGATCTGATCATTATACACTCTATGTATGTACACATCTCTATATACCTAATAAATATGTACAATTATGTTATTTTTAAAAATAAAATACAATAATAAAAAATCACATGTAGCCCATAAATATATATAATTATTATGTATTGATAAAAAATTTTAAATAAAAAAATGGTATTCACTATTTCTAGGTCTTAAAAAATTTTTTAAATCTTTAATTTTATAGAAAACCCAACAAAATATTTCTTCAAAAAATTTGAAATGACTATTTAATATATAGGTACAAAATATCTGATATATAATTCATGAGAACACCAGACACCAGTTTGACTTATAATTTGTCTTTCATATTCTTTTTTTTTTTTTTTTTTTTTTTTTTTTGAGATGGAGTCTCGCTCTGTCACCCAGGCCGGACTGCGGACTGCAGTGGCGCAATCTCGGCTCACTGCAAGCTCCGCTTCCCGGGTTCACGCCATTCTCCTGCCTCAGCCTCCCGAGTAGCTGGGACTACAGGCGCCCGCCACCGCGCCCGGCTAATTTTTTGTATTTTTAGTAGAGACGGGGTTTCACCTTGTTAGCCAGGATGGTCTCGATCTCCTGACCTCATGATCCACCCGCCTCGGCCTCCCAAAGTGCTGGGATTACAGGCGTGAGCCACCGCGCCCGGCCTCATATTCTTAATTCTATAACAATTACAACAATTCATGGTATGTTGTTATTAAAGTGAGTTTTATAGAGGAAGGCTGTTACAATATCTCATTTTTAACCCATGTATTATATATAGTTATCGTTTTAATAGTAACTGAAAATAGGAAAGTTTAGATACATAAGTAAATATGTGCACACACACATGCATACATTTATAAACTGCCTTTTCTTAAGTGAGAATTTCACATTTTCAAAAAAATAATTGTGTATGTAAGAGTTTTGTTTTTACCTTACTGTCAAGAGAGTTCGATCATTATCATCTGGACAATGGGCTAAAATGTAGGAGTTGTTCTGTCTTATAATATCAGAAAAATAAAGGACCTATTTTATTTCATAGATGAATTAAAACACAAAAATATATTAATATAGTAGCATAATTTTACCAGGGGCCTGTTACTTTCTGAATTGGAGTATCTAAAGGAAATTTGGGGTACTGTGTTCTATTTACAAATGACTAGCAAGACTGATTCCGGGATGAATGACCCTCCTTTATTCATGTGCTCTGTATAAAGGAGAATTTTGTCATTAATAATAATGATTGTAATACTGTGTGTTGAATGTAAACCATCACTACTTTACACATTAAAACCTATCCTAATTTAATTAATAAAATTAGCCATCGCTGCATCTTCAACAAAAAATTATAAAATTCTTATCTGGATTGATTAAATTTAGTTGAGCCCTTAATCCTGATCATTCTGCTTGTTTTTGATAAATAATTTGAAAATAAATTCAAATTCATTCAAATTACACCTTGATTTCAAGTAGGAATAGTTTAATAGTGTTCCAAAAAAAGGAATGTTAAACTATTGAGGTATTCTTGACAACTCTTAGAGCTGATGATAAGAAGGTTCATAGATAGGAAGGCAGGAATGACTTATTATTAAGTCATCTGAGTAAATCTGTCATTGAAACCTAACATAGCATAGTACAACTTTGAGCAAATCAAGACTCTGCTGAATGCCCTCAGTTGTAAAATAATAGTGTTGTACTTTACAATCACTGACTGAGCCCCATTTTAGTTCTTTCATAATTATTTTTGGAAATAGTGATTTTCATTTTGTTAAAAAAACACTATTGGCATGTATAACAAATAATTTATAATATCTTCCCCAAAAGCTCTCACATTAACCCAAGGAAGGCATTGAACATGCAAATAAAATATAATTCAAAGTCTGTGTTAAATCTTGAGACTCAAAGCTCCTATGTCCCAAATGTGTTGGGTCTGTGACACATGGATTGTCAAATTCAGAATCAGAGTAATGTTTTGTACAACTAGTAGCTCCAGCACTGTTCCCTGTGGTCTCTGGATGGAAGAGGCAGTCAAACAGATGGGTCCTAATAGCCTTCTAAGACGTGAATCAAGGAGCCTCATCAGCAAGGCTGATGGTTGCCTTTTACATTATCCTTGTGATGAACAAAACCCTTGGGCCTGACTGGCAGCTTCTTCTTTACCTCCCTTCACTTCAAGGCTTTCCAGGATACAATTCCCAAAAGCCCTGAATGTACTCTTCCGCAGAGGGAAGGCTGTAGAAGTCTTTGCAAGCTTCATACAGAGAAATACAAAAGGTGTGATGCCATTAACTGGTCCTTTCTAAAGCATTAGGAATTTAGTGAAACTCTCAAACACAAAACTGAAAAGCCATTTGAACAAATCTCATATACTTGTAGATAAGCTTTTTTTATTTAAAGCATACAAATTCAAATCTTTCAAGCAGAAAATTCAGTCAAGTGAGATCCATTGGTGGTTTGAGTTCAAAGTCAGTGAGCAAATGGAAATCATTGCGGCATCTCTCTCATTTCCCTAGTGGACATTAGACCACTCAAAATGTGTCACATAATTTACAGCCCCTTGGTAGTAATTGAATATACACGTTGAGAGTGCACTGGCAGAACACTTAAGAAAGATTGAATGCAGGAGGACCAGCTTACGTTATTTTTGGCTCTACTCTGGTTTTTGCTTTTAATGTTTTTTCTTGAGATTAATTTCAATTGGGTTGTTCCATCCTATTCAAACAAATGCTTTGAGAGAAGAGATGAACAGCAGCATCAAATAAATTGTGATATTTAGTTTCAGAGACATCAGGTGTTGTAATCAAATAAGACAGAAGGACAAAGTAAAATCTGTGATTTGCCATAAATGAATTTAAGCTGTAAGAATAGCAGAATTGAGAGGTAGATTAGCAATATGACTTTTGAACTATTATCTAAATGTAGGGTGAGATTTTCAAGATTTATTTTAATATATAACATTTTTGCTAATATTTAGGAAAACAAAGAATTTTGTAGTTAAAAGTGTGAAACATTAAAATTATCTGTCTTTAAATATTAATTATTCTAAATCTCTCTTTTGTGTATCTGTTACTAGACACTTTTAATTCTTAGACACATATTTTATGAAGAGTTATTCTTAAAATGGTATGCTTTGTTTGCCAGTCAACATGGAATCTCCCTAGGTATAACCTTTAATATTTAAGAGAATACAGATCAAAATAGTAGAGATTTCAACTTGATTTTATAAAGACGTCCAAGTATTCTGAACTTATAATAGGAAAATGAGTCCTGATAGAAATTGTCATTTGAAAATTTCCTTCCTTCTCCTCTTTCTCCTCCTCCTTCTTCCTCAGAGCGAGTATGTGGTATCCACTGTGTACACGCACACAACATAAAAAAATGGAGGTCCGTGGTACAATATGTGCATGTGTGTTTGTATGTGTGTGTGCATATATGTATACACACACGTATATATATATATACACAGAGGTATATATATACACACACATATATATACACTAAAATTTCATATATATTAAATATAAATTATATTAAATATACAACATATATATTAATCTTTACAATCTGTTACACTCTTCCTTTGAGTGCCCAGATTAACTGGCTACTAACATTTACTTTAATATATTGCTTTTTATTGAGACAAAAACAGTGGAAAAAAAGTAATTAATCACAAACTACTTATAAAGTTAATATTTTCCCATGCTGAAGATAAATGAGAACATGTGCAAGCAACTTAATAGCAATACAAATCTATGTGAGTATTCACAAGGAAGAATTTCTCTCTCAGATATTTTGTCTGGATTTCAACTTGCTAAGTAGACTATATACCTAAAAAAATTTTTTTAAGGCACGACATTTCTTTTTCTGCTATTTAATATGTAAATAATTGCATATTAAGAAATAATTTTTTGCTTTTGCAGATAAAAGGATGAAAACACAGACTCTTAGCTATCCAAAGCAATCTTATCATATTCATATATTTATTTGCTATATCTAAACATACATACATATTTACCTATTAACTTTATCTTACTTCCAATTTACTTTTGTTTTTCTCCTGATATCTTAGCCCCTTTATCTTTAAAATCTTAATATTGTTTTCTTCTAAATCAGTCTGGTGTTTTTTTCCCCTTTCCTCAAGTTTTTTTTTTTTTTTTTTTTTTTGAGACGGAGTCTCACTGTTGCCCAGGCTGGAGTGCAGTGGCGCGATCTTGGCTCACTGTAACCTCCACCTCCCGGGTTCCAGAGATTCTCCTGCCTCAGCCTCCCGAGTAGCTGAGATTACAGGTGTCTGCCACCATGCCTGGTTAAGTTTTTTGTTTGTTTGTTTTTTTGTTTGTCTTTAGTAGAGACGGGGTTTCACCATGTTGGACAAGCTGGTCTCAAACTCCTGACCTCGTGATCTGCCCACCTCAGCCTCACATAGCTCCTCAAATGTTTTTAATACTTGTTAACCTGTCACCAAACCAAAAACTGTCTTTCATTTCATATGTGACGTACCATCATTTTAAATCTTTTATATGTATTACTTTGCTTTCCATAACAAATTGGTGTTTATATGGTAGATAGAAGTCATTGTTCATGACATTCGTCATTTAGTATTAAGAGCATCTTTATGCGTGCTGTGTATAATTCATAATAGTTAAAACCAATTCATAATAGTAAAAAACTGGAACATTTCTCAGAAAAAGTAATATCACCCTCCTTTTTAAAACAAAGCTAAATCCTGTTAATTTTCCCTTGGTGAGAAATAGCACCACACATTACAGCCTTTAATGGCTTAAATAAACATGTATAATGCACAGTATAAATTTGAAAAGTAGTCAAAATCCTCTCTATCCTCCATCTTTGAACAAACTGTGCTGCCTCATTTGCAGAGATTTGCAGTAAAAATCAAAGATGGCTTACATTTTTACACTATGTCAATATTTCTTTCTCTGTTTCCTGTTACTTACATCAGAATGATGGGCTCTTTTCGTAAAGCAGTGACTGAAGGCCAAAAGGGAACTTACAAAAGGGCATTATACAAATTCTAAATATAAAACTCCCCAAAAAGGGAAAATGATGTTCAGATACAATAAAAATAAATTATAGAATAAAAATGAGAAAAGTTATAGTCGTTTTTTGTACAATAATACAGTGTATAAAGGCTAACGTCAGTAATGTCAACTTTGTTGAATGGAAAATCCTGAACTGGCAGTTGACTCTATTTCTGTCAAATCCTGCTTTTATGTTATGTCACTCTCTGATTACTCAGACCTTTCTCTATCCTACTATGAAACTGAATGATTCTCAGAAAGGAACCAGGACATTCTATCACTTAATGCCAAACACGTTAAAACGAAAGCTATGAACAGGCTTCCCAACATTTTGTAGGGTTAAAAAAGAAAAAAGAAAAAAAAACTTCAATTAACTCAAATTGAATATGTTCACAAATCTCAAATGCACAAATGAACATTTTTTATAACAGGTTTATTCTAATAAGTCAAATCCATCCCTCATACAGATATCTCCATGCTTTATGAATAATAGAATGATGTGAAAATATAAAGTAGGGTTCATGAAGGTGAAGCTGAATGCAACTAGAAAAGCAACTACCAAAATAAAAATACGGAACACAGTGGTAGATAGACATTACTATGGCAACCTCCGATCCTTACTAAGAAGTTAGTGATCATTGAGATCTTTCTGATAACCTGATTGCTTTTGTTTTCTCATTCACCTGGACAATAAATACTTACTGAGTAGATATCTCTCTCGATTATAGCGACTGACTACCTAGTCATGGTTCCATGCTCTCAGGGAGATTACAGTCTTGTAATGGTAAACGCATTTTCAAAATAACAAGAAATTCACCTCCGGGCTAAAATTATTTTTTAGCTATTGATTATTGTTTTTATAGTTCATTCTAAGTAGAGGGGACAAGGTTATTATCATATAATGTGACTTGTATTAAGATTGCTAAAAGCAGGGGGGCTGATTTCATTCAAAGAACTGTGGGAGAGAATGCCTCACTCTCAACTTAGTGACATGACTTTTGTTTTCATTACATTTAAATACAGCTTTGTTTTCCTATGGCGGTAACCCATAACAGTATGAAGCACAGACAGTGCATTATTCAGGTTTAATTTGGGCATGGTTGAACTGCTGGGAGTGACTATCAATTACACTGGTATTTTAACATTTGTATGAAGAATTATGTGCCAAAATATTCTAAAATTTAAAATTTCATAGAGAAACTGCTTGAATAAGTGTTCCATATACTCACTCACTCTGAATTTTTTGGCATCTGAATGTGTAGAAAGTTTGCAGGTGAACATGTGCTTGTCAATACATTGTCACTGACCTCCTCCCATTCATGTTGCTGGTCATTGGCAATTTCTTCTTCTGGATGCTGGAATTTTTTCACTGAGTCCTATGAGAAGCTATTAAGGGGCCAGAGACCCAATGTATTCGGTCTACTACCCACTGTCCCATGTTTTTCATCCCTATCAGTGTAAGTGATCTGTCCTGAGAGCACCGTCATCTATTAAGCGAAATGCAGATCCCCGGGACTCCAAGTAAAGGACATTCAGGCATAATTGAGGTGAAATATATGGTTATGGACAGAGACTCTTTGAAATTTTACTGAATATTTTGGATTCCTAAATGGTTACCTTCAAGACACTGTGAGTAGCATATACATGTGTGTGCTTGTACATTTGTACAAGCACATGAACACGGAGGTAACATAAATGCATTTCATCCCAGAAAAACAAGGATAATAATAATGATAAGTCAGAAAACTAAAAGCTAAGTAAATACTTTCAATAATGAACTTCTAATATTTCAAGCACTGTTTATTAATTAACTTTATCTTCAACAGCAACCTTGTGTTAGGTAATAGCATTACCATTCTGTAGAGGAGTAAACTGAGACGCAGCAAGATTAAGTTATATGTGCAAGGATAAATAGGGAGTAATGGAAGAGCCGGAGTTTGAATCTGAATAATCCAACTTCAAAGTGTTAATCACCACTCCAGGCTGCCTCTCAGCCAGTTGAACCTCATAAAATTCAAGACTATAATAAGTGGTCAAAAACCTAAGACGAAACTCTGCTTACATGGTTATTTAATATTTGATTGACAATGAAAAATAATTTTAATGCATAAAGTCATGTTGAATGTAACTACAATATTAAAGATCATAAAGAGTAAAGTAAGTAAAATAGAAAAATCAAAATAAAATAAAAATAATTATGTTTAAGAAAGAGGATTATGCTGGGTGCAGTGACTCACGCCTCTAATCCCAGCACTTTGGGAGGCTGAGGTGGGTGGATCACTTGAGGTCAGGAGTTCAAGACCAGCCTGGCCAACATGGTGAAACCTTATCTCTAGTAAAAATACAAAATTAGCTGGGCATGGTGGCATGTGCCTGTAATCCCAGCTACTAGGGAGGCTGAGGCAGGAGAATCACTTGAACCCAGGAGGTGGAAAGCGGAGGTTGCGGTGAGCCGAGATTGCGCCACTGTACTCCAACCTGGGCAATAGAGTGAGATTCCATCTTTAAAAAAAAAAAAAAAAAGGATTATAATAAATTCAGCTACAAAAGAAGGAACTAACTGGGTAAAGTTTAACAGAGGAAGGAAATTTCAAGATACTAAAAGCTCATCAGGTAAACAATTTTCTATCTCAAGAACAAATGATACCAGTGCACAGGAATGACAGAAAGAATAACAAGATACTAAATTGGCTATAATCAGAGACCTGAAAGTCAAATGCCAAAGCCACAAAGAGTGGAATTCAAGCCAGAGCCCTAAAGAAAAAATAGCGTAACGAGAGAGAGCCAGCAAAAAGCAAAATGAAAAAGACGCAACTCTTGTCATAGCACACACATGCACCGAAACAAAACAAAACAAAATGCAGGAAAAACAGTAAAAAATTATCTAGCTGTAAAAATTACTTGGCTGTACAGCCTCAATTGTTTGCTCCCTGATTTAGAAATTATCATATTTGCCAAAAGTTTGAATGGAAATATACTTTTACTTAGCAAAACTTCCATTATTAAAAAAAAAAAAAAAAAAAAAAAAAAAAAGCTGGCCGGGTGCGGTGGCTCACGCCTATAATCCCAACACTTTGGGAGGCCAAGGCAGGTGGATCACCTGAGGTCAGGAGTTTGAGACCAGCCTGGCCAACGTGGCGAAACCCCATCTCTACTAAAAATACAAAAATTAGCCGGGGGTGGTGGTGGGCACCTGTAATCCCAGCTACTCTGGAGGCTGAGGCTGGAGAATCACTTGAACCTGGGGGGCGGAGGTTGCAGTGAGCCGAGGTCACGCCACTTCACTCCAGCCTGGGTGCAAGAGTGAAACTCTGTCCCCTGCCACCCCCTGGCCAAAAAAAAGCCAAGGTAAAGAGTACAACATTTAAGAAGAAACTTTCTGTAAACATTGTAAGAAATCTATTTAAGAACTAACAGTTGATATGCAAATTGCAATTTAGAGATCCTGAATGAACTAATTAATTAACAAACTCTCATTTGTTAAGCTGAAGTTAAGTGATATGCTTAATGAAAACCACAGTTATACTGAAGAGGGGAACTCTGTGTTTAAGTCTTTTCATTAAACCAGACAGAGCCTAATCAATGAATATGTGTAACATTGCTGTATAGGTCTGATTACATGTTTCCTTGTTTTTCTAAAATGCTTAACATTTTATTCTGATCTTATACTTTAACAATTGAACAGCAAGATGGGCTGTCTATAATTCAAATTTAATTGTCTTTAAATCCTAATCTCTAAACAGTCTGTTAAATAGAATGCCATTGATTAAGTGATCTACAATTAAATCAGTGACATAAAATCCATATCAGAATTTAAGGATTTAACCAGGAGTTCTCTAATAAGTTTATGTCAAATATAATTCTTAACAAATGCTTTCTGTATACTTTTAAGTTATCTCAAAATCTTGAATTTGAAATCTTTAAACATTTACAGGTTCCAGGCATGAGAATTTTCCTGGGGGATGGGGGAGGGAGAACAGGAACCTGGGTGAGTAAATAATATGATGCTCCAGGTTTGTTTCTCCTCAGCTGACATTTATCTCTTTGGCATGATGAAGGGTAGATCAACGTTGACTGTAAAAACAAACACGATTAGCACTAACGCAGCATATGTTAACACTGCTGCAGCCTAATGATGAATGAGCTGTAAGCGATCCCAACACCTGTTCTTGATGATGATGCGTGATACCCAACCCCAGTGGAGTAATGAGAGCGAAGACACAGCGGTGCACATCTCACCGATTACAGTGGTTTATGGAGGCGTTCTGGTAGCATTCTCACTTTCTGTCTCTCCATCTCTTCTCTGATTATTCTATATTCGTTCATTCATTCATAACTTCAGAATTGGCTTTAAGCTATAGAAATCCACATGTGAGGTCTTACATGTATTAGCCACATGAGACGTATTAGGTTACCCAAGTCCTAAGCAACTGGAGAATATGTTTTTATACCAGAATAATTCTTTCTAAAACACCATTGTTAAGTTAGCCTACTTGGTTCTAACGTTGATTGACATTATCAAGCATCTCAACTCGATTGGCTCTAAATTTGGCAATGCCTGAAGAGAGTTTGATAATCTCAAAACAGAATACCTGAACTTGTGTGATGGTGTCTTTTATATTTAATACACAAAATACTGAACATAAGTATGAATATTATGTAAAGTGACAAATTACGAACAATGGAGTTCTGATATTATCCTTCGGTCTTGTTTCAGCAAGGAATAAATGATATTCCTATCTGCCGCTTCTACGTCATTTAATGTTCTCTGTTATTTTATATATGGTGCCAATGTCCCATATGATGTTTCTATTACTATGACTATATAATGTGAATTACTTCTTCTATTCTTAATTTTATTTCTGGTTATCCTCTTCCTTACTGCTTCAAAACTTTGTTGTTGATAAAATTTTCTTTCCTGTTCTGAATATAATTCCTTTACCTGTGTTTAGATCATCCTTACCTGGAAGGACTTGTGTATGCATTATTTCTTCCCATTTTGAAGCTTTTACTCTTACTTTCCAGCTGACACTTTTGCTCTATTTCCAAATTTGTCAGAGCCTTCCATTCTTAAAGAACATTGTGTTTCTAATTCTTGTCTTATTTTTTGATGTTCTTCTTCTTATTAGCAATTTCTCAAACAAATGGCCAAATTCATTGCTCTTATGTCCTCATATTTTTTCTTTTTAACTCATTGAAATTATTAAAGAAATGTCAATATTTCAGATTATTAAACATTTACTCTTGCAAAATTTGTGACCATTGGCTTTTATTATATTTTCTTATAGTTTTGCTTAATATTTATTTTAATGATCAAATAATAAGTTCTAAAAATAAGGACAATATTTGTTTTATTTTTCAATATTTGTTTTATTTTTATTTTTTAAAGACCTATGAAGTAGATGATAAAAGTGTAGGTTCTGGAGCTAGATTCTGTAAGTTCAATACCTTGTATTGCCATATACTAGCTGAATGATCATGGGGAAGTTTCTTAATCCTTATGATGTGGATTGTCTCATTTGTAAAATGGCAAATAACAGGCCAGGCATGGTGGCTCATGCCTGTAATCCCAGCATTTTGGGAGGCTGAGATGGGCGGATCATATGAGGTCAGGAATTCAAGACCAGCCTGGACAACGTGGTGAAACCCCGTCTCTACTAAAAATATTACAAAAATTAGCCAGGCATGGTGGCAGGAGCCTGTAATCCCAGCTACTCAGGATGCTGAGGCAGGAGAATTGCTTGAACCCACAAGGCAGAGGTTGCAGTGAGCCAAGATCATGCCACTGCACTCCAGCCTGAGTTACAGAGAGAGACGAGACTAGTTCACCAAAAAAAAAAAAAAAAAAAAAAAAACGACAAATAACAACGTATAGTTCATAGAGATATTATGAGGAAAAATAAATTAATATATGTAAAGAGCGTTGTGTAGAGAGTAACACATAGTAGGTGTCCTATGTATTTTAGCTAATGTTGTTATTTAGCTCTTGTTATTGGTACCACCTCTGTAATCCTTGAAACTAGCACTGTGCCCGATATATATTAATTTTTGACCAATATTTTGTGGAGGAGTGAGTGAAATGAATTAATGAATCCTGCATTTAACACAACTGATCATTATACATTTTTAGAACAATTGTGTCTTTTGACTTCCACACTAATAATAGATATTACTGGTTAAAACATAACCTTTGCAAAACAAAATTTCATTTCTAACTCTTCTATGTTAGTCAGTAGAAAAACTACTCTGCAAGTCACATCCAGGGAAAAAGGAAGATATTTAAGAATGGCTGAAGATAAAGTTACTGTGACAATTGCCTCCTCTTCCATTCTTATAACGTTGAAAAGCATTCTCCCAATGGCAGCCAAAATAATCATTTAAAAATATAAGTCAAACAGACTTCTAACTTTGCTTAAGCCCTCTTGTAGCTTCCTATTGTAATAAGAAGAGAACCCAAATTCCATCCATCCTGTCCAGTCAGGCCCTGCTTATCCTGGCCCTGCCTATTACTCTGGATCTATTTGAAACCATAAGTTTCAGCTGGCATGCAGCAGAAAATCACAGTGGCCTCTGTGATTTGAAGAGGCCAAACTTCATTTCTGCCCTGGACACTTGCTATTCTTGCCTATAATGCTTTTTTTTTTTCCCCTTGGATTTGGATTTGGCTGACATCTTCTTGTCATTCAGTTTCTGTTGAAATGTGCTTTCCTCAAAGTCCTCCTTGATCCACCACCTCCCCCATTCTATTATGCATTGTTCCTGCTTGATTTTCTTCGTATCACTCGTATCACTGTCTGACATTATCATTTCAATGTGTTTGTTTATTTGCTTCTCATTATCTGTCTTTTTCACTAGAATGCAAGTTCCATGATGAAAGGAGCCTTCAGTGTCTGATTCATTATTTTGGCCCACTGCTTAGTACATTATATGTTATTATTAATTATCTGTTAATAAATTAATAAATTAGGCTAGAGGCAATGCCCTTATTACAAAGAGCCTTCTTTGTCATGTTGTAGAAGTGGAATTGTATTCCAAAAGTAACAGAAGCCATCATAGATGGAAAGTTGAGGCTGGGCACAGTGGCTCACGCCTGTAATCCCAGCACTTTGGGAGGCAAAGGTGGGTGGATCATGAGGTCAGGAGTTCAAGACCAGCCTGACCAACATGGTGAAACCCCATCTCTACTACAAAATACAAAAATTAGCCCGGTGTGGTGGCACGTACCTGTAATCTCAGCTACTCAGGAGGCTGAGTCAGGAGAATCGCTTGAACCTGGGAGGTGGAGGTTGCAGTGAACCAAGATTGCACCACTGCACTCCAGCCTAGGTGACAAAACAAGACTCCATCTCAAAAAAAAAAAAAGTTGAAGATTGGCTTATGCATGTATGAAAACTTTACACCAGACAAAGGGTTTGAGTTGAAGAACAGGTCAATTTATGGAGAAGGGAGAGGTACATTCCGGGGGGGGGGGGTCTTAGAGTGACAGGATGCTCAAAGATGCCATAAGGGGTGATGTGTGTTCTGGACATGGTGAATGAGTAGCTGAATCTGCCTATTGCATAAGATTCTTTTAAGCTAGTAGTGGTAGAAAGATTGAAATGGCGGAAAGGAGTTACAATATCGGCTATTCTTTCTGGGCAAAGTGATTTGGAATTGTCCTCCAACAAGCATTTGTTTTTTGAAAAGTTATTCCACTGAAAGTTGACATAATGAAAATCATAAGAAAAATCATCTATGGGTGTACCAAAGTCCTAGCGGTTCTTTAGAGCCCAGCTTAAGAACTCCATCCTTCATATAACCCTCCCCAATAAGAATGCTGCAAGAATGTCCAACTCTTTCATTTTATATGAATCCAGATTCGAGAACGTACTGATATCCCCAAGATCACAGATGATTAATCTAGGGTTAACAGCTGTAACATATATGTTCAGAGTATAATATTCTTAAACAGAATCCCCCAAAACTTGTCAGCATTCAAATTAAAACACACATACCACACACATACACACAAACTCTCATGTCCCATTGAAAACTTCTCACTAAAACATACATCAAGTTTCCAAACCACTTCACTGGTGGTTTTGAGTCATATCAAGAACCAGATGCCCTCTCAGTAAAAAAACCCAATGAACATCTTATTCATAATGGAGATATAGGGGTACTAGCAATGGTCCAGGCATGTCTGTCAAAATAAAGTGTCTTTCCCCTTTAAATATCTTTGTAAGGAATAATAAATAGTTCTCCTAATAACAAATATTGGCCATGGAAAGTTGTTAGGGACCACCCACACTATGTAAATAAATATTGTAAAACTAGCATCAATGTTTGTTTTTGTAATTTTAAAAATTTTATTGGAACATCTGTGGAATATAAAGTAACAAAAGGCTCAAAAGATTTTCCATTTTAATTAAGGGAGAAAAGATGCACAAAAACTTCATTCACAAGCAAAGGGATGTGTATATATTTATGATGTGTAAAGGAATTTCTTGACAATGAATATCTACTTGTCCTTGCACAAAAATGATTGTGCAAACTTTAATAGCATGAAGATAATATCTTTTCTTTCTAGTGTTTAGTGCAGTTCTTCCTTTCTTCAATTCCCATATGTAGGTAAGTACAAAAACAAACAATAGAACCAAGCACATGTTTTAAATTTTCTAAGTGTATTAGATCTTTCATCTTATTTGGTCTTTACACAAGGAATACTGTAGAACCCTGTCTGCAAGAACCTGAAAATTCCTCCATGTGACATGGTGACCTCCCAGGAAAAGCACACCTAGCCGACCCTGGATAACTTTTGCTTTTGTCTATTTTTATTTGTGATTTCTAAGTAACATGTAATTTAAGCAAAGGGACTATTCACGTTAAATGGAAAAAAAAAAAACCCCACTTGAAAAGCCCTAGTGTAGAAGGAGAAGAACTAGAGCAGTTTCTTGTTGCATTTGGGATCTGGTCTGGCCAGCCTTTCCACTGAAGGTTGCGTGATCTTGGGCACGTCTTGGAACCTGTCTTTCCCTCTGACGGTGCTCTCTCAGAGAGCTGCTAGGGGCGGTAAATGGCTACGATATCAAATTGAGCTAAGGCAGTCTACCAGGTGGGTCTTTATAAATCTTGACACTTTTAACCATTTCATCAGACTTTTATTTTTGTAAGGCAGATGACTGTAAAGAAAATGAAGGTAGGGATTGTATCTGCCTTTTTCTAGTATGTGTCTAACAGAGTAGATACTTAGACATTTCCTGAGTGAACTCATGAATGAACAAAGGCAATAGCATTTGACATGGAAAGTTGGGAACAGATATAAAATCCTGGATTTAAAATGTCAGTGAGGGTTGAATATCCTACTGTGGCTTGAAGACGCCTTACTGCTATGTCACATGCCCATATTCCAGTGCCAAGAGGCTAAGAGACTTCCACCTTTTGAGTTTTGGCAGTGGCAAGAAGGATCCGCTGGGGAAAATGAGTCGAGAAGAACTTCCTTCAGGAGCTATTGTGGTAGGGCTCTTCATCTGCCTATTACATATCTGTAGGGAAAGAGCAACTATTTTGATCAATCAGGACAATGGTATAAAGTTTTCCTCTGTCTGAAAAAATATGTTAGGCCTTTCTGTGTTCATGAAGAGAGCTTTCCATCTAGCAGATAATATTCACAGTCAAATATAGTTTAAAATATACCAATTCACAGAGGAGATTCATCTGTCTTTTGTGGCCCTGGTGAGTGCGTCATAATTATATAAGCACACAAAACTTCTTCTTTGATAATGATTTGCTTCCTGGCCTTTCCCTGGAAGTAGAATTTCATGCAGCCTCTTGGAATTTGTTCTCCTGTTCTCCATTTGTTCAGCCTCACTTGTAACTGAGAGAGTAAACATCTTCCATAAACCCCAATGTTTATGACTGACTAGTCCTCCCAACTTGCTTGTCAGTTGTATTGATTTTATACTCCAGGCAACCAAACCAATCATATCTTAAGGCCTTGCTTTAACAATATAACACCAGATAAAACTGCTTCTGAGGACTTGTGGTTTTTAATCTCTAAGATAGGCATGAGGCTTGAACGTATAGAATATGTTACTTTCACCTTCTTGCAAGTTTCATCAGCAATGGTACACAGTACACTAGATACATCTAAATTATACCCGTCTTAGGTTGTATGTTGCTGCTGCTCAATGTTACAATATAATTACATTTCTGTTTTCTTCTTTTTCCAACCACATTTAACTGTTTGGGAGTTAAACTCATTATTCACAGGCCATTCCAAATGCTTTTGGAAAAACAAAATTCTTCTCCCTAATAACAGTATATATTCATAGTACCAGATTTAACAACCATTCATGGCTGGCATCATCATTATTCACCTTTTATACATGAGGCAAGGGGGACTCAGGAAGTTTAGAAGTCTGTACTACATTTTTCTGATAATGAATATTTGCTATGGAAAATTATTAGGGGCCACACACACTGTGTGACCAAATATTACAAAACAAGTAACAAAGTTTATATTCACAATTTATTTTATTTTATTGGAATAACTGTGGAAAACAAAGTAACAGAAGATTAAAAATAGAACCTAGCAGAGCAAAAACCAGACCCTGTTTCTCGCCTCTAGAGAGCATTCCAGAGTGTCTAAAGAATGTCCCTGTCTTCTCACTGTCCCTGAACAACCTTTCCCTGATAACTGACCAGCTCGCCCTCATTTTCAAAGAGCTAACTCTGTCAACCAAGGGAAAAAGATCTTTCAGTATAATTTTCTACACTGACCACCTGTCTCTTTCCATATTTAGACATAATTTGTGCTGCTAAATAAGGTTGCCCCCTAGCCATACAGACTAAACTCTGAATTTCAAGCAGATACTTTGTTTATAACTGCCTTAAGTCATTAGTTCTCAGGATGAGAAAACTAGTTATTTTAAGTACCAAAAATTTGGTAGCAGACCAGAGAGAATTTTTCCTCTTTATTTAACGCCCATGGGCAAAACCTCAGGATGCTGCCATTTGAATGCACTGCCATCGAGTCAGGGCCTTCACCAGAGGCGCTTTTGTGGCTCTCCACCAGATGAAGTCAGGCACTCCAACACTCTAACCACGGTCCGCAGATGGTGGCCTGCCACCACCACATCTGAGCTCCCAGGATTTAAAGGACTCAACTATGTTCCATTCCTGCCCTTTTGTGGGTTTCCTCCTTCACCACCTCTGAGAAAGCCACAGTGTCCAGAAGAAGGAGGCAGTCCAGCATCAACAGTCAGAGCCCTCTGCAGCCTCTCTCACCATCTCCTCTCCACTCTACCCCTCAGTCTGTAGGTCAAGAATACAGAATGAATGGGAAAAAAAAATCTCCCACTAGACCAAACCCCGTCTGTGATTTTGGCTTTCTACATGCTGTTAAATTTTTGCAGAAAATGTTCTTTTCTCTTATTCTATTTCCCCTCTTTCTACCCTGTATTAGGACTTGTTTGAGTGTCTTTCCAAGTGGGGATCCAACATACACACGTCTGTATTTGAGTGTATATTGTACATGTGTACACACACTTACAGACACACATATATACAAAAACATAAATGTGTGTATATATGTATATGTGCACATATACACACAAATATGTATACAAATGCATGTGTGTGTATATACATACACATATATATAATACACACTCAAATATAAAAGTATACAGTCATTGATTTTGTTAGGATAACAGCTATTTTTAGACTCCTATTCTGAAGGCTAACTTGTGGTTAATGTCATTTTTTGTCCAATGACAGAATTACAACAGCCTGCCCATTTAGTTTAGTGTCATTCCAGAATGTTTATTTTGGGAATCATATTATCCTGACTTCACTCTGGTAATGTGAAAGTTTAACAATAACTCTGCTACATTAATTGTGTTATTTATTTTTTTAACACGTCAGAGCTAGAACTGGAAGGTTTAAATGGCTAAGAGACAATAAAGAGAGGATGTGATAACCATTTCTAGGTGCATCCCTATGTTAATCTCCAATTAGAGAGACTGCGTAACATGAACAGGGACCCAGGACATGTACCTACAAAAAATAAGGTACATTAGTTAGAGTTAAAGTCTGGGTTTTCTACCTATTAGGAAGAGGTAAGGAAATAAAAGGCCCTTAATATATTTATTCTACATAATTCAGATGTAGTCTAAAATAGTTGCAATTAGTGTGAGAACAAAGAATATTATCCTTAAAAATTCTGAAGGAGAGACAGAATAAATGCATAGGTCTATTCTAAGCACAAAATTGGAAAAATTTGAATACTGTACTGTGATTAGGCTTGATAAATGCTAAGATGATTAAAATACAGTTCTCACCCTGAGAGAGTGCACGTGCTGGTTTGGGGGAAAAAAGTAATGAGTAAATAATTACAATCCAGCCATATGACCCAAATTCTTGAAAATATTGAACAAGAGCCATTAACTCTCTCGGGAAGGTTATAGGATATTTTCCAGAAAGGAGTTATATTTAACCTTCCTGAAAGTATGTGTGTCAACAGAGGAAGAGCAAGGGCAGCTCCCTGCAGAAGACATTCCTTCCTCTATAGACTACAGAATTAGAAGTGTCTCCTGAAAAGACACTTTCCTTATGCGTGCCACTCAGAGGAGCCATTTTGCTCCAGCCTTCAACTCCTCATTGCTAGTAATTTCAAATACTTTTCCTGGAATTTTGTGGTTCTCTCAGTGATTACTTTCATATTGTTTTCTCTTTTCTGTCCCATTTCTGCTTTGTTTAGCAAGTACCAGTACCAGTAATAGCTTACTTTATAGCAATTTATTTTCACAAAAACCCGTCAGAGACTTTAATAGCTATGTATATGTCCTCTATCTTTGTATTCATGGCTTCTAGTCATTTTCAAGATAATTGCATTGATCCAGTTATTGAGCTGTGTGCATTCAGGAGAACATGTACTTTAACCCCAACCTAATTAATAAAAGCTGCTTTTGGTGATACTGTGTGATGGAGACCATAGAGACATGGTTTTGTTGTAGTATTGTTGAATCAGAAGTTCTCGTGAACATGTATAATACCTCTCCGGGGATAACGTTGGTTCCACCAGCATCTGTAAGAGGAATGTTCTACTTTGTCTGAACATTCTGCACCCCAGCACAGAAAGTGTCATGGAGATGAGGTTTTGTACAAATAACTGAAAAAAATTAGTTGAGACGAAAACACGATAGACTAAGTTATTTATACTTTTCTAAATACTTAATCTAAGCATACATAAAAAATTTTAACTAAGATTTATTTAAAGCTATTTAGTCACTTTTTAGTCTTAATGTTTGCTACTAATCCCTTCATTTATGATATTTATAAAACATTTAGCCAGGAGCTACTAGGAGACAAAGCAAAACAAGCATTATTTCCCTTTTCTATGTTTCAGGTTGGTGCAAAAGTAATTGCGGTTTGTTTCACTGATTTGTTTCTGTGTCCCCAGTGGGTCCTCTTGCTATGCCCAATGTCCTTGGTGATATCCAGCTCAACAAGGGGCAGGCACATGTACATGTTTTACATGTAAGAAAATAATACAGAACCCAGATGATACCTAGTGAATTATACTAAGTGTATTGTACAAAGTAATGAGATGAGAACTTTGATGAATTAAAAATACTGTTTTAAACAAAGATTTCAAGTTAAAACTTATATTTTATTCTCTCACTATTAAACAGTCCTGCTTTTGGAGAGGTGACTTTTTTTTTTTTTTTTTTTTTTTTTTTTTGAGACGGAGTCTCGCTCTGTCACCCAGGCTGGAGTGCAGTGGCACGATCTCAGCTCACTGCAAGCTCCACCTCCCGGGTTCACAGCATTCTTGGAGAGGTGACTATTGATTGATTGTTTAAGTATTTCAATTCCCTTCTAGTTTCTAAGCTGAAATCTGCATCAGTTCAGGGGACGTGGCCATCCTTTGTGGTGAGGCTTTTCTACTTCACAATAGTGCTCATTAATATATTAAGGACTCTTCTCTTTAAAAAGAACAATTATGACAAGATGGGGCATTTAAAGTAGAGTGCACTGTGGTGCTTTGTGCCTCATCGCTGTCATGTTTTCAACAAGAGATATTAAAAGAAGTAAATGCCGGGTGGTCTCATGAGGATATGGCGATTTAAGCCTTTGAACCTTGGGCATCCAGTATGACAAAATGGCTGGTTGCTTTGATGTTGCAACATGAGAAAATCTGTTCTTTTATTGTTTGCAAATGCTAGAATTCTTTCACATTGAAATGATCACTTTGCATATATACCACAAGTTAAAATTTAATATGTTTTGAGAAAGATACCTCTGAACAATATGGACATGGCAAAAATTTGAAAGGTTCTTTTTGTGTTTTTCCCCCTAAATCATGACCTTGGATACACTGAATTTAAATTGTTTGGTTGTAGGAAAGTTATTAATAGTACACATTAATAGTAATGTATACTCATACTTTGCTCATAAAGTACCTTTTAAGGTAAATTTATAAGATATATTTACCAAATGTATTTGTTTTTAGGAGTAATGTCTCACCAAAGGTTGTAATTTCAGTTATTGAAAATATATTTATATGGGATATAGATGGTATTTGTACTGATGTTTGTTAAGAATAAACTCTATAAAATGGTTCTTAAATGATTAAAAGTATACATTGTAAATTGGTAACTGGTGACAGCGTGAAGTAAAAACAAATTGTAGATAATTTTTGAAGGTTAGTCTATGTGAATAAGTACATAGCTGCTAGAAGTTTATACAAATAATGTAAATGCAGTTTTTTAAGTAAAGAACTCCTTTTCTATTAGAAAAGAAGACACGTCAAGTGACAGATAATTTGTTTCTTAAAAAACTGTTTCCTCCTAAACAAAAGATGGGTAAAACATACAGCAAAGAGAACTATCTCACCTGTGTTCCAACCAATATTTGGTACATAGCTAAAAGCTGATTTAATTGAATTTTAAAATGTGAGATTATGAGTGCCACCATTCTGATTGGGAGAAAAGCAGGAACTTGTGTTACCAAAACAAGTTTCTCTGAAATGTATTTTACCTGGATTTAGAACAGATGTTTATAGGACATGTCGATTTCTTATTCTCTCTGGAATATGAATGTATGATCTAAAAATTGACATCATCCCTTTTAACTTAATCCCCTCCCGAAGGTACCCTTGCTCCTGTTTATGGCAGAGGTAGTTTCCAAGTGATTGTCTATCCTGAAAGATTTCTATGAAATTATTCTGGATTTTGTTTCATCTACTTGCATGTAGTATGTTCTCAGAAAGGCTTTTAGGTACACTAACATTTTTGTTGTTTGACTTTGATTTT
This sequence comes from Homo sapiens, assembly GCF_000001405.40. Classification (NCBI taxonomy): domain Eukaryota; kingdom Metazoa; phylum Chordata; class Mammalia; order Primates; family Hominidae; genus Homo; species Homo sapiens. The sequence goes on from NC_000021.9 coordinate 16,381,529, forward strand.
TTATGCTGAAAGTTGGCTGAAATATCATCTACTAAACATATATAATCAATTAAAAGACATACCATGTTCCCAGATTGAAAGATGGTACATTAATCTATTACTCAATGCAATCTCACTAATTATCCAAATGTGATGTTTTAATGAAACTTAATAAACTGCTAGTAAAATTTTTAAAAATATATGTATATAATTAAATTTGTGTTAAATGAAATTATATGAGTAGATATGACATTTTTAAAAGTGGCTCAAAACTTAATATAGCTCCATTCATTCTACTCTTAGCCTTTAAAGTTGCATTCCTTAATTAAAAAGAGAGCATTTTAAACATGCCAATAAAAATATTGACCATCTTAAAATCTTTAAATGCCTAACTACTCGGCATTTATTGCTGAATAACTAACATTCAAGATGGTTTACATATTTTAAATAGTCACAACTCTTTTCAAATCGGTCATGACTTAAATGCAGCTTTCATATCAGTTTCTGTTTTATGTTTTGGTAAGCAATTTTTGCTATTGATAAATATCCTTACCATTTTAGTCTGATTTCTCTCTTTGACTGTCAGACTCCGGTGGCCCTGAACAATGTTTAGATTATTCTCCAAAACTTTTGGCTAAGGAGATAATTTTGGAAGTAAGCTTAATTCCTTCACGTTTTGAATTTAATTAGCAGAGAACTGTTTTTGAGTGAAAGGCAGGTGTTTTATGATTTTCATGGTGCTATTCCAAATATAAGTATATTAAATATCATTATTTCAAGAAATTGTATCTCATTGCTATTTGAGGACTTCACAAATTCTCTTTCAGGAAAAAGTAGCATGTCCCTGGTAATGGTTTTATATCATCCGTTGGAAACTGCATCATATGTTTTGTATTTTAAATCCACTGCAAGAATCGTCGCTCCTGGTAAAAAATCAGAGTGCTCTCAGGATTCTAATATAATCACATGTTTAAACTGTGCTGCAGACTTCCCAAGTGTGACTCATTGGCCTTTTGGAAGTCCAAGCCTAAGCATGGAAGCTACTCAACATACGATGAGGAAAAAAATTATGAACGAACAAATTCTATGATCATACAGATATTTAGCTAAAGTACATTATAAACTTACATATAACAAAAATTTAAGAATAACCCAAATGTTTGACAATAAAGTTTCTTTAAGTAAATTTCATATTGTGCAAGTATTAATGATGTCGAATATCATTTTCCTAATTTTGATATTCGATATATAAAAAAATTAAATGTCTTTGAAAATTGCTTCCAAGATAGTGCTTTTGGTTCCATAGTTGTGTGTCCTTTGTTTGTAAAATGTGACTTCTCCTTCAACTTTTAAATTAGAACTTCTCATGATATCCTAAATGACATATTATTGTAGAGTAAGTGCTGGAAGTGCTCATGTCTTTTGCTTGTTTCCTTAGTGTCATTCTGTAGAGCTCATTGACTTGAAGGTGACAGAGACTTACTTCTATAGATACTATATGTAATACCATATGTCAATATCTATAGATTCTATATTTGATACCATACATGAGTCAATCAATCAGTCAACACATATGTAATCAAAGTTGGCAGTGCATTTACTCCTGAGTTAGATGCTGTAGGGCCACTGTTGTGTGTGATCTTGCCTTCCAGAAACTTACAACCAAGTTGAAAAGACAAGAGCCATAAAATAAAATAATAGCAAATTAATATAAAACCTGGATAAAGAATGTAATAACTAGATGACCAATTTGAGAGTGCTTATTGGGACTTATGAAGAAAAAGAAATTGAAAAAAGGTGAGCCTGTGTTTAAAATTTAGAGGGGTATAGATATAACACAGACTGTTAATGTTTTCTTTCAATATCCATTTTGTTTTACTATTCTTTTTTAAGGTGTTTTATTTTAGTTGTTTTTACACGTTACATGAACATTCATTCATCGTAATGCATATTTTATCACATTTTATTGATTGTCCAATATTCATTTTATTGTTTATCCATTTTATTGATTGTCCAGTGCTGACATCTCCCTATGTCAGCATTTAATAATTTAATAATTTCTGTTGAACTTTTAAAGGGCTTTGGGTATGTAATTTCTGTTGAACTTTTTAAAGGGCTTTGGGTATGTAATTATTTAACAAAGTGCACCAACTAGCAGAATTATCTGTATACATAGAAGCGATTTTTTTTATAATGATGATGATTTAGTCATTCAATGATTATTTATTGAGTACCTGTTATGAGCCATGGACTGTCTTAGGTGCTGGTGATATAGAACTAAAAGAAAAAGACAAAACTCCTTATCTTTGTGGAGCCTACATTTTAATTATGTAAGTAGGTAATAAATAATATAAGTAGCTAAAGTATACAGTGTGTTGATAATGATTAATAATAAAGAGATGCTGGGTACAGTGGCTCATGCCTGTAATCCCAGCGGTTTGGGAGGCTGAGGTGGATGGATCGCTTAGGCCAAGGGATTCAAGACCTGGGCAACATGGTGAAACCCTGTCTGTACCAACAAAAAAGTACGAAAATTATCCAGGCACACACCTCTAGTCCCAGCTACTTGGGTGGCTGAAGTGGGAGGACCCATTTGAGCCCAGGAGGTTAATAACAATTGTAGGTAGGGTAGTTGGTGGTAGTTGGTGAGAACTTCCCTGAAGAGATAATTCTTGAGTAACAACTTGGAAGACATGAGGCTAATATCATCTATATCTGGGGGAAGAACCTTCCAGGCGGGGAAACTGAAGGCTGTTTTCTTCACTGCAGGTGGCTGCCACATAAGGCTAGTACTTCCCTTTCAAGGTAGGGAGTATCGAGGAAGAGGCAAACACTTATTGCTCAGAGAAGAAAAAAGGACTAATTTTGCTTTAGCAAACCTGTTATTTTTGTACTCTAAATAATATTATATCTAACCATTCCAATATTTTGAAATCAAGTATTATATAATTCTGATCATTAATCTTTACTAAAAACTTTGTATACATACTCTGACAAACAATCTTTCTTCCTCATGAGTTTGCTGAGTATTGTGGAGAGTGAAGATTAACAAAAATCGTGAGAAAAAATAATGTAATAGCAACTTAGAGATAGTTGGAGTGAAGTTAGGTACATTCTTATTAGGAGTAAGAACAATCAAATCCAGCACTTGCCTCAAGACTCACATCTTTCTAAAACATGTCACTTCTGGACAAGAGGTGACTACCCCAATTAAGTAATTTATTTGTGTGGGAGGATCTAACTCCAGAACTCTGTAAGAAAAAGAGGTGCTTTTGGATGCTGATAAATCCCCCAAATGAAAAGTTATATTAAAACATACATCTTGATTTCCTTTGAAGAGTGTATGGTGTCTGTCCCATGACTGGCAATTCTTATCATCCACTTGAGAAGGGATAATCTCACTGTTTGTCAGTTGAGATGGCTGTAAACTGAAAATTATTATGTAAGCAGCCTGACGAAAGTACCAAGAAAACTTTAATTAACACTTGCATGATTAAGAAATGTAATAAATATGATGGTAGATATGATAAATAGCTTTAATCTCAATCCCTATTACAATCACAAAATTTAACTTCTCAGAGAAACAATCTGATGACTATGTACTGACATTTTGAAATTAAGTTTGAAATGTTAATGTTTTTGGTTGAGTATCACTCTTTCTGCTGCCCCAGATTCTAGTGTTAGACATTTATATGCTTTTCACTTCTCAAGCCAGAGAACCATAACATGATTGGCATAGATATCTATTCTGTTTTTTAGCTTCTAATATCTGAAAGTCTGAACCAATTCCAAAGTGTTGACATTATACAGTCATTTTTCATGGATGTACATGTTATGGCTGGCATGTAGTAGGACCGAGAAAACTGTGAAATATATAAATATCTTCAAACTACTGTTCTATTTCTTATACTTTTTGAAACTGATCTAGTGATTTGCTTTTGATTTCCTATTGCAGTGTTTGATTGTCATCTAACTGATTATTTTAAGTGATTTAATTATATTATAAGATGAATAAAATTCAGGCTTCCAGTTAACTAACTAGCTTTTGTTCCCTGAAGAAATTGGCAGAAAAGGACATATCTATTTATGATTTTTTTTCCTCACCAATTTCTACTTTAAGAGACATGTTCTCAAGTAGAGAAGATTTTCCCACAGACGGCATTAATTGGAAACGTTGTAATGACAATAACAAGTATGCAGAAATCTAGTTGTTTAGAAGAAATTTTCTCTTTCTTCATGAATATTTGGACAAGCTATTCCGTCAAATGTCTGATATATTTAAAATGAGGCCAAGAAGACATGCAGTTGGTTCACAGTTTTCCAAAGTGTGTGTTCTAGAACACTTTTATCACTAGATTTCTGCTGGGTTTGTGTGACAGTGCATCTTATCTCCCTCTTCATTAAATACCTTATTTCTCATTCATTGTTTCAAGGTTTTTTGCTTGTTTGTTTTTTGTTTTTTTGTTTTGTGTTGTTTTGAGATGGAGTCTTGCTCTGTCACCCAGGCTGGAGTGCAATGGCACAATCTCGGCTCACTGCAACCTCCACCTTCTGGGATCAAGTGATTCTCCTGTCTCAGCCTACCGAGTAGTTGGGATTACAGGCACCCCACCATAACCGGCTAATTTTTATATTTTTAGTAGAGATGGGGTTTTGCCATGTTGGTCAGGTTGGTCTCGAACTCCTGACCTCAGGTGATCTGCCCACTTTGGCTGCCCAAAGTGCTGGGATTACAGGCGTGAGCCACCGCGCCCGGCCTTTCAAGGTTTTAATATCTTCTACAGCAAAGAAATCTGATTAACCTTGCTTAACCCAATGTTTACCAAATGTATTTACTGACAGACCAATTACATATTTACATCAGACCAATTACATTTACATCAGACCAATTAACATATTCTGAGACTAGCATTTCGGGAAGCAAATGCTGCTAAAACACCTTAGCAATTTCTGTGAGAATGAAATCCATATCCAGTTAACAGCGTTTTTCAGTGTTGTATAACCTTGTGGACAATTTGATACTGGTTTAGGTTCTTGAATTATTGACCTTTTAAGAAGTCTGCAGGTGAATAATAATTGGCCACATACACAGCAATGCACTTAGAGCATTATTTTAAGTTCCGCACTTGGAAATTTGCCAGCACTACTTTGGAAATGGCAACTAAAGCAAGCATTTCATATATTGGATTCTATGGAACTTTGCTGAATTTGGAGACAGAAATGCATTAAGCAGCATTCAATATAACTGGTCTTAAATGTGGGAGGGCTTCGTGTTTATTTGCAACACATAATTTTTTGGGAGCCTTAAGGCTCTTTAGACTCCAAAGTGTTTTCCTCACATCCTATCACTCAATGAAATTCCAGCTTTGGAGCTCCTCCATCTTTCATTGGAATTAGATAATCAAAACAACCCTGTCATTTTCTATCCTATGCCTCTGCTTAGCCTTTTTCTCTTCCTAAAATGTCCTTCTCCTTTATGCCTCAATCAGTGCCCTTCATAATTCTGTGCTACCTTCAAATGACCCTTCCTCCCTCACACCTTTCCTCATTCTCACCATGGTGACAGCTGTTTGTCCAGGCTGTGCTGAGGTAATCGAAATGTTTCCTCTTTTCTCTGTGTCTAAACGGGACTTTGCTTGCCTCTTTGTCATAACAGATTCTATGAAATACTGTTACTGGGAAACACGTATAATATTCCACCAACGTTTTCATAATCACAGACGACGTTTTGCTTATGATAACTAGTGTCTTTCACGGAGTAGAAATGCAAAATCATACGGCATGGCAACTTAAAAATTGGCCTTGACCATTTCTTTTACACTAGGGGAGTCACATGAAAATGCAGGTTGAAAATCACATTTTGAGTTTTTTTTTTTTAATTTATTTACTAAGATATACTCTGGCTACTTCACATGTAAACAAAGAATTTATTTCTTGAGGATCCTGGCATTATTGGTACATTTTCTTGTTGTCACTTGGTTTTGGCCATTTTTCAACTGGTCAAAATTAAAAAAAAAAAAAATTTCAAAGCAATATGACACCTACAATTACATTGTTAATTTTGGCTCTCCTTATTCTTTCCAGATAATTGTTCTTCATCCATTTTATTCCTAAGTTAGAATTCTTTAAAATAAACTTTTAAATAATTTCAGACTTATGAAAAAGTTTCAAAAGTAGTACAGAAATTTCCTTACAGTTTTTAAGCAGCTTCCTTAAAGGTTAACATCTTACATAATCAGGGAACAGATATTGAAAACAAAAGATTAACATTGAAACCATCCTATTAACTCATCTGTAGACCTACTTAAGTTTCCTTAGTTGTCTCCCTGAGGACTTATTTCCTCAGTCTAGGATCCAATCCCTGATCCAACATTGCAGGTAGCTGTCAGGCACTTTGCCTCCAATCTGATATTTCTTCAATCTTTCTTTGTGCGTCGAGAATTTGATATTTATCAAGAGCGTTATCCAGTTATTTTGTAGAACATCAATTTCAGGTTGTCTGCTATGTAAGTAGCCATTATATCCTTTGAAAAATAGTCTTAGGCATATTTCTGAAGATTACTTGTGTGGAAAGCATTTGTTTCCCAAATGCTTTGTTGACTTGCATCATTACTTTCCATGTGAAAAAATGCATGTTTTAGCGTCTAAAAAAAAAAAAAGGCAGAAATATCTTATTTTCCCCTTTCCTGATGATTTGTCCTATAATAGTCTTTGGAAAGATTTATAATGAGATTGAGTTTCAGAGCTTTGTAAGCCTCTGTTCACGAGTATACATCCTTTATCAAAAAATATTTTTAAAATGTGAAGTTATTTATATTAGCATTCTCCAGAGAAACAAAATCAATAAGGTATATATGTAGATAGATATATGAGAGGTAATTTGTTAGGGGAATTGGCTCATGTGATTATGGAGGCTGAGAAGTCCCATCACAGGCCACCTGCAAGCTGGAGATCCTGGGATGCCTGTAGCGTGACTCAGTGCAAGTCTTCAATCCTCAGAATCAGCGAAGTCGAGGGTGGAACTCTCAGTCTGAGGCTGAAGTCCTGAAAACCTGAGGAGCCTCTGATGCAAATACCAGGGTCCAAATGCTGGAGAGCCTGGAATTTTTGGTGTCGGAGTGTTATAGGAAAGGGGTCCTGATCCAGACCCCAAAAGAGGGTTCTTGGATCTTGTGCAAGAAAAAATTCAGGGTGAGTCCACAGTGCAAAGCTTTCAAGTTTATTAATAGTAAAGTGGTGAAAGTACAGCTACTCCATAGATAGAGTAGGGTGTTCCTGAAAGTAAGAGGAGAAATGCATCCACACTAGATACAATACTTGTTTATGTATAGTATAAAAAAAAATCATGGGGACCTGTGCTCTGCTACTAGGGTTTGTGATAAAGGATTAATTTTCTTAATTAGTATATTTTGCAAGAATCAGTATTATGATCTTTAAAGCAAAATTAGGAATGCTTCTTTTCTCAAGATAACAGGATATCAGGACACTCCTAAGTCTGGGTCTGTTTAGTAAACATTATCAATCTGTTCCCTTGCCCGTAAACATCTAGAGGCTAGGAATACCTAACTTCCTGGGAATGCAGCCCAACAAGTCCCAGCCTCATTTCCCTAGCCCTCACTCATGATGGAGTCACTCTGGTTTGAAAGCCTCTGACACCAGGTCAGGAGAAGAGGGGTGTCCTATCTCCAGGAGAGAGAGGGAATGAGAATTTACCTTTCCTCTGCCTTTTCCACCTATATTGAGGGTGGATCTTCTCCACCCACTCCACCGACTCACACAGTAATCTTCTCTGGAAACATCCTACTAGACACACCCAGAACTAATGCTTTACTAGCTCTCCAGGTAGTCTTTAATCCAATAAAGTTGACACCTAAAATTAATCATCACAGTCTTTTTTTTTTTTTAAACCACACAAGTTATCCATTTTCTTTCTTAGTGACTACTAGGTAGGAGTATTAGACAACTTGAAATGTTGAAATTTAATTGTTTCAAGTTATCCATTAATTATCCTGGTTAGAAAATCAGGCTTGATTGGTGTACCTCTTTAATGAATAGCGCAGAGAAATCACATTAAAATGTGATACTGTTAAACCAATGTGTTAATTCTTTGACACACTTGCTTTCCTTCTTTCATTTTCCAGTGTGCCTCTCTCTCAAAGTTTCCAGACTCTGCTTTTTCACTAACTTCCTTATTCATTTTGACCAATTCCTGCCTTGACTAATTTACCCTAATCAATTTGCAATCTGATTTCTTTCCCTACCACTTCATGAGACTGCTTTGCTCCCTCAAGAAGTGCAAATGACTTTCTAAGCTAAATCTGCTACTTGCGTGCATCATTGACAATGCTGGCCACTTTCTTTTTCAGTGAAATTCTTACCCTCTTGTAACATCTGACAAACATTATCTCTTGGTTCCCTTGCTGCTTCTCCAAACATATCTTCTATTCTCATTTTTGCTGCTTGTCTTTTCAAATATAGGCATTCCACAGGTTTATTCTCCAACCATGCCGTGTTTAGAGAATGCTCAAATGCTCCCAAAACTTCAGTTATCACCTTCGTGCAACTGACTCAATCTTTACCTTGAATTTGCATATTCATCCTGAACTTTTTGTTCTGAATTTCCCATAGGTACTACAGATTCAACTAGGCACTAAACTGAGATTATTAGTTCCCCTTATAAACATCAATTTATTTCTCCTACTCTCACTCCCTGATTTGGGCTGAAGTTAAATTCAGTGTTTAGGTTCTCCCATCCCACTTGTCCTCTGCCTCCTAAACCATATTATTCTTTTAATCTGGACTATTCTCTCCCTCTGTCACTTTATGTTTGAACATGATAATTTTTCATTTAGGTACAGCTTGAGTTCTATCTCAGTGATACCTACCCTATTCAATTCAGAAAGAATGAAAGAACTCTCATGTAATTAACTTCATTGCATCGTGTTTCATCATTAGTTGTAGACATGTCTGTATTGTTTTCCTCATCAGAATGTAAGTCTCTCAAGCGATCTTTGTGGAACTTGTAAGTCGGTCATTACCTTCTTTCTTTCTTTCTTTTTTTTTTTTTTTTTGAGACAGAGTCTCGCCCCGTCGCCCAAGCTGGAGTGCAGTGGTGCAATCTCCACTCACTGCAAGCTCCGCCTCCCAGGTTCACACCATTCTCCTGCCTCAGCCTCCTGAGTAGCTGGGACTACAGGCGCCCGCCACCATGCCCGGCTAATTTTTTGTATTTTTAGTAGAGGTGGGGTTTCACCTTGTTAGCCAGGATGGTCTCGATCTCCTGACCTCGTGATCCGGCCGCCTCAGCCTCCCAAAGTGCTGGGATTACAGGCATGAGCCACCACACCCGGCCGCTCATTACCTTATTTCTATAATGATTTGTGAATTGGCCTGAAATAACTCATCCCTGCTTTGTTGTTGTTGTGTTGTGTTTTGTGATTCAGCCCTGTAAACGGCATGCTCCTCCCAGGAATGATAATGCTACACTGTAACACAGATCATTGGTGTTTCAAAAAACCCATCCATCCATGTCTTCATTTATTTGCAAAACAAGGGCAGGAAAAACTAGAATTAAATCGTTAATTCTCTCTCGGTCTCTCAGGGCAATATGTTGGGCAGTTACTTGAGTGAGATATTTTTTATCAAACCAAATATGCTGAGGCAGGAATAACATCAAAGGTGTTTGTGATGTACTGTTGCTCTCATTAGTTACCTGCAGATCAAACAGGTATCTGTTCTAACACTTCGATTTTGAAACTTAATGCTGTGTTTGTTAAATTTACTTAATTAGGACCTCTTAACACCTCAGATAGTCGCTTAAAACAACAACAACAAAAACAACAGTAATACCCAGCTGTTAGCCCTGCGGATGAAACAATAAATGCAAAGTTAACACTTTTTAAAGGTGAATATGTACATTTTGATGCCTCGACAGCATTCAGTAAAAATCAAGTGTGCTTAGAGATAATCTACTAAGTTGCTGATTGTTTCTGGACCTGTAACTCTTAATAAATATTGCAAATATCTAAAAGATATGGATCATTATTTAGGGGAAATGTATGTGTATGCATAAATGCAATCTTTTATAATCTAAAAATACTTTTCAGGAGCTCTTTCTGAGATGAAGAGAATTCTCAATGTCAAGATTTGAACAAGAAGAGAATGGAATACACAATATGGTAAGTGACTTGCAAAAAAGATCAATGTGACCACATTTCTAGTGCTCCATTGGGCAGTTATCACTTGTAAGTTGCATGCATAGAAAAATGCATACTTATGGTAGTCACTGTTGCAAGCAGTTCTGAAATATTAACACAGTTGATCAAAATTGTTCCACTCCTAAAAGCTTATTTTGATAAACTTGGTGTAAAAGATACTTGGCTATCACTCATGGCAGGTGATTTTACTCTAATTTTTAATTAGGGAAAATTAAGGTTGCTTATGTGATTAATGTCACGCACGTCCATGTGAAGAGACCACCAAACAGGCTTTGTGTGAGCAATAAAGCTTTTTAATCACCTGGGTGCAGGTGGGCTGAGTCTGAAAAGAGAGTGAGCAAAGTGTGGTGGGATTATCGTTAGTTCTTATAGGTTTGGGATAGGCGGTGGAGTTAGGAGCAGGGGGTAGATCTCACAAAGTACATTCTCAAGGGCAGGGAGAGTATTACAAAGTACCTTTTCAAGGGTGGGGGAATATCACAAAGTACCTTCTCAAGGGTGGGGGAATATCACAAAGTAACTTCTCAAGGGTGGGAGAATATCACAAAGTACCTTCTCAAGGGTGGGGAAATATCACAAAGTACCTTCTCAAGGGTAGGGGAATATCTCAAAGTACATTATCGCAAGGGCGGGGAGGGTGTATTGTCATAAGGTCAATTGATCAGTTAGGGTGCGGCAGGAACAGGTCACAATGGTGGAATGTCGTCAGCTAAGGCAGGACCTGGCTATTTGCACTTCTTTTGTGGATCTTCAGTTGCTTCAGGCCATCTGGATGTATACATGCAGGTCACAGGGGATATGATGGCTTAGCTTGAGCTCAGAGGCCTGACATTCCTGTCTTCTTCTGTTAATAAGAAAAACAAAACAAAATGGTGGTGAAGTGTTGGGGTGGCAAAAATTTTTGCGGGTGGTATGGAGAGATAATGGGCGATGTTTCTCAGGGCTGCTTTGAGCAGGATTAGGGGCAGTGTGGGAACCTAGAGTGGGAGTGATTAAACTGAAGAAAGATTTTGGGGTAAGGGGTGATATTGTGGGGTTGTTAGAAGCAGCATTTGTCATATAGAGTGATTAGTGATAGTCTGGATGCAGTTTTGTAGGAATTGAGAGATTAATTGGAAGACACAAGGGCCAAGTAAGAGAAAGAGAAAAACAGGTATCAAAGGACTAAGAATTGGGAGGACCCAGGACATTCAACTAGAGAGTGCCCAAGGGGGTTCAGCCTAATTATTTGCTTGTTTGATGAGTTTTTGGGCTCTATCCTTGCATTTTTTTATGTTGTCATATACCAGGCCAGACTGATTTAGGTAAAAACAACACTCTTCATTTAAAAATACACAGAGTCTTCCTTTTTCAGCAGTGAGTAAGTCAAGGCCTGTTCCTGTTTTCTTATATTAATAATAATAATAAAAAAACAAAATAGAAGTAAAGTGTTAGTGTCATGAGGGGAACAGGAAGCTGTTCGGTCCTATTTGCAAATTGATTTTGGGGGTAAGGCTAACTAGTGTACATGTGCCTGTCTAATTAATAGGTAGACACATGTAGGTGAAGGAGCCACAGAGGAGGAAGACATCTTTTTTATTATTATTATTATTATTATTATTATACTTTAAGTTTTAGGGTACATGTGCACAATGTGCAGGTTAGTTACATATGTATACGTGTGCCATGCTGCTGTGCTGCACCCATTAACTCGTCATTTAGCTTTAGGTATATCTCCTAATGCTATCCCTCCCCCTTCCCCCCACCCCACAACAGTCACCAGAGTGTGACGTTCCCCTTCCTGTGTCCATGGGTTCTCATTGTTCAAATCTCACCTATGAGTGAGAACATGCGGTGTTTGGATTTTTGTCCTTGCGATAGTTTACTGAGAATGATGATTTCCAATTTCATCCATGTCCCTATAAAGGACACGAACTTCTCATTTTTTATGGCTGCATAGTATTCCATGGTGTATATGTGCCACGTTTTCTTAATCCAGTCTATCATTGTTGGTCGTTTGGATTGGTTCCAAGTCTTTGCTATTGTGAATAGTGCAATAAACATACGTGTGCACGTGACTTTATAGCAGCATGATTTATAGTCCTTTGGGTATATACCCAGTAATGGGATGGCTGGGTCAAATGGTATTCCTAGTTCTAGATCCCTGAGGAATCGCCACACTGACTTCCACAATGGTTGAACTAGTTTACAGTCCCACCAACAGTGTAAAAGTGTTCCTATTTCTCCACAACCTCTCCAGCACCTGTTGTTTCCCGACTTTTTAATGATTGCCATTCTAACTGGTGTGAGATGGTATCTCATTGTGGTTTTGATTTGCATTTCTCTGATGGCCAGTGATGGTGAGCATTTCTTCATGTGTTTTTTGGCTGCATAAATGTCTTCGTTTGAGAAGTGTCTGTTCATGTCCAAGAAGAGAACTTTGTAAGGCAAAACTGGAAATGTAAAGTGAAAAGACAAGAGGGAGCACCAAAACAGGTGTCTTGCACCCAGACTCTTAGGGATTTAGTAAGGGCAGCAGCCGTTAGAGGTTGTAATGGGGATTGATGGAGCAACTGGGTAGAAGGGGAGGTTTGATTTTTATGGTGTATGAGAAAGTACAAAGTGTCTACGAGTAACCGTTCACTGCTATTCATGGGGCTGGGTATAAGCAAGCAAGAGGAGGGGCTAAGAGGAGAGTCCAAAGAACAAGGGGAAGGTAGCTAAGGATGGAGTGAAATGCAGGGCAAATGTCTTAAAGGAAATGAGAGGTTCTAAGAGGCGGGCTAGTGGCTTGTAACTTACATGGAAGAGGTTATGAAAAGACGAAAGAATGGACTGAGCTTGTGAGGCAGGAAGGATGAGTTTTCCATGATCTAAGAACCACTTGCCCTGAGTTGGAAAAGACTGGTAGAGCAGGTTTTCAGAAGAAGAGTAGGTGGGAGTGATAGAGGAGAAAAAAAAATACTGGCCCTCCGGAGTGGGGGCTGGAATATTAGCGGGTGTGGAGGCATTGGTTATTTTTTTTTTGCAATAAGATCAGTAGGTTTCTGGTGTCCTTTACAATGAATGATTCCAGCCTTGGCTGGCAGGAGAACAACCTTAAGGGCCTCTATTAGGGAGGCATTATTAGTGGAAGAGCTTTGTGTGGTAAGGAAGCCTCTTTTGACCCAGATGGCAGCATGGTTATGGAGGATGTGGAAAGCATATATGGAGTCAGTATAAATGTTAATGTGCATTCCTTTAGCTAGAGAGAGCACACGAGTTAAAGCAATCAGTTTGGCTTGTTGGGAAGTGGTGGAGGGAGGAAGTGCAGCAGCTTCAATAATAGAGGTGTGGGACATGACAGCATATCCAGCTTTAGCTGGTGAAAATTGATTGGGTTTAGAAGAACCGCCATCAATAAACCAAGTGTGGTCCGGGTTTGGAATGGGAAGATTAGAAATATGAGGAAAGGGAGAAGATCCTATGTGTGTTAGGGAAATACAGTCATGTGGTTCAGGACTTGTGTTGGGTGCTAAATGAGAAGCTGGGTTGAAATCAGGCCCATGGGTAATAGTTACTATTGGAGTTTCAACAAAGAGTGAATAGAGCTGGAGGAGTTGGGGGGCAGACAATAAATGTGAAAGGTATGAGGAGGATATTAATGCTTGAAGGTTGTGAGAGCTGTAAAGGGTAAGTGGAGCATAGCCTGTGATTTTTGATGGCCTCTAGAAGTATTTAAATGGCACAAACATGAGGGCCAGCCCAGAATTGTGAAGTTGAGTTGTTTGGATAGAAAGGCTATAGGGCACGGTCCCAGCTCTTGTGTAAGAATTCCGACTGCACAGTCCTGTACTTTGGTTGTGTGTAATGAAAAGGGTTGGGATGAGTTAGGGAGAGCTAGTGTGGGAGCAGCTTCTAGGGCTGTTTTTAAGGAATGGAAAGAGGAGTGGGGAAAGGATCTAGGATCTATGGGGCCAGGTAGGTTTCCTTTTGTGAGTTTATGTAATGGTTTAGTCAGGATGGCAAAATCAGGTATCCAAAGGTGAAAGTACTTAACCATGCCTAGGAAGGAAAGGAGCTGTGGCTTTGTAGAAGGGGTTGGGGTTTGGGAGATTAGCTGGACATGATCAGCAGGGAAAACACGTGTGTTTTTATGAAGAATCATGCCGAGATAGGTAACCGATGAGGAAGAAATTTGTGCTTTGGAGGGGAATATGTGATATCCCTTTGAGAATAGATGTTAGAGGAACAGGAGGGTGTCCTGTTGAGAAGATTTTGGTGGGGGGGGGCAGCTATAAAGTAGAAGGTCGTGAAAATATTGAATAAGGTGAGAAGCAGATGGACAGAATGAAAGTAAATCATGAGAAAGGGCTTGACTGAAGTAACGGGGGCTGTCTGTGAAGCCTTGCGGCAGTACAGCCCAGGTAATTTGCTGAGCCTGATGGGTGTCAGGATCAGTCCAAGTGAAAGCGAAGAGAGGCTGGGATGAAGGATGGAAAAGAATAGTAAAGGAAGCATATTTGAGAACCAGAACAGAATGATGGGTTGTGAAGGGAGGTTATTGAGGTGTGGCTGTAGCCCAGGAATAGTCAGGGAAGCAAATAATTTGGCTAAAATGTCTCGACCTAATAAGGAAGCTGGGCAGGTGGGAATATCTGAAAAGGAGTGCTTAAAAGAGTATTGTCCAAGTTGGCACCAGAGTTGGGGAGTTTTAAGAGGTTTAGAAGCCTGGCTGTCAATACCCACAACAGTTACGGAGGCAAGGGAAAAGGCCCTTGAAAAGAAGGTAATGTGGAGTGGGTAGCCTCCGTATTGATTAAGAAAGGGACAGACTTACCCTCCACTGTAAGAGTTACCCAAAGCATCTGTGATGGTCCAGGAGGCTTCCGAGGCGATCGGGCAGCATCAGTCTTCAGCTGCTGAACCAAGAAGATCTGGGAAGGAGTCAGAGAGCCTTGGGCCAGAGTTCCAGGGGCTCTGGGAGTGGCTGCTGGGATAGTTGGACAGTCCAATTTCCAGTGGGGTCCCGCAGAGATGGGACGCAGCTTAGGAGGAATCCCAGGCTGCTGGCATTCCTTGGCCCAGTGGTCAGATTTCCGTCACGTGGAGCAACATCCTGGGGGAGGAGGTCCTGAAGGAACGCCTGTCCTCTGCGGTTTAGGCAATTTGAAGGTCTTGTGTGCTGGGGATACGGCTAGGGTTTCTCTCACGGCAGAGGCAAGTAATCGCAACTCAGAAATATGTTGCCACTTGGCTGACTCTTTTTTATTATTGTACACCTTGAAGGCGAGGTTAATTAAGTCCTATTGTGGGGTTTGAGGGCTGGAATCTAATTTTTGGAGCTTTTTCTAGTATCAGGAGCAGATTGGGTAATAAAACGCATATTGAGAATAAGATGGCTTTCTGGCCCCTCTGGGTCTAGGGCGGTAAAGCATCTAAGGGTTGTTGCCAAACGGGCCATGAACTGGGCTGGGTTTTTATATTTGATGGAAAAGAGCCTAAACACTAACTGATTTGGGAAAGGTCTGATAGAGAAAAAGGAGCATTAACCTTGACTATGCCTTTAGCTCCAGCCACCTCTTTAAGAGGAAATTGTTGGGCAGGTAGGGGAGGGCTCGTCATGGAATGAAACTGTAAGCCAGACTGGGTGTGGCAGGGGAGGTGATAGAGGGGTTGTAGGGTAGGGGAGCGGAAGCTCAAGAAAAGCTGGAGCCTGATTCAGCCTGGCAGGGAGCGACCTGAGGAGGAGCAGTGTGGGAAGAAGGGGAGAGGTCAGATGGGTGGGTAGAAAAGGAAGATTCAAAAGACTTAGTGACGCTTGGGGTTGGGACTGAAGGAACAGACAGAAGAGAAAGAAGAAAGATGTGGGACAAGTCGCACTGGGAGCAGAGACTAGGGAGGGACCGATGTGTGAAAGAATGCCGGGATGTCAGTCACCTCAGACCATTTGCCCATTTTTCGACAAAATTATCTAGATCTTGTAGGATGGAGAAATCAAAAGTGTCATTTTCTGGCCATTTAGAACCATTCTCGGGTTTTGGCACCAAATGTCGCGCACATCCATGTGAAGAGACCACCAAACAGGCTTTGTGTGAGCAATAAAGCTTTTTAATCACCTGGGTGCAGGCGGGCTGAGTCCGAAAAGAGAGTCAGCAAAGGGTGGTGGGATTATCATTAGTTCTTACAGGTTTGGGATAGGCGGTGGAGTTAGGAGCAATTTGTTGTGGGCAGGGGGTGGATCTCACAAAGTACCTTCTTAAGGGCGGGGGAATATCACAAGTACCTTCTTAAGGGCGGGGGAATATCACAAAGTACCTTCTTAAGGGCGGGGGAATATCACAAAGTACCTTCTTAAGGGCGGGGGAATATCACAAAGTACCTTCTTAAGGGCGGGGGAATATCACAAAGTACCTTCTTAAGGGCGGGGGAATATCACAAAGTACCTTCTTAAGGGCGGGGGAATATCACAAAGTACCTTCTTAAGGGCGGGGGAATATCACAAAGTACCTTCTTAAGGGCGGGGGAATATCACAAAGTACCTTCTTAGGGGCGGGGGAATATCACACAGTACCTTCTTAAGGGCGGGGGAATATCACAAAGTACCTTCTTAAGGGCAGGGGAATATCACAAAGTACATTATCACAAGGGCAGGGAGGGTGTATTGTCATAGGTCAATTGATCAGTTAGGGTGGGGCAGGAACAGGTCACAGTGGTGGAATGTCATCAGCTAAGGCAGCACCTGGCTATTTTCACTTCTTTTGTGGATCTTCAGCTGCTTCAGGCCATCTGGATGTATACGTGCAGGTCACAGGGGATATGATGGCTTAGCTTGGGCTCAGAGGCCTGACAATTAGAACATACATATTTGTGATCCTACAACCATGGAGTTTCTTAAGATGACATTTAGGATTATAATACTGGTTTTAATAGCAAGCCAGGAATTTACAGTGTCTTAAAATGTGGCTTATTTCTTATTCAGACTATTCAACACACATATGCGACAGTTAAATAAATATATCCTGATATTTACAGGGCTTTTTATTTGTTTACAAAAGTAAGTTAGTTTTATGTAGTTTGTAAGAATCTTTAACGTGTTATTTTCTTTTCTTGCTGTGTTTACTACAGTGAGTATATTAAGAATGTATTTATTAGGTAAGTCTCTTTTTTACTTCTTGTGCTATTCAGGGTCTCCCAGACAATGAGTAGTAAGACAGTTGAGAGAGTAAAGAAAAAATAAGAGCAGAGAGTTCCAGAGTCATTTGTGGTGTGTGAATATAGACACGTTGCTAGCTGTGTACTCTACCCCTCCCACTACCATCCCACCCCATCAAGGGCCCAGGAAAATGCTGCATGTTTACAGTGTCATCCAGGCACAAACTACCTTTTTCTGTAGTAGTCAAATTTCAAAAGACATTTGTAGGTCCTACTTTATTTAGTTAGAAACATTCTTCTATACTAGAAGCCCTTAAATTTGGATCAAAGAGTAAGTTTTATACAAAATAATAAGTAATCACTCCGAAATTATATGCGATACATTGTGTTTATATTTTTTTTTCCTGTGGAGACCATCAGTTGGTTTTTATTAATTGTTCAGCGATAGTGATGACAGAAAAAGTTGTCTAAAATGGTTTTACAAATTTAGAATAGATGTGATTAAAATGAAGATTTTGAAAGAATTGTGGAGTTTGTTTGTATTTTATTATCATGAATTCTCCAGATTGTGTTGACTGTAAAATTTGTACACTTATGACTCATTTTAATGATTTTTTTTAGAGAAATAAAAACATTTCAAAAGAGTTTAGTTCCTACTTTCCCTTTTGTCATTCTCTGAAACCTAAAACAAATTTGCATAGTTATTCTTGCAAATAAAAAAAACATAAAATTTTATTCATGTTTGTTCTGTAGTCATTTTACAAATTCCTAAAATAGGCTCTTAGTTAACCTGTGGCTAAATGTATATTTTTTAAAGATATCTATTATTTTACAAATATTCCCATGATATTGGCTTTGTTATCTGAATATTGATCTCTATTATCTCCAGATTATTTTGTTTTTTGTTTTTTGTTTTTTTTGCTTGCTTTCTGTCACAATTATAAATAGAAAAACCAGTTCTGACCCAAACATAATTTTTCTTTACTTACCTGGAAATTCTGGAAATTATTTGTTTTGTCTCCTACATAGTATCTCTCTCCCTGCTAATGCCAATGTATGGCCTCCTACCTCTGTTTATACTCATGAAGATACTTATTCTTTAGTATTACAGCAGCATATTTTATCTTCATCAAACTCTATTAACAAAGATTCTCCAGCCCATGTCTACACTAACTGATCACCAGTTTTATTCTCTTTCATTAGATATGCTAATTATAAAGAAATACTCTAGATATTTTGACGATTTCTTTGGTGGGGGAAAAGAGGAGTGTAAGGATATAGAAGAAAATAAACTCAGATTCTCCTGCTATACTCTCACAACACAGAACATGTCTGTGACCAAATGTGTGTGGATTTTTTTCCCCACACACACTAAGCAATTCTCCAGCAATTAATTCTGCAGTGGACACCAGCTGGGTGTCCTCTAATTCTATTCAGTTCTGACTCTCAACCTCAAGATAGTTTCTGAGCCCACAAGTTGAGGGCCCAGTCCTCTTACTGACCCCACACACTACTTCAGATACCAGTCACAAGTAGTAGAGCCCATACTTCTGACCAACTGTCTGTAAATCAGGGTTCCCACGATCTTCTCTCTCTTTTTTTTTTTTTTTTTGAGATGGAGTCTTGCTCTTTCACCCAGGCTGGAGTGCAGTGGTGCGATCTCGGCTCACTGCTACCTCTGCCTTCCTGTTTCAAGTGATTCTTCTGCCTCAGCCTCCCAAGTAACTGGGATTACAGGGGTCTGCCACCACGCCTGGCTAATTTTTTTAATTTTTAGTAGAGACAGGATTTCACCATGTTGGCCAGGCTGGTCGCGAACTCCTGACCTCGTGATCTGCCCACCTAGGCCTCCCAAAGTGCTGAGATTACAGGCATGAGCCACCATGCCCAGTCATTGTTTTTTTGTTTTTGTTTTTTTTTGAGATGGAGTTTCGCTCTTGTCACTTAGGGTGGAGTACAATTCGCAATCTCGGCTCACTGCAACCACTGACTCCCAGGTTCAAGCGATTCTCCTGCCTCAGCCTCCCGAGTAGCCGGGGCTACAGGCGTACACCACCACTCCCACCTAATTTTTGTATTTTTAGTAGAGAGATGGGATTTCAACATGTTGGCCTGGCTGATCTCAAACTCCTGACCTCAGGTGATCCGCCTGCCTCGGCCTCCCAAAGTTCCGAGATTACAGGCGTGCACCACCGCGCCTGGCTGATCTTCTCTTTGAGTTTGATTAATTTGCTAGAGTAGCTCACAGAAGTCAAGGAAACACTTATGTTTACTGGTTTATTATAAAGCATATTACAAAGGATACATATCAGTGATCAGACAAATGGAAGAGATGCAGAGGGCAAGGCATTCAAGAACAGGTGCAGGCTGGGTGTGGCCACACCTGTAATCCCAGCTACTTGGGAGGCTGAGGCACAAAAATTGCTTGAACCTGGGAGTCAGAGGTTTCAGTGAGCCAAGATCATGCTACTGCACTCCAGCTCGGAATAAGACTGTATCTCAAAACAAAACAAAACAACAACAACAACAAAAAATACAGGTGCAGAGCTTCCATGCCCTCTTTAGGTGTGTCACCCCACAGGGAACCTCCACTTGTTCAGCTATCTGGAAGCTCTGAACCCAGTCCTTTTAGATTTTCATGTTTCATGGAAGCCTCATTATATAGTCACGATTGATTGAATTATCTGCCATTAGTGATCAACTTAACCTCCAGCCTTTATTCTATCCCCCAAAGCTGGAGGGGCAGGCAAAAAGTCCAAACCCTCTAATCATGCCTTGGTTTTTCCTGTGACCAGCCCTGTGGTCATCTTATTTGCATCCTAGATACTCTTATGACTCTAGAGATTCCAGAAGTTATAAGAGCTATATATCAGGAAACAAGGATGAAGAACAAATATATATACAAGTGACCATGCAAAAATGCAGGGGTTAGGGGTGGCACAGTAAAAAATCCACTTAGAAATTTTGAGTCCCCAAAAGCTTAATTAATAGCCTACTGTTGACTGGAAGCCTTACTGATAACATAAGCAGTCAATTAACACGTATTTTATTTTATATGCATTGTGTATTGTATTTTCACAATAAAGTTAGCTAGAGAGAAAAATGTTAGGAAAACTATAAAGAAAAAATATATCTACTATTTATTAAGTGGAAGAGGATCATCATAAAGCTCTTCATCGTCCTCATCTTCACATTGAGTAGGCTGAGGTGGGGGAGGAAGAAAAGGGGGTGGTCCTGCTGTCTCAGTTGACAGAGGTGGAGGAGGTGGGGAAGGTAGAAAGAGAGGCAAGAGAGGCAGATACACTTGGGTTATGAAAAGACATCCTAACTGATGTCTAATTGCTTTTTAATTTCTCTAAAAATGTTTCTGTATGGCAACAACTCTTCCACCATTTTCTTTAATTTTTCCGCCCCTATCACAAAACAGTTTATGTCATAAAATAAGTCAAAATGGGTCTAGAATAACCGAAATCCCCCTGCCAAATTGTCTACTGTCAGTTTGTTTTCTGGCATTACTTCTTCTACATCTTCTTCCTCATCACCTGGTACTGGTTTGGAACCACTTACCTCCATCAAATCTCCTTCCATTAATTCCTCCTGTGTGCTGTCTATTAACTCCAAGATTCTCCAAGATTCATATCTTGAACCCCCCTCCAACACATCATTTTTGCCATATCCGCTATCTCTTTCATGATTTGTTTGATTGTCTCTGTTGTAAGTCCTTAAGGTCATGCACAACATCTGGACACAATTTTTCCAGTAGGAATTTATTGTTTTAGGCTTGATGGCTTTCACAGCTTTTTCTGTAGCAACAGTGGCATCTTCAATGGTGTAATTCTTCCAGACTTTCATGATGTTCTACTGGGGTTCTCTTCCATAGCACTGACAATCCTTTCCATAAATTACCATGCATAATGAGCTTTAAAGATTCTTATGACTCCCTTGTCTAGAGGATGAATTAGAGATGTTATGTTTGGGGGCAGGTAGGCCACTTCTACACCATCAGTGTTGAACTCATGGGGTTCTGGGTGGCTGGTGTCATTGCCCAGTATCATGAGAACTTTAAAGGCACTTTACTGGCAAAGTACTTTCTGATTCAGGGTCAAAGCATTGATGGAACCAATCCAGAAAGAGTGAAAGAGTTCTTGTTGTCCAGGCATTCTTGTTGTACAACCAAAAGACTGGCAGCTGGTGTTTATCTTTTACCCTCAAGGCTTGGGAGTTAGCAGCTTTATGGACAAGGGCAGTCCTAATCATAAGCCAGACTGCATTTGCACAAAACAGTAGAGTTAGCCTATGCCTTCCTGCCTTAAATTGTGGTGCTTGCTTGCTTCTCTTCCTTACTGAAAAAAAAATGTCCATTGTGACTTTTTGGGCACTTTTGTCTGCATTAAAAACCAGTTCAGGCAGAAAACCTTTCTCCTCAATGATTTTCTTAATGGTGTCTGGGAGCTCATTTGCTACTTCTTGGTCAGCAGAAGCTGCTTCTTCTTCTGTTATTTTATTTTATTTTTTTATTTTTTGAGACGAAGTCTGTCGCCTGGGCTGGGGTGCAGTGGCATGATCTTGGCTCACTGCAACCTCTGCCTCCCAGGTTCAAGCGATTCTCCTGCCTCAGCCTCCTGAGTAGCTGGGACTACAGGCATATACCACCACGCCTGGCTCTATTTTTAGTAGAGATGGGGTTTCACCATGTTGGCCAGGCTGGTCTTGACCTCCTGACCTCAGGTGATCTGCCCGCCTCGGCGTCCCAAAGTGCTGGGATTACAGGCATGAGCCACGGCACCCAGCCTTCTTCTGTTATCTTGACAATTTCAAGCAACACCTCATTCTGAAATTATCAAGCCATCCTTTGCTGGCATTAAATTTTCTAGTTTTACCTCCTTCACCTTCCTTTTGCTTTAAGTTGCCAAATAATAATTTCACTCTTTCTCAAATCATATTAGTGTCTATACATATGTCTTTCTCACATTGATCTTAAAACCACATAAAAGGTGCACGTTCTATACAATATAAAAAAGTATTTTGCAGAAAGTACTGGTGTAATTGCAGCTATAGCTTAATGAATTTTTCTTTTTTTGCAATGGTTGTTAAGCTGGATTCATTTCTCTTGAAACGCTGGGCAACTGCAACTGCAGACCTCAATCTATGATATGTATCAAACAATTCAACTTTTTCTTGTAATGTGGTGACTTCTCTCTGTTTCTTGGGAGCACTTTCAGTAACACTAATAGCACTTCATATGGGCCCATGCTGTTATTCAAGGTTTACAATATTGCGCTAACATGAAAAATACATGAAAACTACAAGAGATATGTTTACTATGTAACATATTTTACTGGAGAAAGAACTGATCACTTGAAGATGATTAGCTTCACATGGTGCTTTAAATGCATACTTGATCCTTTCAACATGAATTGGCAACAAAAGATGGCTATAAAATTATTAAAATAGTACAGCTTATATGACTTAATTTTATGCAGTTATATAATACAGCATCTTTATGTTTGGTTACATTTCTCTGGACTGCAAATATCTTTGTAAGTGTTTGTGTTTGTACAGTTTGGTAAATTTTAACTTTTAATTGTAGATTTGTATCTATTTTATAGTAATAAATGATAAAATAGAGCAGTATTTACATATATTTTATGCATTTTCATGACATATCTAACCTTTTCTGAATTTTTTCAAAATTTCTGTGCTACACTGTGAGTTTTTTCAAATTGTCACAAATTTCACAAAAAAATTCAAATGTATCTATTGAAAAAAATCTGCATAACAGTGAGCCTTCACAGTTCAAGGCTGTGTTATTCAAGGGTTAGTTGTATATGTTATTAAAATTCACAATCTCACAAGGAGCTTATGCTGCTTTCTGACAGCCCAAGAATGCTTCCCATGCTAGCTCATGTCTTTATTTGATAGTAAATATGTTCCCCACCTAAAAGATGTCTGAAGCCCATTAGCTTTACTCATGGTGCCAGAAGTAGTGTAATATTTTTTCTTCTCTTAGTGAATTTCTTTTCCAGAAAAAAGAGTTGAAACTTAATAAGATCAATATAGAAGGCCAAAAGTTGTCCTGAGCAATGGGGTTATTTCTTAACCAGATGCTTGTCTCTTCTCCCCAGCTGCAACATTCCTCTGTACTGAATTTCTTTAGTGCCAAGGGGGATAAGTGGAAAGAGATGAAAATATAGCTGCTGTTGCATGGATGACCCCATTCACTCTGACTCCTTCAGCAAGTTTCATTTTTCCTTATAATTCTCGGAGGAATGCTTTGCCTAACCACCTACCCCAACATCTAGGATTTACTTTTAAGATGGTCAGTTAATATTGCTTGAACATAAACTTTTGGCCAGAGTAACTGGAAATTTAAGTTTATTAAACTTTTACATACTTAACTATGGTCTACAGGGTATTTTAAACTCTGCCATTTGGGTTTAGATCTGCTTTTTTACCCCCACCCCCAAATGTGCAGCAGTGTGAAATGTATGAGAACTAATTGGATAAAGTAATTTTTTTAAGACCTTGGTATCTTATTTCTGCCAGATAATAGAGAACAAATATAAAATATTCCCATGATTAAACACACCAGATACAGCTTGAATTTTTAGAATATTAAACAGGAGTGATAATGAGGAAGAACTTAGGTCCCTAATTACAAAAGGTTTACACACACACAGACACACACACACATCATATTAAGAATGTAAGTAAATCAAGTTACAACACAATATATGCAGTAAGATTTCCTTTCTTATAAAGCCAACTATATCAAGCAAATTAAAGTCACATATATGGAATATAATTTAATCTGTTTTACAAGTGAGGGCTGGGGGTGGTGGCTCAAGCCTGTAATCCTAGCTCTTTGGGAGGCTGAGACAGAAGGATAGCTTGAGCCCAGGAGTCTGAGACCAGCCTGAGAAATATAGTGAGACCATTGTCTTCACAAAATAAATAAATAAATAAATAAATTTCTAAAAATTAAAAATAGGGTAGGTACGGTGGGCCACGCCTGTAAACCTAGCACTTTGTGGGGGCCAAGATGTGCAGATCACTTGAGGTCAGGAGTTCAAGACCAGCCTGGCCAACATGGTGGAACGCTGTCTCTAATTACTTGAACCCAGGAGGTGGAGGTTGCAGTTAGCCAAGATCGCACCACTTCACTCCAGCCTGGTCGACAGGGCAAGACCCCTGTCTCAAAAATAAATTAATATTACAAAAAAGGTACAAGTGATTATGTATTTTTCATACAATGCATATTTCCTGAAAACACATTCAGTTTAGTAGTTACATTAGGGGAACAGAATACTATCATTATGGAAAGGAAGGCATCTTTATTTTATGCTTTGTATGCTTCTGTATGACTAGATTTTTTAAACCTCATGAAGGTATTACCTTTCCAAACAGTCTGCTATGATATTTATTGAACAAGTATTCAAATGTTTCCTTTGCATAGTTTACTACTTGGTGGTATTCTGCTTAGCAATGTCTATTGGAAGGTCCCAGTATATCCAATATAAATAAATGAAATAACATTGTACTATATTATTAGACTGTATTATTGGATTACATAAAAGTTTTTTTCTGATAAGAATGTCTGTTATATTTTTCTCTTCTTATTTCACAGTGATTAGGCTGACTGACTTTCTCTTTCACTTGCTGTTAGGATTTCTGGGGACATTACTTCCCATCTCCCTTATCTAGTCAGTTCAGTTCACCATTTTGCAACCAGGACTATCATTCACAAGCCTGGCAAAGCCTGACTGTGAAGTCTGTACCTCTACTCTCGCCTACTCCTTAGATGAAATGACCTGGAAGTAACACTACTTCTTATTGATCCTCCTGGCTATCATATCCCGTTCACCTTCTTCCAGGTTTATCCAAGATACCCTAATAATGTTTCCTATGCAAGGTAATCTTTTAACACAAGTCTAACTCCCACTTTCTGATTTCACACCTTCTACTGAGACTGAGCTTCTGATAGTATCAATACTCATATATAAGTTATTTTAACATGCATACATATATATTCTTGGAGGAGTAGACAGTACACATTTTTTATAGACTCATGCAGTGGGGTTTAAATACAATTTAGCTATTATGTAATTTTTGGCAAGTTTCTTAGCTTCTCTAAATCTTAGTTTCCAAATATGTTAAAAGAAAGTATATAAAAATTACCAACTTACAATTTCATTTTGAGGATGAAATGAATTATTGTACCCAAAGTACTTAAAGCAGCACCTAGCACAGAAAAATATGAAATAAAGATAGACCATTTTGATTATTTCATAGAAAGAAATGTCATGGTATTACTTATTATTAATGAATATGTTGAAGGAATAATTAGTAAAAATGAATATATGATATATATTGCAGTGCTTTGCATTGATGGCCTGATGCAAATAGCAGTAATTACTTACACAGGATGGCTAACATTTCTGGGAAAGACATTCTAATCAATAGTTGCTATCTGTGGTAGGTTAAGTGTTTGAATTAAAAAAAAAAAAGCAGTAATTCATTGTGATACTTCCAAATGCACTGTTCACATTTTAAGTTGGAGACAGATTATTACAAGAAATAGGAAAGATAATCCTAAATCTTAGTCAATTTTTTTTCTCATTACAGATTTTAAAAAGTGACTAGTAAGGGAGAATTTTGAGAGTCTAGAAAACCTGGAGGGAAAGAAAAAAGAGGGAAGGAAGGAGAGAAAAAAGGAAGGAAAGAAGGAAGAAAGGAAAAAAAGGAGGAAGGGAGGGAGGAGATAAAGGAAAGAAAAGGAAAAGAAAAAAGGCAGAAAGAAAAGAGAAAGAAAGAAAAAGAAATAGAAAGAAAGAAGGAAAGAGAATGGAAGAAAAAGAAAAGAAAAGAAAAGAAAGAAAGGTAGAAAAGAAAGAAGTAATGGAAGAAATTTGAGTATTAACAGAGGGCACTCAGGTTTCCAATTCAATACATCTCCTATGCATATTCTACAAATTAGATTGTCAAATATTCAGCTTCTCTCAGAAATTTAGGCTATTAGCCATTTACAACTTACTTTGAATTAATTTAATCAGATTATCAGATTAGGATTTTGCTTAGTGACTGCCAAAATCAGCCACCCTGAGGAAATTGGAGTTTTGATTGAAAAGTGGAACTGACAGGAAGTTTGGTTTGAAAGCACAGGGCTCTTGCTGGAGGAGGAGGGATTGTGGGTGTTCAGTGAGTTAGAAGAGCCTGAGATAGCCAGAGGGAAGCATGAGGGTACTGGATGCCTGGGCAAAGATTAAGAGAATTTGCCAAGAGGTGGGACATTTCCAAGACAAACAGCATACTTTACACTTTGGCTAAAGTCCCTCATGGCAGTACTCATTTTTGATATGTGCTCTCACTACATTTAATCGCAGTGACAGTTGTGAGATTAGAGGTACCGCTTTCTTCAAAAGGATCATTGAAAGTTGTGGGTTTATCCTTGTGTTTCTGTTTAGTTTTTTATCATACTAGTTTTATTTGTAAACCAAAATGCATTATATTTTAGACCTTTGCTCCAAAAGGCTAATGTAATAATTTTTTTAATGGACTTAAGATTTTAACTCTAAAACCTCATCAACATTCCATATATTATGATTCACATGGGACTTGTAAAAGACAGACTCCACACTTCAGAACTGCAATGGGCTTTTTGTTCCCACTGCTGAGTATTTCCGACTTCTTTTGAAGGTTATAAATTTACAACTTAGTATGTTTTATGGTGTGGTGAATATTGCGGAGAATGATCTGGCCAGATGAAAATGGGATTCTGTTGGCCCTCAATGTTCTTTTCTTGAGAGACCTACTCTGCATTTTAATACATGTTATACTATCTTCAAGTTTTAACCAAAATGTTAATTTGATTTTTTTTTTCTTTCAGTCAGGAACTTTTTGATGACATATTTGTATTCCACATTTCTTCACTTGTCCCAGTGTTTTATTGGGAAAGTGTTGAGGTGTCTTGGGATCTCTTCTGACTCGTTAAGCATGGAGAATGATTGGTTGTTAAACGCAGTAGGGGAATATTAGTAGGAAAAAACTGTTTTGGTTTTATGAATGGAGATGGGTGCCTGTCGACATTTAGAAATAAGGTTGGAGCACTATACTGGTGTATGTGCTGAAGATTTGGAGGTCATCAAACAACCTATATGTAAGAGTCAATGAGATTTAAAAGAATTGAAAAGAAAATCAGATATAAGAGAAGAACAAAACAGGAGAAACAATGTCATGGAAACTAAGGGAGTAGTTTTACTACTTTAATGTATATTTCTCAGAAATTGCTTTTTGGACATTACTTCCATACTTGAGAAAATATTTCTGTAACATACCTATTCAAGTGTTTAGATTAATTATTTTTTTCTGATTAAAACATTTTGCTCATGTATCTTTTAATTTTTAATTTTAGTACAATTGTATATTTACAAAATTATTGAAAAGATAATACAGAGAGCTCCCCACACTCAGTTTCTCAAATCTATCATATTAGTATGATATATTTATCACAATTAATGAAACATAATTGATACCTGGTAACACACCAAAGTCTATATGTTATTTAAATCTCCTCAGTGTTTCCCCAACACCCTCTTTCTATTCCATGATGATGTGCAGGGGTACCACATTCCATTTAGTAGTCGTATCACCTTAGTCTATTCTTGGTTGTGACAGTTTCTCAGACATTTCTTGCTTCTAATGACCTTTA
Source organism: Homo sapiens (assembly GCF_000001405.40). Classification (NCBI taxonomy): domain Eukaryota; kingdom Metazoa; phylum Chordata; class Mammalia; order Primates; family Hominidae; genus Homo; species Homo sapiens. Next base: position 16,409,546 of record NC_000021.9, read on the forward strand.
TAATTTTGTGGCTTACGGGTCACTTGTTCTGTGTAACATTCCTCAATTGGAATTTATCTGATATTTATCTCAGGCTTAGACTGGAGTCATGCATTTTAAGAGGAGGACCACAAAGATAAATTGCCATTCTCATCACCTGTTATCAAAGATGAATACTATCAAAATAACTTATCATTATTGATGTTGACATTGATCAGCTAGCTTGTGGAAGTGTTAATCAGATTTCCCCACTGTAAAGCCAATTATTTTCTTTCTGTCTCTTTCAACATCGTGCTTTTATATATATGTGTGTATATATATATATATATATATATATATATACACACACACATATATATATATACACACATATATATATATATACACACACACACACTATATATGTATTTTTATTACACTTTAAGTTCTAGGGTACATGTGCACAATGTGCAGGTTTGTTACATACGTATACATGTGCCATGTATACATATGTATACATGAGCCACGTATACATGTATACATGATACATGTATACATGAGCCATGTTGGTGTGCTGCACCCATTAACTCGTCATTTACATTAGGTATTTCTCCTAATGCTATCCCTCCCCCCTCCCCCCACCCCACAACAGGCCCCGGTGTGTAATGTCCCCCTTCCTGTGTCCAAGTGTTCTCATTGTTCAATTCCCACCTATTAGTGAGAACATGTAGTGTTTGGTTTTCTGTCCTTGGAATAGTTTGCTGAGAATGATGGTTTCCAGCTTCATCCATGTCCCTACAAAGGACATGAACTCATCCTTTTTTATGGCTGCATAATATTCCATGGTGTATATGTGCCACATTTTCTTAATCCAGTCTATCATTGTTGGACATTTGGGTTGGTTCCAAGTCTTTGCTATTGTGAGTAGTGCCACAATAAACATACTGTGTGCATGTGTCTTTATAGCAGCATGATTTATAATCCTTTGGGTATATACCCAGTAATGGGATGGCTGGGTCAAATGGTATTTCTAGTTCTAGATCCCTGAGGAATCGCCACACTGTCTTCCACAATGGTTGAACTAGTTTACAGTCCCACCAACAGTGTAAAGGTGTTCCTATTTCTCCACAACCTCTCCAGCACCTGTTGTTTCCTGACTTTTTAATGATCGCCATTCTAACTGGTGTGAGATGATATCTCATTGTGATTTTGATTTGCATTTCTCTGATTGCCAGTGATGACGAGCATTTTTTCATGTGTCTGTTGGCTGCATAAATGTCTTCTTTTGAGAAGTGTCTGTTCATATCCTTTGCCCACTTTTTGATGGGGTTGTTTGTTTTTTTCTTGTAAATTTGTTTGAGTTCATTGTAGATTCTGGATATTAGCCCTTTGTCAGATGAATAAATTGCAAAAACTTTCTCCCATTCTGTAGGTTGCCTCTTTACTCTGATGGTAGTTTCTTTTGCTGTGCAGAAGCTCTTGAGTTTAATTAGATCCCATTTGTCAATTTTGGCTTTTGTTGCTTTTGTTGTTTTAGACATGAAGTCCTTGACCATGCCTATGTCTTGAATGGTATTGCCTAGGTTATCTTCTAGGGTTTTTACGGTTTTAGGTCTAACCTTTAAGTCTTTAATCCATCTTGAATTAATTTTTGTATAAGGTGTAAGGAAGGGATACAGTTTCAGCTTTCTACGTATGGCTAGCCAGTTTTCCCAGCACCATTAAATAGGGAATCCTTTCCCCATTTCTTGTTTTTGTCAGGTTTGTCAAAGATCAGATAGTTTAGATGTGTGGTATTATTTCTGAGGCCTCTGTTCTGTTCCATTGGTCTATATCTCTGTTTTGGTACCAGTACCATGCTGTTTTGGTTACTGTAGCCTTGTAGTATAGTTTGAAGTCAGGTAGCGTGATGCCTCCAGCTTTGTTCTTTTGGCTTAGGATTGACTTGGCAATGCGGGCTCTTTCTTGGTTCCATATGAACTTTAAAGTAGTTTTTTCCAATTCTGTGAAGAAAGTCATTGGTAGCTTGATGGGGATGGCATTGAATCCATAAATTACCTTGGGCAGTATGGCCATTTTCACGATACTGATTCTTCCTATCCATGAGCATGGAATTTTCTTCCCTTTGTTTGTGTCCTCTTTTATTTCATTGAGCAGTGTTTTGTAATTCCCCTTGAAGAGGTCCTTCACATCCCTGGTAAGTTGGATTCCTAGGTATTTTATTCTCTTTGAAACAATTGTGAATGGGAGTTCACTCATGATTTGGCTCTCTGTTTGTCTGTTATTGATGTGTAAGAATGTTTGTGATTTTTGCACATTGATTTTGTATCCTGAGACTTTGCTGAAGTTGCTTATCAGCTTAAGGAGATTTTGAGCTGAGACGATGGGGTTTTCTAGATATACAATCATGTCATCTGCAAACAGGGACAATTTGACTTCCTCTTTTCCTAATTGAATACCCTTTATTTCTTTCTCCTGCCTGAATGCCTGGCCAGAACTTCCAACACTATGTTGAATAGGAGTGGTGAGAGATGGCATCCCTGTATTGTGCCAGTTTTCAAAGGGAATGCTTCCAGTTTTTGCCCATTCAGTATGATATTAGCTGTGGGTTTGTCATAAATAGCTCTTATTAGTTTGAGATACGTCCCATCAATACCTAATTTATTGAGAGTTTTTTAGCATGAAGGGCTGTTGAATTTTGTCAGAGGCCTTTTCTGCATCTATTGAGATAATCATGTGGTTTTTGTCTTTGGTTCTGTTTATATTCTGGATTACATTTATTGATTTGCGTATGTTGAACCAGCCTTCCATCCCAGGGATGAAGCCCACTTGATCATGGTGGATAAGCTTTTTGATGTGCTGCTGGATCCCGTTTGCCAGTATTTATTGAGGATTTTTGCATCGGTGTTCATCAGAGATATTGGTCGAAAATTCTCTTTTTTTGTTGTGTCTCTGCCAGGCTTTGGTATCAGGATGATGCTGGCCTCATAAAATGAGTTAGGGAGGATTCCCTCTTTTTCTATTGATTGGAATAGTTTCAGAAGGAACAGTACAAACTCCTTCTTGTACCTCTGGTATAATTTGGCTGTGAATCTGTCTGGTCCTGGACTTTTTTTGGTTGGTAGGCTATTAATTATTGCCTCAAGTTCAGAGCCTGTTATTGGTCTACTCAGAGATTCAACTTCTTCCTTATTTAGTCTTGGGAGGGTGTATGTGTCCAGGAATTTATCAATTTCTTCTAGATTTTCTAGTTTATTTGCATAGAGTTGTTTATAGTCTTTTCTGATGGTAGTTTGTATTTCTGTGGGATCGGTGGTGATATCCCCTTTATCATTTTTTATTGCGTCTATTTGATTCTTCCCTCTTTTCTTCTTTATTAGTCTTGCTAGTGGTCTATCAATTTTGTTGATCTTTTCAAAAGACCAGCTCCTGGATTCATTGATTTTTTGAAGGGCTTTTTGTGTCTCTGCCTCCTTCAGTTAACATCATGCTTTTTGAAAAGAGGTCACTACACTCAGCCGCCAGTTAACAAACAAGTGAAAAATTATGTTCTACCTCTTTAAGAATATATATATATATATTCCTAAATCCTATATATCACAATCATATATATATATATATATATATATATATATATATAGAGAGAGAGAGAGAGAGAGAGAGAGAGAGAGCCAGGTGCGGTGGCTCATGCCTATAATCCCAACACTTTGGGAGAGAGAGGTGGGTGGATCACTTGAGGTCAGGAGTTCAAGACCAGCCTTAGCAACATGGTGAAACACCATCTCTACCGAAAATACGAAAATTATCGGACTTGATGGCAAATGCCTGTAATCCCAGCTTTCCAGCTACTTGAAAGGCTGAGGCAGGAGAATCAGTTGAACCTGGGAGGCGGAGGTTGCAGTGAGCTGAGATTGCACCACTCACTAAAGCCTGGGCAACGAGAGTGAAACTCCATCTCAAAAAAAAAAAAAGCAACAAAACAATTTTCTGCATGGAATATCTGTTTATTCTCTGTATGTTTATTGTTTATTCATCTAATCATTTACTTACATCAGTATGGATTCATGGATATTTATTTTATACTTGGGTTATCAACCAATACTACTTTACTTTGTTGTTTAAATTGTTTCAGCATTAGTAATTGGGACTTCTTTCAGCTGTCACTTATATGCTTTTTTTAAATATCCCACCATTGTTTATTTTTATTTTATTTTTTAGCACTTACTTTCTTTGTGGCACTATGCTCCAGGTCCACCTTATATATTTCTTGTCAAGTCCTAGAATCAAGCATTTCTCTAAGGAGTCCTAGTGTCTTTGATTGGAGAATGGTATTAGAAACTAATATCTGGTTTCTAGGTATGCTCACTTCCACGGTGCTGTCATTGCTTCTAGACCTTCTCAGCTGACAGAACATGAACATAGATTTATTTTGATCTTCTTTAATTTTTTTATCAGTGTTTTGTAGTTTTGCACATATACATGCCATACATATTCTGTTACATGTATATCTAAGTACATAATGTTTAGATTCTATTATGAATAATATTTTTAAAATTTCAAAAGTCAAGTGTTTATTTCTGGTAAAGGGGAAAGCATTTGACTGTTGTGTATTAAGCTTGTGTCCTAAAACCTTGCCAAATTGGCTTTTTTTTTTTTAATTTCTTTGGGATTTTCTATATAGACATATCATGTGTGACTAGACAGTTTTATATATTCCTTTCCAATATTTATGTTTCATTTCCTTGTCTTGTATTATTTCATCAGCTAGGACTGCTGGTATGATGCTGAATAGGAGCAGTGACAGGGAACATCCTTGTCTTTTCTCTGTCTTGGGGGAGAGTATCTAGTTTCTCACTGTTAGGTATGATGCTAGTAGCTATTTTGTAGATGTTCTTCATCAATCTGAAGATGTTCTCCTCTATTTTTAGTTTGCTAACAGTTTTTATCCTGCTTGAGTGTTGGATTTTGTGAAATGTTGTGTCTTGTGTCAATTGATATGATCATATTTTGTGTTGACTTTCAAAAATTGAACCAACCTCGCATATATGAAATAAAGACCACTTGGTCTTCGGGTATAATTATTTCAATACATTGCTAAATTATACTGGCTAATGTTTTATTAAGGATTTTTATGTCTACCTCCATGAAGGATAAGGGTGTACAAATTTCCTTTCTTGTAATATATTTATCTAATTTTGGCATTAGGAGTAATGCTGGCCTCATTCAATGCGTTAGAAAGCGTTCCTCTGCTTTTATGTTTTGGAGGGGATTATGGGAAACTGATGTGAGTTCTTCCTTAAATATTTGGTAGAACTCACCTGTGAAACCATTTGGATCCAGTGGTTTCTTTGGGGAAAGATTATGAATTATTATCTCAACTTATTTTAGATATATGGCTGTTCGTGTCATCAATTTCTCTGTGTGTGTTTAGATTGTTCTTAATCTTTCTGAAACTAAAAAATATATTTGATAAAATATAAAAGTGCCTCTAGAGATTCCCTCAAAAAAAAAAAGCAGATTTATAGGCTTAGAAAATGGAATGAAGCTGGTAATGTTTAAAAAAAATTATACTGAGAATGCAAAATCATTTTTGAAATTCTGGTCAAATTAATAAGATAGATATCTTCCCTCCATTACTTCAATGTACCATATTTTTGTTTGTTTGTTTGCATGTATCTGTGTGCCTCTCTGTTTGCTAAATTAAAAAAATTTCTATTTTGACAATTACATGTCATATTATGTTTTATTTTAAATTATTTCCATATGACCTTTGTGGAGAAGATTTACTTAATCATTTAAGCTTATTTTCTTTATAATAGTTTGAGTTGTTTCATGATCACATTCAACTTAATTTAACTTTATTTGAAATTGTTTCTCAATGTATTCTGGTTATTCTCATTAAGAAATAGGTGTTCAAAATACCATGTCATTATTAGCATATCTTGCTTAAAGTGAAAGCCATTGTAGCATGGTTTGCAATTTACTTTGGAGTAACAATGGGGTTTTGTGAAGAAAGATTATGTCTCAGATTTTATTTTAAAATGTTAGAATTTCAAGAGATAAATAGTCTTCTTGGTCTCAACTAGCATGAGAAGTAGAGGGGAAATATTTTCATAAAAAGTAAAAGAGACTAACAATTGTAGTTTCACGCAACCAATATTATATTAGTTGTTTTAAGACAATGACATCATGTAGCTGTAGGATGACAAAAAAAATGGCATTTTTCAAATAGCACCTTTCTCCATAATTTGTTTATTATAATTATTTGAATATGTGATAATTACTAATATTGTCATAATAGTCTGCCACATTTACGAAAACACTGGACGTTACCACCTCAGCATTTTAATTGCTCACCACAGTGCCATTTTCTTTAGGACTGGTTGTTTTGCTTTCAGTTTGCTTCCTAGACTATCATCATGAGATCAAAAGCTGTGTTTTTTATACCACATGACAGCCCGATGCCCCACACAGGGTCAGCATTAAACTGAATTTTTGATAGGATCAGGTGAGCCAAAGGATGAATAAATGAGTACTCACGTTCAGGTGGCATCAGGTGGGAATTGTGGCTAGGTAAAATGGCATCTTGTTACAATGGTAATTTCAGTCACCTATTCCTTACCTCTTCTGGGCAGGCGGATTGATTTGCAATTGGCTTCTTTTCTTCTTTCTCACTCTACTAATACTAGATGGAAATCTCATTGACTCTTAACAACAAAGCAATTATCTTACCATATTCACAGGTTCTACCCCACCTACTAGGGAAGTAAAAGTATACAGGTAGTGGAAATCTTGGGGCCATCTTAGAATCCTGCCCACCACAAGCAGCAAAATATTCCTACTCCATTATGTTTCCCATAGCTACCTTGTGTCTTCCAACTTCGTGTGAGTGGTGTGTTTGTTGCTTTGCTTATGGGCAAAGATGATTTTTTGGGGGAGATATTTGATTAACCTTCTAATTTCTTTTATCTTTGACACCTTCAGTCTTCCTTCATTTACCTTTATACAGACTTTTTTATAAGGCCACTTTTCTTTTCCTTTTTCCTTTAGGGTCTCTTCCCTTTGCATAGATTATTGGAACTCTCCACTTACAAAGACTAGCTTTTATGCTTCCAACTCTTGATATAAAGTTTTTATCTAGCATCAGAACTTGAATGTGAGTTGTCCATGTGTCAGAACTGTCTTTCAAAATCAAAAGTTTCACATACCATTTTCAATTAACCCAAAGGAAATGCTAGGCACCTATTTATTCCACAATTATTTTTAAAGTCTGTATGTATTAATTGTGTACATACTATTTTATTATTTACAAAGTGAGTTAAGCACAGTATTCCTGTTCAAAATATGAAAATAAGTATCATGGAAAAGTGGCAAATGTGTCTTGTGTTCCTTCATTTTTAGCACCTTGTTATTCCTTTTATATAAAACTCTGGTGTACACACAGTTTTTCCTCTTTTCTGGAAAATGTGAATAAATTACATTTCCTTTGTACATTCCATGCTGTCTTAGACAAAATCAAACACTTGAGTATAGAAATGAATTGTATTCCAGTAGTAGATAGGACAATTTTTCACTCCTTTCAACTTAGGCATTGTATTAGTTTTCTACAAATAACAACTATAGACTGAACGACTTAAACAACAGGAATTTATTTTTTCACGATTCTGGAGGCAAGGAGTACCAGCTCAAGGTATTGGCAGGGTAGGTTTTTCCGAGCCCCATCCTTTGCTTTGCAAATGGATATCTTCTCCCTGTGTCTTCACATGGTCTTCTCTGTGTTTTTGTGTCCTAACCTCCTCTTCTTATAAGGACACCAGTCACTGGATTCAGGCCCATCCTACTGATCTCCTTTAATTTAATTACCTCTTTAAAGACACTAACTCCACCTACAGTCGGATTTTGAGGTACTGGGAGTAAGGACTTCAGCATCTGAATTTGGGGGGAGACAATTCAGCCTGTAACAGTCATGATATGAATTAACTGCTATTGTGCATGAGATGTCTAACGAAAAGACAGAAAAGAAGTGTAAAGAAGTGATTACTGAGATCAACAAATGTTGCTATAGGACTGCCAGTCTATAGCTACTGCAGATATATATATATATATATATATATATATACATAAAACAATGTGATAGTGGGTGATTTGTAGATGGTAATAGACCATTCAGAGAAACAAGCTGAATATTTTCTTACATTGGAAAAAAAGGGGGACACAAAAGAAATGATTTCCCAGCATTTTATTAGATTCCATAAGAATTCTGAGCATCAAACTATACACTGCTATATATGAAGCCAGATCCAATGGGAATCTTTTGATTTTACATATCGATCACTTTCAAAATAAGGATACTAGCCTTATTTGCTGTGCAATATTATCATGACATATATTTTTAATTTATTGGGTCTTTCAGTTTTTGTGCATCTATAAAGCCTAATAGTTCAGCCTCTCTGTAGGCATCTTTGCTACTTCCTATCTGAGGAAATAATGTTTTATTATAAAATTACAATTTTTTGTAATTTAGATCTCTAGTTTCTAAGATAAGAAAACAGATCTATCATTTGGGGCAAGAATAGAAACAAAATAAACTCTCCTCTTAAAGCAAGGGAAACAACTTTCTGAAAAAAAAAATTGAAGACACACCTTTCATGTATTTTAGGAACATTTCACTTTTGCTCATCTTCTGACTGCATTGTGAACCATCATAGCTAGATCAAAATTAGTTATGTTAATAAACAAAAACAAAAATTCTGTCTATTTGCCTTACATTAAGAGATATCCTTTTGCCTGATGCAACAACAGAAACTAAAATCTCTAACGAAAAACATGCTGGCTTCTCTCACCATCGTTGTCCAATAGGAAGGAATTTGGTCAGGAGTAAAAATAACTCAGTTATGATCCATGTTATTACACTCCTCTGAGCTTCTTTCTCTCTTCCACATGTTGAATGACTTACTGGTTTATTTTTGCCACATACATAATGTTTGGCTCCTATCTCATGTGCAATCAATCTTAATTATTGGATCTCTTTCCCCCCTACAATCAGATCATTTTGATTATTACTTTAATTGTACATTCCCTAACTAACTTCTCTCTAGTTTGTTTTTAACTTCAGGCTACCTGTGGGCATAACGTTGTACAATTCAGAATGTGAATTTTACACTTAGCCTAATAACTAAATAAGCTTAGAAATTTAGGTACGGTAAATTAGGTCACTTGGTACCTTTTCGTACAAGGAAAGCAAACTTCTTGTGTGCCTAGGTGTTGCTTTTGGAGAAACTTTCCTGAGCATTGAGGAGTCAGTGCTAACTCCTGCAAGCATGTGAGTCTCTCCGACTCTGTGATGCCAACTTACCATCTTGCTGTAGTCGAAGAGCTTTAGGTTGGAGTGAATGGGTACCATCTTTGTTCTTAGAGGTGGACTCTAAGGACCTTGTTTTTGTAGGAACACACAAGGGCTATTTTAGTGTTAATTTGAACACATCAGAAGAGTTTACATCAGAATTTCAAAGAAACGTAGGAATCCTTGTTACCTTTAAATCTCAAATTTTCTCCATGATATAAAATATCAGTCTTCTTTTAAAAGATCAGAAATTACCCCAATGACCAGATCCAAATGCTGAACAACAAACAGTCCAGATTTACCATGAGGAATAGGGTTAATATTTGCTCCCCAATGACAAATCCCAACCCGGAACAGATTTCAGCCAGGCAGCTAGCAAAGCTCGCGGGTGAACTGCACAGGCCATGGTGGGTGCAGAGCTCAGAGCCGGAAAGCAAACAGCTGCTGTAGCCTGATTTGAGTTAAAATAGTGTGAGTGTTTAGTCTGGCGCACGGCTTCAGGGGAGATTGGCAGCTGGGTCAAACAAAGTCCTTCCATTGGCTCCCTTCCCAGGCAGCTTCTGCTAGTGTTTAGGTACTAGTGCAGTGTAGAACCCTTTTCTCAGGCAAAACCTAACATCTGACCGCACCCTTTTTGCTATTAAAAAAAAAAAAAAGCTTCTATTTTTTTCCTCCTGTCGTTAAGATAAATTCTCCAGTAGACAACCTCTCCCACTAATTGTGTATTAGCAACGTATTTTATCTTGAGAGCTTGTACACTGGGCTCTCAACGTGGTGTGGAAGGTAGCCTGTTACAGTGCTGGATTCATAAAAGGGCCTTTATGGTTTGTGAAAGAATATCTGTGTGCTTAGGGAGGAAACTTTTTGATCTGCAGAAAAGCCAGAAGACATCTAGGTAAGGCTACGATATCAAATCTACTTTTTTGGGGGAAAGTTGGGCAGTGAGACTGCTTAATCGCAACCAATGTGAGTTTAGAGGGTGCATGTTCACTTTTGTAGAAGTTCAAAATGTACTGACGATTGTTTGCTTATTTTTTGTTTGTTTGTTTAAATCTTAAAGGAATACTGTCGTCTGCGTTTTTACGATTTTGTTTTCTTCTATTGAACCCATTACAGTGGATATAGAGTTTTATTATATAGCGAAATCTTTGTAAACTGCCACAGAAAGAAAGTGTTATTTAGAAGGGAAATTGACAAGTTTTAAAGAGTAATTGTACAATCATTTGAGGACAGAGGAACACTGCATTATACTAATAAGGGTTTAATTACCAAAAAAAGTTTAATGTTGCTTTGGAAGGAATATTAAGTAAGTTGTCTTTGTCTCTTACTTTTTAATTTTAGTCGCTGATTTAGCCTGTTGGGTCACATTTTTTGTTAGTGCTGAAGGCTGCCATGAATCCGTAATGAGGCCCCTTTGCACATGATTTTGGCACTTGGCCAAAATCAACTTCCCAGCGGCAAGCTTTCTCTAAAGAACCTGGAGCAATTTCTTTCTTTTTTTTTTTTTTTTTAAATCAGGAATCATGTCTGAAAGCTGCCACAACCAGTTGTATAGGCATGTCAAAATGACTTTATACAGTCAATATGAAACAAGCATTAAATATTTTTTCTCATGTTGTTGCTTTTATCATTATGAATTCCTTGCTTGTTGCCACCTAAGATACGATGGAGCAAGCACAGTCTTAAAGAAGATTTGCTGATTTTTTGTTTTTCTCAGCAGACCAGAGTAGGTATGATCATCTTATTGAGAAGTATACAGTGCAAAAAAGGTTTTTCAAAACACTACAGGATAAATAACAAATGAATTCTTAAAACTGTTAATCTCTGTAAGTAATACTCAGTGAACAGTAAGTAATGGAGTTTTCTAGAAGTTTCATCGTGCGCGCAATTAAGCTTAACATTTTTATAGTGTTTTTGTCTATGTTAAAAGGTAGCATTTGGGATTTTTAAAAATGTCAGCATTTGCTATATAATTTTAAAAACGTATTAACACCTTGATATTATTTCTAACAAATGTTTTAATAGAAATGCTTGGTATATAAACATGGCTGAATAACTTTTAAGTAATTGTGTTTAATTGCTGTTTTGCAATAAAAGGATAATTTTTCATGAAATAAATTTTGAAGCTCAAAGGTACTTAACATCCAATTTCTGGAACTGTTATTAATTTTGATATTACTATAACTGAATTTTGTTCTGTAAGCCAATTTTATACTCTAGTGTTTTAAGAGTTAAATTCACGAGTGGCAATGAAATACTATAGCAATCAAATATTAACACCTCAAATTTTCTATAGCCATTTTCAATAATATCTTTAGACATTAAACATAGGTACTCTACAGAATAATTAGAAGTAGAAAAGTGTAATATCAGTTGCTCTATTTTGTTTTTTTAAAAGAAATTTTATTATCACTATCGTAAATACTATTATGCCTTGTGTGTTAATCTGTAGTAATCCAGAGTGCAACTTTATTTTACTAGAAACAGTCATATTTCTCTTTAAAATATTGATGAGAATCAGATACATTATTTTTTAAGAGTGACCTAATTAAGAGATTTCTTAATAGGCATGTTTATTCTGTATTTGTCTTCCCTTTACAGTATAGAATATTGCAAATTTTGGTGATAGAAAAAATCATATTAATTTTAGGTAAATTTTAGGATTAGAAATTGCCTCCTGATTTCCTTCAGGTCATTTTTTGTAAATATACAATTTATATTTGTTTTGCTGTGGACCAAATTATGATACTGTAAAAACCTTGCTATTAGTTTAACCGAGGAATGGAGTGTTTGGAATTTTCATACTAGTCAACATTAAAAGCCATAGAAGTTATAAATTGTTATTAATAGAAATTTACCTAGATAAGGTCTCTTTGTATGTGAGTTTACAGCTGAATTCTTATTTAATGTAATCTTTGTAATTTATATAAAAGCAGTTAATAAAGGTAAATATTTCAAAACTTGGATTAAAAACCAAACATTTTCACATTTATTATCATGAAACAGGTGCAGGAAAAATAAGATAGCTTCTCTTGTTGAGCATGATTCTCACTTAAAAATTAATTTTGAATTCAATTTTAATTTTAATTTTAGCTCTTACACACATCTTCTGTTTTTATTTTTTGATTATTTTGAATCAGTTGTTGTACTTAGCATTTGAAATTGATAGATTATTTTTCTAATATTTACTAAGAAATGTTTTAACTGAAAATTATAGGGTATTCTTTGTTAATCAGAGCCCATAGCAAAGTAAATGCCATCAAATATAGAACTTTTGGAGTACACAGAAGTGTTAGTTTGCGAGTTCAGAAGAAACTTACTTGTACACGATTACTGACAAATGTTTTTTAGTTGAGGTAGAAACAAGTAAGTATTAAGGACAATTTAAATTATCTTCCTTACTGAAATAGCTAAAAAAATTGCTTTCTTTTGCTATGGCAATGCGTTGTAATTATTTCCATAATCTAGGCTTTTTAGCAGAATTATTAGCTAGTTTTCCTTAGGACCAAAAATGCAAAACACTGATTACATTTCCTTCATTGAGTTAACATTTTAAAAATACTATATGGAAATGTAATTACTTTTAAAAAGAAAAATATTTTAATATTTTTGTTGAATTTCTTCAATTTATAAAGAATAGCTCGAACAAGTTTTTCGTTCATCTTTTCCCCCATACTTATATTGGAAATATTAAAATCTATGAAATTTTACAATGTGGAATCTCTTTTACTCTTCAGAAAAAGTTAAATTCATTTATAGTTGTCAATTCAAATTATGGACTTTTACCATTTTAAATGTGACAGGGTTTTTTGTTTGTTTATTTTAATTATGCAACAGGCACTTAAAATACTTTCTTTCCCTCCAATTAAAAGAGACATTAAATAATTAAACATCAACTTTTATTCTGTATTGAAAAGAAAGCTTTACCATTGCAGTATTTTATCCACAATTGTTTAAATGTGAGAAATGTTTACAACAGGGTATTTTAGGTGAGCATTTATCATTTAAATGAAGTGCTTTGTTCTGAGGAGTCTAAAATTCAGCAATAAGATAAATGCATTGCTACATTAGATTGAACATCATTGTTGAATTTTTGGCACAACTTCAGTGACCTCGGCCATAAAAACTAGTATAGTCAGGATGATTTGGAATTTGCAGTAACAAAACTAGATATAGAAGCACGTGAAGACACCAACCTTTGTTGTTTTGGAGAAAGTATGCACTAAAATAAAAGATGATACCTTTCATATAAACTGCTAATAATAATACTTTGTTATTTCATTAATACAATAAAAGTGAAATATTAAAACAGTAATTATAATCTGTAATGCATTTGTAAGGCTTTTCTCATAAAATTAACTGCCATATTTTACTCTTTTATTAGATGAACAAATGTCATATTTCCAAGCAGCCAACATAGAACTATAGCTTATATAACCAAATAATTTTTTAATGTTACTTTGATTTATATACAATTGATATTGTATAGAAAGAATCACGTTAGCTGATTTTAAGTCTTGTTCAAATAAAAGAAGCATTGATTTGCACTTGTTGCAATTTTTTTACTTTATATTGGTTTAATTTTAAAATTATCACAAAGTAAATATTACTGTTTGATATCATTCTTAAACATTCATTTTACAAGCCACCTGACCTATTAGCTGTTTAAACAATGATGATTTATATCTTGCTATAAATTCTTCTCTCAAAGTCAAGACAAATAGATCAGTAAAAGAACCTCTTTTTTAATGCTCAAAATTTTTTCTTAAAAAACAAAGAATTTTTTTAGTTTTCTTTTGTTTATGTGTTCATGTGTATTTGCCAACCTGTGTTTTTGCCTACATCCTGAAATATATGTCTTTTGAACTCGAGGTTGGAAAGTCTGATAGCAGGCTCTTAAGTTTATTCTTATTCCATATTATTTTTTATAAACAAATTTATTGAGTTTCTTACTGAGAGTAAGTCGATATATGAATCAATATTAATGATCACATCAAATCTGAGGATTTGCTTCCTTTAAAGCGCTGAATATTCAGCATAAATTTGTGCTAATTTACGTGTTTATAGAGTGATTCTAAATATTTGATTAGTATTCGTTTTAAAGATTTACTAATTCTTTGAAAATCTGGAGAACTATCGTTTGCTTAAAAAACTAATATCTACTAAAGTTGTAATTGTCTCTGCTTTGCTATTATTGAAATATTACATAATCTCTTGTTTAAAAATATCATGAGACTAAGCTATCGTGCCTTTCTTTCCATTTCTCCCACTAACATCTGAGGTCAACGTCTGTAAGAGGAAATATCTGAAAATATTTCAAAAACATTTTCTTTCCTGTGATAATCAACTGCTTTATCATTTGCAGAGATTTTGAAAGGAGTAACTGTTTTATTTGAATGCTTAGATAAATGTGAGGAATATATGGGCTTTCTGTGGACTTCAGTTTTAAAACTAAAATAGAAAGTAAGATGGAGAGTAATAAAATGATATATTTTATAGCAACTAATTACAACTTGCTGTTCATACATAAACAACACGCTGGAAAGGTAGACAGTGGGCTTTGAGAGCAGCTTTCATTTACTCAGTCTGTAAGAACTCGTGAAAATGGTGTCAAAGGGATGGTGGTGATCCATTCTGTATGGTCCATGGTGCTTTAAGCTTATACAGTCATTTACCATATTTAAATCCCCGAGTCTTGCCTCAGAGCCCCAATCACCAATCTGAGATATTTTTACAAGGAGAGAGGAGTTACACACTCATTCTTGTTCACTGGAGGATCTGTGATAGCGTTTCCTTGGCAGAAGCAGGGTTCTTCTCTGTATAGTGATTTTTTTTAAATCCCTGTTTAGGTAGTTCAGCTCGTTCAGTTGGACAAATCAGCATTATAACCAAGCTGACTCAGCCTTAGCAAGGATCACTAGTTTTTCATTTTGCCCTAAACCTGGGCATTTTCCTGAAGAATATGGACAGTTGTGCATGAAAGGTCAAGTTGCTAAAAATTATAGAACATGCATGTTCTACTTATGAGTTACTAAGTTGTGTTTTGTGTTCAAAATAGTATATATAAATACATGTTTTGTGTACAGAATATTTAAACAGTGATAGAAACAGTTGTTCTGAAATTTAAGTTATGGGATTGGCTTTATTCCAATTCTACTTGAGATGTCATCCAAAATTACTTTTCGAAAGCACTGCTTTGAAAATTTCCTGTTACAGTCTTCATGAAGTATAGTGATCTGGATATGAATTTTCTGCTAGTACAGGAGTTTGGGAAAAATACAAGTATATGACTATTGCATGTTCTGTGGGATTCTAATCTGATCACATGCTCTTTCCTCTCCATTCCTTGGGCCCATTCATAAATATTCTATGGAGAGTTATTTTTTTTTTCCTGTCAACAGCCAATTTTAGTCTTTATTTTAATTTATTTCTTTTTAGAGATAGGATCCTACTATGCTGCCAGGCCTGGAGTGTAGTGGCTCTTCACAGGTGTGATCATGGCCCACTATAGTCTTGAAGTCCTGGGCTCAAGAGATTCTCCCACCTCAACCACCAATTGTAGATGTATTCAGATAGCATGACATTTGAAAAAGTTGATGGAGAGAAAATTCCTACTGAAGTGTGTTATAGATATCTCTAAAACATCTTTGGTTGTCAGGAAATGAATCAATGATATAGAAACAAACAATGATTTGTAATCTTGGCAGATAAACAGAGAAATAATCAGTTCAGAATATTTATGGAATGATAACATTTTCCTGTTGATATATTTTTGTGCCAACAAATTTAATTTGGAAACTGGTATTTGTTACTAGAAGGCAGTAATCAATTTTGGTAATCAGTAGTTTTAAATGCTTTATTCAAGACCAAGGGCTGATTTATTGAATGAATAGGTCTTAGATAAAATGTAAGCTATTGGGCCAACCCATATCTGGAATTTGTTTTTATTTTCAATACCCAAGTCATTAAGTGTAAATGTAATAGTATTTGCATATTTTCAACTTTCAGATTAGTCATGTCTACCTTTGAAATTTGTTTTCTCCTTAGATAAGTAACTTATGAGTAATCAAATATCTTGCAATTTCCATTTTCCATCTTAAAGCCCGTGCAAGATCAAATTTGCAGTTGCTAAATCACATAAAAGTCTGGATTAATAGCAAAATGAGATTATGTAGCCCAAAATGAAATTATAAATAAAGTGCAGGTGTTTGCTAGGATTTGTGTGGTCAGATATACAAATAGAATCACAGGTAGAGTTTCTCATTTCTCACTTGAGAAAAGTGCAATTAAAAGTAATTTCCAGATGTTCAAATGCACAGCTGCTTTCTCCTAAACTAAATTTTGCAGAAATGAGCTAAATTATAATGGGTTTAAAAGTCACTACGTTTTAATGGTTTTTAAATTGAATTTGAAACATCATTACTAGGTTTACCAGATGAAGAGAGTTAATGCTTATGAGTACCTGGTACAATTTTCATTTAGGTGGCAGCAGAGCCATTAACGTATTGGAAATTATAATAAGACCAAAACTTACATTGGGTTTGAAAAAATTGATTAGTATGTGTGTTGATACACTCCATGCCTTTATGAGATTTATATTATATACTCTATGACACTATGAAAGTTATTCAGCTATAGGTGAAAGAAACGTGTGTATATGTTCATAAAATGGTATGTGTGGGGGGGAGGTGTGGGTGTGTATGTGTGAAAGAGATTTTTACATTTTCTTTGCCTAATGAAAAGGAAAATAGCAAGAATAAGATGCAAGTACACTGTTTGAAATATGCAAGTCTATTAAATTGTTTTTACATATCAAATTATAAGCAATGACTATGAACCTACATATCTGTAATATCAACTTAAAAAAATCCATCTATTTTACTCAGAGTTACTTACATGCCCAATAGCAATAAGCTACTGTCATAAATATTATCCCATTAAGTAAAGTCCTGTTCTTGACTAAGTTTTCTTGGGCTTGAAATAGGCTTTTCTTTGCAGCCAGGAATAGCCAAGTTTTTTCTAAAACTCTTACGGGAAGGCGTGTGGATGGTTAAACGAGGAATGGGAGGTAAAAAGTGGGGGCATTGCATTGGAATAGAGAATTAAAGAGCTTTTACCCTACGTAAGCTCAGAAATTTATCATTAAACAATCCATTAGTATTTCCACAACAGTTTTCAAAGCGCACTGCTGAAAGAATTTCAAAAATTTGACCTTGGAAGTGATTAGAAAACTGACGCATTAGTTTTGAGTATGATGGTAGAACACTTTATCCTATGTACGACGTTCTTTCAAGTGATTGACTCGTGCCCTTGAAAGCATTATCCATGGCCAGTGATTGATGGACTTGTTCAGGTCCTATGCAGAGTGCTTCATATATCTCATCTCAATCCTCTAAATAACCATGAAAGTTGATGATTATCTCATGGTACAGATGGGAGGCTAAGAGTGTTTAATTTTCCCCAAGTTCCAGTGCTAGTAAGTGTTGATGTCTGGATCTGAACCTGTGTTAATGGTGTTTCTAGTCGATGCTGTTATCTGTTGCACCACATTTTGAATAATCTTGGACTTTCAGAGTATGAAGGACGATTAAATATAACCCTTTGGTATAAATGTTCTCTCTCTCACTCCTCTGTAACAATTGGAGAAACAGAGTTCTAACAATATTAAAATCAGCCATAGACAGAGAGTAGTGAGAAATATACTTTTTTTAATACAGAAGGTTCCCTGAAGTACTTTTAGTATTATTCTAAATTAAGCAATAACCAATGAACAATTTTGGTCATAAGCAGTTTCTCTCCAGAAAAAAAAAAAAAAAAAAACAGATAATATCCATGAACAAAGGTTCTATAATGTGAGTCTCTTTTGCACATCAGTGGCTTAAAATAATGAGTAGTGGAATAGCATAATAGGGGGAAATACCTCTCAGACAGGAAATTGCACTAGCTTGTTTTGTCAACATATACATTACTATACCCAGAGACATACAAGAGTTAGAGACTCACGGTGAGTTTTCACTGTGGCCATCTGTGCCATCCCGTGCAGGACTCTACTGTGGCATTCCACAAAAGCAAATCCTCAGAAGCCTTCTCAAAGTGCTTAACTGCCTTGAAACAGGTGTTTCTCACTAGACAACAATGTCCGTTTACTTTAAAATTCAGAATTTCCCCATATCACATGCTTGTGAAGAAAGAAATTTGAACTCTATTATAGTCTAGTTGTTGGCAATTGTTATAAAAATTAGATTTCTAACCTCTATTGATAGCACTATACTTGAAATGAGAATGTGGGCATAAAATACTTCTTATAAACTTGTTTTTAAGTTTTATGTAATGTTGGCTGTTACAGGTCAAGATATGAACACTGAAAATTTTGGGCCAAAGTCACTTTTTCAACACTGGCCCATTTGAGTTGTTGATTTTAGAGCTGGGATCATTGAATGTTATTTTTTCATACCTTTATTTTATGCAACAGAAAATGAAGGCTTAAAGAGGGAAAAATGGCCTTTCTGCTCATGGTCATAATACTAGCGCCTGGAGAGTTGGCTTTGATCACAGATTTTCCTTCCAGTTTTCTATTCCTTCATTTATATAAGGCCATTTACCCTCTAAATCATTTACATCTAGTTATAAAATATCTTTTTCTTTTCCTAAAACTTTAGTAGTACAGAAATACAATTGAAGGAGATTTGGCTTCGTTGGTAAATGTAGAAATAACTAATAAGAGGTATTGAATATAAACTTACCCATAAGTTATTGTTTCTGTAAATGCACACGATTAAAATGTCTAGTTTGTAATTTCATTCTTGATGTATATTCTAGGGCACGCTGACATTTTAAAGAATTTTGTTGAAACGCCCACTGAGCGTGCTTTCTGAAAAATGAAGATTATCTTTTGTTTTTTTTCTTTTTTATGAGCTTTAAAAAGTTTTAAATAAAAGTTTCTAAGATGCATGATTCTTAAGCATACATCTGGATGAATGTCTTACATATGCATCCATATGTAGTTATAAACATTCGTACATCTTCTCCCAGATACCAGAATATAAAAATTTCAGCACTCCTTAGGACTCTCTCATCCCCCTCTGACACCTGTCACCATATATATTAGGTTTACCAGTCTTTGATTTCATATAAATAGAATTGCACAGTATGTATATATTTTTGTCTGGCTTACGTTACTCAATATTTTGTCCATGTGATTTTCCCATCTTGCATATATTGGTTGGTTGTTCTTTTTTGCTTTGCAGTATTTATTTGTGTGATTATGGCACAATTTTAATCTATTGTGCTGTGTTAGTACACTCGTTGGGTGTTTTCAGATGTCTGTTTACATAATTTTTTAAATGCAGAACTGGTACCAAAAATATAGTAGTCAGTTGTTTTCTTTAATAGATGAAATATAAAACTAGAATCACTTTAATTAAAGTACTACAGGCAGTTATTGCTTTACATGGTCCCATGCTAACTGAAATTCATTTATATTTGAACTCTGAAAAGTGATAACTCAGTATTTCTGAGTTATCTATGAAAAAAAATCCTGGAAAAAAGAATTAGTATGTGTTATCCTAAGTAGATGCTGAAGAACCAGTCCTGCAATATTTAAACTTTATCATCACCCATTTGCTCCTGTTATTTATTACATATATACAACTGTAATTATAGTTTGGACCAAATATCCATGTAGTTAAACTCAGTTGTCACTTTATTTTCTAAAACTCCTTCTGGATGGCAAAAATTTTCTGGTTTAAAGCAAAATAATTAAGCCATTGCGTTTTACATAGGATAGTTAGGGATGATTCTTAAATTTTTTTTTTTTTTTTTTTTTTTTTTTTTTTTTTTTTTTGAGACGGAGTCTCGCTCTGTCGCCCAGGCTGGAGTGCAGTGGCACGATCTCGGCTCACTGCAAGCTCCGCCCCCTGGGTTCACACCATTCTCCTGCCTCAGCCTCCCGAGTAGCTGGGACTACAGGCGCCCACCAGCACGCCCAGCTAATTTTTTGTATATTTAGTAAAGACGGGGTTTCACCATGTTGGCCAGGATGGTCTCGATCTCTTGACCTCATGGTCCACCCGCCTGGTCCTCCCAGAGTGTTGGGATTACAGGCGTGAGCCCCCGTGCCCGGCCAATTCTTAAAAATTTTAAACTCAACATTTTATGTACCATATGAGTGAAATGAGACCCAATATTTTTGACAATAGGGATAAATATTTGTTTGAAAGTAATGGGAATAGTTTTAGAGATATTTTCTAACTATTTTCTGTGATATTTTTTAACGGTTCCACCGTTGGTGTTACTATACTCAAATTTAAGATCTTTTCCTCTGCTAGGATAACACAAACATTGCTAATACAAAATTGTAAGATTTTTAAATTTTTCTTTTATTATGGAAAAAAGATTAAGTTATTTAGAAGTTCTTAAGTCACCAATCGAATATATTTATAAGCTTCTATTGAGTGTATCATCCAAGAGCTAATGAATATATTTATTACATTGACTATATTGATAAACAGTCTGGGGTTGTCATCTGGATATTTTTCACACTTGCTAGTAAGCAACTGCTTTAATAAAATAAATAACATGAAAGTAGTATATTACAATGTGGTTTGCAAAGCCGTTTCACATATACATATACACATTAACATTGAGAGGGAGAGGATATCACAGTCTTCCACCCCAGACAGTAAAATAATTAGTATCCTGTAGCTAAGAAAGACTGAGCTATGACCTGCACTGAAATTATTTTTCTACTGTAAATCTGTCATCTTTTATTGCAACAAACTACATCTCTGTAAATAATGGAACTTCATACAACAGATCCGTGGTGAACTAGTGGCTTAATATATCTCTCAAAATATTTTTTAAACAAAATATATTTTTTATTTGTATCTATAATGCTACAAAATTCTCATATGATCTGGAAATTTTCAACCATATATGATAAATGATTTATTTATCATTTAACACATTTTCTTGGAGGTTGTGTATTAAATACATTTTAGCCCCTAAAAATGGTAATATCACTTTCTAATTTTTTTGTTTGTTTTAAATAATCAGTTCAAAGTTGGCCAAGGTCAATGATTCTTAAATCCTATTATTATTTTTTGACAACTATACAATGCCTGATATTGATTCCATTCCTGATATCAGCTGGCAGTAAGCTTCCCTCTCAGATGAAGTGATAGATGGCCTGTTCATAATTCATACATGCAGTGGACACTACAAAATTCCACTGCTAGGCTTCTCCTTAATTAGACGTATTTGCATCTAATAGGAAGAGAAGACTAACTTTCCACCATGCTTTGTCCCTGTAATTGTATTCTAGGTATTAAAAACATTTTTAAACATGCGCAGTGTCTGAAGACCTGAATTAACAAACTCATGTGGACATTTGAAAATGTGTACCTGTTTGTCCTACTACTATGCTACATATGTTTGGTTTTGTAAAAATATGGGTGAATTCATAGTATTGTTCTTTTTCACTCTGAATGTCACCTTGTATCTATTGGTTTTTACTGACCCATGAAAATGGCTGGAGTTAGTCTGATCTCACCATGTAGAAAGGTCAGGTTCATGGCTTGGATTTGAGAACAGCAGAATGAATCAACTTTGAGGAAGAAGCTGATTTAAAAAAAAAGAAAATGTCTATTTACATTGAGCTTATAAGAAATAGGTAGAGATCAAGAAGAAAACAAGTATGGAATTACTTCAGGATATTTTAAAAGCACTTCCATTTAGGTATCCTTGACTAAATCTGTCAACTTTGTATCCATTTTCTCATGAAGAAAGTGTTGAACTTTTCACTAGAAGTACTTTTTTTTATTCCTCAGTTAAAACATGCCTGTTATTCTTTTTGTAATACTTAAGCAATTTTTTTTTAAAGATATACTACTTAGTTCATCCGTCTCCACTTGTTTTTTTTTTTTTTTTGCAATTATGTGTTTGTTTCCTTTAATACAACTGCTATAAAAGCAATCATGTTCATGGAGAAATAAGTATAATTCATAAAACTAGCATGCCTTGCAGAGATACAAGTAAAAATATAGTTGTGTGTGTGTGTTTATTTACTGAGATGAATTTAATTCCTGGAGATTATTTTAAGCTTTGGAAATGATCTCTGGAGTAAAGAATAATATATTTCACTTTTTTATTAATAATAATTTTTATTTTGAAACATTGATATTTATAATCTGAAAATCCTATTTATTTGTTTGTTTGATATATACCAAGAAACAGTACATTGATAGGTGATCATTTTTTTCACTGTATTTATTTATTTTTGGTAAGAGAAAGTAAATTGATATTTAATTATGAAATAACTAAATATGTTTTTCTTTTGTCTAGACTAATTGTGAAGTGATAAAGTACATTTCTTACCAAATATAACATTTTAATGCATAGAACTTACTATCTATAATAGCTATCTTACAGTCATGATAGTTATTAAGGTAATTTATCAATAAGCCTTCTTTTGGACAGAAGGGATACATCTAATTTTTAAAAATTTCTCTTTGTCTTTTACTAAGAAAGCCTCATTTATAGAAAACCAAATGAGAATTCTGGTCATCATGGACCCTAAGAGCTCTCAAATCCACTAAGAAAATTGCCATATGTGAAATATTCTCTTGCCCAGTTAGAACTATTCATTCATTGTAGGCTCTGATACCCATTTGATAAGAAATAACATTCTGATGCATGGCTAATTTGAATCATATTTAAAAATTAAGTAAAATTTGAGCCATAAAGGATTAAAGAGATGTAGATTATCTCATTTTGTAGCAGGAGATTTTTAAAATTTGATTACAAAGAAAACCAAATACTCCTATAATAGGAAATGTTACAAAATTAACTGAGAATCGTTTTTACCCTATTTTGTTATTCTAGTCTCTGACTGGCGTGAAAAAGCTACTAGTTAAATGATTCAGGAAAGAATAAGATAAACAAAGGGCATACACTGTCCATACACCGTAGTAGTTCCTAACTTCTCTCTGGAATAATTAAAATCAATTTACAGTCAGAGCAGTTAACCAGCTCTCAGTAGTCTTCCATGTAATGAATACACTTCTGTACCCTTATTAAAACACGATTTGTCAGTGCTTCTGTCCTCATGAAAATTATAGCTTGGTTGAGAATATTAAACAGAAATGAACCAACATGAGAAAAATGGAAAATAGGCTAAATTAGTTTAACTAAGCAGCTAGATTTTCTTTATCATGTGCCAATCATGGGCAAAAATTGAAGCCAGCACAAATCTCTCTGAATGGCTTTCTAGGGAAAACACATTTTTAATTACCACATGAGCCTGTTGGAAGGTAACCGAATTCAACAAAACCATTAATTGATATTTTATTTGAAACCTTTCCTGATAATGCTTCTAGCATCTATCACCCTATTCCTATTTCTCTTGAAGAACAGAACATAGCATATAATAGGTGCTCAACAAATATATGTTAAATGAATACATGAATGAAAAACCCTAATAAAGTGAATATTTGTATCTCTAACTGAGTTTCTCTTTCTCAATACGGCTCATTTCCTCAAATGCTAAAAGATTCTTAAAGCTCCTTCTGGGTCGCTTATCTTTCAATGATTTAGTTACTTTACAAAGAAATAACATCTAATTAAATCTTAAGCATCCAGAGAAATCACTTTATCATTTTGTAATAATATCAGTCAATGAACATGACAGTTTCTGAAGATATATGTGTGGTAACTCGTGATCATTGTGCTTATATCTGGTCCACAAGGGAATGAAGATTGTTACCAAGGATGTAATAATTTAGTGTGCAATACAATTTAAAAATAGATTAAAAACTGAGATGTAAAAATGGCACTCAGCCTGTTTTTGGTTTCTTTGTGTTGTATTATAGTCTCATATTTTGTTTTCAAAAGGTAATTGTCTGTCAATGTGTTTAGTCATTTCTTTGGGCATTTTTTGAACATGGTACATATAGACCATATCTTCATAAAACCAACAACTTTTATTTTTGCCATTTATAAATTCAAGTGTACTCATAATGTATATATTTGTATTCAGTTATTCAGAAACCTTAGTATTTAATGAAGATGTACAGAGAAATGGCATAATCAATAATGAATTGGTATAGCACCTATGTTGGAGCATCTTTTATTTAGTGCAGTAAAATGGAGCAGATGATTTCTATTCCTAAAAGTATTTCCCCACTTGATTTAATGGTAAATCCTCCAGATCATAGTATTACTATTCTAGCATTCATGTCTGCTGCCTTTAGCTTTCTGTGTGAAAACTTCTCATCAGGAAATTTCTTAACTAATCACCAGGAAGATTTAATCAAAATCAGTTTAGTTACTAACTAATGTAAGCTTAGGGGAAAGAGAGAAGGGAAGTGTATAACGATTGAATTATTTGACTACATATTGTTAACACAGATATAAAAATCCATGACTTCTCTCCCTTCCTCCTCCACTAAAAAAAGAAATTGAAGATAGTTGGGAACAAATAGTTGTTAACAGCAAAAATTAAAAAGAATACTAGCAGCTACCACTGCCTCTAGAGAGTGTACTGGGTTCTAGTAGACAAGTAGAGCTTTTTTAAAAGAACTGATGCTGGAGACGGTAACACCAATTCAAACCTCACCTCTACCACTAACCAGTTATCAAATCTTGACGTTTTTTTCTTACCTTTGTTTTTTATCTGTAAATTGGTAATAATAACAAACTTGATTTCATAGTATTTGTTAAACAATCAAAAATTAATAATGTCTCTTCCAATTAAATGAAGATGTATACAATTTAATCCAGATTTAGGAGTGAACATGAATGAAATGGGAAAAGAAGCATGTTCCTTTGAGATGTTACACTTTTTTAGTATAACATCATTGAAAAAAGCATCAAAGTATTCAACATGTTGCCATTATGAAGGTAAAAACAGAAAACAGAGTGGCAAGTTTCTGAGAGTATTAAAAAGTAGTAAATGTTGACTGCTTCATGTTTCTTTAAATCATCATTAACTGGAGGGTATGCCAGCCATATCTTCCATGAATATTTTCTTTTGAAACATTTCTTCAAGGAACCTTAAGTACATTAATTAAACTAGGGCAAAACTTCAAAAGACCTACTTCACTTTTCTTTGTGCAAGTTCACATAAGAAAAAGCAATTAATTTAAAATCCAAGTTTCATGTATTCCCAGCTTTCCAGTTGGGAGAAGATGAAATATACATCCTCAACTCTCCTATTTCTTTCTGAACTCAATCTTCTCATTCTCTTTTTTCTTTTTTTCTGGCATAATGGGTTATTTTGATTACTATTAAAAGGCTGAATGGTGTTGACAATTATCTTCTTTTTACTTCTGATGCTAATTCCATTGTTCAGTAAATTAAGGGAAAGGAATACCAGATGAAACTTGGTATGATTTTTAAAGTCTGGAAAAGAAATCAATATTTAGCTTAATTATTGTCTTTTATGTACAGGTCTGAGTATTTACATTTGGAACAATCCTTGAGCTTAATTCTGCTGTTTAGACATGAAATAGAGTTCCAAAATCAAGTTAACCTATTTCTCATTAAGATGTATTAGTTTCAGTGTATCTTGCCCTGCTAAAAACAATCTTTTTTAATGCTCTATGTTTTGATCTATTTAATTTTTTTAAAAAAAACATAATAGTAGTTTCCAGTATGGAAAATCTGGTTGTCTCTAATTCAGTCTCTTTATACTAAGTCCAGTAGATCCATTTTAAGAGCAGGATAGACCTTTTTAAGGTGAATATCTTTCAGAGGGGAACACAGTGTCTGATGTATGCTGATCTAAATCTAAGAAGTTTTTTCCAATCTGAGATCTCTTGCCTTACAGATACTGAAAGCATCAGTGTTTCTCTTTTCTAAAATTTTCACACAAATTTCAGTCCTGATGGTGTGATTTTTTTTTCTTTTGCCTTCAAGAGCTAACACAAGACATAAATCAGAAACAAATTAACTGAAAGGAAAACTCAAAAAAAAAAAAGAAAAGAAAAAAGAGGATGCTTTACGAAGGGAGATGATTTGATGGTGGGTGAAACTGTAGACTAGGTTAATGCAACCAGGTTAAAGAAACTAGAGGGTTGAAGTACAATAAAGGGTGTCCAGAATTCTTAAATGCAGTAAAACAAACAAACATGTAGCAGAGGGGCCTTGTCTAGGGTATGGATGTTTTTCGATTTAAACAAAAAGGAGGAAAAATAACCAAATGATCTAGCAATTCCTTAGAACGTCTGTATACTATCTATCCAATGTAATAATTAATCCAAATCATCTGTCACTATGCACTGCCACTCCATTCTGATAACAACCCTCTAACCATGTCTCACCAGGAAATAACATTTTTATTCATACAAGTTGCAGGTTATTTTCAAGACAGACTTCCTCTGTGCTGTTCATCATGCATACCTTAGCTAAAGTATTGTAGCTAGAATATAGCAGCAATTTTCCAACCGATCTTCGAGTCTTTATTCCTTCAGGTATGTTGTGTGTACTCTTTCCATTTGCCTAAATTTTCTCTCAAAAATTAAGATCACATCTCACATTTTCTAGGAATCTTTTATGACTTTGTTGCTTTGATGTCCATGTCCCAACTGCACAGGTAAAGGTTCATCATAGCCTTACCTAAACCCTCTTTCTGGTCTTATTTCTCTGATGGTTATTTCCACAGTTAGAGCTGCAGGAAGCCACTTCTTTCTTTAACACATCATATCAACTTCCATCTATTTTAGTTCATGCTGCTTCTGCTATAAAAACTCTTACTGCTCTTTGTCTTTACCTAAAATAATTCCACTTCTGATTTTTATTAACTATATCAGTTTGGGCAACATATTAAATTGCTTCGTGCCTCACTATGAAACTCTTTGGTTCCAGATGTATTTAGAATAGTTTGAATTTTAGAAAAGTTAGAGTGGTTATGCTATACATTATGTAACATCCCCAGCAAGGTCTTGGGTGGCCAAGGACATTAATATGTATGAATAATAACATTAAAGTCAGTAAATAGATAGTATAAGTAGTTTTTGCTTTAATGTTAATTGATTCCAAACTTGAAAAGTCTTTCATGTTTAGAAATTATTGTGATTTGGAATTTCAGAATCCAAAAGGAGCCATGTATCTCTAGTGCCAATCTCACAGACTTGAGGTAAAGATTAAGTGAGGCGACACATTTAAAGAACTTGCAGGCTATGTGCAGTGGCTCATGCCTATAATCCCAGCACTTTGGGAGGCTGAGGTGGGTGGATCACCTGAGGTCTGGAGTTCTAGACCAGCCTGGCCAACATGGTGAAACCCTGTCTCTACAAAGAATACAAAAATTAGCCAGGTGTGGTGGTGTGGGCCTGTAGTCCTCAGTTACTTGGGAGGCTGAGGCAAGAGAATTGTCTGAACTTGGGAGATAAAGGCTCCAGTAAGCCAAGATTTTGCCACTGTACACCAACCTGAGCAATACAGTGAGACTCGGTCTCAAAAAAGACAAAAAAAAAAAAAGAAAAAGAATTTGCGAATGGTCAACAATCATTATCTGTAACTGTTATTATCACCATCACCTGTCTGGTGTTTCATTTAAAAACCTTGTCGCCTGCAAAAATTCCTTCTAGCCAATCAGAATTTATTATACAATTCTTATAAGAACATTACAGATGTTACTTTTTGCCTGTTTGTGTGATTCGTTTTTTATATGTTTGTTTTTACCTACCCCAAACTTTAAAATATTTGATAGCAATAGTAGTTTATGTTTTCAAATCCACATCACATTCCAAGCTGCATTCCATAGCATCTCTATCTCTTCCCTCTGGATTTGTCCTCCACTTCCAGTGAAAAAAACCAGTAATATTTTGGCTTTGTAGAAAAACTTATTTTTATTCAGAGAAATTGTGACTTCCTCCATTTTGCCTCTTACGGACAGGAACTTGTCATTAATGTGCAGTAGAGGCAAACATTCCTTCTTGGAACAGGATCTCTGCTTCTGGCTGATAAGCTAGGTGCTGCTAGAATGTAAATGCCTTCTAACTTGGGTAATAGTTCTTAGTACCTTTCATAAAGTCCTCTCTTATTTCAGATAAAATTTGAAGGAACTGTCACAGATATTTAAAATTATCAAATAAATTATACCAGAAAAACTGCTTAAATTTTAATAAAGTTTGTTTTTAGTTGAGAGTGTAAAATATGACATTTTATTTTCTTAATAAGTTTATGTGGACTTAAACTATGAAGGTCTAAGTTTTTTGTTTTCCTCATGTGTATAGACCTCCAAAATTCTTTGAAATTTTAATTTGGGAGAGTAAAAAATTTGTTCAGGAGAGTAATTTGGTTCAGAGTATTAAAAAAACAAAGGTAAATTTAGAACTTTTGTGGTTAACATAAACAAAAATCCCTTGATTCATTGGATTTATAATAACGAAGAGAAAATTGAAAATTAGTTAGGTTGTTTGGAGTTAGGAAGGTAGAATGATGAGAGAGGAAAATGGAATTCAACTAACTTTTTTGAGGACATAACCTTTATTTTATTTATTTATTTATTTGAGATGGAGTCTCGCTCTGTCACCAGGCTGGAGTGCAGTGGCGCGATCTCGGCTCACTGTAGCCTCCACCTCCTGGGTTCAAGCAATTATCTTGCTTCAGCCTCCTGAGTAGCTGGGACTACAGGTGCCCACCACCATGCCCGGCTAATGTTTGTATTTTTAGCAGAGATAGGATTTCACCATGTTGGCCAGGATTGCCTCTATCTCTTGACCTTGTAATCCACCCACCTTGGCTTCCCAAAGTGCTGGGATTACAGGTGTGAGCCACCATGCCCGGCTTAACCTTTATTTTATTAATATTTGTTTCTTCCCCAAAACTTGCATGATGAGTATCATTAACTGATAATACTAAATTGATCTTGGAAGGACTTTCTGTGAGGAAACATTACTTAGTGTTGCCTATAGGTATTTATAAGCACCTATAATAGCTCAATTGAAATGTTGCAGAAAAATTCTGAAAGACCTTTACGAGGTGTATGGAAATGAGTGAAGAATAAAGTTGAGAGAGAAAACTGATGGCATTCTGAAAGGGAAACACATTGTATGGAATTTAGTGGGTTGTTTGTTTTCTTAACCTGGCTTATTGAATAAGCTGAACTTTCCCAGCCTCCATCCTTTAAAATATGAACACCACAAATAACAGGAAAGATAATAGCATTGGTTTCCAAGAAGAGCTCTACATGTAAGCCATGCATTGGGTCTCTAAGGCCAGTAACCATAGCTTTTGAAATTTCAGGAATTCTCTTTAGAGTCACCATCTTCAACCTTAAAAATATGAATTTAAAGACTGAAAAGAATAAGAAACTCTTTAGTTACCATAACACAGAAATTCTGTTGTGATTTTAGTTGTATGTTTATTTTTTAAGAGTTCAAATTAAAAAAGACAAAATTCCCATCATTTCAATAACATTTTTCTCATGGTTATTTACTCTATAAAGAAGTTATTGACTAAAGTATTTCAATGCTAATAACTGCAACTCTAACATGATAAGTATGTATTATTTGAACTCACTATGCAATTGTAATCCAGAATAATGCATTTTAAAATTTCTAAAAATCAAATGAGTCTGCTTGTAAAATATTTTTGCTGGCAGCCTTTATAGAATATTGAAAATAATAGATTTAAAGTGAATATTCTGATTAATAATAGATGTCAAACTTGCCAAGAAAAGTCAGTAGAGGATACAGTTTTTGAAATCTTATGTTTACAGAAAGATAAAATGAATAAAACAGGAAAACAAGCCTTACCATTCTGGACTATCACATTTGTCCACATTAATGTCCACATTAATGTCAAATTTAATGTCTACATTAAAATGCTCGATGTAGGCTGGGTGTGGTGGCTCATGCCTGTAATTCACACTTTGGGAGGCCGAGACAGGGAGATGGCTTGAGCCCAGGAGTTCAAGACTAGCCTGGGCAACATGGTGAAACCCCACCTCTACAATAAATTTAAAAATTACCCAGGCATGGTAGTGTGCGCCTGTGGTTCCATCTACTTTGGAGGCTGAGGTGGGAGGATCATCTAAGCCCGGAAGGTGGAGATTGCAGTGAGCCATGATTGCACCACTGTACTCCAGCCTGAGCAACACAGTGAGAGAAAAAAAAAAGTGTTCAATGCAATTTAAATAACTTAAATGTTATTGGGGAAAAATAGTGTTCTTCAGATATCATATTTGCTTCAAGCAAAAAAATAACTTCAGTTAGAGCTAGCTGGAATAATGACAGATTTCTAGATTATGGTCAAAATAATGCCATTACCTTGTACCTGATTGCTGCATGTAATTTTTGAAAACAATACAAATTGTTTTACCTGACCTTTTGGGTATCAAAGCCTTCTCCTATCTAAATGCAATGATGATATTAGGTAAATGCAGAATAATTCTGAAGTTATGTTTTAGACTTAAAACTGTATGTATTTAGAAGCATGACCAATTTCATCTTTAGTAAAGCAATACCTGAAAAGGGGGGTTTTAGTATTTTAAACATTGTCATTTGAGCTTAGAAGTAACATTTTTTCCTTCTCTTATTTATTTATGTATTTATTTATTTATCCTTTATAGGTCTTATTCAATACCAAGAATTCCTCAGGATGTCCATTTTTTTGTTTTGTTTTGTTTCTTATTATCTTTGTTTTTTTTTTTTTTTGAGATGGAGTCTCACTGTGTTGCCCAGGCTGGAATGTAGTGGCACAATCTTGGCTCACTGCAACCTCCACCTCCCTGAGGTTCAAGTGATTCTCCTGCCTCAGCCTCCCAAGCAGCTGAGATTACAGGCACTTGCTGCTGCACCCAGCTGATTTTTGTATTTTTAGTAGAGACATGGTTTCACCATGCTGCCCAGGCTGGTCTTGAACTCCTGACCTCAAGTGATCTACCTGCCTTGGCCTCCCAAAGTGCTGGGATTACAGGCATGAGCCACCGCACCCGTCCAGGATGTTCGTTTTTAAATAAGTCACCACAGCTTCATATTTAAAAAAAATCTTTAATTAAATTTCAAATCTTGAGCTGAATTTAGTATAATATTAAACATAGTTTAGTAATTACATATCATTTATTGTTGATAGTTTTGCATATGAATCTATGTATAGCTCATTTAAAAAATGGCTTTAGCATGAAGTATAAACAGTTGAACAAATAAATGAGAAAAATGCTTGCTTAGAAGGAATGGAAATTGGGTCAGCACAGCCTTGCCTTTGCCCAAGCGGTGGAGTTGAGAAAGTATTTTGTCTACACAAAAGCCAGACAGCTACTCTAATGCCCAGTGAATTCTGACAGTATGTTACAGTTTAATGTGATGAATGATGTAAGGACCCGCCTAAAATGCTCACGCAGCTTCCCAATGTCTTACCCTGACCTACAAACCAGCTCATAGGTCTCCATGCATGTGTTGTAGAAAGTGATGTAGATGGCCAGGCGGGGTGGCTCATGTCTGTAATCCCAGCACTTTAGGAGGCTGAGGTGGGTGGATCAGGAGGTCAGGAGTTTGAGACCAGCCTGGCCAAGATGGTGAAACCCTGTCTCTACTAAAAATAAAAAAAAATTAGCTGGGTGTGGTGGCAGGCGCCTGTAATCCCAGTTACTCGGGAGGCTGAGGCAGGAGAATTGCTTGAACCCAGGAGGCAGTGGTTGCAGTGAGCCAAGATCGCGCCACTGCACTCCAACCTAGGTGACAGAGTGAGAATCTGTCTCAAAAAAAAAAAAAAAAAAGAAAAGAAAAAGAAAAAAAGTGTTGTAGATTAGTTGAGGATATATATAGGGAGAAGTTACTTCAAAAATGTTATTTTTTATAAAAGTCTTTTTGACTGTGTTTCTCACCCACTTAAACACCTCCAGGGTAGAGACTGTTTCTTATTTATATATATTCAGTCTTGTATATAGAGGATCCTTTCCTCATGAATGTTTATAGAATAAAGTTAGACATTAGAAACAAGAATGAGCCTTTTGCTTCTTGTTGCCTGCAGGGCTAAGGCGAAGCTCATGGAATAAGTCTAGGATGTTTGTTTTTATATGAACTGTGGTGTAATAGAAAGAGAGCAAGAAAGAACAGCAGTAAGTAGGACAAGAATTAGAAGCTGATAAGTTAGTCCTTCTACTTTAGCTTAGCATTTAAAGCCCATCCCACTATTCTTCAGCATATGATTCAGTTGATGTGAAACTCTCACTGGCTTTTCATAGCTCTATACATTTGCACATACTGTTCTATATGCATAAAAATTCTTTTATTCCTTTTTCACCTGAAAAAAAATATCTGCTGATCCTTTAATACTCTGACACCTCATTTGAAAAAGCTTGCTTTACTCCTCCAGGCAGAGTTGATTGTTCCTGTCTGAGATGTTACCTATCTGTATCATAGTGCTTTTCACTTTGACTTACAAGTATTCATTTACATACATGTCTGCTCTCAGGCTAAATTTTCAGCTCCTCACAGCCGGGACTATTTCTTGTTCATTTCTGTATTCCAACCATCTTTTATTATGCCTTTCACAGTTGGCATTCTATGAAAGGCTGGTTAATCTTTCTAAGCATTAAACCAGCCTTTTGGAAAAATAATGTAATATATTTACAGAGAAATGATATATGATGGCGAACAGTAGTTTATGCTCTCTGTTGCCTTGTATTTCTCCACAAAAGTAAATAACAATGACAAAAACACAATATCAAATTTAGAAATGAAACAAGATTTGTTTGAAAGCATTTATTTGAATAACTTAAATGAAATAGTCAGAGCAGTATAAATAGCATACTACAAGAAAATAAAGTCATAAAGAAATTTTCAAAACTCTCTGCCAGCTTTTCATAGACAATAGAAAATTAGAATAGAAAAAAATCATTATAGGACATCCTATTCAATTACATCATGAATGGACATTGAATAAATAAATGGATGACTGAAGCCTAGAGGCTAGAAATAACATCCTAAAGTCACATTTGTTAGCATCTGTGCTAGGATTAGAACCCAGATCCCAATGCCAAGTCAAAAGTAAAATCCTCACTTTTAAAGTGCTGTGTCTTTTTTAACTTTTATTTTCATGTAATAATTATAGACCTACAGAAAAAGTTGTGCAAATAACATAGAGAGTTTACATATGTCCTTCACCTAGTTTCCCCTAATGGTAACAATGTACATAACTATAGCATAATTATCAAAACCAGAAATTAATATAAAATTCAGGATTCCACATTGCCTTTTTTTGTTGGGTCTCCATCTTCTCACTATGTTGTAGTTTCTCAGTCTTTGGCTTTTATGACATTGACACTTTTGATGAGTACTGATCAGTTATTTTGTAGAATGTCCCTCAATTTGGGTTTGTCTGATGTTTTCTCATGAGTACTTTGTTGTTGTTTTCTTTTATTATTATACTTTAAGTTCTAGGGTACATGTCACAACGTGCAGGTTTGTTACATATGTATACATGTGCCATGTTGGTGTGCTGCACCCATTAACTCATCATTTAGCATTAGGTATATCTCCTAATGCTATCCATCGCCCCTCCCCCCACCCCACAACAGGCCCCAGTGTGTGATGTTCCCCTTCCTGTGTCCAAGTGTTCTCATTGTTCAATTCCCACCTATGAGTGAGAACTTGTGGTGTTTGGCTTTTTGTCCTTGCAATAGTTTGCTGAGAATGATGGTTTCCAGCTTCATCCATGTCCCTACAAAGGACATGAACTCATCATTTTTTATGGCTGCATAGTATTCCATGGTGTGTATATACCACATTTTCTTAATCCAGTCTATCATTGATGGACATTTGTGTTGGTTCCAAGTCTTTGCTATTGTGAATAGTGCTGCAATAAACATACGTGTGCATGTGTCTTGATAGCAGCATGATTTATAATCTTTTGGGTATATACCCAGTAATGGGATGGCTGGGTCAAATGGTATTTCTAGTTCTAGATCCTTGAGGAATCGCCACACTGTCTTCCGCAATGGTTGAACTAGTTTACAGTCCCACCAACAAGTGTAAAAGTGTTCCTATTTCTCCACATCCTCTCCAGCACCTGTTGTTTCCTGACTTTTTAATGATGGCCATTCTAACTGGTGTGAGATGGTATCTCATTGTGGTTTTGATTTGCATTTCTCATGAGTACTTTGAAGTTATGCATTTGGGAAAGAATAACTGCTATGCCCGACTCAGTGCGTCCTGTCAGCAGGTACATGTTTTCAACACATCTAATTACTGAAGATGTTAACCTTCAGCACTTGAGTGAGGTGGTTCCTGTCGGGTTTTTTCCATGTAAGGTTACTATTTCTTCCTTCATAATTAATATATTTGCAGGAAATAGTCTGTTTTTCTTCCATCTTTCACCTACTAATTTTAACATTAATGGTAGATCTTGTCTGTAACAATTATTAATCTTGTGTTTGCTTTATGTGATTTTGTTATGTTCTTCATTCCTTCTACATTTATTAATTGGGATTCTTTTAAAGGAGGTGGTTCTTCTCCCCCATTTGTTTGGTTATTTAATTATATAATTTACATCAGTGTGGACACATAGCTGTTTATTTATTTTAGGGGTTATAATCCCTAAATAGTATCATTATGTATTTTGTTGTCAAATTATTTCAGCTTCTGCCATTGAGAATGCTTTTCAGGCCGGTTTCAATATCCATTCAACATGTCCCCCATTTTTTCTAGCACTTTCTTACTCCTTGCCATCACAAGATATTCCAGATTCATTTTGTATTTTTCCTGCCCAGTCTTCTCTGATTTTATTCTAATGGGATAGATTAATTCTAGTCTTCTGCCTTTCCTTGTTTCTAATTTTTTTCAAACAATGAAAAATTAAGCTCTCATTATCTACAATATGTTTACTTATTTGTTCAATCCCGGTACACACATCAAGTAGTTACAAAGTTGCTAAACCTTGTCTCTGTAAAAACAGATCGACTGATCATAGTAATGTAATAGAGTACAGTATATTCAAAATATTTTTACTAAGTGCTAATATATTTAAAGTAATAGTTTGTTATTTTCTTCCCACCCCATTCAGTGTGGTGATGTCATTCATTTATAATATAGCTAGCTTCATTTTTTACTATTTGTATTCCACTCCATGTCCACCTGATATCCTGGTTTATTTTGATTTTTTTAAGTTTTGGGGGGATATGTGAAAATCACTATGGTTCTAAGATGCAAAACTATTTTTTAGAAGTGACACCCAGAAAGGTGTTGTTCCCTGTAGCTCCTTCCCTCCGTGTTCCCATTACACCCTTTTCCCTACTCATTTCTCTTCCACTCCCTGCAGCTTCTGGGCTTTCCTTCCTGTATTTCTTTTGCACAAAGGAGAAGATACATATTTATTTTCTTATATTCCTTTCTTTCTTACACGAAAGGTAGCTACAGTAGATACTCATTTACAATTTGCTTTCTTCAATTAAGAGATTATCCTGGAAACCACTCCAAATCAGTTCATAGAGACCTTCCTTTCTTTTTTACAACTGCAGATTACCCTGTTGTGTTGATTTAACATAACACAGTCATGCACTGCATAATGATGTTTTCGTTAACTATGAACTGCATATATGAGAGTGGTACTATAAGATTATAATGGAGCTGAAAAATTTCTATCACCTGGTGACATTGTTGCCATTGAAATGTCATGGCACAAAGCATTACTCAAGAAGTTGTGTTGATTCTGGTGTAAACAAACCTACTGTGAGGCCATTTGTATAAATGGGTAGCACATTCAATTATGTACAATACATAACCCTTGATAATAAACAACTATGTTACTGGTTTATGTATTTGCTGTACTATACTCTTTCTCATTGTTTTAGAGTGTACTTCTTCTACTTATATATTTTAAAAGAAGGTTAATTGTAAAACAGCCTCAGGCAAGTCCTCCAGGAGGCATTCCTGAAGAAGACATTGTTATTACAGGATGAGATGAGAGCCCCATGCATGATATTGTCTTGAAGACTTTTCTATGGGACAAAATGTGAAGGTGGAAAACACTGATATTGATGATTCTGATTCTGTGAGAGCCTTGGCTAATGTATGTGTTCACATCTTCATTTTTAATAACAAAATTAAAATATAAAAAGCTTAGAGAGCGGTGATATAAGGAAAAATATTTTTGTGTAGCTGTACGGTGTGTTAGTATTTTAAGCTAGGTATTATTACAAAAGAGTCATAATGTTTAAAAATTGTTTATAAGCAATAAAAGTGACAGTAAGCTAAGGTTCATTTATTATTGAAGAAAAAACTATTTTTAAGTAAATTTAGTATAGCATAAGTGTACAGCGTTTATCATGTTTATAGTAGTGTACAGTAATGCCCTTGGCTTCACATTCACTCACCACTCACCCACTGACTCACCCACAGCAACTTTCATCCTACAGCTCCATTGATGGTAAGTGTCCTATATATATGTGCCATTTTTTATCTTTTACACTGTGTTTTTACCGTATCTTTTCTATTTTCATGCTCTTTAGATGTACAGATACCATTGTGTTACAGTTGGCTACAGTATTGAATACAGTAACATTCTGTACAGATTTGTTCCAATGGGCTATACTATATAATCCATGTGTGTAATAGGCTATACCAATAGGTTTAAGTAGGCTATATTAAAGTAAGCCATACCAATATGCTTAAGTATATATACTTAAGTAGGCTATACCAGTATATTTAAGTATGTATACTTAAGTAGGCTATAGCAATAGGCTTAAGAGGTCTATACCAATAGGTTTAAGTAGGCAATACCAATAGGTTTAAGTACACAAGTATGATGTTTGCACAATGATGAAATCACCTAACAACCCATTTCTCAGAACATATTCCTGATTACTTGAGTGATGCATAACTGTATATTCAACAAAATTCCTTTCCATTAGCAATAGGTTGTTTCCAATATTTGTCAATGAAAAACAATATTGCAAAGTATATCCTTGTGTCATGTATTTTCTAATTGTTTACAATATCTTTAAGATAGAGTCTTAGAAGTTGGACTGATTTCTCTCCAAAAGGGTTAGACCAGTTTGTATTTCCACCAATAATGCTGGGAGTGTGTATGAATGAGTTAATGATGCTTAAAGACATAAAAGTAGACTTGAGCAAATGGAAAAGACATACTCTGTTTAAATCTACTGGTATAGCTATTACTACAGTGCCTGTTTTCCCACAATCTCATGAACAGAATGCAATGTCACTAATTTTGGTTGATCCGAGAATTGAGAAACAATATCGCAGTGTTTTAATTTGCACTTCACTGATTATGATTGAGTTCACATATTTTAATATGTTGGGGGGCTGGCTAGACTCAGTGGCTCATGCCTGTAATCCCAGGATTTTGAGATGCTGAGGCAGGCAGATCACAAGGTCAGGAGTTTGAGACCAGCCTGGCCAACATGGTGAAACCCCATCTCTACTAAAAATACAAAAATTAGCCCGGTGTGGTGGCATGCACCTGCAATCCCAGCTACTCGGGAGGCTGAGGCAGGATAATTGCTTGAACCTGGGAGTGCCACTGCACTCCAGCCTGGGCAACAGAGCAAGACTCTGTTTGTATACCTTTTGTAGAAATTTTCAGTTTGTTTGTTTTTCCAGTTTTTATGTTTTTGATGCGTTTTTTGCAATTTTTAAGAATTCTTGATAAATCGTGGATATTAGCCTTTTGTCTGTGGTTGTGAATATTTTCTCCCAGTTTTTCAGATTTATTTTAACTTTGCAGATTTTATCCTGCAGATTTTTATATTTTGTATGTAGTCAAATTTATGAATTTTTTATTTCATTGCTTCTGAATTTTGATTTGTATTTAGAAAGCCTGTTTTTAATCCAGTTCATATTCATTCATATTTTCTGGTACTTGTGTTGTTTCATTTTTGCATTTAGATCTCTAATTTGTTTGGAGTTTATTTTAGTGTATACTATCAGATATGAACCTAATTTTATCTTTTTTTCAATGGCTAGCCAGTAGTTCTAGCACCGTTTATGAAAAAGTTTATCTTCACCCTAAGGGTTTGAGATGCCACCTTTAACATGTGCCAAGTTTCAGTATATACAAGGACTGTTTCTGCATTCTATTTTTTTTTGGATTATTTTTCTATTTATATGCCAGTACAACAGGCTAGTATCAGAGACTTCATAGTATATTTGAAAGTATAGTAGTGTTTATTCCTTTTATAGTTTTTCTTTTTAGTGTTTTTCTGGCTATTTTTTCATGTTGCCTTTTAAAATAAACTTTAGATCAACCTAACTTCATAAAATAGCTTGCTGGAGGTTTTATTGGAATTTCATCAAGTTTACAATTTACCTTAGAACTGAGATCTTTATAATGTTGAGTTGTGTTAGACAAAAACAGGATATGTCTTTTCCATTTGCTCAAGTCTACTTTTATGTTTTTAAGAAGCATTAAAAATTCCTTAAATTAATATATTAATTCCTAAATATTAATTCCTAAGTACTTAATCTTCTTTATTGACATTATATAAAGGATTTCTCTATCATTACACTCTTTATTCATTTATTAGTATATTGAAGCTACTTATTTTTATATGTTAATGTGCATCAAGCTACTTACTGCTTCTTTAATTGAGTTTGCTTTAACATTGATTTTATAGGGGTTTCATAGTATACTGTCATATCATCTGGAAACAGATATCGTTTTTGCTTCTTCTTTACCGATTCTTGTGCCACTAATTAATATCAGTTATCTAATTATATCGGCTAGTATTTCAAGTACATTGCTGAATATCCATAAATAATGGCCAAGCTTACCTTTGTCCCAATTTTAGTGGAAATACTTCTTCTCTTTTCTCACTAAAGAAGATACAGGTCTTGGACTAACATATATATGTGTGCGTGTGTGTGTATATATATATACACACATATATATTGCTTCTGGAATATGTGTGTGTGTGTGTATGTGTATATATATGTGTGTATATATATATGTATATATATATATATACACACACACACACACACACACACAAATATGTATTAGTCCAAAAGCTGTATCTTCTTTAGTATAGGTTTTAAAGTATTCCTCCATTCCTATGT
Organism: Homo sapiens; assembly: GCF_000001405.40. Lineage (NCBI taxonomy): Eukaryota > Metazoa > Chordata > Mammalia > Primates > Hominidae > Homo > Homo sapiens. The sequence continues at coordinate 16,448,867 of NC_000021.9, forward strand.
TCTTCAATATTTTTGTATCATAAATGGTTGTTTAATTTTGTTGAAGATTTTTTCAGCATCTATAGAGATAGTCATAATTTTCACCTTTAGTTTTCTAATATAATGTATGACAGTAAGAAATGTTTTTACATTCCTGAGATAAATCCCATTTAGTCACAGTGCATTATTTTTAAAACATATCATTGAATTCTGTTTGTTAATCTTTTATGTGGAATTATTTATGAGTGATAGTGGTATTTTGTTTTCTTCCTTACAATGTCTTTATTTTTAGATATCACTATTATACTTGTTTCATAGAAGGAATTATGAAATTTTAATTCCTTTTCAGGGCATTGGAATAATTTTTAGACTCTTCAGGCTATATGGTTGTTGAAATTAGTTAAAAATCTCCTGTGAAACCATCTGGGCCTGTTGCTTTTTTGTAAAGTAATTCTTTGATAGCTCTCTTTGTTTTTATGCATTGATCTGCTAAGATTTATAATGGAAGTTGAGTCAATTTGGTAATATCTGTTTCCCTAGGGAAACTATCTAGCTTTTCAATTGTATTTGACTAGAGCTCTGAGAAGCAGTCCTCCGGGGGCGTGTGCATGTGTATGTTTTAATTTCTTTACTTTCAAAGATTATTTCCTTTTTGTCATTTCTTATTTTGAATGTTTATATGTTATTGCTGCATTTTCTTGATTAAGTTAACTAGTAGTTTTTCTCTCATTTGTTTTCCTTAAAAATAGGATAATATATTAGATATAGTTTTTCAATTATCTTATTCTCAAATCATTTTCTTCTTTTATTTTTATTATTTCCTTCATTATGATGCTTTGTTTTTGTTTCCTTTTTTGTTCTTTCTTAAAGCTTTTTGAGAAGGGAATTTAATTCATTGCCTTTTATTATTTCTTTGTGATTAATAAAGCCTGACTTTTCTTCGTAATTAATTAATCTTCGTAAGGATTTTGTTAAAGATGCAGATGGATGGGCCCCACCCATGTATGGAGACTTAGTTTCAGTAGGCCTAGGTGTGACCTGAGGACCAGAAGCAGAATATCTAGAACTACACTGGAGAACCGCTGATGCAATATTAAAATTTTACAAATGTTCCTCTCAAGGAATGTTTAATTCCTTATCCAATCATTTTGTTATTCAGATGCATTCAAACATGTTATGGTGTTTTGCTGGTAGGTGTCCTCCTTCTAGACCTGTGGTATTTTGACTTAATAATCGTGACTCATATTCGACCATTTAAAACTTGCTTAGGTTGACAATAGGCAATACCAAGAGTCTCCCTTAGATAAAATATCACAGTTTCCTAAATCTGTCGCTCTTATCTTCTAAGGCAACAGAGGTCAGAGGAGCTATACTAAAATCTTAACTAACAAACATTTTAAAATACAACTGAAGAATGTAATTTGTAACAAATTTGTTCACAATAATTTTTAAAAATCCCTTTGTATGTACACTAAGTAACTGAACATTTTAGAAAGACTATCAGTGATGAGAAAAATACAAATAACATGAAAATAAATTATTTGGAAAATTATGCTACAAAACTATAACCACTGAACTCATTCAAGCATCAAAAATATTAGTTAGAAGCCTTGCTCTAATGTTTTGGAGGTTTCCCAAGACTTTCAAACTACTAATCTCACTTCTTAATATAAGGTAGAGCAAGATTCTGAAAAGTCTTTGAGTTTTTAGTTTTGCTAAAGCTGTTGTTTCAACTGAGCCTAGGTTATACAATTGTTAGGCTGAGGTCTCATCAAATAACTGAACAAATGGACTAATGAAAGCACCTCATATCTATAATTATCCACAGAACACAAAGGAAAAGAATGGGTAATTTCACTGTCTATATTACATTGGGCTGGTACTTTTGTTGTGAAGCTGGAATATTGAAGATGCAGTGTAATAATTCAGAGGTTATTTATATATCCTTTAAGACTGATACTATCTGTACATTGCACATTGGCATTTATTTCTACAGATTTATTTTGGTGTAGCTGGTATGGGAGCCATAAAGTACCAGTGTTCATTTTTCCAGGGATGAAATCAGAAGAGTGTTAGAGAATGGTCTTCTTCCTCAAGCTATCAGTGTGAATCTCTGAGATAACTAGAGTCTGAAAAAGAAGTTCAAATCTGTCTTAATTTTTCAGGCCAGGATTTCTCTACAAAACTAATCTTCAATTTAGATAGATATATGACCCTTGATTTTCTTTCATAATGTTTATAAACGTAGAGCCTCTTTTGTAATTTTTTCAGAACTCCTCACCTTATGCTATTGGGGACAAAGCAAAAGTCAGGAAAATTAGACTAATTTGGAAAATGACCACGTTACTATTGCTCTGGAGTAGGACACAGTTGGAGTTTATCACCAAGTCATTTTATGTCCCCTAGTAATGTTCCCATCTCCCAAATCCTCTGCTAATATTCCTGTATCTTTCAGAGAAGAGAGAAGCAACTCTATAGAAGAATTATCAGCAAAATTGCTCTATGCAACGAAAGTATCTTAATCCACTGAAAGTAAAGCAAATCTTGTCAGTTTCTACTTTGATTTAGAAGATTAAAAAAAACAAACAAAGTTATACATAACAGATATTAATGTTAATGAAAGGAAGAATTACAAGCTCTTTCTGTAATTTGGAATGATATGAAATGTCTGACCATTATTTTGTTATAATTCTTTACTATAAATAAGACTAAAGGAGGATCAAAAAATTTTTCACTTAAGAAGTAATCATACATTTCTATAAATATTTAAATATCAATTAAAGTACAGGTGTTTTGCTATTCAACAGATGCCTTATAAGGACATATACAACACAACTGCATTCATTTCAGGGTTTTGAATGTGTCAAAAATGTCCTGGTACCTTGCTCAGTAGTTACAACTAGTAAACTGATTTTCACAAAGATCTGAGTCAAGGTTGTTGTTACCAGATCCTTGTTCAAAGACACCAGATACTGTAGTTATAATATATTATACACATTTCAGCAGTCTTTTAATTTAAGAAACTATTTTGAGCTGTACTTAGTGCAAAGGGCAAGCGATAGTGACTGTTACATTGTTTCTTTTAGAAACAAACATTGTAGGCAGGAACACACTAAATACAATTTTAAGCAATACTGGAACTAAATTTGGTCATGTATAATTATTTTTGAAACATTAGGTTGGTTAGTTGATGTTCTAGATTTACAATAAGCAGTGTCTATTAGAGAGAGTTTCAGGGTTTTTTATTTTACTGTGGAGGGAAAAGAAAATTTGGGGGTGCCTAAGTCCTGCTATGATCATAATTAGTTGTGTGATTGTAATCATAATTTTGAGAATAGTAATATATCAGTTACCACGTATTCCATATTTACTTGTGGCCAGGCATGTTGCTGTATACTTTAGATTGATGATGATGGGATTGAAAAACCAAAACTAGTATTATCTTAGACATTTTTCACATGCAGAAACCAGTTTCAAAAAATTAGGTAACATCCAAGGTTAAACTTCTACATAATTTAAATTTATTTCTAATAATGACTTCCTTTCTTTGTTAAGCTAAGTTTTTGAAAATCTGCTTTGATCATGCAATGTAATTGTGCTGTAATATGGCAGGGTAGAGTCAATTCTTTGGTCTTTCTGGATAATAGTAAGAAAATTACTCTAAACAGGGACATCTTTGGACTCTATCACTGAGTCCAGTGTAATTGGGAGCAACTTGGTAATGGGCTTTGATTGTACCTCGTTTTCTACATTGCTATAATGAACAGGACTGTGTATTTGATGAGAGTCACAATGGTATGATGAGATTGGAAAACATGATATTACAGATGCTGTCATATGCAAACCATGGCAGAAGTACTTAGTGAACAATGACTGTAAGCATTTTATGTTGCCTTTCATTGAAAATGTTTTATAAGAAAAAATTTTTGCATTCCATGAAGTGATGATGGAATAATTACATTTTCGATGACAAAATTGCGCAGCAAATACATCGCATAAAAGCTAAAGAGATGACTATAAAATTGAGTAAAGATGCCACCTTCTCTACATTTGTATATGTATGAGTACCTTCTCCAATGTTCTCTTTTTGTCTAATTGAACTGTGGGAAAGTGTAAATATCCACTGAGTTGAGTCAATATTAATGTGGTTCCTAGTTTCTATTTTTCATTTGAACTCAAGTTATTGAGAGGATGATGTTAAAGTCTCTAACTCATAGCTTTGACTTTAAAATAACTAAAAAAATTGTATATGCTCTAACTGTATTGAGTACCAACTCTGCTATATACTCTGCTTGAGACTTGAGGACAGAAATAAATGATTTCATATATTGGTTGAGATATACAAGTATATAATTGATTATCCAAGTTTTTTTACATGAAGTGTATGGTCTATAAATAGGTTTCAAGGCATTCACAGAACCCTAAAATTGTATGCAAATCACTTTCTGTCTATGGATGTGAACATTTTCATAGGCAAGGTGTTCATGGATTTCATCAGCTTTTTTAGATTCTCAAAAGGTTCATTATGTTAACAAAGTTAGAAGTTATTAAACCTCTTTCTCCTTGGCAATGGAAATAACCTAGTTTGAGGGGTATATGTTTTCATATGTGATGAAATTTTGGTTCAGAAGTTTCGTGACTTGCCTAAGGTCAAGTAATTGTTTAATGACAGATCTAGAATAAGAATAGTAAGTTGTCTTGTCACCTAGTCCAGGCTTGTTACCCACCATATAGTTTTTATCTCATTGACATTATCTCATTGTTTCTTCAAACGCTAGCCATATAGCCTGAAGCATTTGTTTTCTGCATTTTCCTATACTATTAAATGGAAACATCGCCTTTTATGTGCTTTCATGTTTAATAGGGAAAAATTCCAAATTGCATTAGAAAACCAAATCGTAATTCAGTTTTTATTTTGGCTCATTCTTTATAAGAAGCAAATGACAACCAGAATTTTCCAATGTAATTTCCCAGGGGAGACCTAGTCTCAGAACATTGTTTACCCAAATCACAGTATCTTCGACATCTAATGATCATTGATTATCACAATGATAAATCACAAAAGAAAAATTCCATTGTATTTACTGTATGCTCTACCATCTAGGGCAAGGGCATAAAGAAATGATTTTGGATACTTCAACAGAATTGGGACAAGATATTCTTGTTAAGCCTCTACATAGGTATTATTGTAAACCTGAGGAGTCCATTCTCCATGCATTCAAGTCATAGGTGCTCTGGTTTTCCTTTCTTTCTTTTTGGTTTTTTTTTTTTTTTTTTTTTTTTTTTTTTAATCACTGGGGTTTGGTATCTCTATGGAAATAATTAAAAACTCTCAGGAAAATGGCACTTCTCTGCTCTCAGTTCAAATGATAGTAAGTCAGTGCATTCTTATATGACTTCAGAAGCTCACTTTTAACAATGCATGTGTGTATATATGTGTGTGTATGTGTGTGTGTGGGTATACACTTGAAGGTTGATTAACTCATTTATAATTCATATATGAACACAGTACCAAAGCGTTTACTTATTTTTAATTAAAAATTGGAAGGCATGATCTTCTCACAAAAGGGAATGTATCACTCCTATTTTTTCATTAGGAGAGGAAAATTCATGCTACACTTTATGTGTTTATCTAACATTTTGTAATTCTGGGGCTGAAAAATAGAAGGAAATTAGGTCAGGGTTAGCCTTTATAAAAGACACTTTTACTCTGACATACCACTGGGTGGAGTACATTGCTAGCCCAGAGACTAATATTACTCTATTGAAAGGTAAGAATTTCTGTGCCAGAAGAAACTCCTGATCAGTTTTGAGGTTTTATGTATTGCTTCTAAAATCTGGACATGTTTAACAATGGCTAAGTGACTAGAATATAATACCAACATTGACTATGCTCTGGCATTATAACTTTCAAGTTTCAGTCCATCATCCCTACACCTTTGGGAGATATGCCTAGAAGACTCTGAGAGAATTATGTGGATGAAGGCCATTTTATATTCTAGTCAAAAGAGCAACTGCAGTTTGGTCTGAATTAGTGTTTTAACTCTACATGGAAAGGCATAAAGCTTCTTTTTGATAATGAAATCAAACTGTACCCAGGTATTGAATTTGACTTTTTATTTCATGTTGCTTTGATATAGCTTATTTTGGAGCTGAGCCTAATCTTATAATAAAATGAGCTTCTCTACGATGCCCTGTGGGACTATTATTGTCCATAGCATTTGCCTGAATTTGGCCTTCAGGACTTTATGAATGAGAATAATTTCCTAGTAGGCATTAGCTCTATATTATTTTCAGTTTCCCCCCATTCCCCTCTCCTCTCTTTAATTTTTTCTCTCTAAGTGCTGGGAAAAGGAACTCTACTAATCAAATCTAAAAATCTCCAACCTTAGAAATTTATTGTGCTTTAAATTTTATAATCTAATAAAATTGAGTCATTTTTACAGAACTATTTAGGATCTATAATTCTAAATATATGTCTTTATATTTCAAGTAAAGATTATGTTATATGAAAGAAAGAATTCTCACATTGATCATTCTTTTGCCTTGTTTCTTTTATTCCTTTAATTTCATTTTCCTGCTCACAGCACCCCTTTATTTTTTCTTAGCTTCCAGCTCTCAAACCTCGCCCTATAGCTTTTATGCTTCTAAACTTCCCCTCCTGCCCCATTTCCATTCTAAATGGAGTTCTCTTTCATCTTTTTTTTTAACAACCTCATATTCTGCACTTTACTTAATTTTTCTTCCCAACGCTATTAAAGATTCTTTATTTCTCCCTTCACCCAAGTATAGCATCTCATCTATTTCTCTATACTGAAGATGTGGTTTACCCAGGGGAGGAAGTTTCTCATGCACACTGCTCAGTGCTGGGATGATTTCAGTGGTGCCAGCATATTTTAACCACATCATTATCATGTAGTCCCAAAGCCTTGCTCACTGAAAACACCATCTTTAAAAGGATTTAGTTTCCATTAATCAATTTCAGAACTTGAAATTCAAGCACGGAAAGCATTTATTAGAATGTTCCCTACTTGTTCCCACATTCATTTCATTCTCTTGACTATCCAAGAAAAAGGAATTGTGCAAAGGTCTTTTCTCTCTCCGTGCTTACCTCTCCTTTCTATAACCCACCGAGCCCCCCAAGTCTATTCTTTCATACAGTAGTTAAATCAGAGCATGCGGCAGGAAGGCATTGTGTGAACTGGTGGCCACACAAGTACTTTGTATTCACTAGAGGTTTAGAAGTACAGCAGCTGCATATAAATATGCATAGTTGAGAGATTCATGATGGTGCCTCCTCATTCTAGTGCTGGTTGGCTGCAGTGCAGGCACTACAAATCAATGAACATTTTCCCCATCCATCAGCTGCTCGCTTGCAAGCAGACAAAACACTTACAATGCCAGAAACCCACAGAGAGCTCCTTAGTGAACGAAACCTCACTGTCACAAGATTCAAAATAGCCTTCTCCCTCCCACCCTCAACCTCCACAGCTCTCGACCTCAAATGTCTTTTTTTTGTTAATCCAACGTGGATCGCAAGTACTTAAAAAATGATGCCAGGAAAGAAACTGGAAAAACAGGAGCAATGATAGATCAGAGTTTTGAGGGTCCTCACATCACACTTGTCACAAAACAAAGGCTTCTTTGAGATTTAACCCTTTTAGAAAATAAAACCCATCATAAAGATGAATCTGCTTATGTTGACTGTACTGCTTTACAATTGTAGGGTTTGAGCGTTGAAGCATTTAAGTATGCAAAGCATTATGCCAAGCTGTGTCAGACATTTGTAATTTATCTATAGTTACTAGATGGCTTTGGGTATTGAAGGAATTATGATTGATGATATGAGAAGAATAAATCATAGATATATTTAACAGTAGAAATCATATTTCTCTCTTTGAGCAATTTTTTGCAGAGAACTCAGATGTATTTATATTGTGACAATTCATGTAGAAACTTTAATAAAGCTTAACGTCACTTAATAAAATTTCATATGCAATATATTAGTGAATCAAATGTATATTTCTTGGTGAAAAGATATACATTCATTACATCTTGAGAACAAGTCTATTTCTCATTTTTAGATAAACATTGGTAATAAAAATAGTTTATTCTTGTGTAGCATGAGCTATTAAACAATTTACAGTGCTTTATCTGACAACTTGCCAACCCATCTTCCAATAACAATAATAATAAATATAATTTTTCATTCATTTAGGTTTTCACTACTTTGTAAATACACACCATAGCACCATGATGCTATGTGATACATACTATATGATAATATCTGTAGTCCCTGTTTTTAAGATGTGAATGTTCTGATTGGGGATATAGGAAATACAGTTACAAAATGACCACGTGACTTTCAAGTGTTAGGAAAGTCTAGTTCAGTGTTCAGTACGTTGAAGATAGTAAATATTTTTTAAATGTATGACATTTATTTAAAACTTATCTATCCAGTTAATATGTTTTGTTACCATGTTAAAGCAAGGATAAAAACAAATATAGGCAAGATAATTATAATTATACTTAACTGTGGCTCAGAGAAGCTGACAGACATGTCCAAATTTTATTTGCATGTGTGCAGCAAAACCAAAATTTGAACTCCTGTCTGCTTAACTTCAGAGCTCATCCATTCACTTCTACTAAGCCATGTAGAATTACAAGGCAGAATGTGATAATTGCTCTAGTGGATCAGAAGAGGTAAAGATCGCTTCCAGCAGGGAGGACCAAAGAAGACATCATTAAGAAGGAGTAGCATTTGAGCAAGCCTTTGAAGAATGGGCACAGGAACAGAGGAAAAACTGCAGACAGGGGTTAGCATTGGTGAAACCTTATGACTCTGGAAAATGAGTTGCCAGGCAGATGAAGGACACCACTTTGAATGAAGTGGATGCCGTAAATAACACTACTATTTAAAGAATCGCCAGACGGACTTCTTAGTTATTAGAAATGGAATGCAAAAATAGACTTATATTTCAGGTTTCAAATGAAAGTCAGTTAAACTCTCTGGACCTCGGTTTCTTTGTTTCTAAAGTGAGGACTTGAACCTAAAAACCACTGAAGACTCCTCTTAGGAGGTCCATTTTGCAATACTTTCATTTTCATTTTTTTTCGGAATATAAAAATGTTAGTAGTAGTGAATTCAATGTGTAGTAATTATATAACCTGTATATATGTAATTCGTCTTAAAACAAAAAGTATACCTATGTATTTACATATTCTTTTAAAACAAAAAGTATACCTATGTATTTACATATTCATATCTCTATATACAAACAAGATATTTGCATTTGACTGGCTTATATAAGCTCTCAACTTCATTTCAAGAAGGCTTTTTTTTTGGCCGTGTATTTATCTCTAGTTTGCTTCTTAGTGTTTGAGTGCAAACTGATTCTTATAATAATTTAGTCAATACATAATAAGAAAGTATACATGTACTAAGCAAGTGATAAAGACAAGATTTGGGGATTATGTGCTCTCTCATGATATCTGTATATTTCAACCTTTGGAGGGGATGTGGAGACTGAAATATTATATATTAATTCATCAATATAATGGCAAATTTTTGTGATGTTCAAATGCTCTTGAGTAGATTCACAAATTCCACTTTTCTATCCTGTAACCCATGCAGAAGTCAAAGTAAGATTTTGGCAATGTTTATGAAATGAATGTGCGTGTGTGTGTATGTGTGTATACACTTGAATGTATATATACATATACATATATGTTCAAGTATATCAAATACATATACATATATACATTCAAATATATATGTATTTGAGACATATATATATCAAATCAATATAATGTGTATGTGTGTACATGCTTGCACATATATAGACAATTTGAGGAACCATAAGAACGTAAAAGATTAATACAATAATGCTTATTTTTTTCCTGACTTCAAAGCATTTTTTTCCATTAGTACTTTTTCTCTCTAATTTCCCTTTCCAAATAAGAAAAGAGAACCCGAAAAACAGGAGTATTTTGTTTGAATTCATGGTGAGAAGAAAACCAAACATTGTTTTTTTCCATAATTTTTGCAAAGGTTTCTAAGGGATTTTAGTGGGGACCTCTTCCTTGAATAGAATTGCCCAGGATGGAATTCCATCCTGCCATTGTTGCTGCCAAACCCATTCAGGGGAACTTGATGTTGTGAGAGTTCCAGACTCTTTCATTTTCCATCTTACACTGTCTCTCATGTCCTAAAATAGTATGTTTTGGCAAAAACTGATTTGGATTCCAATGTATTTGGAATTGATCTTTGGATTTGGATTCCAATATGTTTGGAATTTATTAGGTTTGTTTTAATGATTTGAATGAAATTGAACCTCGTTGGTAGCAAACAATGCAGTGCTTTGATCATATTAATTCTGAGGCTGATCTTAAGTAGGGATAGTTTAAGCTCATTTTGGTTAAATCAGTTCATGGTCAAATTAACTAATCTTCTTAACAAATATTTACAGAGCACTAACTATATTCATTAGTGTTGAGTGTTGTTAAGATGAACGGAAATATAAAAAGGTTTCCAACCTTCATGGTTTGTATTTTATGTTGAGAAATAAGATTAAATCTTTGAAAAGTTAACCAATTTAAGGTCTTACATACATAAATACTAAATGAGTGTTAGAGTGTACAAGTTCTTTGGAAATTCAAAGACCTGGAATTTGTGTGAACCCTCTGATTTTGTTAACTAGGTAGTACCAGCACCGCTTTCTAATGGGAGAAAAGTCTCAAGATGAATTTGCCCTCAGGTACATTCTGAGCAGATGGAAGTTGAAAAGCAATGAAAGTAAATGAAAAAATTGAACTATTTTCACTTAATAAAGAGAAGATAAAACTGGAGCAATAGGGAAATTGCGGTAAATTTTACTATTACAACAAGAAAATCCTTCCCTTCAGAAGACACCAGTGCAACAATATAGGCTGATCTTAAGTTAGAAGCATTTAATTTCATATAGGCATTTCTGCTGGGAAGACTGGGTATAAGTCCATTTTCATGCTGCTGATAAAGACATACCCGATACTGACAATTTACAAAAGCATGAGGTTTAATAGACTTACAATTCCACATGGCTGGGGAGGCCTCACAATCATGGCAGAAGGCAAGAAGGAGCAAGTCACATCTTATATGGATGGTGGCAGGCAAAGAGAGAGCTTGTACAGGAAAACTCCTGTTTTTAAAACCATCAGATCTCATGAGACTCATTCGCTATCACGAGAACAGCACAGGAAAGACCCACCCCATAATTCAATCACCTCCCGGTTACTCCCGTAACAGGTGGGAATTGTGGGAGTTACAATTCAAGATGAAATTTGGGTGGGGACAAAGCCAAACCAAATCAGCCAGAATTACCTTTAAAGAGGATATTGATTTACTTGAAATAAAATTACCAAGTTTATATCATGTAAGAATTAAGAGCAAATATTCATTTGTAATCCTAAAAATCAGTCACAGAATTGAATGCTTATATTTCAAGAAAAATGAATATTAATAAATATCAAGATAGTAAAAAAATCTTAAGTCCAGAACTTGAATAAAATGTTAACCCAATGACCCTTAAATATTCCTTTTTTTTAAGGTACTATATATAAAATATAATAAAAATGATCTGGTTGAGAAATATTGGTCTGGAAAATTAAGATAGATTAAAACTTCTTTCCCAGCCTCTAGTTATTGCAAAGATTCACCCTGATTGCCTGAGGAAGAACATTCTCTCACACTATGGCTAGAAGAGAAGTGAAAGGAAATTAAAAATAATTACAAAATCAATCACTAGGAAAGATTTAATTGTGGACAAAATAATGAGAAAATAACACAAATTAATGATTAGAAGGTAATTGGTGAGTTTTAATGTTTTATTGGGCTCTGGATTCTAAACCTTTTCTAAAACCTAAGTCAATTGAACTGGTTGAAGAACAAATGCCTTAAGATAAAAACAATTTTTATATTTAAAACCTACCATTGATTTCACAATAAAGTGCCATATAGCAGGAATATGATTAGCTAAACAAACATATATTGGCTGAAAAAAGTTAATTTTGATCAAATTTTGATCATTCTGTTGTCAGTGTCCATGCTCTGCATACTCAGCCTTCAAATGAAATGTTGATCATCTCCAAAATTTAGGTAACAGGACACCATCTGATGTGGTTTGAGTTTGCATTCCCACCTAAATCTTATATTTAATTGTGATCCTCAGTGTTGGAGGAGGGCCCTGCTGGGAGGTGACTGCATCGTGGGGGTAGTTTCCAATGGTTCAGCAGCATCCCCCTAGTGGCTGCTCATTTAGAAGTGTGTGGCACTTCCCCATTTACTCTGTCTCTTCCTCCTGCTTCAGTCACGTAGGATGTGCCAGCTTCTTCTTCATCTTCCTCCATGATTGTAAGTTTCCTGAGGCCTCCACAGACAGGCTTCCTGTACAGCCTGTGGAATGCTGAGCCAATTGAACCTCTTTTCTTCATAACTTACCCAGTCTTAGGTAGTTCTTTATAGCAATATGAGCACGGACTAATACACCATCTAACCTATAGAATGATTCATTTGTTTCTTCATAGGCTACTTGGATCTAGGTGATAATTTGGAATGCTATTCATCTCTGATTTGAAAATGATTTGGGTTGCTTGTAATTGGTCATTTCCTAACTCACTTACTTCCTGGTTCTCATGCACAAAGCCAAGAAATATCCATCTATGTAGTCAGAGTAATTCTTTGGGTCTTAGAATCAGACTTAAAAATCAATGAGAATAGACTTATAGATATTTACAATCCTATTTGCAAGTCTCCATCATTTTATAGGTAAAACCTAAATTCTTCCTTTTAAAATTTCATATAGTTCCTTTTTATTCTGTTCTTAATGGAGAATATATTATATATGTTTAAGTAAATCCGATGCTTTTCTTTTTTCCATCAAAGAAGTCCAAAATTCATCTTTTTTGTCTTTGTTGATTTCTGTTTCCCAAGTTCTCAGAATGCAGCTTAAATGAAAAGCACCAAGAAAGGATGATTTAACAGCTTAGACAAATTTGTATTTAAGAGCAGATGAATCTGGGAGGGGTTGGATTCCTTAGAACAGGAGTTCTTGTGGGAGTATTTGTAGGGTGGGTGAGGTGCTGCAGCAGAAATAGGATGAATATTTTCAAGAAGCTGTCCAACCCTCTCTTCCTGCCCTTTATAGCCAACCAAAAAGTGAAAGATTACTTCCTCAGGTAATGTGCTCTGACTCCATAGACTAGGCCATGTCTCCCCGTTAAAGCGCTCACAGCTCCCTGTATGACATTTCTCAATGATGCCTACATTATGTTTCATTCTCCTTTACTGACAGGGAAAGTATTAATTGGTATGTGGGTTAAACACGGTAAAAAATAATGATGATAGTGATTACATTTGTGAAAAATCTTAAAGCATATTATGGATCAGCGAAACACCAATATATTAGAATCTCTCTCTTTCTCTATTTGTATCTCTAGCTCTTTAAATGATTGTATTATAAGCAGTTCACCCTTTCTGTGATTACTAGAAATACAGCTTCCCCTTCACCAGGAAGGAAAATATGTTCTGCTGCACAGACACACACACACACACACACACACACACACACACACACACACACGCATTTTGCCAGTGGATTCTCCCACAAGGACAAGTGTAGCTGACTACATTTCAGGGAATTACATGGGGAGAGTAAGTGAGGAAGTGAAAGAAGGGAAGAGGGGACACGTAGCTGTGTGTTCATCTAGACCCACCTAAAGTTCCATTTTATCATTCGAAAAAAAAGGGTGTGGCTAAGAGATGGGCATAATTAATAAACTGTTTTAGTCTTTTGGCCATTTTAAATGAAACAATTCATGTAATATTTAATATTCTTGTTATTGAAATTATATTACTGTATGTTTTTATATAGTTCTTACAATTGTAATATGTTTCTAAATAGCTTGTGTAATATTGACTAAATTCAATTATTTTAAGTCCACCTTTTAAAAACATGCTATTTGTTTTGTTTTATCTTGGTGTACCACTGATGTTGTTTGGCTCTGTGTTCCCATCCAAATCTCATCTTGTAACTCCCCTAATTCCCACATGTTGTGGGAAGAACTCAGTAGGAGATGACTGAATCATAGGAGTGGGTCTTTCCCGTGCTTTTCTTGTGATAGTCAATGGGCTTCAGGACATCTGATGGCTTTAAACATGGGAGTTTGCCTGCACAAGCTCTCTTTTTGCTTGCCACCATCCACATAAGCTGTGACTTGCTCCTCTGTGCCTTCCACCATGATTGTGAGGCTTCCCCAGTGATGTGGAGCTGTGAGTTCTCCATTAAACCTCTTTCTTTTGTAAATTGCCCAGTCTTGGGTATGTCTTTATCATCAGCATGAAAATGGACTAATACAGTAAACTAGTACCAGTAGAGTGGGGAGTTGCTGAAAAGATACCAGAAAATGTGGATGTGACTTTGGAACTAAGTAACAGGCAAAGGTTGGAACAGTTTAGAGAGATGAGAAGAAGACAGGAAAATGTAGGAAAGTTTGGAACTCCTAGAGACTTGTTGAATAGCTTTGACCAAAATACTGATAATAGTATGGTCAATGAAATCCAGGCTGAAGTGGTCTCAGATGGAGATGAGGAATGTGTTGGGAACTGGAACAAAGGTGACACTTGTTATGTTGTAGCGAAGAGACTGGCAGCATTTTGCCCCTGCCCTAGAGATTTGTGGAACTTTGAACTTGAGAGAGATGATTTAGGGTATCTGGCAGAAGAAATTTCTAAGCAGCAAAGGATTCAAGAGGTGACTAGAGTGCTATTAAAGGCAATCAGTTTTATAAGGGAAGAAGAGCATAAAACTGGAAAATTTGAAGCCTGACAATGCGATGGAAAAGAAAATCCCATGTTTTTGAGGAGAAATTCAAGTTAGCTGCAGAAATTTGCATAAGTAATGAGGACCCAAATGTTAATCCCCAAGACAATGGGGAAAATATCTCCAAGGCATGTCAGAGGTCTTCATGGCAGCCCCTCCCATCACAGGCCTGGAGGCCTAGGAGGAAAAAGTGGTTTCATGGGTCTTGCCCAGGGTCCCTGTGCTGTGTGCAGCCTAGGGACTTTATGCCACTCTAGCTAAAATGGGCCAAGGTACAGCTCAGGCTGTTGCTTCAGCTGGTGGAAGCCCCAAGCCTTGGCAGCTTCCATGTGGTTTTGATCCTGCGTGTGTGGAGAAGTCAAGAATTGAGGTTTGGGAACTTCCACCTTGATTTCAGAAGATGTATGGAAATGCCTGGATGCCCAGGAAGTTTGCTGCAAGGGCAGGGCCCTCATGGAGAATCTCTGCTAGGGCAGTGAGGAAGGGAAATGTGGGGTTGGAGCCCCCACACAGAGTCCCTACTGGGGCACTGCCTAATGGAGCTGTGAGAAGAGGGCCACCATCCTCCAGACCCCAGAATCGTAGATCCACTGACAGCTTGCACTGTGTGCCTGGAAAAGCCACAGACACTCAACACCAGCTTGTGAAAGCAGCCAGGAGGGAGGCTGTACCCTGCAAAGCCACAGGGGCAGAGCTCTCCAAGACTATGGGAACCTAGGTCTTGCATCAGTGTGACATGGATGTGAGTCATGGAGTCAAGGGAGATCATTTTGGAGCTTTAAGATTTGACTACCATGCTAGATTTTGGACTCACATGGGACCCGTAGCCCCTTTATTTTGGCCAATTTCTCCCATTTGGAACAGCTGTATTTACCCAAAGCCTGTACCCCCATTGTATCTAGGAGGTAAATAACTTCCTTTTGATTTTACAGGCTCATAGGTGGAAGGGACTTGCCTTGTCTCAGATGAGACTTTGGACTGTGGACTTTTCAGTTAATGCTGAATGAGTAGAGAGTTTGGGAGACTGTTTGGAAGGCATGATTGGTTTTGAAATGTGAAGATATGAGATTTGGGAAGGGCCAGGGGCAGAATGATATAGTTTGGTTCTGTGTTCCCACCCAAATCTTATTTTGTAACTCCCATAATTCCCATGTGTTACGGGAGGGACCTGGTGGGAGATGATTGAATCATGGAGGCAGGTCTTTCCAATGCTGTTCTTGTGATAATGAATGGGTCTCATGAGATCTAATGGCTTTAAAAACAGGAGTTTGCCCGCACAACCTCTCTTTGCCTGCCACCATCCATGTAAGATATGACTTGCTCCTTGCCTTCCACCATGAGTGTGAGGCTTCCCAGTCACATGGAACTGTGAGTTCTCCATTAAACCTCTTTCCTTTGTAAATTGCCCAGTCTTGGGCATGTCTTTATCAGCAGCATGAAAATGGACTAATACAGCCACCCATTTGACTTTTGCTTAACTGGGAAACCTGGAAGGTTACAAACTGAAATTTTAGAAACAGTAGCTGAAACCTCGCAGAGGTGCTCCTAGGATCTCTTTCAGTTTCCTACCAGAAAAGTGGGAAATTCATACCAATCTGTTGCCCAACTTGTAGCTCTTCTAGTCCAGATGAAGAAAAGTTTCATTCGTCTGTGGATGAAGAAACTTGAGGAATAATTCTATCTACATCAAGACTTTTTTTATAATAAATTAAGAATGGGAGCTGTGATTCTGTGGGTAAGCAATCCTTGCTCCCATGCAGGACACTAATTTTTACCTACATTTGCACATCAGAGCTGCCTAGAGAGCCTTTGTGAAATGCATGTGCCCTGGACCTAATCCTGGATGCTTCTGTAGGCCTGGAGAGGGGCTGTGCCATGTGCATTTTTACAGGACTTGGAGGTCATGCTGATGTATTTTCTGGATCAGTAACAACAAACCAGGGCTTTCTTCTCACAGTCATGCTGTAAGACCCACTAATATTTGAAGGATTCATTGTTGGACAAAATGTCCAGAGACCCCATTCTCTAGAAAAGTGACCTGCTTCCCTGTGAGCTTTGGATGTAGATTGACTTAGCTTGGCCTGCCTGTCTTCATATTTTTACCTATGATTCAGATGTTAAAAAAAATTAAAGCCCTAAATTTCTTGCCCATGTTTAAATAATATTTCAAAGGTAATTTTTATAACATAAAATATCTCCAACTTCTAGTTCAAAATATTTTGAAAGATTATTGTTTAAGTAATACATATTAACATACCCTGTATGCTTCTTTGAGAAATAATTTAGAGAGTATTTTCTAAAGGCAATAATAAGAAAACCAATAGTCATAAATAAATAAATAGTAAACACATAATAATCATAGGCATACAGCATTTTCATATCTGGTGTCTAACCCACTTGACTATAGGTACCTTGAAGCTCATAAATATTTTCATTAACATATGATGTATCGGCTGCGTATTTAAAATGGCATAGAAATGAACTATTTTCAAATTAATATTTTATTCATACAAGGAACAGACCATAGCCTTTCTTTTATTTATTCCATAAACATGAGAAAAATGTTTTTCTTCTTGCTTATATAGACACTGTATTAGAATACATTCTAATATATATTATGTGTATATGTGTGTATGTATGTATGTAAGATGCTATTGAAATGACTCCCATATCTATGTTCACCTGAAAAGCTCTTAATTGTGAAACCCAAGGGGCATATGTAGTCTTTACTTTATTGGACTTCTTCGACGTGTTTGACTTGGTCTGCCACCCTGTTTGAAATTCCCATGGCTTCTGTGAGTCTCTCCACTCTTTTCCTTCTAATCTTTCATCATTGCTCCTCTCTGTCTTCTTCAAGGGCTGCTTTCTCCTATGAACGATTTATTATTTATCATTCTGGGATTCCTTATCCCCTCATTCTGAATACAGGTTTTAGCTGAGCAAATCAATTCCGTCATTTCAACTCTTGCTAGTATGCTGCTATTTCTCCCAATTTTTGTCTCCAACAAAATGACTTCGTACCTGAGCCACATGGCCATTTCCTCTAGGTAGCTCTACTAGTATATCTTAAATCTCAAAGCCATACCTCAGCATTTTCTTCTTCAAGTTTATGGTTACTCTTATGCTGGCTCTCCTAGGTGATGACTTCAGAATGAGCCAATTTACCAAGCTGATATTTAGGAGTCATCTATGACTCCTCCTTAAGCCTCATTACCCATATCTGACTTTTTCCAATATAGCTTCCTAAATATTTCTTGAAAATTTCCCTCCTCTCCCTGTGTATTTCCACTGCCTTGTTTAGGACTCTCATCATCTGCCTTCTGAGCTACTACAAAGGCCTCTTATTTTTTTCTCCATTCCAACTCTTGCCTTTTCTATAATCTATATTAAAGAAAAATCTTGGCATAGTAATTCAAACATACACTGAAAGTCCACCATCCCTGTATGGCAAAAATAGCACATATAGCATCAATGTCATGACTCCCTATTTTTGTATCTATGAAAAATATTACTAATTAATTAAAATATTCTATTTTGTTGTTTTAATATTTATTTAGAAAGATTCTAAGGAATTCTCAAAACAGAAGCCACCCAATCACATCATGTAAGATTTGGCAAATAAGAGTAAATGCATTTGCCATATTGATTAGGATAAACCCCATAGTGCAGCACTGTGTCATCCATGATCTTACCTTGGTCCGATTTTCCTGCTTTGTCTCCAGCCATTCCCTGCATCATATTCTGTGAAACACTTTGGTGACAGCAGTTTCTTGCTTACACCATGCTGTTTCTTCTTTCCGGGCTTTTACTTATATTGCTCCCTTTGTTTGGAGGCTTTCTCCTTACACTCCTACCTTTTTGCCAATGCCAATTCCAATTAATTTTTACCTGTGTCGAAAAGAGTCAGCCCAGTTCTCACCCTTTTCTTGAGTCCAGCCAAAGATTATGACTCTAGTCCATATTCCTGTAATAATCTATGCATATCTCTATCAATTCCTGTTATTGTTCTTAGTATATCTATACTTAGTCATTTTTCCACTTATGTGTTTGTTTAGCCTACTGATAGACACTGAGAAACACAATTTTATTAGTCTAGCAATTTTCAGACAACTTATATAGTAACTAGCACATCAGCAAGCACTGTATAAGATGAGTCAATTAACTTTGAAAGTATTGCTGCACATGTAAAATATCAGATTTATTTAGGAGAGGTATTTATTTGTCTTTTCCTAAAGCACAGTTCACAAACTTCTATCATGCACTCTTCAGGCAATCCAGTCTTCCCTTAATCCACATAATTAATTTACATTGCTAGGCTGCTGTGGGAATTTAAGTTTTAAACTCCTGTGTAAAGCATAGAAATACTAAATACATTTTCTGATGAAAATGATGTGTTTTAAAAAATAAGAATAGTTAAAGACTGTAGAGAAAACCAGCTTTTTTTGGGAAATTGTTCCCAAACACCTAAATTCTGTTTTCTTTTGTCATGAATTATTACTATATATTATATATTAAAGCCATGTATACTTTATATTTATTTTCCTTCCCAATGTTTAAAAAACACATATTCACTGTATATACTATTGATTCACCACAGAGATATGCTTTGGTTTTATATGGTTGAGAAATATCTAATAAAAGTGTTTCAAAATTGTTTATACTGTAATTCATACTACTTTTCTGGTCTTCTTAGTCATAAACCAAAGACATGATTCGCAGATTTAAAAGTAGATATAATATCTCTATATGGGTCGAGCATGGTGGCTCATGCCTTTAATCTCAGCATTTTGAGAGGCAGAGTTGGTAGATCACTTGAACCCAGGAGTTCAAGACCAGCCTGGGCAACATGGTAAAAACCCATCTCTACAAAAGAATACAAAAAAAGTAGCCAGGCATGGTGCCATGTGCCTATAGTCCCAGCTACTTGGGAGGCTGAGGTGGGAGGATTGCTTGAACCCGTGAGGTTGAGGTTACAGTTAGCCGCAATTGCACCACTGCACTCCAGTCTGGGTGCTTGTGTGGCAGAGCAAGACACCATTCCAAAAAAGAAAAGGCAGAAAAAAACAAAACAACTCTATATGTCCTGGAGAAATTTGCTGTTAAAATTTATTCTTATATATCAATATGTTTTAGAGTCCTTAGGTTCTAAAACTTTTTTCTCAGTTTTCTTGAATTTTACTCATTTGGTTTTTATAAACCTAAACAGAAATAATTATATGCTGGTAAAAGGATTTCCGTATTGTCCGAGTCTCAATTATCAATCAAGGTGTGTATATGTGCATGTTGTGTATGTGTGAGTACACATTGTTTGAAAGAAATGTAAGAAGAAAGAAGCCAAAAGAAAAAGGGCTCAGTGTCAAAATATAAATGCTCTGTAATGTGATCCAATAATATGAAAATTTGAGCAGGAACTTATATGAGCAGGATCCCATATTTTTCATGAAATTTTTTGAGAATCATGAGACAGCAATTTGAAATATTTGTACTTGATTCCCTGAAACATCAGTAAATAGCACAAAGTAGTCTTCTCTTAGGTGCCTGAATATAATTTGGTGACTACTAGATTTAGAAGGTGTTGAAATAAATTTTTTTGCCTTAAAATACGAAATACTGTGTGAACTGGTCTACTCATAGAGATGAATGGAAAGCTCCCCAGAAGTATAATAAAAAATTATGCGGAAAAGTAGTCATGTGGTAAACAGAAATAGTACCTTGTTATCCTTGTTTCAGGTTAGCCAGACACATGAATTTCATCTGTAGGAAAATGGAGAAAAAATATCTGGCCATGGGTTTGACTGATTCCTGTTCTTATTAAGTATGTATCTTCATGTGAGAGAGAAGAGACAGGAATCATTTCTTATATATTACAGCTTAATTCACTCATCCACTAGTGTTTCCTGAGCACTTTACACATGCCAGGAATAATAAACACAGAATTGACCACTTTTGTAGAGCTTATAGTCTAGTGGCAGAAGAGGCAGATTATTCAGTACCCACACAAACAAAAGTAAAATTTTTACTGTCACAATTGCTGAGAAGTGCACAGTAAACAGTGAATAATCAGGGTGGTGGGGAAGGCCTGTCTAAGGAGGAAACACTTTGGTTGAAATCTGGAGGATGGGTGGACGTTAACCAGGCAACAAAAGGAAAGACAGCTGTGCAGTAACTTTATTACGGATACACACTTTCTTAGAAAGTTAAAAGCTACATATACAAAGCACATATGCTGACTTCAGACCGTTGTTGGTATTTGCGTGGGATAGAGGGGAAAGGGAATGCATTGGGTGAAACTTTGGTTGTAGTAAGACATTTATTCAGCTTGCAGCTTACATTCTGGAAAGTCAGCCAGATAAACATTTTATCATTTAGCAAATACGTAACATAGACAGCAATAAACGATACAAAAAATAGTAAAGCAGAATAAGAAAATGAAAGGTTAGGAGTGATGTCGTTTTAGATTGACTGTTAAAGGAAGTCCTTTCTGAGAAGTTACCTGAATGAAGTGAGATAGTAAATAATGAGCTAGGTTCTTTTAGCTTTTTTTAAGAGATAGAGAAAAAGATAATGAAAGCGAGCATGGCAAAATGGTAATACCTATTCTAGATTTCATACTTACAGCCTATTTTTTTTTATTATTTTTGACTCTTCTGAGCTTTTGCATTTTGAAGTATTTAAAAAGTAATTTTATAATGCATATGTTTGTGACCACTTGGGGCCACATTCAGCCTAGATGAGCGATTGAGGAGTAGGCTAGGACTTTGTGTAGTTGTGTTTGGTTGAGTCCGCCTCAGCCGCCTATTAGGATGGATAATATTGCTATAGACAGAGGGAAGCTGGTGTCTGTTAGGTCCTGAAAGAATCCAGTTCGGCATTGACAGGTAAGAGTTACATGTGAGAGGAAACTAAAGAATTGGGTAGGCAGTAAGCCAGCAGGTCCTTGTAGATTGTTAAGAAGTTCAGTCTCTTTTCTAGGAGCAATGGGAAGATGTTGAATGGTTTTTCTTGCAGGGGTAAAAGTGATATGATTGGTTTTGCATTGAAGAATTTAACATTTTCCATTCATTCAAGAAATTTTAAGCTTGCAGCTACCATTTGTCAGGTTCTGTTCCAAATATGTGGACATATATTTGTAAAAAACCAGATAGGCCTTTACACTCAGAAAACTCGAAGTGCAAAGGTAGGTGAAGTTTTTGCTGTCATCTATGGATGAACTTACTAGCTAAATATTTTGAGATCTCCTTATAAGCTGCTTTGCACCTTCAACAACCCATATAATTATCACCTTTGACAAAGATTGGGCAACCATCTTCATTCTAATGACTGAGAATTTTGATAACTCACTAGTTTGTTCATTGTGAGAAAAATCTTTTTGTGTGTGTGTAAAGTGGTTTCTTATATTGTTTTGTCTGTTTCCTATTGTATCTGCAATGGTTATGTGATTCTTTTCCAAGTTTAAGGATTCTAATATTTTAAGGTCAAGAAGGCCTGGGCCAAGGACAGAAGAGCCACATGAGTTGCATGTTCATTACTAAAGCCGAGCCAAAAAACACAGTCCTTCAGAGTGTCATTCGAGAACTGGAATTTTCAGCACTTGCCAAAAAGAGCATTTAAAATTCAAGTATTAGTGATAGGTATCCTTTTAATATTTTGGAGGTAGTCTGTATCTTCTGTACAAGAAACGTGTTCTAAGTGATTAGTTATTATTGGGGACTTGGAAGAAGTGATAAAGATCCATTCTCAATGAGGAAACATGAGCATAGTTAATGCCATCCAGTTTAAAAGATTGGCTTAGTAATTTCCTTTGAGCAGTTCCCTCCGATATTTCCCATTCATTTGACTTCATTCTCCTGGAGTTTTGTCATTTTCCACAAAACTTAATTGATCTATCTTTAGAGACAAATGAGGTCCATTGTTTGCCGTGGAGACAATGTGGATGGTAGTCAAATTTGATTATTGACTCTTTCTCTTTAGTTACATAGAAAATGGGACTACCAGGTTACTCTAGTATCTCAGTGGTTTATCGGACCTAAGTTGGTAGCAACTAAAATTTTATGTAAGTACTTCAAATTGCTCCCTATATTTATTGTAAAACAAAAGCAGTTATCTTAATATACGGCTCTTCTAACATTCAGTTTATCATATAATGAAAAAAGATGTTAGTGCTCAGACCGTAGTATCTATCAATGAATTCTGAAAAAGAAGAAAAAAGCCAGTAAGTATTTATGCTTTTCTTAATTACCAGTTTGATAACTGCAGGCAGATAAATCTTCTTCGTTTTTATAGCCAAGTAATTAAATGTTTTTACAACAAATCTGGCGTGCCAAATAAAGACAAAATTGTTTTTAAAATTTAAAAGAAATGTTAGTTTTCAAGGGATAATATATAAATTTAGGAGTCAATTTAGAGCTTAATATTCCTTTGAGTTTATCTTTCATTTTACATTACTAAATTTCTTTTTAGTTATAAATATTAGTATTTATATTTTAAAATTATATATTTATACAATAATATAGATGTTTGCTTTTAAGATAACCATGGGTGATAGAAACAACAAATCATATATATCTTTGCAAATGCCAGAACATTAGCAGAATTGTACCAAGTTGAATTATATCAAGTCTAGCACTGGTAGAATTACATTGAGGACAACTTTATGTGTTCCCAAATTAGAATTGATTAAGTTGGTTTGTTTGATTTTTTTGTGTAAAGTGGTTTCTTATATTGTAAAGGAAGAGTTAAATGAGCTTATGAGAGATAAAGAGTGAAAATGCTAATTTTAGAAAATGCAAGAACTTGATTTTCAATTCTTTTATTTGTTATTACAAAGGTTCAACCCCAAGGGAAAAACAGGATTGAGTGTCTCATTCGGAGAGGCTTTGCCTCACTTTTCTGTTTGAAAATGGCGGAGCTGGGGAACTGGGCTTGAGAGTGACAGGGACCCAGGTCAAAACTCTGCTGTTCTCCTTTACAATCTTTGTCATGTTAGGAAGTTACTTAATTCTCTTAAGTATCTGTTTCCTTATCTATAAAATGGAAATAATACTTACAAGTTTTAACTAGTATATGTAAGTGTCGTTAAGTGTCCAAAACTCAGTGAAGCTTATTATGCTATGAAACTTTTCCAGTCCTTTCTCTAATCACTGTGTTTATTTTACTTTTTAAATTTTTTATTCTTAATTTTATGACTATATAGTAGCTATACATATTTATGGGGTACATAAGATACTTTGATAAAGGAATATAATGCATAATAATCACATTAGGGTAAATGAGGTGTCTATCGCCTCAAGAATTTATCATTTGTGTTACAAACATTCCAATTATATTATTTTAGTTATTTTTAAAGGTACAATAAATCTGTGTTAACTATAATCACACAATTATGCTATCAACTACTAGATCTTATTCATTCTAACTATATTTTTGTACCCATGAACCAGCCCCATATTCCCCATCACTGTGGGTTTGTTTTTAGATATTTACCTATAGTATTTGATCAGATATTTAATTTAATATTTTAAATAGAGATGGGATCTCACTATGCTGCCCAAACTCATCTCAAACTCCTGGGCTCAAACAATCTTCCCACTGTGGCCTTCCAAAGTGCTGAGATTACAGGTGTGAGCCACCGTGCTCCCCCATCAGATATTTTGCAATCAAGCATGTGTTAAAAATTTTGCAAAGTGTCTGTTGTTATCCATTTCACAGAAAGATCAGATGGTGACATAAAGGAGAATCTCAGGTCCAAATGTCCAAAATAGCAGAAGCAAGGTGATAATTGATAGCCTTTAGGAAGCATTATGACCTCGTATTTTGTTCTTTTCCTTCGTAATCTTCCTAGTTCTTCTAAAAATGTGATCCCAACCCCTCACTTCCATATTTGCCTGTATTATTTCTTTTCATAGCACTTCACCACCATTGATGGTACATATTTATTTATCAATTTATTACTTTTGGTAGTATATAACGTCTGTAAAGCAAGAGTTTGTTATTTTGTATGTAGTCTTCTCTTAATAAAAATTATTAATTATTTTGTATTTTCCATGATATAATTTGGGATAATTTTTAGAAATGAAATATCATACATTCCATTAATTGCGGTCAAAAGAAAATGCATTTAAAGAGGATATATGCATGTGTGTTTTTCAACAAGTAAGGTTAAACTTACTTTGTAACGTATAAAATAAACATAGCTAAAAACTATACTAAAAGTGTGATTTTAAAACTGTGATTTAAAAATACAGCACATTTTACTTAAATGGAGATTTTTGTTCTAGAAAGATATTGAACATGACAATCTGACAATCTGTCCTTGGGACACTGTCACTGCTATTCTCAGATCAGCTGACGAGACCTCAGCTGGGCCTCTGCAAGTTGCTTAAGAACACTTCTAGAACCATCCTAATGGGCATGTTCCAACTGTCACTTGGAAAAAAATGATCACTTGAGATCAATCTGTACAGCAGGTCTTCTGGCAGAAAACCAGTCATATCATTCTCTCCAAAAGAGGCTTTGTGGGGAAAAGGCCTTATCACATTCCTTGGACATGAAGTTACTGTTGGAACCATGCTCGTCTCAAACCATTCTATCACCATGCCAAAAAGCTGCAGCTTCTGAAAGGTCAGAAATGGCCTTATAATGACTTAGACCATCTTATGATTGTTAGGAAGTGAAGATAGTTATAATACTATAAAAGCTTTGGGTCTTTTACCCTTTCATGAGCAGAAACTGTGTGTTATTAACTAAACCACAACTTCCTGATATAAATATCAGAGAGACCAAAGCTAGGAGACTAATATTAACTCTAATCCTATCCTGGACTTGGATTCAGAGTGTAGAATTGGGTTATTCAAATTGTAGAATATTAAAGAGAAAATGGAGTGCACAAAAGGCTAAGAGGAAAAAATATATATTTCTTATGAACAAAAATTCACAATTGTTGCATATGCATTGTTAATAATGTGGGGAAATTTATATTTTTTAATTAAGCTTTATTTTTTAACCTGGTGTTTATTCTTCTGCATTAATTAAATAGAAGAATATATGTTTTGAATTTTAAAATATACTGCTAGTAGGCATTACTTGATTTGAATCATGAAGAGGAGCTGGGAGGTGAATCTCAAAACTGAAAAATTGGAGCATTTCAATAATCCTCATTTTTAAAGTGGCAATGCCAAGCTTTGCAGAAAATCAAAAGAAAGCATGTGCTGTGATAATAAAATTAGACTTTACTCATAAATATTATAGTGCACATCTTAATTCCTTTATGCATCTGTAAAATAAGTGGACTTATCTAGACAATCAAAAAGTTTTTAACTCAGTTAACCTACGAATGATAATATATTTAAAAATACTGTTTTAATAAACATGTTAACTATAATTTCCTATGTATTCATTATAAAGAGTATGTTTGTTTTGTGTCAAAGGTGCATAGTATAGACATTGTAATATTGTTTATTTGCTCCTATGCACTTTTGTAAAAATGCTAAGGTCTATTTTGTCCCTATTCTTCAACTGTGAGCAACTTGCTTTCCTTGTAGAATATCAACTTCTTATGACCGCTTATCCTGATGAAAAAGCTAAAGCTTTTTGTAATGAAAGATAGAATACAGTTGCACGATATTTTAAATTCTTTTGATTGTTCAAACGTTGATTTTCTAAACTAGGAGATTGTTAATTTTTTAAATAGGACATTGTTTTGAAGATACTTTTGGTTGCATCTTCATAAACAATTCTCTCTTCAGTGAAAGAGAAAGGGAGCAGAGAACAAGAAGAGAGTTTCTAAGTAATTTATATAACAAACTAGTAATTTGATTTATCTCTTTGTCCTTCAACTGTCTGCAAAATCTTGCCTTCCACATTCTGCTAATCTTGTCTTAAATTGGTAGTCACTTACACCATGTATGTCACTTTGAAACTTGCAGGTGTGTTTATTTTCCATCATCTTTATTTTGGAGATAGTGAAAAAGCCAAAAATCTCACCTCCAATTAAGAAAAATATTCTTCTAATGCATTCTAATGCATTATGTGTTTTATGTTCTCAAGTACTCTTTTTTTTTTTTTTTTTTAATTTTTAAGACAGAGTCTCTCTCTGTTGCCCAGGCTGGAGTGCAGTGGCGCGATCTCGGCTCACTGCAAGCTCCGCCTCCTGGGTTCACGCCATTCTCCTGCCTCAGCCTCCCGAGTAGCTGGGACTACAGGCGCCCGCCACCACGCCCTTCTCAAGTATTCTTAGCTTGAGATGATGGATTAGAAGAATAGATTTCAGTGTTTAAGCACATTTGCTTGTGCAAAGCATAATTGTGTCCACCTGCAGTAGTGTGTGTATGTGCATAAATTTATATATCTATAAAATAAGAATGCTGAACTATACTCACATGACTGTTCATAGAAAAATGTAGACACACTTTGTGCTTTACCAATTACTGCTATTTCAAAAAACACATTTCTTTATAATTCATTCTGTGACTTTATTCCTCTTAAATATGGTTGGGTCAAGTTACTTAAACTTTGGCACAAAAAATGTTTGTCTCAGCATTCTTTTTTAATGATTTAGGCAGAATTGAAAAACTCGAGTCATAAGATCCAGTGAATACACCTCATTATTAAATAATGCTGTTTCTTGTTACAGCTACTAGCTGCTCTAGCTGGGTACCCTGGCTCGAACTCTCAAATCATTTAAAGCCTACATTTTAAAAACAGTTTTAAATCTAATCTCTTTTTTATATCTGATATGACTTTTAAGCTTACTACATTCATCCTCTGACATTCTGCAAGGGAAACATGAATTAATCATTGAGTTTGTCCAACAAGGAAAGATGCATCTTACTGATACTGTGAGCTTCCAGTGTGGTACACACAAGCTGTTTCTGAGATTATAGCACAAGCAAACATTCCCACAGCTATTGTGTTGCTGTTTGCTCAGTTCCCAGTCTCTTAGAATTCCAGGTTGTGATAGTACAGCAGTGGAATCTATGCTTATGTAGTGTTGATTCTGTTATTGTACTCACTGCAAACCTAGAGGTTACTATCTGTTAATAGCAAAACAAACTTGGCCAAGGGTTATTATGATGTATCTTCTGAAAGCATTTACCAGAAACAGTTTGTTAATTGTTACAAAAATTGTATTTTATTTCATAGTCACAAATGTTTATATATTTTTAAAAATATGAAATGTAGCCAGAGAGAAAATAATAATTCCGTTATTGCTTATAATTTGACAGATCAATTTAGAATGAGGAAGCATATTTTAAAGAGCAAATGGTACATTTTCTTTGTCTGAAGTCTGCCTAGAAAACAGATTTTATGTGACGGACTACTGGGTGGCTTCTTTCATATCCAGCTAGTAGTGTTATTGACTGATTTTGCCAGCTCTGCAGCTCATGTGCTTTTTAACTTAATTTTTGTTCCCGCTTTCTCTCATTGATTTGTAAGCAGCTTAAGATCAGAATGCTGTCATCTAATTCATTGGTATCTCCCTCCAAGGAATGGAGTTTTATTTTATGTTAAAATTTTTTTCTGGGTACAGAGTAGGTGTGTATATTTATGTGGTACATGAGATGTTTTGATATAAGCATGCAATGTGAAATAAGCACATCATCAAGAATGGAGTATCTATCACCTTCATTGAGCTGCAAACAATCCAATTACACTATTATTTTAAAATGTTATTCTTCAATATAGTCACCATGTTGTGTTATCAAATAGTAGCTCTTATTCATTCTTTCTATTTTTTAAAAAATGTTTTTACCCATTCACCATCCCCGCCTCTACCCACAATCCCCCACTACCACTTCCCAGCTTCTGGTACCTATCCTTTCTACTCTCTCTGTCCATGACTTCAGTCTTTTTGATTTTTAGATCCCCAAAACAACTGAGAACATGGGTGTTTGTCTTTCTGTGCCTGGATTATTTCACTTAACGATCTCCAGTACCATCCATGTTGTTGCAAATGACAGGATATCATTCTTTTTTATAGCTGAATAATACTCCATTGTGTATATGTATATGTACCACATTATCTTTATCCATTCATCTGTTGATAGACACTTATGTCGTTTTCAACTCTTAGCTATTGTAAATAGTGCTGCAACAAACATAGGTGTGCAGATAGCTCTTCAATATTCTCATTTCCTTTCTTTTAGGTATATAACCAGCAATGAAATTGCTGGATCATGTAGTAGCTCAATTTTTGTTTTTTGAGGAAACTCCAAACTGTTCTCCATAGTGGTTGTACAAATTTACATTCCACCCAACAGTGTACAAGGATTCTCTTTTGTCCACATCCTCGCAAGCATTTGTTACTGCCTGTATTTTGGACATAAGCCATTTTAACTGAGGTGAGATGATATCTCATTATAGTTTTGATTTGCATTTCTCTGATGATGAGTAATGTTGAGCACCTTTTCGTATGCTGCTTTGCCATTTGTATGTCTTCTTTTGAGAAATGTCTCTTCAAAACTTGCCCATCTTTTGACTGGATTATTATTTTTTTTCCTAGAGTTGTGTGAGTTCCTTATATATTCCAGTTATTAATTCCTTATCACATGGGTAGTTTGAAAATATTTTCTCCCATTCTCTGTGGATTGTCTCTTCACTTTGTTGATTGTATTCTTTACTGGGCAGAATCTTTTAAACTTGGTGTGATCCCATTTGTCCATGTTTGCTTTGGTTGCCTGTGCTTGTGGAGTATTGCTCAAGAAGTCTTTGCCTAGACCCATGTTGTAGAGCTTTCCCCCATGTTTTCTTGTAGTACTTTCACAGTTTGAGGTCTTAGACTTAAGTCTTCAATCCATTTTGATTTGATTTGAGAGAGACAGGGGTCTAGTTTTGTTTTTGCATATGGATATCCAGTTTTCACAGCACTATTTATTGAAGAGACTGTCTTTTTCCCAGTGTATGTTCTTGGCACCTTTGTAAAAAAAAAAAAAAAAAAATGAGTTCACTGTAGGTGCGTGGATTTGTGCCTGAGTTTTCTATTCTGTTCCACTGTTCTATGTGTCTGTTTTTATGCCAGTACCATGCTGCTTTTGTTACCATAGCTCTGTAGTATAATTTGAGGTCAGGTAATGTGATTCCTCCAGTTTTATTCTTTTTGCTTAGGATAGCTTTGGCTATTCTCGGTCTTTTGTGGTTCCATATTAGTATGAGGATTGATTTTTTTCTATTTCTTTGAAGAATGTCATGGGAATTTTGATAGGGATTACACTGAATCTATAGATTTCTTTGGGTAGAATGGACATTTTAACAATATTGATTTTCCAATCCTTGAACATGGATTTGTTTTTTCATTTTTTTTTTGATGTACTCTTCAACTTCTTTCATCAATTTATAGTTTTCGTTATAGAGATCTTTTACTTGTTTGGTTAAGTTAGTTCCTGCATATTTAATTTTATATATGATTATCATAAATGGGATTTTTTAAATATTTCCTTTTCAGATTGTTCACTGTTGGTATATAGAAATGCTACTGGTTTTTATATGGTGATTTTGTATCCTGCAACTTTACTGAATTTATCAGTTCTAATAGTTTTGGGGGGAGTCTTTAGATTTTTCCAGATATAAGATCTTATCATCTGCAAACAAGGATAATTTTACTTATCCTCCTTTTCAATTTGGATGAGCTTTATATCTTTCTCTTGTTTGATTGCTGTAGCGAGGATTTACAGTGCAATGTTGAATAACAGTGATGGCAATGGTCATTCTTATATATTCCCAATCTTAGAGGAAAAATTTTCAGTATTTCCTCATTCAGTATGATACTAGTTATGGGTCTGTCATATGTGGCTTTTGTTATGTTGAGGTATATTTCTTCTATGCCCAGTTTTTTTAGGGTTTTTATTATGAAGGGATGCTGAATTTTATCAAATGCTTTTTCAGCATCAATTGAAATAATCACATGGTTTTTATCCTTCATACTCTTGATAGGATGTATCACATTGATTGGTTTGCATATGTTGAACCATCCTTGCATCCCAGGGATTAATGAGTGATTTTTGTAATATATTGTTATAATGATTGATTTTTGTAATGTGTTGTTGAATTCTGTTTGTTAGTATTTTATTGAGAATTTTTTCATCAATATTCATCAGCAATATTGGCTTGTGGTTTTCTATTTTTGATGTGTCTTTGTCTGGTTTTCATATCAGGATAATACCACCCTCATACAATGTGTTTGGAAGTATTTTCTTTGCTTTTATTTTTTAAAATAGTTTGAGTAAGATTGGTATAAGTTCTTTTTTTTAATTTCAATAGGTTTTTGGGGAACAGATAGTGTTTGGTTACATTATTAAGTTCTTTAGTGGTGATTTTTTGATGCATCCAACACCCAAGCAGTGTACCATGTACCCAGTGTGTAGTCTTTTATCCTTCATCCTTCTCCTACCATTTTCCCCAAGTTGCCAAAGTCCATTGTATCATTCTTATGCCTTTGCATCCTTATAGCTTTGCATCCCACTTATGAGTGAGAACATACAATGTTTGGATTTCCATTCCTGAAATATTTCGCTTAGAATAATGGTCTCCAATTCCCTGTGAATGCCATTATTTCATTCTTTTTTAATGGCTGAGTAGTATTCAATGGTGTGTGTATATATATATATAAATTGTGGTATATATATACACACCACAATTTTTTAATCCATTGGTCGATTAATGGGCATTTGTGCTGGTTCCAATTTTTGCAACTGCAATTTGTGCTACGATAAACTTGTGTGTGCAAATATCTTTTTCCTGTAATCACTACTTTTCTGCTGAGTAGATACCCAATATGGGATTACTGAATCAAATGGTAGTTCTACTTTAGTTCTTTAAGGAATCTCCACACTGTTTTCCATAGTGGTTGTACTAGTTTTCATTTTCATCAGCAGTGTAAAAGTGCTCCCTTTCCACCACATTCATGCCAACATCTATTTTTTTTTATTTTTTGATTCTGTGAAGAATGATGGTGTTATTTTGAAGGAAATTGCGTTAAATTTGTAGACTGCTTTTGATTCTGGCCATTCTTGCAGGAGTGAGATGGTATCGCATTGTGATTTGGATTTGCATTTCCCTGATCATTAGTGATGTTGAGCATTTTTTCATATGTTTGTTGGCCATTTGTATATCTTCTATTGAGAATTGTCTATTTATGTCCTTAGTTCACTTTTTAATGAGATTGTTTGTTTTCTTCTTGCTGATTTGTTTGAGTTCCTTGTAGATTCTGGATATTAGTCCTGTGCTGGATGTATAGCTTGCAAAGATGTTCTCGCACTCTGTGGTTTGTCTGTTTACTCTGCCGGATGTTTCTTTGCTATGCAGAAGCATTTTAGTTTAATTAAGTTCCATCTATTTTTCTTTGTTTTTGCTGCATTTGCTTTTGGGTTCTTGGTCATGAAGTGTTTGCTTAAACCAATATCTAGAAGGGTTTTTCCAATGTTAACTTATAGAATCTTTATGGTTTCAGTTCTTAGATTTAAGTCCTTGATCTATCTTGTGTTTATTGTTGTACGAAGTGAGAAATGAGGATTCAGTTTCATTCTTCTACAAGTGGCTTGCTAATAATTATCACAGCATCATTTCTCAAATAGAGTGTCTTTTCCATACTTTGTGTTTTTGTTTGCTTTGTGAAAAATCAGTTGGCTGCAAGTATTTGGCTTTATTTCTGGGTTCTCTTTTCTGTTACATTGGTCTATGTGCCTATTTTTATACCAGTAGCATGCTGTTTTGGTGACTATGGCCTTATAGTATAGTTTGAAGTCAGGTAATGTGCTATGCCTTCAGATTTGTTATTTTTGCTTAGTCTTGCTTTGGCTATGTGGGCTCTATTTTGGTTCCATATGAATTTTAAGATTTGTTTTTATAGTTCTGTAAAGAATGTTGGTGTTATTTTGATGGGAATTGCATTGAATTTGTAGAGCTTTGGGCAGTGTTGCCATTTTCACAATATTGATTCTACCAATGCATGAGCATGGGATGTGTTTCCCTTTATTTGTGTTGTCTGTGAATTCATCCAGCAGTGTTTTGTAGTTTTCCTTGTAGAGGTCTTTCACCTCTTTGGTTAGGTATACTACTAAGTATTTTATTTTATTTTATTTTATTTTATTTTATTTTATTTTATTTTATTTTATTTTATTTTATTTCATTTCATTTCATTTTATTTGCAGCTATGGTAAAAGGTGTTATTTCTTATTTATTTATTTATTTATTTATTTTTTTGAGACAGAGTCTCGCTCTGTCACCCAGGCTGGAGTGCAGTGGTGCGATCTCGGCTCACTGCAAGCTCCGCCTCCCGGGTTCACGCCATTCTCTTGCCTCAGCGTCCCGAGTAGCTGCGACTACAGGTGCCCACCACCATGCCTGGCTAATTTTTTGTATTTTTAGTAGAGATGGGGTTTCACCATGTTAGCCAGGATGGTCTTATCTCCTGACCTCATGATCCACCCACCTTGGCCTCCCAAGGTGCTGGGATTACAGGCGTGAGCCACTGCGCCTGGCCAGGGGTTGAGTTATTGATTTGATTCTCAGCTTGGTCGATTTTGGTGTATAGAAGAGCTACTGATTTGTGTACATTAATTTTGTATCTGGAGACTTTGCTGAATTCTTTCATCAGTTCTAGGAACTTTCTGGAGGAGTCTTTAGGGTTTTATAGGTAAACAATTATATGATCAGCAAACAGTGACAGTTTGACTTCCTCTTTACTGATTTGGATGCCCTTTATTTCTTTCTCTTGTCTGATTGCTCTGGCTAGGACTTTCAGTACGATGTTGAAGAGGAGTGGTGAGAGTGGGCATCTTTGTCTTGTTTCAATTCTCAGAGGGAATTCTTTCAACTTTCCCCCATGCAGTATTATGTTGGCTGTGGGTTTGTTACACATGGCTTTTATTACATTATATGCCAGTTTTGCTGAGAGTCTTAATCATAAAGGATGTTGGGTTTTGTCAAGTGCTTTTTCTGCATCTATTGAGATGATCATGTGATTTTTGTTTTTAATTCTGTTTATGTGGTGTATCACATTTACTGACTTGTGTATGTTAAATCATTCCTGCATTCCTGATTTGAAACTCACTTAATTGTGGTGGATTATCTTTTTGAAATGTTGTTGGATTTGGTTAGCTAGTATTGTGTTAATGATTTTAACATCTATGTTCATCAGGGACATTGTTCTGTAGTTTTCTTTTTTGGTTATGTCCTTTCCTGGTTTTCGTATTTGGGTGATATAGGCTTCATATGAATAGAATAATTTAGAGAGGATTCCCTCTTTCTGTATCTTGTGGAATAGTGTCAATAGATAGTACCAGTTCTTCTTTGAAAGTCTGATGTAATTCAGCTGTGAATCCAACAGGTCCTAGACTTTTCTTTTGTTGTCGGCAATTTTTTTTTTTTTAGCACCATTTCAATCTTGCTGCTTGTTATTGGTCTGTTCAGAGTTTCTATTTCTTCCTGGTTTAATCTTGGAGGGTTGTATATTTCCAGGAATGTACCCATCTCCTTTAGGTTTTCTAGTTTATGCATTTAAAGGTGTTCATGGTAGCCTTGCATGATCTTTTGTATTTCTGTGGTATTGGTTGTAATATCTCCTGTTTCATTTCTAATTGAGCTTATTTTGGATCTTCCCTCTTCTTTTCTTGGTTAATCTCACTAATGGTCTATCAATTTTATTTATATTTTTAAATAACCAGCTTTTTGTTTCATTTATTTTTTGTGATTTTTTTTGTTTCAGTTTTATTTAGTTCTGCTCTGATTTTTGCTATTTCTTTTCTTCTGCTGGGTTTGGTTTTGGTTTGTTCTTGTTTCTCTAGTTTTTCAAGGTATAACCTTAGATTGTCTATTTGTGCTCTTTCAGACTTATTGATGTAGGTATTTAAAGCTGTGAACTTTCCTCTTAGCACTGCCTTTGCCATATCTCAGAGGTTTTGATATGTTGTGTCACTATTATTCAATTCAAAGAATTTTTAAATTTAAATTTCCATCTTGATTTTATTGTTGACCCAGTGATCATTCAGGAGCAGGTTATTTAATCTCCATGTATTTCCATGGTTTTAAGGTTTCCTTCTGGAGTTGATTTCCAATTTTATTCCACTGTGGTCTGAGAGCACCTGATATAATTTCAGTTTTCTTAAATGTATTGAGACTTGTTTTGTCTCAATTATTATATGGTCTATCTTGGCGAATGTTCCATGCACTGATAAATAGAGTGTACATTCTGCAGTTGTTGGGTAGAATGTTCTGTAAATTTCTGTTAAGTCCGTTTGTTGTAGAGTATAGTTCAAATCCATTGTGTCTTTTTTGACTTTCTGTCTTGATGGCCTGTCTAGTACTGTCAGTGGAGTATTGAAGTCCCTCACTATTGTTGTGTTGCTGCCTATCTCATTTCTTAGGTCTAGTAGTAGTTTTATAAATTTGGGAGCCCCAGTGTTAGGTGCGTGTATATGTATATGCTAGGTGTGTGTGTGTGTATATATATGTTATATATATGTTATATATGTTATATATTATATATATGTTATATATATGTTATATATATGTTTTATATATATATGTTAGGTGCATATATGTATATATATGTGTATATATACAGGATTGTGATATTTTCCTGTTGCACTAGTTCTCTTATCATTATATAATGTCCCTCTTTTTCTTTTTAATTGCTGTTGCTTTAAAGTTTGTTTTGTCTGATATAAGTTTTATAAATTTGGGAGCCCCAATGTTAGGTGCGTGCATATATATATATATATATATATATATATATATATATATATATATGTTAGGTGCACATATATATATATGTAATATATATATGTTTTATATATATATGTTATATATGTTATATATATGTTTTATATATATGTTATATATATGTTTTATATATGTGTTATATATATGTTTTATATATGTGTTATATATATGTTTTATATATATATGTTAGGTGTGTATATGTATACGTATATATGTATACATATACGTATATATACATATATATACACATATATATAGGATTGTGATATTTTCCTGTTACACTAGTCCTCTTATCATTATATAATGTCCTTCTTTGTCTTTTTAATTGCTATTGCTTTAAAGTTTGTTTTGTCTGATGTAAGAATAGCTATTCCTGCTTGTTTTTGGTGTCCACTTGCATAGAATAACTTTTTCCACCCCTCTACCTAAAGTTTATGTGAGTCCTTATGCATTAGGTGAGTCTCTTGAAGACAGCACATACTTAGTTGGTGAATTCTTATCCATTCTGTGATTTTGTGTCTTTTAAGTGGAGCATTTATGTCATTTACACTCAATGTTAGTATTGAGATGTGAGGTACTTTTCTTTCCATCATGCTAATTCTTGCCTGAATCCTTTGTTTTTTCAACTGTGTTTTTGTTTCATAGGTCCTGTGAGATTTATGTTTTAAGGAGGTTCTATTTTGGTGTATTTCAAGGATTCGTTTCAAGATTTAGAGCTCCTTTTAACAGTTCTTGTAGTGCTGGCTGGCTTGGTACTGTCAAATTCTCTCAGCAATTGTTTGAAAAAGACTATTTTTTCTTCCTTTATGAAGCTTAGTTTTGCTAGATACAAAATTCTTGGCTGATAATTGTTTTGTTTTAGGAGGCTGAAGATGGGGCTCCAATCCCTTCTAGCTTGTAGGGTTTCTTCTCAGAAACCCTCTTAGATATTGGTCTTAAAGCCTTGCCCTTGTGAGGGTATTTTCCAGATTCTGTATGCATGCTTTATTGTTTTCTATTCTTTTATCTTTTGTCTCCTCTGACTGTATTTTTAAGTAGCCTGTTCTTCACACTCACAAATTTGTTCTTCTTCTTGATCTATTCTGCTATTAATGGACTCATGCATTCTTCATTATGCCAAATGCATTTTTCAGCTCAAGAATTTATGCTTCTTTTTGGTTATTTTGATCTCTTTGTTAAATTTTTCTGATATAATTTTGAATTGCTTCTCTGTGTTATCGTGAATTTCTTTGAGTTTACTCAACACAGCTATTTTGAATTCTCTGTCTGAAAGGTCACATATGTCTGTTTCTCCAGGATTGGTCCCTGGTGCCTTATTTAGTTCACCTGGTGACATCATGTTTTCCTGGATGGTACTGAAGCTAGTAGATGTTCTTCAGTGCCTGGGCGTTGAAGAGTCAGGTATTTATTGTAGTCTTCAGTGTCTAGGCTTATTTGTAGCTGTCCAGAATTCTTGGGGAGGCTTACCAGATATTTGAAAGAACTTGGGTGTTATGACCTAAGGCGTTTCTGGTATAGGGAGCATCCCAAGCCCAGTAACTCTGTGGTGCTTGCAGACTCACAGAGGTACCAACTTGATGGTCTTGGACAAGATCCGGGAGAATTTTCTGGATTACCAGGCAAAAACTCTTGTTCTCTTTCCGTGCTTTCTCCCAAACATACAGTCTCTCTCTCTGTTCTGAGCCACCTAAAACTGGGAATGGAGTGACACAAGCACCCCTGTGGCCACCACCACTGTGACTGCACTGAGTCAGATGTGAAGACAGCACACCGCTAGGTCTTGCACGGGCCTGCTGTAACCATTCCCTGGCTACTGCCTATGTTCACTCAAGGCCCCACAATCAGCGGGTGGCAAAGGCAGCCAAGAATGGTCAAGGAAAGGAGTTTTAAATGAGGTGGATACAGTAAATGTTGATGACATAGATTATTCAGGCAGAAATATGATGTTTCATCAAGCGGATGGAACTTATCAAGAAGAAAATACATAATTCTACTTCCTTTACTTCTTTCCAATCTTGGAAATTATGAAGGGTTAAAAAACTTAATGTTGTGAAATGGGTATGAGGAAGAGAGATGGAAATTTTACCCTTAGTTCTGCCGTGAACTAGTGATGTGACGTTGCTTTGCTTCTCTGTAAAGTGAGGAAGTTGAACCAGTTGATTTTTAAATTACCTTCTAGTTATAAGACTAATGCTGTTTTAATGAAGGGCATCATAATTTTTAATAATAATTCTCTACACCAGATAATAGTCTGTTACATTTCTAGAATGTAAAACTTGGGCCACTTAAGCTGAAACCTTATGATCATGTCCACATAATGGATTTCAATCTCAGCACCTATTTTTTTAATAATTTAAAAAGATGTTATTAAATCTAAAAGTCTTAGTTTTGTCATTTTGTTATTTTTTAGCTGTTATTTTGTTTTATTGTAGCAATATGGAGTGATTTTTCTTTTTTCTTTTTACCTTTACCAACTGTCAATTTAAACATTACTAAATTGACTAATCGTTTTGAATAACAATGAGTCTTTTTTTTTTTTTTTTAAATTTTGAGATGGAGTCTTGCTCTGTCACCCATGCTGGAGTGCAGTGGCATGATCTCAACTCACTGCCACCTCTGCCTCCTGGGCTCAAGTGATCCTCCCACTTCAGTCTCCTGAGTAGCTGAGGTGCCACCACCATGCCTGGCTAATTTTTGTATTTTTGATAGAGATGGGGTTTCACCATGTTGCCCAGGCTGGCCTTGAGCTCCGGAGCTCAAGCAATCAACCTGCCTCAGCCTCTCAACATGCTGGGATTACAAGCATGAGCCACCACGCCCCACCAAGAGTTTTAATCATTACATTCATGCTCTACAGAGCACAAACATGCTCATGCTTTTATTCTAATGCTCATGTGCCCTTTGTCACTATCAGTGTTGCCAGTCTCATGTATGTATGAGAAGGAACAGAGAATGCCTTGCCACAGTGTATCGTTACCAAATACACCACTAACACTCACTGTGTATAATAATGTTAAAGCAGTTAGCTATTTTTTTAAATTCTCTATTTCATCTATTTTCTGTTTCTTTTCCAGGACATCCATAAAAATTCATCAGAGAGCATTTTACTACTGAGCTGCAAAGGTAGGAAAAATAAATTTTTTTTGGTTAGAAAATATACTTCTTTCATCTGCGTTTCAATAATTTATTCCCCTTGTTAGATATACATGGAATTGATATTGCTTATTCTGACTAAGTGAAAAGTGTTATTTCTACTTACTGCTCAATTAGAAACATGTAGTGTTTAATTGTCAGTTTGAATTTTTCTTTCATACTATTACAGTTTATATTTTACTATAGGCAGAATTTCCTCTTTATCCTAAATTTTGATATTCTCCATAATTTCATCGTGCCTTGACATTGCTGTATATAATTTCTATACATCAGGAAGGCAATTCTGTGTGCATGTGTGTGTGTATATATATAGTTAGAAGTTAGAAACTGAAACTCTTTTTTGTCTACCATCATTTCATATTTTTCTTGCTATTTCAAACCTATAATTTTTAAAGAAACGACTAACGTAATCATTCATAGAATATGCTGTCAGTAACTTAACAATATAAATGTTAACATGGAGGCATTTAGTTCAGCATTTGCTTTACTTAATAGAGTGCAGAAAATGTGGCCCTTTTCTCAGTTAGGGTGTATGTGAAGATAAATTTAGAATTTCTAGACTAGTAAATACTTCTCTGATAATAACTTAATTATAGCTATTTCAAACCAAATTGTTTAATTGTGGTGAATCATATGTAAATTGTTCAGATGTAGGTCAACACCCACGCCCACATTCTAGCACCTCTTTCCTAATTCAAGACAACTTTGCAGTGCCTAAAAGAGCTGAACAGTGCAGATTAGAGACATAAGACAAAAAAAAAAAAAAAACACAAAACAATGGTAACATAAAAACCAACCGTGTCAGAATGGTAACACAAAAACCAACCAGGAGTCAGAAAGTCTCTGTAATAATGAATAGGCAGGTTGTATTTATTTAGACTTTGCTTGATTATTTCTTAGGCTTTATATGTTTGTAGATAACAGTTTCCTCACTGCTCACGAGATTTGTGGCAAGCAAACTCATGGTGCTTCTAGGATATTAAATTTTCTCATCTGTAAAGTACATGCAATAGCATCATTATTGTCTACTCATTGAACTGAAATAAGGATTAAACAAATCAAGGACTGTAAAATGAACGTGTGACTCCTCAAATCCCATACGGGAAGAACATGCTGTTTTTCTTGATCTGGTTGAGTCAAAGATCACTGATGGCAAGAATGCCTTCTGTAGCTGCAGGTGAGGACAACTGAGATACGGTGCAATTGCAGAAAGTAAATAAACTTTTTATTTTTTGAGCTGTTACATTATAGTTCTAATCTATGGATGCCTTTGTGATGCAGCATTGTATCATTTTCTGATGAATGGCTAAGGTTTTATGATTCTATTTTATCTTTATATATTGTCTGCTGTATTTTCAAATATTTTATTTCCATTTATAGATGCATTGAAAAATCATAAAGCACATTGCATAAATGTGTTACATTTGTTTTTGCTTATTTGTTTATTTGAGACGGAGTCTTGCTCTGTCACTCAAGCTGGATTGCAGTGGCGCAATCTCAGCTCACTGCAACCTCCGTCTCCCAGGTTCGAGCAATTCTCCTGCCTCAGCCTCCCGAGTAGCTGGGATTACAGGCACCCGCCACCATGTCTGACTAATTGTTGTATTTTTAGTAGAGACAGGGTTTCACCATGTTGGCCAAGCTGGTCTCGAACTCCTTACCTTGTGATTTGGGAGGCCTACCTCAGCCTCCCAAGTACTGGGATTACAGGCGTGAGCCAGCATGCCCAGCCTGTTGTTGCTTATCTTTAGGTGATTATTGCTGATGTTTTTGGTATATTGACAGAAAATAGTCTTGCTGCTTGTTGATGTATACTACTTTTTGGCTTTAATGATAATAAAATTATAATTTTGCCTTAATATAAACTTAATTTTTATTGTCACTTATCACGAGAATTTGTTCAAGGATTTGAACTTATATCTGCATATAATTTATGATTTTTGACATTTTCTAAAAATTAATTATCGAAAAAAGTGGCAATTGTTTATTTTAATTCTTAGAGGGGTAAAATAAATGGTGTATCCTTTGCGCTTCTTTCAATATGAGTATCTTTGTTGTTTTAATTATTTAAGATAAAAAAATAAGAATTACACTAAACATAAAATGATATATCCCTCAAAGTTAGCTACTACAAAAGTTTTCGTATTTATTCTTTCAGATTCTTTCTTTATATACAGAAACATCAATATCAATATGAGCATATAATGTTTCCATATCATATATATGATCCTCTGGATTTTTTTTTGGTGTTTACCATTTTAATTATGGGCATTCTTCTAAGTCTATGTATGTTCTCTATTTCATCGTTTGTAATGGCTGCACATTAGTCAATATTTTGGATGTATCATGATTTATTTAATAGGTCCTCTAAGCTTTTGTTTAAAAAATAGAACTTTAAAATAGAATAAAAAGAGGCCTCTCTTAATTACAGGTTTGGCAGGCATACAAAAGAATAATTCTCACTTGTATACTGAATCAAGAAATTAAGGAGTAAAGAAAAAGTGTTACAGTAAAGAGTCATTGAAAATAGTATTGAGTAAGTGTGTATTAGTGGGCTGGGTAAAGGAAAGCTAATAATATAGATATTCATGCAAGTGTGTTGTAGGTGTGTAAAATGGAACAGCTACCCATTTCTTCAGAGTTTATCTCAAATGGCACCTCCTTCCATAAGCACTCAGAGACTTTTCCCTTCATTCCCACTCTCACCAGTTGTCTTACATCGCTATAAAAATTCAGGGAAAAATAGACCTTTTCATGTTATGTCCCATGTACAAATTCATTTTGTATGCATCTTTTTTTTTCCTCACTAGGCTGTTAACCCCTAGAGGGTAATGACTGTGTGTTATTCATCTTTGAACCTAATAGATGCAGAAAAAAATATTCATTCAATTAAATTGGAACAAAGTGTAAGAAAAGAAAGTAATCGGCAGGGCACAGTGGCTCACACCTGTAATCCTAGTACTTTGGAAATCCAAAGTGGGTGGATCACCTGAGGTCAGGAGTGTGAGACCAGCCTGGCCAACATGGTGAAACCCTGTCTCTACTGAAAATACAAAAAATTAGCCAGGAGTGGCAGCTCACACCTGTAATCCCAGCTACTTGGGAGGCTGAGGCAGGAGAATCGCTTGAACCCGGGAGGTGGAGGTTACAGTGAGCCAAGATCGCACCACTGCACTCCAGCCCGGGCATCAGAGCAAGACTCTGTTTCAAAAAAAAAGAAAAGTAATCAAGTAGAACTGTTAAATCTTACACAGATTTTATAAGATGCCACTATATGCCTTGCTATTATGCCTGGAGTAAATTATAATCAATTCTCCTGATGGATGAGACACAAATAATATAAACACATGGGTTTGATATATAATGGAAATTATTTTAAATTGAATTTTAGTGATTTTTTGTGGTATTTATGTTCAAAAAGCATACCGACAAGTCAAGCATTTCAGAAAAATGTTTATAAATGTATGAAAAAGTTGTTTGTGTGGTGCTGAACTTGGATATATATTACTGCATATCAATGTGAAAACATTGTGTCAGCTTCAAAGCATTGTGCATATGGAAGACATTATTGCTATTGTTAATACTGTAATAGAATTGCCTCTGCGGATTAAAAATGTAGATGTTTATGTACAAAATAGCAGCAATAAGTAAAAGAAGAAATTATTTATATGGATTCTATTAAATAAAAAGGGAGTACTGTTTTCAGTACTTTGTGTAATGCAGATTGCTACTCATGCCATTTAAATCTCTGACATTGTCTTACCATTTGAATCATGCTTGAAAGAACCTGTGTCCACTTAGTCTGATTTCACTGGTAAAATAAATTAGGAAAAAAAACAAAAACAAAAACGAAACAGTGAACAGATGTAACGATTGCAATTTAATTTAAAGAAAAATTAGAAAATAGTGGAAGTAAAATATCCCTTTGAAACAGAATGTAATGCCTAGTGAGTTCTTTTTCTTATCTCACTTGCAAAAGTCACTAGCTCCAACTCTGATTTCACATGCCTATTACTGAGCAGGTCAATAAGTCATTGGGAAGAAGGCGAGTATCTTGGTCAGTCTTTTCTAATTTATTTATTTTTTTTAGGCTGTTGCTGAGCTTTGTAAACCCAGAGGCTGAAACTTAGTGTTTCAAATGCATATCTTAGCAATGCTTTTTTGTTTTGTTTTTTTAAAACAACAACAACAACAACAAAAGCTCTGATCTCCTCATTGTTTTCTATTTTGCTAGGGATACAAATATAAGTACCTCTAGCCCCTATGGCATGCAAAAAAATGAGTGTAACAACAAATATCAGATAATAGAAAATGGTGGGTACTGAGGAACAGGTGATCGTATGGTTAACATCTGTGCTATAAGGGCTACTTCTAGAATACTATAATGAACATTCTAGTCAAATGTTCTGACAAATTGTGTGTTCCAGTGGCTACCACTTCTGAAGATTTAGGAAGTTGAGTATCGGAATTTTTATGTAAAATTTCATGATTTTGAATGTTGGCTCAAAGATAGAAAGGAAAAAAGAAAGAAAAGGAAGGAAGGAAGGAAGGAAGAAAGGAAAGAAGGTAGGTCGGTCAAGGACTAGGGACTAAATTATGCCCCCTGCCTTGCAATTCATATGTTAAAGCCCTAACCCCCAATGTGATAGCATTTGGAGGTGGGGCCTACGTGAGATAATTAGGTTTAGATAAAATTATGAGGGATGTTCATGATTAGATTATGGTCCTTATAAAAAGAGATACAAGAGGGCTTGTTTCCTTTCTCTTGTTTCCCACGTGAGGGTGGAGCAAGAAAGCCATTGTTAGCAGGCCGGGAGAATGCTCGCTGGGGTATCTCATTGGCCAATATCTTGATCTTGGACTTTCCAACTTCCAAAACTGAAAGAAAAAAAAAATACTGTTGCTTAAGCCACCTAAGCTATGGCATTGTGTTATGGAAGTCCAGCCTGCCTGGAAATAGCAATGACTACCATCTAATCCTTAGATTCCATTCGAGTTTTATGGGCTGTCCAAGTGAATTCCGATGACTGTCCTTTAAGGTGTAAGAACTTGTTTCTGAGTGATGTGCGCTGTTTAGTAGTCATGTTTTATTAGTTTCTGTCAGTGTAGGAAAGTGCCACAGACTTTTCTTGAGTTTCTTGACCCTGACACTTTTGAAGATTACATGCCAGCTGTTCTGCAGAATGAATTTAATTTGGGTTTAATTCAGGGATCAGGTTTTATGCCAATTTGGATCCTAGTGTCTGGGACAGTGTCTGGCATAGAGATTGTGTTTCATAACTAATTGAGGAATGGATTATGATTGAAAATATCTATTGTGCACCTCTGAATCACCAGGCTAATGCTAAGTATTTCAAAACTTTCTAAATAAAAAAAATGTCAAAAATAGAAAACACACAAGTCTAAAATCAGAAAAGAAACCCTCAAAAACACAGACTCTGGTGTCTTCTCCTAGCAGCACTGGGATCTGTTCTTTAATGTATATAGTGAGCAGGCAGGTGCTAGCCACTGTGTAAGTGAATACTAGTTTCTTTAGAGCAGGGCTTCTGAAAGTGTGGTTTGTGGTCTGCTTCCAGGTCACAAGTTGTTTCAGATTCATGATGACATAAGAAGAGAAATTGGAAATGAGAATTTAGAAATCTTTGAGCATTTTGACAAAATAATTTTGTTTTTGCTATCTAATAATTCCAAAACCATCTCACATTTTATCTGTATTTTTATTACACTAAGCTGATTATTAATTTACATTGTATTTTTCCATTGTATTGATCCATAATTGAGT
Source organism: Homo sapiens (assembly GCF_000001405.40). Classification (NCBI taxonomy): domain Eukaryota; kingdom Metazoa; phylum Chordata; class Mammalia; order Primates; family Hominidae; genus Homo; species Homo sapiens. Next base: position 16,493,351 of record NC_000021.9, read on the forward strand.
GGAAATTTTAAAATGTAATTATTTACCACAGTTGGTGGCCATTCTTCATTGCTTTAGGGGGATTAAAGTAGAGTGGTGTAAATGTGATCTAGACCATGGTGGGATTTGACATAGACCCCAAAGAATGGATAAAATCCACCTAGAACATAAAGTATAGAGCTCGACAATTTATGCACAATAAAATGTTAGAATATATGTGTATGCATATATGTGTGCATGTGTGTACTTGTATGCCTGTTTGTATGTGTGAACTTTCTTTTATGCACTGTTATCTGTGCACATGTACTCTTGTGTATGTGCACATATATCATACATGTGGGTGCACATGGGTGCGCATATATATGTTTGCATGGGCATGTGTGTGTATTTGGGAATGTGCATGATATGTTCATAGAACTGGGTAATCATGATCTTGACTAGTTTTTTAGCTGTCCAGTTTTGGACATTAAATTTGAGGTGCCTGTAGAAGAAGAGAGAGGGGGCCGGGCACAGTGGTTCACACCTGTAAAGCCAGCACTTTGGGAGGCCAAGGTGGGTGGATCACGAGGTCAGGAGTTTGTGACCAGCCTGACCAACATGGTGAAACCCCATCTCTACTAAAAATACAAAAATTAGCCTGGCGTGGTGGCACATGCCTGTAGTCCTGGCTACTCCGGAGGCTGAGGCGGGACAATCGCTTGAACCCTGGAGGCGAAGGTTGCAGTGAACCAAGATCACGCCATTGCACTTGCACTCCAGCCTGGGCAACAGAGCAAGACTCCATCAAAAAAAAAAAAAAAAGGAGTGAGAGAAGGTCAAACTGGAGAAATGTATGTATGTACTTTTGTATGTATGCATACGTAATATACAGCTTATGCATATATCTCAAGAGCTCTGTGTGCCAGTTCTGCCTGTGCAGAATCATATGGAGGCTTTACTTTCTCATTTGTTGCTGTCACATTAATTTATTGCGTGAACATATCATTTGAAACTCCAGTAATTTGTCCCATATTTCAAAATGTAGTATGGACAGAGAAGAATGACATAGCTTAAAACTGGTTCCAGACGTGTAAAAACATCTTGTGTCTCTACTACCAAAGCAAGGAGGAAAATTGTGCCGATTAAATGCCTGAACCTGTTTTGGTTTCAATTACCTGGATTATTGAGGCAGAAACAATCTTTGTGCCTGATATATGCTTATAATTGCCTTAGTCTTCAGCTTTGACTTGCTTTGGGAACATGCGCATGTTCTATTAATACCATTGTTAGAAAGGAGAATTTATTTCCTTTTTTGATGGTTCCATAAAAGCTTTAAAATATATTTTACAATTCAGAGAACTAACATTTTATAAAGCCTCCATAATGGAGAATAGTATACGGAGCAAAGGGAAAAGAGTTAACTAGTATTCACTTCACAGTCATCATGTGATAGTTGAGTTACCTCTTACTCCTTTTTCACAACAAACGTTAGTGATTCAATCTTATCTGTAGTGACCTTTGAGCACCTTCTGATTTAAGACATCCACGGAAACCAAACACACTCTTGAATTCTCCATATATTAGGGTCAGTATTGTGAAGATCAAGCCTCCATTCAATTCAAGCACTTTCGAGTGAAGCTCAAAATGAATTAGAATCCATAGGAAGAGAAGACTCACCTCTCTATCCCCCAACCACAACCTCAGCTTTTCTATTTAGCACCCAAAACCTAAGGACTTCAACTAAATGGAGATTTTTCAGCACAGACATTATTATACACTTCATCCATAATACCTACTTAGTATTTTTATTTCAACTCAGTTAATGAAAAAGCCAGAATAGTAAGGTAGTGCATGAGTAAATAATGACCATCTCAAAATACCTTTTTGGACCTTTTTTCTATGAAAGAAGTAGACAAAATTTATGTAATGACACTCCTTTTCCCTGCACAGTCAGTAAAATAGATGTCAAGTTTTAGTGGTCAGCATCACTTAAATATCTAAAATGTATAGAATCCAACATATATAAACCTAAATTGAGCACCTTAAAAATCAAAAATATTTAACATTCCTATTTCATAAAACATGTAGGTAGTCTCCACCATTTATTTTGATCTACTAAAGTGTCTATTAATTTATGAGTTAAATCAAAAAGCATTGAGCATAGACTACATATTAGGCACTTTAGCAGGCTCTGAAGACTCAGTAGGTATAAGTTATATTATCTGTCCTAGAGGGAAGTGCATTATTCCTAACCTGGAGTGAAAGCTTCAGGTGTAGCCTCTCAGAGAAGGGAATGTAAAGGAAAAGATTTCAAAAGTCAGGCATTTGGTCCAAATGGATAAGGGAGCTCCGAGCATCATAACAAATAATAATGGCACTTGAGAAATAGCAATACGATGTGTTTGAAATGTAGAGGGCAGGAGGAGGAGGGACAAGATAAGTAGGAACATGCCAGATCACAAGAGCTTTACATGCAATAACAACTTTGAACTAAAATTTAAAGACAGCAAGGAACAAATGAATACATTTAAGAATGAGCATGAATTGATCAAATTTACATTTTAGACTGATATCTGGAAGTGTGTGCAATTGTGATAGCTGTGTAAGTTGATCAAGCAAGAAAGATAAAGGAAGAAGAGCATGGTCAAAGAAGAGAAGAGTGAGAAGATAGAGTTGAGTAGGTTAGCCAAGAAATGTATTTTAAATATCAAATTGACAGTACTTTACCATTCATGTGTGGTAGGTTAGCACAGCTGTAAATCTTAAAACTCCCAAAGGTTTGCAAGAAAAACTGGGTAGATGAAGGTGCCAATAAATTACTACAAAGAACAGATTTGGGGGATAGATGATTAGTTCAATTATGAACATATTGAGAGGTTGGTGTGTCTAGGGTATATTCAATTAGTTATTTAAGTAGATTGTTCTGAATAGACAAATCTGGTTTCTTTCTTAGAGAAACTTAGACTGTAATCATTATAATGATATAGATGGAAGTTAATTCATTGATGTAAGTGGATTAATTCAGCAGTATGTATATGGCAGGAAATGAACAGAGCTTGAAACCTGGTAAGCCAGTAAATTACATAAAATTACAAATTCAGGACCAATGTGACAAAAGTCTCAACCATAATCTTAATGTCTTCGAATGTTAATGTGGGATGATTTCTTTAATAGATGCCTTGTATTTTTAAAGACAAAAATGCAACATCTAGGAAAAATATTTTTTAAATAAATGGACGAGTACCCAAATCTTGATCTTTGTCGTATTTCTGCAAATCTTATTTTTCTTAAATCCACTTTTATTTTGACTTGCAAATTTTCAAATCAGTACTGTTCAAATATGAGTTTAAACATGAAAACATGATTAAAATTTTCTCAGCACTCAGGATATCACTCCTTCCTACCAGATTTTTTTGTTTTTTTATAATTTTATAGCACTCAACTTGCTTGAAGAACAGCCTTCTCAAAGTGTGCAGTTTTCAGTGATCTAACCCGGATACAGCAATGTTTTCCTGCATTAGCTCATCGGAAAGAATGCCAATGATATAAAAATAAATTGGAGCAAAAATAAGTTAAATATTTGACCTTAATAACATATTGCTCAACTCTTATTATGTTTATGTCACCTTCATATGAATTATCATAATTGACAAATAAGAATGATTTTATTTTCTATGCTGTAAAACAAAGTTACAGTAAGGTTAAATAACCACAGAAAGAAATGCACTCTGAGAAGGTATTTTTTTCTTTGAGAATTCTACAGGTTTTAGGCAGTTATTACATCATAGAAAATATACTTTAGGCCAATATTTTATTTAAGCTATTGTTAGACTTTTGATTAGATCTGTAAGCATTAGTGAGGTCTCTTTGGGGTCAATATTAGTAAAGGAAAATGGAGTTGAGTGTAACAAAGATGAATCAATTTCATTGTCTAGAAGTCTTTTAGGATTCATTATCACTTGGATTTTATTATAGTTCATCATCATTGCCATATTATGCAAGCAAATCAATGAACTTTTAACAAAACCGGAGATAAAAACCTAATTACTTAATTTGATAATAGTTATTTTCTAATTTATACTGCCAAAAAATTTATATCATATTTTATTACAGAATTGTCATTTTAAAATACATATGTTGAGTCATGTCCAAGTCATAAAGAAACATATAAAGCCTCTGTCTTTTATAAGTCATTTTTATAGTCACATTCAAAAACTGAATTTTTAAAAATTTTACAATACAAACAAAATAATATATTTTGAGATAATTTGAAGATCAGTCATAACTCATGAGCACATGGGATTGGTAGATCTTTTATTAACCTAAATCCTTACCTCATTCCCCTTCAAGTCCTATCCCCCTTCTCCCTTTAAGGAAGTATTTTCTTGACCAAACAGAACAATAGCTCTGACGTGTGTATGGCCAACAAATATCAAGAGCATTTGAACGCTTTCAAAAGACAATTAAATATGTTTGTTGGCCATTTGTATATCTTTTGTGAATTGCCTATTCATGTCCTTGGCCCACTTTTTGATGGGATTGTTTGGTATTTTTCTTGCTAATTTGTTTGAGTTCCATGTAGATTCTGGATATTAGTCCTTTGTCGGATGTGTAGATTGTGAAGATTTTCTCCCACTCTGTAAGTCTGTAGGTTATCTGTTTACTCTGCTGACTGTTCCTTTTGCTGTGCAGAAGCTCTTTAGTTTAATTAAGTCCCACCTATTTATCTTTGTTTTTGTTACATTTGTATTTGGGTTCTTGGTCATGAGGTGTTTGCCTAAGCCAATGTCTAGAAGGGTTTTCTGATGTTATCTTCTAGAATTTTTATAGTTTCAGGTCTTAGATTTAAGTCTTTGATCCATCTTGAGTTGATTTTTGTTTGAGGTGAGAGATGATGATCCAGTTTCATTCTCCTACATGTGACTAGCCAATTATCCCAGAACCATTTGTTGAATAGGGTGTCCCTTCCCCACTTTATGTTTTTGCTTGCTTTCTCAAAGATCAGTTGGCTATAAGTATACAAATGCCAATAAACATATGAAAAAAATGCTCAACGTCACTAATGAGCAGGGAAATGCAAATCAAAACCACAATGCAATACCACCTTACTCTTCCAAGATTGCCAGAATCAAGAAGTAATGGATGTTGGCATGGATGTGGTGAAAAGGAAACACTGCTACACTGCTAGTGGGAATGTAAACTAGTACAACCACTATGGAAAACAGTGTGGAGATTCCTTAAAGAGCTAAAAGTAGAACTACCATTTGATCCGGTAATCCCACTACTGGGTATCTACCCAGAGGAAAAGAAGTCATTATACGAAAAAGATACTTGCACAAACATGTTTCTAGCAGCACAACTTGCAATTCCAAAAATATGAAACCAGACTAAATTCCCATTAATCAATGAATAGATAAAGAAATTGTGATATATGTATGGAATACTACTCAGCCATAAAATGGAACAAATCAATGGCATTCATAGCAACCTGGATGGAACTGGAGACTATTATTCTAAGTGAAGTAACTCAGAAATGAAAACCAAACATCTTATGTTCTCACTCTGAAGTAGGAGCTAAGCTATGAGAATGCACAGGCATGAGAACGATACAATGGACTTTGGGGACTAAGTAGAAAAGGGTGGGAGGGGGACAAGGGATAAAAGACTACAAATTGAGTTCAGTGTCTATTGCCCAGGTGATGGGTGCACCAAAATCTCAGAAATCGCCACTTACTCATGTAATCAAGAAGTTACTCATGTAACCAAATACAAACTGTTCCCCAAAAACCTATGGGAAAAAAAATTTTTAAAAGTAACACAATTAAAGAAAAAACTTTTCTAAAGGAGGAAATTCTCTTCTGCAAGAAATTTGACTTTATTTTTATTAAATCTCAACATAATTTTTATTTCAGGTTCCCGTTTGTCCTCAAGGTAGTAAAAACCAGCCACAGTCAATTCAGGCTTTCTCCTTATTTTGCCTGATGTCTAGTCTAAGTTCTGGTAGGGGACCTCAGGTCCATTCAGTCATCTGTCTACTCAGTTATTCACCAAGGATTCCATGATTCCATCATCTGGTTCTTAGTCACTAATTCATGATTGTCATTTCTGAGAGGCTTCTTTCTCCCATTCCTATGGCCGTCCCAGGCCTACAACTCTCTTCATGTCAGTGCAAGACTCCGTCTCAAAAAACCAATCAACCAACCAACCAAACAAACAAAAACTCTCTGATGCTGTTTTGGGCTTTACATACACATGCAACATGCCCATATTTAAGTTAAAGGAGGAGATTAAACAAAAATTATCTCCCTCCTCTTCTTCTAAACTATCAGATGTTGTTTTCAGGAGGACAGGGCAGGGGTCAAGAGAAGGTGGAACAGTATAGTTGTTTGAATGAATACTTAACAATTATGTCATTTAAGACGTATTTTTCACGAGTTTCTTGATGCAATATATAATTAAGATAAGTGTTTGCTTGTTTTAATATTGCTTTGATCTACTTTTAGCAAGAGACTTTTATCATATTTTTATGGAATATGTCTTTAATTTAGTATCGAAACATAAATCACTCCTTAAATTCAATTACTAACATATAATTCCAGCTAAGAATTTCAGGAGCAAAAAAAAAGTTTGTATTTTTAATGTCAAGAACACATTAAAATATAAATGCTTTTGATATCTTAGATTTAAAATAAGGAATTTGTGTATTCATGAAAAAGATAAAAATTTCCGAGAAGACTTTGACAATAAGTTACATGAAGAAAAGTAAATGTTCTCTTTAAAAATTAGATCTTTCCTTACATCCAAATGAATCAGCTATCTAATGTTTTTGGTTTTTTGTTTTTCTATTTGTGTACTCTACTTATATTATTATGAGAAATTTGTGAGATTTCCAAATTTACCTCTCTCCAATATTGGAAATTCTCATAATGTTTAATGTCTGCTAATTAGATGAGTATTTAAAGTGTGTAATTTGTCATTTTAAACTAGGTTTCTGTCATTTATGCTAATTAATGGTAAATTTTAAACATGTTTTACACCATTTTCTGTGATGGTTTTCTAGCCTCCCGTCTTTCCACTTACTGCCTCTAATCCACTACTTCCACAAAGCTCTCCTTACAGCACACTCTGACTGCATTGTGCAGAGAATATCAATGATTCCCAGTTATTCACAAAACAAATTCGAAATGCATGGTCCAGATGACCTGTTCTTTACAGCCCAGTCCCAATGTCCTTTCTTGTCACTTAATTTCTCAACTCTTCCTCCCATGCCTTATAACTGTGTCAAGCTGGTATAATTTTCAGTCCCTTTCCCTATAACTTTATTTTTCCCATTTTACTAATTGAAATCCTACCTATGGTTTAATATTTGGCAAATATGCCCCAACATTTATGTAAAATTTTGTCTTAGTCTGTTCTGTGCTACTATAACAGAATACCATAGGCTGGGTAATTTATAATGAACAGAAATTAATTTTTTCACAATTCTGGAAATTCTAGAAAGTCCGAGATTAGTGTGCCAGCATCTGGTGATGATCTTTTTGCTCATCACGGTGGAAGGTGGAAAGAAGAGAGAGAGAGAAGGAGAGAGACAGGCATTTTAAAAGGCCATTGAAAGCATGTTCAACTGTTGTTAAGATTTAATTTACAAACCATTAGATTTCTTTAATATTTTGTGTTTTAAAATAACCTCAGGTCTACATGTCCAGAGCTTTTCAGAAATGTTTATAAAATTTGGTTGCTGCGTCACCAAAAAATAGCTTAAAGGTATATAACTTTAAGCATTTGAACAAATTAAGATTATTTAAAATAATGTATGTATGGTTGTTCTACATATATCTACATTTAAGTTTATTTTAAAAATTATGCAAACTAACTTTGCATAACCGTAACCAAATAGAAGTCATTAAACCCTATTTATTTTTGTAGTATTCTTGGAATACAAGTGTTTTATTCTTGATGCTATGCTTTCTGTTCAGCCAAACATATGTTTGTTCCCAAAGAAAAAAATTGAGAACATGATAATTAAGATATGCACTCAATTTATAAGTAAATAACTGATGAAAAAATAGACCAATTGCTTTGATAATCAGTTCTGTTAGCTTATGTTTAGGGCTGTCACTTCAAAACTGGAAAATGAATCAAAAGGTTTTTCTTTTCCATCTGTTAATATCATCTATGACATTTGGATACATATCTATATTTACATTTGCATTTTTACATATACTTATGTCTTACTTAATATAGTATTTACATTTGTTAATCAGCAAATTGTGGTAGTCCTTCTTTTAATAAACAGTGGTAGAGTTTGAATTTTTGAAGTGTTTATTAATTTATAATAGTGGACTAAAAGAAAGTATAGTTATTTATTTAGATTATCAGACCATATGATGAGTTATGAGGATCCATATTTATTAATGGTTTTGCCTTGTCAAATGTAAGTCTTGATTACTCTTAGCTGGAAAGAAGTGATGTTTTTATTATTTAGCTTAATTCATCTAAAATAAAGAAAATGGCTTTCTGGCAAGACATGACTTCGCCTTTTTGATTACAGCATTTATTTCCCGAGTCTTCAAACACCTCAATCACGCAAGGTTCAATTCCAATTGAGTGTTCAGACCACACAAATAGTACAATGTTTAATACTTGGTTTAACAAAATAAGGGCATTAGCACTCACAATTTTGATTCTTTACATATTGCCTAGGCTCGTTAAGGCAAAAGATCAAAGACTCTTTTTTAAAAAAGGGAAAAAAGAAAACCTCCATGCTAGAAAATGGGGAAAAGCTGAGTCTGAAATTAAATCCTAAGCCTCATAGGTTGGCTTTTCAACAGTTCAAACCTCAATTTTTCTTCGCTGTAACTCCCATTTGAAACAAAATGAAATTTTCCAAACCTAAGTACTGTGTTTTGCAAATCTTTTTGGTTTTCTTCATAACAGCATTTCTCTTTTTAAACAGTCTATCGCCTGCTTTTATTAGTTTTTTATCTCTACTCTCTTAATTTTACTCCTTTTCTATTTAGTCTCTTTTTTCCATCACCCTTTTTCTTCAGCTTCTCCTATGTCTTCCTGCTTGAATCTAATGATTAGACCTCCTTGCGTTCTAGTACTTTTGTCTGCTTGGAATATGCATACACAAACAAAACTGTTCAACTTTCTCAGTTCCGTTTCTACTATTTTCGTAATTTATGAAACCACAGTAGATGTAATTTGCGTAAACATTCTCAACATACAAATTTCGTTTCCTGTAATTCTCGGTATCAATTTGGAGTATTGTTTATCTATATCCTCAAATTTGACAAATGTTGATTATTAGAATCTTTTCCTACTTCTCAAAGAAGCAACAGTTTCCATCTTTAAATTACAGATTTCTGGCGCTTTATCTCATATCACTATGAATTACTTTTGCTTTATTTAAAAAATTTAAAAAAGATATTATGTAGAAAATACATTCTGGACTCAGGGAATATAGAGAGGTCTGAGAGCTTAAGAAGAATAGAAACTCATCTGGCTAGATGGCACCAAACTGCATCACTTCAGGCCACACAATGTTCATTAACACTTAAAGGACTTTTTTTTTTTGTATATAAATTATATAGCCAAAAACAAAGTAAAACATAACCCACCAAAAATATTTTGTTTTACCTCTTGGTTGGCAATTTTGGCATCAAGCACACATACTTTAATCATAGTAATACTTTTCTTACAGAGACATGGAGGTTGCTCGCTAAATAGAGCAAAGCAAAACAAAACAAAACAAAACAAAACAAAAACACACCTTTCAGAATGAACAGGGCATTCATACAGAAACTGTGGAGGTGAAGTTGGCACTTACTCATCTCAAAGGACATTGTCTTTTGGCCAAGGCTGCCATCCTGTCTGCTTTGACACTTGGAAATGGCAACTGAGTTCGTAACACAAAACTGAATGTTGCCCTTCTTAATGTGAGGAGAGAATGAAATAGAACACAAAAAAAATGGCATTCAAGAATATAATCGCCATGGTGGCTCATGCCTGTAATCCTAGTACTTTGGGAGGCTGAGATGGGTGGATCACCTGAGGTCAGGAGTTCGAGACCAGCCTGGCCAACATGAGGAAACCCTGTCTCTACTAAAAATACAAAAATTAGCCGGGCGTGGTGGCATGTGCCTATAATCCCAGCTACTCAGGAGACTCAGGCAGGAGAATCACTTGAACCCAGGAGGGGCGGAGCTTGCAGTGAGCCGAGATCACACCACTTCACTCCAGCCTGGGAGAAAGAGTGAAACTCTGTCAAAAAAAAAAAAAGAAAGAAAGAAAGAAAAAAGGATATAATTATAAGAAATATTGCTGGGAGCAAAACAGACTCATCAGACTCATTGCTACACTAAGTCAATGATCTGAGTTTCAGAATAAAAAGAGAATTTTAAATTTAGCACCCAGAGTAATTTGAAAAAGTATGAAGAAGACATATTTTAAATAGGTGATTGTAGATTGATGGGATTTTCTTGATTTATTTCTGTACTTGAGCTTTTTCTCTGCAGTAAAGTTTATAAAAGATAAACAGTACCCCTGTATTCTATGAAGAAACAGATAATACCCCCACTTGAGGTTGTTTTTGAAAATTATTAATTGAAATTTAAAGTGAGAAAAATATTAGGTTTCTGGGAATAATCCTACAACATTGAAATGAATACATAAAGAAATAAATTGGTTACCACAGCTCACCTCTTTATTTTGCACTTTTGTATAACATACATCAAAAACCATATTCCATTAGTTTCCCTAGACCATCCTATGACTTCTACCTTTTCCTTACATTTCATATTTTCATATCAGATCTCATATTTCTCAACCCCCACTTCTATGTGTTTTGACCAATTTTTAAGCTGCATTTCTTTACAGAGTACTAGGCATCTCACTATTTTATTAATATTAGGCATATTAATAAAATGTCTATCATCAATATTATCAATTATTAATATTGTTAATATTAACTATGTTAATACCAATATTCATTATGTGCAACTCTTAAACATGCTATATATGCATAAGTATTTGGATAGACAGATTCGATTGTAAAGGAAGAATGGACAGGATAAAGCCATGTGTACAGAGTGCAATAGTGAGGTCCAGAAAAGCTGGATATTTGTCTAGGAGAGTTTCTAATGCATGACATATTCGGTTGGTTGGGATAATTTGGCAGTAATCCCTGTGCTTTTAAAGTAGTAACTACAAAATAGAAGTGTTGTACCTTTTGAATTTAGTATGTCACTTCTTTAAAAGTCTGTAAAAATTTTACAAGAATTTCAATATAAGTTCTTTTCTGGAAATGTAAGTAACATTTAAAGAAATGTACAGACAAAATAATACACTAAGAATTTTACACACACAAAAAAAAGTTCTAAATGTTTAACTCTATCCAGTACCTATTATTGCAGTTTAACAAAAATTGATCACCCTTGAGGTTTGTGGTACTGTTACTCATCACAGAGGTTGAAAAACCTTAATTGCTAGCTTATTTGGTTCAAAAGAATAAAAAGAATCAGAAAGAAAATAAATATTTTTCAGAAATCCAAAAATAATTCTTTAGTGCAGAATTATTAAATGTTAATTTATTGCCAAGTTCCTTGTATTTATTGAAATAGTTGTGCTACTTTGGGGAAAATAGCAAACATTGTTAAGTGATGTGTAGTGTTTGGTTGCCAGTTTCTACATTTTTAAACAAGGGACAAATGTATCTCTTGGGGTTAGCAGAAATTAAGCTGTTTACATATCTTCTCATTGCTCAGAAATTTTGAGCCACACATATGTATGGAAATTCAAATGTTTTTATATATAAGAGTTTTAACTCCTATAGTACCTTGTAACAAATATTAACTTCCATAGCAAAAAATATTTTGTTATATTTTGCAAACCACTTTTATTACTGGAAAAGCAAGATGAATTCAGAAATAGGTAGAAATATCATGTTCTGTTTTTTATTGCTTGTGACAATGCACTATAAGTGATGAATAATTTTTGAGTGCTTGCTGTATTTCCACACCATTTTTGTCATCATAAAAGTGACTGATAATTAACATAGTTCTCTTCAAATGTGTTTTGATATAATTATGGAAATGTCTCTAAAAGACATAAAAGGATCTTGCATATTAAAAAGTCATTCACCAGGAAGTGATATTAGAGTTACAGGAATTGACAGGAGGTGGAGCCGAATGATAGTGGCAATAATGAGCGAGTGCCTCATGGAAGCATCAGGGTTACAGTATTGAAGATTATGTAGAACTTTATTAGAGAGACGAGGGTAAAAGTGGAGGGCACTTTGTATGAAGGCAAGCTCATGAATGAAAGAATGCAGTTTTCAATGATACAGCAGTGAGAAGGTAACCCTGAAGTATTTCTTGGTATGTTCCAGTAAAAATAAATAAATAAATAAATCAGATGAGTATTATGGAAACAGCTTATGTATGGCTTTGACATCTAGATAGAATAGTTTTATGTTTGATGTTGTCTGAAATAGGGCACCATAATCGATTTTTAAGCAGAGTTACAATATAATGAAAGCAGCATTTAATATGGATTATTCCAGAAGTGACAGGCAATATATAGGTGACAGTTGGAGGGTGGAGAGAGAATCTGGAGGCAGCTCAAGCTTTGAAAGTCCACAGGAAACATTTCCAGGAATGCAGGTGTGAAGTGAATGATAAGCTTTTAGCTTTTGGTGGTGGCAATTAGAACACTGAAAAGGAGAGGATACCTGAGGCATTTAATTTATAATAACACTGTATATCTATATTTTAATCTTATAACTACCCTTATATGTTTGGTGTTACAGTTGTCAGTTTTGTTCCATGGGCAAAATAGGTTACCATTAATGCATTCCTTATCTTTCTGTTAAAGGCATTATTTAAAAATCCACATTGTCCTGCTTATGCAAAGATAGTACTACATAGTACTATCCACTATTATAATCCACTGAGAGCATGTACTTTGAATTATTTTCCAACAGTTGCAGAAAAATTTGCTGAAACAGACACATGCTCTCTCAGTCCATCCTCATTATAAACAATAGCTGGTACTTTTGAGATTCTTAGTAAGAATTGGTGAACCATTTGATGGCTTGGGACTGAAAGCTCTGTATCCATCATATAGAAGAAGGCAGCTGATACATAATGGTTGCCATCTTCCAATAGTGTTATTAATGCCATCTACTAAGCAACTGAACCAATCTACTATGTATAGTATGGAAGGTAAGCTAGCTGCCAGAAGATGGCAGAAAGGTAAACTAACAGAATTTGTCTTTGAGTTCTGTGTTGATGAACACTTTTGAACTTCTCACTAATTCTGTAGATTGTCAGAATACGAGGTCCAAATTAAACTTATAGCAAATTTGATGAAGACATAGAGTTGATTCTGATATGAATCTTACGAATGATAAAGGAGTACATTTTATATATTTAGAGTATTGATTCATACTAATTAATTGGAATGCCATTTAGGGGTCATTTATGATGTTATGGGGTTCAGCAATACAAGCATGAGAATTCCTTCTATTAAATAGAAAATTTATTTCCTGCTCTTTGGAAGGGTGAGGCCCATTTTGTAATTGGAGTGTGAATGTTGTAAACAATATTTGCTATTGTTTGATTGCTTTTAGAGCTGTATCAAAGAGCCTTAACCATTGTGTGTTATTTTTTGCTTTATAGCCTCTAACCTAAGCGTCAATATATATTGTTTTCACGTATTGTATTGATTGTATCAATGTCACGTAATTTTGTCAGCAACAGCCTAGTCAATTCCATCTGTCCTGTTTTGATGACTGATTTCCTTATGTCAATAAATTGACAACTAAGTTATCCAAATGAGCAATCTAAAAAAGATTGCTTTTAATATGCTTTCTTCCCCTTGGACATTTAGACAACTTTATACCAAGTCTCTGTGCATCCATTATTAGTATATTCTGGCCAGCTAAGCCTCTCTGAAAAGCATGATTTTTACATAATACATCTTTATTTGTTATATTGCTGTAATCAAATTATCTCTATGTTGTTGATCAGGGAGGAATTCTAGACATATAAGTAAAATATTGTGTGAATTTTATTGAATGAAGCAATTAGGGCTCTTTGACCTTCTGGTTGCAACTTCTATTTTAGAAAGACATTAGAAACCCACATTTGAAAATGTCTAGGAATTTTCTCTTGGCAATATAGTGCTTTCATTTTTAAAGGCGGAGAAGAAAACTTCACTTTCTGGGTTGTACTTGTCTACAGAAAAATTGTACTGGAGCTTTAGTATGATCCTGACAAGTAGTTTAATCATCCCTGGCTGTAAAATACCTAACAAAGCTTGAGGGGGAAGATAAGACTTAAATTTTATAGAGAGTTCATTGTTTTGGGTACAATTTGTCTATTATTTTCCTGCAGATATGATGATAATTATAACATAGTCATTAAAGCGGAGGTTACTTACCTAAAGAACAAAACAATACTTCTTTGTTAATGATGAAGAGAAAGTTGTAAGTAATTTAGAGGTGAACATAAAGATGGAAGAAGTGAAGCTGTGCCGGGATCCTGGGGATGAGGGAGAAGACATCACAGGCTTCTGTAACACTCAAAATAACAAATGATGCATAAATAGTACAGCAATATTTAATAAGCATTTTGATATCTTTGATGACCACTTCAGAAAATGAACATTATTGAACAAAGTATAAAGCATATTTAAAATATTGAATCAAATGACAAGGACCAAGAATTGACAGTACCAGATTATACATACTAAAAAGAAAACAAAAAATTAAGTAATTATTTGAGAGAAAAAGTCTCAAAATGGATGTATCTTTAAAAAACTACACTGAATTAATAGAAGTTGGTATAGATTCAAACCAGGAACTGGAAATTCTTTTTAATTTATTTTTTTGTTTTATATTTTTTTGAGACAGAGTCCCACTCTGTCACTCAGGCTGGAGTACAGTGGCACAATCTCTGCTCATTGTGACCTTTGCCTCCTGGGTTCAAGCGATTCTCATGCCTCAGCCTCCTGAGTAACTGGGACTACAGGCGTACGCCACCACGCCCAGCTAATTTTTGTGTCTTTAGTAGAGAGAGGATTTCACCATGTTGCCCAGGCTAGTCTCGAACTCCTGGCCTCAAGTGGTCTGCCTGCCTCAGCCTCCTAAAGTGCTGGGATTACAGGCATGAGCCACTACACCTGGGGGAAATTCTCACCCTAAACATGAGCACAAAGTTTATCTGATAATTGCTCATATAAATAATCTACTTCCATGCAAAAAGTTTAGATCAGTGTGAGAAACTATATTTAAATTTCACAAGTTAGAAATTTTAAATACAATTTATTATATTTTAATTATAATGTACTTATTTATAATTTAATTTTCATTCAGAGAATATCATAAAAAAACTTGTATGTGTTTCTTAAGCTCAAAGGGCACAAAATCTTATTATTTTGTAATCAAAGAACAAAATAGGAAAAACAAAACAATGTATATGAGTACAAGGCATTTTTCACCTTCAATTTAATGCTTATAATGTAGTCCAGGTCTTCAAAGTAGCCTAAGCACCATGGTGCAACCACTTAATATATTTTGATTTATGTTTATTTGTTTCTACAAATCACACGATGTGTAGATGAGTATTCTCAGGACACTGTGTCAGTAGTAATTTGTATTGGAAAAATTATTTTGCTAGATTTATTAACATTTACTACATTTTTTTCAAGAAATTGTTCATTTTGTCATAAAAGAATTTTTCCATCAGTCTATAATATCAAGAAGAAAGAATGCAAAAACAGAAATAAAAAGGTGCATGGTGAGTGAATGAACAAACTGTAGAGTGTAAGATTTTTAGGAAGAAATTAAGGAACTGATTCATAAATAAAAGAAAATGGTAATGAAAACAAAGTGAATTGATTGCAAACATGCTGTTGATATAACCATAGAATACTGGATATCCATGGGAGAGCTTATAAATGCTACTGGACATTTGTACACAACTGTGTGTATATGTGTCTGTGTGTGTGTCTGTGTGTGTGTGTGATGAGGAGTGGGGGGAGAAAGGATGCATCATTGTATTTTTTATTCTAGGTTTGTTTTTTATTTGTATGTAGTTACCACAATGATATTCAAATTTTAGGGGAAAATGAGAATTTTTTTACTTCTGCAAATATATTTAATACAACCCATCCAAATTTATTCTAAATACATTTTGATACAATTTGTCAACCTATAATTCTTCAAGAAGTGGAATCAGCAGTTGGTAATAATTGCACATCTGTGGTTAATTAGCTCAGTTGGTTGAATCATGGAGCTAATGAGGCCAAAGCCTGGGTTTGATCTCTGCGTGGGCTGGTGAGTTTTGCTCTATTCCTGGGTCGTAGACTGCAGTTCAAACCCAGGCCAAGTATCTCATGGATGCATGCCACTGACCATAAGAAACTGGGCAAGAGAAAGTAACTTCAACAGGTCCGGAACACATCTTCAAACTATATACAGCATCTGCTTGTTAATGTATGAAGAGAAGCATTAGTTATGAACTCAGTACTCTCACAAAAAGACACACAGGAAACTTTCTGTGGCCTCAAATGAAACATTGAGGAATAAGTAATATTAGGAATTACCTAACGAGCACATGGGAAATAGCTAATTCATAACCACAAATAGAATCTATTTCAAATGGCAAGGGAAGCAAAATCCCTGTCATTCCCACACATTGATTTTTCCTTGGTAGATTGTAAAGGTCTTTAAGGTGTTGGATGAAGAGTTCTGAATCAGCTGTGAAATAAGACAAAAGAGGGAGGAGAGAAAGCAGATGGAAAGCCAAAATGTCACATTCGTTTTAGATAAAGACTAGAGGATGTAGTTTAGACCCACAGGTAAGTGGGCTCCTTAACACTAACCTCAGAATTAGAGACATTTCCCACCAACATAGAGTAAGAAAACACAGGTCTCCCCAGTGCGACCAGCCTCACTTTGTGGCCTGATAACGCTTTTTGTAGGAAGGTCATCCCCAAGGAGAAAAAGGGAAGAGAAAGGGAGTGTTGTCATATATGGACAGATCGTTTTTCTTACAAACATATAAATCAGATTGGGCCACTGGTTAACACTGAGTGAGAGAAGGAGAGAGGCCTGGATTGTTCCATATGAAAAAAAAAATCAAGAGTGGAAAATAATTCCTGCCACCTCCATCTTCAACTATATATTTTATTTTTAAATTGGATAAATGGCCAGTGTAAGATGAAAACCAAGAAAAATGCCAGAAACTGAGACTTAGACTGTATGTCCATTGTGGTAGATAGAAACTTGTGAACTTACTAAGAATCAATGTATCTCTGTTGCAGTGTGATGGTCTTTCCTCATGGTCTCCCAAATTTCTAAGGGTAGTTGGTTCCCAGTATGTCTGCCACATTGTGATCACAAATATCATGATCATGAAGAAATGCTTTGTTTGGAAATGCCTACAAATAATGATGGAAGGGCCCAATTGAAAGTAAATATTTTGCTGAAATTATCCATTTACCAATTCATTATCATTAACAATGAACTCAACATAACATTAGTCTAATGAGATAGCTCATTTTTTTTTTTAAAAGTTATGTGTCGAATATATCCTTTAAACATGTCAGATATATTCCCTTTAGGGATTCACAATGCACTTCGTCTCTTTAATGTTTGACTTTATCACAATGTTTTTCATACTTTGGTAAGTAATCCCATCTAACTGCTGTTTGATAATTTAAGTTTGGGAAACACTAATCAAAACCATAATGTGAGCAAGTTCTTTGTAGTAATATTTTATGATGTTTAGTTTACTAATAATTATGAATAGATAATTTATCTTTCAATGATGTTTGCTTTTAAAAAAGCTATAAATTCATGGCATAGTAAGTTGAAATAACATTTTAGTTGTAGAAATGATAATTAACAGCTTTTTGTAGATGCTGTTTTGTATTTTTTTTACTCTGTTATGGTCTATAGAGAAAGACTCTTGGAGTGCATTTGCATTGCTGCCATTGTGATTTTCTTTTTTTATTATTATGCTTTAAGGTCTAGGGTACATGTGCACAACGTGCAGGTTTGTTACATAGGCATACATGTGCCATGTTGGTTTGCTGCACCCATCAACTTGTCATTTACATTAGGTATTTCTCCTAATGCTATCCCTCCCCCAGCACCCCCTGCAACAGGCCACAGTGTGTGATGTTGCCTGCCCCGTGTCCAAGTGTTCTCATTGTTCACTTCCCACCTATGAGTGAGAACATGCGGTGTTTGGTTTTCTGTCCTTGTGATAGTTTGCTGAGAATGATGGTTTCCAGCTTCATCTATGTCCTTGCAAAGGACATGAACTCATCCTTTTTTATGGCTGCATAGTATTCCATGGTGTATATGTGCCACATTTTCTTTATCTGGTCTATCATTGATGAACATTGGGCTGGTTCCAAGACTTTGCTGTGAATAGTACCACAGTAAACCTACGTGTGCATGTGTCTTTATAGTAGAATGATTTATAATCTTTTGGGTATATACTCAGTAATGGGATTGCTGGGTCAAATGGTATTTCTAGTTCTAGATCCTTGAGGAATCACCACACTGTCTTCCACAATGGTTGAACTAGTTTACACTCCCACCAAGTGTAAAAGGGTTCATTTTTCTCCACATCCTCTCCATCATCTGTTGTTTCCTGACTTTTTAATGATTGCCATTCTAAATGGCATGAGATGGTATCTTATTTTGGTTTTGATTTGCATTTCTCTGATGACCAGTGATGATGAGCATTTTTTCATGTGTATTTTGGCTGCACAAATGTCTTTTTTTGAGAAGTGTGTGTTCATATCCTTTGGCTACTTTTTGATGGGGTTGTTTGTTTTTATCTTGTAAATTTCTTTAAGTTCTTAGTAGATTCTTTAAGAATCCTACATGTTATTTGTGGCTTACAAAAAACTTTAACCTTAGCTTATATAGAGATATTGATTGAGTTTAGATCTCAACCTCAAGATTCCATTGAAAGTGGTTATACAGACATCTAAGTTCATTTATTCCTCTTTAATAATACATACAGTCCTATTATTATTTATACAGTTAATTTATCTTCGGGGAAGTCGTCAACAAAATGACATCACAAAAATTAATCAATTACATTCAAATGGAATAAAATGTAATCATGGAGATTCCAAATTATATTAAAAACATCTGTATACAAAATACTGTTTAAAATTAGGCCTTTTGTTGCAAAAAAAGAATTTTTAATTTGTCGCCCAGGCTGGAGTGCAGTGGCAGGATCTTGACTCACTGCAACCTCCACCTCCCTGGCTCAGGCAATCCTTCTAACCTAGGCCTCCTGAGTAGCTGGGACTACAGGTGTGTGTCACCATGCCCAACCAACATTTTTGGATTTTTGGTAGAGACAGGGTTTTACCATGTTGCCCAGGCTGGGAAAATAATTCCTTTTTTAAAAAAGCCATCTTTTGGTATGTTTGTTTATTATGATTCTACTTAAATTCTCACTGAATTCTTTTCCAGAAGTTATTGCAAAACAGAACTCTGAACATTCTTCCTGTTCTTTTCTGCACAAGCAAACAGTCCATCCAGATAATCCGGATTTCGCCAAACTCAAACTTTACTTTTACTTATTGTCAGTGAATTTTACTCCCCTCTTAAAAATCTAGTGATCTAAACCAGACTAAAAAAAAAGTGTTCTATAAAATTATACAGGGAAAATCATTTTATATTGTATGCCTCCTCTTATCTTCATCACCCTCATAGGGGCAGGCAGGCTGGAGCGAGAGAGAAATAGAGGAAGAGATAAAGGAAGAAAAATGCAATAGAATGTATGTTTTCCCTGAAAAGCACACTCAGTGAACAAAATTAGCCCTTGGGTTGCACGGACCCTGGGTTTTACATCATGGCTATTGTTTATTACTTGGAAGTAAGTATTATTTCAGTTTATTGATTTGTAAAAGAGAATAATAGCATCTACCCTGCTAAACTTTCAAAGATATTAACTGACATAATATATGTAGCATCATATAAATGTACAGTCATGTAATATGTGCATATAGATGTACAATAATGTACATGATATAAATGTATAATGGTAGCATCATCGCCCTTTTTAAGAAATGATGCTGAGAAATTTTTCTAGATAGCTTTCTGTTTATAAATATTTTCAATGTAGGTATAAAGTCCTGAGGTGTAAAAAAATGACTGTGATGGCTAATATTTAATTTTTAGTATGTGCTAGACATGTTCTGACTCTTTTAGATGAATATATTTTTATTTAATTATTTCAATGACCCAATTAGGTAATTATTTCCTTTTATTCTTATTGCAAAGGAGAGGAAAGTGAACACACGTTGACTAAATGGCTTACCCCAGGTTACAATGCAAAAAGGGGTTCAGGTTATCTCGTCTACCCTTAGTTTTGACAGGCAATCTCTTCTATAGAATCCTTTCACACAATGTTCCAGCCTCTTGTGAAATTTATTCCGGTAAATGAGGCAGGGCATGCTAGTATGCTCATTTTTCTGTGCAGACTCCCTTCCACAGTAACTCCATAGATTTAAAACAAACTTTTGTCCTTTTTTTTTTTTCAACTTTTATTTTAGATCCAGGGGTAACATGTACAGGTTTGTTACCTGGCTGTATTGCATAATGCTGAGGTTTGGGGCCAAATGATCCCATCACTCAGGTACTGAGCCTCGTACCCAATAGCTAGTTTTACAGCCATTGACCTCCTCCCTTCCTCCCACCTTTAGAGTCCCAAGTGTCTATCATTGCCATCTTTATGTCCATGCGTACCGAATATTTAGCTCCCACTTATAAGTGAAAACATGTGATATTTGGTTTTCTATTTGGCAAAAAATTAACTTGGGACAGTGTCCTCCAGCTGCATCCATGTTGCTGCAAAGGATAGGATCTCATTGTTTTTTACGGCTGCATAGTAGTCCATGTACCACATTTTCTTTATGCAGTCCTCTGTTGTTGGGCCCGTAGGTAGATTCCATGTCTTTGCTATTGTGAATAGTGCTCTGATGAACATGCCAGTGCATGTGTCTTTTTCATAGAATGCTTTGTTTTCTTTTGGCTATATAGCCAGTAATGGGATCGCTGGGTAGAATGATAGTCCAGGTTCTTTGAGAAATTACCAGACTGCTTTCCACAGTGGCTGAACTCATTTACATTCCCATGACCAGTGTGTAAGTGTTCCCTTTTCCCGCAGTCTTAGCAGCATCTGTTGTTTCTTACTTTTAGACAATAGCCATTCTGACTGGCCTGAGACAGTACCTCATTGTGGTTTTAATTTGCATTTCTGTGATGATTAGTGATGTGGAACATTTTTTCATATATTTCTTGGCCACTTGTATGTCTTTCAAGATGTGTCTGTTCATGTTTTTTGCCTACTTTTTAATAGCTTTTTTAATTATTCAATTGTATAAGTTCCATATAGATCCTGGATATCAGGCCTTTGTTTGATGCATAATTTGTAAATGTTTTCTCCCATTCTGTAGGTTGTCTGTTTCCTCTGTTGATAGTTTCTTTTGCTGTGCAGAAGCTCTTTAGGTCCCACTTTGTCAATTTTTGTTTATGTTGTGATTGCTTCTGAGAACTTAGTCATAAATTTTTTTCCCAAGGCCAATGTCCAAATGGTGTCGCCTAGGTTTTCTTCTAGCATTCTTATAGTTTGAAGTCTTAACATTTACATTTTTATTTCATCTTGAGTTAAATTTTTGTATATGGTGAAAAGTAAAGGTCCAGTTTTATTCTGCTGCATATGGCTAGCCAGCATCAAGAATAGGAAGTCCTTTCTCCCTTGCTTACTTTTCAAATCAATTTTGTTGAATATCAGATAGGCTGTAGGTGTGCCACTTTATTTTTGGGGTCTTGATTCTGTTCCATTGATCTTTGTGTCTATTTTTCTACTAGGACCATGTTGTTTGGTTACTATAGCCTTATAGTATAAAGTCAGGTCATTGTGATGCCTCCAGATTTGTTCATTTTGCTTAGGATTGCTTTGCCTATTTAGGCTCTTTTATGGTTCCATGTGAATTTTAGAATAGTTTTTTCAAATCCTGTGAAAAATGACATTGGTAGTTTAATAGGAATATCTCTGAATCTGTAGATTGCTTTGGGCAGTCTGGCCATTTTAACGATACTGATGCTTTCAATCCATGAGCCTGGAGTGTTTTTCCATTTCTTTGTCTTTTAGTAGTGTTTTGTAGTTCTCCTTGTAGAGATCTTTCACACTCTGGGTTAGATGTATTCGGAAATATTTTATTTTTTGTGTGACTATTGTAAATGGGATTGCATTTTTAATTTGGCTCTCAGCTTGAGCTTTATTGATGTATAGAAATTCTACTGGTTTTTATACATTTATTTTTTATCTTGAAACTCTATTTAAGTTATTTATCAGTTCCAGGAGTCTTTTGGTGGCCTCTATGGTTTTCTACTAGTTATAATGGAAATAACTATGATTATTAAAATAATCACTACTATAATAATTATGATTCTAATAAAGAATCATATCATATATGAAGAGAGATAGCTTGACTTATTTTCCTATTTGGCTGCCTTTTATTTCTTTCTCTTGTTTGATTGCTTTGGCTAGCACTTCCAGTTGTATGTTGAATAGGAGTGGTGAGAGCGGGCATCATTGTTTTGTTCTACTTCTCAAAGGGAATGCTTCCAGTTTTTGCCCATTCAGTATGATGTTGGTTGTGAGTTTGTCATAGGTAGCTTCTATTATTTTGAGGTATGTTCTTTCAGTGTCTAGCTTCTTGAGGGTTTTTATCATGAAAGGATTTTGGATTTTATCAAAAGCTTTGAAGAAGCATTTTGTTGAATTAAGTTGATACTTATTTTTTACTTATTACTAACAAGCATAAATACCTGAAACTGTAGAATAAAACACTTCTACAATATATCACTTCTATTGAAAAAAGGAATTTCAGTAATAATTTGGACAAATGATAGTGAAGGGAGTAGGAGGGGATATTTCTAAAAAAAATTCTGATACATCACAACAAGACTTTATAAGTGTAAAATTAGATGCTGCTTATTATGTACATGGAGAAAGGCATTTTGTAGTGTAGTCTGAGCAATAACCTTTTGAAATGAAACATATTAATCATGCTTGCTCAACATATGTAAGAAATCTTTGTAAACACATATGCACGTGTTATCATTTCAGAAGCTCAGGCTAAATAGTTAAATAGATCCATTCTCCACATCCTAGATAAATTTCTGGGTAAATAAACTATCATCTAGATTTATCTAGTTACATTTTTAGATAAATTTATCTGGATACATTTTTAGATAAATTTATCTAGATACATTTTTAGATAAATTTATCTGGATACATTTTTAGGTAAATTTATCTAGATACAT
Organism: Homo sapiens; assembly: GCF_000001405.40. Taxonomy (NCBI): domain Eukaryota; kingdom Metazoa; phylum Chordata; class Mammalia; order Primates; family Hominidae; genus Homo; species Homo sapiens. The sequence continues at coordinate 16,516,683 of NC_000021.9, forward strand.
TTTTAGGTAAATTTATCTAGATAAGTTTCTGGATAAACTATCATCTTTATCAAATTCACATATCTGTAGTTAAACACTATGATCACAGATCCATTGTCTGTAAAGTAAATAATGCAAATGAAATTCAGAAGTCAATTCTGACCCCAGCTCTACTATAGACAAAGTTGTTTCCAAAAACAAGTTTGATTTCAAGTTGTTGGATTGAAAAAAACAAAAAACAAAAAAGTATATACTCTGCATATCTAGATATTACTTTTAGCTTTGCTAATCTAGTTCTCTTTTCTATCTTAAAATAACAAATAGAAAGATAGTCTTCTTTTTAAATTGAAAACATAATATAAAAAGTTGTAATTGTTTAACTGTATACATACACACATATATACATATAGACATGCACAAATACATTTATGTACACACATTCTTCCCTTTTCATATCACTTTCCATTTTTATTTTTCTTTAAAAGCATTTTTTGAGACATGGCTATCACTGTATCACCCAGTCTTTAATCAAACTCATGGGTTCAAGTGATCCTCCCACCTCAGCCTCCCAAGTAGCTGGAACTGCAAGGATGTACCACTATGCCTGGCTCCATTTTCAAGTAATAAGGAAACACAGATTTGACCAAGTAGTGCTGGGATTTGTTCATTAGAAATCCATTTCAAAAATATTTTGAAAACATGGTCAAGACACATAATGCACCTGATAGCGTACTTGAATTATTCTATCAAAAATATGCAAATAATAAATTTATTGATGTATATACATTACACCTAGCTTTGTGTTTTCTCCTTTCTATCTTCTGCCCAAAGTGGGATATGTTACTGCCTATGAGCCACCATAGAGCAAACACTAGAGTGACTGCTTACTTTTTTTGTAGCCTTCTAGATATTACATCATTGGAATGTCAGACAAAGCCTTGAAATTCATACTCCATCAAGTATGTGATTTTTGTAATACTTTAGGAACAGAATAAATTTTAAAATATTTCACAGGATTGTGAAATTTTTACCCACCAGTGTCTAGGTGTACATGAAACTCTTCAGATTTTGTTTTCACCCCTTCTCACCCAACCTCCTTTTTACAACTGCTCTCAGTTATGACCAGCACTTTACACTTTTAAAAGTACACATGACTTAACTGTCATAAGCCATCAGAGGAAAAACATTTGGCCTTATGTTAAAGAACTTTTTCACATGTTTTATCATTTCTACAAGATTTTAAGCTTTTTGAAGACATGGAACTATTTCTCGTGTAGCACTTTACACATATGCAGTACTCATTTTTTATTAAATATTAAAGGAGTGAAAGCCATCTTCACACTATTCTATGATTGGATTATCTGTATGTTTTTTCTGGGCCACTGAAGATTAAGTTGAATAAACGAGGAGCTGGCACAAACCCTGACAGATAGTAGAAAGTTGACATCCTAACAGAGACAAAGAAAGAAGTATAAATGAAGATAATGAAACTCAAAATATAAATAAAAAATAAATATAACATAATATAATAAAGAATATAAAATATAAAGACGATGTAGATTAGGGGTAAATAAATTCTATTTTTTAAAAACTGTATGGACCTTCTACTTTGGGCAGTAGGCTACATAGACATTGAATATTACAGCAATTTAAAGGATCATATTCTTTTTTGTGAAAGACTATCTTGTTCCATTAAGGAGATGGGACACTCTGTTCAATCAAAGTGCAAAATCAAAGCCTATAATCATGACACCTAGAAAACTAAATTTACCTAGAAAGCTAAAATTATGATAATGTTTTCTGTTTTGTAACTCCAAATATGCAATAGTTTCTAAATATATATAATATATATATTTAGATACATATATTTAGATAAAATAATATATAATATATTTAAAAACATATTTTTTATTTTAAAAATTATTTTAAATAGTCTTTGGTTAAGTTAATTTCTAGGTATTTCTTTGGTTAGTTTCTACATACTGAATTTTATGTGTGGCTTTTGTAAATGGAATTTTTTAAATTTCATTTTCAGGTTGTTTACTGTTCGCGTATAGAAATGCTACTGGTTTTTGTGTATTGATTTTGTATCCTGCGATTTTACTGAATCAGTTTATGTACAAATCACATACATTCTTTTTTTTCTTTTTAGTTACACAGGTATTTTGTAAAATGAAGTTATTCTTCACAAACATAATATGAATGAAATTATCCTTGCATTACTCTAAAAATGAATGTTATAGATAAACAAAAATCAATGTTTTCACCCATATTAGTATGGTAATCTAGAAAAGTTTGTATGCAGAACATGGACAGTAAACTCCTTCTATAGTCCATGAGATGATTGCAAGTATAAATCTTACGAGATTTCCATTTGGTTCTCCTGGAGATAAGGGATGCTTAAAAACTGACGTATTCAGTCCAGTGGCCATTAATATGGGGATAATCTGGAATATTCCATTGTGGATCTGGAACAAATTTAACACAATTCACTACAGACGGCAGTGTATGAATAATCCATGTGTTTTGCTAATTCTGCCTGCTCTTGGTTCAGTGACATGCTTTTTAAGGAGAATCTGTCATTACACATGCAGAAGACATTCAGGCCTGGGGGATATCACTACTCCAGCATAACCTCAAGTTAGTGGGGAGATTAAAGTCTGAAGTCAAAATTATTTCATCTGAAGTCAAAATTGTTATAAAATTGAAAACACATACTTGAGGGTAAAGTGAGGTCATAGAGTGACTTTTCAAAAGCAGAATATACTCTCTATAACTGAGAAAAGACAGAGGAAGAGTGCCTGGTGGGCTGTGGTAAACAGAAAACCGAGGTGCAGCTCCTTTTGTGCACTCAGACACCATACTGGGTTGTTCACTGGATTCACTCTACCTTTCTAGGATGGCATTAATTAATTATTATTCATTTTTCATTCTTCAAAACACCCACATTTGCACCTAGATATTGCTTGAGCATATTCATTTGACTGTGGAGAAACATACTTATCAAATAATCCAGTTGCAATAAGGGAATAATGAACAGGTATTTTCAGTTCTGGGGGTCATGCCCTACCCAGCAGTACTCCCAATTAATGGTTCAAATATGGGATTGGCTCTTCACTGGGCAGCTCTGGCTCAAGCTTCACTTCTTTCCAAAGGCTTTTCCACTTACTTGAGGTGATGCAATTGATGATGTCATATGTACATTTGATATTGAATCAAGAAAGCCCTGATGATGCCTCCCATTAAATAGAAAGAAATGTCTTGAATATTTATGATTTTGTTATTTAAGTCTGAATAAAACCTTTCATTTGCTAAATGGTTGTTCTTATAGCCCATCCTTTCCTTTAAATCTGAAATTAGTTAATACATAAAATATAACTCCTAAGTGGTCAAGAAAGATGCCAGACTTCCTAGACTGCTATACTTAACATGCAAACCTCACTTGGCATGTAAACCAGAAAATGAAATATTGTGAATGGTTACCGTAAATGTCTTCTTAAACGAAGTCCAATTAATAAAACAACTAATAGTTTTACTGGTCTGCAACATCTTTGACTACCCAAATTTATTCATTTTAAACTTGACGTGATTTATCATTTTTAACTCAATACAGCACTAGGACCTCTTTAAAATTTCATAGAAAGAAAGGATTTATGACATATATTTAAAATTTATTGGCTAATTTTTTTTAAAAATTTCAAATCAATTTATTTCAGGCCATTGTAATCTGGTTTATATGGTCCCAGAGGGATGACTGTGGAAACCCAAATTCTTAGACCAGTCAAAACCCCACTGAATCTGCCAGACAAAGATTGAATGAAGACCTGAAGGCCAAATCTCTAGATCTGAGAAGACAAAATATCTAAAAGCAGCAGAAGAGGCATTATACAAAATTACTTAGAAAAAGCCCTTATATTAAAAATTACATATTATTCAGTTTCTCTGTTTTGGAAAATTAAAAATTAAATGTACAATTTTTATATTTATTACAAAAGTAAGGGTTAAAACCCTAAACCACTTAAAACACCAGTTTTACCACACACTTAAACACAGAACTCTTCCCCAATGCGTGATGGGTAGCATTATACTAGCAAAGATAACCGTACTTTATGAACTTCATACTTGTGTAAGTTGATTAGGGAAACTATTTTTAGAGTTATCAATCGAATCAATTCACATAAATTGCTTGGCACAATATCTGTACTTTAGAGGTGCTTAAAACTATTATTATTTTTCTATTTGTGTGTGTGTGTGTGTGTGTGTGTGTGTGTGTGTGTGTGTTTTTTGAGATGGAGTCTTGCTCTGTCGCCCAGGCTGAAGTGCAGTGGCATGATCTCCGCTCACTGCAAGCTCCGCCTCCTGGGTTCACGCCATTCTCCTGCCTCAGCCTCCCAGGTAGCTGGGACTACAGGTGCCCGCCACCACGCCCAGCTAATTTTTTGTATTTTTAGTAGAGACGGGGTTTCACCGTGTTAGCCAGGATGGTCTCGATCTCCTGACCTCGTGATCCGCCTGTCTCGGCCTCCCAAGGTGCTGGGATTACAGGTGTGAGCCACCACGCCTGGCCCTATTTGTGTTTATTAACTAAAATGTTTTAACTATAACTTTTAAGTGTGTTAATACATATTGACTCATGTCAGTAATGATAAAACCTCATTTCACTTTTTGGTTGGTGTTTTAAGAACTTATGTTTATTTAAAATTCATCATTCCACTATGCAGCCATCAAAAGGAATGAGATCATGTCCTTTGCAGGGGCATGGATGAAGCCATTATCCTCAGCATATATACATTATTACCTCAAAATATACATTATTACCTACTATCATTACCTGCATTTAGGCCTTGCTTTTAAATTTCTCTTTGTGATCGACATGGTTTTCTTTCTTTCTGACAAATTAATTTCAATATCCTTATTATTGTCATCAACTACTTTACCCTCCTGCTTTGCATGCCATCTCTGCCCCTCCATCCATCCCTGTCAAGTGCCACCTACAACCACAGCACACCATACCACAGTGTTTCTTATAGGCTTTTTTATTTTTTTCTGTTGCCTAGGCTGGAGTGCAGTGGCACCGTCTCAGGTCACTTCAACCTCCGCCTCCTGGGCTCAAGCGAGTCTCCCGCCTCAGCCTCCTGAGTACCTGGAATTGCAGGTGCCCATCACCATGCTCAGCTAATTTTTGTATTTTTAGTAGAGACGAGGTTTCACCATGTAGGCCAGGCTGGTCTCGAACTCCCAACCTCAAGTGATCTACCTGCCTCAGCCTCCCAAAGTACTGGGATTACAGGTGTGAGCCACTATGCCCTGCTTCTTATAGCCTTTTTTATTAATCTATTTTTTCCCAACTTCTTGGTCTAAATAAATCTGAATTTTTCAACTAGTTTGCCTCATGCAATTTTCTCCTCTATTGATTCTCAAGGCATGAATCATCAAAGCGGTCTTGTCAAAAGGAAACATTATTTTTTTACTAAAATTATGAAGAAATTGAAGCAAATGTGATTTCAAAGACCTAACTTTATCCAATTTTCTACTTTTTTCCAAGCTCTACATTTTCACAGTAAAACTTCTGTTTTATCTTTTAACAACATGATAAAGAAAAACACAGATGGAAGAACATTGAGGGGGAATTCCTAAATGGGAGCAGTTAGCAGCTATGAAAATGTAGATATTCAAGAAGAAAAGAAAAAGTAAGCAAAACTGAATCATGAGACCATAGAAGAGTCAAAAAAATGTCAATTTATCTCAGCTTTCTGCAAACTACAACCCATGGGCCAAATTCAAGGTCTGTTTTTGTACAATCTACACATTAAGAATGGTTTTTACAATGATACGTGTTAGAAAAATGTTTAGAAAGTCATATTTTATGATGTGAAAATTGATAAAATGTTGTTGTCCATAAATAAAGTTTTATTGGAACACCATCACACTTTCATTTATGTATTTTCTATGACTGTTTTTATGCTGTAACAGCAGAATTAAGCAGTTGCGACAGAGATCATATGACATGCAGCATGTAAAACATGTATTATCTAGCCCTTCATAGAGAAGTTTGCTGTCTCCAGATTTAGAACATTCCCCTAAGTTAATTTTCCCAGCTGATTACATCACTGTTTATTGAGTATCAGCTCTGGAATTTCAAGTTCAAATAAACCAAGGAGTACCTTCAGATTTTTTCATTAGAGTTTTTCTTTACAGTAACACAAGGTGGGAGCAAATAACCAGTAAGAGCAGTTACCTTCGTGTATCTGTCATTTTACAAAAAATTAACTGTTCATTTTGGGATAACTGTAGACTTATGCAGTTGTAAGAAATAAAACAGAGTTAGGTTAATCTTTATCCAGTTTCTCCAGTGCTAAAATCTTGAAAACTGTAGTACAATTGGAAAACAACGAAACAGTTGTACAAAACAGTACAACTGAAAACAATATTATAGCCCAGATGTTAACATTGATATAGACAAGATACAGAATGTTTCCATTACTATTAGAATCCCTTGTGTTGCCCTTCTATAGATACACCTGCTTCTCTCTCAATCCCATCTCTGCCTTCACTCCTTAGCAACTTACCTGTTTTCCATTTCTATAATTTTAACATTTCAGGAGTATGAAAATGTAATCACAGAATGTGATCTTTGGGGATTGGCCTTTTTCACTCAGCATAATTCTCTTGAAATCAACCACATTGCTGAGTTTATCAATAGTTTGCTTCTTATTGAGTAGTATTCCAGGGTATGAATATACTACATTTTAACCACTCATCAGCTGAAATACATCAAGGTGGTTTCCAGTTTGGGGCTATTGTGAATAAAGCTTCATGTATAGATTTTTCATGTAAATAGAAATTTTTATTTTGGGGGAATACATTCCCATGAGTCAAATTGCTGGACCATATGTTAAGTGTTTGTTTCATTTTTAAAATAATTTGGCAAACAATCCCCAGAGTGGCTGTATCATTTTACGCTTTTGTTAGTAATATATGAATGATCCAATATACTCACCTACATTTGGTGTTGCCACTACTGTTTTGTTTGTTTATGTTAGACCTTCTAACAGGTATGTGGTGATATCTCATTGTGGTTTTAATTTGCATTTCCCTAATGTGCTTGTTTGTCATCCATATAGCCTCTTGGGTAGAATGTGTCTTATATGTTTTGCCCATTTGCCATTTAGACTGTTTGATTTTTTGACTGTTGAGTTGTGAGAAGTCTTTATGTTTTCTAGATACTGGTCCTTTTTCAGATAGATGGTTTGAAAAGATATTCTTCCAATCTGTGGCTTGTCTTTTCATTCTCTTAATGGAATTGTTGGGTAGGAAGTGTAATTTCTCCTCGACGCTCATAAATTCATAGTTCAAACAGACTTCAGTAGCAAAAGACAAACAAGAGAAAAACAATCAAGTTTATTAATATGCACAGTGCCTATCACTCGGGAGAAACTTCAATGAAAGGTAACACAAGGGAGTGGCTTAGAAATCTGGTTTATATAGAATCTTCGACAAACAACAATGTATTTTAGAGAAATGACATGACAAAGAAAAGCAGTTTTAGGCTTCCAGAGGCAGGAAGCTGTGGGAAGTTAAATATATAGAAAAAAACTAATGGAGTAAGATTTGTTTGTAGATTCCTCTGGTGCCATCTCTCAGCTGATAAGAGTTGTTTCCAGAAAGGATTTATACCTTCTCCTTACATGGAAAAGGGTGAGGATAGACAGAGCTCTTCCTTTGTTGGCTGTTTCGTGATTGCCTTTAGCTCAACAATATTTGTGTCACAGAGGCACATTTTGGGGTGACATCTCTGGTTTCCTTCAGAGTATTTTATGGAGCAAAAGTGTTTAATTTTGATGAATCAACTTACCAATTTTTCTTTATGTATAGTGATTTTGTTATGAATTCCAGTAACTCTTTGCCTAGTTCCAGGTCCTAAAGATCTTGTTTTGTTATTTTCTAAAAGTTTTATAGTTCAATGTTTTACATTTAGGCCTGTGATCCATTTTGAGTTAATTTGTATGTAAGATGTGTTATGTAGATCAAAATTCTCCCTCTCTTCCCCTTCACTCCCCTCCTCTCTTTATTTGTCTCTCTCTCTTCCTCTCTCTCTCTCTGTCTCTCCTGTGGCTGTCCAATTGCTGTGACACCATTTGCTGAAATGACTATCTTTTTTCTATTGAATTGGTTTTGGGTCAGTCATGGCTGTAATCCCAGTACTTTGGGAGGCCGAGGCGGGTGGATCATTTGAGGCCAGGAGTTCGAGACCAGCCAGGCCAACATGGCAAAACCCCGTCTCTACTAAAAATACAAAAAGTTAGCCAGGCATGGTGGCACACGCCTGTAATCTCAGCTACTCGGGAGGCTGAGGCAGGAGAATAGCTTGAACTTGGGAAGTGGAGGTTGCAGTGAACCAAGATCGTGCCATTGCACTCCAGCCTGGGTGACAGAGCAAGACTCCGTATCAAAAAAAAAAAAAATGGTTTTGTATCTTTGTCAAAAATCAGTTGTTTCTTGGGCATGTATATACGAGCCTCGTTCTAGGTTCCCTGTTCTATTCCGTTGATTGGTGTGTCTGTCTCTCTGCCAATACTGCCACACAGTCTTGATTAGAGTCACACAGTAACCTACTACTATTTTTATTATTACTAATTTATTTTACATATATTATTAGGTCTAATGTTAGTATATTATACTAGTTAAAAATCAGTCTTTACATCAAATAGACTAATTCCTGCTGCTATATATTTTTTCCCAAAATTGTTTCAGTTATTCTAGTTCCATTACATTTCCAAATACATTTGGAATACTTTTATCTATATCTATAATAAATCTTGCTGGGGTTTTGGTCAGAATTGAATTAAACGTGTATATCAATTTGGAGAGAACTAACATCTTTGTTGAGACTTGCAATCCATGAACATAACAATATCTCTCTCCAGATCTCTTAGGTTTCTTATCAGCATTTTGCAGTTTTCATCACACAAGTCCTGTACATGTTCTTTTATCTACACCTAACCAGTTCATTTTTTTAGCAATTCTAGATAATATTGTGTTTTTATCTTCTTGGCTTATTGCTGATCTTAGGGAGAAAGCATTTAGTTTTTTACCATTAAGTATAATGTTAATTATAGGATTTTTTTTGTAAAAGATCTTTATCGAGTTGAGAAAGTTCACCTGTGTTCCTAGTGGTCTGAGAATTTTTAGTCATGAATGGGTGCTGAATTTTGTCAAGCGCTTTTTTTTAATTTTTGCTTTGATTGATATTATTATGTGATGTTTCTTTTTTAGCCTGTTGATGTGGTGAATTGTACTGATTGATATTTGAATATTAAACTGGCTTTGCATCCCTAGAATATACCTCACCAGGTCACTGTGTACTAGGTTGGTGCAAAAGTGCTTGCCATTTTGGACCATGAATTTTGAATCATTAAAACTAGGCTCAAACACATCTGTATTAATCAAAGTAAGAACCATTACAATCAACACAATTTTGCCAACAAGAAATAAGTTTGTTTACTCCTGTAGCATAAAAATCCGTGCTTTGAGATTCGAGGAACTTTTGGAAAGCACTTTCTGCATCCTGCTGGTTGTGGAAGCGTTTTCCCTGCAAAAAGTTGTCAAGATGCTTGAAGAAGTGGTAGTCGGTTGGTGAGAGGTCAGGTGAATATGGTGGATAAGGCAAAACTTCATAGCCCAATTAGTTCAACTTTTGAAGCGTTGGTTGTGCAACATGCAGTCAGGCATTATTGTGGAGAATAACTCGGCCCTTTCTGTTGACTAATGCCAGCTGCAGGGATTACAGTTTTCAGTGCATCCTATCGATTTGCTGAGCAAACTTCTCAGCTATAATGGTTTCACCAGGAATCAGAAAGCTGTAGTGGATCAGACCGGCAGCAGACCACCAAACAGTGACCATGACCTATTTTGGGTGCAAGTTTGGCTTGGGGAATTGCTTTGGAGCTTCTTCTCAGTCCAACCCTGAGCTGGTCATCACAGGTTGTTGTATAAAATCCACTTTTCGTCACACGTCACAATCTGATCAAGAAATGGCTCATTGATGTTGTGTAAAATAAGTGAAGATGACACTCCAAAACGACGATTTCTTTGATTTTCACTCAGCTCATGAGACACCCACTTATCGAGATTTTCACCTTTCCAATTTGCTTCAAATGCCAAAAGACCATAGAATGGTCGACGTCGAGTTCTTTGGCAACTTCTCATATAGTTGTAAGAGGATCAGCTTCTCAATTGGTCATTGTTAACTCCCAATGGCCAGCCAATATGCTCCTCATCTTCAAGGCTCTTGTCTCCTGTGCAAAACTTCTTGAACATGACTGTACTGTAGGCTTATTAGCAGTTCCTGGGCCAAATGTATTGTTGTCGTTGATGTATTACCCATTTTGAACTCAAATAAGAAAATTGCTTGAATTTGCTTGTTGATTAATGTTATTTCCATAGTCTAAAATAAATGTAAAATAAACAGCAAGTAATAAGTCATTAGTAAAAAACATAAAGTGAGAAATGCCCATTAAAATGATGTATAACATAACCACATTTATTTAAGAATGTATTTCTTTTTTTTTTTTTTCTTTTTTTTTGAGACAGAGTCTTGCTCTGTCGCCCAGGGTGGAGTGCGGTGGCGCGATCTCGGCTCACTGCAAACTCCGCCTCCTAGGTTCACGCCATTCTCCTGCCTCAGCCTCCCAAGTAGCTGGGACTACAGGTGCCCACCACCACGCCCAGCTAATTTTTTGTATTTTTTTTTTTTTAGTAGAGACGGGGTTTCACCATGTTGGCCAGGATGGTCTCGATCTCCAGACCTCGTGATCTGCCCACCTCGGCCAGCCAAAGTACTGGGATTACAGGCGTGAGCCACCAAGCCCGGCCAAGAATGTATTTCAATACAAATGGCAAATTCCAACCATGTACTCACCTAATATAATTCTTTTTTATATATTGATGAATTTTATTTGCTAATATTTTGTTAAGAAATTTTGTGTCCATATAGATTCCTCCTCTTACACTGTCTTGTCTGATTTAAGTATCGCAATAATGTCAACTTCATAAAATAAATTGTGAAACGTTCCCTCTTCCCTATTTTCTCAAAAAGTTTATGTAGAATTGGTGATAAAACTTTCAATAATGGCCAGATGCAGTGGCTCATGCCTGTAATCCCAGCACTTTGGGATGCCGAGGCAGGTGGATCACCTGAAGTCAGGAGTTCGAGACCAGCCTCGCCCACATAGTGAAACCCCATCGATACTAAAAATACAAAAATTAGCTGGGTGTGGTGGCGGGCGCCTATAATCCCAGCTACTAGGCAGGTTGAGGCAGAAGTATTGCTTGAACCTAGGAGGCAGAGTTTGCAGTGAGCCAAGATTGCACCATTGCACTCCAGCCTGGGCAACAAGAGCGAAACTCCATCTCAAAAAAAAAAAAAAAAAAAAAAAACCTTTCAATATTTGTTACAATTATCCAGCTAAATTATCTAGGCCTGGAGATTTCTTTTTGAGAGAGTTGTTAAATTACATATTCAATCTCTTTCTTTCTTTCTTTTTTTAAAATAGAGACAGGGTCTTGCTTTGTCACCCAGGCTGGAGTGTAGTGGCATGGTCATAGCCCACTGCAGCCTCAAACTCTGGGGCCAAAGCCATCCTCCCACCTCAGCCTCCTAATTAGGTAGGATTACAGGTGTGCATCACCACAACTAGCTAATTTTTAAATTTTTTCGTAGAGATGGTGTCTCACTATGTTGCCCAGCCTGGTCTCAAACTCCTGGCCTCAAGTGATCCTCCTGCCTTAGCCTCCCAAAGCACTGGGATCACAGACATGAGCCACCATGCCTGGCCTTCAGTTTTCTTAATAGTTATAGGACTCATTTCATTATAGGGATCAGTCAAGTGATCTAATTCATGTTGAGTGAGTTGTGGTAATATGTGTTTTTAAATAATTGGTTCATTTCATCTAAGATATTCAATTTATGTGTTTAGTGTAGTTTGCAGTGTTCCCTTATTATGTTTTGCTGTGTGATATGCCCTGTTTCATTTCTGATATTGATAATTTGTATATTCTTATTTCTCAGTCTTGCTGAGGGGATGCCGATTTTATTAATCTTTTCAAATACGCATGTTGTTCATCGATTTCTCCCTGTTGTGCTGTTTTCATTTTTGCGTACTTGTGCTCTTATTTTCTTTCTCTTCTGCTTTAGGCTGATTTTGCTCTTCTTACTCTTGTTTTTTGATATTAGACCTTTGATTATAGATTTGAGACTTTTCCTCTTTTCTAGTTTATACATTTATTGCTATTACTTTTGCTGTGAGCACTGCTGTAGCTGTGTCCCACAAATTTTGATATGTGGTATTTTCATTTTCATTCACTCCAATTTCTTTTTCTTTCACTTGAGACTTCCTCTTTGACTCATTAATTATTTAGGAGTGTGTTAATTAGTTTCCAAGTGTTTGGAGATTTTCCTGTTATCTTTCTGTTATTGATTGCTATTTTGATCATATTGTGGTCTGAAAACACTTTCTGTATGATTTCAGTTATTTTTAATTTGTTGAGATGTGCTTTACGTGCTATATAATGTGACCTATCTTGGAATATGTTTGTTTGTGGGCACTTGAAAATAATGTGTATACTTCTGTGGTTGGGTGGTATGGTTAATAAATGTCAACTAGATTCTGTTGATGAATGATTTGTTGGATTCTATATCCTTGATAATTATCTGTTTAATTGTTCTGCCCATTATTGGGAGATGTGTGTCAAAGTATACAACTATAAATGTGAACTTGTCGGCCGGGAGCGGTGGCTCACCCCTGTAATCCCAGCACTTTGGGAGGCCAAGGCGGGGGGATCACGAGGTCAGGAGTTGGAGACCAGCCTGACCAACATGGTGAAACCCCGTCTCTACTAAAAATACAAAAATTAGCCAGGTGTAGTGGCATGCACCTGTAATCCCAGCTACTCAGGAGGCTGAGGCAGGAGTATTGCTTGAACCTGGGAGGCAGAGGTTGCAGTGAGCCGAGATTGCACCACTGCGCTCCAGCCTGGGTGACAGTGAGACTCCATCTCAAAAATAAAAATAAAAATAAAAATAAAAAAATAAAAATAAATGAAGGTGAACTTGTCTGTTTCTCTTTTCTGTTTCATACTCTACATATTGAGCAGCTTTGTTTTGGTGCATACACATTCAGGGATGCTATGTCTTCTTGCTGGATTGTTTCTTTTATCATTGTGTGATGTCTACCTGTGTCTCTGGTAATTTTCTGTCCTTGGAAGTCTATTTTATTTGATATTATTAAAGACACTTCTGTTTTCTAATGTTTGACTAATATGCTTACTTTAATCATTTTACTTTCAACCTGTTTATATTGTTATATTTAAATTTTCATTGTAGACAGCATATAATTGGGCCATGGTTTTTAAATCCACTGTGCAAATCTCTGCCATTTCATTGGTATATTCAAACAATTCACATTTACTTCAATAATTTATTTATATGATTTAAGCCTGCCATTTGAATAGTTCTTTTTTGTTTGTTCTTTCTGTTTTTTATTTCTCTGAGTTTTTTCTCCTGCCTTTTTGTGGTTTACTTAAACAAATTTTAACATTTTTAGAATTTTGACATATCTAGAATTTTTTTTTACTAAATTTCGTTATGTAATTTTTTAGTGGCTGCTTTATGTATTATGTTACATATACATAACTTATCACAGTCTACTAGTATCCTCATTTTACCATTTCAAGCAGTTAAAAAATCTTACCTACTTTTGTACCTTCACTCTTACCCATTTATAATATAATTAATTGTCTTAGATATTTCCTCCACATGCGTTTAGCACTATACCAGACAGTGCTCTATTTATGTTTCCACAATCAAACATAATTTAGAAAACTCCAGAAAAGGAAAGTCTGTTCTATTTATCCATATTTGTATGTACTGAATTCTTTCTTCCTTTCTAAACTTCCAAGATTCCCTCTTTTGTCTTTTCCATTCTGTGTGGACAACTTCCTTAGCCATTCTGTCAGGTTAGGCCTGCTAGTTGAAAATTATTCTAGTTTTCTTTATCTAACAATGTTTTCCTTTCCCCTTCATTTCTAAAGGATATTTTCTATGGATATAAAACTCTAGGTTGATAGTTCTTTGCTTTCAGCAAGTGAAACGGTCATGTCCTTTCCTTTTGGCTCCCATGGTTTCTGATGGGAAACCCACTGTCTGAATCATTTTTCCTCTATAGATAAGACTGTGTTTTTTCCTGCTCTTTTCAGATTTTTTCTTTAAGTTTTTGTAAGTTTGACTATGATATGCTTTGGTATAAATTTCTTTGGTTTTATTCTGTTTGCGGTTTGCTCAGCTTCTTGAATCTGTGTCCTTTTTGCTATATTTTGGAAGTTTCCAGCCACTATAGCCACTATTTCTTTGAGGATATTTTAAGCATTGCCCTTTTTCTCCTCTCTTTCTGGGATTCTAGTGACACAGATACAAATGTTTTATTTTTTGTTATAGTTTCACAGTTGCCTAAGTCTCTGTTTTTAAGTATAGTTTATTTCTGTTGTTCAGATTAAGTTATTTCCATTATTCTTTCTTCCAGTTCACTGATTCTTTCTTCTGCCTTCTCCACTCTGCTGTCAAGTACATCCTCTTAGTTTTTGATAATTTCAATTATTTTATTTTTCTGTTCTAAAATTTTATCTGATTATTCTTTGTATCTTCTATTTCTTTGTCAAAACTTTTACCTTTTTCGTTTGTTTCCACTATGCTTATAATTGCCTCTTGGAGCATTTTCATGACAGCTGCTTTAAAATCTTTGTCAGATAATTCTAACATCTCTGTCATCTCAATGTTCACATGTATCAATAGCCTTGTAAAAATTCAGTTTGAGATCTTCTTTCTGTTTTGGGTGACAAATGATTTTCGGTTGAAACCTGGACATCTTAGGTATTAGGTATGAGGTTCTAATTCTTATTTAAACCTTCTGTTTTATCTGGCTTCTTCTTACACCACGCCGGCCGGGAAAAGGGAGCATGCCGCCTTGTTACTGCCAGATATGGATAGAAGTAGCTCCTGCTCTTCAATGAACCTCCGTTGGTTTCTGCTACCAAACTGACCTCCACTGATATCTTCCTGGCAAGAAAAAATGGAGTAGTTTGTTGCTGCTCTTATTGTGGTCTTCACCAGTGCTTTAGAAGTTGAGGGATAGCATGGTAGCCTCATTACAGCTGGACAGTTTCAAATGTTCTCAATCTCCACCAAACCTCCTCTCATACTACCTCAGTGGAGAGGGAGATGGATACCTCATTATTGTTGAGTTTGGGGTGGAAGTCTAGACTGCCCATTTAGTCAACATAGACACTGCATGTAGGGTAAGAGAAGAATCTTGCTAACCCCCGGCAGGGATGAAACTCCTAGATTCCTGCTCAGACTTCTTTTACACTACTCTGGGTGCTGGAAGGAGAGGGTGTTGGAATACCCTGGCAAGGATCAGCGTCTGGGCTTGCCACTTTGCCTTTGCAGGTGTACATGGGGATGGGACCATAATTCTTTTTGTGGTGTTCAACGAGAGCAAAATGATATTGCTTTCTGTCTTTCTAGGCTGCCCCTTTCTTGTTCCTTTGACTAGAGAGAACAGCCTTTCGTTGGAACTTGGTTTTTTTGTCTGAACCAGTTGGCATTTCTGGGTTGCAGGCTTCTTCAGCTCTGAGGTTTTGATGTATAAGGTAAAAATTTTAAATCCATGTCATTCCTTGAGTCCTTCAGTCTCTAGCTAGTTTTTCATCTTCTCTCAGCTTTTCAGAGTCTCTTTAAATTTCTTTGATATGTAATGTGGAGAGATTTTAGTTGTACCTAGAAGGGGAATTAGAAAAAACTACGTCTACTCCATCTTTCTACAAGTGAAAGTCTCCCATTACTTTGCTTCTTTTTAAAAATTGTTTTTAATTGGGAAGACAGCATACAATTTTCACATCAGATTCTTTCAGGAAGTTCAACAGAATTATACAAAACTAACCATGAATTTAGTATTAAAAAGGAAACCTTCAGACAGAGAAAACATCTCTAATTTATTTTTTAATATCCATTTTACTTCCACTTTGCAATTTCCATCGGTTTGTTTCTTGACAAGTTTGTCTCTTTTAGGACCTGCAACATCTCTGTTTAGTAGTGAGCTTTTCTCATTTAAAAGTACTTACTGAAAGACTCCCACATGGGAGTCACATCAGTTTCTTTCACTGATGTTCTCCTATGCCTATCAGAAGGCCTGGCACATACTAGGACTTAATAAATAATCTGCTGAATAAGTGAATGAGAACTGGAAATTTAAATTTTTATGTCAATGAATGTGTCATCTGCTTTCTTGTTTTGCTGAATCATGGGGCTTAAGTTTCTGCCAAGCACTCTTTAAATATGTGCTTAGGACACTAGCAGATTTGTCCAGAATTTTGCAATCTAGAAAAAAAGCAATTTTAATTTTAGCCCGTGTGTAAATTTTTAGTTTATGGTTTAGAATTGCATTATTTTGAATTACAAATGGGGAGGACGACATGATGGTTCTCACGTGTGTGTATGTGTGTGTACACATTCACTCCTATCGTTGCTAAAGAAAGTCACCTGAAGGACATGGCACAAAAACAACCACAAACCATTTTTAGTTATGTTTCCTAGATGCCTGAATCATTTTTCAGATTTTTTTCTATTAGACAAGTCACAGTTTGATTATCTTTGAAAGTCATTGTTATGTATTGTGCAGTGTATGTGTTTACACATGGAAAAGGGGCAACATTAATCCATCATTTGGGGAAGACACTGAATATAATGTTAAATTTTTTGCAAACAATCATACTTTAGATAAAGATTCTCCAATTATTGCAACATTTTTAAAAAATAAAGTTAAAGGACATGGTTCTTTTTAGTGCCGCTCAGTATGTTTGGTTTCTGTACTAATAATGCTTGCTTTCCTGTTTGGCTTTAAATTCTGCTTAAGGAAATTGTGAAAAATTTAATTCACTCTACTTTTGTTAGAAAGTATAGAAATGTTCGTGCATGGGATTCATTGCCTGCTAGAATGGAAATTCATTGGGGAGGGGAACCATTTCATTTTACTACCTAAGAGCTGTTGACACAGTCCCTGCATCTTTCAAAGGCATCTTTCATGCCACGCGGGCAAACTGTAGCCAGCGAAGAAACAGAAAGAGCCCTTCTCACATATGTCAGTCTCAGAAAACTTGCATAGCAGCTGTGCTAGGTACCGATGAGGATTACTATAGACCCAGTTGCAGGGTTTTATGTGGATAAAGAGACAACTGGCTTTCTCAGGGGAGCACTTTGTTGGAGATTGCAGCAATAGTGCATCCCTGCTGTTGCTAGAAGACATTGTGACCATGTAGTACAAAATCAGTGCCAGATAAAATCAGAAAGTAACAAAAAGCAAGAAGAAAACTCGGAGTTTTTTTAAATCTTAAAGTGAGAGACGAAAACAAATGTTCTGGGCTTGTTTCATTCACTTGTAAGGAAAAGGAGACAGATGAAGGGATGCCTTTAACTCAGAAAACTTGAAGGGCTTTCAGTCTTTTCATTTGAGAACCATTTGGGTGTGTTGAGAAAAAAAGTTGCCAGAGTAGGCATGTTCAGACCTTTATTTGCTACATTTGGTAGGAAAGATTTTTTTTTTCCCCTCTTAACTACAAGAAGCCAGAGTTTTCTGTGCAAACGAAACAGGCGTTGCAAGAATCAGATTCACTTTGGACGACTCTTCACATTCCAAGTCATCATTGCGTTAGGCAGCACAATTCCATCTCTGGTTGATGGGCAGAAAAAGTGGGCAGCTTGCCAGGTAGACGTTTCCATGACTCCCAGCCCCCAAAGGTGATGCGTTTTTCAGCTAATTCAATGAAGAGTGGGCTGAACTTTGGGTCTAAACGAGACAATAGCTGCCTTCGCAGTATCAGCAGAATGGTTGATGGGAGTGCACTCTACATTTGGCAGAGAATCATGTGACCTTACGACTGAGATTTTGTGATGGTGCCAACGGAGACTTGGAAAGCAGCAACCGTCCTGACTTTTTTCTTCTTTTCTAACATGGCTCAGAAAATGGTGGATCTTAATACTTGACTTTAGCCAGACTCAGCAAGCGACTGAGCTTTGAAGCACAACTTCGCCTTTATTCTGGGTTTTTGGCAGGCCACCAGGAGGCTGTCCCTTTCACGCCTGATAAATTCTGCTGCTTATCTCTAAATAGAAAAAAAAAAAAAGGAAAATAATAATAGAATATTGAGGCATAACAAGTGAATTCTAAAATTGTATGTGCTTTTTGTTTTTTTTTTTTGTTTTTTTTGCCTTTTCTGACTGGTGATTTGTATTTTTGTTTTATTTATTTATTTATTTTTTAGGTTACTACCTTTCTGCTTGTAGAAGAATCCAAGTAGTTGGGTCTTTTTTTTTTTGGTTTATAATGAACAGGCATTTGAACTGGGCAAACAGGACGACAGCAGCAGTGAGCATGAGATCATTGCATTGCAGCACTGTAGCAAACTGGCACCCTGCCTTTGCACCCCTTTGGTTCAGGAGACAAACGTGTGTAATCCTCATTTCTAAAGTCAGCACAGCCTGGAAGGATTCCTGGTCTCTCCCACCTTCTACCATTCTGCTGCCAGTGACGGCAAGGATTGGTGTAGCTTCTGCGCAGTGCTTTGTGCCTGGAATACCGAGAAGGAAGAAAAAGAAGACAAGCACCCTGGTCCTTTTCTAAGAAATTACAGGCGCCCTTGAAGAAAAAATCTGAGTGTGTCCTACTACATGCAAGAGTGCTGGAAAAAAAAAAAAAAAAAAAAAAAAAAAGAGACGCTCCTGCTCAAAAACAAAAACAAAAGCAAACAAACAAAAATCCAAACCAAAACAAACCAAAAAAAGCAAACATTGGCTGTATAACTACAGAGACATCGGGCTTTGTAAATCAGCTTTTTAAGGCAACATAACCAAATGAGCCTTCTTTATTTTTATTATTTCAAACCATATGGCATAATTAGCAATATATTGCACTTGGTGAAATCGCACCTTTCATATCAGGTATAACTTTTTTTGTTGTTTTTCTTTTAAAGGCTACTGTTATATAAAAGGGAATCCTTGAACTTTTAATTTACTTTTATTTAACTCATTGCCCACTTTACTCTTATTAACTTTTTCCTTTTCCTCTCTTGCTCTAATCTTGATTAAAATAGAAACTTAAGGAAAGATAGAAAAATCTCTATGAAAAAGACAATACATGTTTTTATGTGGGGTATACACAGAAGTTTTGGAAAGATATTAATATATCTGTGCTTTTTGTGTCCAGTATTAGTTTTTGCTATCTAAGAAAAGTGAATGTTTAGACCTAGTGGGTAAAAAAAGTAAATCTTTCATGTGACTTATAATTTGAAATGTGAAAGAAGAAACTTTTTAAACTTGTAGAAAAGGGTTATATTAGAATATGCGTTGAATGACTGATAAATAAGATTGCTTTTGGGGAAGTTATATTCAAATTATTTACAAAGATTTCAGTAGAACAAAAATAGGAATGAGAAGAGCATGTTCTCAGTTGCTAGGTAGAAAAGAAGCTTCTTTCATAATAATATGCTCTTTTAAAATACATTTTAAAAGAAGTACTTGTCCTAGAGCAGTTGCAAAAAGCATTGGAAATATCAAGTGTATTAGAAAAAGTACATGCAAACTTGTTTTAAGTTCAGAGCAATGTATTGGCTCAGCAGATAACTGCATTGCATTATAATTATTTTGTCTGTTTGTAGAAGTAAATTGCTAAGCAATTTAAGCATTTTATTAAAAAAACAGTTTTGCCTGGTTCAGTGTGAAAGGATTAGCAGATGCATTCCAGCTATTTTAGTTTTGATAAAAAATGTTTCTAAACAAGTGTAAAAATAATTTTTAAAAGAGAATGCTTTTGAAAAATTCAGCAAGTATCAATGAAAACTATAATTTGCATACTAAGAATTGACGTTATAATATTTCGGTAAAAATATACTTTGGTAATCTGTTATGCTTTTAAAATCATATTTTCTTATATTACAAATATGTAGGGTAAACAATGAAAAATGTAGAACTGATTAATTCTGCCTTTGTGTTTGCTATTCTATGAACAATTACAGGAAATTGCAAAATCCCTATATACTGATAACATTCAAATAAAACGTTCTGTTGGTTATTGTTCACTAATTATTTACAAAATAGCTCTTGTACCTCCATGCTGCCTCAGCTAATGGTACACCAACTTTCACTGGCTTAATTAATATTGATAAACCTGTTTCCATGTTTCAAGATCCGTTTAAAAACATTATTTTAAATGTTATTTTTAGCAGCCATTAATCTCTACACTCTTAATTATCTTATTAAGCTCCATGCCAAATCCAAATCTCTTTTCAGCTTTCGCTACTTCATTGTGCAAAACCTAGTCGCTTCTTTAACAGCCATCGTCCTTTCACTTTCAAAACTGTTACTGTGAAAACAACACGAACCAAAATGAACGCATAAATGCAAACTATGAAACCACTTTATATGTCATATGAGTAGCCTGGGTGGGGCCCTGTGAGTCTTCCAAGGCTTTAAAAAAAAAATACTTTAAAAGGTTTTGCCCATTTTGATATCGTGTTTTCTTCTCGATCGTCTACCCTCATTCCCACGATCCACTCAGATGCTCCTCCTAGACAGCAGTTGTCTGATATTTCTCCTTTTGTGGTTGTTTTAGGGAAAAACTTAAAATGGATATGAAAAGTGAAGAAAGTGATCATAGGAGAAAACCATTTCAGGTAAAAATAAAAAACAAAGAGCAAATAAGATTTACTGTTTTTAAAGAAAAACAACATTCTTTTGACTGTGTTTTGTTATAAGAATTAATTTCATATTCTTTATGAGTGTAACTGTTGAAATTTTATTGATGGTTTTCATTTGAAAATGTGTGCTATGACCTACCTTTGTGAAAAATTTCTTGTGGTCAATTGGGCAGTTTGTGTCCCATTGAATATATGTCTGTGTATCCATACGCTTAAGATAGGTGCAATACGGTTTACTAGAAAGCTTTATAGGAAAAGAAAAAAATTATATTTTCTTATTTGTTGTACCATATAAAAGGAAGTGAAATCAGGAGGAGGGGAATAAGGTCATGCTTTTTCATCTTTTTTACATGACCTGATAAGACAATGAAACCAAAACATGCTTTCTTATAGTTATGGTAAAACTAAACCCAATGCTGCCTCTTATTTCACATTTGCATTTATAAATATATGTTGAAATATTTTTACTACAACTGAATGTATGATTGTTGATTATTTACTATAGTTTTTAATAATTATGAGGACAATTTAAGAATAAATAATGGTTTAAAATTATGTAGAACACATGATCTATATAAAGGCTATAAAACGTATTTATTTCAAAATATGCAAAATCACTAAGCAATTAGTATGTAGTATTATTTTACACAATAAAGATATAATTAGGAAATGCTAAGTGATTATAGATGTGAAATGATTAATGATTGTACAACTTATCATTTTGTTGCAGTTGAGTTTACAATCTTAAAAAAACGTGTATGTGGCTGGCTTTATGTTTACTCGTTTGTGTGTTTGCTTGTTGTCTGGTGGTTTAAAACATTTTTTAGTAATATTTTATTTTTGCCCAACCTGTTGACCAGATGAGAGTTGTATGTAGCCATGCATTTTAAGTGTATCTTTTTTGAACAATAAGTTTAAATATATTTTATTTAGGAAAGAAGATATCCTATGTCATGTAATACATCTGGAGTATAAATGTTAGTGTGGAGTATTAGTAATCATGCCATTATCGTGCCATTTAGTTTAGTTTTATATTAACTCATCCAAATATTGTAAATTTTAGCACCATTCCGACTATAGACACAGATGTATATATTTAAGGCTGATAATAACTTCCTGTATTCTCTAGCTAGTGAACAAGATCTTACTGTTTTATGAGAAAGTTATAATGTTACCAATTCCTTGAAACCAGTAACTAAACTAGTTTTATAAAAATTAAAATAAGCACGGTCTAACTCATACACAATTAACTTAATAGTTAATTTGGTTTTAATTATAGGCTCGTAATACTACATTCATGCCTCACAATTATATAATTCATACATGCATGTATGGATTCTTTTTTCTTTTAAAACTCAATTAGAATAGTTTAATTCCAAAATATTTACTATTGAAACAAAAGCAGTTCGTGAAAAATTTTTCAATAAACTACTTTTTAAATTCTCATGCATATAAATTTGTATTTAGTTTTGAATATTTATGAAGGCCTTTAATGGAGAATATGCATCCTTAGAACTCAGCATTTAAAACATTTATACTAAAGGATCAATATTATTTTTGACTCTTAATTGCATCAGATATTTACAACAAATTCTATATTAATAGGGGGCCCATGCAAGATGTTGCCCATTGGCATAAACCCGTAGATCCGATCTTGTGGTGAAGTGGACCGCACAAGCTCGCTTCTATGGGTCTGTGTCAGTGTGGTAATCTGACAAAATGCTATACACAGTGCCGTTCAACAATAGTTCAGTAAAATCCTGTTAAACTCCAGTTGATTATATACTTTTGAAGTCATTATATTTTCCTTTGTTTTTAATGTTTATTTTAATCATTGTCTGTCTTACAAGGCAGGCTTCAATTCTCAACAACTTGGAAGCGTTTATATCACACCCATTCAAGTTCGATTCCATGTACAGTAAATTGCATAAGAAAGTTGAACCTTTATAGCAGGGTTTGGACCAGGATCTGAATAGATTCTGTTCAGAAACTTCAGTGCATACTGTAGTGCTTAGTGTACCTCTTCAACTTCAGTAAGAAAATTAAAGACTACCATTGGATTTATATGTTTTTATTGAGCCTATTTCTCCTGAAAAAATGAGGCTGAATGCAATTGACTTTTACTATTAATTGCGACTAGAACTATGGCAGGTTAGATGGTCAGAAGACATTTTACGTGACCTATGCTGGAAACCCAAGTGTTTAGGTTAGTCCTATGAGAAACAGTTAGCAGCAAAGTTTACTGGTAAAATGTTAGAATATTATATCTATATCCTTGCCAAGCCCTTAGGTGTATGGCTGCCATATTTGGAGGAGCTGACTGAAGATATGATAAGGAGTTTGAAGCAACATTGGAAGCTGTGTGCATCCGGGTTGAGGTAGTAGGTTGTATGGTTTAGAGTTACACCCTGGGAGTTAACTGTACAACCTTCTAGCTTTCCTTGGAGCACACTTGAGCCGTCGAGGAATTCTTCATCACTTTAACCTGATTGAGCCAATTTGTGTGCAAGAAGGTAATGTGTCATGAGTATCTTGGATCATTGATTTGGGCCTTTATTACATTAAAATGATCATTTCAGCCCTATTAGATTATTCCATTTGTATCTGCTTATGAACAATGTCAAAATGGTATTTCTAATGGGTTGTCACTCCATGTTCAAACATTTTAAGAAAATTGTAGGTAGTGACTTAAATTGCATTAATATTAAAGCTTTTTATCATCTATAGATTAACAAAATTCAGACCTTAATTTTCAAATGGATCATTGGTCTATTTATATTGGCTGCTTAGACACTATAATAAAAAATGTCTGCTAGAGTTAATAGCTCCCATAGCACATTATTTGCGTTTTCCTTATGACACATCACTTTCTACCTTATGTTATGGCTATTTATGTGCTTGCTGATTTTTTCCGCACTAGACTGTAAGCCCCTTGAGGGCAAAGTCCATGTTTTATTTTTCACTGTATCCCCTCCAATGCCTTACTCATAATGAGCACTAACTATTTATTGGATTAGTGAATGGAGTGTAAGACCTCACTCTGTGATGAGTTTCTATTGAATATTTGAATGAGTTATGGCAGTGGTCAAACATCTGAGTTTTATTTATTGCTCCTAAAACTGTTTAAATTTAATTCCTGGACTGCTCCGCATCAGTAATACATGTGTCGATTTTTGACTGTGTTGAATGTGTTCATTCATTCTAAACAGATAAGTTAAAATTTAGAAGTACTTTTTATCTAGAATAAAAATAATAGAGTAAATTCATTTTTACTAATTAGTTCATGACAGTTTATGATCCTACACTTAGATAATTCATATTTCTGTTGAATTTAAATACCTTTCTTTCCAGATGAATCGTTTTTCTTTTAGCATCAATTTCAACTAAATATTCTATTTTAAGTCTCATTTAACAATATGATTTTTAAAAATTAGATTTGTGTCTTTTGTGTATTTCCCTCGTCTCCTGCCCTTTATTTTTGTACAGCTATATCTGTTGAATAAACCAGAAGCAACTAAACCAGAAACATGTCAATAAATTAATAATAAATATGTATATAAAGTATAATTTGAGAATGTGAACACATTTTTGTTTAAAGGAAAGGCACTTTATAATATTCTTTGTGTTACAAAGCAAATGGGACTCTTTGGAACCTTAGTTTGCTGTCAACTTTAGCAGCTGTTAGTGGTGTAATTTGTGTAGTGAGGCTATCTTACATAGATCATCTTTCAGACACAGGATTAAGTAGTTGTTGATGTTAGAACTTTAATTTAAGACTCCAAATATGAAACATGGAATTCATTAAAGAGACGTTTAGATGCAAATATATATTAAGGACCTCAAGATACTGGCTATGTGGTGCTGACCTTTCTAGAATGCTCAGGCATCCAAAATATCTTAATACCTAGAACTTGCTAACAATGTAGTGAAGAAGGAATGGCTACCCCCAACACGTAGAACATGTGAGCCTTAGAAAGTGAATACCAGTCACTTCAAGCAAAATAATTTGATTGGTCTACAGTAGTAAAGACTCTTTCTCTCTGTGAAAGAAAAATATTTGCAAGGACTAATCAAGAAGCAATGAATAAGAGGCAGTAGACATAGACCTAAAACAAACAAACAAAAAGACATGAAGAGATGAAAAGGAAAGTGACTCATAGCAAATAGGAACACCATTGTGTCTAATGATGGCAGTTCAACCCACGGATGAAAGAAAGGGACAACTAAATGGGTAAACAATTGTATCTTTATAAATAGTTTTTTCCTTGAGAGCCTAGGATCCCTTTCCTATGTGTTTCTATGTATGTATCTCCCAATACTAGGTGTATTTATTTAGAAGCCAAATCTATTGATGGGCCAAATAGAATATGATTGCCAATAAATGTCTATTTCCTTACAGTGTAATGGAGTTAAGTGCCTCACAGAGGTCAAGTAAGATGTGCAGTTTAAGGATAATCTTACAAAAGTACTATAATGAATTGTTAGAATTACAGCCTCTTTTATATACTATCACCTAAAGTGAATGAGTATAATAGAAGAATAATTGAAGAATGGTGAAGATGTCTCTATGATTCATTATGTTAGTTATGTAGAAATCATAAGAAAAAATCTGACCAGGTGTGGTGGCTCATGCCTGTAATCCCAGCACTTTGGGAGTCTGAGGCAGGTGGATCACTTGAGGTCAGGAGTTCGAGATCAGCCTGACCAAAATGGTGAAACCCCATCTCTACTAAAAATACAAAATTAACTGGGCATGGTGGCACACACCTGTAATCGCAGCTACTTGGGAGGCTGGGGCAGGAGAATAACTTGAACTCGGGAAGCGGAGGTTGCAGTGAGCCTAGATCATGCCATTGCACTGCAGCCTGGGCGACAGAATGAGACTCCGTTCTCAACAACACAAAACAAACAAAACAATAAGACAGAAAAAAACCTGCAAGGTGGAGGATATAGTTAGTACCAATGAAGAAAATTTTTAAAACTTCTCTGTAGGACAAGAACACTACGTGGAAGAATTGTATGTTTGCCTTTGATTCATAATAAATTTTGCTACTCCAGGTATGAGGGCTATGTAACTTGCTACAGGTTTATAAATAAATGGCAAATGTCAGATATAGAAATTGATAGGATTTTTTGAGAAACCAAGATATAGGACCACTGCTGATGTCAGTAATTAAAAATAGTTAAATTATGTCTAAGAAATCAAAGCGAAAGATTGTTCATATAGAGGGCTTATGTTCAGCTATGGGGAAACAACTAACCAGACTGAATAATTTCCTTAAGAATTTTAAGTGGTCAAGTTTAACTGTAGACTGGGGTTTTCACATCTGGTAACAGAGTATGACAATTCAGGAAATTATTAAATATCAGTGAATCATACTTCGTTTAACCAATATTTCTTTTGATATTTTGGGGCACAAAGTTGGATATGTCTTTATGTTCATACTGGTTGATTTACCTCAAATGCTTTGTGGGATGAGGCAGGAAGGAGTTTTAGAGTGGGAAGGGAGGGAGGGAGAGAAGAAGGGAAGGAGGGAAGAAAAGTAAAATCAAGTGCAAAGCAATCGATTGAGCCTCACCAGAAAAGTCCATTATTAGATTATAAGAACTAATGAGAGAAAGTAACTATGAGAGAATCAGATAAATTACTTGGCAATTGGACTGGGTCTTTTTGAAAAACATCCAATAGTCCATGAACTATGTTATTAGAATAAATGAATGATTTCTGTAAATAATAATTTAGATTCTCTTATTCCCTATTATCAAATGCTGACTAATGAGCACAGGTGATTCCTCAAGATTACCCAAATGATCTGATACAGGATTCCGTCTTCCTGAGCATTATTTCACACCCATGGCTAGTTTCTCTGCTACAGGATAGAGGAATAACTCCTGAGGTAACTTATCTTAACTCTACCTATACTTGACCTCTAAAACCCTTTGGGAATGCTTGTGAAAGATATACCAGAAGAATACTTTATTCTTACTTTAATGCCTACTGCCCAAGCAAAACTAATACCTGTTATTATTATGTCATTTAACATGATAATATCATGTTCACCTACAAATCCTTTACTGATTCTCTAAGATAGAATTTCTCAGTTTTGAATCCTCAAGGCCCTTGCCACTTTCATTCCCACAGGGATTTCTCTGACTTCTATTAGTAGTATTTACAAGTGTCCAAAGGGACTGTGACTTGCCTTTGTACCTCTTGTAATGTACATGCTTTACTTTTTTAACTATGGATATATTGAATCAATGCCTGTCGTCTTGAGTTGAACTTTAGATCATTTATGGGCAATGATGAGAACTGCTACACACCTTACGATAAACTTGGTTTCAGCAGTAAAGTCATGGGTTACCCAAGACATCTCTAGACTCTCCAGAATGTATTGTCATGGTATTAGGAGTATTCTAACGGTGCCTAGGTCTGCAGCCCACTCTTGATTAAGCATGTGATATACCAGTGGAAATGATTTAGGCAACCAGCCAATCACTATAATTTGTAGTAAATCTAAGCCCCTTTATGTAAGAAATCCATGTCTGTTTCAAACTGACAGCTCCTACCATAATGTTTAGCTTATAGGATCCATTCACCACTCCATTTTGGTGAATGAGCAAAAATTTTTTAAACAAAATAAAAAAGTGTTATATATTGGAGCAATTCTATATTTAAGTAGACTTCTTCAAACTTTTAAAGTTTAGAATTTAAAATAAATTAGAAATATCACTTTTGGGGGGAATTCTGTTTGATGATAATTCTTTTTTTTTTTTTTATAAGCCATAATTAATATAGATTTAATGCATTTTTCCATGTATTACATGATTTAAGTACAGTCTTCAAAAGTGAAGGAGTCTTTACTTGAAAGATGTTAAAGTGTATATGTTTGTGACTCTAGAATTTTCTTTTTTTGTTGTTTTTTTTTTTTTTTTTATTATACTCTAAGTTTTAGGGTACATGTGCACATTGTGCAGGTTAGTTACATATGTATACATGTGCCATGCTGGTGCGCTGCACCCACTAATGTGTCATCTAGCATTAGGTATATCTCCCAATGCTATCCCTCCCCCCTCCCCCGACCCCACCACAGTCCCCAGAGTGTGATATTCCCCTTCCTGTGTCCATGTGATCTCATTGTTCAATTCCCACCTATGAGTGAGAATATGCGGTGTTTGGTTTTTTGTTCTTGCGATAGTTTACTGAGAATGATGGTTTCCAATTTCATCCATGTCCCTACAAAGGATATGAACTCATCATTTTTTATGGCTGCATAGTATTCCATGGTGTATATGTGCCACATTTTCTTAATCCAGTCTATCATTGTTGGACATTTGGGTTGGTTCCAAGTCTTTGCTATTGTGAATAGTGCCTCAATAAACATACGTGTGCATGTGTCTTTATAGCAGCATGATTTATAGTCCTTTGGGTATATACCCAGTAATGGGATGGCTGGGATAATTCTTGATCTCTTAAAATTGGCATTGTCTTGTGTGTCCCTTAATTTTTAACCTTATTCTATGCTATGTGAAGGCGTGAATTAAATCATATTTCTCTCCTACATCCAATATCTCTTAAATCCCAATTTTGTTTCTCTTCATCTGAACTCTTAGAGTACTTATTTGACAACAATCATAGTCAGTCTGTGTTTCTAATTACTTTTTATATGTTTATATAGTATATAAGAAGATTAGATCATATGCTGTATAATTTGTGTAAATTTGTACACAATAGGCACTTAATAAATTGTGCTTTATTGAAATTAAAAATAAAATTGACACTTATTAATGATAAGAACCTTAGAGATCAAATGGCCCATTTTCCAGATGACCAAACTGAGGCCCAGTTTCTTTAATGATTCTGCCAAGGTCAATCTACTAGTTACGGACATAACTCAGATTTCAAACCATTTCAGTGACCTATCCAAGAAGAAATATTTTAGAATTGCTGTCATTAGATTTTTAGTTAGTACTCCATTTTAATGTGTCATTAAACAAATTTTAATAAAGTTGATTGAAATTAGAGAATAGACTTTTGTTTCCGAAAGGCTATAAATCACATAGTAATTTAGCTTCAAGCTCAAATATGATAGACATATAATTAAAATGATTTAAAATAAACTCATCCCTTCAATTATTTCTTTCCAAGTACCATTGCACCCTCATTCTTCTAGGCAAAGAGAGGAAGTTATCTACCTCAGTTACATTCTGATATTTCTCCTCCTTCTAGAACACTTCTCCAAGAGAGGAGAGTATGGCCTAGCAGTTGGTGGTGTATCTTAAGCAAAAAGGAAAAAAACAAACTATATATTGTTCAATCTGTTAGCACTGTGTTGCTCAGAAAAATGAAAGTTAATATTAAATGGTAACCGTAACTAAATCCAACTTCAAGTTTCAATTGTTCATGCCCTCCATGAGATAGGCAAGATATTATGTAAGGTGCTTTCACAGGGATCATAAACTTAAGTAACTTCTGGGTCCAGGTAGTATAAGCCAGACTTTTAAGACAAGGGGAAGTAATGGGGACTGTGGTAGACCAAAGAAGGCATATTTACCTTTAAGATATTTCAAAATAGGCCAACGCCGTGGCTCACGCCTGTAATTCCAGCATTTTGGGGGGCCGAGGTGGGCGGATCACCTGAGGTGAAGAGTTCAAGATCAGCCTGGCCCACATGGTAAAACCCCCTCGCTACTGAAAACACAAAAATTAACTGGGCGCGATGGTGGGCACTCGTAATCCCAACTACTCAGGAGGCTGAGGCAGGAGAGTCGCTTGAACTGGGAGGCAGAGGTTGCAGTGAGTTGAGATCACGCCACTGCACTCCAGGCTGGGCCACAGAGCGAGACTGTCTCAAAAAAAAAAAAAAAAAAAAAAAGATATTTTAAAATAACTCTTGTTAGTATGAATTTGGATCCCAAGGGCAGCCAGTTTTCCATTTCTGATATGAAGGTATCAGATAGTAAAGCAAAATTTCAAAAAACTTATTATTTTGATGAAGCTAACAGCATCTTTTCATAAAGTTAAACTAGATAATTTGGGATCGTTTTACTACTCTCAAGTCATTATAAAGTTCATATAAAAGACAACTTCTATGCTGACATTGTTATTTCAAATAGATATGTATGTTGCATGACAGTCGACATGGTTTCTTGAATTTAACTGACTAATGAAAAATATTCATTCATCAAGCAATAATTAGCAACCACAATATTATTTTGATGTCATTTTAATAAAAGAAGTGTAGTAGTAGTAGTAATTGTAATATTCTTGGTAGGAATATATAATTTTCAGTTTGTATTTGCATATAAACCGCAATGTACAAAAAATGAAATTCTTATAATTCTTATGCTCAGGTAATTGATGCTATAGATGGATAAATATATAGCATTTTCAAGTTAGAAAAAACAAAATGTTAAATAGAATGAAGACTAAGTTCAAGTATTCTCATCTCCATATAAAGTCGGGCAACTGAGTAGAGTTCAAAAGTAAAGAAACATTGGTATTGTTAATTATATTTTATTGTGTTATAATTAAAAGACCAATTATACATAAATCTGGAATTAGATCAGGTTCCTGTCCATAAATTTTCGATATAATTTAATCCAGTGAATCTAAATGTGTAAAAGAGAAATGACAAAACCACTTATGAAAACACAGAGTTTCTAGTAGTAAAAAAACATGTATTGTCAATTTTGTTGTCTGTTGTAGAAGCCCTCTTATTTAATATAATTGGGATCAATAGTCAATGAGTTAATGCACTCAGATATTAAAATAAATTGATCTTAAAAACAAATACATACACACAACCTACATTTTATTTAAATTTTAAACACTTGATTATATATTTATTTGCCAATAATTTTATGTAAACCAAGAACTTTTTTTTTTGGTTTACGTTGTTGGTTACAGATTATAGTCATCCTTCCTTTCAATAAATCCTATAATGCATCATATATGATTTCTAATTTTTCATCGCGTCATGAATGTCTTTAAGTAAGTTCAAATCCAATGCAAAGAAATCTAAGAGCAGAATTCTACTTTCTCCAATTTTTTTCTAAGCTTCTGAAATTGTCTTTCCCACATGTTATTCTATAGCATTGTGGGTTTTTTTAAGTGACTGAATTTTATTAAATCTTCCCTAAATATTCAACTTAGAGGTATAGAACAACAATTCTCATTTTCTTTACAATTATATTTCAATTTGTTTATGTGATATTTAATTAAATTGTGCAATTCGGTATATGCAAAACTGGCATAAACTGGTTTGGGAGCAAACGTAATGGACTCCAGGGAGGCATGTAAACCACTTGGTGGGAGCAGACATGTTCAACTGGGTGTTCCAGAAATCTTGATGGCGACGGAACTGTTCTCTCTGCACTGTCCAAAACAATAGCCACTGGCCACATGAAGCTATTGAGCACTTGAAGTACGTCTAGTGTGACTGAAAAATGAATTTTAAATTTTAGTTAATTTTAGTTGACTCAAATTTAAATAGCTACATGTGGTTTGCAGTTAAGGCAGTAGGCTGTGCAGTTCTAGAGAGTAGCTCACTTGCATTTAGCATTTAGCAGCCAGGATATCTGTTAAGAATATCAGATAATCTGCAAAGTGGCTAATGGTTAAGAATACTACTGTAGTTGAATTAAGATACACTTAGGAAATGCAGATTGATTTGGAATGTGTTTGTTTTGCTTTTTTTGTTTCATTTTATCATCTTTTACATTTGTCTTTTTTTATATTTGAGTCTAAATTTAGTTTTGAGGAATTTTTTAAACTTTATTCGAAATAAGGAAGCCAATGAGTAAAACGTTAAACACTACAGAGATTTACAGCTCTTTATGTAGCATTCAATTCAACCGAAAACTAATCAGAAAGTAATGACATTCCTTCTCATATTGGCAAAAAAAAAGTTCTTAATTCAGCATAATAGATCCATAGGAACCATAGGATGAATTTGTTGAGTCTTTAGAACCTTTGAAATATTTATATTAATAGTTTAAATGTATGCGAATGTGCTTGTGTTTGTTTTGTTTGTTTGTTTGTTTTTGAGTTGGAGTCTCACTCTGTTGCCCAGGCTGGAGTGCAATGACACAATCTCCGCTCACTGTAACCTCTGCCTCCCGGGTTCAGGTGATTCTCCTGCCTCAGCCTCCTGAGTAGCTGGGATTACAGGTGTGTACCACCACACCCGGCTAATTTCTGTATTTTTAGTGGAGATGGGGTTTCACCATGTTGGTTAGGCTGGTCTTGAACTCCTGACCTTGTGATCCACCTGCCTCAGCCTCCCAAAGTGCTGGGATTACAGGCGTGAGCCACCACACCCTGCCCAACGTGCTGGTATTTCTAAGGAAAACCCAGGCTCTGTCAGATTTTCAAGAGAGTGCATAATTTCCTCAAAAAGTTAATAATAACTCCATGAGGTTACTGTTTAATACTTTTTGAGGTGCCTGAATTTAATTCAGTGTAAACTGTGATAGAATCGAAAGCCTTCATTTACAAATATTGTAAATCTATCAATCCACATATATGTTAAATTATAAAATGTATACATGTTATTAAATATGTAAAAATTTTATGTATTGCACAATATATAATTTATATGTAATTAATAATACATTTATAATTTAATTACTTAGATAAACCTGTGGAACAAAGTTGACATAAGAAAAAAGGTAGCTTAATTCTTTGGAAGGACTAAATTAAATTGGATAGGTAAAATTGGTATTATATTAAGTTTGAACATTTAACTCTAAATTACTGGACATATCATAAAAATGTAGACTGAAGCCACACATGGTGGCATGCGCCTGTAGTCTCAGCTATTCAGGAGACAGAGGTAACAGGATTGTTTGCGTCCAGGAGTTTGAGGGTGTTGTGAGCTGTCATCTCCAACCTGGGTGATGGAGGGAGATCCCATCTCTAAAAAAAATAAAATAAAATAGATTGAGCCATCTCTCAGTTTTACAATATAAGTACATTTACTTTTTATTAATGAATAACTGGGCTTATTAAAGTGGTGCTTTACGAGTGAGGTTTATGAAACATAAAAAGATAGTCATCAGTTTCATGCTAAATGAGAGAACTTGCCTCATGTGAAAACATCGGGAAAATTAGAAAACTGTACTTTTATATGTTTTTAAAATAAAATATTTGTTTTAATGTATTTGTATGTTTCCCTTTTTAATCACAGTTGGTCCTTGAACATCACAGGGGTTAGGGGTCCTCACCCCCGGATGTAGTTGAAAATTTGGGTATAACTTTTGACTCCTCAAAAGCTTAAGTACTAATAGCCTACTTACTGATAACATAAACAGTCTTACTGATAACATAAACAGTTAATTAACATATATTTTGTATGTTATATGCATTATATACTATATTCTTACTCTAAAGTATACTTGAGGCTGGACACAGTGGCTCATGCCTGTAATCCTAGCACTTTGGGAGGCCAAGGTGGGAGGATCACCTGAAGGCGGGAGTTTGGGAGTTCGAGACCAGCCTGACAAACATGGAGATACCCCATCTCTACTAAAAATACAAAATTAGCTGGGCGTGGTAGCTCATGCCTGTAATCCCAACTACTTGGGAGGCTGAGGCAGGAGTATTGCTTGAACCCGGGAGGTGGAAGTTGTGGTGAGCCAAGATCGCTCCATTGCACTCCAGCCTGGGCAACAAGAGCGAAACTCTGTCTCAAAAAAAAAAAAAGTATTCTTGAGAAGAGAAAATGTTATTAAGAAAATTGTATGAGAAAATATTCCACTGCTCATTAAGTTAAAGTGGATAATCATAAAAGCCTTTATCTTAATTGTCTTCAAGTTGAGTAAGCCAAAGAGGAGGAGGGAGAGGAGGAATTGGCCTTGTCGCCTCAGGGGTGGGAGAGGCGAGGGCAGAGGCAGGAGAGGCAGGCACACTCGTTGTAAGTTTTATTGAATAAAATTCACATATAAGGGAACCTGTACAATTCCAACCTGTGTTGTTCAAGAGTCAACTGTGACATTTTTAATCTATCAACTACCAATTCCAAAGACATCAAGTAGGATGGCTTCCACTGCAATAGTATTAGTCTTCTTATAAAAGTGAGAAAACCAGGGTCAGGGAGTTACACATATAAATTCCTTACAGCCACATAAAAGGTAAATCCCAGACTGAAGCAGATATATCTTACTCCAAAGGATTTGATTTTAATCATCTTGTTATAATGTCTCCTGTGACAGAGAATTAGAAACTTGAAAGCATTAGGTATCCACAGTAAAAATTTGCAAGTAAGGTTTTTCTCTGTTTTATTTAGAATGAATGTGCAGCCTCCCCAGTCCAACTGACCAGCTTCCTGTGCTTTCAGAGACCTTTTCTAGACCAGTATTACAATTTGGAGATCCACACAATAAAAGTTCAAGGAGCTGTCTTCTCTTTCTGAGTTTTTAAAATATAGACTAGCATATGGTTACTAAACCTAACCTATCTAAAAACAGCAAATATATTTGCTTCTAACTGGGGATTTATCAGGTTAATGTGGTAATATGTTTATTTGAGGATTAAAAAAAAATTGTGCATTATCACTCAGTCTTTTAACTTCAGATTATTTCCATTTAAAAATTCTAAGTATTTCAAAACATGGGAGAACAATAAACTTTACGTCACAGACTACTTGAGATTAACTGACTAATATTTGGGAAGCATCTAGATAACACAGTTTCTTACATAATATAGGGGCCCAGAGAAGACTCCGTTTTTCCTTCCCCCGCTTAAGAATTAAGAATCTTAAGAATTAAGAATGATTAAGAATCACTTGACCCTCACTTACTGTTTTCCTTCCTGCTCTGGGTTTTAAGACCTTTTAGAACAATGACCCTCAGCTGGGCATGAATGGGAGGGGAATGTGAGGCGGGAGGTGGGTGTGGTTGGAAAAGTCTTCAATACTATTCAGATTTTACCTCTGCATGGGCACCCATTTCGGTAAGAATCCATTCTGTGATATTATTTCAGAGGCGAAGGAAAGGCTACCCCTCCTTCAAAATAGCTTGGTCTTACATTGCACATTTAACTTAGAGCACAATGACTATCCCTTGTTCTCCAGTAATATAGTGGTTGAACTCCACCCTGGAGTCAGGATCCCTGAGTTTATAGTGAGTGTGAGTCAACACCAACTATAAAAGCTGACCTTTTCATCAGTGCTTTGTGGTCTTTATCTGTAATGTGAAAATTATAACACCAATGTTGCAAGATTTTCGAGAGAATTAAAAGATTATATGCACATGACCTTTAGCAACCATGATGCCTAGTAGGTAATAGGAGTTGAATAAAAGGTAATTACTATCATTAGGCATATTAACTGAGGCAGTGTATTGTTT
Organism: Homo sapiens; assembly: GCF_000001405.40. Taxonomy (NCBI): domain Eukaryota; kingdom Metazoa; phylum Chordata; class Mammalia; order Primates; family Hominidae; genus Homo; species Homo sapiens. The sequence goes on from NC_000021.9 coordinate 16,551,810, forward strand.
GCTTATAAAGGTTCCGCATGCTCAGTGCTGCAGAATTTATATAGGCAGAGCCGTCGCAAGAAATGTTGGGAGGTGGTTTTTTTTGTTTTTGTTTTTGTTTTTTCTGACGGTCCTCTTATCTTCAAAACATCATGGCACTGCTGCCTGGATTTGCTGGTTTGAATAGGCCACATTTCAGCTATTCTTCTCATTGTCAGGTCATGGCAAATAATAAGTCTCACCTTTTCTTTCTGAAATTGCATTCCCGCTTCATTCATCTGAAGTTAATTCTTTTCTTTTTTGTATCATGCTTATTTTGCAAACATGAACAATCTTGTCACTACCGTGTATATGCAAATAAAGTGAAATGATAAATTGCTTAAGTGTCTCCGTTTTTCTATCTGTAGAATAGGGGTCATAATCCCTTCCTGTTGCACTTTTCCAGACAGTTGAGAAAATAAAAACACGTAATGTAGAGAAAAGAGCATCAGTATTCTCATAAATAGAAAATTAAGCCATTTAGACTATGTACAGGAAGTTTGATAAGTAGACTTCCAGAAAAGAAGTGGCAAAGTATTCTTTAATTGTTCATTCCCTAAGAAAAAGCTGTCTCTCTCAATCTTTTGATACCTCTGTCTTTCTTTCCCTCTCTGTCTACCCGCCTCTGTTCTGTGTGCCTAGATCCTGTTAATATTTTCTCTCCTCTACTATTTTCATGTCTGCATGTAATTTTTTTTCATATCTAGCCAAGTGCCAAAATAACATTATGTTTGATATATCAATTAATTTTTTAATTAAATCAATTAATGAGAACAGCTAGAGAAATGTAGATTTTAGTTCACATGAAACTGGAGGGTACTGGCTACGTTGTAATTAATATATTAATAGTTTGTCAGTCTTGGTCATTGTCTTGGTCAGAGGATGCCATAGGAAGCTAGATCAGTCCTGTAATTTCTTCCTATTTTTTTTTTTTAAATAAAGCCAATTATTTCCATATAAGCTAGGTATGCACTCCATACCTGTTTGATAAGATTGATTACATTAAACATTTCTCACAGGAAAATGAGTCTATATTTTATGTTTAATTTTAATTTTCACTTTGTAGAAACTAAGTTCAGTGTGCCGTGCTGATCCAGTGAAAGCATGTGCAGTAATTTCATTGTAACCAGTTTTCACTTTAGATAGTGGCCAGGAGATGTTTGAACCGGGTTATGAGTTTGTGAGGTTTTGAGCATGGTTCTTCCTTCTTTCCCTAGGCTGGATAGAGTACTATAGCAGGGTATTGGATGGTTTCCCAAAGCAGGATAACTTCCAGGGAGGAAGCATCACAGATGTCTGAAGTTCAGTGGTATAATGCACTTTTATTACTCCTCTGTTCCTGGCCTACAAATCTGCAGAAAAGACATATGAGGGCATCAATACTCTCCAAGAAATAGCATCTTTTTTTTACACCCCCTTTTTTTTTTTTCTTTTTTGAGATGGAGTCTCACTCTGTCACCCAGGCTGGAGTGCAGTGGTATGATCTCGGCTCACTGCAACCTCCGTCTCCTGGGTTCAAGCGATTCTCCTGCCTCAGCCTCCCGAGTAGCTGGGATTACAGGTGTGTGCCACCACACCCGGTTAATTTGTTATTTTTAGGAGAGATGGGGTTTTGCCATGTTGACCAGGCTTGTCTCAAACTGCTGACCTCAGGTGATCTGCCCGCCTTGGCCTTCCAAAGTGCTGGGATTACAGGTGTGAGTCAACACGCCTGGCCGAAAATAGCATCTTCATCCACTTTTATCTAAGCTTAACATCTATTCTGTTTATGGTGTTGTCAGAGATTTGGGGAACTGGGATAATGAGTTTGTCCATTTCAACTGTTGATTATTTTACTAATGGCTATGAAAGTGCTATGATGTTCAGAGCAGGTCTTTTCACATTTGATGGATAATTTTGGGAGCAGGGAAGATAGACCTTATTTCCTTGCTTAGAGTTTCATTTCAAAACATGGATTTTAGATATAGGACTGCCAGTTTAGCAAAATAAAAATATGAGACATGCAGTTAAGTCTGAATTTTAGCTAGACAATAAATAATTTTAGAATATTAGTATGTCCAATATGTCATATTGTTTTTACTGCTTATTGGAAATTCAATTTTGACTATACATCTTCTATTTTTATTTGGCAACTTTATTTAGATAGTATTTTCCATAATGAAGTGTCTTACTCCTGTTTCTCCATATATTTCCACTCACAGTAAGTAAAGGAATAGAAACTAACGAATAAAATTCATGTATGAAATATCAGGGGAAAAATACAAAATTAAAATAATTTATATTAAATTAATAGAAAATCAAAGAAAATGCCCTTTTTCTAAATGCCAGAATCATATAAAATTTGTATTAGGCTATGTTTATTTTATATGATTAAACAAAATGGTTTAGCAAATGGCATTTAATAAACAAAAGCCAGTTTATAACATTAGCATAAACTTCAGAGGATTAAAAATTTGTTACAGTGTCTAAGCCATATTTCTGGTGGGTTTCTGTGATATTCTATGTGGTCTTTGCATTAGTTACTACAGAGTATTTTTCGGTGCAAGTTCTGGAGGGAAAGTTTTCTAAGAAATGAACATTCCCATTAAAGGAATTTCACTCTTCAATTAATAGAAAGCATCATTTGTTTTTCACATGATCTGTTGCTATCGGTTCCTTTAAAATGTTTGTTAGCTTTTTAAACATCTGTTGCTGTAAGAAGATAAATCTTACACACATTACTTGTGCTGTGTGTTTGCCCCAGAGTCAAGTCAATGTTTTACATGGCGCCTAGAGATCTGTGATAACAGCTCACTGGCTGTGTTCCTGCACGTCATAATCTAACCCTTTCCCGTATCCTGATCTCTTCCTTCCTGACCATCCTCACCATCCTCAGCTCAGTGGCTCTCCCCATTTCCTGTTTTGCTCAGACCCTCACCAGAGCCAAGCTCTCCAGCCAGGTCTTCTCCCTACATTCATCAGCCACCGCCCTCCGTCCGCCCGGCTGCGGCAATTCTGTCCTACTTTTGCAGCCTGAACCCTGAGCAGAGAATAACAAACCTGGAAACTTTCATAGTGTCACCCAAAGTCACACCGCACACACATGTGCTTGGCCACGTATTCACACATAATGATTTTTTTTTAATTTAATGAGGGAATTGTTATGTAAATTTGGCACCATTTCTTTTTGTTTTATATGGATGGACATGAGCACTTAAAGATTAAGAGGTTATTTTCGGCCGGTCGCGGTGGCTCACACCTATAATCCCAGCACTTTGGCAGGCCAAGGCAGGTGGATCACCTGAGGTCAGGGGTTCGAGACCACCGTGGCCAACATGGTGAAACCTCATCTCTACTAAAAATACCAAAAATTAGCCGGGCTTAGTGGCAGACACCTATAATCCCAGCTACTCAGGAGGCTGAGACAGGAGAATCGCTTGAACCCGGGAGGCAGAGGTTGCAGTGAACCGAGATCGCGCCACTGCACTCCAGCCTGGTCAACAAGAGTGAAACTCCTTCTCAAAAACAAAAAACAAACAAACAAAAAAACCCAAAGAGGTTATTTTCAAACTTGCATAGTCACACGTCAAGGCAGGAACCCAAGCCCTGCCATCAAATCAAAGTTTTGAGATTTAAGTTCTTCCTCTGTAATACAGGATCGTATGGTCCCAGAGTTAAAATAGAACTTAAAATACCTAGCTGAAGTGCTTATAGTTATCAGAAAATGTTTGTTTCTTCCCTGCAATTTTCACTAAAGTGAAGAAGACGTGTGAGAGACAATTTGTGAGACCTAATTCTGGTTGAGGCTAAGAATTCCATTCGTTTTCCAGTCACTGACAAATTTATTTAACTCTTTTGCTTTTGGACATGTTTCTTTGTCACACAAGGTTGTTCTGTGATTATATGTTTCTATAATCTTTTCAGTTTAAAATTTGACTTAATAATTAGCATATAGCAAGTCAAGAATTTTTTTTTTTTGCAAGTCAACAATTTTCAAATGAATAAATGCATGAGTAAATGGTGGTATCCCTTGCTTTACTACAAATAATACAAAATATTTTGCAATTGTTTAATGACACATTTGAGAGTGACATAGGTATTTTATTGTTTCTGTGGATTTTTGTTTGTTTGTTTTTCTAGATGGAGTCTCGCTCTGCCGCCCAGGCTGGAGTGCAGTGGCGCTATCTCAGCTCACTGCAGGCCCCGCCTCCCGGGTTCACGCCATTCTCCTGCCTCAGCCTCCTGAGTAGCTGGGACTACATGCGCCCGCCACCACGCCTGGCTAATTTTTTGTATTGGTAGAGACGGGGTTTCACCGTTCTGTGGGTATTTTAAAGTAAACTCTAGGACATTTTTAAGTAGTTGGATTTTTAAAAATTGTCCCACATACTAAGTTACATTTTTTACACAGTTGCAGCACAGTACTTACCTTTGATCCTCGTTTGAGCCTCTGGCTTTCTTTAGCCTGCTTAAGCTCTGTCCTCTCTCTCTTTACTCTTCTATTCAAAGAGTAGTATGTATTTTGTAAAGATTTTGTAATCTTGCCTACTAATAAAGTTTACATTCCTCAGCAGGAGAGTAAGGAACTTTACAATCTGCTTCCAATGCACCAACATAAACTCGTATCAGGCTGTCTCTTCATCTCCTGTGTCCACCATTTCCCAGCCCCTACGTGTACACCACTACTTTATATTTCACTCACACTGGGGCTCCATGCACCAACGTAGCACATGAGCAGTGGTGTGTAGCAGAAGGCAAGAAAGTCCATAAGCGTAGGCTTTGGAATGAGGCAATCAGAGCTCAAATGTAGCTGTAGCTGTATCATTTTGTAGCTACACGGCTATCTCTGTCTCCATCAACCTCACTTGTTTTACCTATGACTAAAATAATATGCCGGGCACGGTGGCTCACGCCTGTAGTCCCAGCACTTTGGGAGGCCGAGGAGGGCAGATCACAAGGTCAGGAGATCGGGATCATCCTGGCTAACACGGTGAAACCCCATCTTTACTAAAAATACAAAAAATTAGCCGGGCGCGGTGGCGGGCGCCTGAAGTCCCAGCTACTCGGGAGGCTGAGGCAGGAGAATGGCGTGAACCTGGGAGGCGGAGCTTGCAGTGAGCCGAGATCGCGCCACTGCACTCCAGCCTGGGCGACAGAGCGAGACTCCGTCTCAAAAAAAAAAAAAAAAAAAAAAAAAAAAAAAAAGATAATAACACAGTATAGAGCTCCTATAGGATTAAATGATATAACATAATTTAAATTATGTTATGAAGTGTTTGGTACAGGGAAGGCAATAAGTGTAAGCTATTGTGATACAATAAAGATGGACATGAAAGTTTTTGCTTATTTTGGTTATTCTGTCTAAAAAGGTTTGAATTACTTTTATTTGTGGCAAAATTGCATAATCTTTGAGATCTGCTAACCTTTATATTCACATTAAAATGTAATTAATAATGATTATGTTGCATGCCACTCTCTTATTTCTTAGTTGACATTGTATCTTTTCCTAGTCTGACTTTTCTCCAGATTAACACTTTAAAAAAAGTCATACGCAATCAGAGTAAAGGGAATTTGTCAGTCATTTACTCCAATATCCTCATCTAATAATTAACAAAACTGAAGTTCAAACTCGTTGATAACTAACATATTTTTGTGAGATTGTTGTATAATGTCTGCCTTCGTAGTAGCCTGTGAATTTCCAAAAAGTAGAAAACCACGTCTGTGTGAATGGCTTAGTATCAACAATGATTGATATAGGGTGAACTCTCAGTGATGAATATTTCTGGAATAAGAGAATGTTGTGGAACTACTTCTGGCCAGACTTCTTAATTGTAGGCTGGTGCTTTTTGTGTTATACTATGTTTCTTTTCACTCAAACCTCATCTTGTTTTGCAGATTCACTTATTAAAAATCTCTCCTGAAAGTTTTTGTATATCCTGGAGTGGCCCACATAAAACTGATCGTTATGAGATCCAGGAACTCTCCTGGTTGTATAATGTGATCACCTGCTTTTGGAGGTCTAATGATGCATACCCCCAGAGACAGACCAAGGAAAAAGTAAAGCTGAAGCAATAACTTATTTATTTACTTACTTACTTACTTACTTTTTCCTGGCTAAGATGATCTAGACATGTGGATCTTCTATCCTTGGCATCAAATTTGGTGCTCCTTTCTTGTGTCTAACAATTAATTGCTTCAACCTTAATTTCACAGTAGTACCAATTTTGTGTTAACCTTGGCTGTCTGCAGACTACTTTCATTCTTGTTGCTTATTTCTACTCTTTAGTAACCCGGAGAGAAGCAGAAAAGTTTATAGGACTTGTGTTCTATAAATGAGGGAACTAAGGCTTTGTCTGAATTCAGATACCCTCTCTGCCATCATACTGTTTTTACGTTGTGCAGTTTTGCCTCCCTTCACTGGGTTGGGGCTGCCTTAGAACTATGGTTGAGCTAAGGATGAGGTGGCCTCCACCTGTAATCCCGGCACTTTGGGAGGCCAAGGAATGTGGATAGCTTGAGGTCAGGAGTTCGAGACCAGCATAGGCAACATCGTGAAACCCTGTCTCTACTAAAAATACAAAAACTAGCTGGGTGTGATGGTGCATGCCTATAGTCCCACCTACTTGAGAGACTGAGGCAGGAGAAGTGCTTGAATCTGGGAGGCAGAGGTTGCAATGAGCCAAGACTGTGCCACTGTACTCCAGCCTGGGCGACAGAACAAGACTCTGTCTTAAAAAAAAAAAAAAAAAAAAAAAAAAGGAAACTGGGCCTCAGTTTGGTCATCTGGAAAATGAGCCAGATGGTCTCTAAGGTTCTTACCATTAATAAGTCTCTTCCAAAAATACAAAAAAATTAGCTGGGCATGGTGCCACACACCTGTGGTCCTAGCTACTCTGGAGGCTGAGGTGGGAGGATTGCTTGAGCCCAGGAAGCAGGTGTTGTAGTGAGCCAAGATCATGCCACTGCATTCCAGCCTGGACAACACAGCAAGACTCTGTCTTAAAAATAAATAAATAAATAACTATGGCTGAGATATTTTACCACAGTGAAAGAAATCTAACCATTCTCCCCGTAAGTTCTAGCAAAGTTCCTAGAGCAGCCTTGGGCTATAGGACCACTGAATTCCCATGCTAAAGTCCCCCCCCACACCACCCCCCATGGAGTCCTGAAGTTAAACAGCTGGCTAGTTCAAATTGTGGTTTAGGGCTGCAAGGTCTGTGTTTAGTAATTAGCACTTGAACCTAGCAATAACCTTCAATGAGTCTCTCATTTTCCTGCTCTGGGGAGAGAAAAAATCAACAAATACAGACTAAGTGTGCTCTAGTGTCAGATGGTCAGAGTCTGGATCACTTGTTGGATGTATGGAACTAAACAAGTTCTTTCATTTCTTTGTACTTCAGATGCCTCATCTGCAAAGCAGTGTCAATCTCAAAGTTTCTTGGAAAGGGTAAATGAAATTATAAATGTAATAGCACGGGGCCTGACTCATAGGAGTGCTCCGTAAATATTAGCTCCTAATCATTATTATTATTCAGTACTTGGCAAAAATCAAGTTACAGTTTCATCTAATCTGAGTTGATCACATGCATATTTTTCTTTATTTAAAAAAAATTTCTTTACAAACATGAAATAAATGGGGTGGAATTTACTTTCTTCATTTATAACTAGATGATTTCAATTAATTTGATTTTCAGCAAAAGCATCTTTATCAGTTTTGACCATGTTGGAAACTGAACACAGCCCATCTGGCATTATTGGCACCACATTGGAAATGTATATAATCTTATGGTGAAAGTACAATTACAAGTGTAATTCTGTCTTGACGTTTGCTTGAAATTCATCTCTTTTGGGTTATATGTTAATAATGAGGGCGGAAATTTGCTGTGAGCATTTACATTTGATCTAGACACAGGCTAATATTGTTTGCCTGCAATATATTTAACATTCCAAAACTGCTTTCTGATTTATCTTATGTATCTTAAAACTTACAGCTATTAATTCTTCTCATTTTTCCACTAAAGCTAGCATACCACAAAGCAAAATATGAATATATTCTATAAGTTGTAGAATTTCTTAAGATTTATCTCTACCATTGGATGAGGCATCATAGGCCCTTTTCCTCAAGGAAGTGGAAAATATTCTGTGCCAGTAGTTGTCAGTAAAAGAGGATATCTGTCCCTAAAGTTTATTTCATATGAATATTAATATTCCTTATATGGCCATCATTTTCAGTGTTTCATTTTCCAAATGCACTTTCTAAAAACATGTTAAATTATGGTCCATTACTAACCACTAATGGATGATTTTATGACTGAATTCTGCACCAAAAATGATTATTTGCTGTGTGAGGACAGATTTGCAAAACAAGATGTGGTAGCATTTAAACGGCCACTTATTTTTAGTAGAAGACTGCCCTGACTGTGGCCTAAAACTTAGATTTCCATTTCATGGCATCATTATCTTCAGACCCAGATGGGCGTCTCTTGCACTTAAGGAGCATGAGGAAAACCAATTTGATTAAAATAAGCTGTTTCGTATCATTAGGAAATTTGGAGATGGAAAAATAAAGATTTGTGTAATAAATGTATGATCTGAAGCCACGTTCATCCTCCAAGGTAATTAGCAATTCTGTATTTGCAGGAACCAGGAAGGCAACAGATTTTTCTTCAGGATGCTCTTTTTGTGGAAAATTGTGGGTATAATACTTGATGGGTCAAACTGAACAAAGTGAACTATTTGATTTATGGTGTGAATATTATGAGAATTATTCTGTAGTTCATTTCTTCCCATCAATTCATGAAATCAATCTTTTAAGCTTATTTTGCAATCAAAATTCCTAAAAAAAAAACCTAAGGATCTTATCTTATAATAACATCACAATTCTTTCTATATTATTTTCATTCAATATACTGCATATCTAGATCCATTAAAGTAATTTTAAAAATTTCTTCTATTGATATGGCTACAGTCTATTTCAAATATTGGCACCTGAAGATAATTGTGAAGTCAGCAATGATTCAGCAAAACAGAATTTAAATAGTGCTGAAAGCATAAATAGTACCCAAGGAGATGTGGGTCTTTTCTAAAAAAATTTAAGATCTAGGATTTACCCATACTTAAATAAACTTTAAGTATTTATTTTTTAACTAATCTCCACTCAAAGCTCCTTCAAACGCTGTTTCCATGTTGTTTACAGTGTAAATGAATAGGATAATGAAAATAACTATTAAATAAAATAGAGGTTAAGTGACCTGCCTGCAGCCACAGAGTTAGTTCATGGCTATGCCAAGAATCAAACTTAGATTTTCTGGTTTGCCCATGTTCTTTTAACTGCTTTTTTTGATGAAGTCAAGGCTTTGAGATAACTGACCTCAATACATAGTTCAGTATCTCCGTTTGTCAGCACAAAATACACTTCATGCTATTGTGGTGTTTAGATAAAATATACAAAATATAAATGCTAATGAGATGCCCAATATGTGATGATGAATCGCAAAAAGCAATATAATGTGACAAATATTTATTAAATAGCTAATTCTGTCAATATAAATATTTCTGAGGAGAGTATTCTTTTCACCTTCAGAAAGCCGTATAATACCAACAATTTATGAGGGGTGAAACCAATCAATGGTAAAATACTTTCGGATTTTTAAAAACTAATTTAGTAATTGGCAATATATTCAGGAACATTATTAAGTTGGTTTTTTTGCATCACAAAGATTGAATTCTGCTATTTCTGTTGATAGAACATGTACTAAATGATAACACTGATTAATAAGGGTAAGTTAGGTAATTTTTAGAAGTGCGGTTCCAGGAAGAAAACTTCCTAAATGATGGAAGAAAAAAATAAGTTAACTTAGATATTTTTCTGTACAATTTAGAAACAGACGAACCACAGATTACAAAGCATGACTTCATGATCTCTGGAACAAGGCTATGACATGAGGAATTTAAGAAGCTCCCCTTACATACATTGTATCAGACTCTTGCCCCTCCCTCCAGGACCTTGTGCTGCCTGTTCCATTGCCTGAAATATTTATGTGACCCAAAGAAGACTGGGTCTTAGATGTTAGATTCTCCAAGAATCCTCCCCAGACTCCCGGTGTCTGTGGGAAGGATGGTCCAGTGCGCCCCTTAGAGTCTGTACTTTGTCAGCCTTTGTCACAATATAATCAGCACATCGAATGCTGTGGGCTGTTTACCTGGCGTCATTTCGCTGGAGAGACAACTTCCCAAGAACAGGAACTGAGTGTCCAGTGGTCTAGCTGTGTTTCACCCATAGTAAGTGATCAACTCTGATTGAATGAAGGGATACTCAAGTTAACTAGTCCCTGTGCAAGTCCCTATAGCGTAGAGTCACAGGCTCTCTTTTGAAGCTCTTTACTACACTTTATTTCACTCAGATGACAGGCAAGGAAACTGAGACTCAGGCAGGCTAAGAGATCACACACCATAAATGGCAGAGTGAGGAAATCAAGCCCATTCTCTTTCCTTGCTTATTCTTTCATTCAACACATTTATGCTGAGCATCCTCTATGTGTCAGACATTATGTCAAAGCTGAGAATCCAAAGATAAATAGGTTAAGATTTCCTGAAGCTCCCTGCCTAGTCAGAGATAGACTATAAACAGTAATTATAATTCAATATGATAAGGGCTTTGACAGAACCATGTACTCTGTGCTGTAGAATTTCTAAAGAAGGAATCAGTGTCTGTGCATATTAAATCGCTCCATTTTATTTTAATATTCTTTTAATACTCTTTTATGTCTGACTTTAGTATATAACTACCCTCATTTAGAAGAAGGTAGGCAAAGGCCTATTCAATTTAATGAAAGTTTAAATATTGCAATGTTATTTCTAAACTAATTAGTTTTCATGATTGTTCATATTGTACATTAATTTGAATATCAAACAGAAGTCTAATAGTTTTAAGTGGATTGCTTAGAAAAATTAGTATTGTCATTTATATAACTTGGAATCCAAAGAAGATTCTCTGAAGAGAATGATCATAAGCACATTACCAGAGTAGATGAGTGAAGAACTGGGGTAGGAGTACACTATGGCATGGAGATGGCTTAGGGTGAATCAGGAACTAGCAACACCCTTCGATAAAGCAGCTGTGTGCCTGAGTTTTGATCAGAAGTTCATCTGCTGTTGTTAAAGATCTTTTAAAGAATAACTGGATGAATAGTTATTTTACTTCTCATAGTTGCCTGGATTAATAGATTTATTTTACTTCTCATAGTTTTTAAATTATTCTTCAGACAAAAGAAAATAGCCATGGCAGATTATGGCATTTAATAATGGTAATTCAAAATATTTTATCAAATGAATTTAAAAAAAAGTAAATGTCAATAGGCAACATCAGTTTATTTCCATTTCTTAATAATCACCAAGCTATTCAAACCGAGAGCAATGAGAAGCTCATAAAAAACAAGCCATGAACCTACCAGGAAATTCGAGGGAGGGGATCTCCCTTTATCAATCTGTGTATCTCCAGTGCTAAGCACGATGGCTTATCTCATATGTGGTTGAAAGGCTTCAACCACAACAAGAAGACTCCCAACTGAAGACTTTTTTTTTTTTTTTTTTTTTTTTTTGGGATGGAGTCTCTGTCGCCTGGGCTGGAGTGCAGTGGCATGATCTCGGCTCACTGTAACCTCCAGCTCCCAGGTTCATGCGATTCTCCTGCCTCAGCCTCCCGAGTAGCTGGGATTACCATGCCCAGCTAATTTTTGTATTTTCAATAGAGACCGGGTTTGGCCATGCTGGCCAGACTGGTCTCTAACTCCTGACCTCAAGTGATCCACCCCCCTCGGCCTCCCAAAGTGCTGGGATTATAGGCATGAGCCAACACGCCCGGCCTAAAACTTCGTTCTTTAAAAATAAGTAAACAAACCAAAAATTGAATAGACATAAACCAAATAAGGATAAAAGAAAACTCTGCTTTAAAAGCCTAATTCCAAAAACCTATGAGCTGCAAGTCATCAGTGATTAAAAGCTAGGAGGCACACTGGATGTTTAAAAGTAGTACCTGTGCCCTTCTAAAGCAGCCAAACCAGTGAAAATGGGTAGAAGCCAATAAGGGGGCATTCACCCCTTTCAAGCATCTAAGGAATGCACATTCAACACATTCCAAGCACACCTCCCCCGCTGCAGGCTGCTCAGGCCAGTGGCCTTCCACCTCTAGCCACATTGCACAAAAATTAATAGGAAAACAAAAGAGATGCCTTTCTGGATTTGTCACATTGCTTCACACTGGTGCCCCTTTCTCTTGTAATCAGGATAAAGAAAGTCTCTGCCGGGCGGGGTGGCTCGCGCCTGTAATCCCAGCACTTGGGAGGCCAAGGCCGGTGGATCACCGGAGGCCAGGAGTTCAAGACCAGCCTGACCAACATGGCGAAACCCTGTCTCTACTGAAAACACAAAATTAACTGGGCGTGGTGGTGCATGCCTGTAATCCCAGCTACTCAGGAGGCTGGGGCAGGAGAATCACATGAACCTGGGAGCTGGAGGTTGCAGTGAGCAGAGATCACACCACTGTACTCCAGCTTGGGCAACAAGAGCAAAACTCCGTCTCAAAAAACAAACAAACAAACAAACAAAACATTGCAGCCCCATTGTGAAAAGCAGGAATGTGTGAACCCAAAAGTTCTGACAAAGGAAGTGGACGGGGCAGCAGGCATAGATGAGGTAGCCCGTGTAGAAAAACTCCAGAATTTGCTAGGTATTTTTTTTCTTCTGGTCACTATTTAGAATTCTTTGCTTAAACTCCCACTTCCAACTTATTGTATATATATTGTCAGCTCAAGAATGGAGAAGAAGGTGTTTAACTCTAGATTAGACTACCCAACCTGTGGTTTAGTAGGGTAAATAGAGTTCATAAACAAAAAGCCCTGTCCTTACCAGTGTTCATCAACCACCTGCTTGGACTAATTGTACTATGTCACTCGTTTTTACTATACAGATATCTGTGGATATCTCTCCAGAACTTCATGTATATGTAAGTGACTTGCTCCCAATTCTTTCACATTTTATCAATATCAGCTGTGTTTTGCTTAAAAAATGAGCCTTACCTAACTAAAATTTCTACTGTAATAAAGCAAGTTAATTGTAGTGAAATCTAATTATCTGTTTACTATGATTTCATTATAAATCTTGTGGGTTTTTTTTTCTTACATTGTCCTTATGTATTAGCACCTGTGGTAAGATATATTGATCACAGTTTCATCAGATAGGCATACTGCTTCAATATTGTTTGAAAAAAATCTTTATCTTTCAGCTTCATATTCTAGGAGGAACCAAATGTAACATTTACTTTTCATTTTGATTGCATATTAACTTGAGGTCATAATCTTGCTTTAACAATCCATCTCTTCTAATTATAGATATAGGAGGTATGGAAGTATGTGTTTGCCACAGAACAAACCCTGGATATATTTCCATCTTGCTTATAAAACTTGTCTTTATGTAAATGTTTAAATAAGATATTTTAGGATAAATGGTTTTTATCATTGCCTATTATGTCATTTTCTATTAAAAGTGAATTTTATACTTAATTGACTCTGATTCTTAAGGCATTAAATTCTAGTCCATTCTTCTTATGAGATAGGGTTAGTAAAATAAGTTAGTTTTATGGGATCAAAAGCTACAAACAGGCTGGGCATGCTGGCTCATACCTGTAATGCCTGCACTTTGGGAGACTAAGGCAGGAGGATCGCTTGAGGCTAGAAGTTTGAGACCAGCCAGTGCAATATAGCAAGACCCCTGTCTCTATAAAGAAAAAAAATCAAGTAAAAATATCTAGAAATATACTTTCCCCAAAATGTGTATATTTCCTTATGCCATTCTGCCAATTAAAAATTGTCAGTTCCTGGATGTTACTTGGATGGTGTTTTCCTAATACTAAAGCTACTTATTCTAGGCATTTGTGAGTTTTATCATTCTCAGGAAGAATAAATTAACTCAAGTGTCTTGCCTTTACTAATAATCTATAGAAGATATAATACATTACAAAACGAGATCTTCAAAGGCAATTTATCTATGTCTGTGGGTCAGCGGAGAGACATCAAGAGTTAGGAGGGAGTGTACCTGTAACATTCTGAATAAGATTTTGATGTTAAAACCAATGTGGCTTGTTAGTCCGATATGTCCCCTCTATGCCACTAAAGATGGTGCCTACTCCTTACCACTCATACTTGCCATATTCTTTACCCATTTTTACTTGACTTTGTACCCCAAAGTTCCTCTTGTGGGCTATGTGTGGAATGTGATGGCTTTTAAAAACATAAATTGGGGAACAAGTGTGAAAATAAATATATGGACAACATTTTAAATATTCTAAATATTATAATTTAAACATCAAAAGAGTTATTGTATATGTTCAAGATTGAAAGTTAAAAAGTGAATATAAAATTCTAAATAATAATAACTATTTCAACATGAACCTAAAACTGTGCCTGTTGAACAGTGCATAGAATATTAAATAGAATTAGTAAAGAGTTACTTGAGTAGTGAATTACATCCTGCATTGTCAGCCTATGATATCTATGTCCATATATTTTGTAGCCTAGATTCATAAAATGTATATTTTTTAAAATCTTAACACTTTTCATCAAATGGAATGATTTGTTTTTAATTTGATTATGGATCAATTTTTAATTTGATTCTAGAGCCTACTTAATCATTGCTTTAGGTTCTTAAATTTCTTTTATAGAACATAGGTGAGCAGATTTTTAGGGTTTCCTTTTAGATGGTTCTGAGGTTTCTGTCCATGTTCAATACTATGAGTTTATAACTTTACAATATTCTTTTGTCACTTGCCTAAAAGCAGGTTTGTTATTTTTCTTTTTCTCAAGGAAAGCTTTAGAGAGAGAATCTAGATCTTTTAAATTTGAAAGGCATTCATGATACCCAGTTACTTCCTCTAATGATTGACTACTGTTGTGAAACCTAATGTTAATATTTAAGAAGTGGAAAATTATGGATTGTATTGTAAAATAGTCAATTAAAAGAAAAGTATTTTTGTGTGTGGGAATCTAGCAACTTTCATCCCATAATCCTTAAATCAAGTTTAATGTATACTAAAAATATCAAGTTTTACTTTGAACTATTAAGATTAATACAAGACTCCCATGTTTTTTCAGATTTTCCCAATCTTCAATGTTCTAAGGGATTTACTCTGAGACTACTTAAACCTTAACATTTTTGATGTTCTCATTTACTCACTGGCTGTTAAAATCTCAAACCTTGTGCATCAATACTAGGAGCTCTTACTTAAAATGATTAATTGTAATGTTTTCAACAGTGAGCACTAATGTTTTTCCTTGGGGGAAAAAAAATCTTCCTTATATGTTTATGTGGTTCTCTTGCCTCTGTAGTTGACTTAGATTAATTTCTTTGCTAATTTTCTTGTTCAGTTGGATAAAAGAAAGCTTCGGGCTTTGTATTTCTTGAAAACCAAGAAAAGTAAGTATTACACATAAGAAAATATCCAATTTTACCACTTCTTCCCTTGGGCAGTTGACCCGTGTGCACATGTGCATGCATAGCAATCTTTTGCAATGAACTCAGTTTATATATGAGATCTGTTTTTCAGTATTGTAGAAAGATATCTAATCTATTTGAAAATACATTGTCAGCACCTAGTGTTCCAAAACATAGATTGAATTTAGTGTGGGAATACCGCATAGTATTGGAAGAAAAGTAATTAAAATCATTTAGAAATTGTTTTGAAGAATGCATTGCTGCAAGGTGTCATAGCCATATAAACATGACACCACCATCTTATGGAATGTACAGAAAAGGGGTGTCTCTTGTGCCAAATAAACATTCTTTAATTAACGCTTCACAATATGTAGTGTGAACTTTCCTAGTCTGTGTTTATCCCTCCTGGGGCTGCTACTTTTAATGCCTCAAAAACTGTTGCCTGTATATATTCTCTTTCTGCTGGATCTTGGGATGAAGAATTGATTACAGGTGCATTTTCTCCTTGAATCTGTCTAATAAGCTGAACTAAAACTACACTAATACAAGAAAGCAACAAGAAAGGTCTTCTTATGATGAATTAGTTGTGCTTATATACATATAAGAGTTAGTGAGGGCCACAAGAATAAACTGGCACAATAAACTATTTGTATTTGAACACTACTATTTGTATTTTAATATAATAATTACTTTGAATTCCATAATTAATATACCTATACGTGAAACGTTTTCCGCTCAGCAAAGTCATAGACTTTGGGGGGAAAATGTTATTTTATTTTATTGTGAGGGTTTGAATAGGCATTTTGCTATTCATTATCTATTTGCAGGGAAATGACAAGTTTTCAAAATGAAACAGTCTTTGTTACCTGTCTCTTTTGAAAGACTTACTCTCATGTTGTTTATTTAATTGTTTTGTTGGCATTAATCTTGCTTTTTTTTAAATAATGCATATTCCTTTTAATTATGTCTACTTATTTAAATAAAACTTTTAAATTGTGAATAGCTATGAATCACCATATCCATATAACTAGAATATGAAAATCTTAAAAAATTAATGTGCTGATAATTATAATATTCCTGTTTCTTGCATTTGTTTTACATTAATACACATTCTGAAAAAGAGGAAATGCTTATCTTGGGAGTGGCTTAAGTTGTTTTGGGCACTTTTTCTCAGTGATAGTCATATATTTTGGAGCAGCCAAAATTCATATCTCTTTGCCAGTGTACAGACCCAAAATGTCAAGTTATTATGCACTAGTAGAAGGACATATTTTCTTCACACTTTATTAATTAATCTATTTCGTGAATTTTTCTTTTCAAATGTCTATCACTGTAATTATCTTTGCTTATACCAAATTCAGTTTCACTGGATTACTTAGAATGCTGATATTCAAATAGTTTTTTGAAGCTCAGATTTCAGGCTTTGTTCAGTTCTACTTACAGTATTTATTACGATTAATCATTATTCCACCTGCCTCTGAGCACCTTTTACCTAGTAGTAGCAGAGGTGAGTCCAGTCTCGTGCAGGAAGAACAAGGATGTGTTTGGCAGGTAAGCTGATTAGTGAGTCTACATCAAGTGATTGAGTCAACAGTTCATACCAACATAGCTAGAGCAATGCTTTTTGAACTATGGGCAGCTGTCCTTCCTCTTGATGCATGCCTCTTTAATCATTTCCAGCATTTTCTTTTCCATTTGTTATTTTCACCAGGGAAGAGAGAGCCTTATAATATTAGTCTGTTATGTTAGCTTTCCATAGATGTACACATTATTTAAATCATATGTAAATTAGATCCATCCTTCAATAAAAATTTTAAAACTAGTAAATCATCTCCTAATAATTTTTCAAAATTTAAATTACTGTTAATTTCAGATAAGGCTAATAGGCAATGGTTTTCTTGTTCTACAATACTCTTAACCTAGAACTAAGCCATGTTCTCTAATAACCAGATCTCAAGGTATATGAATTTTCTTTCATTATTGGAAACATGGTTAGAGTGACCTAAAGCTCCAACTTATTATTACATACATGGAACCCAATCTAGCTAGTTCTTTCTTATTTAAATTATCTTTCCTTAGAGCCCTTTCATTGTTCCTCTTGGGGAGGACTTAAAGGTTTTCTTGGTTCTAGTCACAATCAGAAAATATATAATGAATTTTTTACATATAAGGTGAAAGAAGTAGAGGTACATTATTGCTTGAAAACAAGGTGTAGCACATTTTTAAAAATTACTATGTTAAATAGAATCAGCATATGTAAACAGAACACCAGCTAAACTACCCCCACCTAAACTTTAAATGAAGACAACTGAGTAAAATGAGTAAGATGTTTTCTGACGTAATCACTGAAGTCTCAAAGGAAAACAGGACAGTCACAAAATTACCAGGTCTGATGAGTTAACTACTTAAAAGTGTGATTAAAAGCCAATGGAAATGATAGGAATGGCAGCAAAAAAGCATCCTGAATGTAGAAATAGAGGTACATTCAACTGGCCAACTGGAGTAGGATTTCTGTTATCCAAGGCTGCGTTAAGTGATTAAGAATGCACACTAGAAGGCATGGTTTTCACATTATCTCAACACATCTGCTCAGTGGATGAGTAGTGGATGATATGGAGGTTGTCTGGTAATCTTAAATGGAAGAGGATATAAGCCATGAAACAGGAGAGTGAGGAATGTGATAGAAATATGTTTGAACCTCACATGTTGTTAAGTTCTGAAGCCCTTAGGAATTTCATCTTTTAAAATTATTATTATGTTCCATTGTTATTTCTCCTCAAGAATAGACTGTGACTTTTCTTTCTTATCTTCATATTTTTAAAAATAGTCTCTAACACGTTTTGTACAAAATCTCTAAGGAAATTTTAGGGTTTCTTTAAATTCTTAACTCAGTATTTTTCAAGGCAAACCATTCCGAATAAAGGAACACAACATTTCTGACATATTTGAAGTATGTAAAAACTCTAAATTACGTGGATCCTAATGAATCATAGTTGCAGTTTAGGTAGCTATCCTAAAAATTAGGAAGGTCAAATACTACCTCTTTGTTTGGAAATTCCACCTCCGTGATTTGTTCATGATAGCCTTTTTGTGAGAAGGGTTTTGACTGTAAAGAATGAATGAATGAGTAAGCAGTTTTTATTAAACAAGCTCAACTTTGTTCTGTTGCTGCTGTCTCTTTGTTGTTGTAATGTATGCTTCTAATTCACGCAATACCAACATGTTTTCCCTCTCTTCAAGAAACAAGCTTTACTAAAATACTTTCACTTCTAAACAACGTGATACATATATTTGAAATTTTCTTTGAGTTAATAGAGGCCTACTTTAGAGTGTTGTCTAGAATATTGATAAAAATCTTTTTAAGTATCCTCAAAGCTGCCTGAACAGGGGATGAAGGGTAGTCAGAAATAGAAATATGCCTTCTATTTTCTCATACTATTTATTGAGTATTTTCTAAATAATAAAGGGGGAAAGAAGATATAAATATTATCCAAAAGAAATACGAAGGAGAAATGCTTGACGTGATGGATACCCTGTTTACCCTGATGTGATTACACAGTGCATGCCTATGTCAAAATATTTCCTGTAATCCATAAATATATATACCTACTATGTACCCATAAAAATTAAAAACTAAACAAATTTTTCCAAGGTATATGGGCGTATACTTTCACTTTACAGTTGTAGAAGTTGGATGCCTGAGGTTTGGATAAATTACTGCTTTCACAAGTCAGATTCCTTTAAAACTGGTTGGGGATTTTGAGAATGCATCCAATGTATCTGCTCCTGCTCTAGTGAAGAAGTCCTCGGCTGCTGCTACTCAGGACAAAATCATCATGGTGCATGGAAGAAACCAGTAAAAGGACCCGTAAATATTAGATTTTTCTGACTTGTTCACTTGCCTCTTCCTCCTTCCCATAAGTGTACTCTTTTTTTTAGGGTCTATGTGCAAGCAGTTTTTTTTAAATATAATCATAAAAGTTGCTTTTTCAAAGGAGTCTAAAATGCATTTCATATTTGTCATTGTTTTCTTTAAATCTAGAACTCTTTTGGAAGGGATATGTAACTTGAGATGGCATTGTTATAGTTTGGAAACTGTATTCATCTGCTTCTTCAACTCAAAATAACAGTGCCTTCAGATCCTGAAAACTTAACTACTTGTCTTTATTTATTTTTACCCCACTACAGCTTATGTACCGTAATCAATAGGAGTTCAGACTTTATCCTCGTTTTTGCTGCATTTCACATCTTCAAAAATCAACAACTCTGTCAAAGAATTCCAGACACATAAAGCCAAGTTTAAGAAATAGTCATGAATTGGGATTTTTTTTTCTCCATTTAACAAAATTTACTTTAAAAATAGCAGGGAAAATAACTCCAAATCAATCTGTTACAAGGAAATGTTATTTTATGTTTGTATGGCGCTTTTTGTTTTCAATGGTTTTAAAGTTGCAAAATTGATGTTCCATTCCACGGTGGTAGTGTAATGCATTTTCAAAGGAAGAAACCGAAGCCTTGAGGTGTTAAGTATCCTGTCTGTAGTTGCACAATGAACATGGCAGAGAGAAAATTAGAACTCAGTTTCTAAGTTTTGTTTTCTTTCATCTGTCTCTCTTTCACATATTAAATTCTCAAATTAGAAGTGTGATGTGCTTTCAAATTTAATTTAGACCCCTAAAAAATACTTTTTCTGTGATACATTTATGCTTACTTTTCTATAGTCTAAGTGATTATTTTCAAAAAGTTTAAAAAAGTAGTTAGAAATATGAATGACCCAGGAATGCAAAAAGAAGCCTCCAGACTGATAGATTTTATTCTGGTAAAACTAAAACGCTCCTGGAAGTTTTGTTATAAATTTTTTTCCAAGAACTGACTTTATTCCTCTGGAAATGACATCATGATGTATCACTAAGTGGTCTACTTTGTCATGAAACTTGAGACTACCACATGGGATAGAATATTTAAGTTCCTGAACTTCTTAATGACTTAAGTTTTCTTGAACATTAAGGTATTCAGTGACTACTCTCACAGGCTTACTAGATAATGAAAAGTCTAATCTTTAGCTGAATCTTCAGTCATATAATGTGTAGTCAGATAAGAAGTGAATAGACAACACAATAGTTAAGTAATGAGCCAATGGAAAAATGAATGAATGAAACTGACAAGCAAAGACTTGAATGAATTCATATTAGATATTATGGTTTTATGCTTGATACATTATAGAATTCAAATAAAAATGGAAAATATCTCTAGGATATCAATTATTCAGTTATGCCAAAGTTATTCAGCTGCTTTAAATCATTATAACCTTCTCACTTCTACAGTGTTATACAAAGGAGAGAATTCAAATAGAGGAAAAAGACACATGGAAAAAAGTATTCATTTTAACACTATACATTTGATCCCCAATATTTTTGGGGGGTGGGGGGGACGGAGTCTCACTCCGTTGCCCAGGCTGGAGTGCAGTGGCACTATCTCGGCTCACTGCAACCTCTGCCTCCCAGGTTCAAGCCATTCTCCTGCCTCAGCCTCCTGAGTAGCTGAGACTGCAGGATCGTGCCACCACACCCGGCTGATTTTTTGTATTTTTAGTAGAGACGGTGTTTCACCATGTTAGCCAGGATGGTCTCGATCTCCTGACCTCATGATCCACCCGCCTCGGCCTCCCAAAGTGCTGGGATTATGGGCGTGAGCCACTGTGCCTGGCCATGTTCCCAAATTTGAAGCCTTAGAGATTCTCAACATTTGCGAATTCGTTAAACAAATACATTCCTGAGATGAAATTTTTCACAGCTACTTAAAATATTGATTAGTCCAATAGTAACATAAAAGAAAGAACATGAGCTTTGAGATCAGAAAAACCTATATTTGCGTCCTCTGTCACTTGCAAAATGTTCCAAATATAAAGAAACTCCTGGAATCTGTGCGCACTGTTAGTTTCTTTGTAGAATCCTCTCTGACCTGACACAGACTACTTATCCTATGGTGTACTGAGATTTAACACTGTGCTTGCAGAGAGACCAATTTAATTTTGGGAGGTAATCTGACTGAAGACTTAAGAAAGGAATGAATGGAATCAGATAGGCCACAATCAAATTCTGGCCACTTACTAGTGGTAACACATTGGGTACATTACTTCTTTGAAGCTCAGATTTCTTGTCAATAAATTGCTAACAATTAAATACTGTTTACCCAGTGGATGATAAAATGCCATTATATGTACTAGCACCGAGCTAGGTATGGATTTGGTATTAACTACATAGTAATTGTTAGCATTGTTGTTGTGTGTCTTATGCTAATCTAAAACTTTTACTCAAAAAGATTTTAGTCGGTCATTTATGCCCAAAGTATTACTTCTTAGTACACCAAACACCCTGTCTGACCAAACCCCCAATCCAACTGCCTGGCCATTTTTCCTAGTAACATTCCTTGTATAAGCCAGCATTTTTGCAGTTCTAGTCATTTCCCCCAAACTGTGTGAATTCCCAGCCTGAGCCTTTCCTCCTGCTCAGCCCACAGACTATGTCTTTTCTCCCTCTTCTAGATTTTCCTGTTGAACAGTCCTTTTCCTTCAAGGTTTAACTCAAGTGGAGCTTCCTGCTGGAAGCCTTCTATAAAGCACTCAGTATTTACTGTCTTTTTCTCCTGTGCTTTTATAGCACTTTGCATTTGATAGAATGCTTCACACTTTCCATAGATCATAATTTCTATATCTGACTCTCTACCATATATTAAACTTCTTGAAGACAGAAGCTATTTTTCCCTTCATTTTTGTAATTCTTTTAGCAACTTGGTAACTTGTGCTCAGTGGATATTTATAAAATATATGTCAAATTAAATTCAAGTGACTGAAAGCTCTAGAAATAACCTTGTGTAACCCTTCTTGACACAGATGTGCCATTTGAAGTGCCCATTTGAATATGATTTTTTAAATTTTTACATATTGAATTTTCACATACATAAAGTTGGTTCTAAAAGGCTAAAAGTACTGGTATACTTGACACAGAATCTCTCCCCCCTCACATTTCATTTTAATTTATTGCACAGATAGAAAACTAATGGGTACAATTATATGGATATAATCTTTCCATCTGGGCTAGTTCATGAACAAAGCATATTAGGTAATTTACAAGCTATATCCTGGCTTGCTTAAAACAGTATCTGTAACATTTTGGGAAATTTTACTAGTTCAAGAGAGGGAGAGATAAGTGAATTGATTTACATGGTCGATTTGGAAGACTTATGGATCCTCTGGAAAGAAAATAAACTCAAGAGTTTTCAAATATAATGTCTTACAATTCTCTCTTTAGAAAGGAAGAAATTGTAGTTCTTTAAAACTGATTAACTATGAGGATGGTAAGACTGGGGGAAAGGATAGGCCAAAACTTGGCCTGAACACGAGTGTCAGCTGATCTTGAAAGAGTTTCTAATTTTAGTGTAATTAAAATAAAAATTTTTAATAGCTTCACCTATTGCCACATAATATTAATTAGGCCTCCAAAGACAAGAAAAGCTCCTCTATGAACCACTTTTACGGGAATCTCTGTGCCCTCTTAGAGTTTCAAGTGTGCGACTTGAAAGATTTAAACTACAAAATTCTGTGTGTATGTGTGTGTCTCTCTCTCTGTCTCTCTTTCTCTCTCTATGTGTGTGTGTCTGTCTCTCACACAGACACACACACAGACACAAACACACACACACACACACGTAATTTTCTCCCAAAAAATTTACACCCAAATTAATGGCGTGTTCCTTTTTGACAAAGACTTTGGCTAAACCCTCTTGTAAAACATTCTAAAATGGCTAGTGATATCTACCTACTGACAAGGAGTCAGTGTAATCAATAACCCAATCAAACACTCAAAATGCTTAACTATAATCTTAGGATTTTTAAATATCCTGATCATTTTCACTTGGTACTTCATATTGAATGAATATCACCAAGATCCAACTTGATAGGCTGGGCGCAGTGGCTCACGCCTGTAAATCACAGCACTTTGGGAGGCCGAGGCGGGCAGATCACGGGAGGTCAGGACTTTGAGACAAGCCTGGCCAACATGGTGAAACCCTGCCTCTACTAAAAATACAAAAATTAGCTGGGCGTGGTGGCAGGCGCATGTAATCCCAGCTACTGGGAGGCTGAGGCAGGAAGTCACTTGAACCCGGTAGGCGGAGATCGCAGTAAGCCGAGTTCTAGCCACTGCATTTCAGTCTGGGCAACAGAGAGAGACTCCGTCTCAAAAAACAAAACAAAACAAAACAAAACAAAAAAAACAAAGATCCAACTTGATTTAAAAAAAAAAAAAAAAGGTGGGGCTGGGGCTGGACTGGCCGGGCGCAGTGGCTCACGCCTGTAATCCCGGCACTTTGGGAGACCGAGGTGGGTGGATAACCAGGTCAGGAGATCGAGACCATCCTGGCCAACATGATGAAACCCCGTCTCTACTGAAAATGCAAAAATTAGCTGGGCATGGTGGCTGGTGCTTGTAATCCCAGCTACTCGGGAGGCTGAGGCAGAACCCGGGAGGCGGAGCTTGCAGTGAGCTGAGATAGTGCCACTGCACTCCATCCTGGAGACGGAGCTAGACTCCGTCTCAAAAAAAAAGTGGCTGGACTTGCCAGAGTTGGGTTGGCAAAGAAAACCCATCCAATTTTAAAATGATCAAGGTCATTGTAGACTTTGAAAAATCTTTATTTCTGTTTGTATACAATGGTGAACTTAAACAATTCGTGAGAATTTTGCAAGTCAGTATAAGCTCCAATTCTCCTTCTTCAGAAATGGAGAAGAACTTTTTTAATATTACATATTTTTCTTTAAATAATAAAGAGACAAATTAATTCCTATTAAATCTTAATTTGGAAGTATTGTTTGATTGTGGAAGATTCTAGAATGCATGTTAAGAATCTGATTTTGTCTATGAGCTCCTTCCCTGTTTCCATGGTTCTCTCCAGTTCTACCTTCCAATATTCTCATCATGTTATACTTTATCCAAAAAGACTAAACTTTTCACCCTTCTCTGAATATACATTTTCATTACTTTCCACCAAACTACTTTTAAATATCTAAAATTCTACCACTTTCCAAGGAGACTTATGTGCTATTACAAACAAAATAGGCCTATAAACAAATAACTAATATAAATGAAAGCTGCCTTAATCATTACAAAACCATTATTAGGATTAAAAAGCCCTTACTAAATAGTAATCAAACATAATTTTAGAGCTAGTTTAATGGCAATTATATTTCAATACATACTTTAAAAATGTATGTTGTGTCTCTTTAACACCTAGCTCTAAGAAATTAAAATTATTATTATCACAATATTTTATATATATGACTAACAAAAAACTCGCAATATTAATAAAATGCCATGTTTCTCTACTCTTTAAAAAGAGTTAAGCTAATATCAATGTACTAAGTAATAAGAGTAAAATATGTTTGCAAATGGACATGGAATATTCACCTATGTTAGAACTTTCTCCTTCAGTCTACCAGCTCAAATCTATATGAGAAACCTATTTTTAGTTCTTGTAAAAGAATAAAGCCTGGCACCCATTTTTAGTTTAGCAAGCTCATAGTGACACATAGAGCATTTTTCTATAGCGTTTTCATAGCATATGTTGTATGGATCACATACTAAATATTTATTTTGTAATTTACAGTCTAGAGGAATTATGAAAAAAGAAACTGGGTAAAAAATATTAGATCAAACTTTGATAATAATAAGTTTAAGTAAGAAACTAACTTTTGAAATTTACATGTTAGCTGGGCATATTTCAAGATATCATCTGTTGGGAAACACCTAAAACAAGTTGTTTTCTAGTAAGATTTACCCCCCACCGCCCCCGTTTTTTTTCTTTTAGCTGAATTGTTATGTTTTTTTCTGAACAAGTATTTGTGTGACAGTTTCTACTGCTACTGGTTCAGCTGACATTCTATCATAAATAATAAAAATTCTTGGATATTTTTACTCTTACAAATATAGTAAATCTTCACTTATATTAATATATGTAAATTGTACATATATAATATATGTAAATTGTACATATATAATATATGTAAATTGTACATATATAATATATGTAAATTGTACATATATAATATATGTAAATTGTACATATATAATATATGTAAATTGTACATATATAATATATGTAAATTGTACATATATATGTAAATTGTACATATATAAGATATGTAAATTGTACATATATTATATATGTAAATTGTACATATATAATATATGTAAATTGCACATATATAATATATGTAAATTGTACATATATAATATATGTAAATTGTACATATATAATATATGTAAATTGCACATATATTATATGTGTAAATTGTACATATATAATATGTGTAAATTGTACATATATAATATATGTAAATTGTCATATGTTACAGATGCTTTAGAAACATTGTATATTTGAATAACTATACATCACAGGACCACAGAATTCTGGAATACGTGTGAATTAAAATCATTAAAATGTTTATAAACTGAAAACTCAGTCATGTGAATTTACTTATGAAGAATACCTTAATATCACAGTAGAGAACAGAGTATGGGAGATGTTTAATTTTAGTCCAGTTTTAAAACAATGATATGTTTAACTGGCTGCTTACTTTTAAATGATATATTCATAAAGTTTAGCAATGTTCATTCACAAATTTTCCCTGTAAATTTAACTTTCCCTGCACTAATCAACAATATAAGTTAGTAGACTCTAGTTACTTCTGGATTGCTTGGTTCATATCTTAAAAAGGAGAGATTTTTTTAAATGGTGTTTACTCAGAAAGTAATGACATCTTTTAAGGGAGAAAATTTGGCATTTTACATTTCAGAAGCAACAGTATTGGCAGATGTATATCAGGATTTTAAAAATTCCTTGCAAAAATATGCATATTCCAGCCAGCTGGAAACAACATGAGACCTTTATTCTACGGGAGATCTAGAGAGGTTGTGTGCCTCTCTAGATCCCCTTCCTCCATATCCTACAGTGAGTTAATAACCAGTGGTGGGCAAGAATGCAGATCACCTGCCTTTTGGGTAGGTGTAATTTTTCATTACCTTGAAAGTCTTAAAGGTAATCCTCGAATATCGAATACTTTATTATTTATTAAATCACATTTCTAACTGTTCCAGACCATGTTTCTATAGCCTGTGTACACAGTGATTGACACATAAAAATCAGTCACATTTAACAAGTGCATGAACTTAAACATCTTTATATGAATTTAATATCTAATTGTGAATTGCTACTCACTATGTGATCGCCATCTGTCATTCAGCATGAACTGAGAACTATACATTATCACTATTTATTGGTTCAATCTTTTTCAAGGCACAATGCCTAAGGAAGTTACTGATTATTGATCCACCGTAATTGAAATGCCCACACATTTGAAAAAAGATGGTTAATGAAAATAACTTGTTTCCCTGTATATTGATTTAACTAAAGAAAGTAAAACGCATTTGTGATTCGCTTGTACATTGTTTTCTAACCACAATAAAAACTGACTTGAGAAGTTTGTCAGACGTATATATTTATTTCACAAATAGGTATCTTTTTGATGGCTTTTGTGAAGAAAATGATGCATTGGAATTGATATATTGTGCATAATATAAATGCCAATAATACACTTATTCTTCTAGATTTTTATTTATTCTAAGTTTATCCAATTATTATGTAGGGCTGTTTACATCAAAGATTGACTGCCTCTGGTTTTGCTCTGGGGAGTCTTAGCTTTTGCCCTATGTACAGCTCTGTGCTTCTAAGGCAGAGCAAAAGTTGTTGGTGCTCGTGGGTTTCTCTCCTTCTTGTGCCAGAATCACTTCCCTGCAAGACTGCTTATGGAACATTCCTAACCCACATTTGTTTCTCCCAGGACTCTGGCTCCTTTGAGGGATTTGCCGGCCTAGCTGGATGGAGGTATTCCAGCTCTGCTTTCTTTCAGATAATATTTCTATTCATTTTATCTAAATAAAGGATTATATTAGCTAAAAACGATTGAACTTGAGATATGAGTAGGTACCTTTCTAGTATCTGGTTTTGTTACAGGTTCTTATGGTTGATTTTCTGCCTGTAATGTAGTATTTTAATAGAACCGTCTTTAAATAGCAACAACTCCTAGGAAAAAGTTTCGAGGAAACCTATGCAAGCTTTTTGAAAGAAATTGGCATTTAAGTGCTTAATTCAGTTAGCAACTCATAAAGTCTATATTGACTGGGATGCAAATAGCCTTTATAAGCATTAATTTCATGACATGAACATTTTGTAGAAGTGAATGTAGAGTTTGTAGATCCTTAGGCAAATCTTCACTGTCAGTTGAATTTATTTAAAGAGCTTTTCTGGTCACCTTTGAACCTCAATGATTTCTCCAGATGTACAGAAGTGAACAATGTAAAAATCTTGCTGTTTCAGCAGAACTGATTCCAGCTGGCTGGGAACTGGATCTGCAAGTCATTGGTTACAGCTGTGTTTCGATTTATGTGATGGTTGAAAAAATAAATTACCCGATTAGATGGCTGGAAAGAGGACTCTTTGTTTAGCCCTTGTGTGGGGACTGAAAGTGTTTATGGTGCTGTTTTCTACGCAGTCTTTGCAAAGTAAGCTGGACAAATAGACTTATTCAATGCTTCTAAGAAATGTTGCATATTCAGCTTTAATTCTTCTACTAAAGAAACTGTATTTTTTTATAGTGCTGTCATCCAGCAAATGTTTTAAAGGTCTAGCATTTAAGAGAAGCAGTACGTTTTCTGTCCTACTGAGCACTGCATTTAGTAATTGAAAAGCAGTTTTCTTTTGTTTAATGTGTACTTTAAAACATGTCTTTGTCAGGCACGGGAATGGGAATACATTTTCTCTTAAACTCAATACTTTATAATAGCAAAGTATCTGAACATAAGTTCTAACTTAACCCTTTTCCTCAGTGAGTTATGGCTAGTGTCACATAAGAGAAAATACATTAATTAAATTGCTGTATAAAGAAATATAGTCAAACATTACTGTAAAAAATTAACATGCCTGTGGGCCACTTAGGCTATTAGGCTTTTGAATTTGTGAATGTTTTATTTGTTATAAAAGTAAAGTTTTGTATGGAGAGTTTGGAAGAGCGTTAATCAGCATATAACTTTCCAGGCTAGTAAAAGTCAAAATGCTAACTCTTGGAGCTTTGGTATACAGAGCCTAACAAAATACCTCCCCAAAGAGACTAATATACTAACACTATCTTGTGTGAGGAGTTTTTTGTTTGTTCTATTGCATTATTTTTTTAAGGTAACTTAACTTGGATCATTCTGTTTCCTAAGTTATAAGCTGTCAGAACCAATGAATTGTTTACAGCTCACCCAGTTCCACTGTGGCATTAAAAAAGTGAGCGGTGGCTCTGGAACAGATAGCTACGATGATATGTCTTCATCATTATTTTCTCAAACACTGATTTGCTAAATGATTTCAATATTTTTTGGAAATTTATTTTTTTCTTTAATGCTTTCTAAACTCCTGAAAAGGGCCCACATTCTTCAGTGAACTTGAGACTGAGGCCAAGCACTTGACTAGGTGTCACAAGGTCTCCTAAGTTCAGTAGCAGTTCAGTGTGGGGAACACCCAGGAATGTGTTATATTTTCCAAGAAAATAGACAATTCTTTGCTATTTCCTTTCTTAAACAGCTATATATTATGGAATTTAAAGATGCAGAATAAATAAGCATAATATATCTAATAGGAGACAAAGGTGGGATTGATCTGTCTTGAATTGAAAGTCAGTTTTGCTATGTTACGCTATTTTCTTGATCAATGAAAGTATACCTTCTAACCCTTAACAAAATCAATACAATTGATTGGAAAAGATAGAACAAAGCATGAGAATGCAGAATACACTTGAACCTTCATTATTCAGAAATATTTAAATGATGTTTATAATGCTTAGAAGCATTTTCCACTAACTCCATGTAATGGAAGCTTCTTTAACCAAGATTGAAGACCTGAGTAATAGAGTTTGAGAATATGCTATAGTGGCATCCTTCATAGAATAACATGGTTTTTGTTTTTTTTTTTTAAGTTAAACTCATCTCACATTACTTATACTTCTAAAAGTGAGAGCAATTTCTATTACTGAGCATAGAGATAGCAAAGTGAAATTCAATCTTGAAAATAAAGTATATAAATTAATATGAAAAACTTAGAAAAGAAAAAAGTATCTATAAAGAGAGAGCACTTTTTAATTTAAAATAATTTACTCTATATTTTGTGCTCCTGCTAACTGTCATAATTAGTAGATAAAGCATTTTCTTTTCTTATGAAAAGAACCCTACAAAATTAGCATATTTTTTACATGAAAGAAAACTCTAAAAATCTAGAATAAAAATGATTATACACAGTCAGTATAATACCAATCCATTAATAACTTTATTCCCCTTCAATTAAGGAGCACTTGAAAAATGAATATTTTTTGAAACCAAAAAAGATGTTTTTAAAGTTTTTGCAAGTTGATAGAGAATTTTTAACCTATGATTCACCTGTTTTTCTGGTTTCCTTTGTATTCCAAATTTCAGAAATCCACTTAAGGAGGTTTTATAAACTATATATCTTATCCTGACAAATTTTAAATGCCTTATTAAAGCTAAAGTGTGTCTATTAGATCAATGAATCCTAAAATGTTTTTTTAATCCACATTGGCTAATTTTTGCAGTCATCCAATGAAATTATGAGGTTTTCTCCCCAGTGCCTATGCCATAACTGTGTTTACACATTTTTAAATCTTAGAAAATTACTATCTAGTTATAAAATGAAAATACTTTATATAGTATTTCAAATAATTAAAAATTTCAGTGGGAATAAAGTAATCTACATAAAAGATCTAGTATAACATTTTGAAGTTGCCATATTATGCAGCTAATGTGAAATGGTACAATTTTTTTTTTTTTTTTTTTTTTGAGATGGAGTCTCACTCTGTTGCCCAGGCTAGAGTGCAGTGGCCTGATCTCGGCTCGGTGCAACCTCTGCCTCCTGGCTCAAGCAATTCTCCTGTTTCAGCCTCCTGAATATCTGGGACTACAGGCGCACACCACAACGCCCAGCTAATTTTTGTATTTTTAGTAGAGATGGGGTTTCACCATATTGGTCAGACTGGTCTCGAACTCCTGACCTCAGGTGATTGACCTGCCTCAGCCTCCCAAAGTGCTGCAATTACAGGAATGAGCCACCACGCCTGGCCTGAGATCATACACATTTTTGAAATTCAGCTACTAGGTGAGATACCACAGGGATATAGGAAGAGGCTATGTTATTAGCTTTACTGGGGATAAATGTTACTGGACAGTTATTATGAGGGTTAAATTAGATAATTATGTAAACAGATATCTAAATAGCAGATAGTAATTACCAGGATGTGTTTCCAATTGTACTGTCCTTCCATTGCACAGGATTTAGGGCTAAATTGGGCTTTGGAGATAACCTAGTCCTCTCTCCTCATTTTAAAAATAAGAGAACTTAGGTTCCAAGAGTTAAATGACTTATCCAAGATGATAGACATTATTAATTACAGAATTGGCACTAGAACCAGTTTTTCTCACTCTTAGATCAGTTATTTTTCTACTTTCTCACTTCGTTTCATGGTGTTGTACATGGCCTACCATATGGAAAATAGTACTTTTCTATAGTTACGTTACTTAAAACATAAATTTTTATTGATCCTGTACCATAATATTCACAGTCTAAATACAACAGTGATTCTGAAGTCATTTGAAGGCTTCTCACTTATATTCATTCTTAAAAAGCCAGGATTAATTATTTTCTCTCTCACCTGTTAGGAAGCACATCAACCCAGCAGAAACATTACTTATTAGTATGTACAATATGGAGAACTATTGAAAAATACTCTTCCAGATTTGTGTGTGTATATATATATATATTTTTTTATTTTATTTATTTATTTTTTTGAGACAGAATCTCGCTCTGTTACCCAGGGTGGCGTGATCTCGGCTCACTGCAGCATCTGCCTCCTGAGTTCAAGCAATTCTCCTGCCTCAGCCTCTAGAGTAGCTGTAACTACAGGTGTGCACCAACAAGCTCGGCTAATTTTTATATTTTTAGTAGGATGGGTTTTCACCATGTTGGCCAGGCTGGTCTTGAGCTCCTTACCTCAGGTGATCCACCCGCCTCTGCCTCCCAAAGTGCTGGGATTACAGGAGTGAGCCACCGTGCCTGGCCTCAGATTTGTATATAATTTGTTAGGGTATAATTTTTGTGGTCTCCAAATTGCCCCTTATTATCATTCCCTGCCTTTTCCCTGAAAGAGAAACACTCCACCAGCATCCTCAAGACCTAGTTGTTCCTATGTGTGGTTGCACAACAAAGTTCACATCACTTTTAACTCAAGACCTTCCTCAAGTTCCTCTTCTTGCTCTGTTCCCTCATCTCAGTGTCATCTCTGTAGTGTGCTTTGAATGAGGTCCCCTTGTGGATACTGGTGACTAACAGACTAGACTGGAAAGTAGGTTGTACACTTCCGGAGAGCAGAAGAGGGGAGAGGGCAAGAGGAAAGAAAACAGGGAAGGGAAGCCATGAAAAAGAGATTGCTACAATGAATTACAACTTTTTTGTATTACTAAATGCAAGAATGAACATTAGATTTTTACATGCCAGGATCATTCCTAAAAGGAGGAGAAATCTCTGATTATTTGTTTTTCCATGGTAGTTGTGATATTCTACACTTACATATATCAAAAGAAAGAGAAAGAAAGTAATTTCAGGTTGGCAAACCTATTGCATCCTGGTCATAAAGTGCCTGAATTTAACACTGAGTCATTTTCTTGTCCAAATACAAAAATCTTGAAAGAAAATATAGGTCAAGTTTTTTTTTTCCTTGTTAAAAACCAATGATCTCTTTCATCGTGAACCTTTTAAAGTAATAACTCATATAAATTTACATTTTACATTATTTAATTTGGCTTAAAATAATTATTAGTTCTAGAATCTGATTTGTAAATCAAAATTGTCATACCAAGGTACACACACACACACACACACACACACACACACTCACAAACACACTCGTATCATCTGGGATTTTTTCTCAGTTAATTCTGTAGAAAATTCCTAACCAGGGCTGGGAGTGGTGGCTCATGCCTGTAATCCCAGCACTTTGGGAGGACGAGGTGGGCAGACCACAAGGTCAGGAGTTCGAGACCAGCCTGGCCAACATGGTGAAACCCCCGTCTCAACTAAAAATACAAAAATTAGACAGTCATGGTGGCATGCTCCTGTAATCCCAGCTACTCACGAGGCTGAGGCAGGAGAATCACTTGAACCCGGGAAGCTGAGGTTGCAGTGAGCCAGATCGTGCCATTGCACTCCAGCCTGGGCGACAGAGCAACTTTCCATCTGAAAAACAAAAACAGAAAAAAAGAAAATTCCCAACCAGTTCATCCTAGTCCACAAGAATCTGATTTTTGTCTCCCTTGTCCTTTAATTACTCTTCCTTGTCTCCTAAAAAAAAAACAAAAAAAAAAAACAAAAAAACAGTTTTGTATGCTCCTAACTGCTGATTGCTCCTTATTTTAACTGGATTTTTAGAAAAGACTTTTTTTTTTTTGAATTTTTGCTACTCACACTACTATTACATCACTTCTTTATTGAAAGCAGAAATATGTAATATGTGTTGTTTGGCTCTAAAAAGAGAATGACTGTCATTTCTGGAAAAGTTAGACAAGTAAACACCTCATATTTATTCGGAGACTTTAGCTTGAGTAGTTTTTTTGTGTCTTCTGATAGTATTGTTATCAACTATTTCAAAGTTAGTATCTATATACCCTTTTTCCTTAAGTAATCATGCATATTTCCAGACTATTAGTAAATAAAAATAATAGATACTCTTCAGTCAAAAGAAATTCTATTTTAGATCTTCAAATAAATCAACATAGTTTCATTCTCTTAAAAGAGACTTGAAAGAAAATATTGAGATCCCATAATCAATTATGCTATAAAACTTTTCACAAGGAAAATTTAAGTCAACAGTCTCCTATAAAACTTTCTGCAGGGTTGGAAATGTTTTATATCCAGGCTGTTCAAAATGGTATCCACCACCATGTGCCCTTCTACACATTTGAAATATGGCTAGGGCAACAGAAAAAAAAATGAATTTTCACTTTAATTTAAATTTAAATAGCTACACGTGGCTGGTCACAGCTTATTGGAGAATGCAGGTTAAGTAAAACAAAGAAAAAATGCAAGTAATAAACAATAAATTCTGCACATCCATGAATTTTGAGTCAAAATTTGAACTGTAGTTGATTTTTTGTCTTTTGTCTTCTATCCTTCTTACTCCAAATCTCACTAAATAATTTAAATATGATCCCCTTCTTAGCACTGATTTCAAATGGCGTTTATAAGAAATAAAAGATTCCTGCCTTAGTAGTCAGGTAGAAGGCAGGTTGTATTAAAGTATTTCAGAGTAGTCAGTTATTACTTCCTTTAACTGAAAATATTTTTTGACATTAAATTCATATCTATCTTACTTATTTTTTAGAAAGTTAACAGAACAAATCTCCAAAATCACAAAAATAGTTGATCTAGCAAGGCAATACTTGCATTATACTACTTAAATTAAATGTAAAACAGCATCAAAATTTTACTTTGTAAATATTTTAGCCATAGTCAAAGTATAAACTCTGATTTAGGGATGCTTTTGTATTGATGATAAGATGTTAAGAATTAGAAGAGACCTTAAACCTGTATATATGACAGTGGTAATTGGACTAATTGATTGCAACATCTTCTTTCAAATAAATATTGATTTAATCAAGTCTGCATTCCCATTGGCCTTAACGGAAGTCCTACCAGAAGCCTGTGCACTCGGATCTGGCTAACCTCTATCTGGATATAAATATTTTAAATGCATGGCCATTCAGTTCTAAGTATGAATTTTTTGGCGAGTATTTATTCCTCTTGATTTTCTAAATTCCTCAGTTAACATTGTTATGCCTTCTGTAAAGTTAAGGCCTGTGTGTGTGTATATCTCTGTATGTAATAGAGAGATAGCATGGATTAGGGGAAAAAAAAGTTGTATTTGCATTTGTTGTTTCTGATTCACAGAGCTAGGAGTGCAGTGTTCATGTGGAGTCCACAGAGCTGGAATATCAGTAGGCAGTTGCTGTAAGCACATGTTCAATTATTAAAATAGTCAACATTTTATGTCTGATAGCCATAGCGAGGTCATGACATTAATTTATCCAAAGTATTGTGGGCAACTGTCTAGAAAAATAAATAGCATAAAGGACACAGATGCCAGAGAACTAAAAAAGAAAAAAAAAAAAAGGTGGGTCTGAGCAAAGAGAGATTAAGAGATGACCAATTTATTTAATCCACATAGAACAGGAAGAAGTCAGCAGGTGTCTCAACGTTAATGACAAGTATTTTAAGCTATGCTGCACATGAGTTAATTTTTGCTTTAGTTTTTCATTAGATTCTAAGCTTGTTGAATACTACTCCTATTCTTCCATGTCAGAAACTTAATTTCATATTTTATTGTTGCTTCAATGCTTAGGGATTCTTTGCTACCTGTTTCTTTCTCTCCTTTTTCATTCTTCCCTTCCCTCTTCCCATTTCTGTGTTTCCCTTTCTTCTTCCCTGTTATTATTTTCCTTCTTGCTTTTCTCTCTCATGAGAGTATATTCTTAATTCTGTTTCCTTCTGGTGCCAACTTCTTTTTCTATTTTTATTCTTGCGTTTGAGAGGTTTCTTTTTCCTTTTGCTTTCAAATCAGGAGCCTGTAGGAACTGATCTTAGAGATACATACCCTACTACCGATGCTTCTATCTCTTTATAGGTTGTGTGATGTTTTCTTTGGAACCTCTGCGAATGGTTGTCCTTCTTGTTTGTTGCCACAGATCTGTTGCCAATCTGCTACCTTAGTTGAGCCTGCAGTGCCGCACTGCATGCTGGGATCTGTCTGTGTGAGTAAACTGAAATTTCTACAGCACCAGACAGCATTAGAGTTGGCTTGAGAATTGCCGTACTTTGCTTCCCTTTGTATGTATTTCTTGTATGCTGCCGAGTCACTGATGGCTAGCTCTGTCTGGCAAGTAATTCAAAAATGCTGTTTATGTAGAAAGGAAAGGTAGGGACTTTACCACACTCTGTCATTAAAGGGAGCAATTGAAGAACAAAGGAACTGAGTAAATACCTATATATTGCCTTTTGTGTTGCGAAACACTGTAGCACAAACACATTTGTGTTCAGCCAAATGTTTTACTTCCTTTTGTAATAACGCATATAGTAGGTTGTCTCCACATATGTACAAGAATCCATATTTTATTTAAACGTATATAGTCAATTGTTCATATTTATAGGCTGCAAACATTTCTCAATCTCAAAGACTTTTACATATCCACTCCCACACAGCTATTTGTTATTATTTTAAAAGTTCTTAAATTAAAAAAAAAAATAAAATATACTAATATCTCTGTTGGTTGATTTTATTAAGCAACTTAGGATTTCAACACAGTTTAAATCATATTGATGACTCAGATCCTGGCAGGTCTTACAATTCCTGTGAAATGAGAGCACAGCTAATAAAAATATTAAGCAATTACTTTTATTAAAATCATAGGGTTTTTTTCATTATCACATAGAAATGATTGATCTATACAGATTGGTCTCACTCATGTGTCTTTTGGGCTGCTTGGGAGCTTCATGTAGAAGTGGAAAGTCCCCTTTGCTCTTCCTTCGACCAAGGTGGGGAAAATGAAGGCATAGAATACAATCTAGGGCTATTAAAGAATTGCTGGCATTACTTCTCTCTATCACGTGTGAGCCTGGCTGCCTGCTTCCTGAGGTAGGGGATCCAGGATGAGACTGTGCCGGAGCCTGTTTCCACAACTGCATTTGGAGATCCGTCTTATTGATTAGCGGGGGAAAGGGGTGGGGATCAGGAGTGTGAGGTGAGGGGAGGACCAACTGACGACTGGCTCAATGAAGCACAAGACATTTTCTTCCGGAAAGATGTCAAACAACTGAGAAACAGCCAGAGAGGAAGTAGAAAGGTGGAAAAATGAGGAGACCCTGGAAGAAATGAAGGCATTTCCTATGAGACAGCCTTGGGGCTTTTTTCTTTTCTTTCTTTTTTTTTGCTTCCATCATCTGACCTGCAAAGGCTAGAGTGACAGCGTCATGCAAATGCTGCAGTCCAGCAGGTCTGGGAGAGGGTGGATGCTAGACTGTGAGTTAATGTTAATGATGAGCGCAGTGAAAATACCAGCCGCTGCCACCCCCTGCTCACAGAAGCGCTCTGAGTCAGCATCAGATGCTTTGCCTCGCCTCTCGCTGTGTATCTGTATGCCTGTGTGCGCGCGCGTGCTCGCTCGGGCATCCGTGTCTAGCCGAGGGGAGGGGGTGGCGTGTGAGTGCGTGGAGGGTAAAAGCCAGTCAGTCAGTGAGAAGCAAAGGTACGTTGGAGAGCAACTAAAATCTGACTGATTTCCATCTTTGGAGCATCAGATGTATTCCCTAAGGAGGATGGGTCTCCGTGATGGGGGTGGTATAATTATGTTAATGTCATTTTTATGGAGGGGTGAGATTTTTCATTCTGATAATTGGTTGAATGCTATGGTCAAAAATTGTAAAGCCATATTCAGTTTTAGGGAAAAGCATGGACTTAGATCTAAGGGCTGTTTTATTTTTTCGCTTTTTGTGAGTGCTGCTTTTTTGTTTTTTTGGTTTTTGTTTTTTAACTATTTATTTTAAGCCATAAGTGATTCAGTATGGGAAATCAAATGATAAACAGAAAGAGATCTTATATAATGATGCATTACATCATGGAGCAGAATATTTAAAGTCTTACAAGGCAGAGTAAAGATCTGGACAGGGGGTGGGGGGTGGTGGTTGGAAAGGGGTGTGGTACTAGGGTGGAGGAGGGGGGCCAATTACCAAATATTTTGTGCAGTATAGCTTTCCTTGCAGCTTACTTGGAAATGGATGATTCACCTGTTCTACAGGAAAACATTCTAATTCTTTCCATTTTTTTTTTTTTCCTCCTCTTTTCCCTTTTAAGATCAACCACCTCAGAAGAGCCAGATTCCACTTCTGTGGCCAGGACTTTTACATTATGGCTGGTCCGATTGTTTTACCCTGCGTTCTATGCTACTAAACCTTGGATCATTCCTAAAGTACAAATTCTGTTCTCGAACCACAAACAAGGCTAAAAGATCGGAGGAAATTCAGTGAATATACAGGATTGGGGTTGTGTATTTTTAAAAGTATTGAGCTTTATAATGTAATTATTCAAGAAATAGAATCATGGTTTTTTTATGATGTTGCCAGCATTTTAAATTACATGTTTATTAAGTGGCATTGCTCAAATAACTACAGAGTATGCGTGGAAATATTTGCTGTCTGAATAGTTTGGAGATTCAAAGAGAAAAATCAAGCTTCAGAGGTATTAAATTATGACATGCAGAAAAGTTTTTGTTTTGTTCTTAACTGCAACGGTATATATTTAAATCCGATTTAAAGTATTATATGTCCTGGGCCCACCTTACCAGTTGTGCTGTATAGCAGTGTAATGGGAAGCAAAATTTCAATTAGGGTCCCATTAACTGGCATATAATCCTTCTTTAATGTAATAGAGGCTATGGTGTTGCTGTACAAATCTGCTAGAAGCAGATTTTAACCCATGTTTAGTCTCTTTCTTTGGATCTAATGGAATGACTCTTAACTGTTCATTGTCTGCATTGTTTCTCATATTCTTCATTATTTTAAGGTCTGGAATTAGTCTATAAATGGTCGTCGTGATTACTCAGCTCATCCTAACTTTTATATATCATATATATTTCTACTGAAGTATTTTAAATAGTATTTAGAGGTAAAAGTCTAAGTGAACCCAACTGTAATTTCTAAGCTATCCTTATTTCTGGAAGAAGAATTCTACCGCATCAAACCAGACTTTTCCTAGTCCCTGAGACCCTAACTTGTGAGGTATTTTAGTAACATCACAAGTCAGGCTCTTGGGACCTAGGCGGAGGGGAACCAGCAGCTTTGGACCTTATTGATTGTCTGCAGTTACCACCAGAACAAAAGAACATACATAGATTCTGCCTAGGAGAAAAGAACAATGCTTTTCTTTATCATCAGCAACGTTTTCACCATGACCCATCCCCAAAAATACTATTGTCAGAAACTGTACTCTAAAGTGATTACACAGTTGCACTGAAATAGCGTTTGTATTATAACGATCATACAAAAGCAATATAAGAAACCTGTGTAAGAAGCAAAATTAAAATATAAGTGTTTTAAAATGCTTCTTTTGGTGCATTTTAAGGTGGCTAGTATAAGAGGATATCTCTTCAGTTAATGAAGAGAGGGGATTATATTTATAACTTTTCATATGCATTGAAATATATACATTAGCTACTTAAATAAATCCTGTATGCCTCCATATAACTATGGCTCAGACTATGTCATATACAGCTATAAGCATGCTTGAGGCCTAGAAATAACATGATTTACAATCTTCTTTATTGACCCTATTAGATTTTACTACCGATTTAAGAAGAATGCTGTTTTATACTTTGTATTTATTGCCAGGGCTTTTCTGAGTCTTCTATCCAACCAACATACTTTATATGTCTTAACAATTCTAACAATTATTTTGTTACGAGAGTCCAAGAGTGAAAGTTTCACCAATAATCTGGGAAAATATGTCTTTTTAAAATTTTTTACAGTTTACTGTGTACATATCATGGGCCTACGTGAGATAAAACAGTAAACGCCACCTATGAAGTCAAACTGCTTTGACTAGCAACTGCATATGAACTGCATAGTTTTAGTTTTATAAGAATTTTAGCTTTATCGGAGGTAACTATTCCAACCATAAGTAATATGTCATATTTGAAAGTTTAATAGCCATTGCCACATCAGATATGTCTTTCTTGGAGATAGAATCAGTATGCTAAATCTATTTAAAAATTTTACAATAATGTTACAAATATCAAGATTCAAAATGGAGATGACAGACTTTCCTTAATAGAAGCAACAAAGTGGCTTCATTCTTTTAACTATTGCCTTAGATGGGTGCCATAAATTATGTGTCTTCTGCATTGTTAAAATAAATTTATGAATGTATTTTAGAATACTGTACGGAGTCTTTGTTCATCTTTTTAAAAATTTCTTATAATACCTACTTGAAATATTACAGAATACAAATCATCTATTAGTCATAGTTATTAAAAATTACTATAACAATATCATAAACATACACATCTATATAAAGCATGCAGAATATGTTTAAGCATGTATGCACACTGTACCTATTCAGATTCTTTATTTATATCATCTACTTCATTTATCTAGAAGTTCTGAAATTTTAGGTGTGTGTATGTATATGTATAAATATAAGTTTTAAAGCTCCAAATGAAAGGAGGTAATATAAACAGTAAAGAGCTTTGGTAGTATTTATCTTTTATTTCTTTTGACCTCATTCTCATTGGAATTGAGTATTTTTTAAAACCATAAGTTTCTTAATACAAAGAAATCTATGTATGTGTGTCTACATGTACACAGAAGCTTGATTACATTTAATAGCAATGTTCACACAATGGATCTGAAAGTACTTCTTGTAAAAAAGAATATCACATACAAGTATGTGTTTACTAACATCTGTTTTAACATGATCATAAATAATATCTGTGAAAGGTTCCATCAAGTTAGTTCCAAAACAATGTAAGGGGTAGATGTTTATTGGCTATAGTGATATCAGATATAGGTTATTCAAACGTGAAAATTTTTTAATGTTATCATATTCATGAACCACACTATATATTAACTTCTGTCTCATAAAAGAAATATACCAAAACTGAATTGAGAATGCAGTCATGTTTGTTCATTTTCACCATAAACATATAAAATGTTTTTTACTGATAATCCTGCACAATTGGAACTTCTCTATGTAACCCTCCTATATGAACAGTCTTTCAAGAGCGTCATTGACAAAGCTTTTCTTTTACTTCATAAAGGTGTATATAGATTTAAGTGGGTGACTTTGCTTATGTAGGCTACTTTATGCTGTATGTGCATAGACAGATGCCACTTTTTCTGCATTTCTATCTCAGCTGTCACAGGATAATATTGTTTTAGGGCTTTATGATATGATTTGGAAAATCAGATCATACTAAGCTTAAAATAAAAAGGAGAGATCTACAACAAAGAGCGAGAAAATGATGTGTGTTGCATGCAAAAAAAACAGTGATATTAACAATTCGATGGCTTCCTGGTTGGGAGACCAGCCTGAGCCAGACGCATATATTAAGGGCTGTCTGCTGCCGATGTGAGCTTGCTCAATGCGGTGGAAATGAGGAATCATCTCCTTTCTGACACCAGCTTATTTGTACATTTTAATTTTGAAATAGCCAATCACTGTTTTACATAAATATACTAACCCCTGCCTGATTCATTTTCTTTCCCATATTGTTTGTTAATTTACTGTGAACTTCAAGTTCCTTTTTTTGGCAAAAAAAATCATCATTCAACTTCAACATCTACCAAAGACCAATGAAGTATTAGCTTTTCTTTTGTCTCTTTTGTATTGCTCTGATAATATTGTGATATTCATGCTTTTAACTTTTAATCTCTGTAAGGAAAACATCAATTTTCCAAAATAGCATTTTTTAAAGCCTTTTAGGATCCATCAAGGAAGCCACTCTGGAATTTTGCCAAATCTAAATATGATTATATTTCATTTCAGGGTTCATGGGATCAATATCTTTTTCAGTATAAAAGTCCCAAACACTTTAGTATTCCAGTGGAGCTACAGAAGAGGTGTAGAGATATTCTTAAATCATTTAAGCATTAGGCTACATTAATAGTGTCTTGAAGAGAAATAAGTATCTCAGGAGAATTATAGTACAAGTTAATTACTAATGAAATTAGAAAGGGTATGTTCTGCCTTAAACTCCTCTTCAAATGGACAGGCTGGTACATGTGCCTAGGCTTGGTCTAATACACCTTAAATATATAAACGGTTTTACAAGCTGTCATGTTTGGATGAGTTTGAGAAAAGCAGTATATAAAGGGTTAGCTAACGCCCAAATTTTCTTGCCATTTACACATGCAATGCAGCCTACATTTCTGTAGGCAGCAAATGCAGGCATCATTTTGATTGCTTGAATTCTTTTGTTTAATTTTTTACTAGACATTTAACTTAGCACTCAAATCCCACTGATCCCTTAGAGACTGCATTTGGATAAGGAAAACAAAGTTCCTAATATAGAGAAGTTTAAAAAAAAAAAAAATCCTGGGCCCTTGTAAACATTTGAGAAATAGACTTTTAGTGTAGCGCTGCAAATACATATTTAGAGTGCAGAAACTTAGGTACCTTTATTATCTATCATCATCCTGGTTTTCTTATCTTTCAGTGACCAACTATAGAGTCGGTCACATATTTATTTCCTATATGTCTTTATTTCTTGAAAGGTTTAGTAAAAACAGTGTAAAAATTGACATATCTTCATAAAATGATTCACACCATTTCTTCAATGAGCTAGCTTCAATTTTCATTAAATGTTGCTTTTCTCCACGTCTCTACATGTTAAATGTAACTTTATGAAGTACATTAGCAGCCAATAATATTAACTTGTATGTAATAGTTTACTTGTAGGAATTTGAAAGCAGGTGGAACTTGAAGGTAATTGAGATTAAGTGAATTTAAGATTAAATAGCTTCATTTTATATAAACAGTTAATTTCATGCATATTTTATGGACAACTTAAAAGTGAAAAATTCTGATAAGGTGAACTAAATTTTTCATTATTGATATAAGTAACGTGACTTTAAATCTGTTACCTTAATAATTAATTTCTAAACAAACAAAACAGGTATAAAAATAATCATGGACTATATTCATTAGGTCAAGTAAATAAGAATAAAAACTTCCTAGGTTTTGTCTTGGCCATATAAGGTCTTTGAGGTGTTTTGGGTTCTTTTGTGTTGATTGATAGATTTAACTTTGCCTCTCTTCTGAGAAGTTTCTCCCTCTTTGTCAATAGGTGTCTGATGATTTGTGAGCCTCAAGTGACTACTCTGTGGAATCATCTGTCCTTGCCTTTGAATTAGCTTTCCCTAGGCCATGAGTCAACATTAGTAGTTTATACATCCAAATTGGTAGGTCTTTATGAAATTCTTCTATGTATTCGTTCTAGACATATAAGTGAAGTATAAGAAATTATAGATTTACATTGTGGTTGTTTTTACAGCTTCTGGACATCTTTGAGAAAATACTTGGGTGGCATTGAAACACTAGCCAATGGAAGCATTTGATTTTGTAGAATTTTGAAATGTAGTGCCTTACTCATAGTACACTTCCTAGTCTTGGGGGTGGGAAGACCAGTCTGTAGCTAACTTATTACTGTCTTATACATCATGCTAAAGCCCAGCCTGGGCATTTGTAAACCTCGGGGAGGTTTCTACTTTAGACAACAGTTTTTGTTGAGGGATTACACCACAGTCAGTTCCCTCCATTTCTCCCTCTCTTCCTGGCCCCCCTCCCACCCAACATGGAGCCTTTTCAACTCTTCAAAGAAGTGGGAAAAAAAAGTAGACTCTTTATTAATGGCAGAAAACAAACTGGCTGCTGTACTTCCGAGGCAGCTCTCTAATAATAAAGCAGAGTAGGCACTGCAACAAAGAATTCTTGAATGTACTAAATATATAGGGAAGCCTATTTAAATTCACCAGAGGGGCTTAGAGGACAAGCAGCAGAAAGTTTAGAATTCAATTCAAGCCATG
This sequence comes from Homo sapiens, assembly GCF_000001405.40. Classification (NCBI taxonomy): domain Eukaryota; kingdom Metazoa; phylum Chordata; class Mammalia; order Primates; family Hominidae; genus Homo; species Homo sapiens. The sequence goes on from NC_000021.9 coordinate 16,595,079, forward strand.
CCAGAAAATGAAAATGTACTTAAAAAAGGATTTCTGAAACAATTGTTCAAAGAAATGTCAACTTTTAAGGTTCTTTCTAGAAGAATGAAATTTGTACTCTAATTTATGTGGTGACTTTTTCAATTAGAGAGGAAAAGTGATTAACAGAATCTCAAAGGAATTGTATCTTATGTTTAAAGAAAACGTGTTTTCTTTCCATAGGATGTTCTCTAGTGAGGGCCACCTAGTGCACTGACTAAAAACAACCAAATATATTTATGGGACAAACAGATAATGTATTTTTTTTTTTTTTTAGCAATTAGACATAACAAATGCTCATCTTACTTTGACAGAAAAATATTCAACTTTATATTCTTTCTAGTTCATTTTCTCACATTCAGCTCTACGATTTAAAATATTTTAATTGTAACTCTGAAAGAGCAATTTGCTGATAAATAATAGGACTATGTGTTTCTAAATTTAAGAGATAAAAAAGTGATCCCTACCTTATCTCTTAGTGATTGAGTCAAGAAATTATCGTTGCCCATTATTTACCTATCTATAAGACATGTGTTTCTATAAGGAATACCCACATCTATAAGAATATATATTTTATTAATCACAATGTTCACTTTCTTTATAAAAACTGCTTATAAAGATCCCAGCACTTTGGGAGGCCGAGGTGGGCGGATCACGAGGTCAGGAGATGGAGACCATCCTGGCTAACACGGTGAAACCCCATCTCTACTAAAAATACAAAAAATTAGCCAGGCGTGGTGGCGGGTGCCTGTTGTCCCAGCTACTCGGGAGGCTGAGGCAGGAGAATGGCGTGAACCCGGGAGGCGGAGCTTGCAGTGAGCCGAGATCGCGCCACTGCACTCCAGCCTGGGCGGCAGAGCGAGACTCCGTCTCAAAAAAAAAAAAAAAAAAAAAAAAAAAACTGCTTATAAATTTTATTCAAGGCCAGTATGGTCTTGACTGATGAATGAAATTTCATACAGGCTTTCCTTAATACCTTCTTTTAGAAGTAACATAGATATTGGAAAAAAAAGATCGTTTTTCTTTGTCCTCAAGGATTGCAAGTTTTAAAGAGAATGGAGGCTTGGACTTGCTAGTGACCATCTTTGTTGCCATTGTGGAGAGATTCTACCTGAGAATGAAACCCACATGGAATTCATCAGTTCCACAGTATAATTTGTCAGCTTAAAATAAGATATTTATTTATTAATGCATCTATTCTTCCCACCCTCCCCCAAGTTCTCTCTGCTGGCTCTGCCTCTCCCTCTCACCTGATATGTTCTCCCTCTTTCTTTCTCTTTCTCTCCAGTGTTGACTTCATTCTCAGGTAAGCTTTCTGAATGTGGTGGCAAAGATGGCCACATACAACTTCAGACTTGCATCATGCGTCATCCTACAGCCTGTGAATCCAGGAAAAATAAACAAACAAAAAGATTCTCTTTATGCCAACATCAATTTCAGTTGTCAGAAAATCTTGGATTGGCTCTGTTTTGGTGACATGCCCATATGTGGATCCACTTATTTGATAAACAAGGACTACTCTGATTGGATGGCCAATGTAGGGAGGCAAAAGACGACTAGCCTATCAAGGTCATGAGGAATGAGTGAGGGTCTGTCAGTCGTAGAAAGTGAAAGGAATTTAAAGCAGGCGGGAATGTAATGGAACACACAACCACCACTACACATTTTTTAATTACTGAGTATAATGATGATTGATAGGCTTTTGAAAATGTTTGTCTTGGTAAACTCACTGGTACCTATCAATGTGTAGGCAACATTAGTTTATTTTGCCAAATGTCCTCTTACAGCATGGAAACTATAAAACATCTGCTGCAGCAAATCTCAACCTTGAGTGTCATGAGATTAATTACTTTTATTAACACTTTCCATAAGCATGTAATATATGACATATACCAGGAAAGTCAGCATTTGGTCTCATTTAGGAATTTGAAATTTTAAAAATTATTTAAGATTACTAGAAATTGTTTGGTAAAGAAGAGATGATTATTTTTTTCTGTAGCCTATTGTGTCTATCCTTAACCACCATATGATCAGACCATTTCCTTACAGCAAATTTTATATCCTCCCCACTTTTACCTCTAATGTTAGAGATAATTAGTGCTGATTCTTGGAAATTTTTATTTTTGTTTATGAATTAATTTCTTCCTCTACTACTATTATACATATATATATGCATTATATATACATATGTGTGTGTGTGTTTGTGTGTATGATGTATATATGATGGCTACAGTTATAAAATAAGGATGTTAGATTCTTATTCCATATCCTTTACCTTGTTGCTCTTTTGTTTATCATAGTATGACCTGGGTGGTTTTTAACATTTTACCATCAAGAACTACTATTTAGGAATCTTTCTCAATGAAAAAGAGATTAATTTACTATGAATAATGGTTCTAATGCAAAACATTTTGGGCTTTTGTTGTGATGCAGATGAGCAAAGCCATAAATATAATTTAGAGAGTTTGAAAATGTATTTTAACATTCACAATTCTTCTTACTAATTAATCAAATTACAAAATTATGCTGTGGCTTCCAGTATATTAAAATAAGTTGTCATATTTGGAACATCTGTTTATGGTCCTATTATGAATATGTATTTCTAAAGGGCTGAAATATAGATTGCCATAAATAATGTTTGCAATTTAGTCCGTGGAAAAATGATACCTACTTCCCTTCACAATGCTTGTTTATTTCCCACGAAGTAAATCTTCCAGATTGTATTTTATCATTTTCTTATCAAGACGGAGGAAAAAAGACTCGGGTCTTACTTAAGCCTTGCTGATTGGTTAAGAAAAGAGATGGCTGTCATCGGCAGCCTTGCCAGACACTGTACCGTGGCTCCAGACAGTCAGCTGGTACTATCGCTTTGTCTCAACTATAAATCACAGTCTCGTAATGGCCAAGGCTGACACCTTGACATTTTCAAGAAGAGTAAAAGACCTGATTTGAATGGAAATCAATTTCATTTCACAAATCTTGGGTGACTACTCCAAGCCTTTTCTTGTGTCTTCTTGAGACTTATTTGGGATTTTCATGATCATCAGAGGATTATTTGAGTGTTATATTATGACTTTTTAAAGCTATAAAACCATATTCTTACTTCCTTCTTCATTCCTAACATGAGAAAATTGATTTTTAAAGTTTTATGTAAGAAAAATCACTAATAAGCACTGATAGTTTTTAAAATGGCAATAGCAGCCAATGCTGTTTAGTTTTGCAAAACTTTTGTAAAATGTTCTCTGATTTAAAAGTACAAGCTGTGTACACACGTATCCAGATTAACCTTTGATTACCTGATAATAAATATTAGCAATTATCAAGTGATTTTGCACTTCAATCAAGCAGGTCTCAATGAAACTTAAAATCTTTTGAAAAGTATTTTCACTTTTACGTTCTTAGACATAACAAGAAAGTTTTAAGCCTTAAATTTTAAGTATTCTAGAGCCAATGATGAGTAAAAAGTACTTAATTATGTTAGATGGGACCTTGCATTAAATTGCATCCGATCTTTTGACCATTCGACCCAAGTGACACAGAAATAATTTCATACTTTACTAGTATGAAAAGAAATTCTTTTTGGGGCTTTTAGGAGCTTGGCATTGAATGTTTAAAATGTTTAATATACTTATTCTGTTACATCTTTCTCCTTTAGAAGAATACTACCATTTCTTTAAAAGCACGGAGGGGAAGACATTTCTTCTTTCCTGGTATTTTGTCTTGATCCCTCTCCAAGAGTGATCTAAGCTCAGTAAAGCCTTGGTCTTCTCGACACAATATTAATGGAAAATGTTAACCTTACCTATCTCTCTTTTTTAAGTATGGAGGGATTACCACAATGCCTTGTGATGATTTCTCTTCATCTTCATTGTTAGTCCTCAACTTTGTCTCAAATCATAATTTTAAACAGATAAACTTTGATTGTTAAATTCATTATTTTGTAAAGCCCTATGAACGAGTGAAATTACACACAGTTACAAACAGGATTCCCAACCCTTAAATCTTTTTATTCATCCTTCTATCCATCTACTCATTCATTCATAATCTATACAGAACATGATCCTACTGAGGTCATGAGTTCGAGACCAGCCCGACCAACATGGAAAAACCCCATCTCTACTAAAAATACAAAATTAGCCAGGCATGGTGGCACATGCCTGTAATCCCAGCTACTCGGGAGGCTGAGGCAGGAGAATCGCTTGAACCCAGGAGGCAGAGGGTGTGGTGAGCCGAGATTGCGCCATTGCACTCCAGCCTGGGCAACAAGAGCAAAACTCCATCAAAAAAAAAAAAAAAGAAAAAGAAAAAGAAAAAGAAAAAAGAACACGATCCTATGCTACGTAGGTGGGAAATACAAAATAAAATTAGAATTCTTTCTTTACAAAATACGTTCTTATGAGAATTTGTTTAAAAAACAAAAAAGTTATCAAGTCAGAAAGTGATCTATCCACAAAGGAGATGTAAACACAACGTTCTGATGTTTTGGGATTCTAGAAAAGGCATTTTTTGTTGTTGTTTTTTTTTTTGGTTGTTTGTTTTTTTGATGGAGTCGCTCTGTCACCCAGGCTAGAGTGCAGTGGCACGATCTTGGCTCCCTTCAACCTCTGCCTCCTGAGTTCAAGCGAGTCTCCTGCTTCAGCCTCCAGAGTAGCTGGGACTACAGGCTCCCACCACCACACCTGGCTAATTTTTTGTATTTTTAGTAGAGATGGGGTTTCACCGTGTTAGCCAGGATGGTCTCGATCTCCTGACCTCATGATCCGCCTGCCTCGGCCTCCCAAAGTGCTGGGTTTACAGGCGTGAGCCACCGCGCTGGGCCTGAAAAGTCATTTATTTTAGTCATTGAAAATCAAGGACAATTCCTTGGTGGAGGCTGCATTTAGCTGGTCCCTAGATAGGAAGGATTTCTAGAGAAAGTGATGGAAGGGCTTGGGTTTCTGGGAGACTATACAGTATATACAAATGTGCAGGAACAGGAAAGCTGGGCTATGTTTGGCAATGAATGTTGTTGCAAAGTTAGGTGCATTGTTGGAAAGTTAGTAATTGAGTGCCTAATAAAAAGTAAGCTGAAATCAGTTGATGGAGTAGCTACAGAGTTCAGGGAGGTTGTCCTGGGGATTGTGCAATTTTACAATGGAGTAGGCACTGAGGACCTTTTAAATATTTGGGGACAGACGCAAGGATGTAAAGTGCAAGATTAATCTGTTTCCAGTCAATATGGCTTAATACTCCAATCCAGAGGACCTGTCAGAATTACTGAGCAAGCTTTATGTAGACACACCATTTTTCCTACCCCTTAAATTCTGACTCACTAGGTCTGGGGTAGAGAATGTGCAGGTGTGTTTTGTAAAAGCTCCTAGATGACTGGCTAACACACAAATTGAGAAAGAGTTGGATAGAGAATGCTGAAATGAGAAAATATAAGGGATTATTAGATAGAAATAAAGACTATTGCAATGTGTAGGAAGAACAAAAATGGAGATATAAACCAGGGTTTCCTAACATGAATTTCACATGCCCCTAGACTTTTGGGGTTTTATATTCCTATGAGAGTGCATGTAATATTTTGAGTGTATGTCTATTTTTTTTCTGGAAAAGGTGATCTAACCATGTATATAATATTTTCAAAGACTAAAATCACCCAAAATTAAGAACTACTAGGGCCAGTTAGTATGAAGTAAATGGGAGAAAGTTCATGAATCTACAATTGGAAGTATTTAATGACAGAGTAGATTGCATAGGGATGAAATTTGTGGCAAGAAAGAAAGGCAGAGAAGATTTCATAAAGTTTTTCTACCTGTTGATACTAAAAGAATTAGAATCATCATATTCCTTTTGTGAATTAGCATTAACTTCCTCTTACACTTGTATTTCAGTTAATAGAACTTTGATATTAGGCATGGTGTGAATGTGGCACCACAGGAAGTTGTTGAAGCAGTAGTGAAAAATTTAGAGATGACTACATAGCTTCAGAAATCATTCTTCTAGAAACATAGTTGAACACTTTTGAAGTTAGGGATCAGGTTGCTTCCATCTTGTTGCTCTAGTAGAAATGCAAGGAGAAAAATAAAGGCACTGCACTCCCTTTTAAGGAAACAATTTGGATTTTTATAAACAGAATCTACTATGTCCTTAGAACTTAATCACAAGTTACACAAAGTTTTGGAGCGGAGGGGTGCATGAAAATGCAGACTTAATTCTAGGTAGTTATTTACCCAGCTAAAAATCAGAAGAAAAAAAGCAGTAGATATTGAAGAAAAACTATCAACCTGTCATAGTGAACATCAACAATTTTGAAGCATCTGATAATAAATGAACCCAACCATAATATGAGGACATTTATCTCAACCTTCTCCTTAAATAATATATTTTGCTTAGAAAGATGTACAGATTTCTTTATAACATATCTTATGACACATTTTAACACCTGTCTTATACAGGTGATTCATATCCTGAAAAGATTAGAACACTTCCATGTTCAACTGGAAAGATAATATTACTGGTTGCAAATGCAGTTAAACCTATTCCAATGTTACTAAGCCTACTAGTCTTGAACCATTTTAAAACAATTTAAGATATTTTCACATTATCTAAAGATAACTAGGTTTTTTACAAAATAAAGTCTGGGGAAGGACAAAAGAAAAAGTAACAAACTCTTAGAGATCGATGATAGCAAATCTTCATTTTATAAAATTATAAAATGAAAAATTCCAGACTAAATAGAAAAACAAAAACAACTATTAGTCTCATCAGCCAGAGAATATCTCCTATTATCATACAATGTAAACTCATGTGCTCTATCTCTCTCCACCATCACATACATGCACTCAATATTTTTATAATCTTTTGTAACTTGTTTTTCAATTGTTATATACTGAATACTTTGCCACATATTATTTTATCATATGCTTATTATGTTATTGTTTTATGATACACTAATATAATTTATTTAACCAGTCAGCTCACAGGTGTACATTGAATTTACTTTCACCTTATTTTTAACTAATATAAACACTACTATGTTGATAAATACACATACATATAATTATATGTAGTGATTCCCTGGGTATATTCATTGGAACAGATGATAATGGCCTGAATGAAGGTGATGGCAGTGGGATTAGCAAGGCAAAGAGGGATCAGAGAAAATTTAGAAGGTAGAATTAACAGAGTCAAGTGATTGACTGTATAGTTGAATGATATCTGGAAAACTTAAACCAAAATAATTACCTCCTAACATTATGCTGTTGCTCTATTGTTCTCCGCTCATTTGATCTATAACATTTCTTTCTTTCATGGGAAGGAAGATGCAATCAAGAATAGAATAAACAGAAGATTTGAAGTGACTGGTAGATTATTTTTTAAACTTATAGCAAGTGTAATGAGCTCTAAACAAATTGGTCTGGTTTGGAAGAGATAGACTCACAAGAAAAAAAAATGGTTTTACTTTTAATTTCTAAAGTTCATGGCCAGAAATATTAGCCTAATCCTAGAGACCTGGATCATAGAACTTATCATAGTTAACTATCAAATAGAGAAGACTTTAGGATATGATCTGAAGGTAGTCATCCATCATATAGAACACCATGATACTTTCTAGACTGGGGTCAGTGAAGAGACTAGTGTCCTAGAGAGAGAAGAAAAAATTGAATATAGGCAAATATTCCTTATTTCACTCCTAGTTTTACACTAGTGGTCGTTAGTGTCCTAGAGAGAAAAGAGAAAATTGAATATAGGCAAATATTCCCTATTTCACTGCTAGTTTTACAACCTCTAGGGGAGGGAGTGAAAATCAGAGATGTGTAATTCCACCTTTATTATACACTAAATTCTCATACATTCTAGAATATTCTAGTCCATTTTAATATTGTAGATACAATAGTAATAACTATTGTTCTAGATTTTCTTTTCCTTTTCAAGATTCCTTGAAAACTGGAATCTTTTTTTCATGGAGCTTATCCAGGGGTAGCATAGGACATAGTCTTTTTTGTTTTTCCTAAGTTTCATTCAGACTTTACTTTTTCTTCTGTCTTTATGCAGATAATCAAGTACTTGATCCTTAGCAGATAGGCTCATTTATTCACTTAGTCAACAAATACATTAAATACCTTCCATATGGAAAGCAAATTATTTTAAGTTGTAAAATTAATTTCAGCTACAATTTATTGTATTACATTTTTTTAATGTTAATTGAACATATCAAGGCCTTTATGCGGGTTGGAGCATATGCTTCACACAGATCGCACTTAGTATTTTAAGATTATAATTAGAAATAAACAAAGCAGGCCAGGCGCAGTAACTTATGCCTGTAATCCTCGCACTTTGGGAGGCTGAGGCAGGTGGATCACCTGAGGTCAGGAGTTTGAGACCAGCCTGGCCAACATGGCGAAACTCCATCTCTACTAAAAATACAAAAATTAGCCAGGCGTGGTGGCGCATGACTCCCAGCTACTTGGGAGGCTGAGGCAGGAGAATTGCTTGAACCTGGGAGGCAGAGGTTGCAGTGAGCCAAGATCGCACCACTGCACTCCAGCTTGGGTGACAGCGAGACTTTTAAAAACAAACACACTACAACAACAGAACACAAAGCACAAACACACAGAGACACACCTACCCACAAGCCTGTAAGAAATATTGATGATGGTGCTAAAGAAAATGTGTGAAGAAACAGTTCAGAAAGACTGTCGTGGCACATCTTTTCAAAATCATTGACTAAACACACCAAGAGAAAAAAAAGAATGATTTATTTGTTAGTGCTTCTAGTATCTTTCCCAAGAATTCAAGTGGAACAGAGAATCCAGTGAAATTTGGTGCTTTGCATCATTACTAAACTCATATCTGCAAGGTAATCATGTGTGATAAGGCTAAAATGTAAAAGCATTTAAATCAATAGCTCTTTCAGATGTTCTTCTGATAAAATTGCTTCATTTACTTTCCTAACTAATTTATGTAAGTGAAAAGATTAAGAGAAAAACTAATATTAGGAGTAACAGGATCCAAAGAATGTATTGAACTTCATTGTTTTAGTTGGCATCTTTGCGAGCCTTTTAATGATCTGATCTCAGAAACATCTATCTTAGAAAGGGGTATACTTTCTGGCTTCATTTACTTGAAAATAAATTAAGTTAGGGTCATAAGCAGAGGTTAGGTTACTTCTACCTGGAAATTAATCAGAAATTTGATTTTGCCCTTTGTATTGCTTTTCTGCCCCCACATCTCAACACACCTTCTGTCGTACAATCCTAAAGCTCCCTTTCTTGCATCGTGGCAGTTTAAAGGAATTTGAAGTTGTGGATTTCCATATTTACATAATTATATACTGAATATATAATATAATAGGGTAGGGTAAAGTGTTTTTAAAAGATGTGACATCTTAAAGAAAATCCACAGATATCATAAGTGAGTCTAATTTATTGGCAAATTTCAGGCTATGTTCTTAGTCATATTTCTGCTAGAAGAAAACTACTTTCCATTTTGTGTTTTCTCATTTGCATTACTGCAAAGTTATTCATGCATATGAAAAGGATATTATTCATCTCTGTATTCCTTTCTCTCCTTATTCCAAACCCAATGATTTTATGAGTTATACATAAAGAAACACACTGCTATATCTATATGTTTATACATAGATATCTATGTGATTCAAATTTGGTATTACAGCTGGATAGCAACCCCAAGTGATAACATTATGTGCTACATGTGTCTTATTACATCATTAATGATATACCAAAATTGTCAAATATGTTGAAATCCAACAATTGTAACTGACAAGCTTTAGCATGATTTGCCTCCATTGGGAATGAAAAAGAGATAGAGGAATGTATTTCTGAATTCTTCCTCAAAGTGCATATGGCTGTACGATAAGCTCTTGTTTCTTACCTGCTAATATTTTTAGTGAGATGCTGTTGTCACAGTATTCATGGTAACTGGTTTCTGAAGTTTTTATGTGCATAAAGCCATATCATCTCCTAAATTGAAATTCCAGTGATATTCCAGAAGGAACTATGAAGGTGAACTGGCAAGAAGAAAGATGACCAACCTGACAGGGCTTTTTCCTTTCTCTAATGTTTGATTCTTCTTATCTCAATATCCCAAGGAAATTATTTCACTTGAAAGTTTAGGCAGAATCCGCAGAAAAAAAAATTTCTCTTTTCTACTCTCCAGTTCTACTCCTACCCCTTAGAAAAGCAAATGGTATTCCTTCAATTCTTGAAAGTTTTTCCTTAAAATATCTTGGCATTTGCAAGGCAGAGGAAAATAGGGTTGACAGTGAATTTCATGGACACAAACCTCATTCATGACAATGATGAGGTATTCAAGATTTCTCACCCTTTGTGTCCTGCTTTATGTGTATTTAGGGATGGCATGAAGGAGGAGAAAGAGGAAGCTTATACTTTTTTCTTTAAAATTAATTCCCATTTAGCCGTTAAAGAGTGGAATCGTTTTTAAGCCGGGAAGACATTGTATTTGCATTTTCCTTTTCAATAATTGTAGCAGATATGAAAGTGAATAGACAATGGCAGTCACATACAGAATAACCTGGTTTCCTAGATGGACCCACTTGTCGGAGATCAAACGGCTACAGCACATTTAGGGTTACACTCTCTTTCCCTTCCTCCTTATTCTCAACTGCAGTGGAGCTTGTTCCAAAGTTGCCATGGTAACACTATATCTGGCTGCTAGCTCTGTCGTAAGTTATTGAACTGAGACTGGCTTTTGGTTTAGCAGATAATTAGGTTCTGTCTCACAGGTTCATTTTCCTGTGACTGGGACGTGAATATGACCTACAGCTGGCCTCAATTTCAGTGTCACAGACAAAACTTTAACCCTTCCAAGCTCCTCTGGCACACTCCTAAGCACCGCTTGTGTGGTAGAGGAAGTCCAGTGTATGTCACCCATACCTTGAGGAGGATTACCAAGTCCTCATTTTATTTTTTATCTTTAGCATAACACTAAAGAAAATATAGTGAAGGTTGTACACATAGAGCATTTTCAAAATAAAAAATATAACAATGTGATATATAGTTATGTATTTTATATATACTACATGAAACTTTTTGTAGTCATATTATTTCCTTGAGTCTCTAATAATTTTTAAGTCACACTGAAATTTCTTCTGTTATAATTAGGAATCCACAGAATTTCAATTTCAAAACCTCTGTTCTCAGAAATATTAGGTGGGTACTTTTATTCTCAGCTTTGAGAACTGTCTGCCAGTTCATTGACACTCCTCTCTCTGCTCTTATATACCCTGAATTATAGCTGACATTAAAAGGTTCCATTGGAGTCACAGGCAGACCCATATGACAGGAAACACCGCTACCACTCTACTAAATGCCAAAATGCTCACTCAGGGCTTAAATCTTGCTGGCTTGGAAAACCAGCTACTTCTTTTGCATGTTGTATTTGGAAGATTTCAATCAGTTAAATAGCTGCCCTTTGTTTAAGACAAAGAAAGAAACATAACTTTGGGAACAGATATTGAATTCACAATATCCATGGCAACACAGAGAGCTGTGGAATTGCTAAGAGAAGATGTACCTTTGTATGTCAAACAATGGGAAAGACCTTCAAGGAAATCTGTTTAAAATTTTTAGTGTATGTCACCTAGAAGCTTAACATGAAAAGGTAAGAAAGGAATAGGGAGAGTTGAGTTTACCAGAATTAAAACATGAGTTAAAGGAATTCCATACCCTAATTGGCCGAAGGATCACCTAACCATGTTAATAGTGACAGGTAAAATTTGTGAAAGGGAAGATTAGAAGATTCAACAATTGCATATTGGACTTATGATGTGTGTGTGTATGTGTGTGTGTGCGTGTGCGCATGTGCACAGGCATATGTCCCGCATAGACTGTACTCTATTTTAATCCGTGCCTTTCATTCTCAAACTCTAGATGACAAGAGCACCTCAAAGGCAGCAGCCTCAAGGAGCAGCCATGGCCCCAGACTTGTCGCACGGATGCAGAAAACTTAATGGAGGAGGCTGAGGTCAGAATGGGAAGAGTTTTTAAAAAATAAAAAGGGGAGCTAATATGTGAGGAACTGATTGCTGTGCATTATTTTCCACTGAACAGACCTTCTTTTAACTTCTAATCTCAAGCACATAGCAGCTGTTGTTTTCATATTAAAGATCAGTAAGTGTTTGTTGAATGAATGTATAAATTCTTCCCCAATCTCTGTTCCATGTAATAAGAACTAAGTTAGCATTCAATTATAAAGAGGACTTAGAAAGTCTGCAGACATTTTTGATCAAAAATCCTTTTAACTGTCTTCTTATGGTTCCCGGTAACACCTAAGCCCAAAAAACTCAGGTCATTTCTTGCCTGTACTGTTGCAATAGCCTCATAATAACTAGTCTTCTCCTTTATCAACCACAGTCGTCTCCGCTACACAAAGAAGAGAGGGTGCTAATCTAAAGTGTAAATTATTTTAAATCAGCACCCTTCTTGTAATTTCCCAGTGGTTTTTCCTGTCATAAGAATAACATGCAAAATTCCTTGCTTGCAAAGCCAGGTATGACCTTGCCCCGTCTACCTTACTGGCATCGTCTCTCATGACTCTTCCCCTTTTTCACTCTCCATCTTGCCTTTTCCCAACCATGCCTGCTAGTGAGCCTTAGCCCTTGTGTTTTCTCTGCCAGGGATGCATGACTGGCTTCTTTACTTTATTCTGATCTCTCTGCTCAAATGTCATCTTTTTAGAGATAGCTTTCCTAAACATCTTTAAAAGTACCCCATGAACTGTGAAACACCTTTCCTGCTTTTTCTTCATAGTACTTATCACTTCCTGATATTATGTTAGACAACAAGCAAATAAGTATATGCTGTTCCCACTAAAATATAAGCTCCATTTGAACAGGAGCCTTGATTATTCCTGAGTATACCCCTAGTGCCCAGAACCTAGTAGGGCTTTAATAAATATTAGATTCATTTGTTGAATGAAAAAATGAATGAATAATTGAATAAAGATATCCAGGTAGAGTGTCCGGGCAGCCCAACCTATGTGAAGCCAGTACAAGAATGTTTCTGTGACATAGTGAGCGCAATTATTCCTCTAAATGATGAACTTGCATGAGTACACAAGGATAAAATTAAGCACGTAGTTTAGATTTCTGCAAGTCTCTTCCTCAGATTGAGGAAAAACAAAGAAATTGAGCTTATTCTCACCTCATTCTTACATGAACTAAATCCAGAATAAAGCATCATTTAAATACCAAGCACATCCCTACCTCAGCCACTCATGGAATACTTTATCTGTAAAGGGACAGATAGATAGTAAATATTTTTGGCTTTGGGGACCGTACAGTCTGTGTCGCCACTACTCAGCACTTCTGTTGAGGTGTGGAATCAGCCCTAGACAACACATAAACAAATGGGTGTGGCTGTGTTCCAATAAAATGTTATTTATAAAACTAGGAAATCAGCAGATTTAGTCCACAGGCTGTAGTTTGCTGACCCTTGAATTAGAGAGTCTTCCCCAAATCCTCTTCCCAAGTTATTGAAAGAATGCCCATAGGACCATAGCTCCCTCACCTGGTTCTTTCAAGAAATGAGACAAATTCAGGGATGGTTGGAGGGTGGAACGCCTACCTGTGACATGACTATTGAGCCTGATTTCTTTCCTTTTATCTCTTTAAAGTGAGTCAGGTCTTAACTTTAAACTGTCTCTAAAGTGGCAATAACTGGGCCATGTCAAATACTCCCAATGACAAAATTTCTTCTTGGAGAATGAATGAGGGTTGCATACAGTGGTGTGTTGGTAAATGTTTAGCAACTGGCTCTCTTACTGATTTCTGTAGTGTAAATTCTCCCATCCTGGCCATCTGAAACTACCAATATGATGTCACTTGATGTAGAGTTGGGAAAAGACAGTCTCTTGAATAAGTATGAGCTGGTTCCAGCCCACTGCTGAACACATATTTAAAAGCTACAATAGCTCTGCTCACTGCCATTGCAGAGTCTGGAGGAAAGAGTAGCAGGCTTGATAGGAGCAATTGGCTGAATAATCTTTTGCAATGCCAATAAATAATGAAAAAGTATATAAATATAACGCTGTATAGAAAGCTCTCAAGTTCAGTGTTTGGTTAAAATACATACTCAGTAAATGGTAGCTATTATTGTCTTAGTTTAAGTTATTGCAAGCATTAAAATTAAATGTTTAGCTACAGACTCAATCCAGTTTTAATGTCATTGTGTTAATAAGGCCTCTTAACATTGAAGCAACAAAGATAAAGGAATTTTTTTGTAGCTATTCACGATTCTGCCCAGCTCAAGGTAAAGATAGCAACAAAATACTCCAACCAGAATAAAAGAAGTCTCCACTTGACTGCAGCTCTTCGCAACACTTCACAAGGGTCAAGCTGTGTTAGTTTCCTTCAGTGTTAAACAGAATGCATCTTAAGAGAATAGTTCAATTATTGATTGAATAGTAGGTTCAAGTTGACTATAATCCCAACTAATACACTCTAAGACCAGGGATGGGCCGACAGAAGGGTAAAGTTTTCCACTCAAGTCTCGAGGCAAACACTCAGATAGAAGTAGTAATATGGATGCCTTCTATTATTTGGTCACATACAATACTGTTCCAGCCCAGTTGTGCAAAACTGGTGAAATAAAAGGCAAAAATATTGACAACAGTTTGGGTAACTGGATTCCAAAATGGGCATCCATCTAAGAGAAATTAATGAAAAAAAAGCATATGGACCTTGAAATACATTAATACACAGTTTAGGTTTAAACACTCAGTTTTTATTAGAAAAGACTAACTTATCCTGTTTTGAACACTACAAAAGTGCTTTCTGAACCATTTACTCTCAAACCTCCTCCACCCATTCCCCTCCATCTATAACGCTTTCTGCACATCTGTAAAAGGTATGACTTAGTGTTTGGTCTGTGAAATAAGGTTAAAAAGGAAGCATTTCTTTTTACATTCTAGCTAATGTTGATATTTTTCTCATGCTTCTATTAGCACATAATTCAGATACATTAGTTTTGAAGTTTTGAATCTTCTCTGCTTCTTGAGGGCTCTCTGTTCTAGATCAACATGATCTGTGGAACACCAGCCAAGTCCTGGGCAGAACCCTCCCCGTTGTCCAAATATTACTGAATCAGTTGAGTTTTCTCTGTTGTCAATGAATTATTCCACATGTTTCTTTGGCTACATTTTTTTTGGCTTTCTGTTCACAGTAAATATAGCCTTTGTTTTTAAAAACTTCTATTATGAAAATTCCAAATATATGCAAATTAGAGAGAATAGCATAATGAACCTCTATGTGCTTATCACACATATAGGTTCAACTAATTAAATTATATCAATTTATGGCCAATCTGGTTTCATTTATAACATCATTCGCTCATTCCTAACTCCCTGGATTATTTGATTGACATGTTTCTAAAGTTCCTTTTAATCTGTAGGTTCCCCCTCTCATTTAATCTTTTGCAACTTATTCATTGATGAAACTGGGTTATTTGTCCTTTATTGTTTCTCTCATTCTGAAATATGCTGTAATGTCATTAACCATATTCTTCTTTCCTGTATTTTCTGTAAGCTTTGAGCTAGGCAGAAATATTTTAATCAGATTCCTTTTTTTTTCTTTTAGCAAGATTTCTTCATAAATAATATTGTATGTGTTCATGAAAATAGAAATAAAAATAGAAATAAAGAAGAAATAACAGAAAAAGGACAGAAATTGTTAAAATTTTTTTATGAAAACAGATAGTAAATAACATTGTAATAAATCCCAACAGAACATAGAGAACCTGACTTTATTGACGTTAGTGGGAGGAGGTTTGTGATTTTAAAACTATATATTATGGTTATGTCATCTAAAAATCAAATATTCAAGCACATATATTAAAATTAGTCATCATTACATTTTTCCAAAATAAAAAATAAAACTAAACCAACATTAACCATCAGTGATTCCATCAACTGAGCAAGTTTGAGTAGCATTACCCTAGTGAATATCAGACTATCGATTATTCTATTCATGTACCTGAAATTGGATAACAGTATGAAGAATTTCCTGAACAAATACAAGATACATATTTAGACCTTCTCCAGTCTAGAGGAATACTTGCTTCTTGTCAGAATGAAGAATGAGGAGTATTGTTTTAGAACTGGACTTCTTTGATGACCCTTAAGTAAACCAATATGGACCAGATAACAGGAGCATTTCAAAGCATCAGAATTTTGGGGGATTCTTGTGGTGGAGCACAATGAGGCATTCCAGCCTACTCTAAGAAAATAGTTCATCCCTGTCAATATCCTGGGAAGCAGAGTTCAGATAAAACTATGAAGACACAATGTAAAATGTCAGTTGTCTTTGCAAAACATTAAGTATATGTGTATTCTTGGGAATGGGGGGAAGTATGTAATTATTTGTGGCTTTTCAAAAATGAATGGCTTTTGAAAAGCCACCTCTGTAGTGCCTTTTTGATTCCTCTTACGAAAAAAACAAACCTGGAAAAATTAGTAGTCTTTAATTTATAGTTAGTTAGCACATTATGACAGAACTTTAATCTCATATCTCACTAGGTAGAAATGAAATAATACATTTTCCCATTATATATTGATTGGAGTTAATTAAATATAGTTAGTATTCCATTTACATTGATGCTTTTTGTTCAAATCTATGGTATTATGTATAAATATGCCAATTATTCAGTAAAACATCACTAAAATTAAACCTATATTGTTATGAAGCTGTTAGAAAATATCTTCTTTGAATTCTGAGAGCTGTATTATATTAGTTTAACTAGTTATCTTGAAATTCTGAAGTTCCTTGAATCTATTTTAATTTTGTATCAGGAATTGGAGAGGTTTTTCCAGAAAAGTGTTACTTAAATGCATCAAATGCAATGTGGGAATTTTGACCCACTTCTTGTATTTCTATTTTCCTGCTGTTTTTGCCCCCAGAGGAAGAATATAAACATTTTGCTTATTGTAACACATTGCTTCATTATGATATATTATTGTTACCATTTTTTTAAAAAAAGAATGTTTCTAGGTTTTAATTAAGCTCCTTCACCTAATATGTAATTTTAAAGTTATTATTTCATATAATATCTAACTTGCCACAGTTAGGAACCTGGAGCAGACTGAACCTTTGGACAAAATGATGCCGTTATTATGAAAACAGAAAAGCATAGACCAGGTGTGGTGGCATATGCCTATAATCCTAGCACTTTGGGAGGCTGAGGTGGTTGGATCACTTGAGGTCAGGAGGTCAAGACCAGCCTGGCCAACACAGCAAAACCCCGTCTCTATTAAAACTACAAAAATTAGCCTGAAATGGTGGTGGACACCTGTAGTCCCAGCTACTTTGGAGGCTGAGGCAGGAGAATCGCTTGAACCCGGAGGCAGAGGTTGCAGTGAGCTGAGATTGTACCACTGCACTCCAACCTGGGCGACAGAGTGAGACTCTGTCTCAAATAAATAAATAAATAAATAAATAAATAAATAAAATCATAGCTGTAGGCAACTTCAAGCTTATAATTTTGCAGAGCAATAGCAGTAAGATACTCTGTACAAAGTTAAGTCAAGGATTATTGCACATCTCATATGATGGGATTCTTTTTTTAAAAGTTTTATTTTATTGTAGTAAGAATACTTAGCATGAGATCTACACTCAACAGGTTTTCTAAGTGTACTGTTTATTATCACTGATGATAGGCACAACATTGTACAGCAGATTTCTAGAGTTTATTCATCTTGCTTAACTAAAACTTTATGCCCATTGAATAGTAACTCCCCATTTCCCCTTTCCCCCGCTTCTGACAACACGATTACCCTTTGGTTCTACAAATTTGACTATTTTAGATACATCATGTAAGCGGAAGCAGAAAGTGTTTGTCTTTCTTTGACTAGCTTATTTCACTTAGCATAGTGTCGTCCAGGTCATCAATGTCATCCCACACTGCAGAATCGCCTTTTTTTTTTTTAATGGCTAAATAGTATTTCATTGTGTATACGTTTTTTTATCCATTTCACCTATTGATGGGCATTAAGGGTGTTTCCACATCTTGGCTGTTGTGCATACTCCTGCATTGTGCTATTCATGGGAGTGCTAATATCTCTTTGGGATCTTGATTTCAATTCTTTTGGATATACAGCCAAAAGCGATATTGCTGGATCATATGGTAACTTTTTTTTTCAATAGTTTTAGGGGTACAGTGGTTTTTGGCTACATGGATGAATTATATGGTGGTGCAGTCTAGGCTTTTAGTGTATCTGTCACCTGATTAGTGTACATCGTACCCAATATGTAATTTTTAACCCTCACTCCTCTAGTTTTATTTATATATATAAATACAATTTTTTTGAAATGGAGTTTCTCTCTTGTCACCCAGGCTGGAGTGCAATGACGCAATCTCAGCTCACTGCAACCTCTGCCTCCCAGGTTCGAGCGATTCTCCTGCCTCGGCCTCCCGAGTAGCTGGGATTACAGGCACCTGCCACCACGCCTGGCTAATTTTTTTGTATTTTTAGTAGAGATCGGGTTTCACCAATTTGGCTGGTCTCGACTCCTGGCTGGTCTCGACTCCTGACCTCAGGTGATCCACCTACCTCGGCCTCTCAAAGTGTTGGAGTTACAAGCATGGGCCACCGCACCCGGCCTATTTATAATTTTTTGAGGAAACTTTGTACTTTTTCCCATAGCTGTACCATTTTGCATTTCCACCTACAGTGTTCAAGAGTTCCAGTTTCTCCACATCCTTACCAATACTTGTCTTTTTTTTTTTTTAATAGCCATCCTGGCAGATGTAAGGTGATATTTCATCACAGTTTTGATTTGCATTTCCCTGATAACTAATGACATTGGACTTTTTTTTATATATCTGCTGGCCACCTGTATGTCTTCTTTGGAGAAACATCTATTCAAGTTTCTAGTTCATTTTTAAATTGGATTATTTGCTTTTTGCTATTGAGTTGTTTGAGTTCCTTATCTATTTTGAAGCTTAACCCTATATCAAATGGGATTCTTATATTTTTGTTTCATATTTTGTAATATATCAGGTCCATGAAATTAGCTATCTTAAGTAAGTTGCTTTTGTGTTGTTTCTTATGACAATTCTGATTAGAATATTAATACAAACGTGAAATGCAGCTTTTACCAACAAATGGGCTAGTTTTTATTGAATCAATAAAACCCATATTTTGAGAGTTTTACTCAAAAGAACCTAAAATTCAGTTGAATATAAAGAAATGGGGTTGTTTGTTTTTTTCTTGTAAATTTGTTTGAGTTCATTGTAGATTCTGGATATTAGCCCTTTGTCAGATGAGTAGGTTGCGAAAATTTTCTCCCATTTTGTAGGTTGCCTGTTCACTCTGATGGTAGTTTCTTTTGCTGTGCAGAAGCTCTTTAGTTTAATTAGATCCCATTTGTCAATTTTGGCTTTTGTTTCCATTGCTTTTGGTGTTTTAGACATGAAGTCCTTGCCCATGCCTATGTCCTGAATGGTAATGCCTAGGTTTTCTTCTAGGGTTTTTATGGTTTTAGGTCTAACGTTTAAGTCTTTAATCCATTTTGAATTAATTTTTGTATAAGGTGGGCGAAGGACATGAACAGACACTTCTCAAAAGAAGACATTTATGCAGCCAAAAAATACATGAAAAAATGCTTACCATCACTGGCCATCAGAGAAATGCAAATCAAAACCACAATGAGATACCATCCCACACCAGTTAGAATGGCAATCATTAAAAAGTCAGGAAACAACAGGTGCTGGAGAGGATGTGGAGAACTAGGAACACTTTTACACTGTTGGTGGGACTGTAAACTAGTTCAACCATTGTGGAAGTCAGTGTGGCGATTCCTCAGGGATCTAGAACTAGAAATACCATTTGACCCAGCCATCCCATTACTGGGTATATACCCAAAGGACTATAAATCATGCTGCTATAAAGACACATGCACATGTATGTTTATTGTGGCACTATTCACAATAGCAAAGACTTGGAACCAACCCACATGTCCAACAATGATAGACTGGATTAAGAAAATGTGGCACATATACACCATGGAATACTATGCAGCCATAACAAAGGATGAGTTCATGTCCTTTGTAGGGACATGGATGAAATTGGAAATCATCATTCTCAGTAAACTATCGCAAGGACAAAAAACCAAACACCGCATGTTCTCACTCGTAAGTGGGAATTGAACAATGAGAACACATGGACACAGGAAGGGGAACATCACACTCTGGGGACTGTTGTGGGGGGGGGAGATGGGGGAGGGATAGCATTAGGAGATATACCTAATGCTAAATGACGAGTTAATGGGTGCAGCACACCAGCATGGCACAGGTATACATATGTCACTAACCTGCACATTCTGCACATGTACCCTAAAACTTAAAGTATAATAATAATAAAATAAATAATTTTAAAAAAAAGGCCAACTTGTGAAGCTAAAACCAGCAAAAAAAAAAAAAAAGTGTTATTCAAGAGTAAGAATGAAATAAAGATTTGTTTTTGGATAAACAAAAAAAAAAGAAAGAAAGAAATGGCAATTACTTAGAGAGGCTTGGAAGGTATATTTCAGAAACCGATGTGACAGCACTTACTGATAATTACAGTGTTAAAAAAAAAGTTTCTGTTTTGAATGTTCATGTAAATTTGCATTAAATTTAATTGTTGTCAAATGTGTAGTTTATGTTCTAGTGTGACAATTTTTAATTTTGTTTATATTCATTTATGATTCATTTGAAAGGGTTTTTGTGTAAATTGATTGATTTGTAACAAAATGCCAATTCTCATGGTACATTATTAAAATTCTGTGTTAGTGATAGAGCTGCTTTTTATAAAAAGGATACTTTCCATTAACATTTGAAAGTAAGTATTCCTCACTTTATCCTGATAATGATAATGACAAAAACTTGTATGGGAGGATGTGAACCAGCACTACACAACTTCTAACGTTTTGTCTTACAGTGCTTCAATTTTCTATCTTGTAAACTTATATTTGTCCAGCTAATTGGATTACATTAAGTGATCTGGTATTTTTAAGCAAAACAAAATAACAGATCTTTGTAAGAGCCAAATCAAAGACTTTGGCCTATTATACATGTAAGCTAGGCTTTATTTGTTGTCATTTTAAAGAAATAGTAATGGTGACCAAAAAACAGCAGAATCTTTTTTTTTTTGCGGGGGGCGGTGGAGTCTAATTTTTTGTATTTTTAGTAGAGACGAGGTTTCACCATGTTAGCCAGGATGGTCTCGATCGCCTGACCTCATGATCTGCCCACCTTGGCCTCCCAAAGTGCTGGGATTACAGGACTTGACCAAAATAGCAGAATTTTTTTTTTCTTTTTTTTAAAGACAGAGTCTCGCTCTTTCGCCCAGGCTGGAGTGCAGTGGCGTGATCTCGGCTCACTGCAGCCTCCGCCTCTCGATTCAAGCAATTATCCCGCTTCAGCCTCCCAAGTAGCTGGGACTACAGGCATGCACCATCACGCCCAGCTAATTTTTGTATTTTTGTATTTTTTTTTTTTTCTTGAGGCAGAGTCTCGCTCTGTCACCCAGGCTGCAGTGCAGTGGCGCGATCTCGGCTCACTGCAAGCTTCGCCTCCCGGGTTCACGCCATTCTCTTGCCTCAGCGTCCCGAGTAGCTGGGACTACAGGTGCGCACCACCACGCCCGGCTAATTTTTTGTATTTTTAGTAGAGACGGGATTTCGCCGTGTTAGCCAGAATGATCTCGATCTCCTGACCTCGTGATCCGCCCACCTCGGCCTCCCAAAGTGTTGAGATTACAGGCGTGAGCCACCGCGCCAGGCCAAAATAGCAGAATCTTAAGAGTTAGAAGACACGGTTAAAATCACCCACCCTCTCTTAGGCTGAAATTCCTAAGCAACACATCTCTCTGGCTTATAGCATTTTAATTAAGGAATTAACATTTTCTAAGGTAAGGAAGTTACTACTTTCGTAGGCAACTAATCACATTTTTGCATAACTCTAATTTTTAGGAAGTTCTTTCTTATTTGAACCAAATTTTATCTCTGGACTAATACCAAATATGTCTATATGACAGCACTTTGAATATTGGAGGTCTGTTTTCATGCCCTTCTCCCCAGACAAACCTTTAATTTGTTACAATAAATTTTTAAGGATCTCTGGAATTACGGCATTATTGTTATACATCTACATGGACTTATGATAAAGTTTTCCAGACCACGAAGTCTGCCCAAAATTTTGGAGTTTAACTTAACGAAATTAGAATCCAGCTACAAAGTTAAAGAGAAGACCACCTTTACTTCTGACACCCAACCACAAGTTCCATATTGCCCCAAACCACCTTCAGATTCCATAATTTACTAGAAATACAGAACTCACTGAAACTTATTATACTCACAGTTTTATTTATTACAGGGGAATGATTCATAAAATCAGTCAAAGAAAGAGACACATAGTACAGAGTCTGGAAGGGTTCCAAATGGGAGATTTGTGCTGTCTTTAGGATGTATTCCTCTTCTACTACTGATGTGTGATGGTACATTTTTGGCCCATTTTGTGTTGGTATAACAGAATACCACACACTAGATAGTTTATAATGAACAGAAATTGATTTATCACAGTTCTGGAGGCTGGGGAGTCCAAGACCAAGCAACCAGCATCTGGGCCTTCTCAATGTGTCATCCCGTGGCAGAAGGTGGAAGGGCAAGAGAGGGAGAGAGAGTAAAAGAGGGACAAGAGGGTCAATCTACGCCTTTTATAACAAACTCACTCCCATGATAACAGCATTAATCCATTCACTTTGCCCTCATGGACTAATCGCCTCTCATTAGGCCCTACCACTCAGCACTCTGGAATTGGATATTTAACTTTTAAATGCATGCTTTTTGGGGGACGTATTCAAAACACTGCAATACACATGAAGAACTATCAAACAGGGAAGCTCAACTGAGCTTCTGTACTCAAAGATTTTGTTGGAGTTTCAATACATAGGCATGAGTGATTGATTAACAATATAGCAAGTTGTCCAAAGAGCCCATGATGAATAACAAAGACATTCTTATCACCTGGTGAATTTCAAGGGTTTACAGATTACCTCCAAAGAACCAGATACAAAGACTGGGCCTCTCTTTGAGTGAGGCCAAATTTCTTTCTATGCTGTATCATTTGCTATTTTCTTGGCCCCAAATACTCCAATTTCTTCAACTTACATGAGATACAGTTTATGAAGTTCAACATGTCTTGGATGTGTTTCTCTAGATAATCTCTAACATTTCAATTTCCTCTTTTGACATACATACTTCCTATTGCTTGTCTTCAGAAGCTATCTCTAATTTAAAGTATTGGAACCCCACTAGGAAGTGTAAAATAATACTTTAGGGTCAGCCAACTTGGAGAATCCTGACATTTAACAGCTGTTAAAACTTGGAAACATTAGATGTTCCTTCTGAACTTCCAGTTCTTCATAGATAACAGTGTTACGAATAATACCCACTTCATATTTTATGGAGGCTAAATGAGATCACGTGTAAAATTTTTCATGCATCATAGGAGCTTGATAGATATTAGTTATTTTTTGGGACAAATACTGGACAGTCTGAATTTGTGTGTGAAAAGTATCTTAAGCACTGCTTGCTTATCAAGTCTTCTAGACTAGATGTATGCATACATTATTAAAAACATAATTCAATTCAGTTCATTAAATATTTATCTAAGTTCAACTGAGAAGTGCACAGCATTATGCTAGTGACTGAGAGAGAAGAAGACAGTTTCTGCCTTTCTGGAGTGATGACATTTTCATAAATATCTCTGATGTAAGTAGATTGGAGTAGGTGTTAAATTCAGATACAAAACTAGTACAACAATGGAAGTCCAAGACAGAAAAAAATATCTGATTGGGGTCATTGGAAGAATGCATCTCCAAGAAGGTACTATGTCCCTGAAGGCCCAGTAGTGAGTAACTTTGAGAATTTCTGAGTGAATTTACTTGGTAAAAAAGTAGATTTAGCAACAAGATATAAATAAATTAATCATGAATATAGAAATAAACTTTAAACAAAATTATAACAGAAATAAGAGCTCTCTAAAATAATTAGCAATGTTAAAAAAACAAACATAACTTTTAGCCATGAGTTTAATCTTTGCATGAAAAATATTTTATTGATTTTTACTGGAATGCAAAGAGATTTCTTCTGTGCTTCATGCTTTAAACATCCAGGAAACTTTACCCAAGTCTGAAATTGATTACGTCAGTTTTTTATTTCAAGGAAAATATGTGTAGATTTTATTTGAGGTAGTTTTGTTTTGAAAACTATGAAGGAATTAAACATAAATCATTTATTCCTCAAACAATTTATTCAACAAATATTCATTGCATGTATGCTGTGTGCCAGGAACTCTTCCAGACTCTGGGAAATATGTCTCCAAGAAAGCAGACAATACCCCTGCCCTCTGTGGAAGACTGACAAATATACAAGTGCATATGTATATATAGACTGTCAGATGATGTAAGTATGATGAAGAAAATGAAAGCCATGTAATGGGTGATGGAGCGGGGCATAGAAAGGTGCCATTTGCTATTTTATAGAAGTAGATCAGGGAAGACCATGTCATGGTAGATATCTGAGCAGAGACCATTCCAGGTGTGGGAGCATGTCAGAGAGGTATCCAGGGGCAACAGTTCCAGGCAGAGAAAGCATGAAGAGCAAGGTGCCCAAGGCCAGAGCATGTGTGCTTGGCATTTTCCAGGAGCAGCAAGGAATTTAGTGTGGCTGAAGGAGAATGAGCAAGGGAGAAAGCAGCAGGAGAGTGCACATGAAGCCCTGTGTGCCATTACGAAGACTCTGCTTTTTTTTTTTTTTTGAGTCGGAGTCTTGCTCTTCCGCCCAGGCCGGAGTGCAGTGGCGCGATCTCGGCTCACTGCAAGCTCCGCCTCCCGGGTTCACGCCATTCTCCTGCCTCAGCCTCCCGAGTAGCTGGGACTACAGGCGCCTGCCACCTCGCCTGGCTAATTTTTTGCATTTTTTTTAGTAGAGACGGGGTTTCACAGTGTTAGCCAGGATGGTCTCGATCTCCTGACCTCGTGATCCGCCTGCCTCGGCCTCCCAAAGTGCTCACCCTCCCTACCTTTAGCGTCTGCCTCACCTCTTGTCTCTGTGTTCCTCTATACCTGTGCTGTCTTGTATGGTCACCACTAGCCACATGTGTCTACTGAGAACTTGGAATGGGGCTAGCCCAAATGGACAATATGAGAAAAATGTAAAATATCTCAATACTTTTCGTATTGTTTCATACGTTGAAATACAAATAGTTTGAATATATTTGATTAAGAAAAATGAATTCCATATTTCTTTTCTTGTAATTAACATTTTTGTTTTGAGATAATTCTAGATTTCCATGCAGTTGTAAGACATAACACAGAGAAATCCTGTGTACCCTTTATCCAGTTTTCCCAATAGCAATATCCTGCAAATCTTAGTCACAATATTGCTACTAGAATATTGACAATGATACTACCTTATTCATATTTTCCTAATTTTAATTGTACTCCTTTGTGTGTTTGTGAGTGTGTGTAGGTGTTTAGTTCTGTGCAACTTTATCACATGTGTAGGTTGTATCTACCACCACATCAAAATACAGAACTGTTCCTTCATCACAGATTCCTTATAGTTCCCTTTTATAGCCACTCTGCCCTCCTTCCTGTGCCCTGTCCCTGCCCAGCCCTGACCCCTAGCAACTACTGGTCTTTTCTCCATTTCTAAATTTTTGTCCTTTAAAGAATTTTGTGTAAATGAAATCATACAGTATGTAAACTTTTGGGATTGCCTTTTTTTTCCTTAGCATAATTCTCTGAAGATTAATCCAAGTCATTTTAACAGTTCATTCTTCTTTTTTTGCTGAGTAATATCCCCTGGTAGGGATGTACCACAAATTTTATTTAACTACTTGCCCATTGAAGTACCAAGTTGGTTCCTGTTTTTGCTATAATCATTTCTGTACAGGTTTTTGTATAATCATGAATTATATTTGTCTAGTTTAAAGGCTCAAGAGTCCAATTGCTAAATCACATGGTAACGGCATGTTTATTTTATAAGATTGCCTGATTGTTTTCCATGGTGTCTGTACCCATCTGTTGCATTTTGCTCTTTTTCACTGTGGCTATTAGACAATTTAAAATTACATACATAATTTTTCACATTTGTAATAATTTTTCACATTTCAAAAGAACAGCACCCAGACAGTTCTTGTTCTCAAGAACAGGACTTGAGACAGTCCTGTTCTCCAGTACCAAGCTCTTACCACCTCAGGCTTTCCCAGGTGCCTCGATTTCTAGCTGGAGTGTGTTCTCATTATTCCCGGACAGATGCACAGACTTCTACAGCACAGTGAGTGGTTAAAAAAAGAATCTAAAACTAAGCAACCTGGGTTTGGATGCTGGGTCTGTCCCTTACTGGCTCTGTGATTTGTTAAGGTATTTAATGCCTTTGTTCCTCAGTTTTCTTATCTGTGAACAGGGTGACTGTAGCAGTACTGATGTCATTAGGTTGGTTTGAGGGTTGAGTGAGTTAGTACATGTAAAATTGGGTCCCATTGAAACCCTTCTAACCCTTTACCCAAGAGTAGGTTTAAATCCTCATATAGACTTCCATTGCAGTCAATGTCCTTGTTAAAATTGTAATTACATGATTGTATTAGTCTGTTTTCATGCTGCTGATAAAGACATACCCAATACTGGGCAATTTACAGAAGAAAGAGGTTTAATGGATTTACAGTTCCACATGGCTGGGGAGGCCTCACAATCATGGTGGAGGGCAAAAAGGAGCAAGTCACGTCTTACATGGATGGCAACAGGCAAAGAGAGAGCTTGTCCAGGGAAACTCCTGTTTTTAAAACCATCAGATCTCGTGAGACTCATTCACCATCATGAGAACAATGCAGGAAAGACCTGCCCCCATAATTCAATCACCTCCCACCAGGTTCCTCCCACAACACGTGGGAATTGTGGGAGCTGCAATTCAAGATGAGATTTGGGTGGGGACATGGCCAAACCATATCAATGATTGTTTCATATTTTTCTCCACTACTGGAATCTAAATACCTATGAGGCCAGTGACCTCATCTATCTGATTTAGTGCTGTATCCTCATTGCTAGCACAGAACTAGTTAAGAGAAGGCACTTATCACTTAAGAATGAATGAATGAATGAATGAATTTCCTTCAATGTAAACATTTACTCACTATTTACTTAAAGTACTATTTTGTTTAATTTATCCTTTCTTAATGTTTAAAAGATCATGTATTATTCATGTTTCTCTGATTCGGAAGACTAGGCCTCTAAGTTATCTGAACAGTTTTTACATGAAGATCCCATGTATTCTGAAATAAAAATTGTTCCAGTGTAATGACAAAAATCAAATGAAAAAATAATTAGACATATCTGTATGATACTATTTGATTGTTAGTTTTGTTTAATGTGTGTGGCTTAAATAATCATTTTATTGTTATACTAGGATAGGTTGACAGAATCCATGTTACTTAACTGCTTCCTTTGGCTTTATGGGCCTTTTGAAGTCTTAGCCCCCAAAGCATCAGTAGGTGATATTGACATTGAAGTACTTCTTTATCTCTCTGCAGATAATTTTATCTCATTATTTCAATTATTTATGGCTTCAATTAGGTAACCTCCATGACATTCTTAGGAAATTCAGAAAAAAACATGGCACAACTTCGATGATTTTCATTTAGCCACTCTCTAAGACCCAAACTGTGTACCAACCATCATGATCAACAGCATATGCTTTTACACACACACACACACACACACACACGTGCACACACACACACACATTTTGTTAGTTATCTACCTTTACTTCCTCATACTACTGAGGGCAGTTTCTGTAGTAGAAAGAACACTGACTTATGCTTATTCTGAGCTAGGGTGAGTTAGGCTCTTGCTCTACCATTTTTATTAACTCTGAAGTCTTGAAAAGACCAATTAGCATGTTTCAGCCTTCATTTGCTACATACTGGGAATCATACCTGGAGGAATCACATTGATGACAAAACACAAGAGTCCATGTATAGAACCGTAATAATAAATAGCTCCATATTTGGATAGTACTAGCCCACGTGCTGAATCTCAGGGACATACTTACAGATGTACGTTTCCTCCAATTTCCCCTATATGCCCTCAAAGGCAGGTATCATTGGGCCAATGTTATACATTAAATATGCTGAGTATCAGAAGTGAAATTTAACTTCACACAGTTATGTGACAAGACTGTGCTATAAAACCATGACTAAATCCAAACTGATCCATAGGAGGGTAAAATGTCCGTTTTCTTCATTAAAACTTCTCAGCTCAAATTTATACTAAAGCATATCCAGGAATTAAAAAAAAGGTTTTGATGATATTTGCTTTCTAGTTTAATAAGTTTTAATACTGAATAGGTTAAATTAATACAAAATAACATAAAATGCTAATATTTATTGAGTATTTACTTTGTACCCACTACGATCTTAAGTAATTTACTGGGATTATTTTATTTTAGTTTAACAATGCAGGTAGCTACTATAATCGTCCCTATTTTACACTTGAGGAAACAGGCTAAGAGAGATTAAATTAGTGGCCCAAGGTCAGAAAGCTCGTAATTCTTGAAGCCAGGGTATGATTCTGTGTAACGTGAGGGTTCAAGCCTTTACCAGTGATGCATGTTGCCTCTTATTTCATTAATTTAAATTGGTCATTTGGGTTAATCACATAGAAGGTGACGTTCCATTTTGTTTTTGTATGACTTGCATTCTTCAACATTTTTCATCCACAGTGCGATAAAATAATATCATGTTCATTCTCTTCTATACCTTTACATTTGTGTTTCCCTATGGCCTTTATAAATAAAACAAACAATTTCAATAGCAAATCCTTGCGTGAAGTGAGTTAGTGCATCTGGCTCCTCCCATTTTCCTGTTGCAACCCAAGGACTTTGAGGGTCATCATCATATCTACCTATAGGCCAGCAATAATTTTCATGATTGGGTAACTCTAGTACTATGGATATGAAAATGTAATACTACATTTCTTAAAAAATTACTTCTATTTTAGTAGATCTCTATATAACTACCTTCTGGAATAACAATATTATGTGGATTATTTTTTCTAATTAAAATATTAAATCTTTATTTAAAGACTGCTGTTCATTTGGCTATTTATTTACACATTACATATGAGTCTCTGTTTGGAATTTGTTAGTTTCTATACATCTGCTCCATGAGCTATTTGTGTGTGAAAGTTGCTGCTTTATAAGAACATTTGCCTTTACGTGTTGCTATTTTATTATTGCTATATTTAATTGGAATGCCTCTATTGTGTAACCAGAAAGAGTTTTCCAAACTTGGGAATGTTTGCATCACATAGTATAGAGATGTTTATTTATTTATTTAATTTCATTTCCCTAAGATATCAACTTTGATTAATAATTATATACAGGCTTTGTTCTTCTTATCTGGGTGTCAACAGTAATTGGAATCCATATCCATATCCTACCTTGCAATCATGCTGCAAAAGGCCAATAAATTCCCGCTGAGTGTGTTACTTGTTAAATTTAGTGCATTACATTCAGGGTAATGAATAAAAGCAGTGGACCGTTACCGTCTGGCTGGCTGAGGAAGGTTAGAACAGCCAGACTCCCCTGAGGCCTTGAGCCAGCTTAAAAACGGTGACAGGCAGAATCAAGGGAGTCCCCAAGCATCACAGTTCAGTTTGTCTCCCTTAATTTCCTCTTCTGTAGAGACTCAGGCTGTAGGGAGGTGAGGTAATCTTATCCATTAATTCACCACACTTTCATAAAATGCTGCGTGCTCTGGTTTCATTAACAAGCAAATACAGTTTAGATAAATAGTTATGTATTTACATTTGAGTAGGGAAGTGAGAATGCTACTGAATGTAAACAAGTGGCTACAGCTTCATGCAGTTCACTTTGCATATCCACATATGTCTATTGTGTATTCATTTGTCTGTATTAAAAATGCACATAGATATTTTTGTGAGTGAATAATCAATAAAGCAAGCCCCATAGGTATATATGTCTACCTACCTCCATCTCATATTTATTAAACACATGTAAGCAGTCACTGAAAAAAGGACTACAACATTGCTAAGGCTACTTACAACTGTTTCTTAATAAATAAATACATGCTTCATATAAAAATATTATTTTTAAAACTGTAATGTAAAAATTTCAGATGTATGGTAAATATGCAAATGCAACAATATTAGAAAAAACTGGTCTATATTCTCAGTTTACTGTTTACAGTTGTGAGAACTGAGTGAGAGTCCTTATTCTCCCAGTGTAATAATTATTACACATTATGCTTCCTGCCAAAACTAGCTGACTGCCTTAGTCCTTTGAGTTGTGAATATCAGTATCAATTCAAAAACAACTATTTAATAACAACTTTCTTAAAGAAAGGAAGAAAATATAATTTTATGAAATGACCACTTTTATTATTCTTGAGTGTCTCAGAAAATTTAGTGTAAAGTGTCCTTTGCTATCCAGGATATAACAGCTGGTTCCAGATAACATGGTATGTCTCATTAGAGAGATACTAGATCTAATTATGCAACATATAAGCAAGATCATTATAGAAACATTATCTCGATGAGGTAAGTAAAGTACATGTGAAATCTAACTCTGCTGTTTGAAAGAATTTTTGAAAGCAAATGTAAGGAATTAATAATTACTTAAGTGTATGAAGAAAGCTGTTGCAAACTACTTATGAATCTTTGACATGTAATGAAAAAATATAATAGAATGATAAGTACCCTGATTATTTGTGCTAGAGATAAAAATGAACTTCTGGGCAAATATCTTTTGCTACCGACAAATTTTTTTTCTAAACAGTAAAAATGAGTGCCTTTTCATAGCATTTCTACTGTGTCAGAAATTCTCAAACTTTAGAGTGTAACTGAAACACAGAGAGGGCTTATTAAAACAAAGATTGCCGGTCTCCAATCTCAGATTCTGTTCAATAAGGCTAGGTAGAGCCAGAAAATTTGCATTTCTAAAATTCCCAACTGGTGTTCATGTTGCTGGCCCAGGTCCACTATTTGAGAACCACTGCACTATGTGAAAATCACTAAAGAAGACGCTTAACTTACATTATCTTCTTGATTATTTTTCTTTAAGATGCAAGTCCATGGATTCTATTCTGTTAGGTATTTTGCTTTCTTTCCTTTTTATTTTTTAGAGACAAGGACTCACTGTGTTGCCCAGGCTGGTATTGAACTCCTGGGCTCAAGTGGTCTTCTCACTTCAGCCTCCCAAAGTGCTAGGATTACAGGTATGAGCCACCATGCCCAGCTTGCTTGATATTTTTCAATTAAGCTATCTATCTATCTTTGAAAATCTAGATTCCTTTACAAATAAATCTATCTTCAAAATATAGTTAAGACTATATGCCGGTCGGGCGCGGGGGCTCATACCTGTAATCGCAGCACTATGGGAATTTGAGGCTGGCAGATCACGAAGTCAGAAGTTTGAGACCAGCCTGACCAACATGGTGAAACCCCGTTTCTACTAAAAATACAAAAATTATCCAGGTGTGGTGGTGGGCACCTGTAATCCCAGCTACTCAGGAGGCTGAGGCAGGAGAATCGCTTGAACCCGGGAGGCAGAAGTTGCAGTGAGCTGAGATCGTGCCACTGCACTCCAGCCTGGGTGACAGGGCGAGACCCCATCTCGAAAAAACAAACAAACAAAAAGAGGCTATATGCCAAGCATTAGGCATATTTATAATAGCATATTGATAAACAACAGCACAAATAATAAAATGAATAGATATTACCAGCTTAATATTTGACTTAGCAAGGAAGAGGCCAGGAATAATTAGAAGTTTCAGCTCTACAAAGCCAATTTTGCTTACTCTTGTCTGTAGACATTGTCTTTTTCCTAAGAAGACTGAGTTTGTTAACTAAGTTTATTAATTCTGTTCATATCAATTTTAAATTTATCAAAAAGTAGCTACTGGGTCAAAGTCTTGATATTGAAAAACTGGATTATGATCTGTTTTCCAAGTTGATTTTAACTAAGCGATTTGACTAACTCTTGTCTCCATCTTCACAGCAAAACAG
This sequence comes from Homo sapiens, assembly GCF_000001405.40. NCBI lineage: Eukaryota > Metazoa > Chordata > Mammalia > Primates > Hominidae > Homo > Homo sapiens. The sequence goes on from NC_000021.9 coordinate 16,627,185, forward strand.
AGCGTGACACTCCCAATCATCTGCATGCTGGAAATGAGGAAATGGTTATTGAATGATACAAGTGCTTTTCGATCATTTAGAAAGTTCTGTTTCCCAAGATCTTTTTTTTTTTTTTTTTTTTTGAGACGGTGTCTTGCTCTGTCACCCAGGCTGGAGTGCAGTGGCGCGATCTCGGCTCACCACAACCTCCACCTCCTGGGTTCAAGCGATTCTCCTGCCTCAGCCTCCCGCGTGGCTGAGACTACAGGCATGTGCCACCATGCCCGGCTAATTTTTGTATTTTTAGTAGAGACAGGGTTTCACTATGTTGGCCAGGCTGGTCTCAAACTCCTGACCTCGTGATCCGCCCGCCTTGGACTCCCAAAGTGCTGGGATTACAGTTGTGAGCCACTGTGCCCGGCCTAGCAAGATCACTTTTTAAGTATCCAGAAAGCTCTTTCTTATGTTGAATTATGTCCAGAGGCATAACTAGACTGAAGGTTTAGACTCCATTCATTCTCCTATGTTTTTGTTCTTAACTGCATTCTGCAGTCAAATCAGGAGCTTTAGAAAATACTGATGCCTGGCTCTCAACCAGAGAGAACTGAACTGAATTGGTCTGGTGAGTAGACACAGGTCATTAGGATCTTTAAAAAATCTTCTCATGTGATTACAATGTGTAGCTGAGAGTTTGAGACCAATGTTTACCGTTATTTACAGGTGAATTCATTAAAAGAGCTAACAACAATGAAGTTAATGTACGCATCTCACCTCTCAAGAGTATTAACAGGCCAGGCGTGTTGGCTCATACCTGTAATCCCAGCACTTTGGGAGGCCAAGGCGGGCGGATCACCCAAGGTAAGTTCAAGACCAGCCTGACCAACATGGTGAAACCCCGTCTCTATTAAAAATACAAAATTAGCCAGGCATGGTGGTGCATCCCTGTAATCCCAGCTACTCGGCACCTGAGGCACAAGAATTGCTTGAACCCGGGAGGCAGAGGTTGCGGTGAGCTGAGATCCTGCCATTGTACTCCAGCGTGGGCAACAAGAATGAAACTCTGTCTCAAAAAAATAAATAAATAAAAATAAGTATTAACACATGGGAAATCATAAAGTTTTCATTCTGAGCAGTGTGTCTTTGAATGTTTTGACCACGCAGAGATGGGATTATCATGGTAAAATCCACTCTATGGATTTACCATAATCTTGGTGGTAACGTGTTAACAGAAGCAATATTTATTATGAGAGTTAAAGTTTCATTTGGTTTAGGTTCATATTTTCTTTCTCCTGTCAGTCTGCAATGGCTCCCTAACATAATTCCAGAGAGCATATGATGTGCTAGGCTCTGTGTAGGGGACAGGAGCACAGTGGTAAACCAACGTAAAGGTAAGTTTCTAGAATAATTAGTAATATGTTTAGAATAAATACAAATATGAAAATCATTGGAAAATTAAAAGAGTTAAATGTTTAAAAAAGATTTACAAATCAACAATAATTTGATGTTAAAATATAGATTATATTGACAAAAAGTAGAAAGGGAATGTGGATGTGAAGAGAGGGAATAAAAGGAGTACAAAAGGAAAGATGTATTCATATTTTTGTCCTAATTGGGCAGGGAAAACTGTGCTGCTTCATTCTTGGCTTTGATACTAACACAGGTATAAAGTATAAGAAATATATGTAGACATTTTAAGGAGACGTACAAAATAAATATAAAATATAAACATTGTGTATAATTATCAAATCACTAGTCAAGAATCATATAATTTAAATAACTAAAATCAAGGCAATAAAAGTCAAAGTTAATAACTGTTATTTATTAACAGTTATTTAAGGACTTGTACCCTATAAACAGAAACTATACATTTTTCAAGCATCTATGATTTACCAAAATAGACTAGTATTAGTTAAGAACAAGATAATAATAATAAATAACAGAAATTTCAGGAATTACATAAGGTCACAACTTAATAATACAAAAAAAATAATCTTTTCATAAAAACATTCCCCAAAAATATTAAAAACAAACAACAAATCAATAACAACATTAAAATAAGCAAACCATTTGCCTAAATAACTGTTGTGACAAAAGGCAAACTAAACCATAACTGTAGGCCATTTAAGAACCTACTAAATTACAGCACCACGTTTCAACACTGATGTATTACCAAAGCTCTTCTTAGAGACAAATTCATAGGCTTTAACAGTCTATTAAAAAGAAGTATAAAAGAATCATGTCTTTATCACAGGAACTTAACTGGACTACAATAAAGCAAAGATGAAACTTAGAAAGAACACAAATTTAATTGCATTAGAGAAATTGGAAAATCAACAAGTAAATCACAGAACTAATATTTTTAAAGAAAAAAATTCGTTACTATTTTAAAAGGAATAAGCAGCAGGAAAAAAATGAGAAAGAATACAACACGCAGAAAATTTTTAAAAAATACTGAGGGTAATGTTTAAGAAGGTAATTGCAAATTTCTAGAAGAAATGCTAGCAAATGTAATTTGTATAGGATGTTAAAACAATACTTAATAATGCAGTACTACATTATCTTAGCAATACATAGATGATTTCAATAATCAATTTATAATATTTGACTATATATAGCAGCATTCTATCTCTCCATGTATTCAAGTTTTCTTATAGGACTCATAAATATGTTTTAATAGACTTCTGGCAAGTTTATACTTTTGTGAAAATTAGAAAGATTTTTTTCCATTACATTTTTTACCTGGTTATTGCTGGATTGGAAGAGTCACAAAATTCCACGCACACAACTTGGATGTAAACAAAAAATACAGCACACATAATCTGGTCTTTTTCTGAATTCCACGTCCAAAATTTGGCAGAAAAAAAAAAGTGTTCAATCTCCTGTGAATCTACTCTGATCTGCTATACTAAAAAATACTTAGTCTTTTTGTGCTGCATTTTTCCCCCCTTCCCCATTATCTCCTCCTAAGCCTTGCCTGGGAATTGCAAGCCCACCAGAGATCCTATTCTGTCACTAAGCAAAATCTGATTTACAATTTTGGCTGAGGAGAGGGAACATATTAAAACATATCAACAATTTTAGAATCAATATTATTAAATTTCATGTAGGTTTTAGAAATGTTTTACTTGTATACTTTAGACTTCATTTTATAAAATTACATTTTTAAAACTTTTTACATTTTTAGGAAATACATGTTAGCTAAAAAACTGTGTTTTGCTCCCTGCTACGTTTGCTTATCCTATCCTTCATTACTCCTTGGATTTTAGTCTAACTGGTCTTGGGACATGCCTCTTCCCCACAAACACCCCCACCACCATACCACATTGCTGTGACACATTTAGCTTGTTAATGTGGTAAGAGTGGAGCTCACTTACAGAATTTTTGCAGACTAGACCTTAGGCTACAGGTCTTTACCATGGAGCAGAAAAGTGGTATCTCAAACCTCATCCACAAAGGTTGATCTAGTCCAAGCCCCTCTCCAGGTTCATGTCCATGTACAGCTTTGTTCTTATTGTAACAACCTACATTTTAGAATAGGCAACGAAGACCATTACCAAGAGCAGTAGGAGGGGCAACCTTCGGCTGTTTGTTTTTCAGGATCTCAACTTGTGAACTTACTCTTCTCTTCACAGAATGGGATAACTGCCTGGCACTCACCAAGCTACACTTGAAGAGGATCAATCCATGTCATCATGTCCCCAATTTCATAGCACCAAGTATTTTGTTTATTCACAAATGCCCTATTATGGACATCTAGCAAACAATGATACATCAGAAAAGGAGATGTGCATAAATTTTCATGGAATAAGGTATAAAGCCCAACTCTCAATACATACTAATCATAACAGGAGTCTAAGAAATATTCTGAAATAAATGGGAATGCAGAATGTGTCAGGCCTCTGAGCCCAAGCTAAGCCATCATATCCCCTGTGACCAGCACGTACACATCCAGATGGCCGGTTCCTGCCTTAACTGATGACATTCCACCACAAAAGAAATTAAAATGGCCTGTTCTTGCCTTAACTGATGACATTATCTTGTGAAATTCCTTCTCCTGGCTCATCCTGGCTCAAAAGCTCCCCAACTGAGCATCTTGTGACCCCCACTCTTGCCTGCCAGAGAACAACCCCACTTTTTCCTTTACCTACCCAAATCCTATAAAACAGCCCCACCCCTATCTCCCTTCGCTGACTCTCTTTTTGGACTCAGCCCGCCTGCACCCAGGTGATTAAAATCTTTATTGCTCACACAAAGCCTGTTTGGTGATCTCTTCACAGGGATGCGCATGAAAGAATGTGCCACAGAAAATGAGACACATCAATGAGGGTAGGTTTGAAATACCAATTTAAAGCAGACTTTCACCGTTTGGCCAGGCTATAAACATTAAAAATCCATAACTAAGATCTTACTATATATTCAGGCATTTTAAGAACTCTGCATATATAATTACATTTGACCCTTCTAATGCCTTTATCAGATAGGTTCTATTATTGCTCTTTTTTAAATAAAGAAGATAAACTTTGAAGAGATTAATAAATTAATAAATTGGTCCTCCATGACACAGATTAATAAATAGCAGAATCTTGATTCAAATTCTATTTTGTCCTCGATTTTAACTTCATAATCATAATGTTATAATGTTGTTTCATGTTACTTTTAGGGATTGCAAAAGGTTAAAACCCAATTTATATTAGTTTAAGAAAAAGCAGAAATCATAGAGGGTACCGTTAGGGTACTTCCCCCTTTCTATGAGGCGTTTCATAGAAACCAAGTACAGGAATACAGCTGTGCCTCAGGAATATCAGAATCCAGGGAATAAAGACTGACCAAACTTAGTTTCCACCTCTGCCCCAGCCACCTGACCCCCTTCCACCACACTCCACTAGCTCCCTCCACCTCCGCTCTACCCCCCACTGTCTTACTTCCATCCACTTAGTAGAAAACATAGTTACTGTGAGCTTTATATCTTTTAGTCCAAATATTCAATGCCCAAAAACAGTTGCTTGACCTTTTTTTTTTTTTTTAATCACAAACAACACTAATTGTGGGGATGGAACACTTTGGCCAGGTTTAGGTCATTGTCCATTCTAAAACAATTATCTATTCAGTCTCTTAAATCAAGAATATTTTGAGAATGTTTTTATATGTCTGACACTGTCTTTAGTACTGTGAATCCAGCAGTGAACCAGACAAACAAGATCTTATATTCTATAGAGAGAGACAGGGAATAAGTAAGTTAAAATATATAATAAATATCCAAGAGGCAAATACATATATAAGATAAATACATAAGCTGATTTCAAATAGTACTACATTAAAACAAGGTAATATATAGCAAAAGATTGATGGGGCAGAGGAGTGGAGGTCAATATTAGATATATAAGAGAATATTTATCTGAGATAACATCTGAATAGAGACCCAGATGACAAGAAAAAAACAGCCATCAAAAAATCTAGAAAGGTGATGGCAGGTAGAGAGGATGAAAGGTACAAACACAATGAACTGAGAATATTAGACAGCCAGGATGGCTAGAACCTAGTAAGCAAATGGGAAAAAATGTAGGGAATAAGTTAGAGGCAGGGAGGCAGATAGGGACTAAAATTACATATGGGAGGCTCTGTAAGGCATTTGAATGTTATTCATGTGGAAAAAGTTATAGCCAAAGGGAGGATGCTATGATTTTCTCAAGTTGGGTTAGGTACCCCTTGGGTTATGTTTTAATTTGACTGCTTTTGTTGCAGCCAGAAGGTTGTAGAATGAGGTGGAGTATTTCCCATGGGAGCTGTGGTTCTGGGCAGATAAAACAATGCACAATTCTATTCTCTTCACAATTCTGTTCAAGTACTTCTGTTATAAATCCCCTTAACAGTAAGTGCCCCCATTGTCAATCACAGTGGCCACTGCTCTTCCAAAACCAGCTTTATCTAGGTTTTATTTTCTACCAGTTTTCAATATCTTAAATTTTCTTCTCTTTTATACAATTTTAAGGCTGTTTAAAAGGGCTAGCTCAATTGGAATATGCATAACTTTCCAATGTTGGAAAGTGATCTTTGCTATGCTGATCATTGATTGATTACCTGACAGTCAACACCTATTTGAATCACTGTCTCTTGCCTCTAAGCATTGGCTTCCAAGTAGATTTCACTGGGCTTTGTATTTTAAAGTTTCCTATTTTCCAAGCTCTGTTATTTGCCATGCTTCTTTTCAGTTTTCTTAGGAAAAAAATGATTGGATCCTGGGGGCATTTGCTAGATATCTGGCAAGGAGCATCACACAGGTATAAAAGCAAGTCAACCTAACTGAGGAAAATTGAGTAAAATGGAAAAGGATGCCAGTAGAAAGGAGAGAATCTGGGAGGAAAAAAAAAAGGGAAACTATATACAGTCAGGTAGTAGTCATATCAAAAAACAAAGGAATGCCCCCAAAGAGTTATGAATTGCTGCAGGAGAATTAATGAGATGGAAAATTTCTCAAGGAAAAAGAGCCAAGTATATATAAAGGGGAGAAAAGCATAAAATGAAGAAAAAAAAAAAACAAATAAGGCAAAATAAAAATTTTTAAAAACCCCATAGTGCAGGGTGAAAGAGTAAAACAAAAGAAAGGATAAATTAGGAAATGGTGCATTGCATTAAAGCAAATGTATTCTGTTTTCTTTATTCTTATCTTTAACTGGCTTTGCATTTCTCGGGTAGCAAAGCCAAACTGAAAGGATAATTTTGTTTATGTACCCAATTTGCATAATTGTGCAATATAAATTACAATGCTAATTAAGGACAGCCCTTGGGCTTCTGGAATTGGGTCAAAGTGGCTCCCCAAGTGCAGGGAGGTTGGGGCATTGGCTCTGTCCCCTCTCCCACTGCAGGGAAGCTGGGCAAGAACCTCTCTGACAGTGTGTGAAATCTTGTCAGAATTTGTTGAAGACCCAGAACTGTATGTCTCACTCCCAGACTTGGCTTTTAAAATCATTTTTGTGTGATTCCGCAATGAAGCTCTTGAAAGCTAAAATTTCTTCTAAATGCGGTGTTGGTTATCATTTTATGAGTCCCCTCCCATTTTTTTTTTTTTTTTTAATTCAGAGAATTTTGGTTGAAACACTAGATAACTGAGCATGAAGCTGGCATGCAATATTTTCTCACTGGACTCTTGCCAGAATTGTCTCAAACCAGTGTATGATATACTCTGCTCAGGCTTTTGTGAGCCGGGGGAGATGACAAGCTGATTTCTGAGCTTTAGTTAAATCCATGTCCTTGAAACTAACTAAACAATTGCACCATAACTACATCAAATTCAGTCCCAGAGCATTTATTCCCTGCACTGTTCATAATAGATGATTGAAAGGAGTAGGGTTCTTACCATCTTTAGCATGGGTTTTTTCAAGGAAAGAATTATTTCTGAGTTACTGTTGTGAAGGCTGGCATAACTACTTTGGAGGAACCTCTGTTTAGGCCTGTTTTGGAGGTGGTGTTTGGCAAGCCTTTGGTAGCCATTGAAACTTGACCTCAAGCAAGTTGTATGCAAAATAGAAACAAGCAGCTCTCAAACACTCAAGTACTTGAGCCGACGGGTAGGGAGGGAGACCTATTATCCTGTCTATGTCGTCTCTATTCACGTTCCTTTTTCTCCTTCACCTTTTGAGAGAGTGTAAGCCCCTTTTATAAGAGATTGATTACCTCACTTGGGTAACAGCTTAACAGTCAAGGCTGCTAGTTGTGTACACATGATTTTGACTTTGAAATACCAAGAAGCTCTTTCCACTGGGATAATTATAGGAGTGATTGGAAAATACGTGGCCTGTGTTACTTTGTTTGCTAGAGCAATGTTTTCCAAACTCTTTCATATCCAGACATGAAAAAACAAAAAGATAACTGTGTGATCCTGGGGTGCTATAGTCTGAATATTTTTGTATCCCCTTGGTGGTAAAGATAACCCCCAAGGTAATGGGATGAGAAGGTGGGGCCTTTGGAAGGCAGTTTAATCATATTAGTGGAGCTCTCATCAATGCAGTAAGTGCCCTTATAAAGGAGGCCTAAAAGAGACTCCTTGCTCCTTCTGCCATGTGATATTTCAGTGAGAAGACAGCTATTTATAAAGAAGTGGGCCTTCAGGAAACTTGGAATCTATAGTCCCTTGATCTTGGACTTTCCAACCTCCAGAACTAGGAAAAAAATACTGTGTTGTTTTTAAGCTACTCAGTCTATGGTATAGCAATCTGAACAGACTAAAACCTAGGGTAAACTAGAGGAGAATTGGGACTGTGGGCAGGGCTGCTCATGTTCCAAGGTGACTGGATCTGTGGCTTTGCCCAACTCAACCTTCCAATTTCCTGAAACTAAGGGTTTAATATCTTGTGGCACATCAGTATATCTCGAGCAAGGTTCCACACTGTAATCCATGCAGCAACAATGTTCAAGTGATCATTCATAAGGAGTCCACGGTCAAATCAGCATGGGGTAAGTTGGGTTAAACACACAGACTTAAACATGTTTATCACAAGAATTGTGACATTAGCAACCCTTATTTCTACCACTTCTCTTTTCCCTATGGAATCCACCTCTCTGCACTTTCACTTTTCTCCACATGGTTTGGGTGGAACTGGCCTATCCTTGGCTATAAAGGAGGGCACTTGACCTGTTCTGGTCAGTGAGAGCAGCTTATCCCCCAGGCCATAGGGATTGGTTCAGGCTGACAGTAGACTAGAGCATGGCAAATCAGAGTCAGACTCAGGAACAATGGAAAAATTTGGCAAATTCTTGGTAGTATTTTTTGAGCATGTAGATAAAACTATGAATGAATTTTCTAAGTTACTCCTCGTATCCGAGATAACATACCTCTCATTTTGCTGAAGCTAGTCTGAATTGAGTACTATTTTCAACTGGAGAAGTCTTGATTGATATTTACTTTTATTTCCTAAGATTCAGCTCTAATAGATCATGTTCCTGCTTAAAAGTCTCCAGGACTCACCATTACATAGGGGATAAAGTCTAAGTAATTATAACTTAATATATAGGTTTTACCTATAATTGCAGTAAATATGGGGCGGGTTCTCTCTCACTGGTTTATTGATGACAGTGTTAGCTAAGAGTAAACAGGGTGGTCAGAGTCTGTAGTCTAGTTAAGTATCCTTTTAATACATTGGTTGAGGGGTCCTCAACAAACAGATTGCTTTTTGCTCCTAGAGTTGATCATGCTTTTGGGTATATTTTTTTTTTCCTTTCTTCTGCAATTGTTCAGGTGCATTTAGTAACTCCAGCCTTTCTCTCTGGCGTATACTTTGTTACTAATTATAAAGGCATAATCTTGACAATGTAGACATTTTAGAGAATACTCCTTCTGATGGTTGTATATATATTGAGAACAGTTACCGTAAAGCAGTGATTCTTAAAGTGTGGTCTCCGGACCAGCATATTGTCACCTGGGAAATTGTTAGTGATGTAGAGTCTTGGGCCAAACCTCAGACCCATTGAATCAGAAAATCTGGGGATGATGGCCAGCAATTTGTATTTTAATAACAAGGTGATTCTCTTGCGTGATAAAGTTTTCAAACAGTTGACAAGAAAGGTCAAAGCCTGGAGAATATCTTGGTCGAGGACTTCCTAAAACCTTCTATCTCATTACCCCAATATACTTTCCTCATGCCTTTTTAATTGCTATTTCACTAGAGTTTTTACTTCTCTCGGGAGCTCATCCTATTTAACCGGGTTTTTAGTTTTACAATTTCATGCCCACTCTGCGTGGATCTATTGTCAGGTTCTCACTTTTCTTGATAGTTTTCTTGGAAAATTAAAAGATCAAGCCAACTGGATTTTTATTATTTCAACTGCCATTATATCTTCTTCAGGGTGTTTTAAAATTATCATATACTTGCTCCCCCCTCCCAACCCCTTTACCATCTTGTTGATTTCAGACTAGTATTTAAATCATATTTCCTAGACAGGCAACTTATGCCATTGTGAGATACAAAATAGTTCATATAACATAGCAAGGGGATATCATTCTAGAATTAAACTCATGTTACAGAAATTTCATCACGAAGGTAAAACACATTTGTATAAATTGAACTTTGACTATATTTGCATCACAAGCAGTAGACCAAGACAGACACTGTTTAATCATTTAGAGCATCAGCTATAAAGTCAGACTTCCTGAGTTCAGATATAACCCACCACTTGCTGATTATGTGACCTTGGGCAAACCCTCTGTGCCTCAGTTTCTTTTTCTGCCTGAATAAGGAAAATGCTTAGTAAATTTTAGTTAATGCTACAGCTTTTGAGGCAACATCCTGAGAAAGATGCCCACACGTAATAGCAAGGCAAGGTTTGTCTAAACTAAAATCCTGTCTCTGTGAACACACATAAAGGCTCATATTTTGAAGACAAAGAGAATTGGTTGAGAATGATTAAACCTATACTGGTAAATGAAAATAACAAACAATTCTTATAAAACTTGCAGAATGTACTCAAACTTAACATAACTTTAATTAATATGCTATCAGATTTAGTTTAGTTCACATTAACCCAAGCCCAGAGACTTACACCAATTTTAGTTAAGATAATAGTCTCTGTTTTTTCTAATCTAGTCTCTTTTTATTTGACTAGAAGTTCTTACTTTCCTTTTCTGAGGGCCTAATTCTCTTCTAAGTCCACTAACTCAGATGTTATCATCATGTTTATAAATGGATCAGTCCCAGGTGTTGTTACTTCCATGCCTGTGAGCACATATTATCGTTTGTAAAAAAAAATGTTCTAAAGTTTTTAAATAGCTAAAAATTCATGTTAAAATTCTTGCTATACAGCAGCCCAGAAGAGGTATGGCTTTTCTCCACTATGGCTATGATGCCTGCCAGGAATTATTAGTTGTTCCAGTAATGTCCCTAATACCTGTCTGAATAATCTTTGGGTGACTGGGTATAGAATTTTACACTCTATAGCATACTGGCTAAATTTGCTTCTTCACAGTTATACCCATCATATACTGTCTGGTCTTAAAAATTCACTTACATATTACATGTATACCTGCATTTGCTTATTTAAAAACTATTAAATATCAGGTACTGTTCTAGGCATCAAAAACACAAGGTTTACTTAAGTCCCTGCCATTATGATGCTTACATTAACAGTGAAATAAACTGTAATCATTCTAGAAGGCAGAAACCGAAAGTTTTCTTGTCTGCCTTTTTCTTAGTAGAGTGCTGGAAACATAAGTAGGTGCTTAATAAAGACTCCTGGATTATTAAAATGCATACTATACTTAAAATGTTAGGAACTTATGGCCGGGCACAGTGGCTCACACCTGTAATCCCAGCACCTTGGGAGGCCAAGACGGGCGGATCACCAGGTCAGGAGATCGAGACCATCCTGGCTAACAAGGAAAAACCCGGTCTCTACTAAAAATACAAAAAATTAGCCGGGCTTGGTGGCGGGCCCCTGTAGTCCCAGCTACTCGGGAGGCTAGGCAGGAGGATGGCATGAACCTGGGAGGCGGAGCTTGCAGTGAGCCGAGATCGCACCACTGCACTCCAGCCTGGGCGACAGAGTGAGACTCCATCTCAAAAAAAAAAAAAAGAAAAAAATATATTAGGAACTTCTGAGGAGCCTAGTTGAAGAAGGAAGCTCAGCAAATGCAGGCTTATGGAGTGGAAGATTATTTGAGCAGCAAATCACTTTAGAGAATACCTAGTAGAACTGCTTACTTTTTAGGTGAAATAACAGAAAATACCTGTTGTTTTAGTAAGGGAGAGACCACCCTTCATATTGTCTTATGCCCAATTTCTGCCTCCAAAGAAAGAAGAAGTAAAAACTAAAAGGCAGAAATGAAATCCACAAGCATACAGCCCTGCGCCACACCCTGGGCCTGGTAGTTAAAGATCCACCCCTGACCTAATCGGTTATGTTATCTATAGATTGCAGACATTGTATAGAAAAGCACTGTGAAAATCCCTGTCCTGTTCTGTTCCATTCTAATTACCAGTGCATGCAGCCTCCAGTCACGTACCCCCTGCTTACTCAATCGATCATGACCTTCTCACGTGGACCCCTTAGAGTGGTAAGCCCTTAAGAGGGACAGGAATTGCTGACTCGGGGAGCTCAGTTGTTGGAGAAGTGAGTCTTGCCGAAGCTCCTGGCCAAATAAAGCCCTTCCTTCTTTAACTCGGTGTCTGACGGGTTTTGTCTGCGGCTTGTCCTGCTATATTAGCAATTAAAAATTAACTGTACCATACAGTCAGTTGACTATACCATACAGTGTACCAACAGTATACCCCCCTGCCCCCTGCTGACATAGTGAAGACTTGTGGGAAGTATCAGAAAGAGAACTGGAATTAAGGAGGAAAATCAAGATTTGTGACTTTAGCCAAATGTCTTGGGTTCACGAAACCCACATAAAATGGCTCATTTTGGGGGATATTGTGAGAATTAAAGGAATAGAATATTTGAAAACACTTTGGTACATTTTTCTAGGCAGAACAGAATTGAGTTTTGGGGAGGGTGTCTTGAGTTAAAGATGGTGATGAAAATAATGAGTCATTGAAATAGAAGGAAACATCCTAATTTACAGTCATTAAGGACTGCCATGAAATTCCACCCCATGAAAATCTGAAATGGGTATATATACCTTCAGGAATGTGTAGCTTGATCATCAAGAGATTCAAGTATACTGCCACAACACACTTATAGTTTAGACCATGATCGTGTGGTAGAGACAGTTAAAAATATTTAATCTCTCTTATTCTCAAATAATGAGTATAGGAAACAAATAAGAATTTAAATATTTCTGAAGATCATCATGAAAATGTCTAGCATATTTTGTAAACAACAATTTCTTGGATTATTAGATACTTTGCTGTTTGCTTTTCAGTAGGCACAAACATATTGTGAGATGTTCTGTATTTATGAAGTTACAATAAACTGTGAAAATAACAGAATGCATTCTGGGTAAGCTAAAGCAGTAGTCCAGATATTTCATTAAAATTCAGATCCATACTTTGGGTTGTATTCTTATTCAAAAATATTTTTAAAAATATTATTGTAAGTATGTTTCTTATCGCCAATTTTTAATTTTCATTTGTAGGTTGTGGAAAATGCACTAGAATCAACAAACATGGGGACTAATTCAACTCGGATATCATGTCTTCAGAGAAGTTTCTCCTGCCCTCCTCTCCCTGTAGAATTAAGTATTCTTCCACTGTGCCACCCTCTAACTTGTGCTCATATCTTCCTCTATTGTAGTTATGTGTTCACATCCCTGTTGTTTTTGTACCGGCTTCTCCCAAAGGGAGACATTTAGTCTTATTCTTCTTGGTAACTTTAGCACAGACCTGGCAGATTGTTGACACTCAACAAATGTTTATTGACTCAAATGCATTCAGTTGAACATTGACCTTTGATCAACTCTGGGAAAAGTCTGCAAAGCTAGTTAGGACATTCAGAAATTCATTTCATTTCAATCCTAACTAAATAAATTATTGAAGTCTCAGAACTTCTCAGTACTTGATTTAGACACATAGAAACTTGGGTAAATAACACCTATATTGTTATATTCCTCAAGAAAAAGTTTATCTTTTCATGAAATGAATCTACTGAGGATATTTATAGAAACTGAATGTAAGTGAGCAGAATAAAGTGGTGTGTGTGTGTGTGTGTGTGTGTGTGTATGTAATTTGAAGAGTAGGTGGGAGAAGGTTGTGATAGGATAGCAGATCTTGTTTATGATAGTCACCAGCTATAACAGACACTGCCTGATGCCTTTCCAATATCCACTTCCCTTTTCTTTTTTTTCTTTTTGGAACAGAGTCTCACTCTGTCCCCCAGGCTGGAGTGCAACAGCACGATCTCGGCTTACTGCATCCTCTGCCTCCTGGGTTCAAGCAATTCTCATGCCTCAGCCTCCCTAGTAGCTGGGATTACAGGCTCTCGCCACCACGCCCAGCTAATTTTTGTGTTTTTAGTAGAGACGGGGTTTCGCCATGTTGGCCAGGCTAGTCTTGAACTCCTGACCTCAGGTGATCCACCTGCCTCAGCCTCTCTAAGTGCTGGGATTACAGGCGTGAGCCACCGTGCCTGGCTCTCTTTTCTTACTTAATGTCTGTGTCAATTAAATAGAAATGTATCAAGTTAAAAACCTTGCCTCGGTAGCTTCCAGTGCAAATAAAGGTACCCATGCCACCCCATTCTGGCCAGCAGTAAAATTGATGGAAGCCTCTGGTTGGGGCTTCAAGGAAAGCTTTATCAAAAGATAAACTCACTGGCTTTGTCCCTTAGTTCAGTGGTCCCCAACCTTTTTGGCACCAAGAGACCAGTTTTGTGGAAGACAATTTTTTCCATGGACCAGGAGGGTTCCGGGGGATGGTTTTGGGATGAAAATGTTTCACCTTAGATATCATCGGGCATTCAATTCTCATAAGGAGCCTGCAACCTAGACCTCTCACATGTGCAGTTCACAATAGGGTTCATGCTCCTATGAGAATCTAATGCCACTGCTGATCTGACAGGAGGCAGAGCTCAGGCAGTAATGCTCACTAGTTCCGTTGCTCGCCTCCTGCTGTGCAGCCCAGTTCCTAACAGGACACAGACCAGTACTGGTTCGCAACCCAGGGTTTGGGGGCCCCTGTCTTAGTTCCTTTGCCTTCCTTCCAGATGGATGCCTGGAGGAACAATCATCCCGCAATTGTGAAAATTGAAGCCATATTTTAAAGTTGGTTTCAATTGTAATACAGAAGAAATCTGGACCTTGATGACATTTGAGCTAGAGTACTAATCTTGATCTTCCTATTCATGAGCTTGTTGCAAGAGACAAGACTTTTACTGATTTAACTCATTGTTGGGATTTCTTGGAACTAAACACAGTCATAATACATTTTTTCCTTCCCAGGAAAATGGTAGAGCATGACTTTTCAAATCTAATAAAACTCATGTGTAGCTAAAACCACTCTACTGAAACAATTCCATCTCAGCCCATGGTACAAGGGATTTTCCTGAATGAAAAATGGTGTCTGATCATTTTGTTGGTTTCTTTGTTGGTTTTTCCTGAAACTTAGGGTTAAAGAATCCAGGAAAGTTGTCTTAGATAGAGTTATAATTTCCGTGGACATCAACTGATAAATGCAATTACAGTTTGTATGCCTAGGTTTGGCAAAAATCATATAAGCAACATCCCTCACATAATATTGTTTTAATTAAATTTTATTTCTTTCTTGGTATGAAACATACTGCAGAAGCACAATCAATGAACATTGGATAGTTTCCTTAAATCTTGCTCTTTGTCCTATTTATATAATTTATTGTGTCAGTGGTTCTCAAGTGGTATGCTCCTGCAACTCATCATCTGAAAATCCTTCCCAGATGTGCTGAAAAATTTTCATTAATTTGTATATTCTATTTTATTTTTATAACTAAGTACACATGCTTGTGACTGGAAGAGAAGACACCCCTCATTTAATCCCAGAGGAATATTTGGCCTTGATTCATGCCCTGCTCACTCCACCCCATTATTAAGATAGAGATCGCTGAAGAAATCCCTGCTCTATAAATGTAGCTGATCCAAAAACAAAATGGAAATTCATTATTTTAAATATTTCTACAAGATCTTTGTACAACTCTATTTTTTTTTCCTATTAAGAATTACATGATTCTAGAATAAGTTCCAACCCTAAGTATCAACACTGGAACACAATTTTAAAACAGGAGGCGATTATCTCTATAGTGAGATTTAACTACAGAGGTGATAGCTCTGGTTAGTGAATTTCAGGACTAGAAATCAGGCCTGCTGTCTCTTAGCTTAGAGGAGGTATAATAAGAAGAGGATTAGAACTACTGTGTATATTAACAAGAAGAACTCTATTATGTTCAGCTATCATTATATATGATATTATGTTTCTTTTTATGAACTATAGTTCACTGTCTTTAAGCATAATGTTTGCCCAAGGTGGGGGTGTTGGTGTGTGTCTGTGTGTATATGCATGTGTGCACATGTGTGTATGTATAGTTGATTCATTCATTCTGACCTACTGAATTTACTGAAGGAATAAGAAGAAATACCTTGAACTGAGGGACCTGGCTTAGCTCAACATCTGTACCATCTACCTTTGAGTATCCATTCCTTTACTATGAAGCATGGATGCTAAAACTAAAATTGCATTTGCTAAACTACTTTGTAGCTAGATTCCTGGGTGAGATTAGATTTGGTCAATTAGATGTTCTTGTGTAACATTTAGAAGGTGATAGTAAGGCAAAGGTCATGTGACTGGCTGATTTTATTTATGTTCAATGATCTTTATTGGGGTACACTTTATATATAATAATAAATAATGCACACATTTTAAGTGTACAATTTGATGAGTTCTGACAAATTTATATGCATGTATAACCAGCATCAATATCAAGATATATAATGATCCCCTCATTCCAGAATAGTCTCTTGTGTTCTTTCCAGCCAATGCCCCACCCCTGGATTCTGGCAACAATTGATCTGCTTTTTATTACCATGGATTATATTTGTCTTTCCTAGAGATACAAATAAATGAAATAATGTAGTGTGTCCTCTTTAACTTTGGCTTATTTCTCTCGGCACACTATTTCTGAAATTTGTCCATACTGTTGATATGGCAGACAGAATTTTAAGATGGTTCCTAAAATTCTTGCCTCCTGGTATGTATAATTTTCTCTCGGTTTTCCGCTGAACACTAACCTAGGTGCTATTGTAAAGGGATTTCTCAAGTGTAATTAAAGTCCCTAATAAGTTTATTTTAAGTTAGAAAAATTTTCCCAGGTGAGCTTGAGCTAAGTGAGTGACCTAAGCAGGTGAGTTGTTAGAAAAAAATTAAGAGATATTTGAAGCGTAGACAAAATTCTGTTGGCTTTTAAAAGAAAACTTCCATGTGATAGAGAAAGCCAGATGATAGGGAACACAAGGTTACCTCTAAATTGACAACCAGCAAAAAAGCTGAGACTTCAGTCTTATCATCATAAGGAATTGAATTCTGTCAACAGCCACGTGACCTTAGAGGAGGCCCCTGAGCCGCAGATGAGATCATGGCCCTGGCCAATACCTTAAATTCATCCTGGTGAGATATGAGCAGAGAACTCAGCTATGCCATGCTCAGATTTCTCACCTGTAGAGCAGTAAATTAATAAGTGAGCATTATTTGAAGCTGCTAAGTTTGTGGTGATTTGTTACACATCAAGAGAAAACATATGCTGTATATATTATTAGATTTTTCCTTTATATTGGTGGGTGTATTTGTTATCTATTACTTCCTAACAAATCGACAATAATTAAGTGTCTTAAGACAACACATATTTATTACCTCATAGTTTCTGTGGGTCAGAAATCTGGGCATGGTTTATGTGAGTTCTTTGATTTAAAGTTGTTGGCAAATCTGTAAACAAGGAAGCAGTCAGGACCGAGGTCTCATCTGAAAGTCAACTTGGGATGGGTCTGCTTCCAGCCTCACTTAACATAACAGCTGGCAGGATTCAGTTGCTCTTGGGTAGTTGGATTGATGGCCTCAGATAACTAGGTAGCTATTAGCTAGATTTCACCCTCAGTTTGTTGCCGTGTGGGCCTCCCTAAGGTGGCAATTTACTTCATCAAAACCAGCAAGGGAGAGAGTTGGCTACAATCTCTAGTAATGTAGCTACAGAAATGACATCCCCTTAGCAATGAGATATTTTATTAATTAGAAAGAAATTACTCAACAGGAGGGGATTACACAATGTAGTGAATACCAGGAGGCTGAGATCAGAAGGAGCTAGTGTAGAAGCTGCCTACCACAGTGAGTAGTATTCTATTACATGAATATACCAGAATGTCTGAATCCACCCAACTGGGCATAGACGTTTGTGTTCATTCAAGATACAGACTATTATTATTTTAAAAATAAAAGTTACTATGAACATTTAAGTATAAGCTTTTGTGTGGGCGTGTTTCATTTGTTTTGAATGAAATTGCAGGGTCGCATAGAAAATGCATATTTAATCTTATAAGAAGCTGCTTAAAATGCTTTGCAATGTGATTTTACCATTTTACACTCCCAACAATGTATAGCAATATATCATAGATCTAGTGGTTTCATATCTCCACAAACACTTGATATTGTCACTCAGTTTAATTGTAGCTACTTAAATAGGCTTATAATGGTACTCGTTATGATTTTAATATGCATTTCCCTAATGCCTATTAGGGACTAATTATGTTAAGCATCTTTTCATGTATTTGGAGGCCATTTGTGTACCTTCATTTGTAAAATATCTGTTTAAGTAGCTTGCCCATTTGGATTGCTTTACATTTTATTATAGAGTCATAAGCATCCTTTATATATTCTGAATATAACTCTTTTATCAGACATACATATATATCAAATATTTTTTTCTAAGTTTGTGGTTTGTGTTTTTACTTTTTATACTGTTTATTGAATAGTAGATTTTATATTCATTTTATCCATTCTGTTATGATCGATATTTTTTGAACTATGAAAATATTGCTATGTAAAAATAAAAAATATATTTTCATCCCGAGTTTCATAATTTTAGCTTTCACTCTTATATCTGTGATTCATTCTGAGTTTTCTTGTATAGTTTAAAGTCAGAGTGGGTGTTTGTTTGCTTATTAATATATTTATAGATATTTCTAATTCTTTCTAGCACCATTTATTAAAAAGTCTCTTTTTTTACCCATTGAATTATTTTTTTTAAATTGTTATGTCTAAAATCAAATTACCAAATACACATTGTCTATTTTGAACTATTTATTCTGTTTCATTGATTTTTATGTGTTCCTTTACACCAATATCATTGTCTTAATTACTGTAGATTTGTTGGAAATATGGGAGTCAAATTTAAGGATTTCAATTTTGTCCTTTTATCAAGTTGTTTTGGCTGTTCTAGGTCCTTTGCATTTCCCTATAACATTTGGAATTAGGTTGTCAATATTTCCCCAGAATAAAGCCTGCTGGGATTTTGAACAGGATTGCATGGAATCTATAAATCAATTTAGTGAGAATTAATAACATATTAAGTACTCTAATTGATGAACATAGTATCATCTTCCATTTATTTAGTCTTTGACTTCTCGGAAATGTTTTATAGTTTTCAGTGTGTAGGTCTTGAAGTTTGTAAAATTCTAAGTGTTTTATGGTTTTGACTGTAATTGTAAATACCTCCCATTGTTCATTGTTAGTACATAGAAATAAAATAAATTTTGTATTAATTTGTCTCATGCAATCTTCTATACTCACTTCTTTCCAATAGTTTTATGTGGAATTCTTAGAAGCTTCCACTTACATCATCATGTCATTTGGTAATTAAAACAATTTTACATCCTTTTCTTATATCTGTATGTCTTTTTTTTAATTTTGCTTTATTGCACTTCAGTACAATGTTGAATAGGAGTGTTAAACACTGATTCTTCCCTTATTCTTAATGCTGAGGAGAAAAGTCTTTCACTTTTAAGTGTGATGTTAACTGTAGGTTTTTATAGCTGCCTTTCATCGGATTGAGAATGTTCCTTTTTATCGCTAGTTGACTGAGATGTTTTATCAAAAATGGAATTTTGTCAAATGCTTTTTCTGGAATGGTCTGATGGTTCTTCTCCTTTATCCTGTTAACGTGGTGAATTATAATGATCGATATTCAAGTTAAACAGTGCATTCCTGGAAAAGCCCTATAGGGTTATGATATATTCCCTTTTAAAAGATTTGCAGGATTAATTCGCTAATATTTGTTCAGGATTTTGTGTCTAAATTCATGAGAAATATTTGTCTATACTTTTCTTGTAATATCATTTTAAATCAGGGAAATGCTGGCCTCATAAAATGAATTAAAGAATGTTCCACTCTCCTATAATTTTCTGGAACAGTTTGCATAGGACTGGTATTATTTTTCCTTAAAAGTGTGATAAAATTCACCAGTGAAGCCATCTGATCTGAGGATTTCTTTGTGGAATCATTTAAAATTATAATTCCAATTTTTAAATTGGAATTTTAAATTGATTTTAACTCAGATTTTCTATTTCTATTTCTTTTTGAGTCAGCTGGGTATTTTTTTTCCGTTTAAGGAATTTGTTCATTGAATTTAATTTTTCTAATGTATTGGCTTAAAGTTGGTTATAGTGTGCTCTTCTTGTCCTTTTAATGTTAGCAGAATTTAAATTGATATGTCCCCCCTTTTTTTTCATTTCTGATATTGTTAACATTTCTTCCCATGCGGACTCAGTGTATTTGTGTTTGTGCTGCTTAGGGTTCATTGTGATTCTGTATATTTAAATTTTTCTTAAATTTGAACAAATTGTTCATTTTATCTGCAGATATTCGCTCTGCCACCCCTTCTTCCTGGGCCTTAAATTATACAGCCATTACATTGCTCAGTGTTATCTCACAGCTCACAGAAATGCATTTCATTTTTTTTCACTCTTTTTCTCTCTGGGTTTCATTTTAGGTGGTTTTTATTGATAGTCTTCAAAAATTTACTAATATTTTCTTTTGCAGTAAAGTTTACTAAGAGTTTTTGTCTGCAGTGTCTAATCCTGTGTGGTGAATTTTTCGTGCGAGATATTCTAGTTTTTATTTCTAGATAATCTAGGTTATTCTGTTTAAATTTCTTCTATCTATTAACATCATGTTTTCTTTACTTAATTGAATAACACTCTAACAGCTATTTTAATATCCTTGCCTTCTAATTCCATCACCTCTACCATTTATTGTTCTGTTTCTATCGCCTAGTTTGTCTCCTCATTATGTGTCTCATTTTCCTATTTCTTAACATGTTTAATAATTTTTGACTGGATGCTGGATGTGTGAATTTTACTGCAGTGATGGTCAGTCATAGTCATTTTTGTCCTCTGTTGAAACCTAGTAGTGTGTCGCCTTTGTTCTAGAAGGCAGTTAAGTCACCTGCATTTCATCTTGCTTTTTTTGAGGTTTGTTTTTACTTTTTTTTGGTTATGGCTGCAGCAGCCCATATTCTAGGTATAATCAAACTCCACTACTAAAGATGGATTTTTTTTTTTAACATCACTATTGAATTTTGAGAGTGATCAATGAGGATGCTTCACTCTGGCTGGAATAAACCCAAGGATCCCCAGCCCTGTGTGAGCTCTGGGAACTGCTCACCTCACAACTCTGAGCCAATTTCTGCTTATTCTCATGGGGTTTTATCCTATGCAGATATATCTCACAGCTAAGTCTCAAAGGGGCCTCATTAAGATTTCTGATGTTCTTTTTCTGTATGACTTCTTCCTCTTTGAAACTCAGATTTTTATTCCAAATATGGTTGTATTCTGGGATTCCAGGTAGACATATCTTTTGGGGCCACAATTCAACCTACTATGATACCTAATGAAAAGTGTCATTTAGTATGGACCTCTTAAATTTCACGTTACAAACTACAGAGAACTGTGACTGTGAAATTCAACTTTTCAGAAGTGACTATAATATCCTGAAATAAAGTATATCTCTGTCTTCAAATGCTTTTACTAGATTCCTTGCACACAGATTTATGTGGTGTACTATAATCATCACAAAAGAATGACACAGTACTCTCTTTCAGTATGTTTACTGTTTTTCCAGGAAGATAAATCAGGAATATACAAAAAAATCAAACCCAGTTTAAGAGAGCAAATTAATAGACATCCAAAGGCAGTAATTGAGGGGTTATAAAATAGGTGAGTGCATAAGTTTAGAGAAGAAAGCTATCTGAGGTCTGGATTCAATTGAAAAGGTTTCATAAGTAATAGGGAGCTAGAGAAGGAGGTTGGAGAATAAAGAATGGAATGGACCACATTCCAGGAAGTTGAAAGAGGAGATAAACCACAGTGAACTAAGGGTTGAGGTAGGCAAGTGACTGGTGATCAAGAGGAAGAGGTGGAAAATTGAGTAATTCGAGAGCAAACCATGAATTAAATGTAGAATAAGAGCTTGACTTTTATTCTACACTAAGTAAAAATCCACTGATTTTTGAAACATGGGTTATGAGTGAGCTTATCTTTTCTAGCTTATTTTTTCTACTGTCTCTCTTCTTCCTTCTATTTTGTTCCAGGATAGTCTTTCCAAAACTCTACTCTGCACATCAAAAATTCCTTCCAATTTTTTTTTTTATTTCTTCAGCTCGTCCCTCAAACTCATTATTTTCTCCCATTTTTTCCCTCTAAACTGTTTTTCTGAAAATTATCCTAGAGCTTCTTCTGTCATTTTGATGTGCATATTTACAAACAAGTGGGCCTTACACAAAAGTACAATCACCTGCCAGACACTTTTTTGCACTTAAACCTACAGCCTATTTAGATGTCAATTATAGTTGAATATTCCTTTGATTAATAGCTAAGGTTTCTATATTTTATACAGATTTAATCCTACTGTAATGACATGCAAAGCAGATTTAAGTTTATATTTAGCAGGGATCTGTTGAAAATGTGAATGAAATTCTGTCTGAGCTGGAACCACGTTGTGCAGAGCCCGTGGTTCTTTGCTGGTGAGGCCCTTAACCCCTCTGGCTACAGAGTTATTTTTCTTTGGCACCCAAAGGTGGAGCAGGGACAGATGATGAAGGGGGCAGCAGTTCAAACATGCTGTTCTATCATGTAAATATTCTCTAAGCACTAGCGCTGGACTATTACTCTCAGCAGTTTATTAGTTCATAGGAAAAATACAAGTAAATGTGGAAATAAACATTGCAGGCAAAGTTGCTTTTAATAGTGTATCTAGTCTTAATATTCCCAATTTAGTCATTTCTGGAAATCAACACAAGTGAAGATTACAAGCTCCGTTGCTATATCTTTACAATGATTATTTCTAACACAGTGAAAACAGATTGACGGCATCATCTACAGAGTAAGCTGTGGTTAGTTGTACGTTTCCATTTCCCTTTCTGTGTCTTTTCCACTATAAATCACCTGACTGCAAATAGCCAAGTATCATAGACACGCTTTGTTTTCCAAGCCTTGTACATGTTGAGTAGAACACTTTTAAAATGTCCCACATTGTAGAGTATAGCATAGCATAAGCTTCAGGAGAAATACGACAGCATCAGTTGGTTGCAGTAGGAAAACCATCCCAGAGCCACGATTAATAGAGAAAAGACACAGACAAAATTAAAAATTTTGTGGACTTGCTAGACAAACTTTTTCTGAAATGTCTTCTCACCTTTCAAACAACACAAAGAAAAGTATGAGTGGCCTCTGATTCTGGATAAAGAAGAAGAATATTGTAGCTAATTTACACCAAAGTCATCCACATCTCTCCAACACCCAATCCTTCCTAAAAGGTAACTAAACCTATCCAGTAACAGTAAACTTGCTCCTAGGTGGACTCATCTTCCATTTCACTCCCACAAATGTCAGGAAGGATTCTAAGGTTCTGAGGAAGAAAACTTATAACAAAAGGTAAGGGGTATTAGAGTTGCTGAGCCTAGAGAAAGGCAGAAAAAGCACAGGTATAAGAATAGCCTTAGGATGTGAAGGAGCAAGGCACTTATTCCCATGAGGATGAAAATTGTGTCTAAATTAATCTTGCCTCTGGCATGAATTTTAAAGACTCTGGTACTTTTACAAATGCGGCTGCTGCTATTATAACTTAGCTGATGCATGTATAGAATAAAGGGTTTAGGTTAGACAGTTTAAATAATTTGCAGATTTTAGACTTTACAACGGGAGGCCAATTTGTTTCTGCGAAGGGACAGATAGGACATAGTTGATGCTTTGAGGGCCATAGTCTGTCACAAGTACAGAAATCTGACACTGGAGCTGGAAGACAGCAATAGATCATGGGCGTAGCAGGTTTCTGCAGACCACACATTGCCAACTCCTGCTCTAAATTATTAACATTAGTTGCTAGAACTGAACCAAAACATCGTTTTGGAGAAGTGGCTGATGTGGAGGTTTATTGACAAAGGGGAAGGCTAAACTCCGACTCCCATAGCTCCTGTTAGTAAACATCTTTCTAAGAAAAAAGTTCACTTGCAATGCAAAGGGAGCATCAGTACATATTCCATAGGCCTCCTTCCAACTAAACTGCTGCCCGCATGCTCCACCCCATAGCAGTGTTGCAACTTGCATGGCACACAAAGATACGGAAGGTGTTTACTTAACAAAGGGAATAATTTAAGTGTCCTTTCTGAATGTTGGGGATATTGCTTCTCACAGCCAAATCAAAATATTTTCACAGTTTCAATAAAACTGAATTTTAGTAGTGACATTACATCAGTGGTTCTCAAGTAGGGTTTGATTTTGCCCAGCAAGGGACGTTTGAAAACACCTGGAGATATAACTCCAAAATTGTCATAGCTGGGAAGGGGTTGTTACTGGCATCCACTGGGAAGAAAGCAGGAGCTAAGATGTTTAGCGGGAATGGGTGCTGCTAAGCATCCTACAATGCACAAGGCATCCCCCCACAACAAGGACTTATCCAATCCAAAATGTCAATAGTGTTGAGGTTGAGAAGCCCTCCAGTAGTACTTTAATAAATTCTTCCTTTTGCGAAAATAATTACAACATAAAACATAAATTCATTTTTGGGAGGAATCTTGAGAGCCATCACTGCACAACAGTTTTCAGAGCAAAAGCTTTCCAAATAGTTTGCAGAAGGAACTCTCATGAAAATATTTTGCATTTTGCAAATTAATACAGGAAGTAAAAGGAAGCCTAATATTTAAAGATCTGAATGCAGTATCTTTGAGAGTATGGCTTAAAATTCTTGCTTTGAAGAAAGGTGCTGGAATTCAGAGTGTTTTGTAGTTTAATTTCTCTAACCCTAGTGTTGGATATAAAATATAGATATATTTAGTTTTTCTATTATGAGCATGGTATAGGCTGGAATTATATCACGCCTGAGCAATAACTTACCAGGTTAATGCTGAGAACTGGAACTATGGAAGAGAGAAGGCTTAAAGTACATGATAAAATAGAAGCAATGCTTTTGTAGAGTTGGAAAGAGATTAGTGGAGACTTGGAACTGCCTAAGAACCGTATGTTTTTCTGTAGGGAAAGCGGTAGCTAAGATGTAGTTGAGGCTGGGCTGACAGAATCAGGTCAAAGTGTTCTGCTCCATTTTGATGTGTCTTAATATGGAGTTACTCAGATGAAGTTAAATCTGTGTAAGTCCTGAGTTTGGATAAAGGAAAAACACTTCAGTGAACATATGGAGTTCCCTTCAGTAATTTAGTTTAGTCACATATATTGATCAAGGTTACCCCAAATAATCAGAAGCTATTAAAACTTATCGAAGCCTCCAAATTATTTAATGACAACAGAGTTAGGAGGCAGGAACCAACCAATAAATTCTACATTTAAAAAAATCAAACTGGTTATTTGTGGAAATAAATATGAAATTCCTGCTACTGGTTTATTTATTTATTTTAATGTAAAAATTAACTTTTTACTTTAAACTTAGATATACAGAAAAGTTTTCAAGATAGTACAGAATTCCTAGTACGTTAGTATGGCACACCTGTCACAAGTTATGAATCAATATTAATACAGTATTATTAACTAAGGTCTATACTTTATTTAAATTTTCTGTTTCCCTAACATTGCTTTTTCTGTTCCAGAATCTCATGCAAGATACCATATTACATTTGTTCAGTATGTCTTCTTAGGTTTCTCTTAGCTGTGACAGGTTCTTAGACTTTCTTCGTTTTTACTGGTGAGATATTTTACAGTATGTCCCTCCATTGGGATTTGACTGGTGTTTTCTCATAAACTAGGCTGGGGTTGTATATTTTGAGAAGAAGACTACAGAGATAAAATGCCAGTTCTAGAAAATCATCTCCAGGTTACACACTATCAACTTGACAGATCACTCGATAGAAACCTCGCATCATCTAGCGAAGGTAGTGCACATAATTCAGTTTTAAACTGAACTTTATTTATATATTGAAATTATATATAATAAATACCACATATTATGTAAGATCGTTTGGGAAAATGTTAAGACAGATATCTTGCTTTAATTTTTAAAAAATCATTCTGTTTTCTTGAAAAGTGTTCACTAAAATATTTAACTGAAACCACAACTGTTTACTGCTGTTAACACCTAATCCTAGACTAACTTACAGCTAGTCTTATTTATAACACTCTTTAATTTACTTCTGTGAAATAATATTGAAGGTCATATTTTTTCCTAAAGTGGAAAAAACACTACTACTCCTCCTAATAATATTTTTAGTAAAAGCATCTTATAATTTTTATAGCATTTTCATGTATATTATGTTTCCGGAGTCTCATAACAATCCCATTAGATAATCAGTGGATATTATTTCTTTAGTCATAGTAACTGTGTTTTTGTACTTTGCTATCAAATATGACAACTATTTACATATTGTATGTGTCTTTATTGCATGAGTGCAAAGATATATTAATAGATAAGGAAATTTACCACTCTTCCTTCCCTGAAAAATTTACATTTGTACTTATTATGTGTCTATATATATTTGTAAGAGGAATCTATCCATTCAATAATTTCCATTATAAAGAAAATATTGGGTTTTGCCGGGCGCGGTGGCTCACGCCTGTAATCCCAGCACTTCGGGAGGCCGAGGCGGGCAGATCACGAGGTCAAGAGATCGAGACCATTCTGGCCAACATGGTGAAACCCTGTCTCTACTAAAAATACAAAAATTAGATGGGAGTGGTGGCACATACCTGTAGTCCCAGCTACTTGGGAAGCTGAGGCAGGAGAATCCCTTGAACCCCGAGGCGGAGGTTGCAGTGAGCCAACATCGCGCCACTGCACTCCAGCCTAGTGACAGAGTGAGACTCCGTCTCAAAAAAAAAAAAAAAAAAAAAGAAAGAAAATAATGGGTTTTCCTATTTGCTAGCAGTTAGTAAGATTTTGCATTTTACTAAAATTAGTTTTCAAGCCTAGTGTGCCAATAAAAATAAACATTTTAATAGGCAAATGCCAAAATTATCCTGACACCTATAAACGAAGTTATCAGCTGAAATAGATGAAATTATTTTAGAGATTATTCTGAACATCTGATTGTTAGATTTCTAAAATATATTTAAATATTATACTGTAGTTAAGTTACTGTATAGGAATAGAAGAAATAAGCTATTATTTTTCTTTTCTTGGCATCTGCTCCCTCTAATTTGGACATTTCATCTGTTGTAATTACTTTTCAAAAGCTAATAAAACTAATATTTGCTTAAAAAAGGTTTATTAAAACAATTTGTATATGGAAAAAGACCAGACTTTTCTTAGGACAATTTATATTAATAAGCCATAATTGTTTAATGTTTGTGTTAATAAAAATAATCTTCAGGCAATATTATGGGCTAGATGGGTAAAGAAACTCTCCCAGTACAGAGCGTCTAAATATGCTGATAAAAATATTTTTAAAAAGCTTTTCATAAAGCTACTTGACTGATGTAAATTAATCTTAGTCCAGAAACAAAGATAAAATATGATATCATAGGGCCAAGAAATTATTAAAGCCTATTCTAACCCAAAGGGCATCTACTGATCTCTGGTGGCTTAGAGCCTAGGTTTTAAAGGGACACTGAATACAAAGGACAAGAGACAGCTTGTGGGCCTTGTGTGGGAGGTCAAGTTTGCCTGCCAATATGGGACACAGAAAGATTAGCCAGGCAATAGGGGTACACACACACATACAGACATACACACATGGAAGCTTATATAGTTTATCTGACTTGGGCGAGGCTTGGCATAGAGTAGAAAAAAATAAAGACTCGCTTGAAAATTCATGATCATAAACTTACATTCAAGCACATATGGGTAAGTTAAAAAAATCCTTTTTGAAAATTTAGTTTAACATAGTCTTGGATTGTGCCTATAGTTACCTGACTGAAGCAAAAGTAAATATTTCATGGAGAAATTCACTCTAAACACAGTTCCTAAATAATTCTTATGTCACATGACTCCATTATACAAAGAAATTACAAAACACATAAGAAACAAGCCACTGATTATGAGTAATCATTAAAAAGTCTGGACACAACAGATGCAGGCGAGGATGTGGAGAAATAGGAACTCTTTTACACTGTTGGTGGGAGTGTAAATTAGTTCAATCATTGTAAAAGACAGTGTGGCAATTCCTCAAGGATCTAGAGCCAGAAATATCATTTGACCCAGCAATCCCATTACTGGGTATATACCCAAAGGATTATAAATCATTTTACAATAAAAACACATGCACACGTATGTTTATTGCAACACTATTCACAATACCAAAGACTTGGAACCAACCCAAATGCTCATCAATGATAATCTGGATAAATAAAACGTGACACATAGACACCATGGAATACTATGCAGCCATAAAAAAGGATGAGTTTATGTCCTTTGCAGGGACATGGATGATGCTGGAAGCCATCATCCTCAGCAAACTATCACAAGGGCAGAAAACCAAACACCACATGTTCTCACTCATAAGTGGGAGTTGAACAATGAGAACACATGGACACAGGGAGGGCAACATCACATGCCAGGGCCTGTCGGGGATAGAGGGAAAGGGGAGGGAGAGTATTAGGACAAATACCTAGTGCATGAGGGGCTTAAAACCTAGATGACAGGTTGATAGGTGCAGCAAACCACCATGACACATGTATACCTATGTAACAAACCTGCATGTTCAACACATGTATCCCAGAACTTAAAGTAAAATAATAATAATAAAAAAAAAACAAACCAACAAACCATTATGAACAAGAGTTACCAGAAACAGTAAATTGCATGCTCAGACCCATGAATATTATAGTCATTGGTACTGGTAGATGCAGAATATAAAATCTATGTGTCTTACATATTTAAAGGAATGAATAAGAATTTAAAGGATAAACAAGAAATACAAGGCCATCCCATCTGATAAAGCAGTTTTAAAAGTGTTACCAACATAACTGGAAGGAATTAAAATATGTTTATGGAGGTAAAAATTTAATAAGCAAGTTTTGTATCAGGTCAGAGACACTTGAAAACCGATTTAGTATCATGAGGACTTCCATTTTTATAATATAGTGGAATGGGTGCCAGGCCAGTCATGTCACCTAAAACATCTTGCAATAACACATGAATTTAGACTGTCAAATCAGACTCAAATGAATCAGAGATCTAACCCAGAATCAAGAATTACTAATTATTTTATGAATACAACTAAATTTAGGGCACAGGCAAAGTGAGAAGAGACCTGGGATCATTATTAGAGCTCCCGGTTCTTGCTTTCTATATCAGACGCACTCTGAACCCAGACTCATATGTGAGGTCTCTAAATGTGTGCAGAAGAAAATATTTCAGATTATGAAACATTTCCATTTTATATTCGTACAGTTACATGGCCTTTGTGACATCTTCCATTTCCCGTGCCACATAAATCCATAGATTCCAAATTTGTTTATGATAAACCAGTCTATGCAACCAAGAATATACTATTACAAGCTTTCCATAAATAACGGCTCTCCTGCTAACAAATACAATTTGCTAGTTTTCAGGAAACTAGCTAGTTTTCAGGAAATTCAAACTTTGGAATTTGTAACCACAAACTAGTTCTCATATGGGTTTATTGCCCAAATTTATAGTCCATGAATGGCCCGAAACAACCCAAGCTGTGGACTTAGTTGAAATCCTAGACTAGTACAGGAATATTACTAAAACAAAGACAAAAATGGTATGATAGACCCTACATTTATCCAGGACTCCTCTATCTCTCCCAAAGAATTCACAATTAGCATTCCAACAAAAATAGTCAGAAAACTATTAGAAATCAACAAATCCACAGGTAAACACATCAACCATGTGCTAGAAAAATTATGGTTGGAAGAACAGAAAACAGGATTCCAGCCACAAAATTGATAAAATTGAATTACCGAATACATAGTATAAACTATATGATTTAATATATTTGAGATATTAATAAGAGGTTTACCTTGAATAAAGAACTTGTAAATTTACAAATGAGCTATTAGAACTCTTAGACTTGGAAAATATAGTTGAAGTGAAATATTTAAAGGATTTAATAGCTGATTAAGTTTGGTTGTAAGGAATTAAAAAAACTGATAACATTTTAGAGAAGTTATTTGGAAGCAACCCAGAGAAAAGAGGTGGAAAATAGGAAAGAGAAGATAGATGACAAGGAAGCTAAAGACAGCAGGAAGTGATCCTAAGACAAAGTAAATATGTGAGTAAATCTAAACAAATACTGACTGTATGAAACGATGATATTAGTATCGTAAAGAGACAAAAAATAGTTGAAAATAATAGCAGAGAAATCAAAAGGCCATTTCTTGGAATTGTTTGGGAGTAAAAGACCCATTACTTTTTATCATTTGGGAAAGTTAAGCATGCATAGATACTTTCTAGGATAACAACTAAAATAATAGAAATAAAAACTCCAAACTAGTAGAAAAATACGAATAAGAAACCATAATCATTTTCCTAAAAAGGACAAAACACAAGCAAAAAATAAAACCAGGACAAATTGTTTACAATAAGATAGTAGAAATACATTTTTAAAAATCAATATTTGCAATAAATATGAAAAGATTAACTGCCTCAAATTAGTGCTGCCATGCGGAGAAAAAAGAATGCTTATACACTGTTGGTGGGAGTGTAAATTAGTTCAATCATTGTGGAAGACATTGTGGCAATTCTCAAAGACCTAAAAACACAAATATCACTGGACCCAGCAATCCCATTACTGGGTATATACCCAAAGGAATATAAATTGTTTTATCATAAAGACACATGTACATGTATGTTCATTGCAGCTCCATTCACAAAAACAAAGACATGGAATCAACCAAAATGCCCATCAACAGTAGAAAGGATAAAGAAAATGTGGTACATATGCACCATGGAATACTATGTAACCATAAAAAAGAACAAGATCATGTCCTTTGCAGGAACATGGATGGAGGTGGAGGACACTATTCTTAGCAAACAAATGCAGAAACAGAAACCCAAACACAGCATGCTCTCATTTATAAGTGGGAGCTAAATGGTAAGAACACATGGACACATAGACTGGGGCCTATCGGAGGGTGGGAGCAGGGAGAGGATCAGGAAAAATAATGAATGGACACTAGGCTTAATACCTGGGTGCTGAAATAATCTGTATAACAAACCCCCATGACACAAAGTTTACCTATGTAGCAAACCTGCACATGTATCCCTGAACTTAAAATAAAAGTTAAACACACACACACACACACACACACACACACACACACACACACACACAAATTAGTGTTGCGAGACAAAATCCTTAAGTTTTTTATGGATCTCTTATAAACAGAACACATAAACATTTATGAAAATATAACAAAACTTTCAGGCAGAAAAAATATGAGTTCATTCATTAAACAAGTATTTATTTATTCTCTGGTATGTGCCAGGCACAGTCTGGCCTTCTGGAGACATCACTGCATAAAACAGTCAAAATACCTGACATCGCGGAACATTAATTTACAACTTGTGGAAATGGATAAATAACTAACTAAATAAATTACATTGAGTATTAGAGGACTGAAATAAATGCTATGACAAAAGATAAAACAAAGCCAAAAAGAAAGTTTTGATGCTTTCTTTGGAAATGGGAGACATGTATACACTGGGATGTTTATGCTGAAAAAATAAAAGGCTAAAAATTTATGTGCTAGACACCTAAGTTTTTAAAGTAACTTAGAAAAAGAACAACAGAATAAGCCAAAATAAAAATATAGCAATAGAAATCACTTATTTAGGGCATATTATATGACAGGCAAGGTTCTAAGAATTTCCCTTATGACCTATAAACTCAACAACATTTATTAATCTATTGCAATTTTAAACTACAGCAGTAAAAAGGAAACCATTTATAATAGTAGCAGCAAAAAAGGAATGCACGTAGAAATACATCTTACAAAATGTGTTAAAATATTGTGCAAAAATTACAAAACTATCGTGAGATAGCAAAGATTTAAATAAATGAAGATATTTATCATTTTATGAATTAAACCATTCAATATCAATAAGATTCCAGGTTTCCCCAAACTGAATGAACTATGGATTTAGTATAATGTTAGTCAGAATCCTAACAGAATATTTTGGGTAGAAATTGTCAAGCTGACTTTACATTTGTATGAAAATACAAAGGAACAGCCAGGGCCATCTTGAAGAAGGCAATTTAGAAGACTTATCAAACATCAAGCCTTGTTAAAGGCTTAGAGCTTTAATGAGCCTTGATGTTTAATTAAATAAGAGTGTAGTGTTAGTAAAAATATAAATTAAAAAAATAGAACAGAATAGAGAAATTAGAGCCACACATATATGGTCATTTGATTATTATTACAAAGTTCCCAAAACAATACAGCATAAAATATAGTCTTTCCAAATAATGATGTAGGATAAATTAAACAATAATTTAAGTATGGGGAAAATATAAATCTTACTTGTATGTTATAATAAAATATTAGTTTCAGTCAGAGTGTAATTCTGAATGTGAAAAACAATGCAATAAATCTTCCAGGACAATTTTGTTCTGAATTTGGGATTCCTAATGGTTATAAATCAAGAATCATAAACTGGACTTAGTTAAAATGAAAAACTTCTACCTATCAGAAGCTACTGAGGGCAAAAAAAAAAAAGTTAGCTGCTGTATAAGCAAGCATGTTTGCAATAATTTTATTTGACCAAGGACTTCTGCTTAAAATAGATGAAAAAATTCTACAAGTGAATGAGGAAAACATAATTCAGTTTTAATAAATGACTTGAAGTCTTTAGCATTTCACAAGAAAAACATGGAAAGGACAAAGAAAGGTGCTTTAACATCTTCACTAATAAGAGAATGTAAAACAGTAGATGCTGACGAGACCAGATATCAAGTGTTAGTGAGGATGAAAAATAACTAGAACTTTCACACAATAATACTGGGAGTCTCTATTGTAATAACCACTTTGGAAAACACTTTGGAAAAACTTGACTAATACGAAACATATATCTACTCTATAACTCAGTAATTCAGCACCCCGAGTATAGCCCTAACTTAGTTGAGTGATATACCTACCACCAGATATGTACAAGACTGTTAATAGAGGCTTAGCTTATAATCACCTAAAACTGAAAAATCATCCAAAAGTCCATCAATAGTGAAATGGATAAATAACTGTTGGTATATTCATGTAATAGAATACTAAGTAGCAATAAAAAACTAACTGAATTCAATAACATGGATGAATAAAAAAGGCCGGGCGTGGTGTCTCACGCCTGTAATTCCAGCACTTTAGGAGTGCGAGGGGGGTGGATCACGAGGTCAGGAGTTCGAGACCAGACTGACCAACATGGTGAAACCCCCGTCTCTACTAAAAATACAAGAATTAGCCAGGTGTGGTGGCTGGTGCCTGTAATCTCAGCTACTCCGAGGCTGAAGCAGGAGACCCCGTGATCCCGGGAGGCGGAGCTTGCAGTGAGCCAAGATCGCGCCATTATACTCCAGCCTGGGCGACAGAGCGAGACCCCATCTCAAAAAAACAAAACAAAACAAAACAAAACAAAACAAAAAAAAGATATAATGTTGAGTGAAAGTATTCATACAAAAGAGTATATACCATTTAAATTTATTTATATAAAATTGAAGTACATGCAAAATGAATTTGTGCTAATAAATGTGAGAATAGTAGTTATTGTTAGAGGAGGTATTGATAGGGAAGAGGAAAAGTGGAAGCACTTTGTAATGCTTGACATATATATCTCGATGTTAGTGTCAATTGCAAAGATATATACATATGGAAATATTTATCAAAATGTAGCATAATGACTTATGTGCTTTTATACATGTTTATCATACTCTAAGAAAATATATTTAACAGGGTGACAGAGATAACAATTGCAATGCATAGCCATGCTTTAGACCCTGACTCAAATATCCTTTAAAATATATATTTATGAGACAGTTTAAAAATTAGATACTTACTGGATACTTGAAGATATTAGGGAACTATTAATTTTGATGTGTAACAATTTAAATAGAGTTCATATATCTTTATTTATTATATCTTAAGTTCTGGGGTACATGTACAGAACGTGCAGGTTTGTTACATAGGCATACATGTGCCATGGTGTATGCATACACGTGCCATGGTGGTTTGCTGCACCCATCAACCCGTCATCTACCTTAGGTGTTTCTCCTAATGCTATCCCTGCCGCAGCCCCCCAGCCCCTGACAGGCCCTGGAGTGTGATGTTGCCCTCCCTGTGTCCATGTGTTCTCACTGTTCAACTCCCAGTTTTGAGTGAGAACACATGGTGTTTGGTTTTCTGTTCCTGTGTTAGTTTGCTGAGAATGATGGTTTCCAGCTTCATCCATGTCCCTGCAAAGGACATGAACTAATCGCCAAAAGAGTTGTTATCTTTTAGAGATGCATACAAAAATAAATACAGATATAATAATGTGATGTCTGAAGTTTTCCTTAAAATAATATGGGGGGTGAGGTGGGTGCAGGTGAAGTATTCTTGGCCAGGATTTGATAAGTCCTGAAACTGAGAAAGAGGAACATTGGAGAGCTTTATACGGCTCTAATCTGTATATCCTTGAAATTCTCTGTAATTAAAAAATATGTTTAAAAAAAACTGTTGAGAAAACCAAATACCATATGCTTTCATTTAAAAGTGGGAACTAAGCATTGGGTACACATGGATATAAAGACGGAAACAATAGGCCCTGGGGACTACTAGAACGAGGAGAGTGGGAGGGGGCAAGGGCTGAAAAGTTACCTATTGGGCATCATGCTCACTACCTGAGTGATTTGATCATTCGTACTCCAAACCTCATCACGCGATATACCCACATAACCAACCTACACATGTACTCCCTGAATCTACAATAAAAGTTGAAATTACTAAAAGAGTAATAAAACTGCTGGGAACTATCAGCATACATGTTTCTTCTATTAACTACTTATTATTAAAGAATCAAATTGAAATTCTAGAACAAAAAACAAACAACAACTGATTAAAAGTGCAGTGCATGTGTTTCATAGGGCATTAGGTGGAGCTAAAAGAGATTTAATATAAAAGAATACATGGCTAAGAAGAAAACGTCTGAACTGACACAATGGGCAAAGTGTCTATAACACACACACAAAATGAGCATTATTGGCAAGTAGGGCACCAAGATGTAACATATGTGCAATTGGAGTTTTAGAAGGAGAGATTAGAGAACATGGGGTAGAAACACTATACCTAATGTTAATGCTAAGAATTCCCCAATTTACAAAATAAATAATACAAGATTTAATAATAACTACAATCTTCAACCAGGATACATATAGAGGAAGCTATCAAATCATAACTGCTGTAAACCCCAAACCAAGTAAAAATCCCAAAGTGGGGGAAAAAGACACGTTATATTCAAAACGAATAGAAACAAAAACAAAAACAGACTGACTTCTCAATGGAAATAATTGAAATGAGCAGATTGGAGAATGTTAGGCTTAATGCTGAAAAAATGTACCAAACATTCTATATTCAATAAAACTTTGCTTCAAAAGTAAAGATGAAATAAAGACAATTTGAGATAAAAGTTGAATTTGTCACAAAAAGACCTTCACTAAAGGTCTTATTTGGCACTTGGAAAAGACCCACAATGGCAGCTTGAGGTAGACAAAAGAGCGAAAAGCAATGGAAAGTTAAACTATCTGGATAAACTTTAATAAATATTTACAGCATAAATAATACTGATGACTTTTGGGGTATAACGTAGATAGCATATTAAAGTACAATAAGAACACATAATTAGGGAGGAAAAAATAGAAGTAAAATTCTGAAGTCTTTTCATTTTTCTAGAAATATTTTAGATTTATGTCAGACCTTATAAGAAAAGTATTTGTTTTGCAATCTCTATGTAAAACAAAAAAGTAAACAAAAAAGCTCAAGTAGACCTAGAAAAATGAAATAGCAAGAGAATGCAAAAAAATTCAAAAGGATGCAAAAAAGGAAAATAAATTAAATTTTAAAATAAATAGTATATTTGAAAAATTAAACCAAATTAATTATTATTTTACTCTTAAAGGAAATAAAGGCTCCAATTAAAAAATTGTCAAGGAGGGAAAACACCAAGATGCATGTAACTTACGAGAAATATAACTTAAATATTAGCAAGCAAAAGAGATGCAAAAAAAAAAAAAGAATAGAAAATATGATCATTCAGACAGTACCAAAATAAAGCTGGTTTAAGTAATACTAGCGAAGAAGAGTTTCATGCCAGAAGCATAACTGATAATGAGAACATTTCATAATAATCAAAAACAAAATCTACCAAGAATATATAGCAGTTCTAACTTTGTAATGAGTAAAATTCAAAATATATGAAGTAAAAGTAAAACAAAAAGGAGGAAAAAGAACCGAATATGTAATCATAATGAGGGATTTCAAAATTCTTCTCACCCCATAAATATATACACCTACTAAGCCCCCACAATCAGTTAAAAAACCATCCTTTTCTCGTGAACTGATAAATAGGCATTTAACCTCATATGCTAGTCCATGAAACTAATCAACAAATTTGAAAGAATGGCAGTCTTACAGAATATGTAAGCAATTAGTGGAAATCAGCCAGAAATAAGAGCAAAAGATAACTAGAATGTTCCCACATGTTTAGAAATTGTCCAATACATTTCTAAATGGTCCTTGCATCAAGAAAGAAAGCAAAATTGAAATTAGAACATATTTTGAATTGAAGACAATAAAAATATCAAAACATGTAGGATGTATTGAAGACTATCCTCACTGAAAAGTGCATTGTCTTAAATTTCTACATTGGAAAAAAACTAAAGTTTAAAAATCTGTAATCTAAGCATTCAATTCACAAATAAAATTCAAATGAAATAAAATATCTAATGAAATCCAAAGAGTACAGAAAGAAAGGAATAATAAGACAAAAGCAGAAAAATATCAATTATTTCTGGAGTAATTGGGGCTTTTAAGAAACTCTCAATAAGGATATGTTAAAGTTGATGTAGGAAATAAGAAGTTAGATATGAAATAACTAACAATTCTTCACATTTAAAAATAGTTCACATATGATAAAGGTTAAGTACCTTCATTTCTGCTCTAAAAAGGAAAAAAAGGTAAAAATAGCAAAAACCAATGGGAAAACAAACAAAAAGAAAATAACCAAACCACAAACCACAATATGGAACATCAACAAAGCTAGAAGTTTGTTCTTTGATAAGACAAATAAAATTGGCACTCTCTTTGCAAGATAGATCAAGAATAGAAAGAGAAAACACAAATTCCTAATATTCAGGAATGGATAAAGTAAACTCAATATAGATCCTAGAGACATTTAAATGATAATAAAACATTTGACATGCATTTATGCCAATAAATTTCAAAATTTTAATGAAACAAGACAAATTCCTAAAAGTACAAAATTTGCCAGTGGAGGCAGGAATGAATAAAAATCTAGTCAAAAAAATCTTTTTTTGTTATTATACTTTAAGTTCTAGGGTACATGTGCACAACGTGCAGGTTTGTTACATAGGTATACGTGTACCATGTTGGTTTGCTGCACCCATTAACTCGTCATTTACATTAGGTATTTCTCCTAATGCTACCCCTCCCCCTGCCCCCCACCCCACAACAAGCCACAGTGGGTGTTTCCCACCCTGTGTCCAAGTGTTCTCATTGTTCGATTCTCACCTATGAGTGAGAACACACAGTGTTTGTTTTTCTGTCCTTGTGATAGTTTGCTCAGAATGATGGTTTCCAGCTTCACCCGTGTCCCTGCAAAGGACGTGAACTCATCCTTTTTTACGGCTGCATAGTATTCCATGGTGTATATGTGCCACATTTTCTTAATCCAGTCTATCATTGATGGACATTTGGTTTGGTTCCAAGTCTTTGCTATTGTGAATAGTGCTGCAATAAACATATACATGAATGTGTCTTTATAGTAGCATGATTTATAATCCTTTGGGTGTATACCCAGTAATGGGATCACTGGGTCAAATGGTATTTCTAGTTCTAGATCCTTAAGGAATCACCACACTGTCTTCCACAATGGTTGAACTAGTTTACACTCCCACCAACAGTGTAAAAGCGCTCCTGTTTCTCCACATCCTCTCCATCATCTGTTGTTTCCTGACTTTTTAATGATCGCCATTCTAACTGGTGTGAGATGGTATCTCATTGTGGTTTTGATTTGCATTTCTCTGATGACCAGTGATGATGAGCATTTTTTCATGTGTCTGTTGGCTGCATAAATGTCTTCTTTTGAGAAGTGTCTGCTCATATCCTTTGCCCACTTTTTGATGGGGTTGTTTGTCTTTTTCTTGAAAATTTGTTTAAGTTCTTTGTAGATTCTGGATATTAGCACTTTGTCAAAAATTTTAATCTGTAATTTAAAACTTTCCTATAAAGATAATCCCAGGAATAGACGGCTTTACCAGGCAATTCTACCAAACTTTTAAAGAAAAACTAAAATGCAAAAGGCTGATAATAACACATGTGGACAAGGATGTGGACTAACTGTATTTCTAATAAATGAATATTGGGAATTTAAATGGGTACAACCACTTTGGAAAACTGGCAATTTTTAATAGAAAGCATTTGCAAATGAATTTTGTACACATCCATTAGAATTCAGTGCCATATTGTTTTTCCTGCATATAGTTTGATTCTTTTGCTACATTTTTAGGAAGAAACCCTTGCCATAATTCCACCTAGAGTACTTTTTCACATCCCACACAACTTTTTTGAAACAGCACCATTTTGGATGTTTTTTTCATCTATCTCAATGCATTACTATTATTATGTTTATAAGCTACAAAATTTATATTTCTAATTGTAGTTTCCTGTGATTAGTAAATTATCATTACACATTGTTACATTTCTACTTTGTCTTGAAGTCATTCATATTAAAGAATTAATTTCACTTTAGAAATTAAATACGGCTGAGGTTTGTTTAATGAGGCCATTAAAAGGCACATGCAGAAAAAAAAATAGATCCTGTTGCTGTTCTTTCTATTCATGGTGATGGTGAGCAATGAAGTGGTTTGTATAGGCACAAACTATGAGAAAAATGTGTTTTTAAAATATTTTAATGACATTTTAATATATGACATGTTAAAACCCTCTATCACATCTTCACCCAAAACATTCAGGAAAATATTTATTTTAATATTTGCATTTCTTGGGTACATTTTTCATCAACATAATGATCCCTGTTTCAATGTCAGGAGGTTAAAAATAAAATATGCCCACAAGAAGCCGTCAGTATCATGATTACTACTAGAAATAACAGTACAGAAATATTTCTTAGAAAGCATCAAAGCAAGGATAGCTTGATTTTTAAATCCTCAGGCAGTAGTGTGAAAACCGTAGAATCACTCGTTAACCAACAGCAAATTATCTAGGCTTTAAAAGCAGGAAATAGACTTTTTCTTGCTGACTTTTAGTTTACAGCCCTGTCCCTACGTCCAGAGCTCTTTATTCCACAACTTTATCAAATTCTGCCTTTAAAAAACAATCTTTGTTTTCAAACTCATCATGGCCCGAAATTACTAACACTAGAAATAAAATCCCAGCTGATGTCAATGTTTTCAAAAATGTAAAGAGGCTTTTCTTAGAGACCCTGGATGAAAAATGCCTATTCAAAGATTCAGGACGCTTCAATTGACCCTCTCTGCACCCCTTATATTTCTCAACAATTCTGGGAAAATCTGTTATTAAATCAAGTTATTTTTTCCAATTGAATCTCTAATTAAACTCTTTGATACAAAGTCAAGGGTTTCTGCAAAAATTTGTGTACTCTTGAAAGTCTCTGAAGTAGTAAAACTGTAGATTCATGAAATTATTACTATTATTATTATTTTAAAGTTATGGAATTTCTTTGTTTATTGTGCTCATGGACTTTCCAGAGAATTAAAGTTTCCTTCGTTTTAATTGAGAGATTTGTATGACAAATCAAATCTCACTGACCTTCTTTGAGCCTTCTTAGAAATGTGAATGATTTGGTAGTTTGATATTGAGAATCATATCTTACCTTCTTAATGGATTATTATGCCTTCTGTTGTCTGAGGTGGACAGACAAATTGATTGCTATTTGGAAGGATTTTAATTTTTTGTTTTCTTATTTCTAAGAGCAAATGTATTCTCTGAAGACAGAAAAATATGTGAAACAATATTCGTTCTTATCTTACTTGAAAATTTAATTAATTGATGAGTGAACCTCACCATAATATTTACTTGCTAATCTTATTTTAATAACAGGCCGCTAAAAAGCACAAATCTATTCATTTCAGGTAATAATGAATAGTTCACTTTAGAATGTGTCAAGGTATGTCCTAGTTCCTTAAATAAGTTCTTAAAAATACATTAATGAAAAACAAGTCATTGTTTATTCTGAATTCAGTAGCTACTGAAGAAAATAACTGTATTTGGTTGCGATGTTCCTTTGTTCCACAGTTTCCTGTTTCTGAAGTGTTTACTTTCTCCTTTCTGGTCATCCTACATACATCCATTGTTAAAGGGCCAGCCCTGGACTCCTCCCTCCATTCCTGGGTAGCTTGCCATACACAGAGCAGTGCATTCCAGGACTTTGTACTGTTTGGTGTAATAGATTTCCTGAGTTCGTGTCTTCTCCCTTCAATTGGAAGGCAACAACAATTTATTTTGCTTCTTTTATATTTCCTGCATCACCTACAACATCCTGAACATTTTGTCTCTCAGAGGTTTACATAATAAAATGAATACCAGCCAGGCGCGGTGGCTCATGCCAGCAATCGCAGCACTTTGGGAGGCCGAGGCGGGCGGATCACGAGGTCAGGAGATCGAGACCATCCTGGCTAACACGGTGAAACCCCATCTCTACTAAAAATACAAAAAATAAGCCGGATGTGTTGGCGGGTGCCTGTAGTCCCAGCTACTCGGGAGGCTGAGGCCGGAGAATGGCGTGAACCCGGGAGGCGGAGCTTGCAGTGAGCCGAGATCGCGCCACTGCACTCCAGCCTGGGCGACAGAGTGAGACTCCGTCTCAAAAAACAAAACGAACAAAGAAAATGAATACCTGTTGACTGATTGTGTGACAGCAAAACTCCTCTATGATGACACCAGGATGATATGATACAGTGATTAAATGAATCTCTGTGTGTCAAGAGAAGTACTGAGCTCAATTCTAATATAACGCATATAGTCCAGTGCTTGTATAATATGCTGCTTAATATAGATTTCTTTTCAATTCAACTAAATTTAACAAGTATTTACTGAGCACCTACTATGTGTCAGACGCTATATAGGTAGGTAATTGGTAGACAATAGAGTATAGAACTGACAAAAATCTCTGCTCTTATAAAGCTTATATTCCATGGAGATTAGATAATATCTGGTTATATCTGACAGAATCATTCTGGACAAGGAAAAGATCAAGTGTAGAGACCCTGCGTGGAGAGTGTTGAGACTAGCAAGGACGAGGTCACAGATAGAGCGTGAGATTACATAAAGCCTTATGGGTGTTGAAGGGCAAATAGAAGCCTTTGGATGATTCTGAGCAGAGGAATAACATAATATGACTTTAATAGCACCTGTAAAGATACTGGATTGGATTTAAAGATTACTTGAAATTTCTCCTATAAACGAAATTCTGTGGCCCTGCGACTTTCTCTTCTATGTGGGGTTCACCCTAAAAAATATATTAATTTATGATCCACATAACGTGACAGTCTTTCTACTCATACCACATATGTTTTATACATGTTCATCATACATATGCAAAAATAAGATAATTTCCTTTTACATGCTTACCCAAAGAAAACTAAAACCTAACTTACAGATATTCAAATGCTTTATATATGCCATTATTCTTAGCTTCACACAGAACTAGTTCTGTCTCTTAAACAGGCTGATATTTAAACATAGGAGTGTTTCCAGAGAAGCTCTGAAAGTAAGCCAACATGATTTTTTTAATTATTATTTTTTATGATTATAGACATAGTTATTTTCTATGCATATGTTTCTAACTTAAAATAAAAAAGCAATCCTTCCTGTCACCAATTAACATGTATGTCCTTGTGTACATGGATATATACAGAGCTAATTACATGTGTGTGAGTTTATTGGTTATTGTACATATACATATTATCCCTTTATGCTGAGTCTTCAATCAATAACAATCCCAGTAGTAACAAACATACCCAGAGCCCAGATCTTGGTTTCTACATACCATTTTTTATTGAAAGACAGCAGATACAGCTGTTTCTAGGGTTGGGACAAGAAAAATACAAGATGAGCCATCAGCATCTTGTAGTACCAAAAAGTAAGAAAGTGCCCAAAAACAAAAATATGGGGGTGTCGTCAAAGGGATAAAGAAACCCACATGAAAGATTTCAATTGCCAAAGCAACAAAAAATGTAACCAAAAAAATAGATAATGCATTATTGGTTTATAAAGCAAAGAATAAAATAAATACACCTGATTCCATAGTGGTATAAATAAATGATTGATAAGCAAATAGAGAAGGAGACAAATCTTCTTTACAGAATTTCAAACAATATATATAGGGGGTGGAGCTTAATTCTCATACCACTCCCTACACTTGACGGTGGGCTTAGTGACTTGCTGCCAAAGAGTAGAGTAGGGAATGGGAAAAAGGCAAGTTTTCAGTGGAGTAACCTGGTAAACGCTACTTTATCCAAATAGTTAAGGTTAACATTGTTAGTGATTTCATGTGACTATCATCTAACGCCTGATACGATATGACAAAAATGGTGCTTTACCTCGTTAGTATTTTTTAAGACTCATAATCCCAATCTTATCTGAAAAAACATAAAACAAATACAGGTTGAGGAGCATTCTACAGGATACCTGAAAATTACTGCTCAAGACTGTCAAGCTCTTGAAAAACAGACTGAGAAATATTCACAGAGCAGAGGAGAATGAGGAGACTTGGCAACCAAATGCAATGTGGTACCCTTGATTGGATCCTAGAACCCAGAGAGGGAATTATGGCATTAAAAACTGATGAAATTCAAGTAAGTCTGGAATACAGTTAAGAATAATGTATTAATGTAAGGAAATTGGCTGAGGGGTACATTTTGCAACCCCTTTATGCTATCTTTGCAACTTTTTCGCAAATCTAAAATTATTACAAAATAAAATGTTCGTTTAAAAGGTAAAATTATGAATTGCCATTTTTTATTACAAAGATGCTTTTGCTAGAAATAAAGATGATTGTGTTTGTTTGAATCAAAATGCATGGAAAATACATGAATACATTCTGCTTAGTTTCTTCTTTTTCGAGCACTACAAAAATGAGTGCCGAATCTCTCTTTTCATCCCTTAATGTGGTTCCTTCACTCCCAATATGTATCTGAAATTAGTAGGAAGAGACAAAGGAAGCACTGGCATTTTTACTTTCATAAACATTAACAGATGCAGAGTCAGGAGGTCTTTCCAGTCACAGCCGGTGGGTGGTTTCAGTATTTTCTTCCCAGCATGGTCTTACGTGAATAATGGTGGCAAATTATATATGACTTTATTAAGCACCTTTCTCTTTTTGGAAGAAAACTGCTTTTCATTACACGTAAAATAATAATAGTTATATTCATAATGACACCAACCATCCATCACAAGGACCATATTCCTTTTTTAAAAAAATTTACTATAGAAATCACCTCAGATTATGTGTTGAGCTTGTTGCAAAGTCTAAATGCAACATAAATTGTCTCCAGTATGACCTTTCACAAATGTGAGTGCAAAGTAAAAATAAAATCCTGGGACTAAAAGCCTCAGCTCACAATCTAGAGAAAATTTCAAGTAAAAACATAGATTAAAATGGTTTTGTTTTTTTGAAAAATTGATAATTGAAAAGAAAGGATGAGAAGTGCTGCTGAAATTTGTTGGTACTAGAAGCTAAGCAGATTTATGAGACAGATTCAAGGCATGATTTTTTAAATCCCAAATAATAGTAATAACAGTAATAATTGTACAAATCAAGCGTTGGTGAAAAAATCACTACAAAATTTATTACCATACTTTTAACTCTCAAAAATTACACTGTTGTTACTTCACTCATATTCTTGACACTCTGCAGAAGGTTCTTCTTTGAAGAACCTAAAATATGGTATATTAGGGGATCTCTGGGAATTGAATTGCTAGAATTATTTGTGCTTCCTATTGCTTAAACTGATGCTGCTGTGAACAATTAATTAAACAAGTTAGCAAAATAAATTGAGCCTTTAAATCTTTTCTTTACTTGGCTTATATGTGTTATACTTTTCTTCGGTAATAAATAAGTAGGGATTTTGTAATGCAAATTAGTAAAAAATATTTTATTGAATGCCTTCCATTCATTTGACTGATAAAATAGTGGTAAATAGAAATATTGCTCATTAATGCCCACACTTAGCTATAATTCTAATTTGGGGATCTCTGAGCTTAAAACCAAACTATACATATTTGGAAAGAAGATAGCCTATGGCCTTAAAAATAAACAATGTGAACTGACTGTCCTGTGTCTTTTTATTGTTATTTTCTTGAGACACGCCTGTTGCTACAACTTTCTTTTTCCAGCTAATTTTCACAATTGCCAATAAAATATCTTTATTATTTTAACTCTAAATCAAGTAAGAACAACATAGTTTTGTGCAAAAATCACAGAAAATTCAACATTTGGACATTTCATCATGACCTCCAGTGCAACTTGTATGATGTTAAATTCATCATTTACTAATTTCCTTAAAAGCTACAAACCTGTAAACAACACCATATTCTATCCATATTCTA
This sequence comes from Homo sapiens, assembly GCF_000001405.40. Classification (NCBI taxonomy): domain Eukaryota; kingdom Metazoa; phylum Chordata; class Mammalia; order Primates; family Hominidae; genus Homo; species Homo sapiens. Next base: position 16,671,856 of record NC_000021.9, read on the forward strand.
TTCTTTAAAGTGAGAAATCTTGGCAATTTTTTTAAATCCCCTTTCCCTCAATCTTTTAAAAAATAATTAATCACCAAAGTTGCTCATTTATCTTTTGAGATATCTTTTGGAATCACAGCTTCTTTGCCATTTTGTCCACAATCACCATCATCCAGTTACTCACGTCTAGATCTCCAGGTGACCTTCCTGTTTTCAATCTCTCTATCAGAGAATTCATCCTGCAAGAACCTCTATTGCCTACCAAACTACAGCCAATGCCTTCTGCTAGAATTTCAGGATAATCACATTGCCTTTTACTTACTTTTCATTCTAGCCAGGTTGTTTTTCTCTGTCCCCTGGATATATCACACAATTTTAGTTTTTGCTTCTCTTGACTCTACCTAGAAATTTATCTTAACTCTCTTCTATTTGAACTCTCATATCAACCCTTTTACCATTCTGTCTACTCATACATACATAAAACAGAAGCATTATATCTATATTTACAAAAGAAAGCAACAAAAAACATTTTGAGCTTATAGGAAATTCAGGGAACATTGTTCTCAGGAAATTTTCTTATAGAAATTAGCAGAGAATCAACTTTAATCAACTAAGATATAAATTGATACATGAATGTATCATGCACAGTACTGAACATGAATAAACCAAGGAATTATATTTACAGGAAGAAATATCAGTATTAGAAACCTGATAAGGCCAAAATGAGATAATAATATTTAGTTTTAAAAAGAGAAGAAGAAGGTATACATAGTATATGTACACTGTTTTCCTAATCTTCCTGGCTAAAAATCTAGAGAGAATTTGTTATCAAAAAATCAAAGAATACAATTACAAAATCAAAGATCAATAACATGATCAACTAAAATCATGCAGTAGAAAAAAAAGAAAGAGGAAAGAAGCAATGTATAGTGACATCATTGCTTATTGCAGAGAGTTCATAAACCCTGCCTGAAATACAAAAAAACTTAGTGTATTACTAAAATAAGCAATCAGCTCTGGCATATTTATTATGAAGTTAATGAAGCTTAAACTGGAAGGCACCTCTTTTGCACAGACCCCTTCTACTCTTTGCTGTGACTCCTTTCTTAATTCTAAATAATTTTTTTCACTTGCCTGGTTACTTTTATTTTATTACTTTCTATTCTTTTCATTGAAGAAGTTCTCTCTAATTGTGTAATCTTTAGAACTCACAAAACCTGAACCTACCCCTGATTTTAAAGATACCTCAGAAAAAAAAAATAGCACAGTACACACACACACACACACACACACAGCAAAAACAATAAGCAAACAAAAGAGTCAGTAAATATATAAAAAGACATTGCTTGAAAAACAAAATAAACAGAATAATTATAAGAACAGAATTAAGTTGAAACACAATTTTTAAAAATTATACATCTACAACTCATTGAAATAATAACACTTTCATTTATATCATTATAAATATTCATCTACATAGTGTGTACCAGAGAATCTCCTAAAACCAACTGACTGAGAGAGATTAAAAAAAAATGATGGGAAACATATAGCAAATTCAAACCCAAAATAAAGCAGGAGTCACAATATTAATATTTCAGAGAAGGTAAAATCTAAAGGAAAAAGCACTAAACAACATAAAGTGTACCACTATATAATAATGACTTAATCCATTCAGGCTGCTATAACAAAATAACTTAGACTGGGTAGATCATAAGCAATAGAAACCTATTTCTCAGAGTTCTAGAGGCTGGAAAGCTGAGATTAAGACACAGATTCAGTACATGATGAGGGCCAGTTTCCTGGGTCATAGATGGCACCTTCTCACTGCCTCCTTGCATGGTGGAAGAGGCTAATGAGCTCCCTTGGGCCTCTTTTATAAGGGCACCAATCCCATTCATGAGGACACTGTCCTTATGATCTAATCACGTCCCAAAGGTCCTACCTCTTAATACCATCACCTTGGGGGTTAGGATGTGAACGTATAAATTTGGGGGAGGGGACACAAATATATCCACTAAAGCAATGAATAAGGATAAAATCCACAGTCAACACCTAACAGATGAATTTCTATGCAGGAAAGGATATAGCATCAACAATCATACTGAAACTAATTTTAAAAACACTTGAAGAAAGTTATATGAATACATTAGTAGTAACTTTTATTTTCCTAAGTGCATAATAGATCAAGCAGTCATAAAATCAGTACCTATATAAAAGACCGAAGTATCATAATTAATGAGATAGTAATAATTAGTATTAATTTAACTTTGTTCCCTGAATATAAAGAGCAAGTCTAGTTTTCTGGTATCCTCAGAACATTCACATTAGGACACACACACGCACACACACAACCCTTGGGCTGAAACCAGAGTAGTAAGTAAATGAACAGCCGTTATTATCCTGAGGGAAATGTTGTTATTGGAAACTGAAGTTTTGAGGAAATTAGTGGCCAACCCATGTGGGTCTTCACAAGACATACAGCTAAGCCTGAAAGCCCTGCACAAAGCTGGGAATATCTAAGATACTATAAACTCAATGAGAGTCTTAGTTATAACAACAAATATGCCCACAAATGGAACCAGAAAGAGACCTGCTTGTCTCTGCTATAGCCCTGGATGGGGTAAGAATAGTATTTTCCACACATGATAAGCATAGACCTACCTCATCAATTTATACTACCTGAACAGGTCAGGAACCCCTCACGTTGAGAAATCAATTTAAAGTTCTAGGTTGTTAGCATTCTTTGGTACCAGCAGAGGCAATTTCAGTTCTTCTCTGGAGATTCTTAAGCTACTAGCTCAGGATTTTCCAAAATTAAAGCTAACATCTAGATTTAATTATTATCAAATGCCAAATACATGTCCCCAAAAACCCAAAAGCAAAACCAAAACAAAACCCAATTATCATGGTCCAAAGATAATGGAACCACAGAAAACAATTTGGTATATCAGATATTGGAATAACTAGAAAAGATATTTTAAAACTAAGTATAAAATATTTAAGGCAATAAAACTGAATGAGAAAAATAATCATATATCAAGAAACTACAGTTGCTAAAATATCCAATTACTTATGAAGAACCAGAAATAGAGGGCCAAAAATATAGGTACTAATGGTAAATATAGGATGCATCCTGGCATTAGAAAAATTTCAAAACACAAAATGATAAAGAAATCCAACTACAGGACTCTGTAAACCAGACTTTGTATGGCAAAAACAAATCTTTTCCCTCTGCTGCTACTACACAAAAGTTCAATCCTGCTACTTTTCTTCCAAGAGGAATTGGTAATCACCTATCTGGGAGAATTGCCCTTTGAAACTGCAATCTAAATGCTAGCCTTTGCTTACTCTTGACAAATTTATCTAAAAACTGTGTAAAGGTCATTTTAACGTTACCAATGAGACTAATGATAGACGTGTACCCCCTTGGCTATAGTCATGGCTACTACTACCTGGGATATACATTTTCAACTTTAAAAATGGTTTATGAGTGTGTTATCTGTCCAACAGTTACATCTGTTAGCAATGTACTATATAAACTTTACAGTTGGTAGAAAAACTTTAATAAAGGCTTTTGTATACTGAGATTACATGGGAAAGGAAAATAATATTTTAGTGTTGAAGGCCTTCTGGGCCTCTTTTCTTTTATTTCTCTGAGTCAGCAGCATGTGCAGGCTCATGTATTTGAGTGGTTAGCCAAACTCTGCCAACATTTTGCCCAACGTGAAATGCCCATGTAACAAAGAATCTACGTCCTTTTTAAATTTAAAACATGTTGGTCCATGTCTACAGATTTAAAAGCAACAATACAAATTGCTCAAATGGAAAATCCTTAATTTAAAAATACAATCAATGCAAGCCACAACTCCTGCATACAATCTTTGAGGAATTCTCCCCTTCCCAGGGATCACATTTAATGAACTGGCAATAGCTGGATTCTGAATGATACTCCCAGAAGTAGCACTGTAACTACGTCTTGAAACCTCAAGTGTTTAGGTTGGCTTTTCTTGAGATAGTTATCTAATAAGTCGGCCGTGTATGATTTTCTTTCATCTCCTATCATGGAAGTCTAATGGTCAGATATTCTGTCTTCCTGTTTCTGGCAGTAACACTTTGAGCATTTTACCTAGTATGGAATTTGTAATCTTGGTGTGACCAAGAGCTAGCTGTGCCATTGAGAGTCTAGCTCTGCCGCCTTGTGTGTTCCAAGAAAGCCCTATCCAGGACAGCAGTGCCAGGGTGCATCCCAACCCGACTGCTCTGGGGATGACAGTCTTGCTGTTTTCCTGCAGGCTTTCCTTCCTTGTTTCTTCCCCTTGTTTTGGTGTTCCCATATATTGTGCAAGCTATCAGACACCCTTCTAATATGATCCTTTCAGGCCAGACTAGAGTCAGTTTCTGTCACTTGCAATCACGAAGCCTAACTGATATAATATCTCAACTAAAAAGTCAACTCTCAGTTATGAAGATTGCATATCTTTTCTCAGCCATTTGTTCCAGGCAATCCAAGTGAATTTACTGTATGTAGGTACCATTTCTCTTTATCCTCATCACTTCCAGCAGTCTCATTTCTGAATTTGTATATCAATAAGGAGAGTGCAAAATTAAATTAGTCTAACATCTGCCTAGCTTCTCTTTTTCATTGTTGTGCAGTATATATACATTGTTGTGAAGTACATAGTACAACGGATATGGGCAAAACCAGAGATAGCAGTTATTAGGTTTAAATCCGTTATCTAGTGTTCTGTGAATGTATTTCTCTGGGGCAAAATAAAAAATATTTGGAATAGTTTCACTCTGAAGTCAGCTGCTTCAGAAATTGCAGACTGTGTCAGATTGAACTCTCAAAGGAAAATATGAAGCACAGAAACAATGGTAAATGACAAGTAATAGAAAAAGTTGTATACATTCAGTAGAAGTAAATAAACTTTAACGTTTTCCAGATAAGATTTAACTTTTTAAAAAGTGTTTACTTGGTGTGAAGCATTGTGTCAAGTGATTCCAGTCAGGGTTTCTCAAACTCAGTTCTGGTGACAAGTGGCGTGGGAGAAAACTTTCTTACGGGAGCTTTCCTATGCATTTTAGGACTGCCGGCAGCATCCTTGGCCTCTATCCATTAGATGCCAGTGGCACACAGACAGACACACCATTTACAATAAACAAAAGTGTTTTCAGGCATGGCCAATGTCACCTTGGCTGGGAGTTGTGGGGTGTGGCGGGGAATCACCTCTTGTTGAGAACCACTATTTAGATGACGTAGTTATTTAACCTTCAAAACAAACCCATGAGACAGGGATGATCATTATCTTTTACTTGTAAAAGAGTTATCATTACCCTTTTACAGGCAAAGAAAAGGAGACACAAATATGTTTCATTAGTCAACCACAAAAACAGCTAGTAAGTGGAAAAGCTGAGATTCAAACCTAGGCAGTCTGACTCCAGAATTTTTGTTCACATTGTTTGTCTGTGGCACCCAAAATGGTTGGGCTCAAGGGAGAATTAAATCCAAAGATTTATTAAATTTATCCAAATATACAATTCAAAAAAACCTCATACATTCTGCTTAAATACTCTGATTTTTTTTTCAGGAACCCCTTTAAATATTCAGTGCCAGGGAAAAATTCACAATACTTAAGCTCATATTTAAGTCATTGTTCCTGGATTTTAGATATGCTTAAAAGAAGCCTGGGTAGGAAAAAGATATGGAAATATGACTTTTAAAAGTAAACATTAGTATCTTCTAAAGTTAAACTAATAGCACATAGACAGTTCCCATCCCTCCTTTAAACATGCTATAGATCTGAGCTATGAGCCGACTCAGTCCCATCCCGTACAAGCCCACTTCACATTCAAGTCCATGCTTGTCTCCAGACAGCTCAGGTAGAACCAAAGTAGCCCTTGGGTTTTGGCTTAAAGCAGTCTGAGTGGGAGCACCTACAGAGCTTATGGGAGACAAACTTTGAATCTATGGTATTTTCATTTATTTTTTAAATTTTCAAAAGGCTTGGTTTTCCCCCTTACCCCCTCCTTCAAAAGCATAGGCTGTAGGTACAAAAAGGGAGTGAAATATGGAGAAAAGGGAAATGTGGGAAGAGAAAGAAGGTCAGGAAAAGAAATTTTTTACTCAGAAGCATTTTTTTCCCTTTAGAATGTGTTTAAATTTGTAAGTATGATTTTTAACTGAAAGTTGAAAATTATAACTTGAGTCAGCAGAGTAATTACCTACATTGTGTCAGGAATTCTGCTTCTAGGAAACAAATGAATTCATAAAATGTCACTTTTCTTCCTAGACACACAAAAATTTATACCTGCAACCTTAATATATTGAAACATACAACTTGCAGACATACTGTGTAAGTGTGTAACTTTCTAACTTGGCTAGGACAGAGGAGCAAGCTGGATGGAAATTGAGCTGTTCTTGCAAATTTCGGAGAACTAGTTCATCAGAGATGGAAATTCCAAACAGCATGCTGAGGCTAAATGGAATTGAGGGGCTATGGATTCAATGCAGACCATAATTGAGTTTTATTTGCCCTTTCAAGGACTTATGCAAAGCTTTATTCCCTTAGCACAGTACACACAAGGTGACATTTTTCAGCAGTCTGACTTTTCAATTATGGATCTTTTGGAAAGCTAATGATGTCAATATTGTTAATACTGCCAACATTGTGTCAGTACATTGAAGAACCTGTGATATTAAATATGCTGATGTAAAAATATATGTTATTTCTGCTCAGCCGTGTGCAAACAATCTGGCTGAAGTGCTAGAATTATAGGGAAATCCTCTCCAGAGATAAAAGCAGAATGGAATTCGGTTGAGAGCAGTTAAAAAGCTCTCTTGTTTTAAGTGGTTTCCTGAAGTACTGAGGCCAAAATTTTAGAAGCTAATTGCATGGAGTCTCTCACTCAAGACTTCTGGTTAAAGTTAGAATACTCTTACCATGTTATTTGTACTTTAGGGGATGGGGAGAGCATCATAATGTCTAAAGTTTTAAAAAATTTATACAAATAGAATTTTTGAGTAAATGATTGATGATATTAAAAGGTTTAAGAGAATAACAACTCTTCAGGCAGCAAAGGGTCTAAGACCAAATATTTTCCATCACACAATTACTATAACAAAGCCAGGATCATATTCTTCACAGTAAACCCTCATTTATTAGTTATGAGCATTGGTGATTTTTCAGTGTGATGGGTTCCAGATGTCTAAATACAGTGACAACCCATTGATAAAAGGAATTATAGTGACCGCAGTAACAAAAGCACATTCTCCTTAAAAGTAAAAGGAATAACAAATGTGATATTTAATTACATATTTAAGATATTACCCTTCCAGATTCTTTTCTCCATATTTTTATTACTTATTTCAAAATCTCTCGCCTACTATATCTCTTCTAGACAATAAATTCTAACAATGATTTTATTTCTCATGTATGAAAATGTCTATCTGATATTTCCAGAGAATAAAACCTTTTTGGCATGGAATTAAAATGCATGCTAAACTTAAGAAAAATTTCATTTGCTGGTAATGTCCAAATGAAACAAAGTATTTGGTGTTGAATAGGAAATCTGTAGTGGTAACAACTAACAATAGGGCAGAAAGGTTTTTATTATAAAGGAAACCCAAGAAATAACTTCTTGGAGTAGTATACTCCTACTATCTTAGAATAGTAATATTCTAGTATTATTTTAGAGGTAGTTAAGAAAAGTATGTGTCAAGAACTACATAAACATTATTCCATAGGCCATCACTATAATATAAATGTTAGAATACATTATCTGAGACTATTATTTAATATAATCTTTGTCATGTTTCAGTAAATAACTTCACTTATATTACAATATAAAAATAATTAATATTGCCTTTCAATCTATATAAATTTTAAGGTGATCATCTCACATATAAATTTCATATAATAATGATAATAAGTGTTTATAAAATAAAATAAAAATAAGCATGAATTAGGAAAAGGAGACTTTTCTCTAGGTTAAGTTCTGTGTTATTTGTATTTGTTGATCCTCTTGTACATATTTTGCAGCGAAAGTGAGTTTTATGATGTTTAAAATGATGGTGGAAAAGTGAAGAATAAGCACCCATCTATATAAAGAAAGACTTAAAATTGATCATTGTATAGCAAAATTCAAAATGAGTATTACCTTTAAAAGTAACTTGTAATGATAGAATATTTTTATACTAGGTTGAAAACAATACTTATCTTTTTTTTTTTTAACTACAAAAATGAGAAGGGTGATAAGTAATTCAGGTCCTCGAGCAAAAAGCAATATAAAAGTTTTGACATAGAAATATTTTTGTAGGAGGGAGATTTTGGAAGAAAGGGGCAGATGCACATGAAATTATGGTTTAAAACTTTGCTAATCCTCAAACTTAAAAGTGATTCAACTTTAGGAATAGCCAAAAATCTAGTAAATATTTGAGCACACTAACTGGGTAAATTTTTATCCTCTTTTATTTTGTTGTTAATGGGTGATGAGACTAATACTAATTTTTGCATGATTTATAAAGTGCTGCTAAATATGACTCTAGATGACTCCAGAAAGTATTTGAAGTCATAACATAAAGTGAATTTCCTCTTTGAATAATTTGTCTCTTTTGAATCAGTTTTCTGTTGCTGTGTAATAAATTCCACAAATTTAGCAGCATGCAACAGTATCCACTTATTAGTTCATGGTTCTGTAGTTCAGAAATAAGGACATGGCATCATCAGTTCTCTGCTGAGATCTCAGAATACTAAAAATCAAGGTGTCATCTGGTGATATGAGTTGGCTGTGTCCCCACCCAAATCTCATCTTGAATTGTGGCTCCCATAATTCCCTTGTGTTGTGGGAGGGACCCAGTGGGAGGTAATTAAATTATAGAAGAGGGTTTTTCTCATGCTGTTCTCATGATAGTGAATAACTCTCACGAGATCTGATGGTCTTATAAAGGGCAGTTCCCCTGCACATGCTCTCTTGCCTGCTGCCGTGCAAGTCGTTCTTTGCTCCTCCTTTGTCCTCCACCATGATTGTGAGGCCTCCCCAGCCCTGTGGAACTGTGAGTCGATTAAACCTCCTTTTCTTTATAAATTACCCAGTCTCAGGTATATCTTTCAGCAGTGTGGGAATAAACTAATACATCTGGGCTGAATTTTTTTATGGAGCTTGAAATCTTTTTCTAAACATACATGTTTTGGGCAAGTTTTAGTTCCATGCAGTTATAGCACTTAGGTCCCTGTTTCCAGCTCTCAGCCAGAGGCCACTCTCAGCTCCTTGCCAAGTGGCACCTCCAAGTTCAAAGCCAGCAGCATAGTATTTCTTTTTCATCCAATCACCCTCACCTTCAAATCTCCTTGGCCAAGAATACAGCCAAGTGGATTCCCTGATTAGGTTCATCCCTCTCAAGATAATCTTCCCATATTAAGGTCAAATGGTTTGGAATCTTAATTACATTTGCAAAATCCCTTTGGCATATAACACATCATCAGTGAAGTGATATCTAATCATATTCACAGTTTCCACCCACACATATGGGTAAGAGATTACACAAAGGAGAGGGTCATTAAAGTCATTTTGAAATTCTGGCTGCCACAACCCTCCTAACTGAGCTTTCCACTTCCTTCAACCTCTAATCTGCTGCCAAATAGTTTTTTTTTCCTAAATGCAATTATGAAGAAGTTATTCAATACCACCATCACTATCATCTGTACCATTAATGTTTAAAGTATTTTGTTGGTTTTCACTTGTTCATTCTTATGATAGCACATTTGGGTATTGTTTCTTCAAATATTTTCTGCCTCTCAAATCTTCATACACAGTGCTCTAACTCCATTTACCTAGTTTTAGTACCTTTTGAAGACCTATTTCCCCTCCAGACTCCCTTATCCTTAGAGTTTGTATTTCTCCAAACCTACTGCCTGTCTCTCAACTTCCGCTTGTTTCTTTAGGTTCATTAAGATTCAGCTTGGAAATCATATCTTTCAAGGACATTTTCTAGTACCTTTCCCCATCCTTAGCCCCTTCATTTTAGAGAGATGCCTTGTCTCTGCAATCTCAGATAACTTGCATGATTCTCCTAACTTCACTCTGTATTTTAATTGCCTGCTGTTTGCTTTACTCCACTGGATTGTGACCCTGTTGAGGAAGAAAGTTTCTAAAGTTTCTTCCATATCTCATTTATGGTGTTTCTGATGTCCAAAATAGTTCCTGTGACCAGAAAAGAAAATTGTTAAAATTCATGAAACTCTGACACTTTCTAATTTTGAGACCATTTCTGTAAATGACAAATAATTTGACTTTTCTGTATTCTGGTTATTTCAGTTACCTTATGGGTTAGACAAAATCCACAGTGTATTAGTCCATTCTCACCCTGCTATAAATAAATACCCGAGACTGGGTAATTTATAAAGAAAAAGACTTTAATTGACTCCCATTTCCACATGGCTGGGGAGGCCTCAGGAAACTTACAGTCATGGCAGAAGGCAAAAGAGAAGCAAGGACCTTGGTTACATTGCAGCAGGAGAGAGAAGTGCAAGCACAGGAAATGCCAGACTCTTATAAATCCATCAGATCTCATGAGAATTCACTATCACAAGAAGAGCGTGGGGGAAACCACCCCATGATCCAATCACCTCCCTCCCTCTACACGTGGGGATTACAAGTTCCTCCCTTGACACGGGAGGATTATAATTTGAGATGAGTTTTGGGCGGGGACATAGAGACAAACAATATTACACAGTATATTGGCTTTTATAATCAAGTGAAAGTTTAGGGCTAATTAAATAATGGTCTAGGTAAATGGATATTGTTTAGATAACTGGAAACAGGGTCTTAATTTTATATATATATATATATATATATATTTTTTTTTTTCTTTCTTTTCAGTTAGTATAACAGAAAATGCTGGAGCATGGATCAAAAGGCAGAGCAACCATAAGGACCCCGTAATGGGACATAATTAATGAGGCAAAAGTATAAACTTCTAATAAAATTACAAACTCAAATAGATTGGCATTGTTTTTGCATTAAAGTATTATACTTATCTTGGCTGTGCTTTATATCCTAATTTGTAGTTTTCTATTTTATTTAATTCATTATTTTAAAAAAGTTTCCAATGTTAGAAAATTTCTGTAGGAAACTTTAAGTCTGCCGGCCACGCAAAAACATTTTTATAGTTTCTTTCATCAACATTAATTAAATGGCTACAGATGCCCTGTTAATTTTCTTATGAATTGCACACTTATTATACCATTTTATAGGCATCTTATCAGTCATGAGTACACATTGAAAGGTTTGCATTAGTTTTGCTAACAAAGTATTTATCCTAAAATGCAGATGGTAGAATTATAGATATGATTCTTAAGGAAAATACCGTGCTTGAAAAATGAAGTATCAAATACAACACACTCTCTCTCTCCCTCTGTCTCTCTCTCTCTCTCTCCACCCACATTTAAAAAACATATACATTAGGGAAAAAATTCCTGTTGATACTGGAGAATGAGAACATATCCCTTTATACTGAATCATTTTGAATGTAGAAAATAGGATATGTTTCTGAACAGAAAAAATACTTTAAGCATTAATTAGCATGTATAAATTAATTTATAAGAAAAAACTCATCCAGTGTTTACACAACACTTCAATAAGCTGCACTAACGGAACCATACAAACCCTTTGCACAAGTGTAGAAAAATACTTAATGGTTTTCATTTGACTTCTCTCTGAATATATTATCAAGTCTTAAAAATAACACTGTACCTTTTGGTGAGAAACATACAATAGTCCTGAAATAGACATTCATTTTCTACATTTCACTTTTAAGCAATTAACAGTTTATATTAGTTGTCAAGAGTTTGTGTTTTAAAAAAAATTCTAAGTAGAATAAACATTTATAGGTGACTTTTAAACACTGGAAAACATTTATTTGAGAATCGATCATGTTTTTTAAAAGTGCTGTATCTGACAAAAAAAAGTGTCTTTTTCCTTTTCTATCTCATTTTTATATAAGAGAAATAGAGTTGTTCCAAGGATCATCTTAATTGTCATACCTGCATTAAAAATAACTTTATTTGGATTACAGTTTTTATCATCTGCTTTTTTAAAACGGAATAACATTGACCTTGAAACTTTCACTTTTACAATGAGAATGACAGTTTTCTTCTGGGAGATATTCACATGTAATTATTAGTTGTTCTTTGCTTTGAATTTATTAAAGTACATTCAAGGAAGTCTATTTCAAGACTCAATTTTTTATATTACATTTTTAAAATTCAATGTAGAAAACATCAAAAATGTGAAAATTATACTGATGTCTTTCTGACCCAACAAAACACAAAATGCTATTCAGTACTTCTCAGCCTTGGCTATTTACTGGAAGCACCTGGGGACGGAGGTGAAGCTCACGAAGGTCCTGATGCCCTGGCTGCCCCTTGGATCATTTATATCAAATTGAAGTGTGGGAACTGGCAGCGATATTTTTAAGAATTACCTGAAGTTTCCAATGTGCAGACAAACTTGAGAAATACTACTCAACTAGTGGCTCTGAATTTGTTTTACATTCTAATTACCTGTGGAGGTTTTTAAACTTTGTTTAAAAGTCAAAACCACACTCCATACCAATTAAATCAGGTAGAGTGAGACACAAGGAACAGCGTTTAAAAATGTTTCAGCTGATTACAGTGTTCAGCTAAGTTTGAGAACAAGTGCTTTAGGTTGGAAATCAGTTTAGGCATATTGCTGTTCTATGTTTGTGGATTGTTTCAGTTTGTGATAGGGAGGTGGTGGGGAAGATGACAAGAAGGGAACAAATACTACTGCATTTTTTAACCAACGCTATTTTGTAGATTCTACGTATTTAAAGCCATTTAATAAAAACTTAGCCTATATTAAATGTGAAGCACATTAACGAAAGAGTTGCATGAAAATATAAAACTGTTTAATGAAGATCTGGTAGCTTTCCCTCAGAATTGCAAAGGAGAATGTAAACTGTTGTATCGTGATTCCTTTATCTCTTCCACAGAGAAAATACACCATAAAAGTAATAAGAACATGCTAAAGCAACTGTTAGTTAAATATGTATTTCCTTTTCTTACAAATTGTGCCCTTTGTTGAAAAATTGCAAAGTGATAGATGGCTTATTTGTTTATATTGTTAGGTTGTATAAGATGTACTCTTTTCAAAAACTGTTCTAACAATTTGGTCTGAATTGAGCTTGGATTCTTCCAAATTTTATTGCCATATACATTAAGTTTCAATCCAAGCTTTAATACTTACTGTTATGCCTTTTTCAAAAAGCATTCCAAAGAAAAGTTACAGTCAGGTCAATTTGCTAAAATATGCTAGAATAAAAAGCCAATATAATCATGAACTTTTGCTCCATAATCATTATGTTTATCCCTGTATATGTCCAAATAATATTTGAGGTAGTTCACAGTCAACTGGGATAAAGGAGGGAGAGATGCCCAATATTGTCTTTGTGTTATTCTTTCTGTAGCAAGTAAACTGTCAATTCATTACAGTGTAGAGATACATAAATGCTAAAATATGGAATACATTAAATGTTGAATAAGTTTTTATTATCTAGTGATAAGGTCTGTGAAAATTATATATTGAAACTTGAAACAAAAGCAAGAGTTTTACTAAATAGTTATTCTTGTTCTTAAATTTCCATTTCTACATGTGACATCAAAATCGCAATCCAGTCTTCAAAGGGATGTTATAATTATGTAGGTACAGATACAGAACTCCTACATCTCCCACTCACATACCCACACACACCCACCTAAACATTTCTTAACAATAATTTCTCTACAGGCTTTTAAAATTATGAAGGTAATTATATTTCCACCTCCTGATTTTCACCATATTGCAGTGATCAAACATTGTACAAACAGGATTAAAGCATTTATGTTTTGATCAAGATCATTTCCCTGCTGGAGCTATCATTTGCGTCAAGGGCAAATGTATGAACACAGTTTGAAAATCATGCAAGAAGCTAGAATCCGTGGAAGAGTAGTTAACCAAGATTCTACATCATCAGCCAGGAACAACGTGTGTTCATGACTCTTTGTGGTGATTTATTCACATACTGCCCGGTTACATTGGATTAGTTTTTCTAAAGATAAGTTTCTACACCAGATGACTTTCTAAAGCCTTGTTGAGTATGCAACTCAATGAGTTAGGAGTTTCCTTTGTTAGCAAACCTGTCTTTTCTTGACAATGAAAACTCTCACTGTGAGTGTTAAACCTAGTCTTGTCTGCTGTGAAGCTGTAGTTGAAATCTTGTCTCACCTGTGAGGCATACTGGATATAAATTAGTGAAACACAATGCTTGAGGAACAGTAGTAGTACTTTGAGCTAATGGATTAACCAACTCTAAGTTTAACTTCTCTGCTCCCTAGTTTTTGAAAACAGAATAGTCATCAAAGATGGAGCTGTATATACGGCTCCTGAATATAGATGTAAGGAATTCATAGCCCAATTCAATCTAATTATGTGGGAAATGTCTTATTTGTAGAAAGAACATGAGTTTTGTTTGAGATTACCCGACAGCTCCATTACTGACTAGCTCTCTGACAAGGGGCAAATAATGTGACTTCTTAAAGCCTTAGTTTATTCATCATAAAATGAAAATAATAAAACTACCAAAGGGTTTGTAGAGGCAATTAAATAGAATAAAGCTTGTAATACACCTAACAGGGCAAATTACACATAGCAGTCACCAAAATAATATCCATTTTCCTTCTGTGTAACTGTGAGGAAAGAAGTCTGGGTCCCAAGAGTAGGCTGACATGACAAGTGACAAGATAAATAATATTATCATAATAAAAAACTATAAAAAGTATTGTTTTTCAACTTTTCCCTCTAATTACATTACCTCTCCTTCCATGACCCCTTTGTTTTTCTCACTCATTTAGAAGATTGTACTTCCTTTTATTCAGCCTAACCATTCTGCATACACAGATACATCATACTTTGGACATCATGCTTGAAAATATTTTTAAGCAAATGTATGAATATTAGACCAAGATACACACTTATAATTGTATATGAATTATTTGACCTCTTAAAATGTATTTTTACACCAAGCGGTAACAACAAATGTGATAAATCAAGAAAATTAAGAGCCACCGCACATTACTGGCTTGTCAAAAAGCACATATATTCATGCTTCTGATGTGGTTATATAAACACATCACTGCACTGTTTCCAAGCAGAAATTTGTGTGGCTTGGCAGTCCTAGAAGGATTGAAAAAGTTAAAAAGGATTATCACAGTATCCATTATGAAGCTCTATTGGAGATGTTTTGACATAACTACTATTTTACTTATTTGATTAACAAAAACTAACACTGATTTTTTTTTAAATTTTGACTCAAGAATATTATTAGATTAGTCTTGCTTTTACTGTAGGTATTTGCAGAAACTCATTCAACTTTCTAGAAACTTTTGCCTAGAATAACTCAAAAATGGCTGCTTTAAAAGAAAATTTGCTGAAAATTTGTTCAGCATTATCACCTACAAAAATGGTTTTGTAAGCCGGGCGCGGTAACACACACCTGTAATCCCAGAAGTTTGGGAGGCCAAGATTGGCAGATCTCTCAAATTCAGGAGTTTGAGACCAGCCTGGGCAACATGGCAAAAACCTGTCTCTAGTAAAAGTACAAAAATTAGCTGGGTGTGATGGCGCAGGGCTGTAATCCCAGTACTTAGATGGCTGAGGCACGAGAATCCCTTGAATCCTGGAAGCAGAGGTTGCAGTGAGCCACAATCATGCCACTGTACTCCAGCCTGGGTGACAGAGTAAGACTCTGTCTCAAAGAAAGAAAGAAAGAAAAAAAAGGTTTTGTGATACCATGTTCTACATACCAGTTATGATGGTGATGTCTCAATTCAGATATGTTCATTTCGTTAACTTTCATTTAATTTTTTTATTTTTATTTTTTATTATTATTTTTTGAGACCGAGACTCGCTCTGTCACCCAGGCTGGAGTGCAGTGGCGCCATCTCCGCTCACTGCAACCTCCGCCTCCCAGGTTCACGCCATTCTCCTGCCTCAGCCTCCTGAGTAGCTGGGACTACAGGCGCCCGCCACCACGCCCGGCTAATTTTTTGTATTTTTAGTAGAGACGGGGTTTCACCGTGTCAGCCAGGGTGGTCTCAATCTCCTGACCTCGTGATCCACCCGCCTCGGCCTCCCAAAGTGCTGGGATTACAGGCGTGAGCCATCGCGCGAAAATTAGCCTGTAAATGGTCATTTCAAAATGCTTCTATCTGATCATGGAAAAAAATTATACAAATCCCAGTTAAAGGACATTCTATAAAATATCTGACTGATACATCTCAAAACTATGAAAGTCGTCAAAAACAAGAAAAATTTGAGAACTCTCACGGTTGAAGCAACATGACTGCTCAATATAATATGCTATACTGGATGAGATCTTGGAACAGAAAAAGATTAGGCAAACAACAGAATAAAATATGGATTATAGTTAATAATGTGTCAATATTGTTTAATTGATAATAATAGATGTACCATACTAATATCTTAGTAAAAAGAAATCTGGATGTGGGGTATATGAGAACTCTCTATATTATCTTCAGTTTTAAAATTAATTCTAAAACTATTCTAAATTAAAATTTTAATTTAAAAAATGCTCCCTTTTTGAAATTCATGTTGGGTATTTGGTGTCAATTTGAAATCCCATAATAGTGCTCAAATTCAAAGCAACAAGCGACTTTTAATCATTCAGCATTGAAAATTTCCTTGCCCTTAAAATTTGCTATCTTGTGCAGATAACATATATAAGCAAGAAATATTTGACGAAATGACACAAGAACAATATACAATTAAGGGATAAAATGAAGAGATAAGACAAAGAAGAACTCTTGGCATTGAGAAGTAAATGTGCAAAACAGTTAACTGTCTCAGAAAAATCAGGGATGTAGAACAGTGTTGTTCAATAGAACTTTCTGTGATGATGGAAATGATTGCATGTGCTGTATAATATGTAGCCACAGCTACCTGTAGCTATAGAGAACTTGAAATATGGCTAGTGTGACTGGGGAAATGAATGTTTTATCTTCTCCAGTTTAAATTGAATTGGATTTAAATAGCGACATATGACTAGCGCCTACTGTATTAGTGTGAAATTAGTGTTTGAGCTAAACACAGAAGCCCAAGTAAAACTTCGGTAGATAGCCCATTTCAGTGCAAGGACACACTATAGTTAATAAAAGACACCATGCTTGTGGAACAGTGAGTAGATCCATGAGCTACTACATCAATCAACCTTCAAATCTATCCCACCTCTGTACTTCCTGTTCTTTGATCCAAAACTCATTTTCTATGTAAGCCAATTTTAGCTCTTCATATGAGCTATGCATCCAAATTTAATCTTCTCTTTAAGGTTTTTTGTTCTAGTTTAAACTTGGTCTTTAGAAGAGAAAATTGAGAGAAGCAAAATCATAAAAGAGAAAGAAAAGGTATATCTGATCCATGAGGGAGAACTTGCTTTTTTATGTCTCTGATGTTCTAATCTGATTTTATGCCGTACTAAATTGTGATGAGTCCCATTTAGCTTAACCTTATTTTTATACTCGTGCGTTGCCAGCCATAGTTTTTCGATTAGTTAGCTGGAGTTCTTATAAAAAGGATATCACGGCCAGGCACAGTGGCTCACGCCTGTAATCCTAGCACTTTGGGAGGCCGAGGAGGGCGGATCACGAGGTCAGGAGATCGAGACCATTCTGGCTAACACGGTGAAACCCCGTCTCTACTAAAATACAAAAAAATTAGCTGGGCTTGGTGGCAGACGCCTGTAGTCCCAGCTACTCGGGAGGCTGAGGCTGGAGGATGGCGTGAACCCGGGAGGCCGAGCTTGCAGTGAGCCGAGATCGTGCCACTGCACTCCAGCCTGGGCGACAGAGCGAGACTCCGTCTCAAAAAAAAAAAAAAAAAAAAAAAGGGATATCACTTTCATCTCTCCTTACAACTCTTATCTACTTCCATTGTATAAAGCTTGAAGAGATGAGTTGGATATGAGATAAAGCTTCTTCAACAGGTGCAGGCACTCAACAATCTTAGCTATAAGTGAGAGAAAGATGCATCAGGTAGGTGAGAATTACTTCTACCATGTAGTTTTCCATCAACCACTCTAAAATTGCCTAGAAGCCTGAGCCTAAGAAGAAGATTATAAGTATTGATTATTCATCTTCCCATAAAAAACCATTAAGAATAATTCCATTACATGTTTATATCATTGACCACCAAAAGTTCAATCCTCAAAGGTCATCCATCATCATCTGAGCACTTACACCTAAAGTCTCTATGTACCTCTCCACTAATGTGACCCTCTATCCCAACCCTCCCCAGTGCTGCAGACATTTCCATTAAAGCTCCTAGGAATGTACTGTCATCAACAAAACTGCCTGTACACTCACAATCTTTTATGAGCGTTAGCTTCACTTTCTTGCTTTAATTGAAGTCTAGTGATTTCTGAGGTCACTTATCTCCTTGAAGATCTCTCAAACAGAGAATAGATTTACTCTATTCTCTGAGAAACCTTCAGGTGGTATCATCCTTGTTTCTCATTGCTGGTCAATGGGTTGGCAGATCTATGCACTTCCAGAATGCTTATCAATCCTTGTCTCTCAATCAAGCCAGCTACTTTGAAGCACATGCCATCAGATTACACCAACTCTTACCCTTCCTTGTTTATTTTCCAAATTCCCAGTCACTTTCACTCATTGAAAATTTTAGTGACTGGTTCATGTGCTTCTCTTCAAAACTACTTCAGTTATTAGTCTCTGAAATAATAAATTCTAAATAGAAAATTAATCTATTAATAACATCTAGGCTCAGTCACTTTCAGTAACATATTTTTCTAAAATCCCCTTCAGTCACACTATTTTGTAATCATACCCTAAAACTTGGCATTAACTGTAACAATATTTGCAGTTTAGCCATCTCTCTGAACAGAGATTCTTATTATTCCAGGTTTCTAGTATCCCATCCCAAAAATTTTATGAGGCCATCAGAGCTGCCAATCCATTGGTCATTCTGTCATTTTTTCACCACGCATTAATCACCTAATATCATTATTATCCTCTTTACCTAATTTAAGTCAATGTTCAATCACTATGATTACTCTCTCGTCTTTACTCACAACTCCCTTACCTATAGTTACTCCATCATACTTCTTGGAAAAATCCTAAACAAGGTTAAACCCTATGTTCTGCTGTAATAAACCTTTACTTAGGAAGTGTTGAAAAACATACAACTGTGCTGATTGGGCTCCCTTTTAATTCATATGTTACAACGCTAAGGTTGTTCCTTTTTAGAGCCTGTAAATCATGTTACTCTTACTTTTCTCATCTCTCAAGTGATTCTTTCAAATCTTTACGTATGTTCTGTTGTGAAATACCAAACACTTGCTTTTATTCCAACTGCTAACTTCAATTTCTATTTGCTTGAAGACAGAAGCAATTAGGAGAGAATCCCTTTATTGCTTTCCCACTATATTTAGCAAACTCTTGGTATGTAGGCACACTGTCTTCTGTGTCATGCAAGAACAAGAGACTAAAATGCTAATGCCTATTCTTCTGCTTCTGCACCTGACCTCACCTCTTCTTTCCTATACAAGGACTTTGCTCTTAATCATTATTCCTCTTTCCTAAATTATCTATTTTTTCTCTACTGTATCTTTATGATCAGTTCAAAAATTACATATATGCATAATATGAGCAACTCCCACATGGTAGCCTCTTTCACTCATTGTGGTATTCATTCAAGAATCCCCTCCACAGAGAGGCCTCCCCTGACTACCCTATCTAAATACAGTGTCTAAACATATCATTTTCTCTTGCTCTAGGCTGTTTTATTTTTTCTTCATAGCTCTAGTGATTACTGGAAGGTAAACTTACAACATTGGTGGTTTAGATGGTTGACTCTGTTTTTAAAGTCAGGGATCAAAACTGTTGCACATTGGCACCTCCATTGTCTCATTCAATTCCTGGATCACAGTAGATTTTGATTATTAAAAAAAGCAAAAGTTCAAATTAATTGACTAGTCTTAGGCTTAAAACCATGGACTTAATATAATGTTACATTGCATGATACTATTGTTAGTGTCCTGAGGAAATGGCAGCCCACAAAAGAACACCATGAATGACAGGTAAAGGTCCTCGGTGCTACAGTTAAGATGGAAGTTGGTGGAATTTGACAGAAAGGGAGTGAAGCCCTCTTTTCCCCATGTGAGTTTAAGTCAAGTGAGAGAAAGTAAAGAGATGGGCAAATGAAGCACAAACATTATTTTTATTAAACTAGATAGTTTATATGAATAGCCACAATGGGTTTCCAAATACAGAAGCTCAGAATTATCCAGACTTTCCATTTGTACTCAGAGTGAGTAAACAAAGATTCCGCCCTGTAAATAAAAGGGAAAAGAAATGTAAGTTTCCTACAGGCAATAACTCCATGATCAGTTCTTACTAAAAATTCTCCAACTGGAATTCAATTCTCCTACTCCTGGAGGATGCCAGTGAATTAGTAAAGAAAGATCATGAGTTTTACACTAATGAATATCACTCTACATGAAAACACAAAGAATGGAGCATAAGGACTCCTTAAGAATAAGACCCAAACCGTGAAAGACAAAATAATATTCTTAGTTTGTATACCTAGAGAACAAACAGAGCCTCAACTAAACTTTCTACTGCAAACTGATTAGTATATGAAAATATTTTAATATCGGTGAGAAAAAAAGAAGTGAGAAATTATCAACGGACTTTTTTGATATTAAATAATCTGGATATATTGTCTTTGGAAGAACTTATGTGCCAGTTATTTATTGTCACAACAATACTGCAGTGATAACACCATAGAACAAACAACCACAAAAGTGTATGTATAATTAACAATAATTAGTCATTGTGCATGTGTCTGTAATCAAGTGGGGGTCAGTTAAGGGGATCCCCTGACATTGTTTATGCTTGCTTAGATACCTGGAGCTCAGAGGGCTGTTGAGGGAGGTAGGCTGGCTTCTGCCAGAGTGACCAGGGCAACTGGACAACTGTAATGTGACACAGGCCCAGTGACCCAGGCTAACTGCGGAGACACAAGAAAGAATACATTGAAATATGTCAGACCCCTTAAGGTCTAGGTTCATACTAGGCACCTTCTCTTAAAAATCACCCTATAGATCAAAGCAATGTGTATGTCCAAGTTTAGGATGAAGAGGTGAGTGAATATGCCCCATCTCTTTTTTGGAAAGGATTGCAGGATCACATGACAAAGGGTACAAATATAGTTAGGGAGGAAGAATTAGGACCATTAATGCAGTCTATCACAGTGTAACATTGAGGCAGTGACTAGATTTTAAAATTTAGTTACTGACAGAAGAAAGATGGCATACATAGCCACATTACAATTGAGTTTTCCTCATTTCTAATATTTGCAACATATCCAATATATATCAGTATCAATATATTCAATATATTATACCATTATCATCTTCTGCATAATTATTGTTATGTAAACAATTCATCTTGGTGTGAGATACATTGTTTAGAAACAAACTGCTCTTTTAGGTTGTAAAGAATTTGTCACCTCATAACTACTCACGAAAAGATGTAGAACCACTTGTTAGTACAACGAGAACTCAAAAGTCATGATGATTCCTAGTAGGGAGGTAATCCTACTCAGGGGCAGCTTATGCAGAAGAATATAAACCAAACCCAGTATGTCAGGAAAATACCTATAAGTGCAAATGAGAGGCTTACAATTGATTGAGTCACAGGATAAAGTGGAATAACAAACACTGTTTGTTCAGGTTGGCAGTCCCAGGTAATAATTTAGTAGCTCAACTACAAGAGACATGAGTCTGGCTCACAGGACTCAGATTCACATGTGGGAATCCAGAGACCCAGACTGTCTATGGTAAGGAAATACTGAAGATCTTAAACAGCAAGCACTGGTGTCTCTGCTACTCCCAGACCCTAACTTATAAATTATTAATTCCTTCACCTTCGGCTTTCCTGCTTTTCTAAATAGTCTTCACATGAAATCTGTAGTTAGATTTTACTTAGTGCTATAGAAAAAGATATTTACCAAGCAAATGCTAACATGAGAAGATTTTGAGTGCTAAAATTAGGAGTGCACTCATTGTATTAATCTGTTTTCACACTGCTATGAGAACTACCTGAGACTGAGAATGGGTATTTTATAAAGAAAAGAGTTTTAATTAAATCACAGTTCCACAAGGCTGGGGAGGGCTCAGGAAACTTACAATCATAGAGGAAGGCAAAGGGGAAGCAAGGCATGTCTTATATGGAGACAGGAGAGAGAGCGAGGGAGGAAGTGCCAGACTTCTAAACCATCAGATCGCATGAGAAAGGACTCAGTATCAGGAGAACAGCAAGGGGGAAGTCCACCCCCATTATTCAGTCACTTCCCACCATGTCCCTCCCCTGACATGTGGAGATTACAATTCAAGATGAGATTTGGGTGGGGACACAGAGTCAAACCATATCATTCCAGCCCTGACCCCTCACAAATCTCATATTCTTCTCACATTTTAAAATAAATCATGCCTTCTCGACAGTGCCCCAAAGTCTTAATTCTTTCCAGCATTAACTGGAAAGTCCAAGTCGAAAGTTTCATCTGAGACAAATCAAGTCCATTCCACCTAGGAGCCTATAAAATAAAAAAACAAGTTAGTTACTTCCAAGATACAATGAGGATACAGGCATTGTGTAAAATGCTCCCATTGCAGAAGGGAGAAGTTGGCCAAAACAAAGGGGCTACAGGCCCCACACAAGTCTGAAACCCAGCAGGGCAGTCATTAAATCTTAAGTCTCCAAAATAATCTCCCTTAACTTCACTTCTCACATCCAGGGCACATTAATGCAAGGGATGGGCTCCCAAAGCCTTGGGCAGTTCCATCCCTGTGCCTCTTCAGGAGACAGCCCCCGAGGCTGCTTTCACCAACTGGCGTTGATTGCCTGTGGCTTTTCCAGGTGCACAGCTGTTGGTAGATTTACCATTCTGGGGTTTGGAGGACAGTGGCCTCTTTCTCACAGCTCCAGTATGCAGTGCCCCAGTGGGGATTATGTGTTGGGGCTCCAATCCCACATTTCCCCTCTACACTGCCCTAGTGGAGGGTCTCCATGAGGGCTCCACTTCTGCAGCAGAATTCTGTCTGGACATCTAGGTGTTTCCATTCATCCACTGAAATCTAGGCAGAGGTTCCCGAACCTCAGTTCTTGTCTTCTGCACACTTGCAAGAACAACACCATGTGGAAGCTGCCAAGGCTTGGAGCTTTTACCCTCTGAAGCAATGGCCTGAGCTGTACCTTGGCCTCTTTTAGCCATGGTTGGAGCTGGAGCAGCTGGGACACAGGGTGCCATGTCCTGAGGCTGCACAGAACAGCAGGGCCCTGGGCCGTGCACATGAAACCATTTTTTCATCCTAGGCCTCAAGGCCTATGATGGGAGGAACAGCCATGAAAATCTCTGAAATGCCCTGGAGACATTTTCCCATTATCTTGGTGATTAACATTTTGCTTCTCTTTAATTATGTAAAGTTTTGCAGCCAGTGGCTTGAATTCCTCCCCAGAAAACCTGGATTTTCTTTTCTACTGCATGATCAGGCTGCAAATTTTCCAAACTTTTATACTCTGCTTCTCTTTTAAACATAAGTTCCAATTTCTGATAATCTCTTTGTAAATACATATGACTGTATGATGTTAGGAGCAGCCAGGCCACATCTTGAATGCCTGGATGTTTAGAAATTTCTTCCACCAGATACCCTAATTCAGTTCTCTCAAGTTCAAAGCTCCACAGATCTCCAGGACAGGGGCAAAATGCCACCAGTCTCTTTGCTAAAGCACAGCAACAGTGACATTTACTCCAGTTCCCAATAAGTTCCTCATCTCCATCTGAGACCACCCCAGCCTGGACTTCATTGTCCATGTCACTATCAGCATTTTGGTCAAAAGCATTCAACAAGTCTCTAGGAAGTTCCAAACTTTCCCACATCTTCCTGTCTTCTGCTGAGCCCATCAAATTGTTTCGACCTCTGCCTGTTACCCAGTTCCAAAGTCGCTTCCACATTTTTAGGTTCCTTTATCACACCTGGTACCAATTGTCTGTATTAGTTGGTTTTCCCACTGTTATAAAGAACTACCTGAGACTGGGTAATTTATAAAGAAAAGAGATTTAAATGACTCACAGTACAGTATGGCTGAGGAGGCATTGGGAAACTTACAATTATGGTGGAAGGCAAAGGAGAAGCAAGACATGTTTTTCATGGTGGCAGGAGAGAGAGAGTGAAGAGGGAAAGTGTCACACTTTTAAACCATCAGATCTTGTGAGAACTCCCTCACTATCATGACAACAGCAAGCAGGAAGTCCATCTCCATGATTCAATCACCTCCCACAATGCTCCTCCTCCAACACATGAGGATTACAATTCAAAATGAGATTTGGGAGAGGACAGAGTGCCAAACGATATCACTCGTTATGAATGAGGTAAGAGTATAGCAAAGAAGATAAAGAGTCAATGAAAAGTGCTCTAGAAAAGAAAGAGAAAAAAGGAGTGAAGACTTAAAAGAGGGAAGATGAATAGGTAGAAGAATCAAATTAAACTAGGACATGAAGAGTTTTCTTCATATGTATAAAAATAGGATGATCGATTGGTCTTTTATTGCTTACATTTTTCTTGTTGACCATGATAGGGAAGAAAAATAATGGCAGAGGTTTTAGGCAAGTGTGTATCAAGGAAATATAGATCAGCTTTTGTTCCAAGAAGTATGGACTTTACAAAACTCACACTGTATATACTCATTGGGTTAGTAAGTTTAATTCCAGTGGATGTGTTATATATCAATGAGTGTGTAGAGTAAGTATATAATGATAATGTATTATGCCTATGAATATGTGTTATGGGTATTCATTGCAGTGTTTTATGACATCAATGGATTAAACTACCACTTGCTTGCTTTCTCCAAATGAAAGCCAGCTAAAACTGTCAAAAGGCACATCCAGGTCAGTTGAATAGATCAGTGATAAGAACTGACAAAAAGTGCAGCTTTTTCATTCTGCAAGCAATATTTACTCTAAAAACCTATCTAAATAATTTGGCTGGCTGGGAACGGTGGCTTATGCCTGTAATCCCAACATTTTGGGAGGCCGAGGCAGGTGGATCACCTGAGGTCAAGTGCTCGAGACCAGCCTGGCCAACATGGTGAAACCCCATCTCTACCAAAAATACAAAAATTAGCCAGGCATGGTGGTGGGCACCTGTAATCCCAGCTACTCAGGAGGATGAGGCAGGAGAATTGCTCGAACCCTGGAGGCAGAGGCTGCAGTGAGCCAAGATCATGCCACTGCACTCCAGCCTGGGTGAGAGACCAAGACTCCATTTCAAAGATAACAATAACAATAATAATAATAATTATTATTATTTAACTGCTGACTCTATCATAAGTAGAAAGAAAAACTAAATTTGTACTTTTAAAGCCAGAGAATGTAACTGAAATTCTTAAGCACTCTCTGTCCAGTCTACACCATTCAATTCCCTTTCATCTTAGAAGAAAATTACTGTGGTCAAAAGTCATTGCTTTAAATTCCTATATATATGTTTTAAGACACAGAATGCTAAATTCAAAAGCTGTTATCAAGTTTCTGATAAGGGTTTTGTGATAGGAAGTCTAATTTTGTATGGTTATAGTTATTAATGAGCATTGTGGTGATTTAGGCTCTCACTCCTACACATGGATTGCTGATCCAGTAGAAATGTGCTACAACTAAGTTCTCTGGGGTTGTACCTGAATCCTTTCTCCATGGCATTATTTTGGCTTAGTCTGTCTCAGGAAGTTATACTGATATGTTGCTTCCCAAGAGTGTCAATGTGCTTTCTCTTTCATGTGTTTGCTTGGAAATACAGCCTGTTGAGAGAAACAACTGTCAGCTTCTACTTAAACATATTTTACCTAAAATCTACAAAGCATCCATCCCTTTGAAGATTGTTACAGGTTTATGTGTCAATTTAATATGCCATATTCTCCTGGAAAGGCTGGTACTATTTCAAAGTAATCCCATATTTACAAAATACAAGTAGAAGTTGACAAGAACTTAAACATAACCAATTTTCTCTTTCGTAAATGCGTAGATCAATTGTGATGATAAATGTATTCTGACATTATTTAATCCGAATTTATTTTTGCCTTTCAGGCATTCTTGAGAATTCATATGCAGATTTTGCATTTTGTAGCTTTTATAAAATAAATGTTCTATACCAGGTTGATTTGGATGAGCATATAAGGGAAGCAGAAATTTTTCAGTAGATGAATGTGTATTCATAATGAAAATGGGCATTCTAATCTTTGATGGGTTGTCCAAGGAAATGTCTTATATTTGCAATTCTTCGAAGCCAACTCCATGGTTCTGTGGAATATGAGACATATATTGTTTTGTCTTATATTTATTTGTTTCACAGATTATATTGAGTAAATGACATGTGTCAAATATTTGTTAATCAATAGAATTGAGGTCTTTTTATTCCCAAGGTCTTTCACAGAGCCCTATCATAGAGGATGTTTAAAATGCTTGTGGTTGTATTGTCTCCCCTTCTGTAATGTTTAGTTGCTCTATGCTTATTATTGTTACATTTTATGGAAAATTACGTTTTTGGAAAAATCACGCTAAAAAAATCTATGCTACATTATAAAGCCAAATAGAAATTTTCTCATGACTTGAAGCTATTGTGGAATGTTACTGCCACTGTACTTTTTCATGAGACTAAATTATTGAGAAGCAGTAAATTGCCTCAACAGCCTGAGATTTTTCCTCCTATGATTGCCTGATCACACATTTTAAATTTAGGTCTGTTTGTTTCTGCAGGAGTAAATCTACTCAGGTAGTCCTAGTGAGATTTGTTAAGTATTAGAAAATCTATCCTGCTCCCACATCATCATAGCAATACCACAGCAGTTAAAATGAGTGTCATTAAAATTCCTCTCTTTGAGGTTAAAACTTTCACCTAAAAATGTCAGTTTTGAAATGAGAGTACCCCCAAAAGTAAATTTCTTTTCTTATCCTTAACACAGTTATAATTTGTCAAGTAGATGAAAAAGAAGAGAACATAGATCAAGCAGAAAAATTTAAATAATCAGTTTTATCGAAGAATGTCTTACATAAAGTTATTTCACTCACTTTATTAAATTGAATAAATTTTGTAAAAGGTATTACTGTGTTTCTGCCACAGTCAAGAAACAGAAACCCTTTTTACACCCAAAAAGGATATCTCATGGTCCCTGATATTGAAATGCATATTTCCATCCCCGGTTCATGGGAGCAGTGCTCTTTGTACCTATAGTTTGGTCTTTCATAGAATTTCTTATCAATTGGATCACACAGAATGTGGCTTTTTTCGCTCAACATAATATCCATCCATTATGTTAAGAGTATTGGTAGTTTATTTAACCATTTATATTTTGATGAAACATTAGTATTGTGTCCAGGTTTGGGATTTTACAAATACAGCTGCTATGCAACTTCTCGTATGAGCCTTTGTATGTTCATATGTTTTAATTTTTCCTGACAAATACCCAGAATTGGGATTGCTGAGCCATATGGAAAGTGTATGTTTAGCTTTGTAAGAAACTGTCAAACTGTTTTCCAACATGATTGTACAGTATTACATTTCTACTAGCAATCTATGAGAATTTCAATTGCTCTACCTCCTCACCCACATGTAGTATTGGAAGCCTTTAATTTCTTCTATTCTGGTGGGTAGATAATAATGTCTAATTGTGGTTTCATTTACATTTCCCTGGTGACTAAACACGTTGATTATCTTCGCATTTGTTTTTTGGCCATTCACATACTATTGTTAGTGAACTGTCTGCCCATATCTTTTGCCCATTTTTAAATTGAGTCATTAGTCTTATTATTCAGTTATGAGAGTTCTTTATATACTCTCCATACAAGTCTTTAATCAGATATAAGATTTATAAATATTTTCTCCCAGTTGTGACTTGCCTTTTCATTTTCTCAGCAGAGACTTCAGCAGAGCAACAGTTTTCTTTTTTTATTTTCTTTTTTGGATGAAGTTCAATTTATAAAATTTTCCTTTATGTTTTGTTCTTTTGGTATTCTAGCGAAGAAGTCATTATTCACCCCAGGGCCAGAAAGAGTTTTTCCTATGTTTTCTTTTAGAAGTAGTATAATTTTAGCTCTTTCTTGTGTTTAGTTGTGAGGTAAAGGTCAAGTTCTCTGTATGGATGTATGTATATATGTATACTACTTTGTATATTGATGTCCATTTCCTCATGTACCACTTGTTGAAAATATTACCTTTATTTTATTATTGAATATCATCATATTTGGATGAGTCCACGTACTGTTTATTGTGTTTCACTGATTATGTTTATCTTCACATCAATATTTTGATGACAATCTCAATTACTACATAACTTGAAATTAGATACTATAAATTATCTAATTTAGTTTCTCTTTTGTTAAATTGTTTTGATATTTTAGTTCTTTGCATTTCTACTTAATTTTAGAACCAGTGTATCAATTACAACAACAAAGCTTTGTGGAAATTTGACTGCAATGAGTCCACAGATGAATTTAAAGAAAATCGACATCTTAAAAACCTTGATTTTTCTGATCCATGCATATAGTATATTCCTCCATTTTGGAGTCTTCTTTAATTTCCCTTAGGAATATTTTAGTTTTCAGTGGATGTCTTATACATATTTTATAAAATATATCCCTAGGCATTTTGTAGTTTGATGCTATAATTAATGACATTATTTAATTAATTTCAATGTCTTCTTATTTATTTTTAGTGTATATCATTACAATTGACTTTTGCGTAATGACCTTACATCATACAACTTTTTGAACTTACTTTTTGGCTATGAAAAGTCTGCTGTAATTATTATCTTCTTTTCTTTGCATGTGTTGTGTCTTTTCTCCAGCTTCTCGTCATTTTTAATTATTGATTTCTAGTAAATTGATTATAATGTATCATGGTGTGGTTTTGCTTATATTTGTTCAACTTAGTATCTCTTTTTAAATGTGACTATTTAAAATGTTTTTGAAATATTTTTATTTTTATTTCTTCAACTATCTGCCCCGTACCTCTAGGACTCCAATTTCACTTATATATGTATAATGTGATATGTCTTATAGGTTTCTGATGAACTACACTTTTCATTTTTTTTCTCTTACTGTGCTTTATTTTGAATAGTTTCTATTTGTAAGCCTTCCAATCCATTGGTGTTTCATTCGGTAGTGTCTAATCTTCAATTAGTTGCCTCCAGTGTATTTTTTATTTTGAATATTATATTTTTCTCTTTCTCTAAAATTTCTCAAGTTTTTACTTTTCTACTATCCATTTCTCATTTCATGCTTTTCTTAACTTCCTCAAGTGTATTTATAATGTTTAGACCGCATTTTCATCTTACCATTCCAATATTTTTGTTATTTTGAGTTTGTTTCTATTGATATTTCATTCTCCTGATGATATGTCATATAATCCCGCTCTTTGGTATCCCTGATAATTCTTCATTAGATAAAATACTTTGTAAAATGTGAGGTCTTCAATGGTGATTTTTTTTTTCTTTTAATAGTTTTTAACTTTTTTTCTGGCATGTAGTTAAGTTACCTAGAACAAGTTCAATCCTTTCAAGGATTTTTGTTTTTGTTTTTGTTTTTGTTTTTTTGAGAAGGAGTCTCACTCTGTTGCCCAGGCTGGAGAGAAGTGGTGCCATCTTGGCTCACTGCAAGCTCCGCCTCCCGGGTTCACGCCATTCTCCTACCTCAGCCTCCCGAGTAGCTGGGACTACAGGCGCCCGCCACCACGCCCGACTAATTTTTTTGTATTTTTAGTAGAGACGGGGTTTCACCGTGTTGGCCAGGATGGATTCGATCTCCTGACCTCCTGATCCGCCTGCCTCAGCCTCCCAAAGTGCTGGGATTACAGGCGTGAGCCACCACACCCCGCTGACCCCAACTTTTTCATTGAAGTTTCAAAACAGCCTTCTAAAGCCATTGCACAGGCATGTATCTTCTGAGGACTCTACCCATCACTGCACGTGTGAAAACATTTAACAAATCTGACTGTTGGGAACACAAATTCTTCTCAGCCTTAGGTGATATCCAGATAATTTTCAAAATATTATTTTCTAGTTTTTTTTCCATGGCTTTGTAAAATATTACTCCATGCATTCAAGATTTCCAGTAAATCAAAGACCCAAGAAGACTCAACTATAAACGTCTCAAATTCTCTCTCTGAGTGTGTAAAACTTCCGCCATTTAAATATTCTGCCGCACAGAATTTAGACAAATTTTTCACTGAGCTCTAATCTTTGTCTCTCCAACTTAGCTAGATTGTTAGGCCCAGTTTGAATTTTCCCTTGGTCCACTGTGATCTGCAAACTGCCCTCGGTGTATAAACGGTACATTTTAAGATTCACCTAATTATTTCACCTAATTTTTCTAATCTCAGAGATCACAGTTCTGTACTGTGCTATTGTCCTATGTATGAAGTCAGTTGTTTTACATATTTTGTTCAATTTTATAAATTTTTTTGGCATAAAGGCAATTTTCAGAGCAGTTCCTCTTTCATAGATGATAGTGGAATTTCAGATCAGTTTTGATGAAAGTGAGAGATGAAACATTTAGAAGAAATGAAAGTGGGAGATAAAACATTTAGAAGAAAAAGCATGGTACTAAGGGGTAATGCCGAGTAGAGAATTGAAGCAGGGAATTTTGGAAAACCACAGGATAGCAATGAAGGGCAGTTATGAATGAAAGCAAAAAGACAAGTTTTACTTACTGCCCTATATTTTAAATGTAAGAATACTCTATTTTAGCCATGTTTATTTCCATGGAAAATTCTATGAAGGATTCAGCAAAGTTCCATAAGGAATCATCATCCTAAAGTGACTTTTTACAACTTCTGAACTGCTGTGGGACAGAGTCTGGGTTTGGCCTTTAAAAAATCTCAGATTGGGTAAATTTTTTTCTCCATCCAATTACTCCTTTTTCAGCTATGTGTTTACCCAGTTTGGCACCTCTGTCCTTTCTGTCCCTTGCTCCTTGCATTAAAGATGTAAAATACCCTTCCAAGGTTCTATTACCACATTTAAACCTATTTCTTCTCTAAGAAGAAATCATTATCTACCCACTAGAAGAGAAGAAATTAAAGGCTTCCAATACTACGTGTGGGTGAGGAGATAGAACAATTGAAATTCTCATAGATTGCTAGTAGAAATGTAATACTGTACAATCATGTTGGAAAACAGTTTGACAGTTTCTTACAAAGCTAAACATACACTTTCCATATGGCTCAGCAATCCCAATTCTGGGTATTTGTCAGGAAAAATTAAAACATATGAACATACAAACGCTCATACAAGAAGTTGCATAGCAGCTGTATTTGTAATACCAAAACCTGGACACAATACTATTGTTTCATCAAAATATAAATGGTTAAATAAACTACCAATACTCTTAACATAATGGATGGATATTATGTTGAGTGAAAAAAGCCACTTTTTTAAAATTATACTTTAAGTTCTAGGGAACATGTCACAATGTGCAGGTTTGTTACATATGTATACATGGGCCATGTTGGTGTGCTGCACCCATTAACTCGTCATTTATATTAGGTGTATCTCCTAATGCTATCCCTCCCTGCTACCCCCACCCCACAACAGGCCCCAGTGTGTG
Source organism: Homo sapiens (assembly GCF_000001405.40). Lineage (NCBI taxonomy): Eukaryota > Metazoa > Chordata > Mammalia > Primates > Hominidae > Homo > Homo sapiens. The sequence continues at coordinate 16,703,575 of NC_000021.9, forward strand.
ATGTTCCCCTTCCTCTGTCCATGTGTTCTCATTGTTCAATTCCCACCTATGAGTGAGAACATGCGGTGTTTGGTTTTTTGTCCTTGTGATAGTTTGCTGAGAATGATGGTTTCCAGCTTCATCCATGTCCCTACAAAGGACATGAACTCATCTTTTTTTATGGCTGCATAGTATTCCATGGTGTATATGTGCCACATTTTCTTGATCCAGTCTATCATTGTTGGACATTTGGGTTGGTTCCAAGTCTTTGCTATTGTGAATAGTGCCACAATAAAACATATGGGTGCATGTGTCTTTATAGCAGCATGATTTATATTCCCTTGGGTATATACCCAGTAATGGGATGGCTGGGTCAAATTTAGCTTTGACTATCAAGACTAGAAAGCAAGGATAGGAAGGACAAGAGATTCCTGGATTTCAATGCAAGATTTTAATATCTTTTTTTTTTTAAGTATACATTGATTACTTTTGTAAAGTTTATAAAACATTATAAATAACGTAATTCAAAAGGAAAAAAATACTCTCTGCCTTGAAAAACAAGTACATCCCAAATGGAATGAGGATCCTGGAACTATGGGGAAGTACAAAGCACTCCAGAGAGTCTTGAACTTCGGCCATGTGATGGCACAGAAGGAATGGATATTTTCCCCTTGACTTCAAGTTTATTCTTTCTCCTTCCACAATGGTCTAGCATAAAGTAAATCCTCTCTGTGTTTTTATTTAAGTGTATATGCTAAAATAAATTTTGTGGAAAAAAGACAAATATCTTTTACATAGTCTAGTGATAAACTGACAAAAAGAAAATTTTTAAATACTTGGGTGATAAATTATATCAGATGATTCCTAATGAATAATGGGCACTGATACAAACAATTCCTAATGTATAATGAGGCTGATTGTTTTCCTTCCTTTGGTTTCTATAATTAGGTTTAAAATATCCCTGCAAGGTGAAGGGAATTATACTTTTAATTTTTTAATATAATATTGAGCATATTCAATTAAGGGTGTCAACATAGCAGAGTTGATTCTATGCCTGCTATTTGGAGACTCGCTATCATGGACTTTGAAGAACATTATGTTTTACTTTAAGAAGAAGATTTGTGTTACTAAATACATGGAGACACGAGGGAGAAGTTGAAGATTGGGTTAAAGAATGTAAATGTTCACTCTGAATTTACCTACTGCTAAAGACCCAAGTTAAGTAAGTGTATTTTCATGTATTAAATACACTTTTTATTTAATGTATTAAAGTACACTTAGTACATTTAGCTTAAATAAGACAAAATTTGCCTATATGTATTATGACTTCATTTTGAAACAACTTTCTGATGTAGTATTGTTCCAAATATTCTAAGGAGAAGGAATGGTTCATCTTGAACCACTTTATCCCTGTAGCTCTAAGTTAGAGCAAGCAACACATCTTAGTGATCAAAATTTATTTCTTGATTTAGTGATACTATGCCTTCTCTTCTATATTTGCTTTATAAAGGCTCACATACTTGTGGTCACTGTATTTCTGCCCTGAGACTTCTATTTCTTATAACAAATACTTCTGAATTCATTATATTTCTTAAAGTTTATCCTTACCAACACATATTGTTTTCTCTTCAGCTTTTTGAAGTCAATTCAAGCAAATCAATGTAAATAGACTGCAAAATTTGCCATCTTCTTTGAAAATGGCCTAGCCAATTGTGACAAAAATTTTAAGTTGACATTCTTATTTTCCATTGGAATATTTCTATTTTTATTGTAGTATAAGAAAAACCAAACATATGTGTGATATTAATGTATTACATTTGAGACTAAAAGCCTATTATTTCACTTTGTTTCTGCCTACAAAATAGATGACAGTAGAAGTTCATTTTCAGGATTCTAAATATTAGAAGTATTCAAATATTAAATTTTTTGAAATTATTTTTAAAATGATTACCTATGAAAAAGTGTTGGCTGTATAATAACTGAGGAATCAATTGTAAAAATGAAGAACCAAAATGTTTGCACTAGAGAGCCAAAAGGATAGATGAAGAACAAGGTGGTAGAAAAAAGATTGCATTTTATGTCATTTCAATTTGTGCACCATATGATGTACTACGTATTTAAAATAAACTGAAAGGCTTATGATGGTGGTATTAGCCACTCTCAAAAAAGCTAAAAATGAATGGTAGGTGTTCGCTCGGTGGCCCAATCTGTGTGACCCAGACAAGGTGTTGTCTTTTTAATGATGATTGAGAGTGTTATAAAAATTGCATAGATTTTATGAAAGATAATTTGTTACAAAACTGGAGATACTCCAGATGTACAAGATGAAAGAAGTATTTGAAAAGGAAAGACGTAACAAGAGGAAGCAGATGACACTGATGGATGTTTTTTAAAATGCGCTCGTAACATCCGCTCCTTTGGTTTCACACATGCTGTTAGAACTATTCCTGATGAACTGTTTTCCTACAACACTATCTATAGATCAATAAGGATTCTCTGGGAAATAAAGTTTCTTGCTTTTTTTTGTTATTAAGCAAAATGCCTGTTGCCACTTTTAAGGGGAAAAAACCAATATTGCAAATTTATTTTCAAAATGGAATATTTGCAATGCAATTATTTTTCCACTTTTATTAAATATTTAGAATTTATTTCTCTCTACTTTTAAAGAAAGTATTTTAATGTATGTAAAATACAGATATTTAATACATTTTTCTCCTGACTTACATGATATGTTTATGGACAACACAAAGTTGTTTGGAACAAATATTATCCATAAATTATTGACTGCTTATCATAAATCCATATTATGCAGATATATTAAAAACCACAATACCATCTTTATTTTTTATTAGTGTGTTTTTTAGAATCCACACTATCAAATCATAAAAACATTGCTAAAATAGAGAAGGGCTAGTCCTAGACATCAAAGTTAAGTTTTATGTGTATATAAAAAACTTTTTGTTTAAGATGGAATCTCGCTCTGTCGCCCAGGCTGGAGTGCAGTGGTGTGATCTCAGCTCACTGCAACCCCTGCCTCCTGGATTCAAGCAATTATCCTGCCTCAGCCTCCGGAGTAGCTGGGATTACAGGTGCCCACCACCATGCCCAGCAAATATTTTTTGTATTTTTAGTAGAGACAGGGTTTCACCATGTTGGCCAGGCTGGTCTTGAACTCCTGACCTCAAGTGATCTGCTCACCTAGGCCTCCCAAAGTGCTAGGATTACAGGCGTGAGCCACCGTGCCTGACCTAAAGTAATATTTTAATACAATGTAACATCCTTCCCAAATATACTACAGTCTAATTTAAATTTATATTGAACATTAGGAAATATAAAGTTTGAAATTACTCATTTTTCAAATGAAGAAATTAAATGGATAAAAGTCTAATGATTTTATCAACACCACAGGACTAGCTAGTAGACTGAACACAGGAATGGAAGTTGCTGTCTTTTAGCCCAGTGTTCTTGCTTCTAACTCATAAACTCAATTTGCTTTTTGGAAGACTCTTCTAATGGTTATGAAAATTTGGAAATGAATTTGACTATATCCAGCTGATCTTAAGGCATCGTCATGTGTTTTGACATTGGATTGGATTTAGTTTTGAGACACTGTTCTTAATTCAAGAATGTTCACTACTATTGGATATAGGACTGATTTCTGGGCATTCCAAGATTGGAATCAAAGGATAAAGAAGTGTGAGAAAAAAAGCAATAGGGAAGTATTTTGGAAAACATTTCTAGAGCAAAACAAAACACAATAAAGAATTGAAAAACTCAAGAAAGAAGATGAGCTGGAATACAAAGGCAAATGGTAAGCAAAGAAACAAATACAACTTATATTTAGTATCAACTAAATGTTGATGTGAAACACAGACTGAGTAAACTGAAACTAAATTGCCAGATGATCTCAACATGTGTATTGGTATGAGTGACATGAAACAGGAGGCAATGAAAGCATGATAACATTTTTGTCTCATTTGGGGAGTGGTTATAGATGGTGTTAAACTTTAGATATTGATATAAAACTACACTGGGATTAAATACTTGTACTCACAAAAGAAATCGGAAGAATCGAGATAGGATATATAATTTCCAAACTGCCAGATAAAAACAACAAAAAAGTGAGTCAAATGAAATACAAATAAAAGGATGAAATGTGATAGATGAGGTAACTGTTAATAAAACCACTGTGGATTGAGAAATTTTAATGTTATATATTTAATGTCTAAATATGAAAATGAAAGATTTTTTGTAATAAAAAAGTTACAGTGACAAAAACACTAGAATAAATTAAAAATTCACAATTGTTAACTAAAGATTTTAAAATGTTTTTCCCAAATCAATAGAACAGTTTTCCCAGTCATTTCATGTCATACAGTAGCTTTACATGAGATAAATTTTATTTTACATATATGTATTTATTTGTATGAATTAATTAAGTATTTTGTACCCAATATTTTTAACAAAGTAGACTGGACCTATGTATAATACCTTAAATTATCCTTACCCTTCATTCACATTTAAATCCATTCCATACGGTACCATACTGGAGTAAAGAACTCTAAATGTGTTGCACTGTTTGCTATTGTCTCCAACAATGAATTGGGGGGAAGGAGTGGGTGGGCAGGAACAAACCCTACTTCAGAAATTTTCAAATTATAATGAAAAATGTTTCATTCTTGCTCAGGATGTACATAGCATTCATGCGAATCTGGAAACTAACCAGTTTCTTTACAAGGAAGGCTTTCTAAATATGTAACAAGAGCTACAACTGCCAGATAATTCTAAATGAGAAGCTAACAGTTTTCTTCCAGCTCTAAAAATACTAAGAAATCCTTCAGTGTTTCTGTTCTAATTTTCCTCATGCTAATTAGATGAGATTGTCATTTTAGAAACCACCCTACTATGTTCTTTTTCTCCTTTAATTAGCACATTAGATCATTATCTGTGCTTTAATGACCCAAAAGGGTGACAATTACAGCTGTTACATTCAAGCCTCACTGGAATGCCCTACTTGGGGCTCATGCCACAGGCCCACTGGAGACAAAGTCAGCATTTATGAGTCATAGCGTCCCTGTAGGATATTAAACTGCTTTTCAGCTGTGTCCCACATGTATCTTGTTCTCTGTCAGGAAAAACTCAGAATCCAGAAAAACTTCCACAAAACAAATGTCATCTACATTGTAAGACTCATCTGACTGGATCATACAAATTCTTGTCCTGAAGAAATAGCTTTCTGTAAGATGGAGAGTTGTCATGATAAAATTCCCATTAACATGGATCACATCCTTGCACTAATCAGTGTACTCTTAGATTTAAAACACTCGTAAACTGATAGATGTAATGTCCCCAAAATATTTGTTCCTATTTATATGACTTTTCTGTTGCATTATTTTTTGAGTAAAGAGTTGTTATGAGTAATTTCTTTCATAATAAGAACTTTTGAGTTAATACACTGAACTTATCCCAATGCAGCTAAGAAAGAAACAAATCATTTGTATTAGCCCATTCTCACGATGTTAACATGGTGGAAGGCAAAGGAGGAGCAAGGGCATGTCTTACATGGCAGCAGGCAAGAGGTCATATGCAGGGAGCTCCCCTTTATAAAACCACCAGATCTCATGAGACATATTCACTATCATGAGAACAGCACAGGGAAAACCCGCCCCTATGATTCAATTACTTCCCACTGGGACCCTCCCATGACAAGTGAGGGTTATGGGAACTACAATTCAATCTGAGATTTGAGTGGGGACACAGCCAAACCATATCATAATTCCTGGTGAAAAATCTAAAATATGTGTTTCCATTAGTTTTGAAACAATGGAACTGTAATGTAAATTGATAATCTTAGAGTCAATTATTTTTTCCTGAATGTATAATTTGGGAATCTTAATAACAACAAAAAAAAATAGATTACTCAGTTACAAAAGTACAACAAATATTTTGGGAGGCCGAGGAAGGTGGATTGCCTGAGGTCAGGAGTTTGAGACCAGCCTGGCCAACACAGTGAAACCCCATCTTTACTAAAAATACAAAAAAATTGCTGGGTTTGGTGGCAGGCGCCTGCAATCCCAGCTACTCAGGAGGCTGAGGCAGGAAAATCATTTGAACCTGGGAGGCAGAGGTTGCAGTGAGCTGAGATCGTGCCATTGCACTCCAGCCTGGGCAACAAGAGCGAAACTCCATCTCAAGAAAAAAGAAAAATGGATTGCTCAGTTACAAAAGTACAACAAATCCCCATGACACAACTTTACCTATGAAACAAACCTGTACTTGTACCCTGGACCTAAAATGAAAGTTTAAAAAAAAAGTACACAAACACTCATGGACATATATTTAATTTAAAATAATTTCACATACCCCCACACAATGAAACCTGTTTTAATATTAAGATTATTAAGGATCTAGCTTCTCAAAAGTCTTATAATCTTTAAATTGTAAACGTCTGAATCTTGGAGGCCTAGCAGATGGGCGAGGAGAGAACAATACACAAAGCCAAAAAAAAAAAAATGCCTGGAATGTGATTGATCTTTGGAATTTGTGCAAACACATAGGGTGGTGCCTACTGAGGAGGCTGCAGAAAGGGAGTATAATAAAAAATCATATTTTTCTGCTTTAAATCAATAAAATTAATTTTATAACAATGTGAAATAATTGTGGATCCAGCTGACAGTTTGCTCAAGGGTAGTTCACTTTAAATACTCAGATACTTCCCTTGCCCTTATCATCTTAACTGGTCACTCGCCCAGAATGGGCTGTGTTTGTAAGTCATGAGATGCTTCTTCCATGACTTTAGTGGCCTCTAAACTCATGTGAAATTTATACGTTTAAGTCTGGTCCAAAATGAATCACATCTGTTTTTTTGGAAACTGTGGCCAACTTAAAACTTTCAAAAGAAAATGAGAACTAAAAACGCTTCCTCTGTCTTAACAGAGCAGAAAGAAAGGATGTGAAAGAATATACAACCTTGACATTATGGATATTACTTTATCCCCTTATATTTGCAGTTTTTATATAAGAAAAAAGTTCTAAAACTAACATTTGGATACATGTCACTGAGTGGCAGAGTTGTTTCAATCATAACTGAAATAGAGAACCATTCGTTCCTTTTTATAACAAAGACGAATTCTTCATTCTGTGAATGAGAATTAACAACCAAGGTTTTCAGGGGCTTAATGTTACAGAAGCTGTCATTAATTATAATGCTTATTATAAAAACGGAATTGTAATAAATCAGGCTGCAGTCAACCACCTTTGAACAGCTAGAATACTTACATACTCGTAGTGTTTTGCTTTTTTTCTTCTCTTTATTCCATGTAATTACTTAGATCATCCTTTTTATTTCCTGATTCTTTCTTGCTTATGGTATTTTTTTGCATAGGGAATGACAAATGAAGAAAATATTGTAGTATTATATGAGTTTTGGTAGGGCAGTCTGGGTTAACAAATGTACTCCATAACATATAATAGACCAAAAACAATAGACATGTATTGCTCCTACCCTTAATAGTTCAAGCAAGGGTCTACTTTTCAAATGGCAGCTCTCATCTTGTGATCATTCAAGAACCCACACTCCTTCATCTGTGACTACCAATCCAGAGGCAAGGTTCTTCATATTTTTGTTTCTGTGCCATGGACTCATCTTTCACTCTGGTAAAGCCTAAAGAAACTTTCTAAGTACAATGCTTTAAAATACATACAATAATAATAGGGCTTAAAGGAAAACAATTATATTGACATACGTTTATCAAAACATGTATATGAAATGAATTTGTGATACAGCAATATATGTCCTTTTTTTTTTTTTTTTTTTTTTTCCAGAGGCAAGGTCTTGCTCTGTTGCCCAGGCTGGAGTGGAGATCATGGCTCACTACAGCCCCAACTTCCTAGGCTCAACTGATTCTCCTACCTCAGCCTCTCGAGTAGCTGGGACTATAGGCATGGGCCACCTTGCCTGGCTAAGTTTTTCTTATTTTTGGAGAGATGGGATCTCACTATATTGCCCAGATTGGTCTTGAACTCGTGGCCTCAATTGATCTTCCTTTCTCAACTTCCAAAAGTGCTAGGATTACAGGTGTGACCCACTGTGCCCAGCCCTATGTGTGTTTTTAAATTAGTATTAGATAACCAGATCTTGCAACACAGTGCTAATAACCACCATAATTTTGAAGTAGTGATGAAGGCAAACAGTATTTTGAGATATCTGCAGCAGAAGAGCTGATACAAAAATATCTATGATTTTAACTGGGAGCCAAGTCACAGGTACTACTATGCCACTGGGATTTGTTGGCTGCCATCATAAGAGAAAGAAATTATAAATTTCAGTTAGATCCAGTTAAAATAGAGATGTAATTTGTTCCCATCCAAGTTCATGAACTCCCTGAATTCTATCCACAAATCCCCGAAGGCTAAGAATCTCAGCCCTTGTCTGCCAAAGCCAGCAGGAGGGAAAAGTGAGCATGGAAGAGCATTTAGTTCTAGTACTTGGTGCTGATATTAACTACAAGTATAATGGAATCAAATAATATCCACAATGTCAATATCGTATATCCTTCCCCTGTTATGAACTTTGTCCCCAAAATGGCACATATAACTTCCTATTGACCATAATTCAGACATATAGGGAAGTAGGAAGGGAGGGAACAGATTCTATGAAAAATATATTTTCTTTATTTTTATTTTACTTTAATTTCTGGGATACATGTGCAGAACATGAAGGTTTGTTATATAAGTATACATGTGCCATGGTGGTTTGCTGCACCTATGAACCTGTCATCTAGGTTTTAAGCCCTGCATGCATTAGGTATTTGTCCTAATGCTCTCGCTCCCCTTGTCCCCCATCTCCTCACAGGCCCTGGTGTGTGATGTTCCCCTCCCTGTGTCCATGTGTTTTCATTGGTCAACTCCCACTTATGAGTGGGAATATGCAGTGTTTGGGTTTCTGTTCTTGTGTTAGTTTGTGGTGAATGATGGCTTCCAGCTTCATCCATGTCCCTGCAAAGGACATGAACTCACTCTTTTTTTAATGGCTGTACATGTGACGTATTTTTTTTTAATCCAGTTTATCACAGAAACACTTTTACACTGTTGGTGGGAGTGTAATTAGTTCAACCATTGTGGAAGACAGTGTGGCAACTCCTCAAGGATCTAGAACCAGAAATACCCTTTGGCCCAACAATCCCATTACTGGGTATATACCCAAAGGATTAAAAATCATTCTACTGTAAAGACATATGCACACGTATGTTTATCACAGCACTATTTATATTAGCAAAGTCATGGGACCAACCCAAATGCCCATCAATGATAGGCTGGAAAATACATTTTCTAGTAGTCGACTCAATTTACAGACCTGAAAGAGGCAGTCCAATTTAGTTCCTGTTAAAACTGTTGTGATCAGAAGGGTAAATTATCCTTGCTTGTTAAAAGTGTCTCTGTCTATGTTCCCATGCTTTTACTGTTTTCGTTTTTTTCTTTTCTATGCCCATTTTGGTTTATACGTCATTGTCACAAAATGTACTGACAAATGGGATTTAAATTACTATTATAATAACATAGCATGTGGAACAAATATTAATTTCTAAGCTCATGAACATCATATTTCTAGATCTAAGCTGACTTTTTACCTAGTAACCATACATTAATGACTCATGGACAGTATGTATTCTATATAAGTGCCACAGAAATCAAGTGAGTGTCTGATAAAGCCCAACTCACACCTCATGGCACACCGCGGAGGAAGGGAGTGACTCTCCTTGGAAATCAGAAAGATTTCTAAGTGAAGGGAAAGCTTTTCTGGGAAGTTAGGAATTCGTAGTACTTCAACTGGTGGACCTAAGGAAATTTTGTCCCAGAAAACATTGTGAACAAAGGAGAGGAAAAGCATGTTCTGAAAATGATTACTATCTTGGGTTGACTGTAGCATAGGGTCATAAGGGAAAATAAAACGATAGTCCACTCTAAAAAGTATAAAAGCATCAGAGTATGAATAATCTTGATGTTCTGCCAAAATTGGCAGAGAGACTGGTTAGATAGCTATTGTAAAATTCAGAGAAGAGTAAGTTCTCATACAATTCATTGGCTAGGGAAAGGGAAATGAGTGGATTATTTTGAAAGATAATTTAGATTTAGAAATAATAGTTCATTACAGAGAATCTGTTTCAGGAACAAATGTGAGAGAGGAAATTGAGAGAGTAGCTTCTGATGGTTAACCTAGAGGATGGTGGTGCTATCTAAACCACGGCAGAAGACAAAGGCAGTGGGGCAGACTGAGGGAAAGAAGATAACGGGCTCAGTTTGGGACATTTTAGGTCTGCTGGATGAGCAAGACATGCATTTCACACTCAGAGAAACAGTCTAGGGTGTAAGCCTGAAATGTAAGAGAGGGCCAGTATTTGAGTTATAGGTCTCCTGGGAACCAGTTAGGACATATGAGTAAAATCAATTAGGAAAGGACTGTCAAATAGAACATCAGTCAATTTTAAAGCACCTAGAAAAGCAGTTCCACACAAGAATCAAGACTTTCTCATACTAGCTGCATTTTTTATTGCATTCAACTAAATGATGGATGAGAATAAAAAACATCAAAAGACTCATAAAAGTAAGATTTTAAAAATATGCCCTGCTGCATTTTCAGGGACAAGATTAAAAGTAAGGGTTTATATATTTATTTCTTTTATATATTTCTTTTCTTATATATATATATATATATATTTCTTTTTATAGATGATGAATGACAAGTGTGTCATTGTTAATAGGTTCTCTCAAATATTGAAGAACTTAGAACTTCTATTAGAAAATACCTCATAAAGCAAAACTGGGCCACATGTCCATTTCTGATCCAATCACTGGCAGGGGAAATGGGATAACTCCTTGGATTATTAGTCTCTTCCTGGAGGATGAATGGAATTTACTTATCAAGATACTTAGCTATGTGTATTAGGTGTGGGGTAGAGATTACCTGAAAACACAAGTCAGAATGCTCTTGGAAAGAAAGGAGGAGTGGATATTATGAAGGCAAAAGTAATGTCTATTGTATCTTGATGATCTGGCTGATTAAATAACAATAACAACAACGACACGTTTTCTTTTTAACCTTTATTATTTCGTATTATTCTAAAAAGTATTAGTTCTTCCTCCTTAATTGAATACAGTTTATAAAGGATTTTGCCCTCAGGGTTATCATTCTGAATTAGCATGAATCATCAATATCAAAAATATACGTGTAAAAAATGTAGATAATTGAGCCAAATACAAACAACATCAGAAAATATATTGGAAGATATCTGATGAATTTTTATGATACATTTATATTTTTAAAATGTAACTTTACAATGGAGAGATGTTGTTTGTCATGTTTTCCGGTTAATGTCCAGTGCCTAAAAAGATGCCTCATACATAGTAGGCACTCAATAAATATGTGTGAAATGAATAAATGATGAAAATCTTTATATCACTTAAATTGTGATTTTTATCTTTCTCTGAAAACAGAATTCTCCGTAAGTATTTTATTTCCGATGACTTTCATTCTATTATTCCCTTTTGTAATATTCTTTCTAAATTTCACTATGTGTAACCTCATTTGCCCTTCAACTTTATCCAAAGTTCTGGATGTATTCATATTGACTCCTTCTTTCCCTTTTTGGCTTTTAAATATCCTGGCATAATTTGTTTTGACTGGGTAGAACTGTGTTCTTTTGGACAGCCAACTTCCTTGAACTCTGCTTTCTAAAAGAAGCCCAAGGATTCATCGTACTAATTTTCAAATTTGATGCAATTAGCTTCATAAAGTTAATTTTCTTAATTCTGCTGACATTTCCATTTCCTTCCCTTAGGGAAGAGAATTCGATTTCATTAACTTGTGATTGTTTCCTCAAGGTTTCTTTCTACTATTAGAAGCCCATCTAATTTTTCCCTATGAGCAAGAATAAAATCTGATATCTGCCCTAGGAATTTTACCTTTATTACAGAAGATCAAGCCATGAGATCTCATTGCTTCAGAAATACTTTGTCATCAGTATTCAGTTTGATATGCGCCTGTCAATGCTTCTTCATCTTTATATAAAATTGCTTTAAGTCAACTAAAAAAAACCTTATTAACCTTCTTTTACTGGTTTAGTGATTTATATAATTTACATTTTTATAATGTGGTTATTTTCTGTGTTCTTACCATATTAACTTTAATCCAATTATTATTTCCAAACAATTCCATTGCTACACCTTTATTCTGGATATAAAAAAGCATTAATTTCA